>NC_000017.11:29435980-30685980 GCF_000001405.40 Homo sapiens | reverse complement strand
GGCTCACATTCTAGAAGCAGAGAGAGCAACATTAAGACATCACTCTGCCAAACTAGGTAATTACAATTGTGGAAACTGCTCTGAGGAGAGTGTTGAGTGCCATGGGAATGGAAAACGGATCTTGGCAGGGCTAGGCTGAGCATGGTGGCTCACAACTATAATCCCAGCACTTTGGGAGGCTAAGGTAGGAGGATCGCTCGAGGCCAGGAGTTTGGGACCAGCCCGGACAACATAGCAAGACCACCAACTCTAAAAAAAATTTTAAAAATTAGCTGGGCGTGGTGGCACATGCCTTCTAGTCCCAGCTACTTGGGAGGCTGAGGCAAGAGGATCACTTGGACCTAAGAATTTGAGGCTGCAGTGAGCTATGATCATGCCATTGTACTCCAGCCTGGGCCACTGAAAAAGGTCCCATCTCAAAAAGAAAAGAAGGCTGGGCATGGTGTTTCATGCCTGTAATCCCAGCACTTTGGGTGGCCGAAGTGGGTGGATCACTTGAGGCCAGGAGTTCGAGACCAACCTGGCCAACATGGTGAAACCCCGTCTCTACCAAAAATACAAAAATTAGCCGGGTGTGGTGGCTCATGCCTGTAATGCCAGCTACTCAGGAGGAGGCAGGAGAATTCCTTGAACCTGGGAGGCGGGGGTTGGAGTGAGCCAAGATTGTGCCACTGCATTTCAGCCTGAGGGACAGAGTGAGACTCTGTCAGAAGAGAAGGGAAGGAAAGGGGAGGGGAGGGGAGGGGAGGGAAGAGGAGGGGAGGGGAGGGGAAGGAAGAAGAGATCTTGGCATAACCCAAGCCCCCTTCAGAAGGGTCACCCTGGCTGCTACTTTAAGGATAGGCAGACAGAGGGAGTTGTGGGAGGGAAGGCCAATCAGGTAGAGAGACTTCCTTATCAAACTTCTGGAGGTTGAAAGAGTGTGATGCGGGCTCTGACCTGGGAGAACAGTCATGGAGCCAAGGATAGTGGGGGCAGGGGATGCTGGGGTCCTGGGGAATGGCGTGGGGAGTGGCCAGAAACTTGAGGACTTTTGTTCCTGAGCACAGTCTTCCATTCCTCCGGCATTGAGACTTTTTTTTTTCTTTTTTTTTTGAGACAGGGTCTCACTCTGTTGCCCAGGCTGGATTGCAGTGGCGTGATCTCGGCTCACTGCAGCCTCTGCCTCCAGGGTTCAAGTGATTCTCCCGCCTCAACCTCCCTAGTAGATGGGATTAAAGGCATGCACCACCATACCAGTTAATTTTTGTATTTTTAGTAGGGACAGGGTTTCACTATGGGTGAACTGGCTGGTCTCAAACTCCTGGCCTCAGGTAATCTGCCTGCCTTGGCCTCCCAAAGTGCTGGGATTACGGGCATGAGCCACCACGCCCAGCCAGGCTCTCTTTATAGACAAAGATGTTAGCGTTCTCGCCCTCTAATCTCACGGGGCATGAGGTCTCTCTCCAGCCTCTTGTGTAAAGGCACAGGTCCCATTCATGAGGTCTCCACCCTCCTCACCTCCCATAGGCCCCAATTCTTAACACCACGACCTCGGGGGTTAAGATTTCAACACATATTGGCCAGGCATGGTGGTGCACACCTGTAATCTCAGCACTTTAGGAGGCCAAAGTGAGCAGATTGCTTTGAGCTCAGGAGTTTAAGACCAGCCTGGGCAACATGCCAAAAACCCCATCCCTACTAAAAATGCAAAAATCAGCTAGGCATGGTGGTAGGCGCCTGTAATCCCAGCTACTCCGGAGGCTGAGGCTGGAGAATCACTGGAACTCAGGAGATGGAGGTTGCAGTGAGCCGAGATTGCACCACTGCACTCCAGCCTGGGCAACAGGGTGATGAGACTCCATCTTAAAAAAAGAAAAAAGAAAAAAAAGATTTCAACATATAAATTTGGGGGGACACAAACATTCACACCAAAGCACTTGGCTCACCAAGTCACCTCCCCACCCCAGCCCCATCCCTTTCCTCCCTATAGTTGGTTGAATGACAGTCCTCCAAAAATGTACGTTCATATCCTAACCCCCAGAGCCTGTAAGTGTGATCTTATTTGGACAAAGGGTCTTTGAAGTTGTATTTATGTGAAGAATCCTGACATGAGATCATCCTGAATTAGAATGGGCTCTAAATCTATTAACAAGTGTCCTGGCCGGGTGCGGTGGCTCACGCCTATAATCCCAGCACTTTGGGAGGCTGAGGCAGGTGGATCACCGGAGGTCAGGAGTTCAAGACCAGCCTGACCAACGTGGTGAAACCCTGTCTCTACTAAAAATACAAAAATTAGCCGGGTGTGGTGGCGGGCGTCCATAGTCCCAACTACCTGAAAGACTGAGGTGGGAAGATCAGATCACTTGAGTTGGGGAGGCAGAGACTGCAGTGAGCCAAGATCATGCCACTGCATTCCAGCGTTGGTGACAGAGCAAGAGGGGAAAAAAAAAGAAAGAAAGAAAAAATGTCATCAGAAAAGAATAGAGAGGCCACCATGACTCACACCTGTAATCCCAGAGCCTTGGGAGGCTGAGTTGGGAGGATCACTTGAGCCCAGGAGTTTGAGATCAGCCTGAGCAACATAGTGAGACCCCTGTCTTTAGAAAAAAGTTTTTAAAAATTAGTGGGGCTTGGTGGTGTGTGCCTGTAGTCCCAGCTACTCAGGAGGCTGAGGTGGGAGGATCACTTGAGCCTAGGAGGTCGAGGCTGCAGTGAGCCATGATTGCACCGCTTCAGTCTAGGCTGGGTGACAGAGCGAGATTCTGTCTCAAAAAAATTAAAAAAAAAAGGAAAAGAAAAAGAAAAAAAGGGAACCAGACACAGAGACACAGGGAAAAAGTCCATGTGACAATGGTGGCAGAAACTGGAGTGATGCAGCCACAAGCCAAGGAATGTCGGGAGCCACCAGAGGCTCGAAGAGGCAGAAAGGATCCTCCCCTAGAGCCTCCAGAGGGCCACCTTGACTTGGGGCTAATGATACTGATTTGGGACTTAAGGGATCCAGAACTGTAAGAAAATAAATGTCTGTTTTTTGGTTTTTGTTTTGAAATTATATTTTATTGATATATAATAGTTGTATTGTTTTGTTTTCTGCTGTCCTGAAGCCACCCAATTTGTGGGCATTGGTTACAACAGTCACAGGAAATATTATAGTTGGCCCTCCATATCCACGGGTTCCTTATCCAGGATTCAACAAACTGCGAATGGAAAACATTAGGGGAAAAAAAAAACCCAATCCTAGCACTTTGGGAGGGTGAGGCAGGCAGATCACATGAGGTCAGGAGTTCGAGACCAGCCTGGCCAACATAGTGAAACCCTGTCTCTACTGAAAATAGAAAAAAAATTAGCTGGGCGTGGTGGCAGACACCTGTAGTCCCAGCTACTTAGGACGCTGAGGCAGGAGAGTCGCTTGAACCTGGGAGGTGGAGGTTGCAGTGAGCCAAGATCATGCCATTGCACTCCAGCCTGGGCAACAGAGTGAGATCCTGTCTCAAAAAAACAAAAAGAACAACAAAAAACAACAACAATAAACCCTGGCTAGCCATGCTGGCTCATGCCTATAGTCCCAACAATTTGGGAGGCTGAGGTGGGAGGGTTGTTGGAGCCCAGGAGTTGGAGAGCAGCCTGGGCAAAGTAGCAAGACCCCCATCTCTACAAAAAACATTAACAAAATAAGTCCAGTGGGTGGCGCACACCTGTGGTCCCAGCTACTTGAGAGGCCAAGGCAGGAGAATTGCTTCAGCCTGGGAGGTTGAGGTTGCACTGAGTGATGACTGCACCACTGCAATCCAGCCTGGGTGATAAAGCAAGACTCTATCCAAACAAACAAACAAACAAAACCATATTTTATCTATTTATTATTTTTATTATTTTAAATTATTATTATTATTTATTTATTTATTTTTGAGACAGAGTCTCGCTCTGTCGCCCAGGCTGGAGTGCAGTGGTGCGATCTTGGCTCACTGCAAGCTCCGCCTCCCTGGTTCACGCCATTCTCCTGCCTCAGCCTCCTGAGTAGCTGGGACTACAGGCACCCGCCACCACGCCTGGCTAATTTTTTGTATTATTATTATTATTTTTTGTCTATTTTTTTTTAGAAGGAGTCTCGCTCTGTCACCCAGGCTGGAGTGCAATGGCACAATCTCAGCTCACTGCAACCTCCGCCTCCTGGGTTCAAGTGATTCTCCTGCCTCAGCCTCCCGAGTAGCTGGGACTACAGGCATGTGCCACCACGCCCGGCTATTTATTTATTTATTTATTTGTATTTTTAGTACAGATAGGGTTTCACTGTGTTAGCCAGGATGGTCTCGATCTCCTGACCTCGTGATCTGCCTGCCTCAGCCTCCCAAAGTGCTGGGATTACAGGCGTAAGCCACCGCGCCCGGCCAATTTTTTGTATTTTTAGTAGAGACGGGGTTTCACCATGTTAGCCAGAATGGTCTTGATCTCCTGACCTCGTGATCCACTGCCTCGGCCTCCCAAACTGTTGGGATTACAGGCGTGAGCCACCGCGCCCAGCCTATGTTTAATTATTTTATTATTTTAACAATTATCTTTATGGTTAAAAATATCACAACAGTAAAAAAAAAAAAAAAATACATTCTCTGCAGCCCAGATTCAGAAAATGATAAAAATTAAAAAATAAAAATGAGGCAGGCGGATCACTTGTGGCCAGGAGCTCAAGACTAGCTTGGCTAACATGGTGAAACCCCGTCTCTATTAAAAATACAAAAAAATTAGCCAGTCATGGTGGCACGTGCCTGTAATCTTCGCTACTCGGGAGGCTGAGGCTTGAGAATCACTGGAAGCCGGGAGATGGAGGTTGCAGTGAGCCAAGATCGCGCCACTGCACTCTAGCCACACGTATGTATACATATACATATATGTGTATATATACATACATATATACAGCATATATACATATGTATGTATATATACAGCAGGAGGTGCATAGGTGATATGCAAATACTATGCTGTTTTATAAAAGAAACTTGAGCATCTGTGGATTTTGGTATCCAGGGACGTCCTGGAACCAATCCTACAGGATGCAAAGAGAGGACTAGAATACACTCCCTTTCCTAGCAAAACATCCCAAGAGTTATCGCTGGGTCCGGCTGCTCTTCTCTCGTCCTCTCTCTGATCCTCTCCTTTCAGTATTTTGTTCCCACTCAGCCACTAGAAGGGCTCCATCCTGCCCAACCTGATGGTCGTTTCTCAGCCTCTAGGACTGTGCACTCCCAGCTTCCCCTCCCACCTCCAAGGCCACCACTTCTTAGTCTCTTCTGTGATTCCTCTTCATCTCCCAATCTTAGCCTTGAAGAGAAAGCCAAGAGCCGAGATCGCACCATTGCTCGCCAGCCTGGGTGACAGAGCGAGATTCTGTCTCAAGAAAAAAAATGATTAAAATAAAATGAAATAGGCTGGGCACAGTGGCTCACGCCTGTAATCCCAGAACTTTGGAAGGTCGAGGTGGGCAGATCACGAGGTCAGGAGTTCGAGACCAGCCTGGCCAAGATGGCGAAACCCCGTCTCTACTACAAATACAAAAATTTGCCGGGCATGGTGGCGGGCACCTGTAGTCCCAGCTACTCGGGAGGCTGAGGCAGGAGAATGGCGTGAACCCGGCAGGCAAAGCTTGCAGTGAGGCGAGATTGCACCACTGCCCTCCCGCCTGGGCAACAGAGCGAGACTCTGTCTAAAAAGAAAAAAAAAATTAATAAATAAAAAATAAAATAAATGCTGGGCTGAGTGTGGTGGCTCACTGTAATCCCAGCACTTTGGGAGGCCGAGGTTAGGAGTTTGAGACCAGCCTGGCCAACATGGTGAAACCCCATCTCTACTAAAAACACAAAAATTAGCCGGGCATAGTGGCAGGCACCTGTAATCCCAGCTACTCAGGAGGCTGAGGCAGGAGAATCACTTGAAACCGGAAGGTGGAGGTTGCAGTGAGCTGAGATCGCGCCACTGCACTCCAGCCTGGGCAACAAGAGTGAAACTCCATCTCAAAAATAAATAAATAAATAAATAAATGCCACCTACACCCGACAGCTCCCAGTGGCGTCCCCACCTCTCACCTCTCTGCTGACCTTCACCTGCCCCCCAGATGTCTCCGCTGGAAACCCAGTGGGTACACCCAAGTATCACACCGGAAGCAGACTCTTCATCACACTCCAGACCTGTTTCCTCCTCTGTCCTCCCCCTCCGTCCTCCCCACTCCTCTGTCCATCCCCTCCTCTGTCTTCCCCCCTCCTCTGTCCTCCCCGCTCCTCTGTCCTCCCCCCTCTGTCCTCCCCCTCCTCTGTCCTCCCCCCCTCCTTCCTGCTCCTCTGTCCTCCCCCCTCCTCCATCCTCCTCCCTCCTCTGTCCTCCCCCCGTCCTCCCCCCTCCTCTGTCCACCCCCCTCCTCTGTCCTCCTGCCTTCTCTGTCCTCCCCCCTCCTCTGTCCTCCCCCCCTCTGTCCTCCCCATCTGTCCTCCCCCCTCCTCTGTCCTCCCCCCTCTGTCCTCCCCCCATCCTCCCCCTCTGTCCTCACCCCTGTCCTCCCCCCTCCTCTGTCCTCCCCTCTCCTCTGTCCTCCCCCCTCCTCTGTCCTCCCCAACTCAGTTAATGACACATCATCGTCCTCTATTGGTGCAGGAGATGGAATAGTGTCTTCCTCCCCTGACAAAATTCATGTTTACCTGGAGCCTCAGAATGTGACCATATTTGGAAATAGCATCTTTGCAGATGTCATTAGTTAAGTTAAAATAAGATCTTACTAGCCCAGCACTGTGGCTTGAACCTGTATTCCCAGCTATGCAAGAGGCTGAGGTGGGAGGATCACTTGAGGCCAGGGGTTGGACACCAGCCTGGGCAACATGATGAAACCTTGTCTCTATAAAAAGAAAAAAAAATTTTTTTTTTGAGACGGAGTCTCGCTCTGTCGCCCAGGCTGGAGTCCAGTGGTGCAATCTCGGCTCACTGCAAGCTCCACCTTCCAGGTTCACACCATTCTCCTCCCTCAGCCTCCCGAGTAGCTGGGACTACAGGCGCCCGCCACCACACCCGGCTAATGGTTTTTTTTTTTTTTTTTTTTTGTATTTTTAGTAGAGATGGGGTTTCACCATGTTAACCAGGATGGTCTCAATCTCCTGACCTCGTGATCCACCCGCCTCGACCTCCCAAAGTGCTGGGATTACAGGTGTGAGCCACCACACCTGGGCTTTTTGTTTTGTTTTGTTTTTTGAGACAGAGTCTCACTCTGCAGCCCAGGCTAGAGTGCAGTGGCAGGAGCTCTCCTCACTGCAACCTCCACCTCCTGGGTTCAAGTGATTCTCTTGCCTCAGCCTCCCAAGTACCTGGGATTATAGGCATGCACCACCACACCCAGCTAATTTTGTATTTTTAGTAGAGATGAAGTTTCACCATATTGGCCAAGCTGGTCTCTAACTCCTCAGCTCAAATGATCCACTCTCCTCAGCCTCCCAAAATGCTGAGATTACAGTTGTGAGCCACCACACCCAGCCAAAAATTTTTAAAAATTAGCCAGGCATGTGGCACACACTTGTAGTCCCAGCTACTTAGGAGGCCAAGATGGGAGGATTGCTTGAGCCCAAAAATTGGAGGCTGCAGTGAGCCATGATTGTGCCACTGCACTCCAGCCTGAGTGACAGAGTAAGACCCTGTCTCTTAAAAAAAAAAAAAAAAAAAAAAAAAGATGAAGTCTTACTAGACTAGAATGAGCCCTAAATCCAATGACAAGTGTCCATCTAAGAAGAGGAGAGGACCACAGAGACACACAGAGACCATGGAAGCCTCTCCATGGAATGATTGGAATGATGCAGCTTTGAGTTGAGGAACACCAAGGATTACAAGGAGCCACCAAAATCTAGGAGAGAGGCAAGGAAGGATTCTTCCCTAGAGCCTTCAAAGGGAGCCCAGCCCTGCCAACACCTTGACTTTGGACTTTGAGCCTGTAGGACTGTAAGAGAATAACAAACTTATGTTGCTTCAAGCCACCAAGTTTGTGGTAATTTATTGCAGCAGCGCTAGAAAACTAATACAGTTGGGTGCTTCAGAAGTGTACCTGAGACACTCTGATTTGAGTAAAAGTGGTTTACCTGGAAGGTGATTGCAGGGAGTGCTGGCAGGGGATGGAGGAGGTGAGATGCAGAAGGGAGGGCAGCCAGTATGTCATGTGGAAATGAGCAGGTTATCCTGCGATATCTAGGTCTTAACTCATCTTGGACAAACCCCAAGAGTTATCTTATGCAAAGGGTGAGGGAGCTGGGGTATTTATCCTCCAACTCCCAGCCTTTATTAGTTGAGGTATGCTAGCAGAGAAAATGAATTCTCCAGAACTTCTGGCTGCCTGCATGCACTAGAGCAAAGCAGTCAGGCAAAGAGTCACAGGTACGGGTGGTATGAAGCCACTGGATTGACGTGCATGGTGTGGGGACAGCCTCTAAGATGGCCCTCAATGTTCCAGCCCTTGCATTAATGCCCTACCCTTTAGTGTGATTAGACTCTATGACTTGCTTCCTGCCCATAGAATGTGGCAAAATCGATGCAATGTCACTTCTAAAATTAGGTCACAAAAAAGACCATGCCTTTCATCTTGGGTGAGCTCCCTTTTTTTTTTTGGAGATGGAGTCTTGCTCTGTCGTCCAGGCTGGAGTGCAATTATGCAATCTCTGCTCACTGCAACCTCCACCTCCCGGTTCAAGTGATTCTCCTGCCTCAGCCTCCCAAGTAGCTGGGATTACAGGCATGGGCCACTATGCCCAGCTAATTTTTTATTTTTAGTAAAGATGGGGTTTCACCATGTTGGTCAGGCTGGTTTTGGACTCCAGACCTCACCCACCCACCTCAGCCTCCCAAAGTGCTGGGATTACAGGTGTGAACCATTGTGCCCAGCTGGATGCACTCCCTTTCTTGCCCTCTCTTCTGCTCACTCTGAGGGAAGCCACCTGCCAGGCTGTGAGCTGCCCATTGGAGAGGGTCACAAGGCCAGGAACCAGAAGAGGCCTCTGACCAACAGCCAGTGGGCAACTGATCCTGCCAACAACTCATGAGCTTAAAAGTGGATCCTCCCCAGTCGAGCTTTCAGATGAGATCACGGCCTCAGCCACCAACTATTTCTTTTTAATTGAAATGCATCCATGCCCATTTGCTTTTTGTTGTTGTTAATTAATTAATTAATTAATTAATTAATTAAAAAATAGAGATAGGGTCTCACTCTGCTGCCCGGGCTGGAGTGCAGTGGTGCGATCAATAGCTCCCTGCAGTATCGAACTCCTGGGCTCAAGTGATCCTTCTACCTCAGTTTCCCAAGTAGCTGGGACTATAGGTGCATGCCACCACATCTGGCTAATTTTTTGTTTAGTTTAGTTTTGTTTTGAGATGGAGTCTCACTCTGTCACCTAGGCTGGAGTGCAGTGGTGCAATCTCGGCTCACTACAGCCTCTGCCTCCTGAGTTCAAGTGATTCTCCTATTCAGCCTCCTGAGTAGCTGGAACTACAGGCCCATGCCACCATGCCCAGCTAGATTTTGTATTTTTAATAGAGATGGGGTTTCACCATGTTGGCCAGGCTGGTCTCAAACTTCTGGCCTCAAGTGATCCGCCTACTTCAGCCTCCCAAAGTGCTGGGATTATAGAGGTGAGTCACTGCACTGGCCTAAAATTTATTTAATTGACAAATTAAAATTGTACATATTTATGGTGTATGACATGATGTTTTGAAGTTCATATACATTTCAGAATGGCTAAATGGAGTGAATTAACATATATATTACCTCACATGCCTATTTTTGTGTGGGACAAGAACACTTAAAATCTCTCTCAGTGATTTTCAAGTATACAATACATTGTTATTAGCTATAGTCACCATACTGTAGAAGACATCTCTTGACTGTATTCCTCCTGTCTAACTGAAAGTGTATAGCCTTTGACCAACATCTCCCCAGTCCCTCCACTCTAGCCCCTGGTAACCACCATTCACTCTCTGTTCTTTTTTTTTCTTTTTTTGGAGACAGGGACTCACTTTGTCATCCAGGCTGGAGTGCAGTGGCATGATCATGACTCACTGCAGACTCAACCTCCTGGGGTCGGGTGTTCCTCCCACCTCAGCCTCCCAAGTAGCTGGGACTACAGGCACACGCCACCATGCCCATCTAATTTTAGTATTTTTTGTAGAGATCAGGTTTCACCATGTTGCCCAGGCCTGTCTACAACTATTGAGCTCAAGCGATCCACCTCCCTTGGCCCCCCAAAGTGCTAGGATTATAGGGATGAACCATCATGCGCGATCTCGGCTCATTGCAACTTCTGCCTCCCAGGTTCAAGCAATTATCCTGCCTCAGCCTCCTGAGTAGGTGGGATTACAGGTGCGCACCACCATGCCCGGCTCATTTTTGTATTTTTAGTAGAGACGGGGTTTAACCATGTTGGTCAGGCTGGTCTTGAACTCCTGACCTCATGATCTGGCCGCCTCGGCCTCCCAAAGTGCTGAGATTACAGGTGTGAGCGACTGCACCCGGATAGTAACCCATCTCTACCCCATCACTGCAGACTCCCCTTTCTGTCATCCCTCACATCCAATCCATTAGCCAGCCCTGTCCACTCCAACTCCAAAACCCACCCTGAGCCCATAGAGCCTTCCTCACCTGCACTGCCACCAGCCTGGGGCAAGTCATTCTTGTCTGTCATCTGAATTGAAGCAAAGATCTCTCCTCCCTATCAAGCTCTATCCAGGTGGATCTCCTCAGCCAAGGTAGGCTTTTTAATTCTTTATTTTAGAGACAGTGTGTCACTTTGTTGCCCAGAAGGGAGTGAAGTGATGCAATCATAGCTTACTGCAGCCTCAATCTCCTGGGCTTAAATGAGTCTCCTGCCTTAGCCTCCACAGCAGCTGGAACTACAAGTGCATACCACTGTGCTCAGCTAATTTTTTTTTTTTTTAAATGGAGTCTCACTCACTCTGTCGCCCAGGCTGGAGTACAGTGGTGTGATCTTGGCTCACTGTTACCTCCATCTCCCAGGTTCAAGTGATTCTCCTGCTTAGCCTCCCAAGTAGCTGGGATTACAGGTGTGCACCACCCCTCGTGGCTAATTTTTGTATTTTTAGTAGAGATGGGGTTTTGCCATGTTGGCCAGGCTGGTCTCGAACTCCTGGCCTCAAGTGATCTGCTGCCTTGGCTTCCCAAAGTGCTGGGATTACAGGCGTCAGCAACTGTGCCTGGCCTAATTTTAAATTTTTTGTAAAGATGTGGTCTCGAACCCCTAGCCTCAAGCGATCCTCCCACCTCCATCTCCCAAAGTGCTGGGATTACAGGCGTGAGCCACTGCATCCGGCCTCCTGCACTTCTTCCTCAAGCACGTGCTCACCCAGTGCTTCCATTCATGCATGGGACCAACACTCATTAAGCACTTACTGTATTCACCTGACCTCTGAGTAGCCAACAGGCATTTTTCTCATTTAATCCTTGAAATGACCCTATTGTCATTGTACCTATGTTATAGCCAGAGAAACAGAGGCACAGACCAGCAAAACCACTTACCTAAGGTGACTCAGTCAATGCCAGGCAGGGCTGGGATTTGTAGGGTTTTTTTTTTTTTTTGAGACGGAGTCTTGCCCTGTCATCCAGGCCCGAGTGTAGTGGTGCTATCTCAGCTTACTGCAACCTCCACCTCCGGGGTTCAAGTGATTCTCGTGCCCCAGCCTCTCAAGTAGCTGGGATTACAGGTGTGCACCACCATGCCTGGCTAATTTTTTTTTTGTTTCGTTTTCTTTTGTTTTGAATTGGAGTTTCACTCTTGTTGCCCAGGCTGGAGTGCAGTGGCGTGATCTCGGCTCACCGCAACCTCCGCCTTCCGGGTTCATGTGATTCTCCTGCCTCAGCCTCCTGAGTAGCTGGGATTACAGGCATGTGCCAACATGCCCAGCTAATTTTTTATATTTTTAGTAGAGACAGGGTTTCTCCATGTTGGTTAGCCTGGTCTCGAACTCCCGACCTCAGTATATTTGCCCGCCTCGGCCTCCCAAAGTGCTGAGATTACAGGCGTGAACCACCATGCCCGGCTTTTTTTTTTTTTTTTTTTTTGAGATGGAGTTTTACTCTGTCACCAGGCTGGAGTACAGTGGCGCGATCTTGGCTCACTGCAACCTCCGCCTCCTGGGTTCAAGCAATTATCCTGCCTCAGCTTCCGAAGTAGCTGGGACTACAGGCACATGCCACCACACCTGGCTAATTTTTTGTATTTTAGTAGAGACGGGAGTTTCACCGTGTTGGCCAGGATGGTCTCAATCTCCTGACCTTGTGATCTGCCCACCTCGGCCTCCCAAATGATTTTTGTATATTTAGTAGAAACGGGGTTTTGCCATGTTAGCCAGGCTGGTCTTGAACTCCTGACCCCCCAAGTGACTTGCCCGCTTCAGTCTCTTAAAGTCCTGGGATTACAGGCATGAGCCACTGTGCCTGACCCCAGGGCTGGGATTTGAACCCACGCAGTTTCTATACCAGCCCTGGGGTCTTCACTGACATTCAGTTTATGCATCCAGTGTGTTAATCCTCTCACTTCCAAACAGATGGGCGTTTCCAAGTGCCCAGAGACCCCGGCAGGTTTACATCCCTTGGCTTTATCCAGAAGGTGGTTTGGTCTTCAATGCCGGGCGCGGTGGCGCACACCTATAATCCTAGCACTTTGGGAGGCCCAGGTGGGCGGATCACCGGAGGTCAGGAGTTTCAGACAAGCCTGACCAACATGGAGAAACCCCGTTTCTACTAAAAATACAAAATTAGCCGGGCGTGGTGGCACATGCCTGTAATCCCAGCTACTCAGGAGGCTGAAGCAGGAGAATCGCTTGAACCCGGGAGGCGGAGGTTGTGGTGAATCGAGATCGCACCATTGCACTCCGGCCTGGGAAACAAGAGCAAAACTCCGTCTCAAAAAAAAAAAAGAAAAGAAAAGAAAAGAAGAGAACAGAAGGTGGTTTGGTCTTTCTCAGCTGCGCTAATGAACAGGCCCATTTCTTGTCCTCAGAGATAGGGTCTAGCATAGCAGGGGAGACAGGGGAGGTATCACTCAACTGAAATCCACAGGAACTACTCAACCCTGTGTAAGAGCACCTGGGATGTGTTAATTCTGCCTGGGAGAGATTTGGAAAGGCAATAAAATACGATATATTGAAAGACATACATTTGAATCACTACCATTTTTGCAGTATATGTAAGTTACAAATATAACTTTATTACATTTGGAATTTTTATAAAACTTGATTATAAACCTCTTTGCTATTCATTTTGAAATATGATTAAAATTTGACCAGTAGAAAGGTACTAAAATTATATAGCAAGTCCTTTTTGTCTCTAGCAAAGATTAGTGTGAGAATTATTACACAGATCATAGTGAATCATCAGAGAGCAGTGGTTCTCAACTGGTGTGATTTTTGTACTCAGGTGACATTTGGTAATGTCCAGAGACACTTTTGCTTGACAAAACTGTGGTTGTGCTCCTGGCATCTGGTGGGCAGAGGCCAGAGATGCTGCTAAACATCCTGCAAAGTATAAGACAAACCCCCACGGCAAAGAGTTATATAGTCCAAAATGTCGATGGTACTGAAGTTGTGAAATCCTGTTCTAGAGAAATGAAGATCACTTAACACAGGTATTTACTGAGCGTTCACTGTTTTGTAGCTAATGCACCACATGTGCAATATTAAAGTATAAACCATAAGCCAGTATCTTCCACAGTGAGATTGCCTTAGTGCACAGAGAAAGGATTGAGGTGATGCTCCATCCTATGTAAATTAGACTCACAGCAAATGATAAATGTTCTGAAATAATTTTTTTTCCCTTTGGCTTATGTCTTTTTTTATAGAAATCTGGGCTGCAATTTAATTACAGAACTGAGCCTTGGAACATTTCAGGCCTGGCACGGAATGCAGTTTTTACACAACTTGTAAGTGAAATAGAAGATGAATACGTGTAAACAACTATTTTGTATAAAAACTCATACAATTATTGGTTAGCTGGGTATAAGCCCATTATGAACTCTGAAAAGTGTGTCTTAAGATCCATTCGTTTTTCTCAAATGGGGAAACTAAGGTACAAAGCGGCCAAGAGACTTACACAGCTTATATATGACCTGCTCTGCTTGTCCTAGTTCTGACCTATGGCATGGGCAAGAAAAGGCATCAAACAAGTGACCCTCAAATTAGCCTTGTTGCTGGGCGGGTGGCTCAGGCCTGTAATCCCAGAACTTTAGGAGCTGAGTGGGGCGGATCACCTGAGGTCAGGAGTTCAACACCAGCTTGGCCAACATAGTGAATCCCCATCCCTACTGAAAATACAAAAAAATTAGCTGGGCGTAGTGATGCAGTTTTTTGCTCCCTGGAGGACTTTGTGTTAAGCTTTCTTCCTTGCAGCTAAATGTTGCAGACATTTAAGCAGTTTGAAACTCTGCATATGAGCAGGAATCAAAGTTAAATCCAAAGTGTAGGGCTGGGCGTAGTGGCTCATGCCTATAATCCCAGCACCTTGGGAGGATCACTTGAGGTCAGGAGTTTGAGACCAGCCTGGCCAACATGGCGAAACCCTGTCTCTACTAACGATAGAAAAATTAGCAGGTCGTGGTGGCAGGTGCCTGTGATCCCAGCTATCGGGAGGCTGAAGGTCGAGAATGGCTTGAACTCCAGATGTGGAAGTTGCAGTGAGCCGAGATTGTGCCACTGCACTCCAACCTCCCCTCCAGGCTGGTCTCGAACTCCTGTGACCTCAGGTGATCTGCCCACCTTAGCCTCCCAAAGTGCTGGGATTACAGGTGTGAGCCACCGCACCTGGCCTTGTGGATTTTTTTTTTTTAGAGACTACAGGTGTAAGCCATTGTGCCTGGCTTTTTTTTTTTTTTTTTTTTTTGGTAGAGACAGGGTCTTGCTATGTTGCCCAGGCTGGTCTCAAACTCTTGGCCTAAAGGGACCCTCCTACCTTGAGCTCCTGAGTGGCTGCGATTACAGACTCCAGACACTGCACCCGGCTCCAGGTGGGTTTTATTACCATCCTCATTTTATAAATGAGGAAAGGGGCTCGGAGAAGTTAAGGAACATGCCCAATGTCACACAGCTAATAACTGTGAAGCCGGGATTTGAACCCAGGTTCTTGGATTCGAGAGCCTAAGATCCTGAGTTCAGGTAAGTAATACAATGTCAGCTGGCTGTAAGACAGATGATGGTAAATAACAGGGACCACTGGGCTTGGCAAGGTGGCTCACACCTGTAATCCCAGCACTTTGGGAGGCAGAGGTAGGCGGATCACCTGAGGTCAGGAGTTTGAGACTAGCCTGGCCAACATGATGAAACCCTGTCTGTACTAAAAATACAAAAATTAGCCAGGTGTGGTGGCATGTGCCTGTGGTCCCAGCTACTTGGGAGGCTGAGGTGGGAGAAATCGCTTGAACCCAAGAGGCGGAGGTTGCAGTGAGATCACACCACTGTGCTCTAGCCTGGGTGACAGAGCGAGACTCCATCTTAAAAAAAAAAAGAAGGCCGGGGGCGGTGGCTCACGCCTGTAATCCCAGCACTTTGGGAGGCCGAGGTGGGCAGATCACGAGGTCAGGAGATTGAGACCATCCTGGCTAACACAGTGAAACCCTGTCTCTACTAAAAATACAAAAAATTAGCCGGGCATGGTGGCGGGCGCCTGTAGTCCCAGCTACTCAGGAGGCCGAAGCAGGAGAATGCCGTGAACCCGGGAGGCGGAGCTTGCAGTGAGCCGAGATCAGGCCACTGCACTCCAGCCTCGGCGACAGAGCTAGACTCCGTCTCAAAAAAAAAAAAAAAAAAAAAAAAAAAAAAAGGCCGGCGCGGTGGCTCATGCCTGTAGTCCCAGCGCTTTGGGAGACCGAGGCAGGTGGATCACCTGAGGTCAGGAGTTCTAGACCAGCCTGGCCAACATGGTGAAACCCCGTCTCTACTAAAAATACAAAAATTAGCTGGGCGTGGTGGCATGCGCCGGTAATCCCAGCTACTCAGGAAGCTGCTTGAACCCAGGAGGTGGAGGTTGCAGTGAGCCGAGATTGCACCACTGCACTCCAGCCTGGGCTACAGAGCAAGACTCCGCCTCAAAAGAAAAAATACAAATACAAATAAAATAAAGAGAACAGCCAGTGGGAAGTCCCAGAAATGGGCACACACTGGGTGTGTCTGGGGTGCAGTGAGGGGCCCCTATGGCTGAGGCGAAAGTCTAGGGATTATTGCACCCACTTTGCACGTGTGACCTTCCACATTTCTTCACACAGCGACTCCTTCACAACAGTCTCATGACATAGGTTTTTATAATTCTCCTCTCTTGACGGGTGGGGAAACTGAGGCTCAGGGTGGCTAATTGAGCCACAGCCAGAAAGCAATGGAGCTCCAATCTGAATCCAGGCAGCCTGCCCCCACTGCCGAACTCCGAAGGAAACACAGTAGGGAGCCAATGCCAGCAGGCTGGGAGGGCTGCCTGGAGGAGGTGGATGTCACCAGAACCTGTGGGAGGACTCTGAGGAGCAGGGAGGGAGGGAGCTGCTGCTGACCAAGGCACAAAAACATGTTCCTGGGGCAGTTCTTGGAAGGCAGATTTCCAGGCGCCTGCCCCCAATGTGGCCCTGCCTCCCGCTCCCCCAGGCCCCCTCTTCCTAGAGGGAAGGCGGCAAGAGGCGCTTCATTAGCGCCTCTGAGGCCCCAGCAGCCCCGAGGGGATGAAAAGGGCCTAGGAGGGGAGCCGTCCTCATTTTGGCACACCTGGCAGGGGGCCCAGGACCACTGAAAGGGATTCAGCTGGGGCCGGCTGGGCAGGCCCGGTCATTGTTCCGGCTAGATCCGCGGTCAGGGCTTCAAATGCAAAACCGGGCTGGGGATGGGGTGGGGGCGCCGGTGGCCTCTGCTCTTCCTTTAATAGACCAAAGGACTCTGGCGGCTTAGCTCTTTTCCTAATTTAAAGATATTTTCAGGCGTTTGGGAGCTCCCCTAGGCGAAGCAGGAAGGCTGGGAAGTGGGGGGCCTTGAAACTCTCTTCGTGGTTGCCAGCGGAGGATGGAAGAAAAGGCGGGGAGGAGGGGGGCTGAGGTTGGTCTGGGGTCACGGGTGGGGCGCTGCCCCCCCGTGTTGAGTTCTCGGCTGTCCTCTGCCCCAGTTTCCCTCTCTGGAAACTCTGTCTGGTTTCTGGAACCGTCCCCAGCAGGTAGGACGGATGCAGGTGTGCCCAAACGGCAGTTTCTTCCTAAGGAGCTCTTTCGGGTCAACTCTGGAGGCCTTGACTTGGGAGGCAGATGGAGGAGGCTTGATCCCTCTCAGCATGGCAGCCGTGGTGCCAAGGCAGGAAGGAGGGTAGGGAGGCAAGCCAATGGGGTGCAGCGGCCTCCATGCCAGAAAATGGGGGCTCCCTGGATCATCTCCTCGGCGGGAGGGTGTACGGGGACCAAGAGAGAGAACCAAGGGGCCCCGCTGGAGGGGGGCTTGGAGCCTAGGGACAGTTGAGGGGGTACTGTCTTCCCCTCTCTCCTGGTCACGCTGCCCAGTCGGCCTTTTTCTCCCCTTTCCCTCCCCTTTTGCCCCCACCCCCGCCTGCCCCCCTCCAGGCCCCAGCGCCCCCCACTCCCAACCCCCCGGCCTGCTCTCCTGCCTCCCCCGTGCCACCTCCTTGGGCTTCGTTCCTCTTCCCTCCTCCGAGTTCCCAGCCATCCCCTCTCTCCTCCTCCCCAGCCCGCCCTCCTCCCTCTGACTGGCTCCCGCCTCCCCAACGCTCTCTCAGCCTCCCAGCCCCCTCCTCCCTCCCTCTCTCCCTTTCCTTCCTTTATCCCGGCCTCTCTTCCCACCTTCCCCAGCCGGAGAGAGGGGGCCGCGCTCCCCCCAGCCCCTCCCCCTCCCTCCCTGGGGCCGCCGCCATCTTGCAGGATGCTGGGGAGGGAGCCGCGTGCAGGCAATGGGAACAATGCATCTTTTATGAAGCGATCCCCTCTCCTTGCCTGGAAACCTTGCATTAATGCGGCATTGATTTCCCTCGTAATAGAGGGGGGCTCTCCCGCGCCCCCAACCCGAGGGGCGCAAGAAGGGAGGGGGCCAGGTTCGGGGGCGAGGAGGGAAAAGTGGAGGGTGATGGAGTCATCGCTCCGGGCTCCCAGCTCTGCAGCCGGCGCCCTCCCCGCGCCCAGCCTGGAGACCCCCACCCCACCCCGCAGGCGGAGGTTCCCAGAGTGGGGGAGGGGTTCCGGCGCGAGGCCCTCTAGTAACTTCTGGGCTGAGACCCAGCCACAGAGTCCCGGCCGATGGGACCCCCACACCCCTATTCTCAGCCCTGGCATTGGCCAGAAAGGGCGCAGGAGACCCTCGGCTGCCCCTGGGGCCGCTGTCTGCGGCCAGGTCCTCTGGGACACGTGTCCCCCCCTCCCCCCAGAACCCTCAGAGGTTCCCCATCTCCTCCAAGCCCTGTTTCCTTCCCCTCTTCTCTTCCATCTTGCCGCCTCACTCCCATCCTTACAGCTCCTGCCTCCCTCGTCCTCTCCTGGCTCCCCCTTTCCCCTTCCCTGCTGCCTGCCCCCTCCCTCCACACCCCCTTCCCTGCGTGCTAATGGCCCGGTGGCAGGCGGCTCCGTGGCTGTTTCTGGGGGAGGCGGGTTTGCAGCCAGGAGAGATGTTGGAGCGGTTTGGGGAGGGGGAGGAAGAAAAATTATACATACGTAAATCTGGGATAATGACGGTGCTAATGGGGCGGGCGGCGGCAGTCCCCCCAACAAACACACACCCCATCACACACACTCAGGGACCAACCTGGCTTCCTGACGCGTTTGAGGGTCCGTGGGCCCCGATCATCTCCTTGACTGGCCCTGAACCATCCCTGCTGCAGATATGGGGTCCATGCTCATTTGTGACATCAATGAAACATCCCCCTCCAGCCCCACAATTCAATTTGCGGCTTGCCACTTTGCTTGCCCTGTGGCCTAGGGGTGAGTAGTGACCCCAGCAGGACAGGTGTGTTCACTTGGGTCTTTTACCCCACCACCAGCCTGGACCCCCAACTCTTCTAGGTTTTCTGAGGTCACACCACCCACCACATGACATCTTTTGCATAACTGAAGGAAGGTCAGACGGATTTTCTTACCCTTTCTCCATTTCATAGCTGTGTGACCTTAGGCAAGTTAACCTCTCTGAGATTCAGTTCTCTCTACTTGTAAGTTGGGAATAATTATGTTCAAAGAACCTGAGGCTGAGGTGGGAGGATCACATGAGGCAAGGAGTTGGAGACCAGCCTGGGCAACATAGCCAAACCCGTCTCAAATTAAAAAAAAAAAACTTTTTGAAAAAATAAGTCAAGTTAAGGGCCAGGCACAGTGGCTCACACCTGTAATCCCAGCACTTTGGGAGGCTGAGGCGGGCAGATCATTTGAGGTAAGGAGTTCAAGACCAGCCTGGCCAACATGGTGAAACCCTGTCTCTACTAAAAAAAAAAAAGTACAAAAATTAGCCGGTATGGTGGTGCATGCCTGTCATCCCAGCTGCTTGGGAGGCTGACGCACGAGAATCCCTTGAACTGGGAGGCGGAGGTTGCAGTGAGCGGAGGTCGCACCACTGCACTCCAGCCTGGGCAACAGAGCAAGACCCTGTCTCTAAAAAAAAAAAAAGAGAGAGAACGTGAATTCACGTTTGTGCTTCCCAACTCCTTCATCACTTGCCTGGATTTACTGAGGTTGCCTTGGCCACAGCCTCCTGGCTTCTGCCCTGGCCTCCATCATCCGTTTGTTTCGGCCTCAAGTGATCTGTTTGTCTCGGCCTCCCAAAGTGCTGGGATTACAGGTGTGAGCCACCGCGCCTGGCCAAAATTTATAAACCTTGATTCTTATTCTCGGTGTGTCCCACAATACCTGGCACCTACTAGATTTTCAAATATGTGTTGAATGAGTGAATTAAATAAATAATGTTGTGACTATGTAAGGATATAACTGATGTAAAGTTCTTGGCAGGTCGCCAGCATTCAATAAACCAAGATGCTGGGCACAGTGGCTCATGTCTGTAACCCCAGCATGTTGGGAGGCCAAGGCAGGAGGATAGTTTGAACCAGGGGTTCAAGAGCAGCCTGGACAACAAAGCGAGACCCTGTCTCTACAAAAATTACAAAAAAATTAGCTGGGTGTGATAGTGTATACCTGTGGTCCCAGCTATTCGGGAGCCTGGGAGGTTGAGGCTACAGTGAGCCAGGTTCCTGCGATCCAGCCTGAGTTACTGAGTGAGACCCTGTCCACATCCCCACAAGAGGTAAACTTATGTTCATCAAAAGACATGTACAAGGATGTTCATAGCTGCTTTATCTACAATAACCATTCACTGCAAACAACTCAAATATCTATCAGCAGTAAGATAAATACATTGTGATACATCTCCACAATGGAATATTATACAACAAAGAAAAAGAACAGGAAAACAGACATGACAATAGATTCTCACAGATACAATGTTGCATAAAAGCAAGATGCCAAACCATGTATTTCCACTTACACAAAGTTCAGGGGTAGGCAAAACTAATCTATGATGAAAATGTCAAATTGGAGGATATTGACTGAGAAAGAGCATTTGGGAATTTCCTGGAGGGACAAATATGTTCTTCTGGTCTGCATGGTGGATACATGGGTATACATGTGTAGAAATTCACCACGCTGAAATTTATGATTTGTGCACTTTACCATATTCATTAAAAAAAAAAAAAAAGAGGAAGCCAGTCATGATGGCTTGTGCCTGTAATCCAAGCTACTCAGGAGGCTGAGATGGGAGGATCGCTTGAGGCCAGGAGCTCGAGACCAGCCTGGGTAATGTAGTGAGACCCTGTCTTCATTAAAAAAAAAAAAAAAAATTAGGCTGGGTGCAGTGGCTCACGCCTGTAATCCCAGCACTTTGGGAGGCCAAGGTGAGCAGATCACTTGAGGTCATAAGTTCGAGACTTGCCTTGCCAACATGGTGAAGCCCCGTCTCTACTAAAAATATAAAAATTAGCCAGGTTAGGCCAGGGACGGTGGCTTACGCCTGTAATCCCAGCACTTTGGAGGCCGAGGTGGGCGGATTATAAGGTCAGGAGTTTGAGACCAGCCAATATGGTGAAACCCCGTCTCTACTAAAAATACAAAAATTAGTCAGGTGTGGTGGGCGCCTGCCTGTAGTCCCAGCTACTCAGGAAGCTGAGGCAGAAGAATTGCTTGAACCTGGGAAGCAGAGGTTCCAGTGAGCTGAGATCGCGCCATTGCACTCCAGCCTGGGAGACAGAGGAAGACTCCGTCTCAAAAAGAAAAAAAAATTAGCCAGGCATTGTGGAGGGTACCTGTAATCGCACCTCCTCAGGAGGCTGAGGCAGGAGAATCACTTGAACCTGGGAGGTGGAGGTTGCAGTGAGCTGAGGTCACACCACTCCACTACAGCCTGGGTGACAGAGCGAGACTCCATCTCAAAATAATAATCATAATAATAATGAAAAGAAATGATGCTGGATGCAGTGGCTCATGCCTATAATCCCAACACTTTGGGAGGCCAAAGCAGGAGGATCACTTGAAGCCAGGAGTTTGAGACCAGCCTGGGCAATGTAGCAGGACCCTATCTCTACAAAAACATATATATTTTAAAAATTAGCCAGGTGTGGTGGTGCATGTCTGTAGTCCCAGCTACTCACATGGCTGAGGCAGGAGGATCACCTCAGTCCAGTAATTTGAGGCTGCAGTAAGGTGTGATCATGCCACTGGACTCCAGCCTGGGCAATAGAGCAAGACCCTATCTCAAAATAAAACAGAGCAAAGAGAATGTCCCCTAGAGCCATGTGTGATCCATACGCTTTGTGAATCGTGACACCTCCTCTCCTTCGAGGTTGTACAACTGTCTTCCAAAGTTGGAAAAAAAATGTTTAAAGCTGCCCAGATTCAGGAGGGAGGTCCCAGGGGTACCAGTGCCCTCCCCCATTTCCCAAGGATGACAAGGGTTTCCAGCCTCCCTTGGCCTTGGGGTGTGCGCAGCTCGGTGTGAGGGCCAGTGGTTGATCTTGAAGTTTCTTTCCTACTCCCTCATCCCTTTCCTGCCCAAGCTGTGGTCCCAGCTGACTCCCCTATCAGAGGCTGCGAGTGAGTTCGGTTGTTATGGCAACGGGGCTGCAGAGATCCCCGGGAACCTGCTGGTCCGCCTCATTGCCTCACCGTATGGGGAGCTGCTTTTCCCCTTAAAAATGAAACGGGAGTGGGATGGGGGAGGAAACCCCTTCTTCTGCTCTGGAATGAAATGCCTCCCTCACCTGCTTTGTCGCAAACCCCCGGTTTGGAGAGGAGGGTCTGGATGGGACCCAGACTGTGGATAAGGATGGAGGGAGGAGAACTCCTGCTCCCTGGGTTTTAGCAGCCTTCCCAGGTCTCACAGAACACGAGGAACACGGTCTTTCTCCAGCTCCAACTTTTCTCATCTGTTCATTCATTTTTTCCACAGGAGGCATGAGGAGGTGAGAGATGGAAAGAATGCTGTCTGTCATTTGGAGTCAGAAGGAAAAGAAGGTTGAGGGTCTGCCAGCTCTGCTCTAGTGGTTTTTTCCTGTTTCACCTTTTACAAAATCGAGATAATCGTTTCTACTTGGTAGCGATATTGTGAGGTGTAAAATGGATTAATACATGCAAAATGCTTAAAGCAACTTCTGGCATACGGTGATCTCTCAACCAATCCATTGTTATTTTATTATTATTATTTTTGTAAGACAGAGTTTTGCTTTTGTTACCCAGGCTGGAGTGCAATGGTGTGATCTCGGCTCACTGCAACCTCTGTTTCCCGGATTCAAGCGATTTTCCTCCTCCTGAGTAGCTGAGATTACAGGTGCCCACCACCACACCCAGCTAATTTTTTGTTTTGTTTTGTTTTTTGTTTTTTTTGAGATGGAGTCTCGCTCTGTTGCCCAGGCTGGAGTGCAGTGGCACGATCTCGGCTCACTGCAAGCTCTGCCTCCCGGGTTCACACCATTCTCCTGCCTCAGCCTCCCCAGTAGCTGGGACTACAGGTGCCTGCCACCACGCCTGGCTAATTTTTTGTATTTTTAGTAGAGATGGGGTTTCACCGTGTTAGCCAGGATGGTCTCCATCTCCTGACCTCGTGATCCACCCACCTTGGCCTCCCGAAGTGCTGGGATTACAGGCGTGAGCCACCGCGCCTGGCCAATTTTTTGTATTTTTAGTAGAGATGGGGTTTCACCATGTCAGCCAGGCTGGTCTCAAACTCCTGACCTCAGGTGATCCACCCGCCTCAGCCTCCCAAAGTGCTGGAATTACAGGTGTGAACCACCGTGCCCAGCAGGGAGACCCTGTTTCTACAAGAAAAAATGTACTGTGATCCCAGCACATTGGAAGGCCAAGGTGGGAGGATCACTTGAGCCTAGGAGTTCAAGTCCAGCCTGGGCAACATACATAGGGAGAACCCATCTCTTAAAAAAAGAAAAAAAGGAGAAATAATTACATGTAACCCTACCAGCAGTTTTGTGGGATTGCTATGATCATACCCATTTCACAGATTAGGTAACTGAGGTTTTAGTGCCCTGGAGATGAAGGCATTCTCTAGTCTCCCAGAAGCCCTGAACTCTTGAACAACCCCAAATGCTAAACTCAGCAGTAAAATGGCTGGTGGCTCCTACCTGAGGGTTCACAGAGGGGCTGCCTGTGTTTGCCTCCCAGCCCTTTCTTCCTGCATCCCAGCCCTTTCTTCCTGTGTATTAAGAGGGTTGCAGCTACTTCAGGGCCAGTGTCTCCACGAGTCATCATGACGGCTTCCTGATCATGTCTCTCTCTCTCTCTCTTTTTTTTTTTAAGACGAAGTCTCGCTCTGTCGCCCAGGCTGGAGTGCAGTGGCACGATCTCGGCTCACTGCAAGCTCCGCCTCCTGGGTTCACGCCATTCTCCTGCCTCAGCCTCCCTAGTAGCTGGGACTAGAGGCATGCACCACCACGCTCGGCTAATTTTTTTGTATTTTTAGTATAGACGGGGTTTTACTATGTTAGCCAGGATGGTCTCGATCTCCTGATCTCGTGATCAGCCCGCCTCAGCCTCCCAAAATGCTGGGATTACAGACGTGAGCCACCGCACCCGGCCGCCTCTCTCTTTTACTAACCACAGGGATTCAGAAAATTCTTCCTCCCTCGGGGCAAAAAAAAAAAAAAATCATATATTATAGATGAACTGATGTAGTTTGGATCTGTTTCCCTGCCAAATCTCATGTTGAACTGTAATTCCCAATATTGGAGGTGGGGCTTGGTGGGAGGGGATTGGATCATGGGGGCGGATCCCTCATGAATGGCTTAGCGTCATCTCTTTGGTGCTGTCCACACAATTGTGAGTGAGTTCTTTGGAGAATTAGTTGTTTTGTTTGTTTGTTTTTTGAGATGGATTCTCACTCTGTCACCCAGGCTGGAGTGCAATGGTGCAATCTCAGCTCACTGCAACCTCCACCTCCTGGATTCAAGCGATTCTTCTGCCTCAGCCTCCTGAGTAGCCAGGATTATAGGCCTGCGCCACTGCGGCCAGCTAATTTTTTTGTATTTTTAGTAAAGATGGGGTTTCTCTGTGTTGGCCAGGGTGGTCTCGAACTCCTGACCTCAAATGATCCACCTGCCTTGGCCTCCCAAAGTGTTGGGATTACAGGCATGAGCCACTGCGCCTGGCCTGGAGAGCTGGTTGTTTAAGTGTGTGGCACCTCCCCTCCACCCCATTCTCTCTCCTGCTCCTGCTTTTGCCATGTGAAGTTCCTGCTTCACCTTCTGCCATGAGTTAAAGCTCCCTGAGATCTTCCCAGAAGCCAAGCAGGTGCCAGCACTGTGCTTGTACAGCCCGCAGAACTGTGAGTCAATTAAGCCTCTTTTCTTTATAAATTACCCATTCTAGCCAGGTGTGATGGCTCACGTCTGTAATCCCAGCACTTTGGGAGGCCGAGGCAGGCGGATCACTTGAGGTTAGGAGTTTGAGACCAGCCTGGCCAACATGGTGAAACCCCATCTTTACTAAAAATACAAAAATTAGCCCAGTGTGGTGGCACACACTTGTAATCACAGCTACTTGGGAGGCTGAGGCAGGAGAATCGCTTGAACCTGGGAGGAGGAGGTTGCAGTGAGCCAAGATCGTGCCACTGCACTCTAGCCTAGGTAACAGAGTGAGACTCCATCTCCAATAAAGTGAAATAAAGTAAAATAAATAAAATAAAATGTACCCATTCTTTGATATTTCTTTACAGCAAATTTACCCATATAGGCAACGGCCTAATACATGAACCCTCTCAACCCCCATCCCAGTTCCCTCCTTACAGAAGCTACTGCTGTCTGTTTGGAGTGTATCCTTACAGACCTTTTTCTAAATGTTTACATACACCTATACCAGCTATATAAACACACTATTGATTTTGTGGGATATCTTAGTTTGGGTCCTCCCAAAGGCAGAGACCCTGAGACAAAGATTTGCAGGGGTAAGTTGTTGACCTGGGAGCAGATCCCAGGAAATAGCAACAGGGAAGCTGGGAAGTGAGAAAGGAATGACAGGTTGTGATTTGCAAAGATTGTCAGCCCTGGTATTGATCATATTGCATAGGCTCTTCTTACAAAGTGCTGGTACTCCTCTCATGAGAGGCGGGGTGTATTAGTTCCTTCTCACACTGTTATGAAGAAATGCCCAAAACTGGGTAATTTATAAAGAAAAGAGGCTTAATTGGCTCATGGTTCTGTGGGCTGTACAGGAAACATAGCTGGGGAGGCCTCAGAAAACTTACAATCATGGTGGAAGGCCAAGGGGAAACATGGCTGGAGAAGGAGCAAGAGAAAGAGGAGGGAGGTACTATACACTTTTAAACAACCAGATCTTGTGAGAACTCACTCACTATCACAAGAGCAGCAAGGGAGGACTCTGACCCCATGATGCAATCACCTCCCACCTGGCCCTTCCTCCAACACCAGGGATTACAATTCAACATAAGATTTGGGTGGGGGGGGATACAAATGCAAACCATATCACAGGACCTGTGTTCCCACCTCCTAAACCTGGGTGGGACTTGTGACTGCCTGGCAAATTCTAAAGTTTTTTGCAGAGGTGGGGTCTTGCTGTGTTGTCCAGGCTGGTCTCCTTGGCCTCCCAAAGTGCTGGGATTGCAGGTGTGAGCCAACATGCCTGGTCCAATTTAGATTTTTTTTTTAAGATGGAGTCTTGCTGTGTTGCCCAGGCTGGAATATAGTGGCACCATCTCGGCTCACTGCAAGCTCTACCTCCTGGGTTCAAGCAATTATCCCTGCCTCAGCCTCTCAAGTAGCTGGGATTACAGGTGCCTGCCACCATGCCCAGCTAATTTTTGTATTTTTAGTAGAGATGGAGTTTCGCCACATTGGCCAGGCTGGTCTCGAACTCCTGATCTCAGGTGATCCACCCACCTCCGTCTCTTAAAGTGCTGGGATTACAGGCGCGAGCCACTGCACCCGGCCCCAATTTAGATTTTAAAGAAATTACTAAGGCTGCTAAACCTTATGTTGCTCTCAGCCCCAAGGACGCTGAGAGTTGGGTTTTCCCAATCCGAGGCTTCCTGGGTATAGCTCAGACCACCCTTAAGTTTTCCACCCATGCTCCCTCATCCATTCTTTCTTCCCTTCTACAAATTTTCCCCTTCTCTGTTGGCCAGGAACATTTATGCAATAATGTCACACCAGTGACTACCAGAGCTGAATGCCGATAGAGTAACAGAATGCTAAGATGGACATTTCAACCAGGCAGACACAACGACTAGCAATGGAAGCCAGACCACAGTGAAGATCTTTTCTTTTCTCTTTTCTTTCCTTTTCTTTTTTTTCTTTCTCTTTCTTTCTCTCTCTCCCTCCCTCCCTCCCTTTTTCTCTCTCTTTCCTTTCTTTCTTTCTTTTTTTTTTTGAGACAGAGTCTCGCTCTGTTGCCCAGGCTGGAGTGCAGTGGCGCAATCTCGGCTCACTGCAAGCTTGGCTCACTGCAACCTCCGCCTCCCAGGTTCACTCCATTCTCCTGCCTCAGCCTCCCCAGTAGCTGGCACTACAGGCGCCTGCCATCGCGCCCGGCTAATTTTTTGCATTTTTAGTAGAGACGGGGTTTCACCGTGTTAGCCAGGATGGTCTCGATCTCCTGACCTCATGATCTGCTCGCCTCGGCCTCCCAAAGTGCTGGGATTACAGGCGTGAGCCACTGCGCCCAGCCCTTCCTTCCTTCCTTCCTTCCTTCCTTCCTTCCTTCCTTCCTCTTTCTTTCTCCTTCCCTCCCTCCCTCCTTCCTTCCTTCCTTTTCTCTCTTTTTTTTTTTTGAGACAGTCTTGCTCTGTCACTAGGTAATCTTGGCTCACTGCAACCTCTGCCTCCCAGGTTCACGCCATTCTCCTGCCTCAGCCTCCTGAGTAGCTGGGACTACAGGTGCGCACCACCACACCCGGCTAATTTTTGTGTTGTTAGTAGAGATGAGGTGTCACCATGTTGGCCAGGCTGGTCTCAAACTCCTGACCTTGTGATCTGCCCACCTTGGCCTCCCAAAATGCTGGGATTACAGGCGTGAGCCACCGTGCCCAGCCTCTTTCTTTTTTTTTTGACAGAGTCTTGCTCTGTTGCCCAGGCTGGAGTGCAATGGCACAATCTTGGCTCACTGCAACTTCCCCCTCCTGGATTCAAGCGATTCTCCTGCTTCAGGCCCTCAAGTAGCTGGGATTACAGGTGCGTGCCACCACGCCCGGCTAATTTCATATTTTTAGTAGAGTTGGGATTTCACCATGTTAGTCAGGCTGGTCACAAACTCCTGACCTCAAGTGATCCACCTGCCTTGGCCTCCCAAAGTGCTGGGATTACAGGTGTGAGCTACCATATCTGATCCCTAATTTTTATTTTTAATTGACAAGTAATTGCATATGTTTATGGAATATGATATGATGTTTCAATACTGTATATATTATAAAGCAGTCACGCTAATGAACATATCCATCACCTCACATACTTATTTATTTGTACCAAGAACAGTTTGTTTTTTTAGAGACAGGTTCTGTAAAATATTGCCCAGGCTGGTTTTGAACACCTGGGCTGAAGTGATCCTCCCATCTCAGCCTCCCAAAGTGCTGGGATTACACATGTGAGCTACCGCACCAGACCCTATAGTGAGACCATTTAAAATCCACTCATTTCACAAGTTTGAAAATACATTATGGGGCGGGGTGCAGTCACTCACGCCTGTAATCCCAGCACTTTGGGAGGCTGAGGCAGGTGGATCATGAGGTCACGAGTTCAAGACCAGCCTGGCCAAGATGGTGAAACCCCGTCTCTACTAAAAATATAAAAATTAGCCAGGCGTGGTGGCGGGCGCCTGTAGTCCCAGCTCCTCAGGAGGCTGAGGCAGAGAATTGCTTGAACCTGGGAGGTGGAGGTTGCCTTGAGCTGAGATTGTGCCACTGCACTCCAGCCTGGGCAACAGAAAGAGACTCTGTCTCAAAAAAAAAAAAAAGAAAAAGAAAAAAATATACATTATGATTAGCTATAGCCACCTTGCTGTGCAACAGATCACCAGCACTTACTCTTCCTACTGGAAACTTTGTATCCTTTGGGCCACATGTTTTCTGCGACCCCAGACTCTAGTAAGCACTGTTCTACTCTCTACTTCTGTGAATGTGACTTTTTTTTTTTTTTAGATTCTGCATGCAAGTGAGATCATGAACTATTTGTCTTTCTGCGCCAGACTTAGTTCACTTCGCATAATGTCCTCCAGATTCATGCACGTTGTTGCAAATGACAAGATTTCCTTCTTTTATCAGGCTGAACAGTACTCCATTGTGTATATGCACCACATTTTCTTTATCCATTCATTCATTGATGGACACTTAGGTTGCTTCCATATCTTGTTATTGTGAATAGTGCTGCAAAGAACTTGGGAGTGCAGATAGCTCTTCCGAATACTGATTTCCTTTGCACATTACTCGGAAGATAAATTTTTTTCAGATGAAGTCTCACTCTGTCACCCAGGCTGGAGTGCAATGGCGCGAGCTCGGCTCACTGCAAGCTGTGTCTCCCGGGTTCGTGCCATTCTCCTGCCTCAGCCTCTGGAGTAGCTGGGACTACAGGCGCTCACCACCATGCCCGGCAAATTTTTTTTTTTTTTTGTATTTTTAGTAGAGACGGGGTTTTACCATGTTAGCCAGGATGGTCTCAATCTCCTGACCTCGTGATCCACCTGCCTTGGCCTCCCAAAGTGCTGGGATTACAAGTGAGAGCCACCACACCCAACCTAATTTTTGTATTTTTAGTAGAGACGGGGTTTCACTATGTTGGTCAGGCTGGTCTCGAACTCCTGACCTCGTGATCCACCCACCTTGGCCTCCCAAAGTGCTGGGATTACAGTCATGAGCCACTGCACCCAGCCTTTTTTTTTTTTTTTTTTAGACAGGGCCTCACTCTGTTGCCCAGGCTGGAGTGCAGTGGCACAATCTCAGCTCACTGCAACCTCTACATCCTGGGTTCAAGTGATTCTCCCACCTCAGCCTCCGAGTAGCTGGGACTACAGGTGGACACCACCACGCTTGGCTAATTTTTGTGTTTTTTTTTTTTTTTTTTTTTTTTTTTTTTAGTAGAGATGAGGTTTCACTGGTGAGGCTGGTCTTGAACTCCTGACCTCAAGTGATCCACCTGACTTGGCCTGAGACAGGAGAATCGCTGGAACTTGGGAGGCAGAAGTTGCAGTGAGCCGAGATTGCCCCACTACATCATTCCAGCCTGGGTGACAGAGTGAGACCTTGTCTCAAAAAAAAAAAAAAAAAAAAAAGAAAGTGAAAGATTTCATTCTGAACACCACTAGGCCCTGAGAGGCAAGGTTGGCTGACAGCAGACCCAGTGTAATGAGAACCATCTGACCCCCGGATTTGTTTCCTTCCTGTGGCCGCTATAACAGTACCACAAACTGAGTCACTTAAAACAACAGAAACCTATTTTCTCACAGTTCTACAGGCCAGAAGTCTGAAATCAAAGCATCTGCAGGGCCACGCTCCCCACAGAGGATCTAGGGAAGAATCCCTCCTGGCCCCTTCCAGCTTGTGAGGGCTCCAGGCGTTCCTCGGTGGCAACCACAGCCTTCCAACCTCTGCTTCCGTCTTCACGGGTCCTTCTCTACTGTGTCTCCTCTATGTGTCTCTCCTAAGGAGAGTTGTCTGTGGATTTAGGACTACCATGTTTTCCAGGATGATCTCATCTTGAGAATTCTAATATCTGCAATGACCCTTTCAAAATCCCTCCTACAGAGTTGACAAGGATTGCATGCTAGATTCCAGACAGAAATACAGTTACAATGAACCATGAATCAGGCTGCACTAGGGCCCCCTTCCTTGCTGCTAAAAGTCAGGTAGCACTTTTACACCCCATTGTTTCACCGGGCGCAGTGGCTCACGCCTGTAATCCCAGCACTTTGGGAGGCCAAGGCGGGTGGATCACCTGAGGTTGGGAGTTCGAGACCAGCCTGACCAACATGGAGAAACCCCATCTCTACCAAAGATACAAAAATTAGCCAGGCATGGTGGTGCATGCCTGTAAGCCCAGCTACTGGGGAGGCTGAGGCAGGAGAATCGCTTGATCCCAGGAGGCAGAGGTTGCAGTGAGCCGAGATCGTGCCATTGCACTCCAGCCTGGGCATCAAGAGTGAAATTCTGTCTCAAAACAAAACAAAACACAAATACATCCCATTGTTTCTACAGACAGGATCTCTGACATTAGGAGCATATGGCTTTTTTTTTTTTTTTTTTTTTTTTTTTTTTTGAGATGGAGTCTTGCTCTGTCACCCAGGCTGGAGTGCATTGATGTGATCTCAGCTCACTGTAACCGCTGCCTCCCGGGTTCCAGCGATTCTCCTGCCTCAGCCTCCAGAGTAGCCGGGATTACAGGCGTGCACCACCACGCCTGGCTAATTTTTGCATTTTTAGTAAAGAAGGGGTTTTACCATGTTGGCCAGGCTGATCTTGAACTCCTGACCTCAAGTGATCCACCCGCCTCGGCCTCCAAGTGCTGGTGTTACAGGCGTGAGCCACTGCGCCCAGTCAGGATCATATGGCTTTTGCTTAAGGATCACTTCAGATGTTTTTGCAGATCTTGAATTCCAGCAACCAGTCTGAAGAAGACCCCGCATATAGGAATGGGATCAGCATGAGAATACAGCTTCTTCACCCACCCCTTGTCCCTCAACTCCCGCCCAATCCTCTCTCCCAAGACTTCACCTTGCACTCTTTGACCAATCAAAGGATCTCCACACTTGGGCCCACTCCATACCCCTTAAAAACCCCAGCCCCAAATTCCTCGGGGAGATGAATTTTTTTATTTTATTTCATTTTTATTTATAAATTTTTGTTTGTTTGTTTTCTGAGACAGTCTCACTCTGTCACCCAGGCTGGAGTGCAGAGGTGCGATCTTGGCTCACTACAACCTTCATCTCCCAGGTTCAACTGATTCTCCCACTTCAGCCTCCCAAGTAGCTGGGACTACAGGCATGCACCACCACGCCCGGCTAATTTTTGTATTTTTAGTAGAGACAGGGTTTTGCCATGTTGGCCAGGGTGGTCTCAAACTCCTGGCCTCAAGTGATCTGCCCACCTCAGCCTCCTAAAGTGCTGGGATTACAGGTGTGAGCCACCACACCCACCCAGGAGATGGATTTTAGATTTGCTCCCATCTCCTCGATCTGTGGCCCTATGATTAAACCTCCTTCTCTGCTGCAAACTGGTATCTCAGCATGTTGACTTGCCCAGTGCCTCAAACAATGGGCCTATGACAGTTACAGTTTATCCACCTAAGATCACATTCAGGCCAGGCGCAGTGGCTCGCGCCTGTAATCCCAGCACTTTGGGAGTCCGAGGTGGGAGGCTCTCTCGAGGCCAGGACTTTGAGACCAGCCCGGGAAACATAGCAAGAATCTCTCTCTGCAAAAAATACAAAAATTAGCCAGGCATGGTGTTGCATGCCTATGGTCCCAGCTACTTGGAAGGCTGAGGTGGGAAGATCACTTGAGCCTGGGAGGTCGAGGCTGCAGTGAGCCGAAATCATGCCATTGCTCTCTAGCCACCCTGAGTGACAGAGCAAGACTATGTCTTTAAAAAAAAAAATAAGTTGGCCAGGCGTGGTGGCTCATACCTGTAATCCCAGCACTTTGGGAGGCCGAGGCAGGCGGATCATCTGAGATCAGGAGTTTGAGACCAGCCTGGCCAACATGGGGAAAGCCCGTCTCTCCTAAAAACACAAAAATTAGATGGACGTGGTGGCAGGCGCCTGTAATCCCAGCTACTCAGGAGGCTGAGGCAGGAGAATCACTTGAACCTGGGAGGCGGAGGTTGCAGTGAGCCTTGATCGCGCCATTGCACTCCAGTTGGGAGACAAGAGCAAGACTTCATCTCAAAAAAAAAAAAAAAAGTGAATATAATAACATCACATTCACAGGTTGCAGGGGCCAGAATGTGGACACATCCTTTTGGGGGGCCACCATTTGACACACTATATTCCCTCCTGGAGCTGCAGCCCTGGCCGTGAAAGGAAAGGAGAGGAAAGCAAGAAGGAAGGGGCCCCTGCACTACCCAGACCCCCAGAACATGATGCTGGTGGGGATGGAGGAGAGGCAGAAGGAAATAGGATTGAAGTCTAAATCAAGGCCCCAGCTTGGGTCTGGACATTCCTTGTTTTGAATTGAAGCCACGCTGCCCTGTGACTAAGGCAACTCCAGGAACATCTGTTATCTGAGATGAACAGAGAACAAAGTCATAAAGCTAAGATTTTATCAAGGGGATTGTGGGGCAGGGGGGACATGTTTCCCTGTGAAAAGCACATTATAGAGATCATGAGAGATCAGCCCTTGACTGAATTCACACAATGATGGTTCATCACAGGGACCACCTGACCCCCAGGATTGTTCTAGAAGGTCTTTTTCTCTACCATCTCCACACCAATCCCTCTCCACCCGCCGCTCCCACCTTCCACTGGGTCCCCATCCTCCTCTGGGCTGGGGCCCTGCCTGCCTGCCATCCATTCACTCAACAAACACTTATTATTATTTTTTGAAACACAGTCTGGCTTTGATGCCCATGCTGGAGTGCAGTGGCGTGATCACTGCTCACTGCAGCCTCTGCCTCCCAGGTTTAAGCAATTCTCATTTCTCAGCCTCTCGAGTAGTTGGGATTACAGGCATGCATCACCACACCTGGATAATTTTTGTATTTTTAGTAAAGACGGGGTTTTGCCATGTTGGCCAGGCTGGTCTTGAACTCCTGGGCTCAAATCTGTCCGCGCGGCCTCTCAAAGTGCTGGTAGTTACAGGCGTGAGCCACTGCGCCCAGCCTTAACACTTATTGAGCACCTGCTGTATGCCAAGGGCCAGGGAAGGGGGCGGCATACAGAGCCAGAAGGGAACAGTGTGGAGGAACTTCCCTTTTGGAGCTGACTTTCCAGTGGGAGACCTGGGCGATGACAAGATGAACAAGGAGTGAATATTCTGTGGTGTAGCCAAAAGTAGCCAGTGCAATGGAGAAAATACAGCAGCCTCAGGCCTGTAATCCCAGCACTTTGGTAGGCCGAGGCGGGCGGATCACTTGAGGCTAGGAGTTCAAAACTAGCCTGGTCAGCATGGCAAAACCCCGTCTCTACTAAAAATACAAAAATTAGCCAGGTGTCATGGAGCATGCCTGTAATTCCAGCTACTGAGTAGACTGAGGCAGGAGAATTACTTGAACTCGGAGGTGGAGGTTGCAGTGAGCTGAAAGCACACCACTGCACTCCAGCCTGAGCAACACAGCGAGACCCTGTCTCAAAAAAAAAAAAAAAAGCAGCAATAAGAGTCTGTGGATGTTGTAAATTGGGTGTGTGTGCATCAGAGAAGGCTTCCCTGGGGAGGGGCACACGTGAAGGGAGACCTGGAGGAGGTGAGGGAGGAGCCATGTGGATATCTGGGGGAGGATGACTCAGGCAGAGGGAACAGCCTGTGCAAAGGCCCTGAGGCAGGATGTCTTTGGTGAGTTTGGAGAACAGTAAGGAGGCCCATCTGCTTGGAGAAAGCTGGGTTTTCTGGCCTCCGTGAGGACTGGAGTTTTGCTCTGAGTGAGGCAGTTGGTAAGGAGAATAATGCCCTCCTTCCCAACATATCTACTTCCTCATCCTAAACTTTCAAGATCTCGTGGCCTGGGGAGGATAGGAGAAAGGGGCTGGTAACTGCTCCAGTGGGTTGATAAACATGGGTACTTCAGGGAGGCTTCCTGGAGGAGTGTCAAGCATATGACTGGCTTGAATTGCGGGAGAGGCAGGCTGAGCAGGGAGCAGGTGCCCAGGGAGAGGCAGAGGACAGGTGAGACACTTAAAAGTGTCTAAAGGAGAAAGAGTCCTTTGGACACAGCCAGGCCCTGAGAAGCAAGGTTAGTGAATTGCTACCTCATGCAACAAAAGGGACTTTGCTGATTAGGTAATTAAGGACCTTCAGACAGGGAAATGACCTTGGATCATCTAATCACACAAGTCCTTAAAGTGCAAGGCGGCGGCAGAGGGGAGTTGAAGGCTGTCATATGAGAAGGACTTGACTCGTCATTGCTGGCTTTGAAAATGGAGGGAGGGCCCACGAGCCAAGGAATGCACGCAACTTCTAGAAACGGGGAACAGACAACCAGCAAGAAAACAGGGGCCTCAGTTCTACAACCCCGAGGAACTGAATCTTGCACCCCTAAATGAGCAAGAAATAGATCATCCCCTAAAACCTCCAAGAAAGGACTGCAGCCTGCTGACATCTTGGTCTTAGGCAGGTGAGACCCGAACCACATCTCTGACCTCTAGAGCTGTAGGATAATTTGCGTCGTTAAAAAAACGCTAGCTTGTGACGGCAACCATGGGAAATTAACACAAGTTGGGAGCCTTCTGGGTTCTGAGCGGGAGGAGGGGGCGTGGCCTGATCAGGTGTTCGCTCGCGCCCTCTGGAGGCTGCGGAGGGAACAGGCTTCAGGGCCAGGCTGGAGACCTGAGCAAGGGTAGAGGGAACTGCACAGTCCAGGTGAGGGATGCTGGGCTGGACCAGGTGAGGGCCGGGGAGGTGGGGAAGAAATGAAGTCCGAGGTTCGAACGTGGATGGAAAGAGAAAAAAAGAGAGGACTCCAGCGGGGCGCGGTGGCTCACGCCTGTAATCCCAGCACTTTGGGAGGCCAAGGTGGGAGAATCACTTGAGGTCAGGAGTTCGAGACCAGCCTGGCCAACACAGTGAAACCCCGTCTGTACCAAAAATACAAAAAATAGCCAGGCGTGGTGCTGCACACCTGTAGTCCCAGCTACTCGGGAGGCTGAGACTGCAGACTTGCTCGAACCCGGGAGGCGGAGGTTGCAGTGAGCCAAGACTATGCCATTGCACTCTAGCCTGGGAGACAGAGTAAGACTCCATCTAAAAAAAAAAAAAAAGAGAGAGAGGACTCCAGTCAAGGATGACCAGAAGCCTCTGAGCTGGGAACTTGGAGTCTCCCGTTCCCTCCACCCCAACTCCACTAGTCCCTACCTCCCCTTGGCCTCACCTGCCAGCAGTTGTCCCAGGCGGAGGCCACATGCTTCCCTCTCCTCTGAGGCCTTGCCCCTGCCTGTGACCTCTCACTTGTCACATCTGCTGTCTCTGTTCTCAAGACAGGAAGTCAGATGGGAGTTGAAGACGGCTGGGACCTATGAGTCCCCAGGCCCCCAGAGGGATTCCGGATTTGAGAGTCGGCCTCCTCCCTCCCATCCAAGCCCAGCCCAGCCCTGCCAAATCAGCTCCCAGCGCACTCCCTGGTCTGCACTTCTTTCTCTGTCTCTTTCTCTCTCTGGAATTTTCATTCTCTTTTTGGTAACCGAATTATCCCATCTCCGCCTCTCACTGGGGGCCACCCACAGAGGCGTGGGAGAGGAGGGGCCCAGGTCGCAGCGCGAGATATTAAACCATCAATCACCCACCAACGCCGACTCCCCCGCACCAGGACCCTCCGTTGGCTCCACCTGGAAGCAGACCAGCTCCAGTGCAGGCCTGGAGGCCTGGGGACCCCATCAAAATGGGAGGCCTTGGAAGAATCTCACAGGCCCTGCATCCACCTGGGCAGGTGCCTGGGTGCAGATCGGCCTGGCTCAATGCACAGAAAGGTGTCCTGGGTTCAAATCTACAAGCTACTTCTTATCCACACATGGGAGCCACTGCATTGTTCTGTGTCTTGGTTTCTCCACCTGTAAAATGGTGATAACAGCCGGGCACGGTGGCTCACGCCTGTAATCCCAGCACTTTGGGAGGCTGAGGCGGGCAGATCACCTGAGGTCAGGACTTCGAGACCAGCCTGGCCAACATGGCAAAACCCCATCTCTACTAAAAATATAAAAATTAGCCAGGTGTGGTGGCGTGCCCCTGTAATGCCAGCTACTTGGAAGGCTGAAGCAGGAGAATCACTTGAACCCAGGAGTCAGAGGTTGCAGTGAACCAAGATTGTACTAGCGCACTCCAGCCTGGGGGACAGAGCAAGACTCTGTATTAAAAAAAAAAAATGGTGGTAACATTTTCTACATCATTGGGGTTCACTGTCAGGATTAAACCAGTTAAGGCAGATGGCAATATCTGGCTGATAGTAACTCCTGTCTAGGATTTGCTGCTAGAATGATTTTCCTTCAAGATTTGGGGGGGTCATTCACTTGTGAAGGAAATCCAAGATTCTTGGCTTTTGGGGGGACTTAATGGGGTTCATACTTGTGTCACCTCACAGCTGCTGCCTTGTATAGGTTGGAATTGGATTTTTTTTTTCTTTTTTTTTGAGATGGAGTCTCGCTCTGTCGCCCAGGCTAGAGTGCAGTGCACGATCTCGGCTCACTGCAACCTCCGCCTCCCAGGTTCAAGGAATTCTCCTGCCTCAGCCTCCCGAGTAGCTGGGACTACAGGCACATGCCACCACGCCCAGCTAATTTTTTTTTATTTTTAGTAGAGACGGGGTTTCACCATCTTGGCCAGGCTGGTCTCGAACTCCTGACCTTGTGATCCAGCTGCCTCGGCCTCCCAAAGTGCTAGGATTACAGGCATGAGCCACCGCACCTGGCCGGAATTGGATTTTTTTGTTTTTTGTTTTTGAGACAAAGTCTTGCTCTGTCACCCAGGCTGAAGTGCCGTGTGGTATGATCATGGCTCACTGCAGCCTCAACCTTCTGGACTTAAGTGATCCTCCCACCTCAGCCTCTTGAGTAGTTAGGATTACAGGCATGAGCCGCCCCACCCAGGTCTAGGGGAAAAAAAATTAAAGGCTCTTTCAGAACCTTAACTAGGGCCAAGCAACCCATATTTCAAGGTGCTCAATTCACAAAACAAGGTCTCAGTGCTTTGCACAGGCTGTTCCCCCTGCCTAAAATGCTGTTCCCTCAGCCAGCCACATGACTCCTCCTTGCCTGCTTCTGGGTTTGCTGCAATGTCACCTCCTCAGTGAGGTCACTTTGTAAAAATTGCACCCAGGGCCCCTGCCCGCCCCCACCCTTCCCAGCTGTATTTCCCTCCATAGCATGCACCCCATTTTGCATACCGTATGCAGTGCTTGTGGGGTTTGTCTGTTCATCCCACTGGAGTGTTAACCCCAGGGCAAGGTTCATTCATTCACTGCCCAGCACGGCACCTGGCATGAAATAAACACCCAGTAAATACTTGTTGAGTGAAAGCATGAACAAATTCCATTCAGCTGCTCCCAGAGGACCCCACAGGCTGCAGCCAGCTCAAAGCTGCTGTAGCTGGGCCTGTCAGCAATCTTGGGTTTCCTGGAGCGGGGTGGAGGGGGTATCACTGGATGTGTTCAGAGATGCAGCTGGTTCACTGTCAACTTTGTGTGGACTTTTCTCTTTTTTTTTGAGGCTGGATCTCACTCTGTCACACAGGCTGGTGTGCAGTGGCGTGATCACAGCTCACTGCAGCCTCCACTCCAGCGATCCTCCCACCTCAGCCCCCTGAGTAGCTGGGACCACAGTTGTGCGCCACCATGCCTGGGTAATTTTTGTATTTTTCATAGAGACAGGGATTCACCATGTTGCCCAAGCTGGTCTTGAACTCCTGAGCTCAAGCAATCTGCCTGCCTAGGCCTCTCAAAGCAGTGGGATTACAGGCGTGAGCCACAACGCCCGGCCAGGATGTTTATTTTCTCATTATTTATTTATTGTAGAGATGGTGGTCTCCCTATGCTGCTTAGGCTGGTCTTCAGGTCCTGGGCGATCCTTCCGTCTTGGCCTCCCAAAGTGCTGGGATTACAGGCATGAGTCATGGCGCCCGGCCTTGTGTAGATCTTTAAAAGGTACCCCTTCCTTGCTGGGTGCCGTGGCTCATGCCTGTAATCCCACACTTTGGGAGGCTGAGGTGGGCAGCTCACCTGAGGTCAGGAGTTCGAGACCAGCCTGGCCAACATGGTGAAACCTCGTCTCTATTAAAAATACAAAAATTAGCTGGGCGTGGTGGTGGGCGCCTGTAATCTCAGCTACTCGGGAGGCTGAGGCAGGAGAATTGCTGGAACCTGGGAGGCAGAGGTTTCAGTGAGCTGAGATCGTGCCATTGCACTCCAGCCCAGGCAATAACAGTGAGACTCCATCTCAAAAAATAAAATAAATAAAATAAAATAAAATAAATAAAAGGTACCTCTTCCTCTGGGCAGATGCAATGTGTGGTGAGGGGAACAGATGATGTTAGCTTCTGCTCTAGCCTCTGTCTGGCATGCTTGTGCAGTGCGCAACTTGCACAACTGTTCTTGGCAGTACTGCTACTGTCCCCCATCTCTTGAGTAGCTCAGAAGGTGGGGGGCGCTGTGAAGACCAAGTAACCAGAGGCTGGACCTCTACACCCAGGTGTTTAGAGGGCCAAACCCCAACCTCTGTGCCCAGCTCACTGCTGGTGAAAAATCTGCCAAGGAACTGGACTGTTCTGGTGACACCCCAAAGACTCCCCTCCTGGTATCCCCAGCAGTGTCTCCCTTGCTCCTCCGGACTAGTGGTGCCCTCGCCTTCCCCAGCCCCCTCTGCACGTTTCCACCCAGCTAGGAGTCCCACACTTGCCTGCTTCTCCCAACCTTCTCTCTCTCTCTCTCTCCAGCACAGTGGCTATTTTTATTTTTCCTTCTTATTAAATTTCCAACTTCTGCAAACACCATGGCCTCTGCCTCGCCGCGCCCCCCAAATTCCCTTAGGGCGGATTTGATTCACTTGCGTTTTATTAACAGATTAAAAAAAAAACCCGCTGCTGCCACCACAATGTGACTTTCTCCGCTTTCCTGGAGGTTTAGGGAACCGAGGAGAACTGGGCTACAGGATCCCCTCCGGGTTTAAATTTGCCCTCCTCCCCACTCCCAGGGACCTTCCCATCACAGCCTGAGCGGCGAGGTCGGGAAGGGGCTGGGGAGTGAGGTTGGATCTCGTTCTGGGTTTAGGGGGGAATGGGATGGGTGTCAGGCCTGATGCGGTTCCCCCAGCCAGGGACTCGTCCCAAGGCGGAACTGGAAATTAAGAAAAAAAAAAAAAAAAAAAAAAAAAAAAAAAAAAGCAATCCGTTGGGAAGCCCCGCCCCCGCCTCGCCCCCCACCCCAGACCCTGGGTGCTAAACGCTTCGGGTGGGAGGGGCAGCCTCGGGGGTGGGGGCTTAGAGTTGGCGCCTCCCACACAGAGCTGGGGTCGCCCCTACCCTCTCTCTCTTAGGATGGCTGGCAGGGGGCCTTGGGAAGGTTTGCCACCTACCCAAGCCCGGCTCGCTCAGTTTTCTTTCCTTCTTAGGACATTCTGATTCCGGTGCTGACTCCCAGACCTGAGAGCAAATTGCTTCTTCATGCCCCGGGGTGTTTTCCTCCCCTCAAGTCTTTTTTTTTGTCAGTCGCCATGGCAACCAAGAACCCAGCTGCACTATACTTCCCTGGGATACAGGATGGGGGTAGGGGGTGATGGGGAAACTAACTGGGTCGTTTAGGCCAGGACCTTCCTACCCTCCTCTTTGCCCCCTCTCTTAGTCCTTCACCCCTTCCCCACACCACGTGGTCCAGCCTTGATTGACAAGAGGGCAGGTTGTGCCTGTCAGGGTTACCCATCTTGGTGGTTGGGCCACAGCTTCCTTCTGGGTCACTCTGTTCTGGGAAGGTCCTTCATTTGGCCCGAGGGCTAAGGCTCCAGCTGTCAGTGAAATCCCTTTCCCCTTCCTTTCCTCCACTCTTTAGTCCCTCAATCAGGGTGGGCTGGTACGGTTGGGCAGGTTGGACACTGCACAAGGGGACACTGAGTGTGTTCAAACTAAGCTCCCGATTTCCATTGCTCCCTTACTCCATAGCACACTACAGACTAAACTCTCCTCTGCCTTACTGACACCAACTCTCTGTTTGCTATCAGGAGAGCCAATGATTTCAATAAAATACTTCAGTCCTGGTCACACCCCAATGCAGAGCTGAAGAAAGGAAGTCCAGTCGGGAATTTGGGGCCTTGAACAACCCAAGCCACAGCTCCTGTGGGAGCTTAGAGAGAGAGCAAACCTGGGCAGAAAGAACTTCTACAGAGGGCCGGGCGCGGTGGCTCATGCCTGTAATCCAGCACTTTGGGAGACCGAGACGGGCGGATCACGAGGACAGGAGATCGAGACCATCCTGGCTAACGCAGTGAAACCCCGTCTCTACTAAAAATACAAAAAATTAGCCGGGCTTGGTGGCGGGCGCCTGTAGTCCCAGGTGTTCGGGAGACTGAGGCAGGAGAATGGCGTGAACCCGGGAGGAGGAGCTTGCAGTGAGCCGAGATCGCGCCACTGCACTCCAGCCTGGGTGACAAAGCGAGACTCCGTCTCAAAAAAAAAGAACTTCTACAGGGGCCAAAGCTAGGGTCGAGGACCATAGAATGCCTTGGGGTACCCAGGGAGGGGCAGGGAATGATTATCAAAAGCCCCAAAGGAATCATGGGGCTGGTCAAGTTGGCTTCACGGACCCAATTCTACCGCCCACCATCTATACTCTTTGCCTAGGTAGCTCCTCCCACTGGGAGGTGGAGCCTACTTCCACACCCCTTGAATCTGGGTTGGTCTCGTGATCTCCTTTGGCCAATCAATGGATTGCAGCAGAAGTGAAGTCACTTCCCAATCTAGGCCTGAAGAGGTGGTGCATCTTTCTGGTCGACGTCTGGAAACCCTGCCCCTGTCAGGTGACCAAGCCCGAGCTAGCCTGCTGGAGGATGAGGGAAGAATCCTGTTGTCCTAGACCAGCCTATAGCCAGCCGGGCCCAAATATACGAAAAGACCCAGCCTGAATAAATACAGTGTGACTCTTGGACCCATAGACGCTGGTGGGTGAGCCCAGCCAGGAGCAGAAAAACTGCCCTGTAGCCTGCGAAGCCAAAATTAATGCTGATTGTCCTAAGCTGCTGGATTTGGGCGTTGTTAGGCAGCTTTTTTTTTTTTTTTTTTTTTTTTTTTGTCTCAGTCTCACTTTGTGGCCCAGGCTGGAATGCAGTGGTGCAATCTTGGCTCACTGCAACCTCTGCCTCCCTCCCGGGTTCAAGCGATTCTCCTGCCTCGGCCTCCCGAGTAGGTGGGATTACAGACACCCGCCACCACGACTGACTAATTTTTGTATTTTTAGTAGAGACGAGGTTTTGCCATGTTGGCCAGGTTGGTCTCAAACTTGTGGCCTCAAGTGATCCACCTGCCTGGCCTCTCAAAGTGCTGGGATTACAGGCATGAGCCACTGTGCCTGGCCTTTGTTAGACAGCTTAACTGGCAACAGGTAACTGACAAGGAGCCTGGCAGGCACAGGTGTGCATTGGTCAGCACGTCCCCTTGCCCACGAAGGAGCTAGACTCAAATCCCGGGGTCCCTGAAATTGATTGTCAACTCTTTAACTTCCTGAGGAATCCTTCCCCATTTTTCCTTTATTTGTTTCTTTTTTGTTTGTGTTTTGGCATGGCCTTCCAATGAAATTCCCCATTTTTCCTTTTTCTTTCTTTCTTTCTTTTTTCTTTCTTTTTTTTTTTTTTTGAGACGGAGTCTCGCTTTGTTGCCCAGGCTGGATTGCAGTGGCGCGATCTCGGCTCACTGCAGCCTCTGCCTCCCAGGCTCAAGCGTTTCTCCTGCCTCAGCCTCCCGAGTAGCTGGGATTACATGTACCACCATGACCCACTAATTTTTGTATTTTTAATAGAGACGGTGTTCCACCGTGTTGGCCGGGCTGGTCTCTAACTCCTGACCTCGGGTGATCCGCCCGCCTTGGCCTCCCAAAGTGCTGGGATTACAAGCGTGAGCCACCGTGCCCAGCGCCCCATGTTTTCTTTCCTTGGTATATCTCTCATTGCACCTCCTCTCCTCTCTCTCTCACTTCCGTCCAGCCACATCAGCCTCCTAGCTGATCTCTACTTCTCCATGCTAGTTCCCACCCCAGAGTCTTGGCACCCGCTGTTCCTCCTGTCTGGAACCTTCTTCCCCCAGATCTCTATGTGTATCCTCCGCTTTTCCTCCTTCAGGTCTCTGTTCATGTGCCTGATCCTTTGAGGTGCCCTCCTTAACTCAGGGAGATACGTCTCCTTCCAGGCCCTCACCAACCTACTACTACTGCTCCCAATGGGAGCCACATCATGTCCAGCCTAGGACGCTAAATTTGACCCAGGGCTCAGATGGGAGCAGAACAGGCCTCCCCTAAAACATTCCTTTTTTTCCTTTTCTTTTTTTTCTTTTCTTTTTTTTCTTTTTTTTTTTTTTTTTTTGAGACAGAGTCTTGTTCTGTCACCCAGGCTGGAGTGCAGTGGCGCGATCTTGACTCACTGCAACCCCTGCCTCCCAGGTTCCAGCAATTCTCCTGCCTCAGCCTCTCGAGTAGTTGGAATTACAGGCACCTGCCACCACAGCGGGCTAATTTTTGTATTTTTAGTAGAGATGGGGTTTCACCATGTTGGCCAGGCTAGTCTCGAACTCTTGACCTCGGGTGATCCGCCTGCCTGAGCCTCCCAAAGTGCTGGAATTACAGGTGTGAGCCACTGTGCCTGGCCACACAAAACCATTCCTCATCCACCTTTCCCCTAATGATTTTACTATCCATGGCTAATCATGTCCTAGATCCATGATTTCTTTCTTTCTTTTCTTTTTCTTTAAGAGACGGGGTTGCGGGGGGGTCTCATTATGTTTCCCAGACTGATCTCGAACTCCTGGCCTCAAGCGATCCTCCCACCTTGCCCTCCCAAAGTTCTGGGATTACAGGCGTGAGCCGCGGTGCCCGGCCTAGAGCCATGATTTCATTACAAGTTGCAAAATACTGCATTCCCAGTTTATCATGGCATTTTCCCATTTATACATCTGTCGTCTCCAACAATCTGGAAAGCCCTCAACAGCAGAGTCAGAGCCACAGGGTACCAAGGAAACATTTGCTGAAAGAATTTGAATTCAGGAGATGGAGCCTATTGGGGGAAAATCCCAAACCAACAGGTATTCGTTGTTTAGGGCAAAGAAACATGGCACCATTTCTCCTGCTTCTAGGATCAAAGGCTGTTCCACTCCAATCTCCGCTGGATGCCAAGCCTGGCCAAAAGTCCCAGGACATGGCCTGGCCCCCTACCCATCAATGCTGTCCCTCTTCTGACACCCCATGGAGTCACCCTATGGACTCAGGACCAATGGGGTTTTGGGGAGAAGACAGATCGTCTGTCTACAGGTATCAACATTGCTTTCCTTCTCAAAAATTTTTTTTATTTTAAACCTCCCCACAATTCAAACATTTCTCTTATTATCTTCTGCCGAGGGAAAAAAATTAATAACATGGCACAATATAAAATACTAAATTAAAAGGCATTTTGGAACCAGCAGTTATTTCATAAGCTTCTCTTTTATTGCCACGCTAATGTGCCTAATTGCTATCTTAATGAGGACATTAATTTCTGGCTAATGTGATGTTACTATAGAAATTGCAGTCAATCTCTTAAAAGGAGGAAAGTGCTAGAAAGCCGTCCCACGAGGCAGAGGCTTTGGTCACCCTGGGGCTGAGGGGCAAAGGGGAGGGGAGGAGACGGTGCTGGAACCCGGGCCAAGACTGGGGGAAGGATGGGGCTGCTGGGAGCCAGAGAGGGGGAAGGCAGGTGACTTGTGCTGAGACTAAAACCTCCCAGGGAGGCCCTGATCTGAAAGCCAGCTGTTGCCGTGCCCGGGGATCTAGGAGATGAAACTCTGAATAGGGGAAAGTGTTACAGCAATAATAAAACCTGACATCAGTGGCAGGCACGGTTGAGGCATTTTCTATGCTAATCCTTGCAATAGCTCTATAAAATAGATAGTGTCATTTCCCCCATTTTATAGATGGGGGAACAGAGAGGTTGAGTAACTTACCCAAGGTCACACAGCTATTACATGGTAGAGATGGGATTTGAACCCGGACCGTCTGGCTTAACTGCTGAGCTATGCTGCCTTTCAGCCAGCACCGTGACACCATCGAGAATAATAATTTCAAACATTTATTGAAGGCATATTATGCGCCGGCTATGAGTCAAGCCTTTTGCACACAGCATCTCTGGGTGGGCTCCATCTTGGAGAAAGAGGTGCAGCTACAGCCACATCTGAGCACTCCTTAATATACAGGGAGGACGAGGCAAGGCTCAAAGCTCGGGGGCTGGTGTTGCACCTCCCTCCCCACACAGGAACAGGAAATCCATTGTAGGTAGAGAGACATCAGGGCCCAGAGAGGAGGTTATTTACTCTGAGTTGCACCTTATCACAGGTTACTGTGGTGGTCAGGGTAGGTTTTGAAGGCAAATGGTCTGGGTTAGAATTCTAGCTTTTCCCATTTGGCAAGTGGCCGACCCTCTCTGCACCTCAATTTCCTCATTTAAAGATTGGGGCTATGGGAGGCCGAGGTGGGCAGATCATTTGAGGTCAGGAATTCAAAATCAACCTGGCCAACGTGATGAAACCCTGTCTTTACTAAAAATACAAAAAAAAAAAAAAAAAAATGAGCCAGTCATGGTGGCCTGTGCCTGTTATCCCAGCTACTCAGGAGGCAGAGGCAAGAGAATCACTTGAACCCAGGAGGCGAAGGTTGCAGTGAGCTGGGATCATGCCACTGCACTCCAGCCTGGACAACAGAGTGAGACTCCATCTAAATAAATAAGATTGGGGCTAACAATGGAACCTACCTCCGAGGGCTGTTGTAAGAATTAAGCAACTGGTTGGGCGTGGTGGCTCGCACCTATAATCCCAGCACTTTGGGAGGCTGAGACGGGAGGATTGCTTGAGCCCAAGAGTTCGAGACTGGCCTGGGCAATATAGCAAGACTCCATCTCTACAGAAAAAAATATTAAAAATTAGCTGGGTATGGTAGCATGAGCCTGCAGTCCCAGCTACTTGGGAGGCTGAGATGGGAGGATCACATAAGCCCAGAAGTTTGAGACCAGCCTGGGCAACATAGCAAGACCCCATCTCTACATAAACATATAACAAATTAGCTGAGCATGGTGGTGCCCCCACGTCTGTAGACGTGGTTGATCTACGAGCAACCTGTAGATCCCAGTGGCTTAATGCACTAAAGGCTACTTTCTCACTCACATCACACTGCTGCACCTGGGAACCAGACTCCAGCTATATTGTGGCTTCACCTTCTTCCAGTGACTCAGAGGCCCCACAAGACCCTCTTTGTCCAGCCAGAAGATGCAAAGGAAGAATTAGAAGGTGCAGGTGGGAGGTGTTAAAAGCCTGAATGTAGCACACCTCGCTTCCATTCACATCCCACAGAAGCAGATAATGATAAAGGTTAGGAAATAGGTTTGGAGTCTGGGAAACATGGGGAGACCCCATATTTACAAAGAAAAAAACTTTTTTTTAATGAGCTGGTTAATGGTGGCGCAAGCCTGTTGTCCCAGCTACTCAGGAGGCCAAGGTGGGAGTGAGGTAGGAGGCTGGAAGGGACTCTAGAGGTGAAGTTCAGACACTGGACCAAATTCATGGCCAGGTGTGGTGGCTCATACTTCTAATCCCAGCACTTTGGGAGGCTGAGGTGGGTGGATCACCTGAGGTCAGGAGTTTGAGACCAGCCTGGCCAACATGGTGAAACCCCGTCTCTACTAATAATACAAAGATTAGCCGGGTGTGGTGGCAGGTGCCTCTAATCCCAGCTACTCGAGAGGCTGAGGCAGGAGAATCGCTTGAACCCGGGAAGCGGAGGTTGCAGTGAGCCGAGACATACATAGTCAAAAGAATTGCAAACAAATAGTCATGCAGAAACGCATACACGTATGTATACAGCAGCATTATTCTCAATGACCAAAAGGTGGAAATAACCTACATGTGCATTAACTGATGAATGGATAACTCAAATGTGATTGATCTATATAACGGATATATTATTCAGCCTTGAATGAATTTCTGACGCATGTTACAACATGGAGAACCCTTGAGGGCATTATGCTAAGTGAAATAAGCCAGTCACCAAAGGACAAATACTGTGTGATTCCTCTCATATGAGGTACTTAGAGTGGTCAGATTCATAAAGACAGAAAGTAGAAGGGTGGTTACCATGGGCTGGGAGGAGAGAATGGGGAATTAGTGTTTAATAGGTACAGAGTTTCAATTTGGGAAGATGAAAAAGTTCTGGAAATTTGTTTTACAACAGTGTGAATATACTTAACACTACTGAATTGTACACTTAAAACTGGTTAGAGACAGCCAGGTGTGGTAGCTCATGCCGGTAATACCAGCACTTTGGGAGGCTGAGGTGGGAGGATCACTTGAGTCCAGGAGTTCAAGACCAGCCTGGGCAACATAGCGAAATCCTGTCTCTACAATGCAAAAATTGGCCAGGTTTGGTGGTGTGTGCCTGTGGTGCCAGTTACTTGCGAGACTGAGGTGGGAGGATCACCTGAGCCCCGGGGAGGCTGAGGTTGCAGTGAGTCATGATCACACCACTGCACTCCAGCCAGGAAGACAGAGTGAGACCCTGTCTCAAAAAATAGGTGGGGAGAGGGGGCAGTGGTTAGACTGTAAATGTTATATTATGCCTACTTTACCTCAATTTTTAAAAATTGTTTGAAGCCACACACAAAAGTCTTATTTAGTGAAATCATGTATTGTATGATTTATATGAAATGTCCCAAATGGGCAAATTCATAGGAAGTAAATACTTGCCAGGAAATAGGAGAGGAAATGGGGAGCAGGGCCAGTGATTCTGGGGCTTCTTTCTGGGGTGATGAAAATGTTCTGGAATTAAATAGTGGTGATGGCTGTACAGCCTTGTGAATACTATACTAAAACCCACTAAATTCTGCACTTATTTAAAAGGGTGAATTTATGGTGTATAACTTATATCTCAATAAAAATTAATAAAAAGGAGTGGTATGAGGAATTGGGAAAATACACACACACACACACACACATATATGTGCCTTAACTCTAATCAGTTCCCTTTGTCCTTTCTGAAACAAAGTTGTACCCAACTGATAGTATAGGGTGTCCAGTCCAGATCTCTCTCTCTTTCTCTCTCTCTCTCTATATATATGTATATATATGTATCTGTATCTTTCCAGAAAAATATGCAAAATGGCTTGGTGAATTTTCTTTTTGATTTTAACACTTAACTTTTTTTGGCCAGTCGTGGTGACTCACACCTGTAATCCCAGCACTTTGGGAGGCTGAGGTGGGTGGATCACTGTAACCCAGGAATTTAAGACCAGCCTGGGCAACGTATCAAGACCCCTTCTTTACAAAAAATACAAAAATTAGCCAGGCTTGGTGGCACGTGCCTGTAGTTCCACCTACTTGAGAAGCTGAGGCAGGAGGATCACTTGAGCCTGGGAGGCAGAGGTTGCAGTGAGCCAAGATTGCACCACTGCACTCCAGCCTGGGTGACAGAGCCAAACCTTGCTTAAAAAAAAAAAAAAAAAAAAAATCTAGCCTCACAGTGGCTTATGCCTGTAATCCCAACACTTTGGGAGGCCTTTATGGCAGGAGGATGCCTTGAGCCCAGGAGTTTGAGGCTGCAGTGGGCTATGATTATGCCATTGCACTCCAGCTTGGGAGACAGAAAGAGAACTTGTCACAAAAATAAATTTTTTTTTCTTTGCTTTCTTCCTTTTTTTTTTTTTTTTAAAGACAGGGTCTCACTCTTTCAACTGTCACCCAGGTTGGGGTATAACAGCTCAACCTCAGCTTACTGCAACCTCCACCTCCCAGGTTCAAGCGATACTCCCACCTCAGCCTACCAAGTAGCTAGGACTACAAGTGCACACCACCACCCCTGGCTCATATGTTTTGTGTATTTTTTTGTAGACATTGGGGGTTTTGTCATGTTGACTATTTTTTTTGTAGAGGTGGGGGTTTTGTCATGTTGCCTGAACTGGGCTCAAGCGATCCACCCACCTCAGCCTCCCAAAGTGCTGGGATTACAGGTATGAGCCATTGCGCCCCGCCAATTTTTTCCTTTTACTGTCTGTGGTTCCACAACTTCCTTTTTGCCTGTTCTCTATGGACTTTCTACTTCATTTGGACTCTACTTAGATTGGCCTAGTTTTCTCTTTAGTCAAATCTTCAGTAACCAATTTATTACCATTAAAAATGATCTAATAAGCTTTATTTTTATTATTGTTAAAAATTCTCATTTTGAGGAACACAACCACAAAGTAAAGAAAGTTTTCATTGATTTAAGTAAAAAACCAATATTTAATAACAATTTTAAAAACATGGCTCTAGGCCATCCACATGCTTTAACTCATGCTCAGGCTCCTGATATTGATGGGTTGTCTTTGTATTTTTCTGATGCCCTTTTATGTGAATTCACCCGTTTTGGAAGAAAACACAATTAAGGTTATCTATCACAACAACCACTATCTCCAATGTGTATTCATTCCTTTTATTCATTTTAAGTCTCATCTACCCGATGAGATAACTTTTTTGAAGACAGGAATTGTATGCTGTTTAACAGTGCTTTGATTCTTCCACAGTTCAGTCATCCTTGCTACCTTGCAGACGACTGGTTCTAGGATATCGCCTCCACACCATACCAGAATCTGTGGATGCTCAATCCCTTACGTATAATGGTGCAGTGTTTGCATATAACCAACACACATCCCCCCCATATACTTTATTTATTTACTTACTTAGAGACAGGATCACCCTCTGTCACTCAGGCTGGAGAGCAGTGTCACAATCACAGCTCACAGCAGCCGCAACCTCCTGGGCTCCAGTGATCTGCCCACCTCAGCCTCTTGAGTAGCTGGGACTACAGGTGCATACCACCACACTAGCTAATTTTTTTATTTTTATTTTTATTAAAGACAAGGTCTCACTATGCTGCCCAGGTTGGCCTCCCAAAGTGTTGGGATTACAAGTGTGAGTCACCGTGCCTGGTCCCATGAACTTTAGGTCATCACTAATAAAATGTATAGATATTGTATCATGGCAACAGTTGTTATACTGTACTTTCTAATTGTATTTTTATTGTTTTTTTCTTCAAATATTCAGCCTTATCTAGTTGAATCTGAAGATGTGGACCTGCTGATGAAGAGGGCTGACTGTATCTAACTTAGGGTCTTGCATGTAGCTGGTACTTAACGCATTTTATTGACTGTTTTAGCTAACATTCAATGGACAATTCCTAATAAAAACCTCTTAAAAGTATGAAAAAAAGGAAACCTGCTCTAAAGTGGCAGGAAAACCAGCCTGGGCAACATAGCAAGATCTTGTCTCTACACCAAAAGTTTTAAAATTCACTGCCTGCCTGTAGTCCCAGCCACTCAGGAAGCTGAGGCAGGAGGATCCCTTAAGCCCAGGAGTTTGAGGTTACAGTGAGCTAGATCACACCATTGCTCTCCAGTCTGGGTGACAACAAGGCCCTGAGAAAGAAAAAAAAAAGAAAGGAAAGGAAGGAAAGAGTGTAAGTATTGAAAAGGAAGAGACAAAACTATAATTATTTGCATATAAAATAATAAATGTTAGCCAAAGAAGCCTAAGAGAATCAACTAAGATTTTACTGGAAGTAATATGAGAATTCAGTACGGTGGCTAGAAACAAAATCAAGAGAGCAGCACACAAACCTCAAATGCTTTTCAGATGTACCACCAATAACTAACTAGAAAATGGAAGAAAGATCCCATTTACAATGGCAATACAAATGTCTGAAGTATTTAGGAACAAAAATACAAAGATCTGTTATCTAACAAAAGACGTGTAAGATCTATATGATGGAAACCCTAAAACTCTTCTGAAAGACATTAACAAGAAATGAATACATGACATGAAATACCATGTTCTAGAATGTCGTACAGATGTCAATTCTCAAATTAATCTACAAATTTAAGGTAATCCTATTCAAATCCCAAGATAGTTTTTGGTGGTGGCTGTTTTTGAGACAAGGTCTCGCTCTGTTGCCCAGGCTAGAGTGCAGTGGTATGACCACAGCTCACTGCATCCTCGACCTCCCAGGCTCAAGCAATCCTCCCACTTCAGCCTCTGAAGTCTCTTATATGGTGTCCAAGAAATGGGGACAAATCTCACAAAGGGACTAGGCTCAGGAGGGCTGGAATATTCAGGGAAGTTTCTTTTTTTTTTTTTTTTTGAGGCAGAGTCTCGCTCTGTCCCCCAGGCTGGAGTGCAGCGGCCCGATCTTGGCTGGCTGCATGCTCCACCTCCCAGGTTCATGCCATTTTCCTGCTTCAGCCTCACAAGTAGCTGGGACGACACACGCCCGCCACCACACCCAGCTAATTTTTTGCATTTTTAGTAGAGAATGGTCTGTGTTAGCCAGGATGGTCTCGATCTCCTGACCTTGTGATCCGCCTGCCTTGGCCTCCCAAAGTGCTGGGATTACAGGCGTGAGCCACCGCACCTGGCCTATTCAGGGAAGGTTTCAAGCAGAAAGATGAACTGAGTTGGCTTTGGAGAGATTCACAGGACTCCCACAGGCAGAGTGAAATAAGGGCATTGTAGATGGACAAAGGCACAGATGAGCAGCAATGGGGACAGTGTGACTGGGGGACGCTGAGGGGCTGCTGTGGCTGGAATGGAGGGCTGCCACCATAATGGAAATGGCCAATGAGGCAAATAAGGTTGGATTAGGAGCATAGCATCAAGGGTGCCAGCTTATTAAATCCCTCTTCCAGTATGCTAGCACTGGCCTGCTGGGAAAAGTAATACATCACATAATCAAACAAAAGGCAAAAAGAGGCGAGCTCCAGGAATAGGCACTGTAAACAGGACTCGCCCCAGGGTAGCCAGATGCAGGCTTTAGATTTGTTGATGCAGGTTGAGCATCTCTAATCCGAGGGGGAATGTCTCATATGGTGTCCAAGAAATGGTGACACATCTCACAGAGGGCCTAGGCTCAGGAGGGCTGGAGTATGAGACATTCCCCCTCCCCTGTGAATTTGAAAACGTGGCCAAAATTTTTTTTTAAAAATGGCTACCCTGTAGTTCTTTAACTGGACCTATTTAGACAACACCTTACACACTGGAGAAGGATGATACTATGTGAATCTAGTAAGTCTACAAGACAATACTTCTCTCTTTTGGCTGTCTTCTTCCTCTCCAGGGTGATGACAACTCCGTGAGGGTGGAGATTATATGTCTCTCATCATTTAAGCAACAAGGAAATAAATTAGTGGCAGAGTAAGGGGTGACTCAGTGAGTACATCCAATTGTTGACATAGTTTTGGGTGGGAGAAATTTTGCTATTATATCAACTTAACTTCTTAAAATAGTCTAGTGGGATTAACTTGGTTTTATTTCACAGAGACCTCCTGGAAGCGAGGATCCTTTAACAATCCTGGAATATACATTGCAGTAAAAGAACAAAGCACACCTCAGCCTTAAATGACAGAAGAAGAATGTCAAGTGGGAAAGTGACGTTGGTTTTCAGTTTGTGGATTCTGAATCCACACAAACACAGGATTGTATTTTGAAAACCTGAATTAATTATTGTCTTTACCTCTATAAAACAAAAAATTATAATCAAAATTATTAGTATGACAGTCACAGATATTGCGAAGATGAGTTTGTTCTTATAGTCATATCCTGGAACTTCTTTCATGAGCTAAAAAAAAAAAAAAAAAAGAAAAAAGAAAGAACAATTAAAAAGAGAGAGAGAATGGAAGCTAACTTTTCAAAACCCCAGTATTCCAGTTGAGTAGCTTACAGGTTCTTTTGTTCTTTTTATTTTTTTTGAGACAGGATCTCACTCTGTCACCCAGGCGGGAGTACAGTGGTGCGATCACAGTTCACTACTGACTCGACCTCCCTGGGCTCAGGTGATCCTCCCACCTCAGCCTCCTGAGTAGCTGGGACTACAGGCACGTGTCACCACACGCAGCTAATTTTTGTATTTTTTGTGAAGACGGGGTTTCACTACGTTGGCCGAGCTGGTCTTAAACTCCTGACCTCAAGTGATCCACCCACCTCGGCCTCCCAAAGTGCTGGGATTACAGGCATGAGCTACCACCCCTGGCCTACAGTTCATCTTGTGCCCTAATCTATTTCACTGTCTACATGAGCAAAGTGGGAGATCACTGTCATGGCCAAAGTTACATGGCCAAGACAAGCTATGGCCTGGGAGTCCCAGGTTCTCCTATGTGGGCACTTTCCTGGCATATGCTAAATGATGGGAAATCTGGGTCTCATGTTTCTGTGTGCTCCTCACCTCACTTGACTTCTGCTCTTTCTGTTCATTCTGTTCCATGTTCTCATTAATATAATTTGTTTTTTGTTGGTCCGTATCCCATTCTACATTCAATGCCTTTGCTTCCTGCTGCTCGCTGAGAAGCTTCATCAGGAGGCCTGTTCGCGACATGAGCTTGGCACAGCTCCCTTGCACATGTGTTTCTGAACATTCCATTTTCAAGGTCCAGATAACATGAGACATGAACTTTCTCACATCCTCGTTGGGGATGAGGGACCGTAGCTGCTCGGTTAGCTGAATTTCAAGCTGATCACCTGGGGACGAGAGCAATGGGTAATTGAAGCTTTTGGGCTCAGGGGACAAGTCAATGCCCACATTGTTGTATTCCCATTTTGTCTCAGTTTGTTTAACAGTTGGTTCTAAGTTGAATGCAGTCCCAGCGGAAACTGCCTCAGGAGGATGATTGTAGTTTGTGTTTTCAGAGATGTGTCTTTGAACACATCTCTTTTGTGTCTTTTACATTAGTTGTGTCTTTTACATTAGTGTTTTCTGTAAAACGTTCTGAAGGAGCAACTACTTCCAGAAGAGGGTTTTCTTGAGGACTCAGGTCTCCTAAGGATGAAAAAATCCCTTGCGAATGTATGAGGCTCTTTGCTGCAGAGAACAGCGGCCTCTTTGCGAGCATCGGTCTGTTGAGATAACTGCCCTTTCTAAACTTTCTAATCTTTTTGGCCTTGGGTGTTCTGTGGGCCACAATGGAGTGAGTTTTATAAAAGCGCTATTTTTTTCTGGAATGTGTGATTGGTTTAGCAGCCTTCATGTTTTTCACTCTAGCCATTGCCATTTCTAAAATTAAAATGGTGTAGGCTAAGTCTTTCGATCTGTCTCTGACCTGAGGTAGGGCTTTTGCAGGGCTAGAGGCAGAAGGCACGCCCATGGAGAAGGGTTTCAGCACAGAGGAGACTGCTGCCTTATGCTCTTGGGTGAATGAAGGCTTGGTGTAGATGGTGTTTCCCACTACCTTCTCAGGCCCCTGCACTATGTGAGGCTGTTCCAGCTCCCTTGGGGCTGGACCCTCAAGCCTTTTTCCTTTGGCAGCATTGTCCACAAATGCCTGGGCATCCTGTTCTTTCCTAGTGCTGTGCTTTCCCACCTTTTTGAAGTGCCTTTCCTGGATGCTCCTTGGGCCCATGAGGACTCTGTTCACTCTCTGCAGGTTTTTGCCTACACTTTGAATCTTTGCCAGGCGGTTTTCCTGTGGTTGCGCAGTTTCTAATTTTTTTTTCAAATATTTTGTTTTTAAATTTGTTACCTAGAAGGCTGGACTGTGAGGGGCTCTTTCTATTGTTTTTCAAAATACTCAGGAGCCTATCTCCATCTTGTACATTTGAAAATAGCTGTTCAGTGAACGGTAACAATATTGATTCTGCACCTAGATTTCTCAGTGAGAGATAAGGCAAGATGTAACTTAGTGCGCTGCTAACATCACTCTCGTCATTGGTGTCTAGCTGCTCACTCCCAAAGCCTGACAAGTTGATGCCACTGCTGTCTGAGGGCGCCTCCGACTCAATAGTCAGCTCAGTGCTCATGTGCTGCTTCCGGGCTTGTAACATCTTCATGAATGCTCCTTCTGGATTCCCTACAGATGCTTCTTCAGCTGTCAGAAAAGAAGAGACTGCTTTGATCATGAAATATCTTTGATCATCTTTCATACTCAGTCCATAGCTGTATGCCCCAGTCACACAGAGTAAGAGTCAGCAAACATTCGAGTGCCATTCAGAGAGGAGAAACATACACCCAAACCTAAACCTATGAAACGGCAACAACGAAAGGAGGAAAAGACATCTTTTGAAAACATGGCCACCTACTTGGAACATTCCATAGTGTGACATAGAGTAACTCTGCTTAGGATTATTCCGTTGATCCCCAGGGGCCAATTGCCCAGTGCTCAGTCAAAGCCCAAGGTGGAAGACAAGTGCTTCCCTGATGAGCTGATGAACTGGCCTCTCTGCAGACTGCTCCATACCCTGTGCTGTCCTGCCTCATATGCAGAGAGAGCACAAGGCTCCCACTCTCCTCATCCTCAGTGTGCCCGTGTTCTTGCTACCATCGCAGCTGAATGCAATGAAAGGCGGTCCTCTGAGAGGAGCAGGGTGGAGATGCTAAAGGAGCAGGGAGGGATGCCCCCTCCCATTGCTGATAGATCCTCATCTGGCATGTGCTCCACCCACCCACCCCATTCTCTGCTCCCACATATCATAGCCCCATCACAGAAGATGCGACATGGAAAAAAACACTGTGTCCACCTTAGTTCTTTTCTTAAATTTGGGCAGGGATCCAGGGTGTAGGTTAGGAGATTTTTAATTTGCCAGATTGTATGCCTATGTTGTTAAATATACAATGAATCTATGGTATGGTAGCAGTTTCTGGATAAACATTACTTGAGGTCCTAAATGCAGAAGGGAAAAAGTGACTTTTGTCAGATGCCTACTTCACTTTCATTCATCTCTAATATTTTGGATGGGGAACCATCCAAAGCTTCTGACTGCATGAAGGTCAAGTGTGCCAGTGTGCAGCTGGGCTTCTTTTCCAGAATTAAAAGTATTTTGGGTGGTGCTGAAGGTCAGCGGAAGTAGTAAAGATTGCGAGAAAGGAGAAACATGGGCTTGGGGAGAACCCAGAATTGGGGACAGAAGACCTGGCACTAGGCTACAGCACTTAGCACCTCTGATCTTGTTTTTCCTCACCTGTAAAAGGAGATTAACAATGCTTTTCTGCCCGCCTCTTGGGGAGAAGGGAAGAATATAATTGGTAAAAAAAAAAAACAAGAAAAGAAAAAAAAAAAGTTCTGAAAAATAAGCAACACTGTCTTTATAGAGGTAGCCAAGCATTATTAATTATCCACCCCATATCACTGGTAGATACCTGTATTCAAGCAGTCACATTTTAGAAGTCATGAAGTTGGTGCTAATAAACCTAATCTACAGAAAAACTCTTGAAAGCATTTGAGCATTTGTTCTGCGAATAGAAAGGTTTGAGATTCAGAGCAAGTTCAGAGTTGGATGGACTAAGAATGGAAAAGCCCTCCATTCCAATAGAAGAGCCAGGTAGCAATTTCTGGTTATGGAACCAGAAGCTCTCAGGCTTCAAATAAAACAGCATCACTTCTACTCTTATAAAACTGTAAAAACAAAAACAAAAACAAAACCGGATCTACATCTGTCCTAAAAGGCAGAGAGTACTTGAGACCTCATGGATATAAAACCAGCTTACAAACTACATTGCACTATATGAAGAAATTATCACTGGGGGCAAAGCACCAAGCAGAGAGCACAGTACACAGTGTGTGGATGTTAATGTTATTCCCTAGCCTTCCCATTCCTTTCTCTTGGTCCTTTATGCATATGGAACGGTTCCATTATTAAACTTTGTAATAATAACTGAGAACCTGACTCCCAGCAAGGGAGTCGTTCAGAAGTTGAGGGAGTTGAAATCTGACTGAGTAAATAAAACAATTAAATCATTAGCTTAACATTTCATCAATTAAAAATAAAAATTTAAAAACAAATACTTAAAATAATGTAACAATTTATCATCACCAGGCAATTTGGACTCACGACAGTGTATGCTGTTAGACATGCAGTGTTGCAATGCAGCTTGACTGTCTTGCAGACAGCCTCAATGCTATTTTTAAATTGGCAGAGGCAGCAGGCCATATGGCTAGGTAAGATCCTATAGATGAAAACACAAAACAATAAATTAGTGGTAAGGCGGTTACTTGAGTAGGTAAAGGAGGCAGCCAACGCTACCACAGGGCTGGGCAAAGAGGTGTTACTGAGGCCTGTGGACTGGACACTTGGGTAGGAACCAGAAGGCCAATGGGAAGGAGGACACAGGTGCCCAACTGAAGGGTAAGCATGGCAGTGAGTATGGTATGCCTAGAATAAAGGTGGTTGGGATTAGAATTGGGTGACACTGATCAGTAGTTTAAATTCAGAGGTATCTCTTCCCGACTCAAAAGTCTCACTTTGGGCTGAAAGTATACAGGAAGAAGGTAGACTTCTAAGAAGAGTCTGAATAAGCCCCCAACTTCTGAAGGCCCTTTCTCAATTTCTGTTGGGAGTGGGAAGTATTAGAAATTACTCTGGGCATTAAAAATAGCTCAGCTTAACCTGGATTGTGGGGTTAAAAAAAATAACGGAGATTGCATTGGCCAAATCTGGACAATTTGAGCTTTCAAAAGAATAACAACAATAAGCTACAACATAATATATAAAAAATCCATGAAGAATGATATTTTAAAAGAGGGGGAGTTGTTCTTTAATGAAATAATGCTAGCTAATAAATGTAGAAGGAATGACAGAATTTTAAAAAGTGTCACTTTGCAACCACCAATGTAATAAAAATAGATTCAGACAAAGATTATCATTGATGAACAGTTGGGTGAAAAGACATTTGAGAACAGGATCTTCACTGATCTCAAAGTACCACCCCACAGATTTTTTATTAATTACCAAAGGGAAAAGTTATTTTTTATTTTTTTATGAGACAAGGTCTCACTCTGTCACCTAGGCTGAAGTACAGTGACAAAATCATAGCTAACTGCAGCCTCGACCCCCTGGGCTCAAGTGACCCTCCAAATTCAGCCCCCCAGGTAGATGGGACTATAGGCTTGCACCACCACCCCAGCTAATTTTAGTTTTTTGTTTTTGTTATTTTTAGTAGAGACAGGGTTTCACCTTGTTGTTCAGGCTGGTCTAAAACTGGACTCAAGTGATTTGCCCATCTCGGCCTTCCAAAGTGCTGGGATTACAAGTGTGAGCCACCACACCCAGCAAAATAACCACAGTGGAGAGATCTGGAAGATCACCTTAAACAAGTGATCAAACTTAGCATTATGAGCCACCTGGGGTCACGAGGCAGGAAAGATACATCACCTATGCAGTATTCTTCCCAAAGATGCTTACCTTGAATCTCATGTGGAAACAGAGAAATCCAGATTGTGGGACAACTTACAAGACAACTATCTTTGACTCTTAAAAAATGCCAATGTCATGAAAGATCAAAAAAAGTAGAGGCATGTTTTAGATTAAAGGAAATGAAGACATGACATGCAGTGCCTGATCTTTGACTGGATTCTGTAGTATTCTTTCATCTTTCTGCATGTTTGAATTTTTTTCAAAATATAAATTTGGGCAAAAGAGATAACCAAGATAATTGATTAATTTATTGTTATGGCTTCTTGGGGGCAGTTTCAGAGAAATAAAAACAATCTCTGTAACTGGAATAAATTCTCAAGGTTAATCTTAAGCAGTATAGCATGGTCATTAAGAATACAGATTCCACAGCCAGACTAGGCTTAAATCCCAGCTCTGTGAATAATGTAAATTTGGGCAAATTGCTTAATCTCTGTTCCTTGGCCTTGTCATTATAATAGTACCTACCTCAAATGAGTTTTGAGGATTAAATGAATCCCTACCTGAAAAATGTCTGGCACACACTGAGTGATCAATAAATGTTAACTACTATAAATATTACATTACAGAAGTTGTAGGGGGGCCTCTTCTGAATCCTCTAAAAGGATGACTTTGTTAGGGCCACATTAAGACTGTGGAAACAGAAGAGTATTCAATGGATACATGAAGTCTGTGAGTTGGGGGTATGATGTATAGAGTTTTAGATTAAAACTGCATCCAATAAGTTGGCCTGATAAATCTTTCAAACCTACAGAGGAATAATCACAAGTGACTCGTATTCCTTTGGGTCCAATAGAAGCCTCTGATCTTCATATAGATTGAATGTACCCAGAACCATAACCTAGCATTTTACTTATATAGCAACCTTAACTCTGACACAAAGATGTTTCTTTTGTTTTGAGGCTGAGTCTCGCTCTGTTACACAGGCTGAGTGCAGTGGTGCAATCTTGGCTCACTGCAGCCTTTGTCTCCTGGGCTCAAGTGATCCTCCCGCCTCAGCCTCCTGAGTAGCTAGAACTACAGGTGCGTGCCACCACACCTGGCTCATTTTTGTATTTTTTGTAGAGATGGGGTTTCACCACGTTGCCCAGGCTGGTCTCAAACTCCTGAGCTCAAGCAACCCCCTCTCCTTGGCCTCCCAAAGTGCTGGGATTACAGGCATGAGCCCAAAGGTTTTGTTATTCTTTTCCTGCCCCCAACTTTTGATTTTAAACATTTTCTTTTTTTCCTTTAAGGTTTAGGATGGCTAGGAAGCATTTTCAAATGGTATAACGAACACCTGTATAACTTGCATCTGGAATCAACAGTAGCTAATACTTTGCCACACTTCCTTTCCATGTGTGTATGTTTATACATTCTCTGGACAAACCATTTGAGAGTCAGTTGCAGACATAATGACCCTTCACCATTAAAGACTTCAGTGTGCAGCCCCTAAGAACCAATGCATTCTCCTCCATAACCAGAAGACTCTCATCACCCAATGGAACTTAATATTATCATTGCCTACTATGCATTCCATATACACATTTTCACAATTGTCCCAATCATAACATGGCTTAAAAAATTCAGAATCCAATCAAACATCAGACATTGCATTTTCTGTTCATGATTTTTTTTTTTTTTTTTTTTTGTAGAAAGACCTTTAATACTTCTGTTTACAAAATTCGGGCATACATTTCAGTTTGCCCTGAACCGTGCCCAAGGCTGTGTGCTCATCTCTGCCAGGGTGTCTGTGCCCTTCATGTACTGCCGACCACGAGGGTGCAGAGCAGAGCCTGGGGTCCGGAGGCTTCGCTGGGCCTCAGGGGGAGGGGAATGTGAATGTGGCCCAGCCCAGAGGACCCTCCATTTCGTCGATTTTGGATTGGGCGACAGAGGAAGCAGATGTCGGGGCTGCAGACATGCTGGCCTGGACAGGGGTCTGGGGACCCCGGGGCTGCCTGCCGTGGTCTAGAGGAGATGGCTGGGGCCACTTCCCACAGGGTGGGTTGGCAGCGGCTCGGCAAGGGGAGGCCTGGCTACCAGGGGCTTGAACATTTGCTCACTGGAGCCTTTGTGCTTGGCCCTTAGCAGCACAGCTGGGGCTGTGGTCCCGTGCGAGGTGTGCTGGGGGGGTGTGTAGGTGGCTGGTGGTGGCAGCTTGTGCCAGAGTGACACAGGCTTCCGTGGGCCTGGCTGGGGGCAGTTAAAAAGCTGAAAAGGTACTTGGTGTGTGAGGGTAAGGCTTGGGAGGCAGGGCCCTAGAGGAGGCCATGTTCTCTGTCCTGGTTGAGGGGAGCAGTATGGGGGGGAAGGTGGGGCAGATCCCAGCTGGCCTCTGTCTCCTGGTTGCAAGCTGACAGCAGGCCAGGGAAACAGTGAGGCCCTCTGCCCTGGCCTTGGGGAGAAGGAGTGCATGTGTGAGGCTGGGGTACTGTGGCCCTGGAGTGGGGCTAGGGTTCATCGCCAGGAGCAGGCTTGTGGGGGGATTTAAAACCAGGGTCCTGTCTCTGAGCCACCCCACAGGGACACTCGATCCAAGCCTGTTAAGGCCGTGGAACTCGAGGGTAAGCTGTGGGCTGGGCCCCCATGGGGTCAGGATGGAGGTGGGGGCTGCCCTGGAGGAATATTAGTGTTTCTGAGAGCACCTTAGTGTTGCCCCGTCTGGGCCAGCTGGGTGAGGAGTTGGGGAGCGGGAAGAAGGCCGGCGCCATGGAGTGAGGAAGGGAGCCGTCACCGTTAGGGGTAAGCGCTAGTGTAAACAAGCGTCCCCACCCACCCCGATAAGCCTCCCACCCAAGTGTGGCTCCCTGCTGAGGGAGTACCTCAAGGGCCCGGGCCTGGGTGGCGCCAGAAGGCTTGGACACCGCCCTGGCAGCAGGAGCCCATGGAAGGCAGGAGACCTGGCAGGGGGTGCCACCCAGTGTGGATGGAGGGGTGGGGCGGGGGCACCAGTGAGTCACTGGGCAGAGGCATGAGCACGTCCATGTAGCTGAGCAGGAAGAAGCCCAACTGGCCGTCCAGCATGCCCTGGTACCAGTTCTCGTTGATCTGGTTGATGAGCGTGAAGACGTCGCCCTCATGGAAGCCCAGCTCCCCATGGTTCTCAGGCTGGAAGTCATACAGCACCTTGCAGCTTGGCTGGTCTAGGGGCGGCATGCTCCTGCTAGGAGTACAGATGGACTTGTTGGAAGATTGGAAAGGGGATGAAGCTGCGATCTTGGGGACTGTGGTGCAGGGGAAGCCCCCGTTGGACTGCTCAGGCTCTCCGAGGTCAAAGGGCTCCCAGAACTTGGGCTTATACTCCCGCTTGGGGCGTGAGGAAGCTTCCCGCATCCTGCGCTTGAGCTTCTCTGCCAGCTCGTCCAGGATCTGCATGGCCTGCCAGTGGTCGTTCAGCTGCGCCTCCGCCAGGGCCCGGAGTTGACTCATCTGCTCAATGTCGGTCTCCAGGAGGTTGTGCATGCTGGTTTCTGCTACCTCCTTGGAGTCCTCAAACTTCTCCAGCGCCTGGCGCAGCTCCTCATCGGGGATCTTGCCCTGCCGCTTCTTTTAGTCAAAGTCCAGGCGGCGGCCCTCTAGCTTCTGCAGGTGGTGCTGGATCCCCTTCAGGTCTTTCTCACACAGGTTCTGGAGGAGGTCAATGAAGTTCTGCTTGACCTCTATGTCCAGGGAGTCCTTCACCTCTGCCAGGTGCTTCATGGACTCGCCGGCATCCAGCAGTGCATCACTGAAGTTGGACTCGTTGCCCAGCTCCTTCTGGTGGCGGATCAGGCACTCGCTCAGGAGCCCCTCCGACTGCGGGTAGCCGGGGTTCTTCACCTGGCCCTGGATCTTTCACACTGTGTTGAGCATGGTCAGCTTAGCCTGTGAGGCTGGGTTGGGCTCCAGGTACTTGATGGTCCTTGCCAGCATTTCCATCACCGCCTTGCTGATGACATCTCCATCTCTTTGAAGTCATTGTCCAGCTTGGTCCCCTCAGACCCTCCGACCTTCTCACTGACCAGCTGGCTTGCCTTGTAGAACTGCTTTTTCAGCCCTGCAACCAACAGGCTGCCTCCCGCCGCAGAACCTCCCGCCCAGACCGCGCCAGCGACAGGCTTCTAGGTGCGCGACCCTCTGCACACCTCAGGGGCCCCACCACGTGCTTGCCAGCTCTGCGCCTGCCCCGGCACCGCCTCGAGTTCATGATTCTTTAGTCTCCTTCAATCTAGATCTGTTCGCAGGATTGTTTTAAAGTATACTGACAAAACTTTGAGACTGTAAGTGACCTGAGATATACATTATCCTTACTTGAGAATAGTAATTTTTCAATACGCGTTAAAGATCATTACACATGAGCCAAGACAAATGAGCTGGCCTACTTACTTTGTATATAAATGTGTAAACTCCTCAAGAATTCCAATAATGAACTCCAATAAGGAAATTAGTTCAACGTCTTTATGGCCTTGGTGACAAATGGTTACAGACAATCAGAGCATTTTTTTCCTATCCACTAATGGTCAAGAAAAAAGCAGACAGATCCTCACTATCTTAGAGAACTAAGTGAGAAAGTTGGTCGATGAAGAGGACTTCATCCAGAGAGGAAGGGATGTAGCTTACAGGGAAGATGCTGCAGGAGGCTGAGGAAAGTGAGGCTAGAGCAGTAAAACAGATCTGACAACCTGGTGAAGATAAAAAAGTGACCTGACAAAAATGAACGGAGCAGAGTGCCAAATAGAGGGCCCTTTCCATGCTAATCTTGCATAATGCCCTCAACCAGCCTTAGCATAACTGAGTTTCTATTTAGCTTGCCATATTGTGGGGGGGGGTGTGGTGGCACAATTTAAGTTGCAGTAAGTTGTGTAACAAACTCACAATAGGGCCCTGCAGAAATATATATATATATATAAAATATATATATATAATATATAATATATATAAAATATATAAAATATATATATAATATAAATATATAAAATATATATAGAAATATATATAAAGATATATAATATATACATATATATGTATAAATATATATGTGTATATATATATAAATATATATATATATATATATATATATATTTTTTTTTAGGCAGGGTCTTGCTCTGTCACCCAGGCTGGAGTGCAGTGGTGTCATCTTGGCTCACTGCAACCTCTACCTCCTGGGTTCAAGCGATACCCCCGCCTCAGCCTCCCTAATAGCGGGGACTACAGGAATGTGCCATCACACCTGGTGAAGATATATATAGATATAGATAGATATATATCTATACCTATATCTACAAAGAAGGCCAGGCATGATGCCTCATGTCTATAATTGCAGCACTCTGGGAGAACGAGGCCGGAGGATCACTTGAGGCCAGGAGTTCGAAACCAGCCTGGACAACACAGTGAGACCTCATTTCTCCAAAAAATAAAAATAAAATTGCAAAAAAACAAAGAAACAATAAACCTCACACCATATATGCAAATTAACTCAAAATGGATCATAGATCTAAATGTCACTATACAATTTCTGGGAGAAGACATAGAGAGTAAATCTTTTCCACTTTGGATTAAACAACAGGTTCTTAAAGATTTCTTAGGTAAGAAACAAAAAAGCACAAGCCATATAAGAAAAAATTGCTAACTTAAAGCTGATCAAAATTAAAAACTTCTGCTCTTCACAAAACTTTACTTATTTATTTTCTTTCTTTCTTTATTTTTTTGAGACAGAGTCTCACTCTGTTGCCCAGGCTGGGGTGCAGTGGTGCAATCTTGGCTCATTGCAACCTCCACCTCCCAGGTTCAAGCACTTCTTGTGCCTCAGCCTCCTGAGTAGCTGGGATTACAGGCATGGGCCTCCACAACTGGCTAATTTGTGTATTTTTAGTAGAGATTGGGGTTTTGCCACGTTGGCCAGGATGGTCTCGAACTCCTGACTTGAAGTGATCCACCTGCCTCGGCCTCCCAAAGTGCTATGATTACAGGTGTGAGTCACTATGCCCAGCCAGAGAACACTTTTAACAGAATGAAAAGACAAACCACAACCTGAGAGAAGATATTTACCAAACACATATCTATAAGGCCTTGTTTTTTGTTTTTAATTTATTTACTTATTTACTTTTTGAGATAGTATCTCACTCTGTGACCCAGGCTGGAGTGCAGTGGCGATCACAGCTCACTGCAGCCTCGACCTCCCAGGCTCAAGCAATCCTCCCACCTCAGCTTCCCGTGTAGCTGGGACCACAGGTGAGCACCACCGCACCTGCCTAATTTTTATGTTTTTGGTAGAGACAAGGTTTCACCATATTGCCCAGGTGGTCTAAAACTCCTGGCCTCAAGAAATCCTCCTGCCTCAGCCTCCCAATGTGCTGGGATTATAGGCATGAGCCACTGTACCTGGTCCCTGAAAAGACTTGTATCTAGAATCTATAAAGCACTCTTTTTTTTTTTTGTTTGAGATGGAGTCTCACTGTGTCGCCCAGGCTGGAGTGCAGTGGCGTGATCTCTGCTCACTGCAAGCTCCACCCCCTGGGATAACGCCATTCTCCTGCCTCAGCCTCCCGAGTAGCTGGGACTAAAGGTGCCCGCCACTACCCCCGGCTAATTGTGTGTCCAAACCTTCTGGCGCCACCCAGGCCCGGGCCCTTGAGGTACTCCCTCAGCAGGGAGCCACACTTGGGTGGGAGGCTTATCGGGGTGGGTGGGGACGCTTGTTTACACTAGCGCTTACCCCTAACGGTGACGGCTCCCTTCCTCACTCCATGGCGCCGGCCTTCTTCCCGCTCCCCAACTCCTCACCCAGCTGGCCCAGACGGGGCAACACTAAGGTGCTCTCAGAAACACTAATATTCCTCCAGGGCAGCCCCCACCTCCATCCTGACCCCATGGGGGCCCAGCCCACAGCTTACCCTCGAGTTCCACGGCCTTAACAGGCTTGGATCGAGTGTCCCTGTGGGGTGGCTCAGAGACAGGACCCTGGTTTTAAATCCCCCCACAAGCCTGCTCCTGGCGATGAACCCTAGCCCCACTCCAGGGCCACAGTACCCCAGCCTCACACATGCACTCCTTCTCCCCAAGGCCAGGGCAGAGGGCCTCACTGTTTCCCTGGCCTGCTGTCAGCTTGCAACCAGGAGACAGAGGCCAGCTGGGATCTGCCCCACCTTCCCCCCCATACTGCTCCCCTCAACCAGGACAGAGAACATGGCCTCCTCTAGGGCCCTGCCTCCCAAGCCTTACCCTCACACACCAAGTACCTTTTCAGCTTTTTAACTGCCCCCAGCCAGGCCCACGGAAGCCTGTGTCACTCTGGCACAAGCTGCCACCACCAGCCACCTACACACCCCCCCAGCACACCTCGCACGGGACCACAGCCCCAGCTGTGCTGCTAAGGGCCAAGCACAAAGGCTCCAGTGAGCAAATGTTCAAGCCCCTGGTAGCCAGGCCTCCCCTTGCCGAGCCGCTGCCAACCCACCCTGTGGGAAGTGGCCCCAGCCATCTCCTCTAGACCACGGCAGGCAGCCCCGGGGTCCCCAGACCCCTGTCCAGGCCAGCATGTCTGCAGCCCCGACATCTGCTTCCTCTGTCGCCCAATCCAAAATCGACGAAATGGAGGGTCCTCTGGGCTGGGCCACATTCACATTCCCCTCCCCCTGAGGCCCAGCGAAGCCTCCGGACCCCAGGCTCTGCTCTGCACCCTCGTGGTCGGCAGTACATGAAGGGCACAGACACCCTGGCAGAGATGAGCACACAGCCTTGGGCACGGTTCAGGGCAAACTGAAATGTATGCCCGAATTTTGTAAACAGAAGTATTAAAGGTCTTTCTACAAAAAAAAAAAAAAAAAAAAATCATGAACAGAAAATGCAATGTCTGATGTTTGATTGGATTCTGAATTTTTTAAGCCATGTTATGATTGGGACAATTGTGAAAATGTGTATATGGAATGCATAGTAGGCAATGATAATATTAAGTTCCATTGGGTGATGAGAGTCTTCTGGTTATGGAGGAGAATGCATTGGTTCTTAGGGGCTGCACACTGAAGTCTTTAATGGTGAAGGGTCATTATGTCTGCAACTGACTCTCAAATGGTTTGTCCAGAGAATGTATAAACATACACACATGGAAAGGAAGTGTGGCAAAGTATTAGCTACTGTTGATTCCAGATGCAAGTTATACAGGTGTTCGTTATACCATTTGAAAATGCTTCCTAGCCATCCTAAACCTTAAAGGAAAAAAAGAAAATGTTTAAAATCAAAAGTTGGGGGCAGGAAAAGAATAACAAAACCTTTGGGCTCATGCCTGTAATCCCAGCACTTTGGGAGGCCAAGGAGAGGGGGTTGCTTGAGCTCAGGAGTTTGAGACCAGCCTGGGCAACGTGGTGAAACCCCATCTCTACAAAAAATACAAAAATGAGCCAGGTGTGGTGGCACGCACCTGTAGTTCTAGCTACTCAGGAGGCTGAGGCGGGAGGATCACTTGAGCCCAGGAGACAAAGGCTGCAGTGAGCCAAGATTGCACCACTGCACTCAGCCTGTGTAACAGAGCGAGACTCAGCCTCAAAACAAAAGAAACATCTTTGTGTCAGAGTTAAGGTTGCTATATAAGTAAAATGCTAGGTTATGGTTCTGGGTACATTCAATCTATATGAAGATCAGAGGCTTCTATTGGACCCAAAGGAATACGAGTCACTTGTGATTATTCCTCTGTAGGTTTGAAAGATTTATCAGGCCAACTTATTGGATGCAGTTTTAATCTAAAACTCTATACATCATACCCCCAACTCACAGACTTCATGTATCCATTGAATACTCTTCTGTTTCCACAGTCTTAATGTGGCCCTAACAAAGTCATCCTTTTAGAGGATTCAGAAGAGGCCCCCCTACAACTTCTGTAATGTAATATTTATAGTAGTTAACATTTATTGATCACTCAGTGTGTGCCAGACATTTTTCAGGTAGGGATTCATTTAATCCTCAAAACTCATTTGAGGTAGGTACTATTATAATGACAAGGCCAAGGAACAGAGATTAAGCAATTTGCCCAAATTTACATTATTCACAGAGCTGGGATTTAAGCCTAGTCTGGCTGTGGAATCTGTATTCTTAATGACCATGCTATACTGCTTAAGATTAACCTTGAGAATTTATTCCAGTTACAGAGATTGTTTTTATTTCTCTGAAACTGCCCCCAAGAAGCCATAACAATAAATTAATCAATTATCTTGGTTATCTCTTTTGCCCAAATTTATATTTTGAAAAAAATTCAAACATGCAGAAAGATGAAAGAATACTACAGAATCCAGTCAAAGATCAGGCACTGCATGTCATGTCTTCATTTCCTTTAATCTAAAACATGCCTCTACTTTTTTTGATCTTTCATGACATTGGCATTTTTTAAGAGTCAAAGATAGTTGTCTTGTAAGTTGTCCCACAATCTGGATTTCTCTGTTTCCACATGAGATTCAAGGTAAGCATCTTTGGGAAGAATACTGCATAGGTGATGTATCTTTCCTGCCTCGTGACCCCAGGTGGCTCATAATGCTAAGTTTGATCACTTGTTTAAGGTGATCTTCCAGATCTCTCCACTGTGGTTATTTTGCTGGGTGTGGTGGCTCACACTTGTAATCCCAGCACTTTGGAAGGCCGAGATGGGCAAATCACTTGAGTCCAGTTTTAGACCAGCCTGAACAACAAGGTGAAACCCTGTCTCTACTAAAAATAACAAAAACAAAAAACTAAAATTAGCTGGGGTGGTGGTGCAAGCCTATAGTCCCATCTACCTGGGGGGCTGAATTTGGAGGGTCACTTGAGCCCAGGGGGTCGAGGCTGCAGTTAGCTATGATTTTGTCACTGTACTTCAGCCTAGGTGACAGAGTGAGACCTTGTCTCATAAAAAAATAAAAAATAACTTTTCCCTTTGGTAATTAATAAAAAATCTGTGGGGTGGTACTTTGAGATCAGTGAAGATCCTGTTCTCAAATGTCTTTTCACCCAACTGTTCATCAATGATAATCTTTGTCTGAATCTATTTTTATTACATTGGTGGTTGCAAAGTGACACTTTTTAAAATTCTGTCATTCCTTCTACATTTATTAGCTAGCATTATTTCATTAAAGAACAACTCCCCCTCTTTTAAAATATCATTCTTCATGGATTTTTTATATATTATGTTGTAGCTTATTGTTGTTATTCTTTTGAAAGCTCAAATTGTCCAGATTTGGCCAATGCAATCTCCGTTATTTTTTTTAACCCCACAATCCAGGTTAAGCTGAGCTATTTTTAATGCCCAGAGTAATTTCTAATACTTCCCACTCCCAACAGAAATTGAGAAAGGGCCTTCAGAAGTTGGGGGCTTATTCAGACTCTTCTTAGAAGTCTACCTTCTTCCTGTATACTTTCAGCCCAAAGTGAGACTTTTGAGTCGGGAAGAGATACCTCTGAATTTAAACTACTGATCAGTGTCACCCAATTCTAATCCCAACCACCTTTATTCTAGGCATACCATACTCACTGCCATGCTTACCCTTCAGTTGGGCACCTGTGTCCTCCTTCCCATTGGCCTTCTGGTTCCTACCCAAGTGTCCAGTCCACAGGCCTCAGTAACACCTCTTTGCCCAGCCCTGTGGTAGCGTTGGCTGCCTCCTTTACCTACTCAAGTAACCGCCTTACCACTAATTTATTGTTTTGTGTTTTCATCTATAGGATCTTACCTAGCCATATGGCCTGCTGCCTCTGCCAATTTAAAAATAGCATTGAGGCTGTCTGCAAGACAGTCAAGCTGCATTGCAACACTGCATGTCTAACAGCATACACTGTCGTGAGTCCAAATTGCCTGGTGATGATAAATTGTTACATTATTTTAAGTATTTGTTTTTAAATTTTTATTTTTAATTGATGAAATGTTAAGCTAATGATTTAATTGTTTTATTTACTCAGTCAGATTTCAACTCCCTCAACTTCTGAACGACTCCCTTGCTGGGAGTCAGGTTCTCAGTTATTATTACAAAGTTTAATAATGGAACCGTTCCATATGCATAAAGGACCAAGAGAAAGGAATGGGAAGGCTAGGGAATAACATTAACATCCACACACTGTGTACTGTGCTCTCTGCTTGGTGCTTTGCCCCCAGTGATAATTTCTTCATATAGTGCAATGTAGTTTGTAAGCTGGTTTTATATCCATGAGGTCTCAAGTACTCTCTGCCTTTTAGGACAGATGTAGATCCGGTTTTGTTTTTGTTTTTGTTTTTACAGTTTTATAAGAGTAGAAGTGATGCTGTTTTATTTGAAGCCTGAGAGCTTCTGGTTCCATAACCAGAAATTGCTACCTGGCTCTTCTATTGGAATGGAGGGCTTTTCCATTCTTAGTCCATCCAACTCTGAACTTGCTCTGAATCTCAAACCTTTCTATTCGCAGAACAAATGCTCAAATGCTTTCAAGAGTTTTTCTGTAGATTAGGTTTATTAGCACCAACTTCATGACTTCTAAAATGTGACTGCTTGAATACAGGTATCTACCAGTGATATGGGGTGGATAATTAATAATGCTTGGCTACCTCTATAAAGACAGTGTTGCTTATTTTTCAGAACTTTTTTTTTTTTCTTTTCTTGTTTTTTTTTTTTACCAATTATATTCTTCCCTTCTCCCCAAGAGGCGGGCAGAAAAGCATTGTTAATCTCCTTTTACAGGTGAGGAAAAACAAGATCAGAGGTGCTAAGTGCTGTAGCCTAGTGCCAGGTCTTCTGTCCCCAATTCTGGGATCTCCCCAAGCCCATGTTTCTCCTTTCTTGCAATCTTTACTTCTTCCGCTGACCTTCAGCACCACCCAAAATACTTTTAATTCTGGAAAAGAAGCCCAGCTGCACACTGGCACACTTGACCTTCATGCACTCAGAAGCTTTGGATGATTCCCCATCCAAAATATTAGAGATGAATGAAAGTGAAGTAGGCATCTGACAAAAGTTGCTTTTTCCCTTCTGCATTTAGGACCTCAAGTAATGTTTATCCAGAAACTGCTACCATACCATAGATTCATTGTATATTTAACAACATAGGCATACAATCTGGCAAATTAAAAATTTCCTAACCTACACCCTGGATCCCTGCCCAAATTTAAGAAAAGAACTAAGGTGGACACAGTGTTTTTTCCCATGTCGCATCTTCTGTGATGGGGCTATGATATGTGGGAGCAGAGAATGGGGTGGGTGGGTGGAGCACATGCCAGATGAGGATCTATCAGCAATGGGAGGGGGCATCCACTTTAGCATCTCCACCCTGCTCCTCTCAGAGGACCGCCCTTCACTGCATTCAGCTGCGATGGTAGCAAGAACACAGGCACACTGAGGATGAAGACAGCGGGAGCCTTATATATAGATATATATATTATCTATATAATATCTATATATTATATATATAGATATATATTATATATATTATCTATATATTATATATATATATTTCTATATAGATATTATCTATATATTTCTCTAATGATTTCAGTGATGTTAGCTTACTTGTCTGGTAAATCATTATCAAATAAATGACTGCAGTCCACAACTTGTCCTCCTGTGCCGATTTGGTCCCTGGACTGAAGACTTACTATTAAATGATAGAAATATTACTAAGATTCATACAACTAGAAAGAATTACTATAATCAAAAATTTCTATCTTTAGAAAACATCTGGCTTAGCTTATTTTAATACTTTAGAATGACCTCTTTGGTTTCTACTAAAATTTATAATTTCTTTTCCCATAGATTTTTCCCTTTAGGAGTAATATTAGAATTCTAAAGTTTTCTACACTTCATCATGTTCATGGAAGAAGCCTAATTCCTTCTTTACCATAGTAACAGGGCATAGCAGAGTCACTACTGTACTTAAGAAGAGGCATAACATATTAAGAGTATATTCATGTACAAAGGAGTTTGAAAAGTCCACATTAAGTTTAATACTTGGTAATCTCACCATCTAAAAAATATATTGGGCCAGGCATGGTGGCTTACGCCTGTAATCCCAGCACTTTGGGAGGCCAAGGCGGGTGGATAACAAGGTCAGGAGATTGAGACCATCCTGGCCAACATAGTGAAGCCCCATCTCTACTAAAATACAAAAAGTAGCCAGGCATGGTGGCCTGTGCCTGTAGTCCCAGCTATTGGGGAGTCTGAGGCAGGGTAATCACCTGAAACTGGGAGACAGAGGTTGCAGTGAGCTGCAATTGCACCACTGCACTCCGGCCTGGTGAAAGAGTGAGACTCCGTCTCAAAAAAAGAAAAAAAATATATACTGTATTCGAGCAAGAGGGCCATCCTGGTATTCCAGCAAGAAAGCAATCCTTGGATTCCATGAGTTTTAACAGGACACTATTATCCAGAGTAGTATAAAACCACCGCAAAAAATGAAGAACCAAGAGATGTGGATTCTAGAGCAAGCTCTAGTAACCAGTTTAGCACTGTAAACTTGAACAAAACACTTAACAAACAAGGTTTAGATAATCCCCATCTGAATAATGAGAAAGTTAGCTTAATTGATATCTCACTGAAGTCCTTCTTTGCTGCTCCAGTATTGTTTAATTCTAATTCTAGTAACTCTCCCAAAAGACAGAAAGAGGTACAGTCAAACTTGACTATAATCCAACTTCTTAAATAATAGGTTAGTACAAAAAGTATTATTACATCTAATGACCCTTCATTCAAAGAAGGGTCTCAAAATTCTGAAATCTTCCAGTTCTGTGAATATTTTGAAGGATCAGTTCAACATAGAGCTCCTTTACATTAAGTCCCATTTAGAGGACAGAACACTACAAACACCTACTCAGCAAATGTAAACAAAACATTATTATGAAAACTGTGCTAGACAACTATATCCATCAGTTTTTAAATAGATAAAATAAGTGAAATGCTTATCAAAATACAATCACAGTAGAAACAATGTATTTTCTCGTTAGCTTTGTTTAGAATAATAGTAAGATTCAAAACTAAAGAATTTCATGGGCTTCAATTTACATCTCCAGAATGCTGTTAATAGCAGAGCTATTAACTGGTTAAATGAATTACATACCCACCATGGACTACCACACAACATTAAAAATGCTATAGATTTTGCAAGCCTTAATGCAAAGTAGGAAAAAAAAAGGAACAATGCTATAGAAATGTATTTATGGGCCAAAAAAACAAAGATGTTTATGATAAATTTAAACCAGTTTTTAAAAATTCAGTATAATCTCATTTTTTAAAAAAATACATAGAAAAAGTACACATCCAAGTGATAACGATGCCAATACAGTAGATTTCCCGTGCTCAAATGATCCTCCCACCTCAGCCTCCCAATGTAGCTGGGTCATCACAGTTTTAAACAAGGAAAAAACTTTGTACTCCTTGAATCAATTATCTCAACTTGGGAGATTTTTTTTTCATACCAGCAATGATTCTAAAAAATAAAGCGAAGTGTACAAAAATGTTTGCAAGTTTCAATGTTATAATAGCAAAAAAAATTTTTAATTATTAAGTTGTGATATATCTATATACTTCATCCTTTAAAAATCATTAATTACGGCTGGACACAGTGACTCACGCCTGTAATCCCAGCACTTTGGGAGGCTGAGGCGGGCAGATCACCTGAGGTCGGGAGTTGGAGACCAGCCTGACCAACATGGAGAAACCTTGTCTCTACTAAAAATACAAAAAAAAATTAGCCAGGCGTGGTGGCGCATGCCTCTAATCCCAGCTACTTGAGAGGCTGAGGCAGGAGAATCTCTGGAACCTGGGAGGTGGAGGTTGCAGTGAGCCAAGATCGCGCCATTGTACTCCAGCCTGGGCAACAAGAGTGAAACTCCGTCTCAAAAAAAAAAAAAAAAAAAAAAAAAAAAATCTATCTATCTATCTATCTATATATATATATATATATATATATATATAATTACAAAGATTATAAATACTAAAAACGATTATGGTAAGTGAAAGAAAGCAAAGTAGAAATTTAATCTTCAATGGAATTAAAGACATAAATATATACATTTTATATACATATTTATGTATATAAAAATACTAGAGGGGAATATAGTTTTTAAAGTTAGTCCTCTAGTGTTCTTTTCTCCATTTTCCAAAAAGTATATATACCTACTTACAATTATTTGTTAGAGGGCTAATTCTGAAAGAACTGGAACTCATTCTGTTTTTGAATGACAGAACTAAAGAATCATAATGTTTGAGTCCAGCCTCCCTCTCTCTTATTAATGGTCCTATTATGAACAGCAGATTCACACAAGAGCTTTAAATAAATACATATATATACATATATACACATATTTAAGAGTAAAACATTTGTTTTCTATGTAGTATACTCCAGTAGGTATATTTCTTTTTTCTTTTTTTTCTTTTTTTTTTTTGAGACGGAGTTTCACTCTTGTCGCCCAGGCTGGAGTGCAATGGCATGATCTCGGCTCACTGCAACCTCCGCCTCCGAGGTTCAAGTGATTCTTCTGCCTCAGCATCCTGAGTAGCTGGGATTATAGGCATGTGCCACCACGCCGGCTAATTTTATATTTTCAGTAGAGATGGGGTTTCTCCATGTTGGTCAAGCTGGTCTTGAACTCCTGACCTCAGGTGATCTACCTGCCTTGGCCTCCCAAAGTGCTGCGATTACAGGTGTCAGCCACTGTACCTGACCTCCAGTAGGTATATTTCTAATGTCTAACAAAGTCTGCTATTTATATAAATGCAAATTCACATCTAGTAAAACTATTTCGTTACTACTAGACAGTAGTTGGCAAGCATTATGTAACATAATAAATCAAATACAGAAGGAACACTTATATGTGAAAGTACTGTTATGACTGAATTGATTTTTGAGATTTTTTTTGTTTTTGCTTCCTTCTCAATCTAAGGATGACAGGAATTATCAGTAATGCTGTAGTGTAGATCAGGGATCCCCAACTCCCAGGCCATGGATGGATGGGGTATTGGTCCAGGGTCTGTTAGGAACCAGGCCGCACAGCAGGAGTGAGTAGTGGGTGAGTAAGCATTACCGCCTGAGCTCCGCCTCCTGTCAGATCAGTGGTGACATTAGATTCTCATAGGAGCACAAACCCTACTGTGAACCACACACACAAGGGATCTAGGTTGCCTGCTCCTTATGAGAATCTAACGCCTAATGATCTGTGACTGTCTCCCATCACCCACAGATGGGACCATCTAGTTGCAGGAAAACAAGCTCAGGGCTCCCACTGATTCTACATTATGGTGAGTTGTATAATTAGTTCATTATATATTACAATGTAATAATAATAAAGTGCACAATAAATGTAATGCATTTGAATCATCCTGAAACCAACTCCACCCCAGCCTGGTCTATGGAAAAACTGTTTTCTGTGAAACCGGTGCCTGGTGCCAAAAAGGTCGGGGAGTGCTGGTGTAGATACTTCCCTAAGATAACCAGAGTAGGGCTTTGCTATGTGGCTACCCTGGTAGTTCTCCATGAACCCAATTCACTGCCTTGTGAAATGAAGTCCTTCAAGTACCTTCAGTATTTAAAACCTCTATGATGGGTTCATAACAAAATAATCTTATTCTAAGTTCTGCTTTATCATGAAGTGTGACAGTCCTATTGGATTTTTCTTTTTTTCTTTTCCTTTTTTTGAGACAGGGGCTTGCTCTTGTCACCCAGCTGGAGTGCAATGGTGTGATCTCGGCTCACTGCAGCCTCTGCCTCCCGGGTTCAAGCGATCCTCCTGCCTCAGCCTCCAGAGTAGCTGGGATTACAGGTACTTGTCACCATGCCCGGCAAATTTTTTGTATTTTTAGTAGAGATGGGGTTTCACCATGCTTGCCAGGCTGGTCTCAAACTCCTGACCTCAGGTGATCCACCCGCCTCAGCCTCCCAAAGTGCTGGGATTACAGGCATGAGCCACTGTGCCCGGCCACATTTTTCTTCTTTAATTCAAGAAGCCTCCAAGATGAACAGTGTCCTTCCATACTATGCACCTTGATCAAATCTCTATCGATTCTTAGGAAAGGTCTCAGCAAATTTTATCTGAAGCCTTTCCCTCCAGGTCAATTCAAGACACCTAAATAACATATAAGGCTACTAAGTGCCTCATGAGTAAGGTAACAATTTCTCCCTTTTTCCAGTGTTACACTACCATTGCTCATTCTGTTTTTTTCAATTAGCATAGATTTTAAAGCTGTAAAGCATTAAACATTAAAACAAGTTCAATAGAATGTTGTCTTCTTACTAAAAAAACTAGTTTGAGAATTATTTTCAGTAAACTTTAATAACATCTATAAAGTCTGAACTCAGTGCTCTACTATGTTAGGATACTTTGAAAGAATTATTTCCTAAAGGATCAACAGTTCTTCACGACACTTTTTTTTTACATTAAAGTTTTAAAAATTAAGTTAACCTGGATCCTGGATTCACTGTAACATTTTACCTGATTCATTTAATTCAGGCCAACACTATGAAGCTACAGTTAACATACTTTGATTTAAAAGGTATTTAGACTTTAGGTCAGTTTGAATGAAACCAAAATTCATGTAACTTTAAATTCACACTTACCTACTGTCTTCTAACTGTCCTTTGGCCCAAGTTTGCATAAATCCAACCTCTGATCTATTTGAAATCAACAAAGAAAGCAATGAAAACATTAGCTGGTATCAGAGATTCTCATGTCTATAGAGTGACAATAAATTTCCACAATCTATTAGAAATCAAACCTATCATTTAAAGAATTCAGATTTCAAAAACCATGAAACACTAGTGTACTACATTGCCAACATGCAGTCACTTTCTCTCCAAAACTTTTAGACCACTTTAGTCTGAGTCTTAATAGTTGTTGGTCTTAAGGAATTTATCCGTCAGCCTTGGTTTTCTCACATATGGCAATATGTGAATCCTCATATTTTTTAAGGATTAAATCAGATAATTATGCAAAACTCACAGCATAGTGCCTGGCACATAAATGGTCAACAAATGTTAGTTGTCATTATTATTTTTTAACTAACCATTTCAAATGACATGCACACAAAAAAGTATTAATAAGAAGCCAAGAATAAACTGTAGAATCTGGGTTTGCATCAGTTCTGCCACTAATTCATTCAGGAGCAACTCATTTATTCTCTCAGATGCCTCATCTGTAAAAGAGATATAACACTGGCCTGACCCTGAAAGTTACAGTAAGGAACAATGTCACCCAAAGCATGCTGGTTTTACTTTGATTACAGTACTTATAGCTGAATACTTTTACAACCGTATGCCATCTGTCTACTTATTTGTGAATTGATAAAAGGAGGAGACCATATCGTAGTCTTTGTATTTTCCACTCCAACCCCGTAGAACATTGCATCAGGTAGGTGCTCAATAAATATTTGATAAATTCAGTATTACTGCACATCAAAAAAGTCAAATAAATTAATACAATGAGACAGTCACAAGAAACACAAAGAAAAATCCATGCCCCTAAACTACAGTCCCTGGTTATCCAACCAAAAATACAGACACTTTTCTCTTTGCAAAATAAATGGGTGCTGCTAAGTTGGCTACACAGTGGATTCTGCAGAGCAACTCCTCTCCTATTCAGTCCTTCCCATGCGGCATGCTCCCTTTGCCAGCAGGCCTTTGCCCTTCCTTCTCAGAGGACAGGGTTCATGCCTCTTTCTCCTTTATACAGCCAGGGTTTAGAACAGTAGCACATTAAGTCTTCAATAAACGTTGGCTAAATTGAACTAGGGATAATGTCAGACATTTGACCTATAATTTTTCAGTTTGCTGAGTAAGAAAACAGTTCATTTTTATATGCAACTCGTTTCCTTTCTCTCCTGTTGGTTACCCTGTCAGCCCAGAAATACAAGAACTTCTCAGATGCCTTTAAATACCTTGGACTAAGAACTTCTAGCTCAGTTTTCTGCCTTTTTCTTTTTCACAAGGTCAATATATACCTATGCTGTGGTATCATACTACATTAAAAGAGACAATCTCTTAACATATTTAACATTCAATGCTAAATTTACTCCTTTTCTGTTTATTAATTTCTTTAGCTCTTATGCGAGTTTGTTTAGCATATGCATCTGGGCTAAAATCCCATTACGAAGACTAACAGTATTTTTTACATTATATACACAAGAATTCTATAGAAACAAACACACACACAGAAAACCTGTTGAAAAAGGAATTCCCATTTATGTTCCAATGGAAAGACCCACCCAAAAGACCGTCACCTGGTTATGCTAAGTCACCTTATAAATCCATTATGAAAACCACTTCTAATGTCTTGATCTTGGTCTAATCTTTTAAACACCCAGGTTGGTGACAAACTGAGCTACAGTTAAGTAGTTCATAGAGCCGTCATACACTCAAAATAATGTTTAATCTTTCTTTAACTTTTAATTTTGTCACAGCAGTTTTATATATTATACCATTCTTATCCCTTCGTAATTGCTCTTTAACTGCCACCTTAAAGACTCCAATCACCTAAATAAAAACATGTTGTCCACAAATCCACCACAACCAGAAAAGGGTACTAAGAAATTTTAAAAGGTATATACATCCTGACACCTTTTTTTTTTGCCATTCTAGATATCAATCATTTCTTAATACTTTTAAATTAACTGGAAATGAAGCATCAGCTCTCATTTAGCTGTAAGTTTCACATATTTAAAACGTTTCATTTTTTTTAAGTCTACAAAATAAATTTAGACCAGGAATTTTTACCAATGTTTCAGACATACACAAGAAGTTATGTTTGAACCCCTACCAACATACTCAAATATATATATCCTTCATATATATTTGAGAATACATATATACTACATGTATATATGTATATGCACACATACATATACACACACACATATATGTATATGCACACATACATACACACACACACACACACACACACACATATATATATATAATTTGAAAAGCAGTAGTATCTACTCACAACCAGTGTCTTTGAGGTGGTTGATGGCACTGGAAAAAGACGAACACAACGGAGAAATCCAGCACCTTGTTTCTTATGGATCTTCTTGTGATTCCATACACTGATTGTAACTGAATCAGACTTTTCAATATACCTAAAAATGAAAATGGCTGCATAAGTATGTTGGTAGTTATAAGGCAGTGGGCGTAAAATTTTTCTTTTGTTCTTTTTATACCCTAAAGTTACAAATATGCTTCAGAGCCTGGCTAGATTATGCAAAATACATGAGTTAATCCACAGGATTGAATATAAAGTTTTAAAAAATCTTGAAAGTAAAATTTTTAAAAACAATTTTAGTATATTTTTATCACATCTGCCACTCTCAAGCTGGGCTATAATTCTAGTTAGTAAAAAGGCTATTTTGGTAGCTAGTGTCTAATAACACTAAGGGAGTTTATTAAATAACTTCTTTCCAAGAAAAAGAATCTTAAAAACTTTTATCATGGCCGGGCACAGTGGCTCACGCCTGTAATCCCAGCACTTTGGGAGGCTGAGGCGGGCGTATCACGAGGTCAGGAGATCAAGCCATCCTGGCTAACACGGTGAAATCCCGTCTCTACTAAAAATAAAAAATAAAAAAAAAATTAGCCGGGCGTGGTGGCGGGCGCCTGTAGTCCTAGCTACTCAGGAGGCTGAGGCAGGAGAATGGCGTGAACCCGGGAGGCGGAGCTTGCAGTGAGCCGAGATCGCGCCACTGCACTCTAGACTGGGAGACAGAGCGAGACTCCGTCTCAAAAAACAAAACAAAACAAAACAAAAAAACAACTTTTATCACAGTCACATTTTAAATACATTTCAATGACATGACCTACTTTCAAGGGATAGTGTCAAGGCTGACAGACCAAAAATTTGACCTACCTATTATATTTTAAAATGCTGTAGAACAAAAGCTGTTTCTAACGCTTTTCCCCTGCTTCTTTCCTGTATGCAGGCCTTGAACGAGCAGGACTCTTGCAGATTTCACTTCACCTCCTGCAGACAAGCAGTGCAGGGAGAAGCATTACTGTACTTGTCTGTGGATATACCTGCAAGTACGTAAAGGCTCTATCACAGCCAATTAGTAACATGGCATCAACTCATGCAAAAAGATAATATAATAACATAATGATGTCAGTAGAATCCTAGCTCTATTTCAATGACATTAAGAGGTCAAAGTTTTAGTCTAAAGTATTGCTAATTAAATAAATTAGCAATATCAGAAAAATTCACCTAGTATAGAGAAAAGCCTAAACCACTGAAGTAAGGACTAAAGCTTTCAAATAAGGAATATGGAAGGTAAACTTGAGCCCCGGGATCTAGCTGTGCCTAAAAAATGCCCACCCCCGGGCTTTTCATTATGCAAATCAGTACATTCCCTTTTTAAAAATTAAGCCGATTTGAACTTGGTCTCTGTTGCTTGCAAATGAAAAGACATGAACTAAAATATTGTTCAGTATGCATGTACCAATTTTCAAATACACCTACCCGACCTATCTTGGTATATATCTACTGGCATGTAATTCCAGAGCCAGAATCCAGTAATTAAGTAGCTGAATTACCCAAACCAAACATTTTTTTTAAAGTCACATTAAACCAGTTGTCCAACTAATAAGCCTGGTTTACAGGTATGCTGAAATACATATATCGATTACCTCAGTCCTCAGAGCAATGCACCACTGGCTTAAGCAACTTCACCTGTTTAGTCCAGTGTGCCATAATATTTTTTATGTGTACCATGATATGAAAAGGTTGGGAAGCTCTACATTAAACCATAATAAGAAATTGCTAATTATGGACCTTCTAGAAGACAGCCTAACTCTGAATTACTCAAAATTATGAAATATATTGTATTATTTAAGTGTACATGTCACAAACATTCTGTCCAAATATTCCTGGGCCAGAAATTAATCAGAAGTATTACCTTTTCTTATACACAGAGAAGTACATGCTCTCACTTTAATGAAACCTCATGTAATATAACATACATGGCCACATAAAAGAAAAAGTAAAGACTTTTATAATTGAAAGTTAAATAGAGGGCTCTATTAGCTTCTATTAAAACTTTGACTTCACTAACAAATACATGATTTATAAACAAGTTTCAGCATGTTTTGCTGAGAGGGGTAGATGGCAACCTCTATAGGTGAATATAATGTTACCATATAGACAAAAGTACAATATATATACTCAGGATTTTGGGCTAAAATTTAATTATTAGACTTTTGTTTGTACACTTAGCCAATTAAAGGCAAGGATTTTGCAAAATGACCTCAGACACAAGCAAGAGAGAAGCCTCTGGTAGCCAATTAATATTAACTGTAAGATAAAACATAACGAGCACATGCAAAGATGTTCAACATCATTAGTCATGAGGGAAATGCACTTCCAAACCATGACGAGGTACAACTTCATACCCACTAGGGGGGCTACAATTTTTTTAAAGGAAAATAACAAGCGACAGAAGAATAAAGAAACTTCCAGTGGAAAACAACAGTCATGACAGATCAAAATCAGGATGCCATCAGCAATACTCTGAACCTACACTGTCCAAAATGGTATCCACCAACCACATGGGACCTTTGAGTACTTCAAATGTGGCCAGTCCACATTGAGGCAAGCTGCAAAAGAAACCACTGATTTTTCTTAACATAAAATGAGAAAACCACTGATTTTTCAAAGACATAGTAAATATGTATATATACATAAATATGTAAGTAGCTCAATATTTTTATACTGCCATGTAGAAAATATTTTTGATATATTGAATTAAATAAAATATATTATGCTTCATTTTAAGCATAATAAATTATGCTTATTATGCATAATATATTATATTATGGGTCTCGCTATGTTGCCCAGTGTGGTCACAAACTGCCGGCCTCAAGTTATCCTCTCACCTCAGCCTCCCGAGTAGCTGGATTACAAGTGCAAGCCACCATGCCCAGTTTATTATGCTTAACGTCATCTGTTTCTTTTTACTTATCTTAATGTGGATACTAGGAAATTTAAAATTACAGATGAGCTCCCATTTGTGGCTTACATTATATTTCTACTCAACAGTTCGGATCTAAATCTAGAAGATAATGGACCAATGTATTCAACATTTGGAGATAAAGTCCTATTTCATCTAGAAGCCTGTACTCGAACCATACCAACAGATAAGAAATCAAAATATATTTTCTGATAAGATCTAAACTTTCTTCCCATCTTTGTATTATTTCTCAAAATGACAACAGAAGATAGAGTTCACCAAATCAGGAGAGTAAACAAAAAATAGGAAGTCACTAAATCTAGAAGAGACAAAGGAAATTGCCAACATAACAATACAGGCAAGTCCCAGGACAACTGCCCAGCAGGTCTTAGAGAACCATTATGCCAGGCTGAAGAAAGAGAACACAGACCCCCAGGAGGGGTATCTCCAAGAAGAAACAAAGCCAAAGGAATACTGACAGAACTGAATATATGGAGAAAAGATCTTCAGTTCTGTAGGAGAGTTTGAGGATTATGACATGTAATTTCTCATTTCTAGCTAGGAGAGGAATAGAAAACTAAACAAAAGGGAAAAGTAGCTACTAATTTCAGAAAAAACAAAAGCTGTCAAGAAAGAAAATATAATTCTTGTACCCATGTGACCCAACTATGGATATTTACATAATCATAATAATGTAAACATGGAACAATGGTTTAACCAAAAAGTGTCCTATAATTATATTGGAAGACTAAAGAAAGATAGGTTTCAACTTAACCTGATTATACTATTCTACAAAAAGTTAACTTGAGAGCCAAGTTACTCTAATGTGGTCAAAAGCTATCAGGTTTCCTGAAGTTAGTGAGACATGTAGTGGTAAATACAAAGTGGCTAGAGAACTTTGCATTTAAAAAATTTCTTGGCTGGGCGTGGTGGCTCACGCCTGTAATCCCAGCATTTTGGGAGGCAGAGGCTGGCGGATCACGAGGTCAGGAGATAGAGACCATCCTGGCTAACACGGTGAAACCCCATCTCTACTAAAAATACAAAAAATTAGCCAGGCGTGGCGCCATGCGCCTGTAGTCCCAGCAACTCGGGAGGCTGAGGCAGGAGAATCGCTTGAACCCGGGAGGCCCAGGTTGCAGTGAGCTGAGATCGCGCCACTGCACTCCAGCCAAGAGCGAAACTCCATCTCAAATAAATAAATAAATAAATAACGTCATTATGGTGTATAGGCATACTTAAAAACCTGTGTAATAGAATAAAGCCATAATTTTCAAGGCCTTGAATTAATAAAATATGTAGTGAAACAAGATTAAGACGCTAGCATATATAAAGGGAAATTTTTAAAGTTAAATTTCCTTACATTATAGACAAGGTTAACCTCCTTACTGCCAAGGGCTTTGAAATTAATAATATGAGAAGCAGCATACAAAAACATTAAATTTATAAAAAGATCTGAAATAAATGTTCTGAAGGAGTAATCTTATTCTACTTCTCCATACCTAAGAATTTAAAATATTAGAAATTACATTAAACTGCTTTTTGCAGCCTTTGGTTTTCAAAAACAATAATGGTCTGAAAATTATCCTAAAGTTTTTACTGTAAAGAATATTTTTCTATCCAAACCATTGTAAGAAAAGCCTGTATCTGACAGTCATATAGGTATAATGGTATAGAAATTATACATTTTATAATCAATTTGTTCTAGAAATATTAGTTGAAGTTGATAGTGTTACCATACAGCCCATTTTAATGATCATATGTTAATGTGTCACAAAGAACAGAAGTAGCTTGATGGATGAAATTGGATTCTAACCCCCAATTGCCTGAGGAATCTAAAATTTGGGATCAAATTATTAAATTAGTCCCACCTTCTTAGCATTGACAAATACCAAACAATTCACTGACTGTGGTTTTAAGAATAATATGTGGAAAGGTCTAATATCAATTGTGGGCAGAGCTCTCACGGTTCAAATATTTCAGAAAGACAGTGTATGAGTGTGTGAGTGTGTGAGTGTGTGTGTGTGTGTGTGTGTGTGTGTGTGTGTGTCACCATGCAAGAAATGTTTATACCTTTCAGTAAAAAGGCAATTCCGCAATAAGGTTATTACCAAGTAACTAAAATTTATACAGCATATTGAAATCAAAGGTACTCTATAAATTTAAAATACTAATATGGTATTAACTTAAAGCAAAGAACAATAATTTTAAAACATCTTACAGCCCAAGTGTATTGTAAACCAAATATAAATTCACTGTGGGATCTGTCTTTTTTTAAGTGATTTTTTTTCCTCTATTAGGGAACCCAGGTCTAAATGAACTGTTAAACACTTAGTCTAAAGGTATGCCAAACATTTCTTAAGGTCTTAACAAAGAATCAACTTTTTTTTTTTTTTTTAAACAAAATGAGGCCTAGGTTAAGTATTTTATTTGGCTTCTCAAGATGGACTGAGAAGTTGGGCACCAGCTCCAGACCAATTCCTGGACGCACATCAAACACAGCCCTGTCATTTATCCTGTCAGTCAAAACAATCTTTTCCATCTAACCCTTTAATGTTTATGTCCTAAAAAGCTGCTAATTAAATCCAGCTCTTGAGATCTATTTGCTAAAATATATCCCATCTAATTTGTAAATGATGAACAAAAATGAAAAAAAAAATGTTCGCTTTCCTGGCAAAACAGAAGACTCCACTATAACCAAAGGAGGAAGGACAATGTTTTTAACATTTGTCAAATTTTAAGAGAAAACTATTCAGAGACAAATAGTTGTAAGAAACTCAGAGTACCTCAAACTGTTTTTCCTATTAAGTGGACACAGGGTATTTAAAAAATCCTCAGAAAAACCTGAAACAAAATCACTCTATAAATGTAGTTCAATATTCCCTCTTCCCCTAAAATATAAGCATAATCTTTCCTCTTAACAAACTTTACTTATAAATTTTTATAATGTATCATAGGCAGTACAGAAACCACAGATAAACACTTTAAGATCTACTGAGTCATACTAAAAACCTCAACTCATTTTATCTGCAGAAAATCAAAATCCCTATTTTTTCCCTCATTTTCTCTATGTAGCCTTGAGGGAAGTAAATGGAAACAGCTTATTTCTGATGCTTTCTGCACACCTGGGATCGCATGTTCTTTCGATGATCACTGATTCCAGATAGCAACAGATAAACTCTAAAGCAACAAAGATCCCCTAAAAAGGTTTCCATTGACTTCTCCCAATATAAGGACATTGAATGGGGGGGAGTAGGGGGAAATACAAGTATCCTCCAATCCAGGTTTTCCATTAAGAACCACTCAGTTAATGATTCCCTGCATTTTTCCCTAGGGAAAGCAAAACTGTCATGAAGGTCGTATATTATTTAAATTGCAGCCAACAGACATTCGAGATAAATTCTCAAATACCAAATTCACTGCAAGTTTTCATCTAGCTGTACTGGGATGTGACACACAGGCATTCAACCACAAAATTAGCTCAAATAAATCTCAAAGTCTAGTGTGGACAAACATAATTACAGTTTATTCGTACACGTGCACGCACACACAAATCCTCTACGGAAAATTATCTTTCTCACCACTCATCGGAATATAAACGTGGACAATTTATCAGGGGTAAATGGTGAAGGTAGGATAACGTCGTGATTTCAATTCCTTTTCAAACCAAATACAAGTTTTCCTAAAATGGGGGTGACATGTCCATGTAAGAATACCAAAAATGGCACTGTAAGCAAAAATGTACCTGTAATGTTAAAGATTTCATGCGCCTGGAATCATAAACACTTTGTAAGTGTAGTCTTCTATCTAGCAACCCCTCCGGACATTATTTTCCATTTAGAAAAAGGAAGGGGGAGGGTGGGGAGAGTAAGAGAAAGTTTGCTCTAAAGTTTGTATGAGCACATAGTTAGAAAAGTACCCCCTACCCGCCTCCAAAAGTGTGTTTTTAAAGCAGGTCTGGAGTTAGAAGTGACACAAGTTCTGCGGCCTACAAGGTACAACCCCAAACATGCCACCCTACAATCAGACACTTCCAAAACACAGTGTACAATGAGCCCGAGCCGTCGGATCAGACAGGCACATGGGAAAAGTCAACCTCAGTCTCCTCTCCTCAGAGAGACCTGAGTTTAAGGTGTGCGGCCCCGGCAACGGTGGCCAGAGGCGGGGAGTAAAGGTTTTGCAAGCGGGCATAAGTGGGTGTGCAAGGTAACAACCCGGGAACACACACGTACACCCTCCCGTTAAGCGCTCCATCTTTAAGGAGTGTTTACTGCGCGCAGTCTGCAACCGGATTCAATAATCCCCTTCACGAGCCCACCTGGGCCGTAGCCCAGGGGCTGCTGCTCCCCGAGCCCCGGGAGGCAGCGTCGGGCTCCTTGACCAAGACTTTTCAGCCCGAAATCCGCTGCGATGCGAACGGGTGTATCCTCCCCTCCACAAAAGACTACCCCGCCTCCCCGAGTCATCCTCGGCTTTTTAAAGAATGTCCAAACCAGAGCGAGTGGCTTTCCAATTACTCTCCCTGAACTAGGCCTTCCTACTCCTCCGACCCCCAACTCACCATTGATCGCGATCCTGGCCCTTCCCAAGTCAACAGGTACCCCGCGCCAGCTCGCCCACCCGGCGGCTGCCCAGCCCGGCCGCCGCTCCCCATCACCTGTCGGGCGCAGTCTGACTGGCCCGTTCCTCCGGCTTCAGGGGTTGGACATGTCCCCGGCGGCGGGGTTGGCGGGGGCGGCGGGCGGGACGGGGACAGGGGCGACGTCGAAGCGCGGCGGAGTCACCACAGAGGCAGGGGCTGAGGCCCGAGCTGCCGGCGCTGCGACCGCCACGGCCGGAGGGTCCCGGATGTGGCGAGCGTCGTCGTCCTGAGCCGCTGAGCTCCCCGCTCCTCCCACTTCTCCTTCCTTGGTCCGGGCAGCACAACTAGGCGGCAGCCGGCCGCTGGCGCCCCAGCCGTCTCCTCGCGGCCTCCGCGGCCTTTCCCTCCTCTCCTCTAGGCTAGGCCCAGTAGCCGACGGGGCTGGTCGGCTGAGGCGGGCGGTGCTCGGCGGCGCCGGAGCAGGACTCTGGGCTCGGCTACTCCTCCTCCACCCGCCTTTTTGTCTGAGGGACCCGGGACCTGGGGCTGCCGCCACCACTGGTCGGCTCCGGGGGACTGGGAGGAGACGGGAGTTGGGGCCGTTGGGGCCGGGCGGGGCCAGCGGGCGCGCGCAGAGTACCCAGGGTGCCCCGGGCTGGCACCGGCCGTCAGGGAGTGGGTGAGGTGCCGCCGAGGGTCTCACGCGGAACGCGCGCAGGGAGCAAAGTGGCAGCGGGGGCGACAACTCTGGCACCTGGAGGGGCATAGTGTCCGGTCCACTTAAGGAGAGCTTTTGTCCAAGCAGGGCCGACTGCATTTATTAGACGCCCACTGCGTGCAGAGCGCTCCTAGAGGCTGGGGCGAGGAAGGTTAGAACCGAGTCCGCTGCCCGCTGGGAATCTGGCGTCTCTCGGGCGAGGGAAGAGACAGCATTCCCACGCCAATGGTTCCAGCAAAGCCCCAGGACTGCTCTGCTCCTGGTCTTGTAGTTGACACCTCCATCGGAGACTCACCTGGGGGAGGCGATCGGGTTACCTGCCGGCTCCTGCTCTTTTCAGGTGCAGCCAAGGATAGGGAGATGATAACATCTGAAAGGATTAACAAGATAAACCTTGGAGAGTAATGTATGAAGGGTTGTTCATACACTGCTGTATTTAGTTATCTCAGGAGGAGAAAGAAAATTTCTTTTTAAATGTGTACCTTATCCTTTGACCTTGTAACTTTACTGCTAGGATTTTTTTTTTTTTTTTTGACAGGGTCACCCTCTGTCGCCCAGGCTTGAGTGCAGTAGTGTGACCACGCCTCACTGCAGCCTCAACTTCCTGGGCTCTGGTGATACTCTCACATGAGCCTCTGGAGTAGCTGGGACCACAGGTGTGCACCACCACGCCCCATTAATTTTTGTATTTTTAGTAGAGACATGTTTAGTAGAGACATTTAGGTTTCCCCACGTTGCCAGGCTGGTCACGAACTCCTGACCTCAAGAGATCCGCCTGCCTCGGCCTCCCAAAGTGCTCTCAGGCTCGGCTCCCTGAGCCACCATGCCTGGCCCTATTCTTGACAAATAAATAATAGTACGGAAGATGTTCTTTGCTATATTCCATTAATAACAAAAGGAATGAGGGAACAGCATAATGGTCCATGAACCGCATGCTTTTTAATGCAGCCATTTAACTGACAAGTTTTATGAAGATCATATAATATGGAAGAATGTATATGTAATGCAAAGTTTAAAAACAGAATAGAAGTTGTATGCATATGCATGCGAAAGTATGTAGCACAATGTAAACTACTAAGAACAACAGCGTGGGAGATTTTTTATGTGATTCATTAGTTTTGCTTTAGGCTGTTATTAATGCAATTTTAAATGTTTTGGATTAATATATTTTAATCCTTATTCCATGCCAGTCATTTCTTTTAATGCATCAGTGTAGTCACCTCTCCAGATAGTTACCTCTGAGAGCATTTCATCAGTTTGGATACAGCCTTACAATTAAAGTAATCCAAAAAAGTATATGAAGTTCTAGACATCACACTAGAAATACCACAGATAGGCCGGGCAGGGTGGCTCACCCCTGTAATCCCAACACTTTGGGAGGCCAAGGCGGGCGGATCATTTGAGGTCAGGAGTTCAAGACCAGCCTGGCCAACTTGGTGAAATCCCGTCTCTGCTAAAAAAAAAAAAAAAAAATATATATATATATATATTAATTAGCCAGGCGTGATGGCGCATGCCTGTAGTCCCAGCTACTAGGGAGGCCAAGGCACGAGAATCGCTTGATCCCGAGAGGTGGCAGTGAGCCAAGATCACGCCACTGCACTTCAGCCTGGGCAACAGAATGAGGCTCCGTATCAAAAATAAATACATAAATAAATAAAAATAAAAATACCAGAGATAGTGCCAGCAATTCATTCAACAAATATTAAGTGGCTATTTTGTGCAGAACAATGAGCAAGGTCCTTTAGAAATGCTTCCTTGTACTACAGATATATACAAATCAATGTGAACAATAGCTGCTACCACAATTTAAGAGGCTGAACAGTGGCAAAAAACTTAGCAAACTGATGTACACATTCACATTTGCCTTATTTTTATGGCACATTCTTTGTTTCCAGCCACCCAACTAACATAATTTGTAGCTTTATATTAGTTAATGTAAGTTAGTATTTCAGAAGGTGATGGGAGACCTGGGGGAGACTGCTTGTTTTGAAGTTTAAAGCAGTACATTCAAAAATGTAAGTGACAGCATAGAAAAATGTATACAGGGTTAACATGCAGAGGTTTGTATTTAGGCTTTCTTGTAAGTTTAAATACTATTGTTTAAAACAAATATTCAGATAAGAATAACACTTTAAAACCATTCAAGGACTGGGCATGGTGACTCATGCCTGTAATCCTAGCACTTTGGGAGGCTGAAGCAGAGGAATCAGTTGAGCTCAGGAGTTTGAAACCAACGTGGGCAACATGGCGAAACCTCATATCTACAAAAAATTAGCCGAGAGTGGTGGCATGCACCTATAGGCCCAGCTACTCGGAAGGCTGAGATAGGAGGATCACCTGAGCCCACAGAGGTCAAGGTTGCAGTGAGCCATGATCATGCTACTGCATTCTGTGGGGGAAAGAAATAGAGATCAGACTGTTACTGTGTCTATGTAGAAAGAGGAAGACATAAGAAACTCCATTTTGGGGATCTAATTAAACTAAAGAGCTTCTGCACAGCAAAAGAAACTATCATCAGAGCGAATAGGCAACCTACAAAATGGGAGAAAATTTTCGCAACCTACTCATCTGACAAAGGGCTAATATCCAGAATCTACAATGAACTCAAACAAATTTACAAGAAAAAAACAAACAACCCCATCAAAAAGTGGGCGAAGGACATGAACAGACACTTCTCAAAAGAAGACATTTATGCAGCCAAAAGACACATGAAAAAATGTTCACCATCACTGGCCATCAGAGAAATGCAAATCAAAACCACAGTGAGATACCATCTCACACCAGTTAGAATGGCGATCATTAAAAAGTCAGGAAACAACAGGTGCTGGAGAGGATGTGGAGAAACAGGAACACTTTTACACTGTTGGTGGGACTGTAAACTAGTTCAACCATTGTGGAAGTCAGTGTGGCAATTCCTCATGGATCTAGAACTAGAAATACCATTTGACCCAGCCATCTCATTACTGGGTATATACCCAAAGGACTATAAATCATGCTGCTATGAAGACACATGCACACGTATGTTTATTGCGGCATTATTCACAATAGCAAAGTCTTGGAACCAACCCAAATGTCCAACAATGATAGACTCATTAAGAAAATGTGGCACATATACACCATGGAATACTATGCAGCCATAAAAAATGATGAGTTCATGTCCTTTGTAGGGACATGGATGAAACTGGAAATCATCATTCTCAGTAAACTATCGCAAGAACAAAAAAACCACACACCGCATATTCTCACTCATAAGTGGGAATTGAACAATGAGAGCACATGGACACAGGAAGGGGAACATCACACTCTGGGGACTGTTGTGGGGTGGGGGGAGGGGGGAGGGATAGCACTGGGAGATATACCTAATGCTAGATGATGAGTTGGTGGGTGCAGCGCACCAGCATGGCAGATGTATACATATGTAACTAACCTGCACATTGTGCACGTGTACCCTAAAACTTAAAAGTATAATAATAAAAAATAAATAAATAAATAAAAGAAACTCCATTTTGATCTGTACTAAGAAAAATTCTGCTGCCTTGTGTTGTGGGAAGTCAGGGACCCCAAATGGGGGGACTGGCTGAAGCTATGACAGAAGAACATGGATTGTGAAGATTTTATGGACATTTATTAGTTCCCCAAATTAATACTTTTGTAATTTCTTATGCCTGTCTTTACTGCAATCTCTAAACATAAATTGTAAAGATTTCATGGACACTTATCACTTCCCCAGTCAATACCCTTGTGATTTCCTATGCCTGTCTTTACTTTATTTTTTTATTTTTTATTTATTTTTTTTTTTGAGAGGGAGTCTCGCTCTGTTGCCCAGGCTGGAGTGCAGTGGCACAATCTCGGCTCACTGCAAGCTCCGCCTCCCGGGTTCAGGCCATTCTCTTGCCTTAGCCTCCTGAGCAGCTGGGACTACAGGCGCCCGCAACCATGCCCAGCTAATTTTTTGTATTTTTAGTAGAGACGGGGTTTCACCGTGTTCACCAGGATGGTCTCGATCTCCTGACCTCGTGATCCACCCACCTCGGCCTCTGAAAGTGCTGGGATTACAGGCGTGAGCCACTGCGCCCGGCCAACCTGTCTTTACTTTAATCTCTTAATCCTGTCAGTCGAGGAGGATGTATGTCACCTCAGGACCCTGTAATAATTGCATTAACTGCACAAATTGTAGAGCATGTGTGTTTAAACAATATGAAATCTGGGCACCTTGAAAAAAGAACAAGATAACAACAATGTTTAGGAAACAAGAGAGATAACCTTAAACTCTGACCACTGGTGAGCCGGGCAGAACAGAGCCATATTTCTCCTCTTTCAAAAGAAATGGGAGAAATATCGCTGAATTCTTTTTCTCAGCACGGAACGTCCCTGAGGAAGAGAATACACGCCTGGAGGTATAGGCTTATAAACAGCACCCCCAGGTGCGCCTGTCTCTTATGGTCGAAATTGCAGAGATGAAATATACTCCAGTCTCCCATAGCGCTCCCAGGCTTATTAGAAAGAGGAAATTCCTGCCTAATAAATTTTGGTCAGACCAATTGATCTCAACACCCTGTCTCCTGATAAGATGTTACCAATGACAATAGTGCCCGAAACTTCATTAGCAATTTTAATTTCGCCTCAGTCCTGTGGTCCTGTAATCTCACCCTGCCTCCACTTGCCTTGTGATATTCTATTACCCTGTTAAGTATTTGATGTCTGTCACCCACACCTATTCGCACACTCCCTCCCCTTTTGAAAAGCCCTAATAAAAACTTGCTGGTTTTTGTGGCTTGTGGGGCATCACGGATCCTACCAACGTGTGATGTCTACCCCGGACGCCCAGCTTTAAAATTTCTCTTTTGTACTCTGTCCCTTTATTTCTCAAGCCGGCCGACGCTTAGGAAAAATAGAAAAGAACCTACATGATTATCGGGGCAGGTCCCCCGAAAGCCTTGAGATGCTGTTAATCTGTAACCCTATCCTCAACCCTGTGCTCGCAGAAACATGTGCTATATTGACTCAAGGTTTAATGGATTTAGGGCTGTGCAGGATGTGCCTTGGTAAAAATGTGTTTGCAGGCAGTGTGCTTGGTAAAAGTCATCGCCATTCTCCAGTCTTGAGTACCCAGGGACACAATGCACTGCGGAAGGCCGCAGGGACCTCTGCCCAAGAAAGCCTGGGTATTGTCCAAGGTTTCCCCCCACTGAGACAGCCTGAGATATGGCCTCGTGGGAAGGGAAAGACCTGACCGTCCCCCAGCCCGACACCCGTAAAGGGTCTGTGCTGAGGAGGATCAGTGAAAAAGGAAGGCCTCTTTGCAGTTGAGATAAGAGGAAAGCATCTGTCTCCTGCTCATCCCTGGGAATGGAATGTTTCGGTGTAAAACCCGATTGATCGTACATTCGATTTACTGAGATAGGAGAAAACCGCCTTATGGCTGGAGATGAGACGTGCTGGCGGCAGTACTGCTCTTTACTGCACTGAGATGTTTGCGTGAAGTCAAACGTAAATCTGGCCTATGTGCACATCGAGGCACAGCACCTTTCCTTAAACTTGTTTATGACACAGAGTCCTTTGCTCACGTTTTCCTGCTGACCCTCTACCCACCATTACCCTATAGTCCTGCCACATCCCCCTCGCCGAGATGGTAGAGATAGTGATCAATAAATACTGAGGGAACTCAGAGACCAGTGCTGGTGCAGGCCCTTGCTTGCTGAGCGCTGGTCCCCTGGGCCCACTTTTATTCCTCTATACTTTGTCTCTGTGTCTTATTTGTTTTCTCAGTCTCTCATCTCCACCTTGCGAGAAATACCCACAGGTGTGGAGGGGCAGGCCCCCTTCAGCATTCCAGCGCCACTGCATTCCATCCTGGGCAGCAGACTGAGACTGTCTCAAAAACAAGCAAAAAAAAAAGACGGCTGGGTGCAGTGGCTCGTGCCTGTAATCCCAGCACTTTATAATGTTAACTCTAATTTTTTGGCAGGTTTTTTTTTTTTTAATCAAATTCAGGAAATTCTCCCCATATACCTTTCATACTTTTTTTTTTTTTTTGAGAGAAAGTCTTACTCTGTCGCCCAGGCTAGAGTGCAGTGGCGCAATCTCAGCTCACAGCAACTTCTGCCACCCAGGTTCAAGCGATTCTCCTGCCTCAGCCTCCCAGGTAGCTGGGATTACAGGCGCCTGCCACTGCGCCTGGGTTTTTTTTTTTTTTTTTTTTTTTTTTTTTGAGACGGGGTCTCACTCTGTAGCCCAGGCTGGAGTGCAGTGGCACAATCTCGGTCCACTGCAAGCTCTGCCTCCCGGGTTCACACCATTCTCCTGCCTCAGCCTCCCGAGTAGCTGGGACTACAGGCACCCGCCACCAAGCCTGGCTAATTTTTTTTTTTTTTTTTTTTGTATTTTCAGTAGAGACGGTGTTTCACTGTGTTAGCCAGGATGGTCTCGATCTCCTGACCTCATGATCTGCCTGTCTTGGCCTCCCAAAGTGCTGGGATTACAGACGTGAGCCACCACACCCGGCCACGCCTGGTTAACTTTTGTAGTTTTAGTAGAGATGGGGTTTTACCATTTTGGCCAGGCTGGTCTTGAACTCCTGACCTCGTGATCCACCCCCCACCCCCCCCCGCCCCCGCCTTGGTCTCCCAAAGTGCTAGGATTACAGGTGTGAGCCACCGCGACTAGCCCCCATATACCTATTTTACCTGAATTTTATTATGAGTTGGTGTTAAATTTTGTCAAATACTTTTTTTCTGAAATTAATTGACATGATTTTTTTTCTTTTAGCCTTTTAATTTTCAAATATCAAATCAGCTATGTATCCTTGGAATAAACCCCCCTTTGTCATGTTGTGTAATTCTCATATATTAATTCTATTTGCTAATATTTTGTTAAGGATTTTGCATCTTTATTTATGATGGGTATTGTTTGGCAGTTTTCGCCTTTTTTGTGTGTGCTTCCTTTGGTTTTGGTGTCAGAGTAAATACTAACTTCTTAAAATGATTAAGCAATGTTCTTTTCTATTTTCTGAAAGAGTTTGGGTAGGGTTGGTGTTAATTATTATTATTATTATTTTTTTGAGACGGAGTCTTGCTGTGTCACCCCCGCTGGAGTGCAGTGGCATGATCTTGGCTCACTGCAACCTCTGCCTCCCGGGTTCAAGTGATTCTCCTGCCTCAGTCTCCCTAGTAGCTGGGATTATAGGCGCGTGCCAGCATGCCCAGCTAATTTTTGTATTTTTAGTAGAGACAGGTTTTCACCATGTTGGCCAGGATGGTCTCGATCTCTGGACCTTGTGATCCACCAGCCTCGGCCTCCCAAAGTGCTAGAATCACAGGTGTGAGCCACCTTGCCTGGCGGTGTTAATTATTTTTTAACTGGTAGAATTGTCTAGTGAAATCATTTGAGTCTGGAGACTTCTTGTTTGTGAATTTTTTAATTACAAATTTAATTTTCTTAATAGCCATAAGGCTGTTCTTATTATCCATTTCATATTGGATGAATTGTGGTAGATTATTTTCATTTTTTTGAGGAATTGGTCCATTTCATCTAAGTTGTTGAATTTATGTAGAACTAGTTTTAGTATTTCCTTACTACCTTTTTAATGTGTATAGAATATATATCCCCCATTTCTTTCTTTCTTTCTTTCTTTCTTTTTTTTTTGAGACAGTCTCACTCTGTCGCCCAGGCTGCAGTGTAGTGGCACAATCTCGGCTCACTGCAACCTCCGCCTCCTGAGTTAAAGCGATTCTGCTGCCTCAGCTTCTCCCAAGTACCTGGGATTACAGGCACCCACCACCATGCTCAGCTAATTTTTTTATTTTTAGTAGAGATGGGGTTTCACCATATTGGTCAGGCTGGTCTCGAACTCTTGACCTCAGGTAATCCACCTGCCTTGGCCTCCCAAAGTGCTGGGATTACAGGTGTGAGCCACTGTGCCTGGCCAATTTAAACATCTTTAAGGAAACACGTCAAAATGTAACTAGAGGTTGTTTCTAGGTAATGGGACCATGGGGATTTCTATTTCTTCTTTGGCATATTCATATTTTCCACTTTTTCTGTAATGAACATCTATTGTTAAAACAGGTAAGATATTGAGTTTTAGCAAGATAAAATATGCAAATAGAAAAGAAATAAAAGAAATATACCCAACGTCAATAGTAGTTGCCACTAGATGATGGCATCATATGAGATTTTCATTTTCAACTTTCTTTTTTTTTTTTTGTCTCATTCTGTCGCCCAGGCTTCTGGAGTGAAATGGCACAATCTCAGCTCACTGCAACCTCCACCTCCTGGGTTCAAGCGATTCTCCTGCCTCAGCCTCCCAAGTAGCTGGGACTACAGGTGTGCACCACCATGCCAGGCTGTTTTGCATTTTTAGTAGAGACAGGGTTTTGCCATGTTGGACAGGCTTGTCTGAAACTCCTGGTCTCAAGTGATCTGCCTGCCTTGGCCTCCCAAAGTGCTGGAATTATAGGGGTAAGCCACCTTGCCTGGCAGATTTTCATGTTTAGCTTCGATGTTTTCTGAATTTTCCACAAAAAGCATATATTAGAATTTTATTGGTAATATCACATATTATACCACCCCATATTAGATGAATGGGAAGAGGAAGATAAGTGGTTACACAGTCAGGAGAAGGGTCACGTCAATAAACTAAAACTAAAAACTTCTGCGTTATCATCAACTGCTATAGAGTCTTTCTTTCAAAGATATCTAATTGTCGGCTGGGCGCAGTGGCTCACGCCTGTAATTCCAGCACTTTGGGAAGCTGTGGTGGGCAGATCGCTTGAGGCTCAGAGTTTGAGACCAGCCTGGCTAACATGGCGAAAACCCATCTCTACTAAAAAATACAAAAATTAGCCAGGCGTGGTGGTGCACACGTGTAGTCTCAGCTACTGGGGAGACTGAGGCATGAGAATCGCTTGAACCTGGGAGCCAAGATTGTGCCACTACACTCCAGCCTGGGTGACAGAGTGAGACCCTGTCTCAAAAGAAAAGAAAAGAAAACTCAAGGGACCCTAACAGCTAGCTGCCTTAACATAGCTGATAAGCTATCAAGTTCAGGTCAATTAAATTTGTTCCATGTGGTTCTGCAGGAAGTAGCCAGGACCAGTGTGGTGGGGATGCAATTGGAATTACATTGAGACAGACCTTGAGATAGGAGGAAGGATTTTTGAGTAGTTTGAAATGGCAGAAGATACACTGGTCTTGAACCTGCTCTTCCAAGTGTGGTGCAGAATTGCAGCCTGGCTTCAGAGGAAGCCTATTAGACAAGTACTGGGTCTCTGCCCGCAGCTCAGACCTACTGAATCAGTGCCTGCAGTTTAAAAAGATGCCCAGGGCCAGGCGTAGTGGCTCATGCCTGTAATCCCAGCATTTTGGGAGGCTAAGGCAGGCAGATCACTTGAGGTCAGGAGTTTGAGACCAGCCTGGCCAACATGGTGAAACCCCGTCTCTACTAAAAATACAAAAATTAGCCAGACATGGTGGCAGGCACCTGTAATCCCAGCTACTAGGGAGGCTGAGGCAGGAAAACCGCTTGAACCCGGGAAGGCAGAGGTTGCAGTGAGCTGAGATCGTGTCATTGCACTCCAGCCTGGTTGACAAGAGCGAGACTCTGTCTAAAAAAAAAAAATAAAAATAAATTAATAAAAAAAAGATATCTTAGATAATTTTTGTGCCTATTCTGCTTATGTAGATAAAAAAAAATTTGAGACATGATCTCACTGTGTCACCCAGGCTGACATACCATACTGAATTCTCATATTACTTCCAGTAAAATCTTAGTTGAGTCTCTCAGGCTTCTTAGGCTGTCTAACATTTATCATTTCATATGCAAATAATGATAGTTTTGTCTCTTCCTTTTCAATACTTATACTCTTTCCTTCCTTTCCTTTCCCTTTTTTTCCTTTCCTTTCTTTGTTTTTCTTTCTCAGGGCCTTGTTGTCACCCAGGCTGGGGAGTAATGGTGTGATCTAGCTCACTGTAACCTCAAACTCCTGGGCTTAAGGGATCTTCCTGCCTCAGCTTCCTGAGTGGCTGGGACTACAGGCAAGCAGCTAATTTTAAAAATTTTTTTGTAGAGATAAGGTCTCGCTATGCTTTCCAGGCTGGTTTTCATGCCACTTTAGAGGAAGGACTCAGGTTTCCTTTATTTCCTACTTTTAAGAGTTTTTTTTAAATTATTATTAGGAATTGTCTGTTGAATGTTAGCTAAAACAGTCAATAAAATGTATTAAGTGCCAGCTGCATGCAAGACCCTAAGTTAGATACAGTCAGCCCTCTTCATCAGCAGGTCCACATCTTCAGATTCAATTAGATGAGGCTGAATATTTGAAAAAAGAAACAATAAAAATACAAATAGAAAGTACAATATAACAACTGTCACCATTGTACAATATCTATACATTTTATTAGTGATGACTTAAAGTACATGGGACCAGGCACGGTGGCTCACACTTGTAATCCCAACACTTTGGGAGGCCAACCTGGGCAGCATAGTGAGATCTTGTCTTTACTAAAAATAAAAATGAAAAATTAGCCAGTGTGGTGGTATGCACCTGTAGTCCCAGCTACTCAAGAGGCTGAGGTGGGCAGATCACTGGAGCCCAGGAGGTTGAGGCTGCAGTGAGCTGTGATTGTGACATTGCACTCCAGCCTGAGCAACAGAGGGTGATCCTGTCTCTAAGTAAGTAAATAAAGTATATGGGGGGATGTGTGTTAGTTATGTGCAAATACTGCACCATTATATGTAAGGGATTGAGCATCCAGATTCTGGTATGCTGTGGAAGCAGTATCCTAGAACCAGTCCCCCGCAAGGTAGCAAGGATGACTGAACTGTGGAAGAATCAAAGCACTGTTAAACAGCATATAATTCCTGTCTTCAAAAAAGTTATCTCTTCGGGTAGATGAGACTTATAATGAATAAAAGGAATGAATACAGATTTGGAGCTAATGGTTGTTGTGATGCAGAATCTTAATTGCGTTTTCTTCCAAAACAGATTCATTCTCATAGAAGGGCATCAGAGGAAGATAAAGAAGGATCCTCAATGTCAGACATCTGAGCCCAAGCTAAGCCATCATAATCCCTGTGACGTGCACATATACATGCCCCACTCCAACTAATCAATCGACCTTGTGACATTCCTCCCCTGGACAATGAATCTCATGATCTCCCAACCCTGCACCTTGTGACCCCTCCCCTGCCCACAAGAGATAACCACCTTTAAGTGTAATTTTCCACTACCTACCCAAATCCTATAAAGCTGCCCCACCCCTATCTCCCTTTGCTGACTCTTTGTGGACTCAGCCCACTTGCACCCAAGTGAAATAAACAGCCTTGTTGCTCTCACAAAGCCTGTTGGTAGACTCTCTTCACGTGGACGCACATAACAGTTGGGAGTTGGAGACCAGCCTGACCAACGCGGTGAAACCCTGTCTCTACTAAAAATTCAAAATTAGCTGGGCGTGGTAGTGCAGGCCTGTCATCCCAGCTACTTGGGAGGCTGAGGCAGGAGAATTGCTTGAACCCAGGAGGCAGAGGTTGCAGTGAGCTGAGATCGCACCATTGCACTCCAGCCTGGGCAACAGAGCAAAACCTTGTCTCAAAAAAAAAAAAAAAAAAAAAAGAAAGAAATTGGTAATCAAGATATCCTCCACAACCCTCAAATTCTCTGGTCCTGATAATTCCATAGGTAAGTTTCACCAAACTTGGAAGGAATAAAACCTCATGTCTTGTGCAAGTTGTTCCAGAAAATAAAAATAGAAAGTTACCCAAATCATTCTGTGGAGCAGGTATAAATGATTCTAAAGTCATATAAAACAGTAAAAGAAAATAAAATTAGGCTCATTTTACTTATCAACAAAGATGGTAAAATTCTAAATAAAATGTTAGTAAATCAAATAGAAAAGAGGACAAAAGTCAGGCCCATCAAAATAATTTGACATTAGAAAATTAATCAATATAAAAGCAAAACATACAGTTATCTCAGTAAATGCAGAAAAGGCATTTGGCAAAGGTAAACAGCTATTTATGGTTAAAAAAAACTATCAGAAAGTTAGGAACAGAATACCCTTAACTTGACATCTACTAAAAACCTACAGAAAGACATTATGGTTAGCTGAGAAATTTCAGACTCATTTTGCTTTGAATTGGGGAAAAAAGGCAAAGATAGCCATTGTCAAAGCTACATTTAATTGTAGTATTGGAAGTCTTTGCCATCATTATAAGGCAAGAAAAATAAATTAGAGTTATAAGGTTTATTAGGGAAGCAAAAAATTTATGAATCAGAAAGTTCACCAACATTGCTGTGTAAATGATCACTTAAAAAATTAATAGCCAGGCATGGTGGCTCATGCCTGTAATCCCAGCACTTTGGGAGGCTGAGGTGGGCAGATCACAAGGTCCAGAGATCGAGACCATCCTGGCCAACATGGTGAAACCCCGTCTCTACTAAAAATACAAAAATTAGCTGGGCGTGGTGGCACATGCCTGTAGTCCCAACTACTTGGGAGGCTGAGGCAGGAGAAGCGCTTGAACCTGGGAGGCAGAGGTTGCAATGAGCTGAGATTGTGCCACTGCACTCCAGCCTGGGCAACAGAGCGAGACTCCATCTAAAAAAAAACAAAAAAAATTAATAGTCAGGGGTCTCTAGAGAAACAGTCACTAGGGTGCATTCATTCATTCATTCATAAGGAATAAAAAAGGATTATTAGAAGGAATTGGCTTATGCAATTATGGAGGCTGGCAAATCCAAATCAGCCCAAGTCTGAATCAATGTCTCAGTTTAAGTGTGAAGTCAGGAAGCTACTGTAGAACCAGGAAGAGCCAATGACTCATTTCAAAGGCCAAGGCCATCAGGCAGGAGAATTCTCCTACTTGGGGGATGGTGAGCCTTTTGTTCTGATCAGGCCTTCAACTTATTGGATGAGGCCCACCCACATTATGGAGGGCAATCTGCTTGACTCAGTTTACCAATTTAAATGTTACGCTCACCCAAAAACACCCTCACAGAAACACCCAGAATAATGTGTGACCAAATACCTGGGCACCCCATGGCCCAGTCAAATTGACACATAAATCTAACCAATACAATGTTCCTCCTCACTAAGGTAAAATATTAAAAACTATCCCCAGTGAATCATGCCTCTCCGGATCCACCCCTTTGCAATGTGCCTTTGCTCTCCTGCCCACCACCAGGCCCTCAAACATGTGAATGAAGCCATCTTGAAGCCTCTAAGACAGTCCAGTCACCCCACTGATGTCATGTGAAGCACTTTCTGCAGAGAGCTGCCTGAAACTCTGACCCCCCAGAATCATGAGTAATAACATGGTTGTGGTTTTTTTTTTGAGATGGAGTCTTGCTCTGTCTGTAGCCCAGGCTGGAGTGTAGTGGCCTAATCTTGGCTCACTGCAACCTTCACCTTCGTTCAAGCGATTCTCCTGCCTCAGCCTCCCGAGCAGCTGGGATTACAGGTGCCCACCACCACGCCTGGCTCATTTTTTTGTATTTTTAGTAGAGATGGGATTTCACCATGTTGGCCAGGGTGTTCTCGAACTCCTGACCTCAGGTGATCTGCCCACCTTGGCCTCCCAAAGTGCTGGGATTACAGCTGTGAGCCACTGTGCCTGGCCTGGTTGTGTTTATTCACTGAGTTTAGGGAGTGGTTTATTATGCAGCCATACATAAATGATGTAACTGATACTACTGATTCAATAAGTAATGAGAAAATGTGAATTAAGATATGACACAATAGCACCAGAAATTATTGTGTATCCTGGAATTAACCTAACACAAATGCACAAAATCTTTATGAGGAAAAATATAAAACTCTTTCAAAGGATGCTTTAAAAGACTCAGATAAAAGACATGCCTTTTTTTTTTTTTGAGACGGGGTCTCACTCCATCTCCCAAGCTGGAATACAAGTGGCGTGATCTCTGCTCACTGCAACCTCTGCCCCCAGGCTTAAGAGATCCTCCCACCTCAGGCTCCCAAGTAGCAGGGACCACAGGTGTACACGACCACACAAGGCTAATTTTTTTGTACTTTTGGCAGTGATGGGGTTTTGCCATGTTGCCCAGGCTGGTCTTGAACCTCCTGGGCTCAAGTGATCTGCCCACCTCGGCCTTCCAAAGTGCTGGGATTACGAGCCTGCGCAACAGCCTGGGTGACACAGTGAGATTCCATCTCCAAAAAAAAAAAAAAAAAAAAAAAAAAAAAAATTAGCTGGGCGTGGTGGCCTGTGCCTGTAGTTCCAGCTACTCGGGACGCTTAGGCAGGAGAATCGCTTGAACCCAGGCGGCACAGCTTGCAGTGAGCTAAGATCGCACCACTGCACTCCAGCCTGGGCGACAGAGCAAGACTACGTCTCAAAAAAAAGAAAAAAAAACCCCTGATAATAAAGAAGCCAAATGTTCAACTCTCAAAGATGGGAGACCTCAAAGAAATAATTAATAAAGGCAGAAGTGAAAGGGAAGATGTTTGACCTGGTCAATAAAGCAGTTTTTTTTTGGTCTTTTTTGAGATGGAGTCTTGCTCTGTCGCCCAGGCTGGAGTGCAGTGATGCGATCTCGGCTCACTGCAACCTCTGCCTCCCGGGTTCAAGCGATTCGCCTGCCTCAGCCTCCTGAGTAGCTGGTACTACAGGTGCGTGCCACCAGGCCCAGCTAATTTTTGTACTTTTATTAGAGACAGGGTTTCACCATATTGGTCAGGCTGGTCTCAAACTCCTGATCTCAGGTGATCCGCCCACCTTGGCCTCCCAAAGTGCTGGGATTACAGGAAGGCACCACCGCGCCTGGCCTAAAGCAAAATATTGGTTCTGTGCAAAAGGTCAATAAAAAGAGCAAAAGTTTACAAGCTGGAGCCTGCACCCATTCAGCTCAGTGTGTCTGGAGAAAAAACAATCTCGCTTCAAAATTCATGATCACGCAGCCCTTTTTGCTTCCTAAGAATCCTACTATGTTGCTGTTGACCATTCTCCTTCTTTCTCTCTGTCTTGCTTTCTCTCCAGAAAAGCTATTCAGACTCTCTCCTCTTTCCTCAAACCTCCAACACTTTCTCCTTCATCCTTAGCCTCAGCTGCTGACCTCACTTCTGATCACTGAGAAACCAGGAGAAGCATTTAAGAGTGAACTTCCACCTCCCCACACAGGCAAAACCACCCACCTCCCTATGTTTGTGTCCCAATTCTGTGTCCTCTCCTCTCACCATGGATGGACGGTCCAGGCTCCGAGCCAAAGCCAGGCCTCCCCTGGAGCTCTGGATCCACCACCTGCAGCTTCTCAGGCAGGGCCCCAGCAGCTCCCCTGCTCCCTTGCACCAGCAGTCCCTCCCCTCACTGGGTCACTCCCAACAACAGATAAATTTAGTGACGTTTCTCCCGTGTGGTAAAGTCACTTAGCCTCACTCCTCCCCCAACTACTATCCTATTTGTTTCTTTCCATTCTCTACAAAACTTTTCAAAGCGTTGTGTCTATGTGCTGACTCCATTTGTCTTCTCCCGTTCTCTGCTGAGTCCTTCCCACAGACTCTCACCCCAGTCACTCCACGAAATGACCTCTGCACTGCCACATCCAATGGTCAATGTTCATTTCTTAATTTTATTCAGTCTTTCAGCAGCATTTGACCTGGCCGATCACTCCCTCTTCTTAAAAATACTTTTCTCAGCCAGGCGTGGTGGCTCACACCTGTAATCCCAACACTTTGGGAGGCCAAGGCAGGAGGATCATGAGAGCCCAGGAGTTCAAGATCAGCCTGGGCAACATGACAAGACCCTATCTCTACAAAAACTAAAAAGTAGCCAGTGTGATGGCATGCACCTGTAGTCCCATCTACTCAGGAGGCTGAGGCAGTAGGATCACTTGAGCCTGGGAAATCAAGGCTGCAGTGAGCCATGATTGTACCACTGCACTCCAGCCTGAGTGACAGCGAGACCCTGTCTCAAAAAGACAAAATAGAAAACTTTTCTCAGCACATTCCTCTGATTCTCCCGCTGCTTCTGGCGGCACAGGTTCAGTCTCCTTTGCCGGTTCTTCCTCATCCTCCTGATCTCTTGACCTTGAAGTGCCCCAGAGTACAGTCTTTTTTTTTTTGAGACGCAGTCTTGTCTGTCACCCAAGCTGGAGTGCAATGGCGAGGTCTCAGCTCATGCAACCTCCGCCTCCTGGGTTCAAGCGATTCTCCTGCCTCAGCCTCCCAAGTAGCCGGGACTACAGGCACACGCCACCATGCCCAGCAAATTGTTGTATTTTTTAGTAGAGACAGGGTTTTACTATATTGGCCACGCTGGTCTCAAACTCCTGACCTCGTGAACCACCCACCTTGGCCTCCCAAAGTGCTGGGATTACAGGCATGAGCCACCACGCCCGGCCCAGAGTACAGTCTTTAGATGGCCTTTCTACCTATACTTGCTCCCCTCATAAACTCCTACTGCCTCGTGGCTTTAAATACCACCTGTAGACTGATGACTCCCATATTTCTTTGTTTTTTGGAGACGGAGTCTCACTCAGTCCCCCAGGCTGGAGTGCAGTGGCACGATCTCCTCAACTCACTGCAAGCTCCACCTCCCGGGTTCACACCATTCTCCTGCCTCAGCCTCTCAAGTAGCTGGGACTACAGGCACCCACCACCACGCCTGGCTAATTTTTTTGTATTTTTAGTAGAGATGGGGTTTCACCATGTTAGCCAGGATGGTCTCGATCTCCTGACCTCTTGATCCGCCCATCTCGGCCTGCCAAAGTGCTGGGATTGTAGGTGTGAGCCACCGCACCCAGCCGATGACTCCCATATTTCTATCTCTTGCTGGGTGGGAGTTCTCCTCAGAACTCCATACTCATAAATCCAACTCTCATAAATAGCATCTCAAATGGGCAATATGCTCAAAAGTCAATTCCTACTTTTCTCCCTAAACTTGCTTTCCTGCAGTCTCCACCATCTTAATGTCCAATCTAACCTGGAGGCAAAAACTTTGAAGTCATTCTTGACTCTTCTCTATTACACACCCTATCCAATCTTTCTGCAGATCCAGTCAACCCCCAAATCCAGTTAGCTCTCATCATCTCCCCTGTTACCCCCCTGGTCCAGGCCATCTTCCTCTCTCACCTGAATCACTGCAGCATTCTCCTCACTGGTCTCTTTGGTTCTGTTTTCACTGCACCTTAGCACAGTCTCCACAGAGCAGTCAGAGGGATCCTTTTAAAGTGTAATTCCCATCCTGTCCCTGCTCTGCTCAAAACCCTGTTGTGATTCCCGTTTTAATCTGTCAGATTAAAAGCCAGAGTCTTTCCAGTGACCTACATGATCTGCCTATTATCACCTCCCACTCCTTTCCCCTTGCTCACTCCACTCCAGCTCTGCAGCTGTCCTTTCTGTTTCCTGAACAGCCCAGATTTTGCTTCTTTAGAACCTTTGTATTTGCTGTCCCCTCTGTCTGGAATGTTTTTCCAGGAAGTCACCTGGCTCTCTCCTGCACTTCCTTCCTGACCACCATGTTTAAAAATCACTCAAACACACTTCAGGCCGGACATGGTGGCTCATGCCTGTAATCCCAGCACTTTGGGAGGCCAAGGTGGGTGGACCACCTGAGGTCAGGAGTTCGAGACCAGCCTGGCCAACATGGTGACACCTCGTCTCTACTACAAATACAAATATTAGCCGGGTGTAGTGGCACACACCTGTAATCCCAGCTACTCATCAGGAGGCTGAGGCAGGAGAATCACTGGAACACAGAAGGCGGGGGAGGTGCAGTGAGCCAAGATCACGCCACTGTACTCCAGCCTGGGTGGCAGAGCAAGACCCCTTCTCAAAAAAAAAAAAAAAAAAAAAAATCACACAAACACACTTCTCTTCATATTCCCTTTCCAAGTTTTATTTTTCTCCAGAATACTTTACATTGTTTTAACAAAAGTTCTCTGTTTCCCCCCAACTAGAATGGGTACTTCCTGCAGGTAGGCACTCTAGTCCTCCCATCCAAGTACTAACCAGGCTCAACCCTGCTTAGCTTCTGAGAGCAGGGGAGATCAGGCCTGTTCCGGGTGGTATGGCCCAAGAATTTTGATTCTGTTTGATTCACTGCTGTTCTGTTGATTCTCTTTTGTTCCTCCTCCTAGTGCTGAGAACCCTACTTGAACATAATAAGCATTCAATAAATATTTGTTGAATGAATGAATTGTTGAATGAATTAATCTCAGAAATTCAGGACTGGTTCTACATTAGAAAATTTTTCAAAGTCATTCTCTTGTTGTATCACATTAAGAGAGAAAAATTTTGTACTCTAAATCATTTGATAAAATACATACTGATTTCTGTTTTCAAAAACTCTTATCGGCTGGGCGCAGTGGCTCACGCCTGTAATCCCAGCACTTTGGGAGGCTGAGGCAGGCGGATCACGAGGTCAGGAGATCAAGACCATCCTGGCTAATACGTGAAACTCCGTCTCTACTAAAAATACAAAAAATTAGCTAGGCATGCTGGTGGGTGCCTGTAGTCCCAGCTACTCGGGAGGCTGAGGCAGGAGAATGGCGTGAAACCGGGAGGCGGAGCTTGCAGTGAGCCAAGATCGCGCCACTGCACTCCAGCCTGGGCAACAGAGCGAGACTCCGTCCCCCCCCAAAAAAAAAAAAAAAGTTAAGACCTCAAACTATTAAAATTACAGAAGAAAACCTAGGAAATACCCTTCTCAACACTGGCCTTGACAAAGAATTTTTGGCTTAAGTCCCCAAAAGCAATTGCAATAACAACCAAAATAGGTGGAATCTAATTAAACTAAAGAGCTTCTGCACAGCAAAGAAAACTATCAACAGAGTAAACAGACAACTTACAGAATGGGAGAAATATTCACAAACGATGTATCTAATGTCCAGAATCTATAAGAAAAACTTAAATCAACAAGCAAAAAACAAATAACCCCATTAAAAAATGGGCAAAGGACATGAATAGACACTTCTCAAAAGAAGACATACAAGTGGCCAACAAACATGAAAAAATGCTGATCATCACTCATCATCAGAGAAGTGCAAATCAAAACCACAATGAGATGCCTTCTCACATTAGTGAGAATGGCTACTGAAAAGTCAAACAAATAACAGATGGTGGTGAGGCTGTAGAGAAAAGGGAGCACTTATACACTGTTGGTGGAAATGTAAATTAGTTTAGCCAGTGTAGAAAGCAGTTTGGAGATTTCTCAAAGATCTTCAAACAGAGCTACCATTCGACCCAGCAATCTCATTACTGGATACGTACCCAAAAGAAAACAAATCATTGTACCAAAAAGACATGTGTACTCATATGTTTATTCCAACACTAGTCACAATAGCAAAGACATGGAATGGACCTAAATACCCATCAATGATAGACTGGATAAAGAAAATACGGTACATATACACCATGAAATACTACACAGCCATAAAAAAGAAGGAAACCATGTCATTTGCAGCAAGATGGATGCAGCTGGAGGCCATTATCTTAAGCAAACTAAGGCAGGAACAGAAAACCCAATACTGTATGTTCTCACTTATAAATGGGAGCTAAACATAGAGTACACAGAGACACAAAGATGGGAACAACAGACAATGGGGACTCTGAAAGGGGTGAGGCAGGGTCGGGGACAAGGCCTGAAACGCTAACCATTGTATAGTATGCTCACTACTTGAGTGATGGGATCAACTGTACCCCAAACCTCGGCATCACACAATATACCAATGTAACAAACCTGCACATGTACCCCCTCAATCTCAAGTAAAATACATATATATGTACACACACACGGAGAGAGAGAGGGATTGAACATAACCTATCATGCTGTACTTTGGTGAGGTAAAAAGAAAAGTTATTTTAAGTAAAATGCACATGGCTACTGGTTTTCAAAAAGACTATGAACCATCTGACTTTCACCACTTTTTTTTGGCTTCCTAATTCTGAGAGAACAAGCCTATGAGGCATCATAGACAAACAGGTCTAGACACCATATTTTGTGAAGAGTAAATAAAGCAGACACATATTTATATTTCTAATTTTACACAGATTTAACAATGAATAAAAATTACTCAAGGCAAAATGAGTTTTGGGTCTCATCAAATGTAAAATGTTTTGAAAACTAATCCAAAATATTCACACACACACAATCACGCCAGCAGGAAATACTATTCTTATGATCAAGCTTGGAAACATCTTATTTTCCATCTCTTCCCTGCAATCTCATTATGACTAGGTTACATTATAAAAGGGCACTAATGAACATGTGAATTGCCTTTGCATATCCACTCTGGCAGCTGCCTCAGTCCATTTCTGTCAGGTGGGGGACAGCACAGCATCAGTGGAGTCCTTCTTGAATGACTGCTCTTTTTAACTGTTTTCTTCAATTTCCTGTTACCATTCCTATTTCCTTTATGCTAAACCTCCTGCAGGCAGCCACCTCCCTCTAGCTTTTCACTCTTTCCAGTGTTCTTGGCAGCATGGCTGACGGGCTGGGGAGGCTGTAACCAAGGGGCCTTCCTTCATGGTATGGTCCAGCCTCGGAACCGGGCAGAGGCAGAATGGACAGGGTAGCAGGAAGAACAAACAGGGGTCTGAGGCGAGTTTATACTTTGGGAGCCCCTATTACTGGTCAGTAACATGACAGGTTTTCTTTTCTTTTCTTTTTTTCAGACAGGGTCTCCCTCTGTCACCCAGGCTGGAGTGGAGTGGTGCTATCACAGCTCACTGCAGACTTAAACTCCTGGGCTCAAGCAATCCTCCTGCCTCAGTGCTGGGATTCTTTTCCTTTTTTTGACATAAAGTGAAAAGAAGGTAATGGCAGCGGCAGATACAAGATATATATATATAATCTGGGTAGATTCTGGTTTTAAGACATATGACTGCTGATATGACAGAGACTCCCAGCCCTGCTAATTTACTATCTGGGCTAGGTCTAGGCTGCAGCTGGGTTTTCCCTGCCAGCTACTCGGGAAGCTGAGGCAGGAGAATCGCTTGAACCTAGGAGGTGGAGGTTGCAGTGAGCTGAGAGCGAGCCATTGGACTCCAGCCTGGGCAACAAGAGCAAGACTCCATCTCAAAAAAAAAAAAGCAACTTCCTTAATTTGATGAAATCTGATAAAGTCTAATACTAGCCAATAACAAATAACATAACTAACAGAGAATTATGGGAAGCTTTTTCCCCCAGTGCAAGAACAGACGAGGATGCCTGCTATCACTCTTTAATCAGCATTGTAGTGGAGAAACAATACAGTAGGAAATAAAAAGGCATTAGGATTAATTTTTAAACAAAAAAAATTGTCATTATGTGTATATGACACTATTACATGCCTAGACAATCCTTGGAAACCCCAAAACTGTTTCAATTAATAACTTACTGGATACATTATTGTTATCAACCAGATTACTATATACTAGTATGAAACCAATAGAAAATAATGATCAAACTAGAGAACAAGTATCTATGACAAAAATGAGCCAATAAAGGATCAATTTGCAGATTTAAGATAAATCCTTCAAATAAATATAAAAAAAGGACCCTACAAAAACACGCACAAAATGAGCAAAGCATATGAAGAAAAGTAAGGCCCAGACGCCAATAAACATTTGCTAAACTCTACCTCACATGAAACCCGCCACTGCAAGTTCCAGGTGAGAGGATCCCTGCAGAAACACTGCAGGGCAGGATCCCAGGAGGCAGGACCACCAGGGAAGTGATGGAGCCCCTGCAGTGGGGAGGGTCTCAGGCCCAAGAGGGCCAGGTGGCTCCAGACCTCCTACTCCAGCTTCCCCTTACTCCCCACACCAGGCACAGCCCCACGTGAGTGCCCCGATGCAGGGAGGATTCTGACTGGCCATGTCTTCTCTGCCACTGTGCAGCCTGCTGAATGGCAGCCTCCTTGCCCATTACATCATTCCAGGCTTCGCTTTCATGGGTCACCTTCTCCCTCCCAACACAATGCCAGAATCCACCCCAGGAGGATAGGGACCGGGAACCAAACTGTGGCACCATGAGTGGAGACCCTGGAGGCAGACATGGGTGTAGGCACAGAGTGGAAACATGCTAGGCCTGGCCAGTGGGTGACAAGCACAGAGGATGGGGACATTCAAGGGCAGACACGGGCTGCAGGCACAGGAGAGAAGACCTGGGCTACAATCACAGGGGATCCAGACAAAAAGGGAGCTCGCTGGCTACAGCTGCATGGCAGAGAGGCACACCAGGGACAGACACGGGTAAAGGTGCAGGATAGAGGAGTAGGTGAAGGTTGGCGTGGGCAGGGGGCACAGAGATAAAGATACCCGAAGGTAGATGTGGCTGTAGGCTGAAGGGTGGAGTCACAAGAGTCCTAATGTGGGCTGCATGGACAAGGGCTGGAGACACAGGAAGACAGGCATGGGAAGCAGGCACACTCAATGACACGCCTCTGCTGCAGTAACAACAGACGGAGATACTCAACGAAATAGACTGGCTGCACGTACAAACACTGGGGATAGGAGTTTTGGGCATAGTCTCCCGGGAGAAATGATCCAGAAAAAGGACAGAAATGGGCTGAAGGCACAGGGGAAGGAGACACACGAGTGCAGACATGGCCCAAAAAGCATGGATGAAAACACTGACTGTGGACACGGATTAGGGGGACAGAGAATGTAGCAAACATAAGCTGGCATGGGCAGAAGCTCAGGGGACAGACGGACAAAAACATCAGAATGGGCTGCAAACACAGGGATTGAGGCACTGGAGGACTGCTACTGCCTGAAGGCTAAGGAGATGGCAACATTCAAGGCAAGCAATGTGCTGCAAGCACACAGGATGGAGACTCACACGGCTGGCACGGGCTGCAGGACCAAGAAATGGAGACTTCTGACAGGGGGCATAAAGTGCAGGCAGAGGACAGACCAGGTGACAATACACAAGGGCAGACGTGGGCTTCAGTCATTACGGGATGGTGATACTGGAGAGAAGATACAGGCTTCAGGCACAAGGATGGAGACACACGCGTGGCTGACACTAAGTACGTAAGTATTTAAGTACGTAAGTACGTAAGTACATAACTACATGTACATAAGTACATGAAAAACCCACCACAATCCAAAAATGATGGCTATGAATATGTGAATTAAGCCAGGTAACACGATACAAAATCAATCTATAAAATCAATTAGCTTCTTATTTACCAGCAAGAAAGAAATGTGAAATATAATTAAGGTACAATGACCAGACTAAGAAACAACTATCTGCACTACAAATGACCCCATAAAGGATTAATTTATAGAATACCTTTTTAAATTCTTCAAATCAACGTAAGAATACAAATGACCCAACAGAAAAGCCAGCACTGAAAATGAAGACAAAGACGCAAAGGCCAATAAATATTCACAAAACGTCACTTCACTAACATTTCCAGTTCCAGATGACAGGAGGCCCTCAGGGACTCAGGAGGCAGGAGCACGGGGAGGTGACAGCGCCAGCAGCAGGAGGGCAGGCCTCTGCCTTGGCACGAGCGGGGCCACAGCTCCTGGCGGGCTGCGGGGGCCGGGAAGCCCGAGCAGCCTGGCGCTCCTGGCCCCTGCACACGCTTCCCTCCCTCCACCCCGTTCCTCCCTCTCTCTGTGCCTTGGGCCCCGTGGGATGCGCTCACATCCAGACTCACCAGGCCCGAGACGTTGGGAGAATGGAGAAGCGCTTGCGAGCCAAAAGTCCTCCAGGAGCACCTGAAGGAAGCTTCGCCTGCACCTGGGACACCCTTCCCTGATGCTGGCCTCAAGGCAGGCGCGCCGCACACGCTTCCGGTCCATGACGACCACAGCTCAGAAGAGCACGCGAACCCAGCCTCCACAAAGAGAAAATGGCGGAATGGGCCTTCGCCTCCCTTTTATAACGGCTGTACTCAACCGCTGTATCTTGGAAGCTTTGTTTTGATTGGGTGAGAAGGAACTTTTTTCGACAACTCTTATTGGATAATAGTCTCCTGCTCTGACTGGATAATCTTAACTAATCAGAGTTGGAGACTTATCCAATCTGTGTTGTAGTACAGAGTCTGCTCTCATCCTATCAGAAAGAGGCTTCCAGGGTATGTCATTTGAATACAGACATTATAAAAGGGAGGCAAAGATCTGCACCTGCCGTGGAGGTTGGGCTCATGTGCTCCTCTGCATTGGAGTTAGCCAAGGAGCGTGTGCAGAACACTTGCCTCATAGGCCAGCCGTAGAGAAGGATGTCCCAGGTGCAGGCGAAGTTTTGTTCATGTGTTCCTGGAGGATTTTTCCCGTGGCAAGCGCTTCTCCATCCTCCAGCATCTCAGGCCTGGTGAGTCTGGATGTGACCGCTTCCTATGGGGACCCCAGGCACAGAAAGATGCAAAGGAGGGTGGATGGAAGGGGAACATGGGCAGGGCCCAGAGAGCATCAGATTGTCCGTTTCACCAGGCACCCCTGCTCCGGTGCAAGGGAGAGGCCGGCCAGGCCCCTACTCAGTGCCCCTCCTGGGCTCTGGCCCTGGCACCTAGACCCATCCCACCATTCTCCGCAGCTCCACTGCCCCGCAGGCAGGAGCTGCCGGCGTGGAACCTGCGGGCTGCAGTGAGCAGTGGAGGCAGTAGCCGCTGCTCCCTGGATTACCGGGATGTTTTTCTTTGGCTTTTTTCTTTTTCTATTTTATTTTAGATTCAGAAGGTACACGTGCTTGTTTGTTATATGTATATCACATGCACAATGGGGGGGTTGAGCTTCTAGCATACCCATCACCCAAATATTGGAGGTTGTACCCAGTAGGTACGTTTTCAACTTTCCCCCCCAAATTTTGAGTCCCCAGAGTGTATTCTCTCCATCTTCATGTCCATGTGTACCCATTGTTCTCACTTAATACATGAGAACATGCAATATTTGGCTGTTTCTGCATTAATTCGCTTAGGATAATGACCTTCAGCTGCATCTGTGTTGCTGCAAAGGACTTGATTTTGTTCTTTTTTATGACTGCCTAGTACTTTGTGGTGTATATGTACCACATTTTCTTTATTTAATGAACCGCTGGTGGATACTTACCTTGGTTCCATGACCTTGCTGTTGTAAGTTATGCTGCGATAAACATGGGAGTGCAGTGCCTTTTTATATAATGATTTCTTTCCCTTTGGGTAGATACCCAGTAGTGGGATTGCTGGGTCGAAAGGTAGTTGTACTTTTAGTTCTTTGAGATACCTCCCTACTTTTTCCATAGAAGTTGAACTAATTGACACCTACCGCCGCTTGCTGGGGGTTGAGGACGCCCAGTGAGTGTGCACCCGGGTACCTGCTGGGGCGGCCTGGGGACCCGCTTCACCCAGGGAGAAGTTGGTGTCTGAGCACCAGCGAAGTTCAGGAGGTGTGAATGTGGGAACCTGTGGGGGTTTGCAGGAGGTGAAACTGACCATGCAGGCTGGAGTCTGACTGAGGAGCCTTGAATGCCAAGTTAAAGCGTCTGGACTAGATCACGTAGGCAATGGGGAGCCATGGAGGGATTTGGAGCTGAAGAGGGGAATGAACATCAAGATATTTTAGAACATTCACTCTGGCTGCAGAGGGAGAAATGGATCAGAGGGGTCAGGGTGGGGCCAGAGAGATGCGTCAGGGGGCTGGAGTAGGGAGTCTGGCCAGAGAAGTCCTGCGGGGTGGAGGGGGGGTGGGGCAGCAGGGGAAGGAAGGTGGTGCACGCAGAAGAGAGGTTATAGCTCAAAACAGCAGGACTGGATGCCTGGATCTCAGGGTAAGCGTGGCTCACAGTCAGGACTCAGTAAGTGTCGGGTGAACACATATGAAGGAGTGGGCATTGATGGCCCTGGGTTTCTGGTTCCGACGACTGTGTGAGTGGTGATACCATCAGCCACAGGGTGAAGAGCAAGGTGGGTGGTGGTCGGGTTTGCAGGTGGGAAGGGTGATCAGGCCTTCAGCTGACAGTTTCCTGGAGTCTCCATGCTTAGTCACACGTTGCAGCTTTTTGCTCCCCGAAAATGGTGAAGTCCATCTATAGTCTAACGACAGTCTCTCCTGCTTTAATTGGGTCTATTTGTTGGGCCCTCTGGGATATGGAAAAACCACTTGCTCAGCTTCTCCTTGTAAATTCCTGGTGAGTGCCTCCAGGCCTACTGCTGTGCTGTTTCTTTTTCTTCTTCCTGCTGCGCTGAACCCCTGCCCTTTCATTCTTGGGCCTGTGCTAATTTCTGTGCATTCCCAACTGTGATTTTTCACCAATTTGGGGGAACCTCCTCTGCCAGGTCCTGCTTCATGCCAGCAGCGCTTGCAGGAGCCTGGGCTGGCTGGCATCCCTGGGCTGATGGGTGCTCCTCTCCCTGCAGGCTGGCCACTCAGTATTCCTTGTCCCTGGCCTCGCAGCCCACCCGGGAAGGTAAGAAGTTGCCCTCTCCTGCTGTGTGGACCCCAAGGGAGGGGAGAGGCTGAGGGCCCTTCTGTGTGGGAGACTGGGGGGACCACAGACTCGGGGGCAGGTAGGGGGAAGAGCTCCTGCCTGACGTTCCCTGTGCCTCCCTCCTCCATCGCCTGCAGCCACAGTGACCAGCCACCAGGTGTGCCATCACGGAGGAAGTCCAGGTTGGAGAGGTGGTCTCCTTCTGTGAGCAGGTCCACCTCTCCCCCCACTGAGGCCCCTTTCTGCCTGTGACAGCCCCACCTCAAGGGCCATGGCACAGCCATCAGCTCCAGCTGCCAGCATGCTACTGCCATGCCCCGAGTGTCCATCTGGGCCCCGGTTCATGACCTGTTGTCTTTCTGTATCTACTTTCTGCAGCCCCTCACTGAGGAGGCCTCCTGGGTTTGTCCAGTGCCTGCTATTAAAGCTTTGCTCCAAGTTCAATGCCTCGTGTGATCTGGTCTGTTCATTGGTTTGGGGCAGTGTGGGCTGAGGGACTGGGGGAGGTGGATAGTTTATTGAGTGTTTGGGTATCAGCTTGTCACCTGCCAATCTATTCTGCCCACTCCATCCAGGCCGGGGGCTCCTGGAAAGACGTGAAGGGAGGAGGCGAAAGGATTAAGGGTGGAGGGATGGGACAGCCCCTTGTATTGGGAAAAGTTTCTAAGAATCAGCCCCGAGTCCCCGTCACCATGCCTTTTGGGGAGCACTCCCTGCCTCAGCCCAGGGCAGGTTCAAGAGCAGAAGGAGAGGGGCTCCGTGGGGAGGGGCTTCTGAAGGAGTGGTCCAGGGCATTGATGAGTGAGAGGGGGTGAGAGCGACGCAGGCAGCCTGGGAAACCAGACCGGCTCTGCCCAGCTCAGGGTGTGTGTGAGGCGGGGTGGCCGCTGTGCGTGTATGCATGGGGGGTGTCCTGTTTGCTTTGGTGGCTTGGCAGCCACTGGGCTGTTGAGGAATCTCTCTCGGCTGCTGGTGGGGCTATCTGGGCCTGTCTGGGAAGTGGAAGCCATCGGCAGTCTGAAACATGACCACCTTCCACCCAGCGGGCCTGGTGGGACCCTGGGACCCAGGGCCGGCCTTGGGGTGGTGGGCAGGGCAGGATGGGGCTGTGGGGTGGGGCACATGGCCCACCTGAGGAGCCACATCTTGGGGAGCCTGGAGTGGGGAGGGGACTGGCTGGGGTCTCTGTAAGAGCTTCTTCTTGGGCAATGTCCTTTAGGTTTCCTGTGGGCTGAGACCTGAGATAAATGCCCCTCACCTGACCCTGAGGTCTCTTGGGGTACAGAAGGGTGAGAGGAGTGGAAGGGGGCATCCTTGGTTTAGATCCTCTCTTAGCACAGCCCACCATTTCCCCATCCTATAGCTGAGCCCCTCTTTGCCCACCCCAGCCTGGAGTGTAAACCTGGGGAAAGGTTTACACGAGGAGACTGGGTTAGCAAGGGCTTCTAGGGATGGGGCAGGGACAGAAGCTGACTGGATGGAACTGTAGCCCCTAGAGTGCATTCCTGGGTGTCAGGCTCTGCAGAAGGGGCCAGTGTGGACACTGCACCCCTCTGGAGCCCCAGTTTCTTTATGTGCGATGTGGGTTGGTCTCCAAGGCTTGATGGCATTTCTGTGCTGTGAGGTGGGCCTGGTGGGTTTGGGCTCAGTTTCCAAGGCAGGATAGGCTCTTGGTCCCCTCTTTCTCTTCAGCACCCAGCCCCGGGCCAGCACCATAGGTGGAGCAGTGTTGGGTGAAAGACAGCAACTTCAAGGGGGTCACCTGACACTGCAACCCATTTCCCCACCAGACAGGGTTGAGGCAGGCTGGGCTGGGGTGGTGGCTGCCTGGGAAGGCCTGGGGACGGTGAAGTCCTGCCTTCTCCTCTTCTCTGTATTGGGTCATGGGAAAGCATAGCTGGAGGGCCCGCCCGAATCACAGGTGACAGGCCTGAGAGCAGTGGCACGCACATGCACACGCACGGCACCCAGCATGAGGATTTGGAGAAATGAGGCAAATTCCTGATGATGGGTGGGGAGGGGGTCCCCAGCCACCTGGGAGCTAGCAGGTGGCCCATGGTGATGAAAGCCCAGGGAAGCGTGTGAACCCCCACAGCCCTACACAACTTGGGGCCCCTCTCCTCCCCAGCCCTTCTCCTGTGTGCCTGCCTCCTGCCGCCGCCACCATGACCACCACCATCCACCAGTTCACCTCCTCCAGCTCCATCAAGGGCTCCTCCGGCCTGGGAGTGGCTCATCCCGCACCTCCTGCCGGCTGTCTGGCGGCCTGGGTGCCGGCTCCTGCAGGCTGGGATCTGCTGGTGGCCTGGGCAGTGCCCTCCGGGGTAGCAGCTATTCCAGCTGCTACTGCTTTGGCTCTGGCGGTGGCTATGGCAGCAGCTTTGGGGGCGTTGATGGGCTGCTGGCCGGAGGTGAGAAGGCCACCATGCAGAACCTCAATGACCGCCTGGCCTCCTACCTGGACAAGATGCGCGCCCTGGAGGAGGCCAACACTGAGCTGGAGGTGAAGATCCGTGACTGGTACCAGAGGCAGGCCCCGGGGCCCGCCCGTGACTACAGCCAGTACTACAGGACAATCGAGGAGCTGCAGAACAAGGTAGGGTCTGCTGGTGGGAGGGGTCTCCGGGGGGCATGACTTCTTCCCCCCAACTCCTGCCCTGGCCAAAGGCATGGAGTCCAGCCATAGGGTCTCAGGGAGCCAAGGGTGGTTTGGCTGTGGCTTAGGTTCTGGAAACCTGCCTTGGGGCCCCTGTGTGGCCCACATGCCCCTTTTCTGGGGGCAGCAGGCTGAGTCAGGAACAAACAGGCCTCGTGGAGCCCCTTGGAGCCTCAGTTTCTCCCTGGTGGAGCTCTTCCACCTGGAGAGGTTGTAGGATGAGGCGGGAGGATGCAGATGGAGGGCTGGGCCCGTGGGCCGCTGGATGCATGGTGTCTTGCTCCTTTGGAGCAGGGGTCAGCAGGAGGGGGTTTTGGGAGATGTGGAGTGGGGGTGTCTGAGTGAGCTCCCAATAGCACCTGCTGCGGGGGGAGGCAGAAAGGAGGGGGCAGGACCTCAGGGTGGGGAAGGCCTCTGATGTGCCTTATTTGGGGATTTTTCTGGCTTCTCCTTTCCTCCTGCTGTCCCTTAAAACCGCAGGGGGCGGGGCTGCTGGCTGGCGCCCAGGGTTAGGGATTAGGAGGGGTCCTGACTTGTGATTTGGAACCACTCTTTGGTGAGGGCTCCTTTAGCCTCCTTTTGGGGGAGCCTGTCAGGGGTACCCCCTAGATGACTGTAAAGCGAAGGGGTTGCCCACATCCCCTCCCTTGTTCTAGAATTCTGGGACAGCTTCTGCCCTGGGGACATTTTCCCTTTCTTTTCTGGTTGCCTCATACTCCCAGCCAGCTAGCTGTCTCTTCTCCTTTAAGGCTGAGCCTGGCATCGGGGTCTGGTGGGGTACTGAGTAGCAGGGGAAGAAGAGGCACCTTTCAGCCCTTCAGACTCCTGCTTGCCCCTCCTCTGCCAATAATACAGCACGGGGCAAGGGAGGGGCTGGGTGGCAGGGGAGGTGCTGGGCAGGAAGAGAGGCCCCCAGGCAGGAAGATCTGTTCAGAACCCTGGTGTGGGCTCAGCCACCCCCATCCAGTGACCTGACAACTCTCCCATCTCCTCAGATCCTCACAGCCACCTTGAACAATGCCAACATCCTGCTACAGATTGACAATGCCCATCTGGCTGCTGCTGACTTCTGCACCAAGTGAGTCCTAGCTGTGGGCTTGGGCAGCCTGGGCCAGCTGGGGGAGGATCTCAGGGTACCTACCCCTCCTGACCCCAGGACTCCTTGGTTGCTTGTGGCAAGGCCCAGGAGCTCAGGGTGGGGCAGTCCCAGGAGCCCCACCCCTTAGTCCAGGATGCAGTGAAGGCAGCCAGTTCTGAAGGTTGCTGGGCTCAGGCAGGGAATAGAAGAGAGGGAGGGGAGGCGGGAGGCAGAGAGAAGTAAGGAAGCTGGTGGGCGTGGGATCTGGCCCTGTGATGGTCCCGGGGCCCCGGGGCTGGAATTCATTTCCACTCGACCCTCTCATCAGCCCTTCCAACCCCTTAGAGTCCTGGCAAAATGAAGGCAGGGGAGCAGCCAGGACCTGGACCTGCAGGTCCGAGCAGCCTGGGCTGAAGTCCCTGATTCCCACGGCAGGTTTGAGACAGAGCAGGCCCTGCGCCTGAGTGTGGAGGCCGCCATCAATGGCCTGCGCAGGGTGCTGGATGGGCTGACCTTGGCCAGAGCCGACCTGGAGATGCAGATTGAGAACCTCAAGGAGGAGCTGGCCTACCTGAAGAAGAACCACGAGGAGGTGAGGTGGCTGGGGCAGAAGGTCAAAGATGCTGAGGAGTGGGTGGCAGAGCCCTGGGGCCGGGCCATGGCTGAGGCCATGGGAGAGAGCAGAGCAGAGCAGGCGCACTGGGATTAGTCACCTTAGAGGGCTTCCCTGTCTGCAGAGCCCTGATCCTTGGGGTCTAGCGTGCAGGGCAGACTCCTCTTTGTACCACACTGCTTCTCAGTACCCAAGGAACCTCCCAGGGGCCCGCAGAGGCTCCCTCTACCTGCCCTGGCCTCCCTCATGAGGGCGGGGGATAAGTAAAGAAGTCTCCTTCTTGTCCCATTTCAAACTCTCAAAGCTGAACATCTACATAGAAGCTTGGAAATTAGAGGGGAAATGTTTGGGGCATAGGCCTAATAATTAGATTTTATTTTGGAGAGCCCTTGGTCTAATGGGGGAGATAGAGTCTGATGGTGGAGGCAATACTGAGCAGATGAATAAAAATCATTTAGAGGGTCAGACAGAGCAGAGGGAGAACAAAGGAGGGGTCCTTGTGGGGAGTGGGGTCCCCTCGTAGGGGAAGGCTTGGGAGTGAGAGGTCAGGATGGGTCCAGATGCGTACATCCACATCCCCTTTTTCCATAGGAGATAAACGCCCTGCGAGGCCAGGTGGGCGGTGAGATCAATGTGGAGATGGACGCTGCCCCAGGCATGGACCTGAGCCGCATCCTGAACGAGATGCATGAGTAGTACGAGAAGATGGCAGAGAAGAACCGCAAGGATGCCAAGGATTGGTTCTTCAGCAAGGTGGGGGCTGCTGCAGGCCAGAGGTCTCTCTTCGGGGCTGGGGCTCAGGGGCCTTAGCACTGACAGTAAGGCCACAGCCAGGTGTCTTGGAGGTGCCCACTCCTCAGCAAGCTGCGTGGACCACAGGGTCACACGCTGCATCAACAGACCTGGAGCTGAGCTCAAGCTGGGATCTGGGGGGTGGGTGGGGAGGTAGGGAGCCCCCACAGAATAAAGGCAGAGGGTAAAGACCTTGGGAGTCGCCACCTCTCTCTCAAGAAGTCAGGAACTAGCAGCAAGAGCCAGGCTACATGTTCTGGCTGGTTCTCAAGTTTCCGGTCTGTGCCTCCCACACGCAGGGATTAACCATAGAAAGCTAACATTTCAAATTTCTGGGCTTTGGGATGTGGGAAGCTGGTGAGAAGGCACCACTCTCTCCATAGTTAGATTTGGGAGGAGGCCTGACTTGGGAGAGGGATCCAGGCTCACACCACCCTGTCCTGTGTCCTGTCTGCAGACAGAGGAACTGAAACGCGAGGTGGCTACCAACAGCGAACTGGTCCAGAGCGGCAAGAGCAAGATTTCGGAGCTCTGGCGCACCATGCAGGCCTTGGAGATCGAGCTGCAGTCCCAGCTCAGCATGGTAGGAACAGCCCTGTGCATGGGGGTGGGCCCCGAAGAGGACACTGACAACCCTCACTGACCCCTGGTCTTCCTGCCGTCCTACAGAAAGCATCCCTGGAGGGCAACCTGGCGGAGACAGAGAGCCGCTACTGCATGCAGCTGTCCCAGATCCAGGGGCTGATCGGCAGTGTGGAGGAGCAGCTGGCCCAGCTTCGCTGCGAGACGGAGCAGCAGAACCAGCAGTACAAGATCCTGCTGGACGTGAAGACGCGGCTGGAGCAGGAGATCGCCACCTACCACCGCCTGCTAGAGGGCGAGGATGCCCAGTGAGTGAGGGAGCCTGGGGTCAGGGCTGCGGACCTCTTGGCAGGGGTGGGGCTCTCAGACTCACATCTAATTTCCTCTCTGTTTTTATTTTTTTTCTTTCAGCCTGACTCAGTACAAGAAAGAACATAAGCATCTTCGTGGCTGAGGCCCTGGGGATTGGGTGCATGGGACAGGCAGCCCACCTGCACATTGCTGGGGCAGGGTCCTCAGGAGCTCCAGGAGGTGATGGCTGTCCCTCAGCAGGGGTGGGAGAAGTGACCCATTAGCACTGAGGATTGATACTCAGGAAAAGATCAAATGAGAGAGACGCTGTCTGGTCTGATGGGGGTGGGCCAGGGAACTGGTCCTTACCTTGGAGATCCTAGTCTGATGGAGACAGGTCCCAGCTCTGGAGATTGTCATCTGATGGGAAGACAGGAACATGGTCTCATGATCTTTGTTCTTGACAGCTTTCGGATGAGCAAAAGCAGTCCTGTCTCTGGGGACTCTAGCCTGATGGGAGATAGGGACATGGTCCTTGTCCTCCAAATTCCAGTCTGATGGAGAAGACATGATCCTAGCCCCAGGGTTTGTAGTCTAATGGAGGAGATAGGGGCCTGGTTTTTGTCTTGGTGATCCCAGTCTGATGGGGGAGATGGGAGCAAATCTATGTCCTGGAGACTGCAGAGAAATGGAGACGGATTTCATGGAGTCTACATGGCTCCTCCCTGGCAGGACACACTGGGTCAGAATCAAATAACCCATCTGGGGAGGCAAGACTCACACAGGGCCACCGGCAGAGGGATGGGATGGAGGGAGGCGGTGGCAGGGACAGGAGGGATGTGTGTGCAGTGTGATGTCGAGGTGCCAGAGGCAGTGGTTGCCAGGGGTGGTGGGGAGACTTGAGTGACTTTGTCCAAGGACCCCAAGTGGGCCCAGGATGCTGGGGACGTGTGCCTGGGCTGGATTGGGGACCCAGCTATGGGACTCAAGGAGGGACTCACAGTTCGTCCACACACTCCCTGCCCACTGCACAGAATGTTTCAACTCCTGTCATCAAGGCAGAAGCTGCGGATATGTGGTTGCCCTATGGAGCTGCCACACCTGGTCTCATGTGATGGACACACACATAGGACTCTCAGGCCAGGCCCATGCCAGTGGTAGCTGCCTCCAGACCCCCCTTGCAGGGGTTGACCTGGCAGCATGTCTTGTAGGGAGACGGATGTGGTGGGGGACACTCATCTATGGCATGACATCGCTCTGTGTCTGGTTTGTACTGAGTCCAGGGGAAGGAGGAGACAGCAGTCCTGACTCCGTGAGACAGTGCCTGCCCCATGGGGACCTGAAGGAGTGACAACAGTCCCTCAGCCCTTATGCAGTGTGGGTCTCTTGTGGCAACCCAGGTTTTGGGGAAATGAGGGGAACAGAGGGAGCAGAGCCAGGCAGGTCTCCCCCCATGCACAGAGCCGAGGGGATAACTGAGCTTGACAGAGTCCCGTCCTCACCCTGAGCTGTAGTGACCATTTGAAGAAACATCCCTGAGAGAGGCCCACTCTTTCTCCCACACCCCCCTGGGGTTGACAGCCTTCCCTGGAGGCACCAGCTTCCTGCTCACATTCCTGGGGTGGGGGCAATGGGAGCCCCTCTTGGGGGTTTCCCGAGACTCACACAGGAGTCTGGGCCCCTTGTTTGTGCAGAATAGGCACCCCAAGTGGGCCCAGGCTGCTGAGGACATGTGCCTGGGCTGGACTGGGGAGCCAGCTATGGGACTCATGGAGGGACTCACAGTTCGTCCACACCCACCCTGCCCACCGCACAGAATGTTTCACCCCGTCATCAAGGCAGAAGCTGAAGATCTGTGGTTGGATTGTGAAGGGCTATGACAGCCCCACCTTCAGAAGGGGGTATCAAACATGCAGGAGGTGAGAGGACCCCCGAAGGTGGCCTGGCACTCACAGATTTCCCCAGATCCCGGGAGCTGTCACAGGGGCAGAGCCTGGGCCTGGACATTCGTTCTCCCCCAGGGACTCTGCTCCCTCTGTTTCTCTGCAGGACCCCAGTACCCCATCGTGGCCTGATACTAGTGTATTGGGATTGTCTTTACCAGCTTCTCCCCTCAGAAGACTATGTCTCCAGGGCTTCTCTGTCTTCTTTGAGTCTGAGTGCCCAGCACAATGCCAGGCACATAGTAGGTGCTTTATAAACACCTGCTCATAAACATAACGCTAGCCACCAGCCTTTGCCAGGTGCTTTATTTATTTGGCCTCTAATCCCCTAATTTGCCTGTGAGGCAGGGCTGTTATTCCCATTTCCCAGAGAAGGAAACTGAGGCTCAGAGAGGCTGAATGTCCTGCCCAAGGTTTTGCCCCTGCTTGCCCCGATTCCAGGCTGCTTTGTCCTGGCTCAGTGGGGCTCTACTTTTCCTTCCTCCTGCCCTGAAGCCTGTGGCTCTGGCTTGTCCACCCGGAGCTGGGGGCCCTGCAGAAGCCCCCTCTCTCCCCTCAGCTTCTCTGCCCCCCTCCTCAGCCCCCCTAAGCTGCCTCTTGCCTTCCCAGCCTGAGTTGGCTGGGGAGCTTGTAAAACAGCCCCACCAGCAGGCTTATCCTGAGCGGTGCTGATGCGGGAGTTGGAGCAGGGCTGCGAATCTTCTTTGGGACTCTGATGATCTGTCTGGTTGGAGAGTCACTGCAAGCCAAGATGTGGCATTGGCCAATGGTGTTTCCCAGCTGCCTCAGGTATGCCATGATCTCATGCCTCATGCTTGACATGGGCAGGATGAAGGAGGGAGGAAGGAGGCAGGGTGCAGGGAGGAATCCTCTGCCTGGAGGATGCCCACCGGGCTTCTCTGTGCTCGCCAGGCTTATTGGTCCTGGATCTTGGCCACCTTGGGGCAGGTGTGCATCACTGGTGCAGAGGAAATGCCTCCTCCTCCTCTGTCAACTCAGATCCTCTGAGGCCCTGCTGGTGCCTCTCTCTGCTAGGACCCTTTCAGGGATCAAGGCCAGGAGGGCAGCCCCCTGAGGGCAGCCCCCGCTGAGGCTCAGCGGGGTAATGCCTACCCCAGCTGCCTCCTGTGATGTGGGCGTGGCAGGCAAGCCCAGCACCCCAGGCTTTCTAGCCAGGTTCTGTATTTTCCAGCATTAGTTTTCCCTCCAGGGTCAAATGATAAGTTCTTATAAGGTCTGAGGCTGTGTCATCATCTCCCTCTTCACCCCCAGCCCCCGAGAGCTGTGCACACAGCAGGTGCGTGATCTGTGGTGTTGGCTGAGCAGTTTGGTGCGTTGGTCAGCAACTTCCTGCAGCTTCTCAGCCCATGCATATCCTCAGTTCTGCAGTGCTGGGCTTGTGTATAATCCCGCCCAGACATCTCCTGGAATGGGGAACTTGGCGGGGGGCAGTGAGCCAATGAGAAAGGGGTGTGTGTGCACGCACACACGATGGGGGCAGAGAGTGAAGAGTTCTCAGAGACTCCACTTCGAGAGTTGGTGTGAATCCTGGCTTGGGAGTTAGAGCTGGCTCGAGTCTCTGCTCTCTCACTTTTGTGCTGCTTAACCTGGATAAGGCTTTTGCCCTCTCCGGTTGGGGTATTGATAGCCTTTGGTGACCTTGAAGACCATTTTCAGTTCTGAGGGTGATGGGTCTGTGGTTGGACCGGAACTCCAGGCCCACCCTGACACCTGAACACTGAGGTTTTTGTCCAAGATTCCGGGGTCCCCTTTGCCCCTCTTTGGGGTGGCGGTGGCGGTGGGGAAAAAAAGAGAGATCAGACTATTACTGTGTCTATGTAGAAAGAAGTAGACGTAAGAGACTCCATTTTGTTCTGTACTAAGAAAAATTCTTCTGCCTTGAGATGCTGTTAATCTGTAACCCTACCCCTAACCCTGTGCTCACAGAAACATGTGCTGTGTTCACTCAAGGTTTAATGGATTTAGGGCTATGCAGCATGTGCTTTGTTGAGCAAATGCTTGAAGGCAGCATGCTTCTTAAAAGTCATCACCACTCCCTAATCTCAAGTACCCAGGGACACAAAACACTGTGGAAGGCCACAAGGACCTCTGCCTAGAAAAGCCAGGAATTGTCCAAGGTTTCTCCCCCAAGTGATAGTCTGAAATATGGCCTCATGGGAAGGGAGAGACCTGACCGTCCCCCAGCCCAACACCCGTAAAGGGTCTGTGCTGAGGAGGATTAGTAAAAGAGGAAGGAATGCCTCTTTGCAGTTGAGATAAGAGGAAGGCATCTGTCTCCTGCTTGTCCCTGGGCAATGGAATGTTTCGGTGTAAAACCCGATTGTATATTCCATCTACTGAGATAGGAGAAAACTGCCTTAGGGCTGGAGGTGAGACATGCTGGAGGCAATACTGCTCTTTAATGCACCGAGATGTTTATATATGTGCACATCAAAGCACAGCACCTTTTCCTTAACCTTGTTTATGACACAGAGACATTTGTTCATGTTTTCCTGCTGACCCTCACCCCACTATTACCCTATTATCCTGCCACATCTCCCTCTCCGAGATGGTAGAGATGGTAGAGATAATGAGACACTGATTCCCTTGTCTCCCCGGCTCAAGGCTTGTTGTCCTGGCACCCTTGGAGGAGTCTGCAGGAGTGAGGGGCCTCTGCTGCTCTCTGAGGCTGTCAGCGCTTGCAGGGAGGAGTGGAGGCTCTCACAAATGGGTCTGGCTCTTCCAGTGCCCTTGAGGGCCCTGTGAGGGGGAGAACAGGCTACCGTGGGAAGTGGGAGGGGGCTTGTTGGAGGGTCTTGCCCACATCCCCCTCCTGCATGCACAGCACGTCCAGTACACACGCACTGAGCGCCTGCCCTGAGGAATGGTGGGCCTCCTGTACTTTCTTAGAGTCCAGGAGGAAGAGGAAGAAGAGAAGCTGAAGAGGAAGACCCAGGTAGTAGGGATGGGGTTCCTGGGCACTCCCCTAGTATTGACTGCCCCAGAAGGTGACTCAGGAAGGGACCTGGTACTGGAGCCCACCTGGGGGTGGCAGGTCCCCATGTTTCCTTGTTAGTTTCTTCATAGAGGCCTGAAGATGATTAAGAACAGTGTCATCCACTGACAAATGGAAGAACATTCCATGCTCATTGATAGGAAGAAACAATATTGTGGAAATGGCCATACTGCCCAAGGTAATTTATAGATTCGATGCCATCCCCATCAAGCTACCAATGACTTTCTTCACAGAATTGGAAAAAACTACTTTAAAGTTCATATGGAACCAAAAAAGGGCCCGCATTGCCAAGACAATCCTAAGCCAAAAGAACAAAGCTGGAAGCATCATGCTACCTGACTTCAAACTGTACTGCAAGGCTATAGTAACAAAAACAGCATGGTACTGGTACCAAAACAGAGATATAGACCAATGGAACAGAACGGAGCCCTCAGAAATAATACCACACATCTACAACCATCTGATCTTTGACAAACTTGACAAAAACAAGAAATGGGGAAAGGATTCCCTATTTAAAAAATGGTGCTGGGAAAACTGGCTAGCCATATGTAGAAAGCTGAAACTGGACCCCTTCCTTACACCTTATACAAAAATTAATTCAAGATGGATTAAAGACTTACATGTTAGACCTAAAACCATAAAAACCCTAGAAGAAAACCTAGGCATTACCATTCAGGACATAGGCATGGGCAAGGACTTCATGTCTAAAACACCAAAAGCAATGGCAACAAAAGCCAAAATTGACAAATAGGATCTCATTAAATTAAAGAGCTTCTGCACAGCAAAATAAACTACCATCAGAGTGAACAGGCAACCTACAGAATGGGAGAAAATTTTTGCAATCTACTCATCTGACAAAGGGCTAATATCCAGAATCTACAAAGAACTCAAACAAATTTACAAGAAAAAAACAACCCCATCAACAAGTGGGTGAAGGATATGGACACTTCTCAAAAGAAGACATTTATGCAGCCAAAAGACACATGAAAATATGCTCATCATCACTGCCCATCAGAGAAATGCAAATCAAAACCACAATGAGATACCATCTCACACCAGTTAGGATGGCGATCATTAAAAAGTCAGGAAACAACAGGTGCTGGAGAGGATGTGGAGAAATAGGAACACTTTTACACTGTTGGTGGGACTGTAAACTAGTTCAACCATTGTGGAAGACAGTGTGGCGATTCTTCAAGGATCTAGAACTAGAAATACCATTTGACCCAGACATCCCATTACTGGGTATATACCCAAAGGATTATAAATCACGCTGCTATAAAGACACATGCACACATATGTTTATTGTGGCACTATTCACAATAGCAAAGTCTTGGAACCAACCCAAATGTCCATCAATGATATACTGGATTAAGAAAATGTGGCACATATACAGCCATAAAAATGTGGCACATATACAGCCATAAAAAAGGATGAGTTCATGTCCTTTGTAGGGACATGGCTGAAGCTGGAAACCATCATTCTCAGCAAACTATTGCAAGGACCAAAAAGCAAACACTGCCTGTTCTCACTCATAGGTGGGAATTGAACAATGAGAACACTTGGACACAGGAAGGGGAACATCACACACCAGGGCCTGTCATGGGGTGGGGGGAGGGGGGAGGGATAGCATTAGGAGATATACCTAATGTAAATGACGAGTTAATGGGTGCAGCACACCAACATGGCACATGTATACATATGTAACAAACCTGCACGTTGTGCACATGTACCCTAGAACTTCAAGTATTAAAAAAAAAAAAAAAAAAAGAACAGTGTCATCATCCAGGGCCCAGGTATGGAAGAACTGGTTTTGAAAACGTGCCCACAGGCCAGACCTGGACATCTTCATGTGGCGCTCTAGGGACAAGGTGGGCATCAGGCCAGGAGAGTTCCCTGGGAAGGGTCAGAGCCCACACCCTGTGACCACTTCAGTCTCCCACTGGGCAGTGCCAGATCCTTTTGTGGCCACCCCAGGGGTCCAGATGTGCACAGAAGGCTGTGGCTGGTTGGGGGGGCCTGGGCAGGGAAGTGCTCACCACACTCCTGACTTTCATCTGGGTCATGTGAGGGATGGGCTCGGTGTCACTGTGCCCTGCCCAGCCCACCTGGCCAGACCTCCCCCTTGGCCAGAACAGGATCATGAGGACAGTGTGAGGAAGCTGCCCTTAGGCTAGTCGGGGTCTGACCCCAGTGCTCCCCAGGCCCCACTGGGCACACGTGGACTTACTCCTTTGAACCTTAAAGGCAATGCTTGTTATCAGCATCAACATCTGTTCCCCTTCCAGCAAATACATATCCCACAGGCACGGGGTGAGCCCGAGAGAGATCTGTGGGGAAAGTAGGCATGGGAGGACCTGGCCCTTCCAGGCTGGGGCTGGTGGCTCGAGCTAGCCCATTGGGGCTTCACTGACCTTCCCCATGAGGGTCACCCGACCCCTCCAGGAGGCTGGGTCAGACAAGGTCTTGCAGCTCCTTATGGGGGGGCACTCATTTCAGTGCAGAGAGGGGCTTGCCCAGGGCTTGAGGCTCCCCTGAGCCCTCCCTAGTTGGGTCCTGGCCCAGTCTGTCCATGAGGCTGGTCCTGAGCCCTGTCCTCTGCACTGGGATGAGCCCTCTTGGGCAGAGGGTCTTGCTTGTGTGTCCTTTGGGGATCTGCCTGAGCCTCCTGTGGACTGGGGTGAGCTGGACCCCCTGGCTGGGGAAGCAGGGCACTGCAGGGCAAGGAGGGTCCCTGAGCCAGGGTCTCCCTGTGCCTCCTTACCCCATCATTCAGCACCCGGAGAAGCCAGCTGAATGAGGAACCCTGTGTGCATAGACCTTCCTTGTCCTGATGGGAGGAACAGAGGTGCTCAGGGCCCCATGGGCTGCCCTAAAAACCTCCCTCTTCCAGGGCCCTCTGAAGACCCTTCCCCGAGTGCAGAACACTGGGCAGTGTCCCAGGCTCCCCGCAACATCTTCCCCTTCCGGCACTCCCGGTGGACACACTGCCCTTAGCCCTTCTCTGTGGGAGCAGGGCCCCCATCCCTGTGCCTCTGTCTCCTCCAGGGCTGGAAAGGAAACCCAACTCCCAGCCCATGGGGAACCCGACATCCCAGGTCAGGCCCTGGCTGGGACTCAGCCTGTCACCAGCCCCATGAGGGGCTGCAGCCCCCGCTGTTCCTCCAGCCCCCCAGGATGCAGGGCCTCTGGGGAAGAGCCGAGGGGACCATAAACTCACCAGATGCCCCATGGTCTTGGGTTGTGATGTGGGTACCACATGCTCCTGATGGTCTTGGAGCCCCTGAACTGTCCCGCCATTTGGGCTGTGGAATCCTGAGAAGCCCCCAGCCCGTCATGAAATCAGAGCCTTCCCCCAAGATGTGGAGCCATCAGCTGGAAGAGCTGGGCAGCTGCAGAGCCCCCCAGACCCCGAGGCCTCCCACCCTCCCATCTGGTGACCCCACCATGTGGCCTTGGCCCTGGGGAGGAGGGGTGGGAACATCCCCTGGAGCCTGGCTGGAGGTGCCCCTGGAGGCCTCCTGGGCCAGGGTGCCGGGAGGGCAAGCCTGACTTTGAGGCCACGACAGGGGGCGGCCAGAACAGGGTGGGTGCTGGGCTTTGTGGTCGTCTCCTGGAAGTGGGGCTGGGCCAAGGGACACGGGATGGGGAGATGCTGCCATCTGGGCTTGGTACCCTTTCGTGGGTACCAAGGGCAGCTGGAGCCTGAGCAACTGAAGGGCAGGAGGACTCTCAGGTTGCGGAGAGCCAGCTGCACAGAATCAGAGCCGGAGGGCGTGGCTCCAGGACACAGAGGGCAGCCACGGGGAGGATGAGATGCCTTCTGCTGATGGGGATGAAAGGCGTCTGACTTGGGCTCTGGGGGGTCAGTTCCGGGTTCCTTTGGGACCGTCAGCAGAGACGTCCTAAAGGCTCCCAACAAGCTGGCGACACAAGGAAGGTGCCTTGGCTGAAAGCCGAGATCACCTGGCCAGGGTGGCCATCCCCGGGTCTGGCTGCGTGAAGCCCCAGGGGCAGCTGTTCACCTACCCTGCAGGAGTGCCTCTCACTGGCCAGCAGCTGCACCAGTGCCCAGAATGTGTCCTCCTCAGGCAGATAAAGGAGGAACAAGGCAGCGATGTGGCTCAGGTCCCTGCAGTAGCCCACCACCTGCAACAGCCAGAGTCACCGTGGAAGTAAGTCACTTGGGAGGGCTGAGGTCACCTGGGAGGACTCATGTCATCGGAGAGGGCAGAGGTGACTGGGAAGGCTTCCTCTGAAGAAGAGACTTCCTCAGGATGCAAATTCATTTCATGACAAGAGCCATATCCATCGGGCACTTCAGCACCTTGTCCAAAATGTCTCCTGATAGCACCATTCTGTGTGTGATGCTGCCAAGCTCCCGGGCTTTGGGGCAGCCCCAGGAGGAGGGGCTTGTTCCGATAAGTGGTGGTCAGGCCCAGGTGACACCAGGAGTCCAGGCCCTGACTCCTCTGTGTCTCAGCTTGACCCCTTGAGACCACCCCCTTGCTGGAGGTTTATGCCAGCGGTGAGCTGGAATCCTACCTCCTATATCCTGGTGGGTCACAAATACTAACTTTAAAAGAAGCAACGACACTCCCACCAGACACCCACTCCTGTGAATATGGAAATACGGCCTGGGAACCTCACTGCCAGGAATACTCACTGGGTTATACTTCGAATATGCCAGGAGGATGTAGAATAGTTCCTGCTGCCTGGGAAACAGAGAAAGGGGGCTTTGGTTTGTGTTGTGCAGATGCTGTTAGTTTCACTTTGTCTACAAACCCTAACAACAAATCCCATTTCAGGTTCAGATGATTCACCAGATAAGCAGTGAGCTCTTCAGGGACTTTGACTGTTGAAGAAATGTTTCAGTAAAATCCACATCTGTGACATGCAAATAGCCCAGTTGTACAGTGACTTGCCTGATCCTTTTCACTCTGAATGATCTTTTTTTTTTCAGTTTGCACACACGCCAATTCAGTCTTTGGGTGTACAGGTCCTCCATGGTTCTAAACCAATGTGCAGAGTCTCCCGGCTACCACTCCAGCCCCTCCTGGAGCGACTCCTTCATCCTCCAAGTCTCCAGGGTGGCCCCTATGCACCCAGCCTCTCCCCGATCCGTCAGCCCCTGGCCACCCAGACTGCTTCTCAGTCCCTATGGTTTGGCCTTTTCCACAATGGCCTAAGAATGGGAATCCTACTTTGGTAGCTTATTGGGTCTGGCTTCTTTCCCTTAGCAAAATGCACCTAGGATCCACCCACGTTCATGCGGGCATCACTGGCTCGTTCCCTTTTCTCACTGGGTCTTCCGTTTGAAGGGAGGACCAGCCTTGTTCTCCCCATTCCCGTGTTGAAGGCCATCCCCGAAGGCTCCGTGTGTGAGTGACGAGGAATCAAGCAGTGAACCTGGCCTGCAGGTTTCATGTGGACGTCAGTTTTCAAATCAGTGGGTTCAATATCTGTGACACTTTGGGGACGCGTGGTTCAAGTCCATTGAACTTTGTGAGCCACTGCCCAACTGGCTGCCAAAGTGGCTGTGCCATGTCACGTTCCCAGCAGACCTGGATGACAGTTTCCAGGTCCCTGAATCTCCCCAGCTTTTGGTACTATCAGTGTTGCCTGGGGAGGCTTACGGGCCCTCCAACCTGCCACCCTCCCGAGGGTCCTACCATGGGTCCCCATGGGTCAGGGAGAGCACCTTTCACCATTGTGCATGATTTTGTTTGCTGCCGTCTGTCTCCTCAGGATCCTCTTGGGTTCTGGCCCCCCATGTTCCAGTCTGGCCCAGGGCTTGGAACCTGGGAGGTGCTCAGTCCATGGTGCCGCCTGCTCCCTGGACCAGGAGAGCTCTTGGCAGCTCTGTCATCCCTCCTGGGTGACCCTGGCTTCTGCTCCGGGGAAATCCCCATCCCTCTCATTCACCCCATCTCCGCTGGGACCCTGTGGCTCCCATAGGCTTACTTGGTTCCATATCGATCCCTGAAGAACATGTGGTTCCTTAGTGTCTGGCTCACAGCCAGGTCGATCTGGTGGATGTGCTCAGATGACCTCTTGCCCTTCTCCTTCATGACCTGTAGGGCAGGGCCAAGAGGAGGAAACAGCCTCAGAACAGATGGAAGACTCCCTGCCCCAAATGGCAGTCAGCCCACAGTCAGCACTTCGGGAAGGAAGGAAAGAAGGAAGGTTTCTTTCTGCAGAAAGCTGCTTTTTGGCTTGTTTCGGAAGCCAGGGAGGGTCACCAGAGCCGAGCTCACCTGTGGTGCCTGTGTCACTGTCCGTGCTCAGGATGTGCATCTGACCATCCCACCCACCCTCCAAAGCGGGGCTTGACGTTCCCTCCAGCTGGAGACCTGGGCCGCTGACACGGCCTGGCCTGTTTGTTGTGCTGTGGCTGAGCATACCCGGTATTGTCTGGGGTTTTTCGCCTTGATTTCCTGAATGTTCAGGAGGACTGACCACACCTCGGCCCGGACGTTCATGGGAATGCCCTTATACACTCGCTTCATCAGCTGTGGGCAGAAAACGATCTGGTGTCACAGGCCCCGCGACAACCCCAGCGAGAACCAGAGCCCGAGGATTCTGGAAATCTTTGATTTTGGCCCCATGATTCGTCAGGAGAGGTGATGTCAAGCTGGGACAGGGTCTCCCTTCCCAGGACTGAAAGAGGGGATGGACACTCAAAGTCTGAACTCTGATCTGGACCTTTTCCTTCCTTCAGGTCACCAGGAGGCTTCCCTAGCCCTGAGCTCCCGGTGGCCCCAGCCCTAGATATAGATTCTCTCTCAGCAAGGTGACGCTTGCATGAACAGGCAGCAAAGCTGGCAACCAGGCCTGCGGTCCTCTAGGTGAGGACAGTGTGCCACCTGCCCTCTGAGAGGCTTACGCTGCCAGGTCATAGCCATGGGTGCCTGTGCCCTGTTTCTGCAGAAAGTGATTCTGGGGGCCTCTCCCTCCACACATGACCTTTTTGCTGTTCTGATATGTCTCCCATTTTCCCAGCATTGCCATCCACTTGCTCTTGCGTCTCATCTCCTGCTGCATTTGCTGTCAAATGAGGAATGTTGGAGTTAGCGGAGCTACCAGGCTTCCCGGAGCCGTCCCTGGATGCTGGGTCTTGGGCTCTGGAGCCCTGGTGGGACCCAGCTAGAAAAAGCCAGGGAAGGGCAGACCCTAAGGGCTGAGAGCCTTTGAGCGAATGAGCACCAGTGGGCTGGCCTTGGGACCCTGGGACGTGCCATCCTCAGGCCACAGACACACCAGTCGTAGGTCAGAGCCCAGCCTCTAGGTGGGGTCCTAACACAAGTGGGCAGCCATCCCCAAGCCAGGACTGTGGTTCTCACTTTGGAATTTCATCAAACTGCCAGAGATACAGCAACCTGAGGTCAGGTCCAGCAGGGATTGCTACCCCTCCCAGTGACAGCGTGTTATCCTCACTGGCCACCGCCCAGGCCCACTGCCTCCTCTGCTCATCAACAACCCGCCACGTCCCCCCGTCCCTGGACCAGGCTCTTACCTCTGCCTCCCGGGAGCTGACAGGGGGCAGCCTCTTCTCACTGTAAGGCAACCCAGGCAGAGCTGAGGACCTGCACAGGGCCTGGAGCCATCCGGGTCAGGGAGTCGACCTCCAGAAAGGACTGGCTCTGTCCCATCCAGCTCAGGTCTCAGCCCAGGAGAAGGCACAGGGAAAGGAGGACAAAGGCCTTCCTGTGGGGCTGACTCCCAGGAGGGGTCAGGACCTGGGAGAAGAGGGAGTGCAGAGCCAGCGTGGCCAAGGTTACTGGGGCCCCTGGTGTCGGGGGTGGTCAGGCTGCACAATGGGGCTGCCCATCCTGGACTCGAGGTGGTGCTTTCTGCTGGAGCTGAGAAAGGTCAGCCCTGAGATGGGATGGGGGCTGCCCAGGGTGGGTGACCGGGCCCTGACAGGAGTCCCTCAGGGAGTGACCACATGATGTGGACCCGCCAGGGTCTAGGGAGCCTGCCCTGAGACCTGCCCAGTGCACCCAGGGTGCGCCAGGGGCCCATCCCACCCGACATTCCCAAGGCCCTCGCAGGGTATGACCTCCCAGCATCCACCTGCCTCTCCCTGCACCTGAGCCACACGCCTTGCATTTCAGAAGTGGCATGGCTCATAAGCTTCCTCCCACCCTACCTCCCCCGAGGTCCTCCGTCTCTCCATCCTATGATCCCTGAGGGATGGGCTCCAGGCTGGGCTCCTTTTTTTTTTTTTTTTTTTTTTTTTGTGACGGTGTCTCCCTCTGTCATCCAGGCTGGAGTGCTGTGGCGTGATCTTGGCTCACTGCAAGCTCCGCCTCCAGGGTTCATGTCATTCCCCTGCCTCATCCTCCTGAGTAGCTGGGATTACAGGCATGCGCCACCACACCCAGCTAATTTTTTGTATTTTTAGTAAAGACAGGGTTTCACCATGTTAGCCAGGATGCTCTCGATCTCCTGACCTTGTGATCTGCCTGCCTCGGACTCCCAAAGTGCTGGGATTACAGGCGTGAGCGACTACACCTGGCCCTAGGCTCCTCTTACCTGGCCCCAGATCCCTTCCCAGCACCAGACCCAGGGTCATTAGCTGCAAGCTCTGCTGCCTCCCTGGCCTCTTTGTGAGATGCCCAGAACTTGGCCCTGCCCATCTTCTCCCCCATTCCCCTAAGGCCACAGCCCCTATGGTCCTCATGCCTTTCCCCCTTCCCCATGGGGACAGTGAGGGCTGTAGCTCTAGGGAAGTGGGGGAGAACAGGGGCAGTTGGGCCCCCAGAGACCTGCTGGACAACATCCCTGAGGCTGGGCCAGGTGTCTCCTCACCCTGTGGCCACAACCCTTGGATCTCACTGGGGTTGTCTCCTGGTAGACAGGGCCAGACCCTCAGGCTGCCCCGCTCCTTTTGTGCTCACTTGCCGACAGAACTGCTGAGAGCCCAGGGGCCTGACCTAGCCCCCTCTCCATTCCCACCCACTCCCTAGATGGGCCCCACACCTCTGGCCTAACAACAACCTCAGGCTGGACCTGCAGGGGAGCCAGGGAGGAGTTCTGACCCTGGAAAGGAGGTTGGCTCAACCTGGGGAGACATGTCCTGCGTCAGAAAGGCCTTTCTAAAAGCAAACCCATCCATGAGCTGAGACAGGTGATTTAGGGGCTGAGAGGAGCACAGAGGACTCACTGCAGAATCCCAAAGCGATCAATGTTTCCGTAGATTCCAACAGGCACAGGCCCCATGTCCTCTGGCAGTGCAGCTCAGTGTCCCTGTAACCCAGAGGGAGCCTTGGTGAGGGGTCCAAGGTAAAGGCTGAAAGGGCCTGGGGGTAGTGGCCACCCTGCACTGTGCTCCTAGGGAGCCCAGGACCATTTGACCAGGGTGCACTGGAAGAGGCCTCCCTCCAAGGAGTAGATGGATCTGTACCTTCTCATACTTCATAGTGATGTCCTCTCACTCCTCCAAAGTATCCGCGTCCTCTATCAGGTCCATCCTGTGAGACAAAAACATCTAAAGGTTACACTGTACCTGAGAGCTTCGGAGAACACCTGAACTGCTCCTGCCCGGCTCCCAGATGCTGCCTGGCTGCGTAACCCCCCATTCCACCACCGCCCTCAGGTGAAAAGGGGCTAGACCCAGTGGCCCACACCTGCATGGGTCTCTGGAGTCTCCAGCAGGGGTGTGCATCTTCCCAAGGACTTGAGGACAGTGGGACCTGGACAGAGAGTCCCATTGTCCCCAAATGCCATGAAATGGGCATACACCTGCCCCGGCAGTTTCAATGGTGTCCACCTGCCAAGGGTGAAGGGCCCATGATGGGCTATTCCAGGGATATGGAGGCAGACTGGGGACAGGGACCAGAGGTCTCTGGGATGCTCGGGACCACAGAGATGCTCAGTTTCCTACGGGGAACAAGGTCTCTCCTGAGTGCTCGGTTCTACTCTGCTCATCACTTGGGCTACCATGGCCCTTCAGTCTCACCAGTGAAGCCACTTTAGGAACAACAGGTTTAAGGAATGAAAATAAGCTACTGTGTCCAACGCAGCCTCTGTACTCATAGAAACCACATCTCTCGGGGAGGGACTGTGGACTCCACCATTCTGAGCTATCCATACAGGAGGGGGCTTCATTTTCCTGGGTCACGGAGGAAGAACAGTGGGTCTTTGGTCCTGGGGAACACCTAGATGGATCGTCCCTCCTGGGAACACTTGGAGCAAAAGGAGGGCAAGGCCTGGATAGGACCAGACAAAGAAATACCTGGGGACAACCCCAGTTCCTGGACCCCGTTGAACAGGATGGAAGATAGCCTCCCTCCAGCCAGCTCTCCAGGGCTCCTTCATTTTCCACAGCTGCCCAAAGGCAGAAGGCTCCCCATGCCACTCCCGGACAAGGGACCATGTGTGTTCAGTTGGTCCCACAGGGACCATCAGGACCCAGCTTAGGACACAGATGTGTTCTTAGGACCCTCCCCTCCACCCCACCCACAGTGGATCCATCCCAGTGGCTCTGCCAGGGCCAGGCTCTGCCCCATCGGGATCGGAAACCCTCGACAGATTTGGGATCTAGGGCAGGGAGACCACAGGGTTCAGGCCTTAAGTCCAGCCCAGCACAGGGCAGGGCTGAGAGCAAAACCCAGGGTCATGTCGGGATTCCCGGGTTGATTACCACTTCTCTGACCCCAGACGTCTCAGTTGTCAAATGGGTACATTTGGGAACAGCACCTACCCTATGGAGGCACCATGAGGACGAAAGAGACAATTGTCTACACGGGCAGTGTAGAACGGGCACCCGGTGAGTGCTCAGGGATGACCCTCCTCAGCAGGTGCCCAGAGGCCAACATCGCCCACCCCGTAGCCACTGTCCCCAAGTCAGCCTGCAGGGAAGAGAGCAGGTCACACTCACCTGATTCTGAAGAATCAGCTGGCCTGGGTCATGCCTCTCAGGGAGAAAACCTTTGAGTCCACAGAGCCACTCACAGATACCACTGTCTGTGTGTAGCTGCTGTAGAACACAGAGGCAAGCCGGGGAGCAGCAGGTGCTAAGCACCAGTGACATTCTGAGGTCATGGCACGCATCACAATGGGGCCTTGCCCGGGTCAGCAGGGCCCAGAGTCAGTATCCACTGCCTGAGGCGTCAACATGCCTGCCTGCAGCGTATACACTCTGGGGTGAGGAAAGGAGCCCGGCCTCTCCAGCAGCTGCACAGGCCTGCAGTAGGATGGAGGTGAAGCTGGCCTTGTGGATCACTTGGGCCTCATGAGGGGAAAAGAAAGACCAGGGGGCAGAGGAGGAGCATGGGGGCAGCTGGTGGCCTAAGGAGAAGGCACTTCAGGGAAGGGGTCTGTGTTAGTTTGTTTTCACATTGCTATAAAGAAATACCTGAGACTGGATAATTTATAAAGGAAAGAGGCTTAACTGACTCGCAGTTCAGGAAACTTACAATCATGGCGGAAGGTGAAGGGGAAGCAGGCATCTTCTTCACAAGGTGGCAGGAGGGAGTAAGTGGAGAACAAGGAAGTGCCACACTTTAAAACCATCAGCTTTCCTGAGAATTCACTCACTATCAGGGGAGCAGCACGGGAGGAAACTGTCCCCAAATCCAATCCCCTCCCACCAGGTTCCTCCCTTGACACAGGAGGATTACAATTCCAGATGAGATTTGAGTGGGGACACAGAGCCAAACCTGTGAGGGTCTCAGTCTGTCTTGCAGCTCCCCTGGGGCTGAGGCTGAGTGCAAATCTGCTGGCCCTGCTCTACAGCACGCAGGGTCTCTGCCAGTGCACCCCATCTGCTGCTTCCTGGGAGTGGTGGCTACTTCCTCAAAAGGAGGGTGGATCTGCTCTCCTGTGCACTCCCCCTACCCCCGAGGGACTTGTGGAGCCCTGGCCACATCCTCCCAGGGTAAGGGCATGAAACTGGGCTCCTTGCCCTTCTTACTGCTTGGGTGACAAGCCTGGGGTCATCCCTAGGCCGCGTCACTGCCCCTGCTTCTAAATGGAGAGCATTTTGCCAAACCTTCCTGGGAGAGGCTGGGGGCTCATCCCTGTTGTCTGTTCCATCTTGGTAAAGCCAGGTTAAGACATCTGGGTAAGCAGACAGTAGAGTGGCACCCAGGAAGGGTGGGTGGAGGGCGCTGGCATTTAGGCTTGCCTGGACCATGGTGGGAGGGGGAAGGTTACCAGGAAGCAGTGCTGTCAGGGCTAAAGTCAGGAGGAGGTGGTTATGCTGGTGAGGCAGGGGTGTGGCTGGCTTGCGGTGGGGCATAAATGAGAGCCAAGGTTTGTCAGCATGCAGAAGAGGCAGCTGACTCATCCCTAGGGGCTGCGGAGGAGGTCGGGTCACTCTTGATCCCAGTTCCCAGTGAAAACTGGAGGTTGCCATCACCTAACCACACATGCAATAAAGTCTTCTGCCTGCTGCTTACAGCCCCCGAGAACCTTCTCCGAGAGAATAAAACCTTTGACTGCTGCTCTTCCTGAGTGGATTTTGTTTGTGTCTTCTGATGAACTGTGATGTCCCGTCTATCATTTTCCCAGGCTCAAGGATCCACCAAAAGTTGACGCCTCTTTTGGGGAGGCTCTGCAGTGCCTTCTTCTCACCAGGCTCCCCGGGAAGCTTGTGAACTTGGCTTGCACCCTAAGCAGCCAGGTACACGCAGGGGCTCTGCTTCTTGCTTTCACTAAGAGAGAGAGCCAAGAAAGAGACTGAAGCATGGTCTGCAGAGAAGACACTGGTGCAAACGCCAGGAGAACGAGGGGCCTGAGTCATCTTCATTCCCCTTAAAAACACGCATTCCCTCCCAGGCCACCTTAGGGCATGAAGCACAGTGAGAGTGTGTGTGTGTGTGTGAGTGTGTGTGTGTGCAGGTATATGCACGTGTATTTATGTGCATGTGTGCGTGTGTGTGCGTTCATGTGCATGCACGTATGCATGTGTACATGTCTGCTTGCATGTGTGCATGCGTGTGTGGTGCAGGGATATGAGGTGGACAGGATGTCGGAGGGCAGCTCCAGCTCCAAGCTGCACGTTTCTCTGTTAGAATGGTTTAGATTCCCTGGACCACAGCAAGAGAGTGTTTTCACGTGCATCCATTTTTCTTAGCATTGAAACCCATATTTTTAGCAGCATGTAAACCTTAATTTGCTTAACTATTCTTAGAAGCATTTATACCGGTGGTCCCCAACCTTTTTGGTCCCAGAGACCAGTTTCATGGAAGACTTTTCCACGGACCCGGGAGAAGGGGAAAGGATGATGCGGAGATGATTCAAGCCCATTACATTTATTGTGCACTTTATTTCTATTATTATTTCACTGTAATATATAATGAAATAATTATACCATTCACCATAATGTAGAATAAGTAGGAACACTGAGCTTGTTTTCCTGCAACTAGATGGTCCCATCTGGGGGTGATGGGAGACAGTGACAGATCATCAGGCATTAGATTTCATAAGGAGCACACAACCTAGATCCCTGGCATGCGCAGTTCACAGTAGGGTTCATGCTCCTATGAGAATCTAATGGCACCACTCATCTGACAGGAGACACAGCTCATGTGGTAATGCAAGGGATGGGGAGCGGCTGTTTCTACAGATGAAGCTTTGCTCACTGGCTGGCTGCTCACCTCCTGCTGTGCAGCCTGGTTCCAAACAGGAGGGAACCCGTGATTTATCCAGTAAGATAAATCCATTATGTAAGTTGACATTATTCACTCTGCACCACCCAAAATTATCTTGCATACCTACACACACCCAAGGGTCCGACAGCACACTTTGGGAGCTGTAGACAGTAAGCCTGGAGGTCCATTGCGAATTCCATCTCTTCACCCTGTAGGCTAATAGGCTATGTTAGTTTCCTAGGGCTGTTTTACAGTACCACAGACTGGGCACCTTCAACAACAGAATCTTACTGTCTCACAGTACTGGAGGCCATGAGTCCAAGATCAAAGTGTCAGCAGGGTGGGTTTCTTCTGAGGCTGTGCAGGAAGGTTCTGTTCCAGGCCTGTCTCCTGGCATGTCGGTGGCTCCCAGTCTCTAAAAAACAAACAAAAAAAAAAGAATATGGAAAGGAAAGGTCATTCTGATGAAGTCTCAGATGGAAATCAAGAAGAGGTAAATGGAAACTGGAGGAAAGGTGAGTGACGCTTGCCATAAAGTGGCAAAGCACTAGTGTTTGGTGGAAGGCAGAACTTGTGAGTGATGTAACTGAAATTTGGCAGAAGAAATATCTCAGCAAAGTATTGAAGGAGCGGCTTGATTGTCTTGAACGTTTATAGGAAAATGAAAGAAAAAGAGGAATGATTTAGAGACAGAACTTATAATCAAAAGGGAAGCAGAACTTAAAGATTTGGGAAACTTTTAGCCTTCTCAGCCTGCCCGTTTTGAACAGATAAGAAAGTGTGTTTGGGAGCGAACACGAGGGTGTGGGTCAGGAGGCCTGCGTGGATCAGGGCTGTGCTCCTCACCAGGACAATGGAAGAGCGACCCTGAAGGCATTGTGTGGATCACTCAGGCCGCACTCTCGTCACAGGCCCATGGTGCCAGGGCACTGACGGCAGTACGGTTTCCAAGAAAGGCCCTGGGGCGCCCTGAGGACCCCTGAGGACCTTGGGGCTTGCTGCCCAGCACTCCCTGAAGTCGCTGGTTCCCACACTGTGCTGTGGTGCTCCTTGGCTGCTCCAAGTGTTGCTCAATGGGCCCTGGTGGAGTGGGGGACATGCTATCACCCCTCCAGAGGACACAGGCAGAAAACTCTTTGGAGCATCCACGTGGTGCTCATTCTGCAGGTGTGCAGAGTGCAATAGCTGTGGGATATGGCTGCCTCCACCTGCATTTCAAAGTATGTCCCAGACAGCCTTGGGGTCAGGCAGAAAACTGCCACAGGGGCAGGGACACCACAGAACGTTCCCACTAGGGCAATGCCCAGCAGAGCCGTGGGGAAGAGGCTATCCCCAAGATTCCAGGATGGTAGAGCCAGCAGTGTGCAAGTCCACCCTGGGAGAGCCTCAGGCATCAAACTCCAACATGTGAGAGCTGCTGCCTGGGCTGCACCCAGCAAAGCCATGGGGGAAGAGCCACCTGAAGCCCTGGGCCGCCCAACCACATCCTAGTATATCTGGAACATGGGCCATGGAGTCAAAGAAGGTTCTCAAGTTTTAAGATTTAATGTTCTTTTCCCGGTTGGGTTTTGGACTCACTTGGGGCAACAACAACAACCAAAAACACCAAGCTGAAAGCAAAAAACACAAAATAAACACCTTAACCCTATCCCTCCATTTAATGTAATTCAGGACTCTAACCAAGAAGAATTTCTCAATTTCTCAGCAAAGCTACAGGGCTAATATTCAAACCCGCCTATAAGCAATGCTATTTCTTTTCCTTAGGTAATTATTTTCCCAGAACTCTATAAAACAACTAAAATATTTTTGACCAGAAATTAAACATATAAAAAAGACCATCTAGGCCTTTGCAGCATGCACCTCCAAACTCTTCCAGCCTCTACTCATTATCCACTTGCACATTTTTGCGTATTTTTTAGAGCAGCATTCCACTTCCTGGTATCAAAAATCAATACGAGTTTGCTAGGGCTACGGTAAGAATATACCACAGATGGAGGTCTTAAATAACAGAAATATTGTTTCTCACAGTTCGGGGTCCCAGAAGTCCAAGACTAAGGTATCAGCAGAATCGGTTTCTTCTAAGGCCTGGCTCCTTGGCTTATAAGTGGCCACCCTCTTGTCTGTGTCTCCATGTGGTCTTCGGTCTGTGTCTGTGTCCTCATCTCCTCTCCTTATAAGGACACCAGACAGATTGGATGAGGGCTCACCCATATGACCTCGTTTCCCCTTAATTACACCTTTAAAGGTCCCATCTCCAAACACAATCCCATTCTGAGGCACTTGGGGTTAGGACTTCAACGTATCAACTTGGGGGTGGGGGACACAATTCAGCCCATAACACCCGACTTCTGTGCCCCCAAAACTGCTTAGGCAGAAGAAATGATGGGGTGGCTCACCATGGTCCCTTCAAAGCTTCTGCCCAGAAATGGCACCTGTGACTTCTGCTCCACTTCACTGCTCACAGCAGGTAACATGGTTCACTTCAAAGGGACAGGGAGGTGCTATCCTACCATGGATTTAAATATAAGACCTCAAACTATAAAAATCCTAGAAGAAAACCTAGGAAATATCCTTCTCTACATCAGCCTTGCCAAAGAATTTTTGGCTACGTCTCCAAAAGCAATTGCAACAAAAATAAAAAGTGACAAGTGGGACCTAAGTAAATTATGTTGTAAATCAATAAATGTGATTGACTTATTGAATCGGCAAATGTACATTTATTGATTATAAATTTTATACACTTTATAATAAAGAGTTTCTGCACAGCAAAAGAAACCATCAACAGAGTAAACAGACAGCCTACACCATGGGAGAAAATATTCACAAGCTAGGCACCCAACAAAGGCCTAATATCCAAATCTATAAAAAACTTGAACAAATCAGCAAGCAATAAAAACCCCAAATAACCCCACTACAAAATGGGCAAAAGACATGAAAAGACACTTCTCTAAAGAAGACATACAAGTGGACAACAAGCATATGAAAAAATGCCCATCATCACTAATCATTAGACAAATGCAAATCAAAACCACATGAGATCCCATTTCACACTAGACAGAATGGCTACTATTAAAAAGCCAAAAAACAACAGGCACTGGTGAAACCATGGAGCAAAGGCAATGCTTACACACTGTTGGTGGGAATGTAAATTAGTTCAGCCACTGTGGAAAGCAGTTTGGAGTTTTCTCAAAGAACTTAAAACAGAGCTAACATTTCACCCAGAAGTACTATTACTGGGTATATAACCAAAGGAATATAGATCATTATTCCAAAAAGATGCATGCACTCATATGTTCATCGCCAAACTATTCACTATAGGGAAGACATGGAACCAACCTAGGTGTCTGTCAATGATTGAGTAGATAAGAAAAATGTGGCACGTATACTATGGAATACTACACCACCACAGAAAAGAATGAAGTCATGTCCTTTGCAGCAACATGGATGCAGCTGGAGGCCGTAATCCTAAGTGAATTAAGACAAGAACGTAATACTAAATACCACATGTTCTCAAGTGGGAGAGTGGGAGCTAAACACTGAGCACATGTGGTCAAATACATGGGAAAATTGGACAGTGCAGACTATTGGAAGGGGGAGGGTACAGGATGAAAAACTATCTACTGGGTACTAGGCTCACTACCCGGATCCAACATACCCATGTAACAATCCTACACCCGTACCCCCCTATATCTTAAATAAAAGCTGGAATTTAAAACAATATTGCTAAAAACACTAAAAATTTTTTCAGCGAGTTGTCATCTTTTTGTTGGTAGAGGGACTTGCCTCAATGTTTATGGCTGTTGACGGGTCAGAATGATGACTGCTGAAGGTGGGTGTGTGCTGTGGCAATTTCTTAAAACAACAATGAAGTCTGCTGCATCCATTGACTCTTCCCTTGAAGAAAGATTTCCCTGTAGCATGTGAAGCTATTTGATAGCATTTTTCCTACAGTAGAACATCTTTCAAAAGTGGAGTCAATCCTCCCAAACCCTGCCACTGCTTTATCAACTAAGTTCATGTAATATTCTAAATCTATGGTTATCATTTGGATAGCGTTCACAGCGTCTTCACCACAACTAGTTTCTATCTCAAGAAACCACTTTCTTTGCTTATCTGTAAGAGGCAACTCCTCATAAGTTCCAGTTTTCTCATGAGATTGCAGCAATACAGTCACATCTTCAGGCTCCACCTCTAATTCTAGTTCTCTTGCTATTTCCTCACATCTGCAGTTGCTTCTTCCACTGATGTCTTGAATCCCTTGTCATCCATGAGAGCTGGAATCAACTTCTTCCAAACTACTGTTAATGTTGATATTTTGACCTCTTCCTACCAATCCTGAATGATATGAATGCCATCTAGAATGTTGTCTTCTTTCCAGAAGATTTCAATTTACTTTGCTCAGATCCATCAGAGAAATCACTATCTATGGCAGTATCAGCCTCCTTGTGTACCTTTATCAGACTTCTTGCGTAACCAGGTGGATTATCAATGAGCAGGATATTTTGAAAGGTATATCTACATTTTCCAAGCAGTGGGTCCCAACAGTGAGTTTAAACTATTCTGCAAACCATGCTGTTAACAGAAGTGCTGTCATCCAGGCTTTGTTGTTGCACTCAAACAGCACAGGCAGAGTAGATTCAGCTTCATTCCTAAGGGCCCTGGTAGTTTTGGAATGGTAAGTGAGCACCAGATTCCAACTGTAGTCACCAGCTGCGTGCACTCCTGAAACGAGGGTCAGCTTGTTCTTTGAAGCTCTGAAGCCAGGCCTTGACTTCTCCTATCCAGCTGTGGGAATCCTAGATGGCAGCTTCTCCCAGTAGAAGGCTGTTTGGTTTACATAAAAATCTCTTGCTTAGTGTAGCGCCACCTTCATCAGTGATCCTAGCTAGATCTTCTGGATAAGTTGCAGCAGCTTCTGCGGCAGCACTTGCTGCTTCACCTTGCACTTTTACGTTATGGAGACAGCTTCTTTCCTTAAACCCCATGAACCAACCTCTGCTAGCTTTAGACTTTTCTTCTGAAGCTTCCTCACCTCTCTCCGTCTTCATAGAATTGAATAGAGTTAGGGTCTTGCTCTGGATTAGGCTTTGGCTTAAGGAAGTGTTGTGGATTGGTTAATCTTCTATCTAGAACACTCAAACGTCCACTCAAACATCCTCCATTATTAGCAATAAGGTTGTTTCACTTTTTTGTCATTTATGGGTTCACTAGGGTAGCATTTGTAATTTCCTTCAAGAGCTTTTCCTTTACATTCACAACTTAGCGACCTGGTACAAGGGGCCCAACTTTTGGCCTATCTCGGCTATAGACATGCCTTCCTCACTATCCTTAGTCATTTCTAGCTTTTGATTTAAAGTGAGGTATGTGCAACTCTTCCTTTCACTTGAACACTGAGTGGCCACTGCAAGGTTATTAAGTGACCAGATTTCAATATTGTTGTGTCTCAGGGAAGAGAGAGGGCCAAGGAAAATAGGAGAGATGGGGGAATGGCTGGTTGGAGGAGCAATCAGACACACAACATTTATCAATGAAGTTTGCCATCTTAGATGGGCACAGTTCATGGAGCTCCAAAGCAGTGACAACTGTAACATCAAAGGTCATCAATCACAGATCACCATAACAGATAGAACTACAACGAAAATGTCTGAAACATTGTAAAAATATCCAAAATGTGACTCAGAGGCACAGAGCACATGCTGTTGGAAAAAATGGCATTGAAGAACTTCCTCGAGGCAGGGTTGCCACACTATCAATTTGCAAACTGTGTTTTTAATATCTGGAAAGCACAAGAGATCACAGCACAATAAAACAAGGCATGCCAGGAATTGTTAAACTGCACTGTTAGGGACCAATGACAAGAAAAAATGGTCTTATGTGTTCAGTACAGATGCAACCATTATTTTAAAAAATCTTTTCCATCCATGATAGGTTGAATCCAGGGATGTGGAGGCCCAACTGTACATGATTTCAGCAAATGCATTTGAGTCTCTAGTGACAGAATTCTGTATTTTGTTCTTCACTATTATTTTAATGAACTCATTTTAGCAGAGTTCCTGATATTGCCTCTCTACAAGTCTATAACCCTTCATAGGCCAATCTTACCCAGGAACCCAGATGCAATACAGGCAAACAAACAAACAAACAAAAAACAAATGGAATCACAATACATAAAAGGACCCACTTGGATATATCTCAAAAATGCAAACTTGGCTGAAGTTGACATTTTTGTAATGCAAAAATTTTGTATTAAAATTTCTATACATACAATGTGATTCCAATCAAAATCACATCATCCGTTATTTCTGAAACTTAACAAAATAATTGTAATATTTATATGTTTAAGAAAAGCCAGAGCACCTGGAAAGAACAAATTGGATGAGTATGTCTTATCAAATAGTAGGCTGTGTTAGGTATAAACCCATAGTACTTACATCACTGTGATGCAGGGAAGGAAAAACTGATGAATGTAGCAGAACGGACAGTTCCAGTAGTAACATTTGTATACAGGAATTTGATTAATGTCAGCATTGCAGATTAGTGGGAAAGAATGAGTTTTTCTATGAACTGTGCTGGCATAACTGATTATCCAGATAGAAAGAAATGAAATTGCACCTCTATAGCGTGCCATATAGATAATCACTCCTAAACATTCTATGATGAATGGAGTAGGTAAATTTCCAGGGCCAAGGGAAAGCTACAGGAGTATATGGGTGATTTCTCTAAGGAATGTGATTGCAATGTGCAGATCGTTCTCATAGGGTCCCTGAAGGTAAGTACAGTGCCTCAGGCTAATGAGATACTCAGGTAGAAAAATCAGAGGAGGAAAGAAAAACACAGCAACTGAGAGCTAAGAAAAGACAAGATTCAGGAGGAAAATGTTCATAGTAATGATGGCCTAAGGTCTTTGAGGACCAGAATATTTGATCTCAGATAGTGATATGTTCTCTATGTAGCTGGGCTTCAGATAGTCATAGGGAAGGTCTAGTTTCTCATTTCGGGCCACAATTTCCCTTTCCAGGTTGTCCAGATCTGTTTGAAATTGTCTCAGCACAGCTTTGGGCTCAGGGCCTGAGACATATACTTTCTGATGCTCAAGGGGGTACCTGGGGCAGAAAAGAGGATGAATGAGCTCCTAGTTCCAAGACACAGGGACCCGGAATCCATCCCCGCACCCTGATATCTCCTCTGTAGTCTCAGAGGTCCCCTCTCACCACGTCCACCTGCCGCCAGCTCAGAAGCCACATGATGCTTATTTGAACATAGGATTGCCAGACATCAGGGAGTGACCTCATCACTGTGGGCCTTGTCGCATCTTGTTTGGTGGTGGGTGAGGGCATCCTCACTGAGCACGGGCCATTAGGGATCCAGGCATACCAGTCAAGCTAGAAGAGGAACCTGAATTCACCCTGAACCTTGATGTGTGGACACTAGCCCCCGGCTGTCTCTTTCAAGAACCCCCAGTCCAGACACCTGCCCTGACAGATGCAGGCTTTTGTTTATCCACGGCTGGCCCTGGTTGATGGCTGCATGGTGGGGGGTGCATGTGAAGATTCACATGGCGAGGAAACGGCAGAGCTGAGCTCGAGACTGGAAGGAGACAGGGAAACCTAGGAGAAGAATGAGCCAAGTTTACAGTCTGCAGCCCCAGAGGGGATATAAAAATAAATCCTCATGTCCTGGGACACCCAAGCCTTAGAATTAATGAGTGTTTATTCATTTATTCAAAAAGTATACAACTGCTATGTACCAGGCACTCTCTAGGCATTGGGAATACGTGGGTATACAAAAGTAACAAAAATCCCCGCCCTCTCAGAATTTAGATTCTAATAGAGAAGAAAGAGCATATATAGAATCATTAAAAATTAAAGTTACGCATAGTATGTTAGGGATAAGAATAGAAATAAAGCAGCAAAAGGAGATATGAACAGTCAGAGATGATCGCTGGTAATTTCGTTAAGGGAGCAAGCCTCAATGACAATCATCTGCAAAGCAGGGAGTGCTGTGGTCGGAGCACAGGCTGTGGCATCAGCTCTGGGTACAGTCCTGGCCCTGCTGCTGCCCAGCTGCATCCCCTTGGACCTGTTGCTCACTCTGTCTGAGCCTCAACATTTGCCTCTGAAAGTGGGGATAATATTAATTACCTTATACATCAGATGATGATATAAAGCCCCTCAGTACCTTATAGCTATGATTATTATGGTAGATTTTGAAGGATGAGGAAATCTGAGAGGCTGTGTGGTGGTCAAATGTTCCCTGTTAAAAAACAGTTTAAAATGAGGGAATAATAGGAGACAAAAGGAAAATGGGCAAAACGATTTTAAAGGGCTCTGCACAAAAGAAGATGTCCATGTGGCTACTCAGCCTAGGAAAAGGTGCTCAGATCCACTGGTCATTGAGAGAATGTGAGTTCAACTCACAACATGATAATGCAGCATATTCACCACAACAGCTAAAGTGAAAACGACAGAAAATGCCAAGTATGGCTGGGCGCGGTGGCTTACCCCTTTAATCCTAGCACTTTGGGAGGCCCAGATGGGTGGATCACTTGAGGTCAGGAATTTGAAACCAGCCTGGCCAACACAGTGAAACCCCATCTCTACTAAAAATACAAAACAATTAGCTGGGTGTGGTGGCAGGCGCCTGTAATCCCAGCTACTCAGGAGGCTGAGGCAGGAGAACTGCTTGAACCTGGAAGATGGAGGTTGCAGTGAGCTGAGATCATGCCACTGCACTCCAGCCTGGGTGACAGGGTGAGTCTCCATCTCAAAAAAGAAAAGAAAAGAAAAGAAAACACCAAGTATTTGAGAGGATGTGAAGCAACTGTAACTCATATTCTTCTGGAAAAAGTGGAAATTGCTGGAACTACTTCAGGAAACTTGTCAGTAACTACTAAAAGTGTATATGCACATAACCTATGATCTACCAATTCCACTTCTAAGTATATACCCAACAGAAATGCACATACAACCATGTTCATAGCTGCACTGACGTTGTTAGCCTCCAACTGGAAACAACCTAAATGTCCATCAATAGCAGAAAAAAATAATAAATTGTGCCATACTTATATAATGGGATACTTCACAAAATGAAAATGAAGAACTATCTGCAACAATGTGGGTAAATCTTAAACCTATTGCTTAGAGAATGAAACCAAGCACAGGTGAGTGAGTGTTTTTATTTGCATTTATGTCAAATTAAAAAGTAACCTACGCTGTTAGAAATCAGGACAGTGGTTACCTTTGGATCAAAAGACTAGGAGAAAATACAAGGAGCTTCTGGGAAAGCTGCTAGTACTGTGTTGATTGATATGAGTGCTAATCATATAGGTTTGTAACCTTAGGAAAAACATATCAAGTTGTACACTTAGGATTTATACAACTTTTCTGTAAGTTTGTTTTATTTCAGTGAAATCTGTCTCTGACACCCAAAGTAGTTAAGAATACCGAAGCATGCCCTCCTATTCCCAGGAGGTTTTAGGCAGTGGTTTTAGGTATCTGGATTATAATGTAGAGAAATAGAGAGGTCCTAGACTCATGTCAAAGACAGTAAGGAAACTGGAAATCAACTATTCCATTCCACTCAATTTACATGTGAGATGGGCATCAGAGAATTTAATGACTTCCATCATGTGGCAGGGCCTGGGCTCTCCTACTCCACATGCGTATTGGGGAGGTAGTTTTTGTAGAGTGGGGCATATGATAACAATCATCTTATGCCAACTGTACTACCCACACTTCAACAATGTCACGTTCATTATTTATTTGGTCTCAAAAATCTGAATGTGTGTGTGTGTGGTGGGGGGGGGCATGCAATACATCCATTTTAGAGATAAGGAAACCAGAACTCAGAGATTAAATAGCTTGCTCAAGGTCACTTAGCCAAAAAGAGGACCATCCTAGTCCTTAAAAGAAAAATTTTAAATCTCAGTAAGTGACACTCATTCCTAGTTGAAAATGAACAATGTAGAGAAAGATGAGTCCTGTAGAACCCGCATGAACCAAGCCCCTTCAAGTGATAAGTGAGAAATATTAGCCACTTTGCTCTTTACTATTCAAAACACTGATCCTTGCCATTATAGACTGGAAGGTCTACCTTATTAATCATATGTATATTGTAGTGGCTTATATTGGTTTGTATTTTCTAGATGATAGACACAAAGGAAAGAAATCTGAGTAAAATATAATAAAATTAGGTAGCTATTGTTCATTTAAAGGATCATCACCTAAGTGCTACCATTTGAAGTCCCATGCAAGTTTGTGATTCATGTGTCAGGACTGTGCCATTACTGTTACGTAGATTTCATTGGAATTGCTGGTTTACCGGATAATTTCTAAGTGTCTTTGATATCATTTACTTCCTTCTTCTACTCCCATCAATGGAAGCTGAGAGACGTATATACGTATTTGTTTTCAAATTTCCTCAAATAAATCTGACATGCATGCTCTGTTAAATGCTCCTTTCAATTGACAGTATTTGTTTGGTAAAATATTACGGTAAAATAAAAATAAAAATAAAATAATTGTTCCATGGTTAAATAAATTTGAATTGAACATAGCGGGGATGAAAAAACCACTTGGCTGGTGCTGGGATAACTGGCTAGCCATATGCAGAAGATTGAAACTAGATCTATTCCTTACACCATACACAAAAATTTACTCAAGACGAATTAAAGACTTAAACGTAAAACCCCGAACTATAACAATGCTGGAAGACAACCTAGGCAATACCATTCTGGGCATAGGAATGGGCAAAGATTTCATGATGAAGACACCGAAGCAATTGCAACAAAAGCAAAAATTGACAAACAGGATCTAATTAAACTAAAGAGCCTCTGCACAGCAAAAGAAACTATTAATAGAGTGAAGAGACAACCTACAGAATGGGAGAAAATTTTTGCAAACTATGTATCTGACAAAGATCTAATGTCTGGCGTCTACAAGAAACTTAAATTTATAAGCAAAAAGCAACCCCATTAAAAAGTGGGCAAAGGACACAAACAGACACTTTTCAAAATAAGACAATACATGCAGCCAACAATCATATGAAAAAAAGCTCAACATCAATGATCATTAGAGAAATGCAAATCGAAACTACAATGAGATACCATCTCACACCAGTCAGAATGGCTACTATTAAAAAGTCAAAAAATAACAGACGGTGGCAAGGTTGTGGAGAAAAAAAGAAAGCTTATACACCATTGGTGGGAGTGTAAATCAGTTCAACCACTGTGGAAGACAGTGCAGCAATTCCTCAAAGACCTAACAAAAGAAATGCCATTTGACCCAGCAACCCCATTGCTGGGTATATACCTAAAGGAATATAAATTATTCCATCATAAAGACACATGCATGCCTATGTTCACTGCAGCTCTATTCACAATAGCAAAGACATGGAATCATCCTAAATGCCTATCAATGGTAGGCTGAATAAAGAGAATGTGGTACAGATACACCATGGACTACTATGCAGCCATAAAAAAGAACAAGATCATGTCCTTTGCAGGAACATGAATGGAGCTGGAGGCCACTATCCTTAGCAAACTAACGTGGGAACAAAACAAATACTTAAAGTGGGAGCTAAATGACAAGAACACATGGACACATAGAGGGGAACAACAGACACTGGGGCCTATGGGAAAGTGGAGGATGGGAGGAGGGAGAGGATCAGGAAAAATAACTAATGGGTACTAGGCTTAATACCTGGGTGACAAAATCATCTATATAACAAACCCCTGTGACAAAAGTTTACCTATATAACAAACCTGCACAGGTACCCCTGAACTTAAAAATAAAAGTTAAATTTAAAGAAAATTAGCACATTGCCTTTTCCTCAGGTGATGACAGAATGGTGAGGTAAAAAGAGTATTGAATATGGCGCAAGAGAAATGGGGAATGAGAGGTTAAAGTTTATGTGTAAATATGTATTGTACAATCTCTAATGTGGCTATTTCATGGGGAGAAGAGAGCCAAGGAGAAAAATAATGGTCTTTTGGGGCATGGGTTGCCTAAAAGAAAGAACCTAGAAAACTCGAGAAAGTGGCTGGGCGTGGTGGCACACACCTGTAATCCCAGCACTTTGGGAGGCCAAGGCGGGTGGATCACGAGGTCAGGAGTTCAAGACCAGCCTGGTCAAGGTAAGGCTGAGGCAGAAGAATCGCTTGAACCCAGGAGGTGGAGGTTGCAGTGAGCCAAGATCACACCACTGCACTCTAGCCTGGGCAACAGAGCAAGACCTCATCCCAAAAATAAATAAAAATAATAAAATTAAAAAAAATCTCCGGGAGGGAGGTGGGGGGGGCAGCCCCCGCCCGGCCAGCCGCCCCGTCCGGGAGGGAGGTGGGGGGTGCCTCTGCCCGGCCGCCCCTTCTGGGAAGTGAGGAGCCCCTCTGCCCGGCCACCACCCCGTCTGGGAGGTGTACCCAGCAGCTCATTGAGAACGGGCCATGATGACGATGGCGGTTTTGTCGAATAGAAAAGGGGGAAATGTGGGGAAAAGATAGAGAAATCAGATTGTTGCTGTGTCTGTGTAGAAAGAAGTGGACATAGGAGACTCCATTTTGTTCTGTACTAAGAAAAGTTCTTCTGCCTTGGGATCCTGTTGATCTATGACCTTACCCCCAACCCGGTGCTCTCCGAAACATGTGCTGTGTCCACTCAGGGTTAAATGGATTAAGGGCGGTGCAAGATGTGCTTTGTTAAACAGATGCTTGAAGGCAGCATGCTCCTTAAGAGTCATCACCACTCCCTAATCTCAAGTACCCAGGGACACAAACACTGCGGAAGGCCGCAGGGTCCTCTGCCTAGGAAAATCAGAGACCCTTGTTCACTTGTTTATCTGCTGACCTTCCCTCCGCTATTGTCCTATGACCCTGCCAAATCCCCCTCTGCGAGAAACACCCAAGAATGATCAATTAAAAAAAAAATATATGGAGAAAGTTTGGTTCTTGAAGGGCCCAAAGGGTGGGGTGGGATGGGTAAGGTGGTGTAGCCCCAGGTCCTCCAGGGCAAGACTCCCCTTTAAGGCAGGGGTTAATTTATTGATATGGGCGTCCCCGGGGCCTGGCCAGTGGGTGTTTGCGTTTTCCCACACAGGCAAAGGGTGGGACTCAAGGTGTTGCTCTGAAGGATGAAGGGAGAGAAGCTGAAGGATGACCTGAAACAATCCTGGCTGGCCCATGTGTGCGAGAGAGAGGAAAATGAACCTGGGAAGGGCCCAAGAAAGGCTATGTCTTCTCCATAAATAAAAATGCAGTGGGCGGGGACAAAAGGTAGCAGCTAGATCCTAGGGAAGGGACTGACCCAAGCGTCAGGGCATTGAGTTCAGGTTGGAGCCAAAGCATATACAGTATTGAGATGGCCTCTAGAGCTGGCCTTGCACTGCTGCGAGGGTGCAGCAGGTCTGTGCCCTTCGTGTGTGCTGGACAGTAGCAGGCAGGAGGGGAAGGGAGGGAAAGCCAAGGTAGGTCACTCTGAGCTTTGGAAGGGAAAATCTCCCTGTTTGCATCCTTAGGTAAAAAGCAGACAAACGTGAAGTGAGAACATGAGCCCCAGCAGGGACCGGCAGACCCCCTCACAGCTGTGGCTCTGGCCTGGTTGGGCCCCAGGATATGGCAGCTCAGGGGCATCTGTGACTGGGGTGGGGTGGGGGTAGGGTTGATGGCCAGGGTCTCCGAGGAGGACAGTCCTCAGGTCTCTAGAAGTGTCCTGAGTCTGGGGAGGTGGGAATGGGATGCAGATGCTCTCCTGTGTGGAGGAAGGGAGGTGTGAGGAGAGGGTGGGGTCCTGTCCCCAGAAGGGCAGCACTGGGAAGGGTCCCTGGCAGAGTCTCCCAGGAGCTCCTATCTCTGGGACAGATCTTACCTCGGTCCTGGGCCTGGCACAGCCCCACCTCCATGATCTCCTGATCCCAGGCCTGCAGCTCAGGGTCCACCCTCACCGTGTCATCCCTTTGGTGGAAGAGGTGGACGATCTCCACACACCTGCCCAGGGGAGAAGGCGCTGAGCCTCGGAGAGCAGGAGGCCCGGCCTCTGACCTCTCCTCCTCTTTCTGTGACATCTGCCCAATGCTTTCAGTATATCTGGATAGACCTCACAAGACGTGCCTTCAGGACATCCTACTGGGTAATAATCTCCCAGGGCCTAAAGCATCATGGGTATGGACAGCACGTGGGAGTCCCAGCAGGCCACAGGCAGCCAGGTCATCAGGACAACAGAGGGAGCAGCAGGTCAGCTGAGCCGCTGCCCAATGGAGCAACTGCACATGGCCCCCTCCACCTGTGCTCACTGCCTGGGACAAGAGAGATGACAGGTCTTGAGGGATGGGAGCACAGCTGGAGAATGAGGACATGCTATAAAGGGGGTTCAGAGGTGGGGTTTTCATATTTAAAGTCATGGCTATAAAAGGGATAGGGCTCAGGGGCTTAAGCTTCAGGACGTTCACACAGGTTGGCCTGGGAGATCTTGAAGCTGGCAGGACAGAGATTGTTGGATGATTAGGTGGCCTCATGCCCCATTCCCTTCTTACCCTAGCAAATATTCCACCATCTGAGATGTGTTGGGATCAGGTCCAGATGTTGATTTCCATGATGTAGTAGATATGGGAGATCAGGAGCTGGCGAGGAGATTGGAGGGGTGGTGGGTGGAGACCATGCTTGGCTCGTTCCTGGGAGGGCCCATTACACAGCATGGAGCCTTCTCCTCTCGATGCTTTCCTCCCCGCTGCTGCCTTGACAGACTGGTCTGCTGCTGCCCTGACACTCACGCTCGCGCTCTCCGACTTCCTTGTGCGTAATGCCCCAGAGTCAGACTGACCTGGATTTGAGTCCATGTTCACCTCTAATTTCGATACTTGGCGATATAATAAACTCTCCCAGTGTCAATCTCCTTATCTGTCAGTGGGAGGTGATAACCAGGTCTCTTATTTCAGGCACTGTCGTTATGTTTATGTCCGTGATGTACAGAGAGCATTTTTAGCACAGTGCCTTGGGTACACAAGTCCTCAAATAGCAGCTGTTATCATTACCTCTATTATTTCCACCTTGAGTACAGCTGCCCTTTAAGAATCAGCCCCTTAACGTTTGATTTTTTATATACCTCCTCCATCATTCACATCCTTATAGCTTAAACTAGCCTCTGCTTATTTTCAAAGCTGTTCCTCCAATCTCTGATCATCTTACTCTTATTGTTTATATTGAAGTGGTGTTGAGTACGGTGGCTTCAGTCAGAATTCATGGAGCAAAGCCAAGCTATTCTCATCAAATCTTCCCTGGCCCCCAGTTAGATACTATTAGGTTTCCTCTTTCCTGCTTTTCTTTGACTCTTAAAAAAGGGGTCCCTGATTCTCGCATTCATTTTTTTATTCTTAACCTATTTGGGGCCAAACATGGTGGCTCACACCTATAATCCCAGTTCTTTGGGAGGCCAGGGCAGAGGATCACTTGAGGCCAGAAGTTCGAGACCAGCCTAGGCAACACAGCAAGCCTCTGTCCCTAATTAAAGTTAAAAATTAGCCAGGTACACAGGTGTAGTGGTGTATGTCTAGACTAAGCTACTCAGGAGACTGAGGCAGGAGGATCTCTTGAGCCCAGGAAGCTGAAGCTGCAGTGAGCTGTGATTGTGCCACTGCACTCCAGCCTACGTGACAGAGCAATACCCTGTCTCTAAAAAAACAAAAAAAGAACTATTTTGTTTTCATTTTCAACTGGTTCATATGCAGGATTTATGCCATTGGTATCTATCTAAGGTCTTTAATGCCGGACACACGGGACCGGCCCAAAGAATACTCTTGAGGCAAAGATATCAAAGCAGCTCACGTTGGCTTGAACCTGGAAAACTCCATGGAAAGATGGTGAATGTCATAGAAAACCCAAAGTCCAGATGAAGTGGGTAGATACCCAGGATAAGCAACTAATAACAACAACATGGAGTGAGTTGGCTGAAGGTAAAAAAAAGAATAAAAAATAATAACAACATACCCAAGGATAAACAACTAACAATAATAACATATTGCTACATAGTAATAGGAAAGACTCACCTATCGCTCCTATTTATCCTGAGTCACACTGCCTGTCCTGTCGTTTAATCCCTTAACAACCTCACAATGGAAATTCTGTTATCTCCATTCAGAGATGAGGACCCTGAAACACACACCTGTTAAGTACTGAGGACTCAGACTCCAACAGTCTGAGTCCAGAGCCTGCACAGGTCACTTTTATGATATTTGTGGGCTTAGCCCTCCTCTGTGTCTTGACAACAACTCAGCTGTTTGCCATAGGAGGAAGTGGTTATGCGAGGGAGATGAGTGAACAGAGGGCTGAACTAGTGAAGGGGGATTCTGAGATGTGAGAGTGGGCTTAACCTATTCAACCTGGGCACCAGGTGGTGAGGCAAAGGCAGCATGAACGCAATCAAGTCTAAGATTCCATAAAGTATATTAATGCCTACCTTATCTATGTTCTCTCAGACCCAGAGGGACCACAACTAGTAATAGCCAGATTTGGGGGTGGAGGTGGTGACCAGCAGCAGAAACACAATCCAGCTGTCCTGCCTGCCAGGCGCTCACTTGCATATCTTGCCAACTCTTCGAACTCCATGCATCTAAAACAGAACACCTCATCTTTGTCCCCGAAACTGCCTCCTTCTCCTGACTTTACTGTTTCTGACCACTGCTCTGGTTCATAAGCTTATATCATTTTGCTCCCTTTTTCTATATATAAAATGTCATAAAGATTTTGAAAACATGTTTAAGCAAGCACAAGTTTTACTTTGCTGCTTTCTGCCTCGCAATAGATAGTAGACTCACTGTTTTGTAAAATGTTAGTATTTCTAGGGAAGTACAACATGCCCCCCGTAGGCTCCTAGGTGTTGAGGAAGCTTACATCTCCATTCCATCTTGGACACAGGCATGCTGCAGCTACTCTTCCCCCATCACCACGTATTTGATTTTTCTCTTCCATCCTCCTGTCACTGCCATGCTAATGTCTTTATCTACCTCTCTCCTTAGTCAGGTATGAGAAACCCGCTGGGCTGCTCGCCTTGCCCTTTGGTCTTCTACCTAAAGACTCCCCACTTGTGGTGGAACATTCTCCATAGATACTATAGTGATTACAGCTATTTCTCTTCATCTCAAACTCTGTTTCTAGATTGTGGTAGTCTGTTTTGCATTGCTATGAGGGATTATCTGAGACGGGAAAATTTACTAAGAAAAGAGGTTTAAGTGGCTCATGGTTCTGCAGACTGTACAGGAAGCATGTTGGCATCGCTTAGCTTCTAGTGAGGCTTCAGGAAGCTTTCAATCATGGTGGAGGGTGAAGGGGGAGCAGAGCAGGCACGTCACATGGAGAGAGGGAGCAGGAGAGCAAGAGCAAGAGCAAGATCTCTTTTAAACAACCAGATCTCGTGTGAATTCAGAGTGAGAACTCACTCATTATCAGGAGGACAGCATGAAGCCATGACCCAAACACCTTCCACCAGGCCCTGCGTCCAACACTGGGGATTACACTTCAACATGAGAAGTGGAGGGAAAACATCCAAACCATATCACAGATACTGTTTTGTTTTTTTCTCATATGTACTGCCTGTCTTTCATGATAAATGATAAATCTCCCAATGCAGATGCAACACTTTTGCTTAATATATTTGTATTCCTACTCTACTCAAGACCCACTACTAGAGAATTTCAGAGAACCACCCTACAGTATGTACTGGATAAATGCTAAGTGACTTGACTTAATGGGATAGATGGGATCTCTTTAGTATTTCTAACAACTGCCTGTGAGTCTATAATTAGCTTACATTAAATTAATTTAGACATTAAAAGTACAATCACAAGGCTGAAGGCCCTGGCTCAATTATCCATCTCCTCTCGCCTCCATTTACAAATTGCCATGAAGATTCTCTGCTGTAATATCATATGGATGTTTGTGAAATTTCAAGCAGCTCTGTTTACATGTTGTCCCAGGTGCCTCAGATTTCTTTAAAACTAGGCAGCTGTTGGGTTGTTGCTTTGGGACACGGAGAGTGGTGGAGCTTGTACCTTGAAGACAGGGCGCAAACGTGGGAGGCACATTATGGTGACAATAGCAATGACTTCAGCTACGAGATGAGTGTTCAGCAAATAGTATCGGAGCTTGTGCAGTTGGAATCGGAGTTTCAGATCCAGGATTTAGCCAGGAGCCAGGCAAGCAAAGGATTTGAGGGCAGGAACAGTATTGGGGTGGGAGAGCTGAAGCTGGGAGGGTGAAGCCAGAAGGAGGAAGAATTAAGCATTTATTCACCTCTCCCCATATGGATGATGCTATGCTGAGTGTTCCGGGGGGAACATATGGCTAATGTAAGATTATTGCCTTCCAGGTAGTATGAAGAATGAAGACCCCTCCACCCTGCCTCTCACTATCTGTGGTGCCCTGTGAATACAATGATAGGTTAAGTGCAGGAGAGAATGGTAGAAGGAAGCCAAGTAAGGCTAACAGTGCTTTGGGAGAAATGTCATGAGGGTCTGAGTCAGGATAGTGGAATGAGAAGGAGAAGCTGGATGTATGAGATAACTGACAATCCCTGTCCACTCACTGTGTGAACAATAGGAGTGAAAAAAAAATCATTAAAACCAAAAGGAGAAAACATGTTTAAGAAAGAGGGAATGTTCAATAGATTCAAAGGTCACAAAGAGGTTGAGTAGCCTCAGGATGAGAACCAAGAGATGCCGTTATGACTCTCAGAAGGTAGTTCCAGGTGAGGAAGGACAAGACAGCAAGCAGTCACTGGGTGGCTGAACACAAGGACTGGACCTGCTGAGTGGGGGTAGCTTTGGGAGCCAAAAGGCAGGAGGCTGGGTCCCTGGGAGCAGAGGTTAAAATGAACAGAGCACAGTGTAGGCAGGGAGGTCCAGGGCCCTCACCTGGATGACCATGGGTAGCAGCTTCCCAGGAGGCTCCATCTTCAGCATGACGAGGGCTGCAGCCTGGTACTGCTTCCCTCTTTGGATCACATTGGCTGGAATTCCATCCAGCGGGATGAAGTCAGCCTGAAACAGGGATCTGTTCTGTGGAAAGGAAGAGTGCGTGGATGGTTAGAGTTCAAAGACTACACCTGGAGGGACAGGGCAAAGGGCAAGTCACTTACATTCAACCTAGCTTCTTGCCATCATCCTCCATCAGTACCAGTGTCCTAGTGGCAGAGCTGAAGGAAGCATCCAGAGCATCAGGTCCAAGTCCTCTCATTTCACGGTGAGGAAAGAGGCCCAATGAGGGGAGTCTTCTCCAGGGACATGCAGCTTTTTTGTGATGAAGGTAGTTTTAGGACCAGTCCTGTCCAATCCATGCATACTAAGCTCTCTTCTTGCCCAAGTGTCCAGGCCTCTTTCTCCTTTACATCCCATTGTCTGCTACCCAGTATGATTGTAACCAGCCTTGTGTTTTTTTCCTTACATATTTTATCATCTCTAGATTTCTCCAGCACAGGACCCTGTACCAAGGTGCAGTGGGTTACTGCAGCCTCCTTTCCTCTGACTCCTATTTGGTCTCTTCCCTTCCCACCTCTCCTTGCCACAGTCAAGGAGAGAACATGAAGGGTTGGAGGAGACACCTGGGGTTCTTTCTCCAAGTATACCTGAAGCTCCTCCATCCCAGAGGCCAGCACCAGCCTGGAGGGCAGACAGGTGGAGCAGTACTGAAACATTAACAGGATTGAAATAAGTGGAGGGAAATATCATGATATGAACCGAAGGAGTCAATACTGTAACGATGTTCATTCTCCTCCAATTGATCTATATATTTAGTATAATACCAATCAAAATCCAGCACGTTTTTCTTGGAAGCTGACAAAGTGATTCTGTAATTTATATAAAAATGCAAAAGACCAAGAATAGCCAAGACAACCTTGAGGAAACAGAACAAATGGGCAGGACCTGTACTACCAGATATCAGGACTTATTGTAAAATTACAGTAATTCAGATAGAGTGGTATTTTCTCAAGGGTAGAAAAACAGACCAATGGAAAAGAATGAAACATCCAGAAAAAGACTCCCACCTAGACAATTGCTTCACTCATGACAAAGCTGGTGCTCCAGTGCAGTGAAGGAAGGATGACCTTGTCAAATGGTGCTGGATCAATTGCATATCCATATGGAAAAATGAATCTTGACCCCTGCCTCAAATCATACATAGTAATTAGTTGCACAATATTTATAGTTCTAAATTGAAAAGCAAAATAATACAGCTTTTAGAAAAAAAAAAAAAGGAGAATATCTTCATGGCATTGGAGGTAGGCAAAGATTCCTTAACAGGATACAAAAACACTAACCACAAAGGAAAAAAATTGATAAATTGAATTACATTAAAATTAAGAACTTCATCAAAACCACCATTAAGAAAGGAGAACAAGGCCAGGCATGGTGGCTCATGCCTGTAATTCCAGCACTTTGGAAAGCCGAGGTGGGCGGGACCAGCCTGACCAACATGGTGAAATACATGAAAATTATTTCACCAACGTGGTGAAATACCAAAAATACAAAAATTAGCCAGGTGTGGTGGCCCGCACCTGTAATTCCAGCTACTTGGGAGGCTGAGGCATGAGAATCGCTTGAACCCAGGAGATGGAGGTTGCAGTGAGCTGAGATCACACCACTGCACTCCAGCCTGGGTGACAGAGCAAGACTCCATCTCAAAAAAAAAGAAAAAGAAAAAAGAAAGTATGGCTGGGTGCAGTGGCTCACACTTGTAATCCTAACACTTTAGGAGGCCGAGGTGGGTGGAGGAGTTCGAGACCAGCCTGAACAACATGGTGAAACCCCATCTCTACTAAAAATACACAAAAATTAGCTGGGCATGGTGGCACATGACTGTAACCCCAGCTACTGGGGAGGCTGAAGCAGGAAAATTGCTTGAATCTGGGAGGTGGAGGTTGCAGGGAGGCAGAGGTTGCAGTGAGCCGAGATCACACCACTGCACTCCAGCCTGGATGATAGAGTGAGACTCCGTCTCAAAAAAAAAAAAAGAGGAAAGAAAATAAACGACAAGTCACAGAATGGGAAGGTATATTTGCAACATATTTATTCAACAAAGGAAAAATTAACTGGAAAAAAACAGTCGGATTAATCAATATGCAAACATCTGAAGGGATATTACATAAAGAAAGATATCCTAACAGCTAGCAAGCATGTAAAAATGCCCAACCTCGTTAGCTATCAGGGAAATGCAAATTCTGACTGGCATCATTAAGTGTTGCTGAAGATGTGAAGGAAATGGAATATTCACACATTACTGGTAGGCACGGGCATTGGCACAATTGCTTTGGAAAAATGTCTGACAACATATCTTAAAACTGAGTATGTGCATCACCTATAATCCAACAATCTTATTCCTAGGTATAAGCAACAGAAAAGTGTACATGTGTGTCCCAAAACCCATGTTCGAGAATGTCCAGAGCAGCACAATTTGTAATAGTTCCAAACTAAAAATAAAAGCTATCGGTCTAGAATGGAATGACTAAATAGAATGTGTGTACTTATAGAGCGTGGTTCTCCACCTCTGGCATGCATCAGAACCGCTTGGAGGCTGGTTAAACTGATTGCTGGGTTCCACCTGTCTATCTACACAGAACCGACCTTATATTTCCCCGCTCAGCTGCCTTTATCAAAATTAAGGATGTCTGCTGATCACCTCTTGAATGTTCTCTCCTCTCCCACATCAGCAAGAGGGAAAAAAAGAGGCAAAAGAGGCCCGGTTTCTCGCTATTAGGACAAACCCAAGGATATCTCTTATGTCAGGTGAGCCCTGTACCCCTGGCTTTGCTGAGATGCTTATGAGCATTTCCTCACATAACCCTGACAATATAATCAGGGCACAATTATGGTAGCCATCCTTATCACCATTTTATAGAAGAGGAATTGATCACTGGCTGGATTAATTGCAAAGCTCTAAAATTAGACAGTGGGGCTGGTTGCACAACTAATGTACTAAAGCCCAGCAGTACACGATTTTTAAAAAATTAATTTATTTTTGAGACAGGGTCTCTGTCACCCAGGCTGGAGTACAGTGGCACAATCGTTGCTTACTGCAGCCTTGACCTCCTGGGCTCATGATCCTCCTACCTCAGCCTTCCGAGTAGCTGGGACTATAGGTGCACACCATCATGAATGGCTAATTTTAGTTTTTGTAGAGACAAGGTCTTTGCTGTGTTGCCCAGACTGGTCTCAAATCCCTGGTCTCAAGCAATCCTCCTGCCTCGGCCTCTCGAACTGCTGGGATTACAGGTGTTAGCCACTGCACCCAGCCAATTCTACAATTGTAGATTCCCATTATGCCTCCTGAAGTTTCATGTTAAGAGATTCCCCTTCACTTCTAGGGCTAAAATACTAGTGGACTGTTCATATGATGGTTTCTGAATGACATGTGACAGCTTTTCAGCACCTGTATTATTTCATCCTGGGTTTCAGGACATCATGAGAAACACTTATCAACACCAGAGATACCATAATCTCTATCCCCAAACTACCTTGATGGTTACTGTTTCAATATAAACAATTACAAATGCAATCATTTAGATTTCTAATTTATTATTAAATTACATACCAAAGCTTCTTCTATACAGTCAGAAAATGCACATTTAGATGAGAACAAAAATTAAGTACAAATACAATAAAATTGGTTCCAAGAAGCTATTTTAAAAGCAAAAACTTACAAAGTGCATTTGGAAAACAATAGGTTTTAAAAATCTGTATTGGCATTTTTTCAAGAGGAAACATCTTCCATCACAGGAAAGTATGGTTGGAATTGATTTCCCTCCTCCCTTAAGAGCTAACAGGGTGGGAATGGATGCAAATACCTTGATATTAAAGTGAGCTCTCAGGTATCTTTTAATTTTTTTTGCAGAGACAGAGTCTTGCTACATTGCCCAGGCTGGTCTCAAACTCCTGGCCTCAAACGATCCGCCTGCCTTGGTCTCCCAAAGTGCTAAGATTACAGGCGTGAGCCACTGCACCCAGCCCTATTGTCATGGTTTTTCATATTTTTTCAGTGAAATGAAAAGTTTTGAGTGGTTACTTAAAAGGACCAAAAAGGAAAGATTCATTATAATAAGACAATAGTTGAGGGGGCATAACTTCCCCTAAGAGGTAACATTTGGATCCAGAAGTAGAAAATTCCTTCTGACCTCCTGGCTGTGACTAGCATTAACAAGTAACTAACTGTTAGCCTCTGAATCTGGTAACTGGTCCGTAAGGAGGACAGCAAAAAAGGAGAGAAAGCCAAGGTGGTTAAACAAAAAAGTTAAATGACATGGAGCTGAAAGAGCTCAAATCCCTTCATGGGATCCCCACGGAGCCCCTTCCTGTGGACACACACCTCTCTTCCCTTGCTGGAGGTTTCTTTCTGCAAAGAAACCCTAAGAGGAAAAAGCACTGGCCTAGCTGTCTACATGTGGCCCTGGGTCACCTTAGTATAGGCTGCAGCACGGAGAGGTTAGTCAGACCTATCTGACACCAACATCCATACCAAGCCTTTTAACTTCCTTGGAAGAACTGGTTTATTTTCATAAAGAAAATAACCAACATAATTCCATTACTTCACATAAGCAAAACCCTAATGGAAAGGCCCATCAGCCATCAACAGGGTTTGCTTGGCTGCAGTGAGCTAGACTAGCTTGTGTCCCAGTTCACTCTCACACAATCAGCTTTAATGAATGCACAAAAGAATCAGACCAGTAAAAAAGACTGGTAGTATAATTAAATAAATAACTTTATTTATGATACTTCAGATTTTATAAATGCCAACTACATAGCAAAGTCCCATAAATTTTAACCGAGACACAACCACCAATCAAGGCCCTTTGAAAAATCAAAGATAATAAAGTGTCAAGGGAGAAAAGTTTTGTTCTCCCAACAGAGAATTTAATCAATGAACTTACTTCTCTGATCATTTAAGGTTCACAATGGGAAAACTTCTTTTCTTTTAAGGGTACCCTGAATCAATTAACAGTCAATCAACCCACATTTAGAAAAATAAACCCCATAGTTAAGAAAAATATATCAAATGCCCTTCACACCCATAATGTAACAAAACTTTGACACCAGAATGAAAAACTTCTCAGTCTCTGTACCAAACCAGGTGTTAGTCCACCCATGAGCAAGTTCGCCTGAATAACAGCATCTATACACCATGATGTAGCTGAGAACTACAGCTGATATCCTTTTATTGCCTGTGGCTCGGACTGAAGCCAATACTATAAATACCACAGTGAATTCCAATGGTGAAGAGCAGCAGTGTAGATGTTGGAAGTCTACAAACCAGGCTGTAGTTCAGTAAGACAAGTCATGAATTTACAGAAACTAAGAAATGGTTAACTCGAAAAGAATTCTGGTGGCTGGCTTAAAATCTGTCACTGTCCAGGGATGGTAACAGAAGACAGGTGCAGAGAGAGACAGATTCTGCCACATGCACCCTCAACAGTGAAACCATTCTCTGGATGTTTGGAAATGCTTAACAGATTTGGAATGAACAGATTTTCACAGAACTCAGGATTCCTGGTACATCAGGCAGTAGTCCTTAAACTTTTGCCCATACGTTGTGGAGCATTTACAAAAGCAATTCTCTGGACAGTGAGCCCTCAATGCCTTTTTATATGTGGCTTCTTGAATAGATCACATTAGAAATTGAGCAGTCCCCTTCCTCAGCTACCAGTGTCAATGCTGGTATGAGGAGGAGCAGTGGGGGCACTGACAGACACTGGTGATTCGTTTCTTTTATCATAGTGGAACTGAGATTTCATTTCTTTTCAGTAGAAAATATTAATCCAAGGGAAGAATTAAAAAAAAAATGGAAACAATGACTGGTGCCTTAAATATAAGACTGTCATTCTTGATGTTTTTCCAGCAATACAGTTAACCCCAGTGTACTTGTAATTTAAAAGAAAAAGACAGTTTTACAGTGATCTCCATTTCAGACAACCTCAAACATGCTGAAGCTGGTCCATCAGCATCTCAAAGAATCTATGAAAAACAGAATTTTCCCCAAATATCAACAGAGTTGAGGAGACAGAGTAGAAATCTATAGCACAGATCATCAAGAAAGAACTTGTGATTTCTCATTATGAGTGTAAAATAAGAGGACAAGAATTATTATTATATTATTTTTTTTTTAATTGATCATTCTTGGGTGTTTCTCGCAGAGGGGGATTTGGCAGGGTCATAGGACAATAGTGGAGGGAAGGTCAGCAGATCAACAAGTGAACAAAGGTCTCTGGTTTTCCTAGGCAGAGGACCCTGCCGCCTTCCGCAGTGTTTGTGTCCCTGGGTACTTGAGATTAGGGAGTGGTGATGACTCTTAAGGAGCATGCTGCCTTCAAGCATCTGTTTAACAAAGCACATCTTGCACCACCCTTAATCCATTTAACCCTGAGTGGACACAGCACATGTTTCAGAGAGCACCAGGTTGGGGGTAAGGTCATAGATCAACAGGATCCCAAGGCAGAAGAATTTTTCTTAGTACAGAACAAAATGAAAAGTCTCCCATGTCTACTTCTTTCTACACAGACACGGCAACCATCCAATTTCTCAATCTTTTCCCCACCTTTCCGCCTTTTCTATTCCACAAAACCGCCATTGTCATCATGGCCCGTTCTCAATGAGCTGCTGGGCACACCTCCCAGATGGGGTGGTGGCCAGGCAGAGGGGCTCCTCACTTCCCAGTAGGGGCGGCCGGGCAGGGGCGGCCGGGCAGAGGCGCCCCCCACCTCCCTCCCGGACGGGGCGGCTGGCCGGGCGGGGGGCTGATCCCCCCCACCTCCCTCCCGGACGGGGCGGCTGGCCGGGCGGGGGGCTGACCCCCCCACCTCCCTCCCGGACGGGGCAGCTGCCCGGGCGTAGACGCTCCTCACTTCCCAGATGGGGTGGCTGCCGGGCGGAGGGGCTCCTCACTTCTCAGACAGGGCGGCTGCCGGGCGGAGGTCTCCTCACTTCTCAGACGGGGTGGCCAGACAGAGACGCTCCTCACCTCCCAGACGGGGTCGCGGCCGGGCAGAGGAGCTCCTCACATCCCAGACGGGGCGGCGGGGCAGAGGCGCTCCCCACATCTCAGACGATGGGCGGCCGGGCAGAGACGCTCCTCACTTCCTAGATGGGATGGCGGCTGGGAAGAGGCGCTCCTCACTTCCTAGATGGGATGGCGGCCGGGCAGAGGCGCTCCTCACTTTCCAGACGGGGTGGCGGCCGGGCAGAGGCTGCAATCTCGGCACTTTGGGAGGCCAAGGCAGGTGGCTGGGAGGTGGAGGTTGTAGTGAGCCGAGATCACGCCACTGCACTCCAGCCTGGGCACCATTGAGCACTGAGTGAACGAGACTCCGTCTGCAATCCCGGCACCTCGGGAGGCCGAGGCAGTCAGGCGTGGCGGCGCTCGCCTGCAATTGCAGGCACTCGGCAGGCTGAGGCAGGAGAATCAGGCAGGGAGGTTGCAGTGAGCCGAGATGGCAGCAGTACAGTCCAGCTTCGGCTCGGCATCAGAGGGAGACCGTGGAAAGAGGGAGACCGTGGGGAGAGGGAGAGGGAGAGGGAAGAATTATTTTTATTCACAATCCAATCTGGCAGCTAAAAGAAAAGCAGTCTTTGGATGTAGAAACCTGGTTTTCTGAAGAGCCCAGCTGTAAGACCTGGCTTGTCATTAGGCTTCAACACTATCATGGAAACACAGAAAACTCTGTTTTTGATTGGTTTACCTGCCTCCTAGGGAGACAAAAGCAACTGAAAACCTTTTTTTTTTTTTTTTAATTAAAAACAGAAAAATGTGTTAGAAAACACAGCACAGAGAAACTGTGGCTTCAGCTCAACCTGACCATGTCACAGAGTCCATCACTGTCAGTCTTGCATTCATCCTGCTGGTCAGGCTAATTATCAAGACAGTCAACTTCTCCCTCCGATGTTTCCTTATTCCAGACCAGGGTGTGAAAGCGGTGGCTGTCAAGAGTCCCTGAAGATGTCCCATCAATGGAACGCATACAGCAGCAACAGGATGGTACAGATCCCAATAACACCCCCTAGGATGAGCGAGTCCCGCCGCTTCCTCAGGTTGATCCTCTGGATCAGGCTGTTTACAGCAGGAAAACGATCTTTGGGAAATCTTTATTAAGGTCATATTTGGAAGAAGCCTCTCTGGCGAAAAGTCGTAGGAATCACAAAAATAGAGATCAGTGGTGTCTAGAAACAGTGATGAAAGGCATGGGGAAGAAACTCACACCAAGGGAATCTTTAGCAGATGCAGTTGCCCAAACCGGGAACGCGCTGCGGCTCAAGGCCCCTAACCAATACACATCTCCCAGTCTTGTGTGTAACACAAATAAGAATAGTAATAGAGAGAGAGGGAGAAGAAAAGGACGATGACAGTTCCCAAGCACTGAGGGCTTACTGCCAGGCTTCAGGTCAGGGTGGGAGCCAGCGTGGCCAGGAATGGAGGAACTCTGGCAGGGAGGCACAGGCATAGCCAGCTCCCATCGCCACCACCACCCATTTCCCTCCCTTTCCTCATTTTCCTTCTCTTTTCCTCTTCTCTCAGGAGACTGGGGAGTTCTGCCTGAGAGTTTGAAGAAATACCTGATCTTTTCCCGCCTTAGATTCAGGCAATTCATGGGAACCAACTCTAAGGTCTATATAATCAGACACTGGTGAATTATTAATATTTTCAAAGTTACTTCGCAGCAGAAGGCAGATACAGGAGGAAAGTGGACTAAACTTTAGCCCTGACCCACACCCATTTTTTTTGATTTTTTTTTTTTTTGAACACATTCTTTTGGAGTAATTGTAAAATTCCCATGTGACTTATTTGTATGAGGCGCTATGCTAGGTTCCAGTATACTACTTTGCCTTAAGGGAACTTAGTGTTGGGCTGGGCAGGGTGGCTCACACCTATAATCCCAGCACTTTGGGAGGCCAAGGCTGAAGGACTGCTTGAGCCTAGGAGTTTGAGACTCGCCTGGGCAACATGGTGAAACCCCATCTCTACAAAACATACAAAAATTAGCCGGGCATGGTGGCACGTGTCTGTAGTCCCAGCTACTCAGAAGGCTGAGGCGGGAGGACTGCATGAACCTGAGAGGCTGGAGGTTGCAGTGAGCTGAGATCGTGCCACTGTACTCCAGCCTGGATGGTAACAGGGTGAGACTCTGTCTTAAAAAAAAAAAAAAAAAAAAAAAAAAAAAGAGAGAGAGAACTTATGGGAGAGATGCTTACAGAGCAGTAGAGAAGAGGTCACAAAGAAGAGTGGTGGTAAATTCTAATGAACAATTGAGAAAGGCTTTAGTGTTTTAAATCATCAGCTATCTGACTCACACTTCTATTTCAAAGTTTCAAAAGTTTCACTAAATACAAACTCTTAAATTCACTGATCAGCTTTTCTGGCTGGCAATTGAGTTCATAGTTTAGTAAAATGAGATAATGTATATAACAGCACTCTGTAAATTTTATAGCCCTATCTAAAATGTGATTTTAGACATGTGGTTTTATACTTAGGGTGACAAGGCAAGAACAAAATTCACAGTGGACTGGAGAATAACAGCACACATCAGGAGAGTCTTTTCCTTAGGCAAAGACATATCAAACTAAAAGTGAACTCAAATTATCTAGGACTACAAGATACTCAGCTTTTGAAAATTCTAGGTTCCTCCCCCTTTGGCAGTTGGGGAGGAAAGCTTTTTGCCTAGAAGGCTTGTCTTTTCAGAGGTTCGCTGAATGAAATGACTCAGAGTGCCAGGCTTTTCTGGTTCCCTAGTGGGTTTCTGGGAAGTATTAATAATCCTAATTTAAAACAGAAAACTGAAACATTTTAAAGTAGAGGTTACAACAAACAAGTGGAGAATGTATCCTAGAATTCAGCCTGTGCATAGAGTTACAAACTCCATCAGTAGCTATAGCTCATCTGCACGGGTGGCTGTCTCCTTCCTTCCCCCTTCCAAGCATCTGCCACTGACTTATCTCTAAATGGGAAAAACAACAAAGGCATATAATTTATCATGTTTAGGTAAGAATAATGTATAGTGTGGAGTTCTAACATGAATTTAAAAGCTTTCTAAAATGTAGAAGAAATTGGTGGATAATTTTTAAATTCACATTTATAATTTTTTTCTTCTACATCTAGTAGTAAGAAACTTCTGAGGTGCAGTCTTTTAGGAATGGTACTAAAGAGCATAAACTTTCACAAAGTAGGAATGCACAGTATATTCATATTATGCAATTACTGATGGGCTCTACTGCTACTGATGATGGCAACCTGCCCCCTATAAAAGCACACACAGACACTTCTCCCCTCTACCCTCAAAACACAGACTGCGAACATTCAAAAAGGATACTGGCCAAAGTGTTCATTTTGCTGTGAATTGACTTCAACATTCCTCTCTGTGAAGTCATATTTTCTTTTGTTGCCATAGCAATGCTGCAAGGGGAAAAAAAGATGACAAATCACCATTTAAGATTATCCTGCCTGGAACCATCATGCCTTTAAAAGTGAAAGAAAACTACAGTGAGCAACATCATCTTAGAAAGCACTGTGCCAGAAAATAAGGGGAAAAAATCACTTCCGAAGCCACTTTACCACTGCGCTTTTTCCAAATGACTCCACTGTTCTCTGATATCTTTTTATACAAGGCAGTAAGCCACTTCCTATGTTTGCTTCAAAATAACAAACAAAATAAGGCATAAACAGACAAATCACATATTACAAAAGCTTCTTAAAATTTAAAGTTTAAAAACTTTAAAAAGTTTAAAAAGAGTTTAAAAAGAAGCCAGCTACTAAAATATCTTTAATCAGGAAAAACTGTTGAAAGGGAATTATAATTATAAAAATAGAAAAGAAATATAAAATATCATAAAATGTGAATACACAACCAGCCCTTAATTTATGAAGAGATTATGTTCCAAAATTCTACTTGAGAACCAACTAGGCATGCATGCAACATTATGCTGGGTTTCCATGATGGCTGACAAAGGTCACAGACTCATTAAACGTGGCTAAAACAGCTGGGTGTGGTGGCTCACGTCTGTAATCCCAGCACCGAATTTGGAAGACCGAGGTGGGAGGATCACTTGAGCCCAAAAGTTCAAGACCATCCTGGGCAATGTGGTGAAATCCCAACTCTACCAAAATAAAAAATTAGCTAGACATGTGTGCCTGTAGTCCCAGCTACTCGGGAGGCTGAGGTGAGAGGATCAATTGAGCCCAGGAGGGGGGGGCTACAGCGAGCTGTGATGGAGCCACTGCACTCTAGCCTGAATAATGGAGCGAGACCCTGTCTCAAAAAAAAGAAAAGATTAAAGAGAAAAGAGAAAGTCACTTTTGGTCGAACACAATCTCTTCCCTGTGACTACCTTGATGTCCTGTTTAAAAGATCTCTTGAGTTAATATCCTTTTTTTGGGGGGGGTTGGGGGTTGGGGGACAGGGTCCTGCTCCGTCACCCAGGCTGGAGCCCAGTGGTGTGACTGTGGCTATTGCAGCCTTGACTCCCTGGGCTCAAGCAATCCTCCCACCTCAGCCTCCTGAGTAGCTGGGACTACAGGCATGTGCCATCATGCCTGGCTAATTTTTTTTTTCTAATTTTTAAATTATTTCTAGAGATGGGGTCTCCCTATGTTGCCCAGGCTGGTCTCAAACTCCTGGGCTCAAGCCATCCTCCTACCTCCGCCTCCCAAAGTGCTGGAGTTATAGGTGTGAGCCACCAAGCTTGGCCCTAAGTTAGTATCATTTTGCTATCACTTCCAGGATTATTCATTTCCCATAGTCTTATCTCTCTGGACATTAGAGCCCTAGAGGGCAGGGTCAGTATCCACTTTGATATGTAACACTCAGAGGAGTGCTTTGCATGTTGACATTATAAATAGCAACAGAAAATGAAATGCTGTTGAGCAATTTTGAAAATATCTATTTTTTTTTTTTTTTAAATCAAGAGATTGAGATTTGGGGAAGATGATGGTGAGAGTATAAATTCCTGACTTGACCTTTGGTCCATTTCCTCCATGGAGTAGCACAAGAATAAAAGCAGACACACTAAGGAGGGTCCATCTGAGGCCCCAAGTTCCCTTGAGATCTCCAGGGAAGAAAGCCAGGTAGAGGGCTATACTCTCTGAAGTGAAGAGAGAACCAGGGAACTGACAGCAGGGAAGCTTAGATTTTTCTTCAAGCTTGAGGCAAAGACCTAGGGCTTCCTTGCTTCCTGAGGAACCCAGACAGTGGAAGACTATGGATCTGCATACACAGGGGTTGCAGTGAAATTGCTCCCAGGCACTGAAGCTGGGAAAGGACTGCTACATGCAGCCAGAAAGATGACAAGCAGAGAGCCGATAGTCTTGTAGCTGGTGTGATGCCCAGCCCCTAAGGGAAGAGCCCAGTGATGGATGCATCACTGCCTGATATGCCATTGCTTAAGAGGCTCTCATAGCTGGATCTATCTGGGAGCTGAGTGAACACATTTTTGGCCAGGTAAGGTCTCACAGAGTAAACCACCATGTATCTTATTGAAGGGAAATGCTAGAAGGAATATTCTAAACAAATGACACATGAATCAAAACTTGAATTTCAAGATTTGAGATGGCAAAAGAGAAACAAAAGTGTGTAAGGAGGTATATACAGGTTGAACATCCCTAATCTGAAAATCAGAAATCCCCAAGACTTCTGGTCCCAAGTATTTTGGATAAGCAACATTCAATCTGTAAAAGAATATTTGTTGAAGCATTTTTGGAATAGTAAAAAATGAACAACAACAGCAAAAAGACCAAAAAAAAAAAATCCCCCAAAACTGGAAGTAACATTTGAATGGTATAATAGATTATGATATAACCATACTTTGGTTATTAAAAAGGATGAGTTAGTATTATTTCTATTAACACGAAGGGGTGTTTATAACATATTGAGTGATTAAAGCAAGCTACGGAATGTGCAGAATATCAATGCTGTAATATTTTCAGAAACAAACACCCTTGGGGATGTTTGTATGACAGTGAAAAAGTTGTATATCAGTAAGATACACAATTGTCACTTAACACAAGTTACTTCAGAGGTTAAGAATGGAGGGGTACTACCAGGAGATTGACTTTTCCTTTATCCATTTTAGTATTAGTTAAGTTGTTACAATAAGAACATTTTGATAATATACAAATGTACTTCGATAATATATAAATATCTAATAAAGAAAAATGAAAAGAACATTAGAAAAATCCCACCTGAGTGATTAAGAAATGTTAACAACATCTGAAGCTACACACACACACAAAATTAACATGGACATGCTAGGATTTAGATCACTTTCAACTGAAATCACAGGCAGTGATTACATAGTATTTGGGTATTTAAAAAAATGAGTTAGGGCTAGGCGCGGTGGCTCATGCCTGTAATCCCAGCACTTTGGGAAGCCAAGGCAGGTGGATCACTTGAGGCCAAGGAGTTCAAGACCAGCCTGGCCAACATGGTGAAACCTCTTCTCTACTAAAAATACAAAAATTAGCCAGGCGTGGTGGTGAGCGCCTGTAATCCCAGCTACTGGGAGGCTGAGGGTGAAGAATCACTTGAAGCCCAGGAGACAGAGGTTGCAGTGAGCTGAGATCGCGCCACTGCACTCCAGCTTGGGTGACAACACAAGACGCAGTCTCAAACAAAACAAAACAAAGTTAGTATTTCTATTAACTTGAAGGGATGTTTATAACATATTGAGTGATTAAAGCAAGCCACAGAATGTATAGAATATGAATCCTCTAATAATTACAGAAACAAACATCTTTGGGGATGTCTGTATGACAGTGAAAAAGGTATCAGAAGGATACACAACTGTCAGTTAACACAAGTTGCTTCAGGGGTTAAGAATGGAGGGGTACTACCAGGAGACTGACTTTTTCTTTTTCTTTTTTTTTGTTTGAGACGGAGTCTTGCTCTGTCACCCAGGCTGGAGTGCAGTGGCGCGATCTTGGCTCACTGCAACCTCCGCCTCCCAGGTTCATGCCATTCTCCTGCCTCAGCCTCCTGAGTAGCTGGGACTACAGGCGCCTGCCACCACGCCCAGCTAATTTTTTGTATTTTTAGTAGAGACGGGGTTTCACCGTGTTAGCCAGGATGGTCTCGAACTCCTGCCCTCGTGATCCGCCCGCCTCAGCCTCCCAAAGTGCTGGGATTACAGGCGTGAGCCACCGCGCCCGGCTGACTTTTTCTTTATCCGTTTTAGTATTATTTAAGTTGTTACAATAAGAACACTGTACTTGTATAATATACAATATACAAGTGTCTAATAAAAGAAAAATGAAAACATTAGAAAAATTCCACTTGATTAAGAAACGTTAAATAACATTTGAAGCTACACACACAATTAACATGGACACACTAGGATTTGGATCACTTTCAACTGAAATCACAGGCAATATCTGCAAATTTAGAAAATGAAAAGTCCTAGAGAATATTACAGTTCTTCCAGGGTCCTGATTTCCTATGTGTTTTAATGCTGACAATCCCATCTTCCCAATACTTTTAGGCCTATTCTAGAAAAATATCTGTTCATGTGGAGATATTATGGTCTGGTCTTTTGAAATGACATTTCAGAATAAAGAAATGTAACTGGGTAAAACTAAAACAAACAAAAAAATACATTAGCAGCTCCAAATCCACCACTGTGATGCACCTCAATAAAATTATGAGTCAAGCAATGATTTTAAAAAGTTTTCCACAGATCTCAGAAATGCTCAAGAATGGAAGGGATCACTCTCTCTGAGGGCAGAACTGTGGAGTAGGGTTAAAAATGGAGATTTGTAGAAATTTGTACAAGGAGTTGCCATAACCCAAAATTGCCCTTCCTAACGCATGCAGCTAGGTGGCTGCCCCTAGTCCAGTAGAAGACCTAGCTCAGGAGAAGAGACATAGAGGTCTGGCAATTTGAAGTCCCCAGTGAAACAGCCAGGTCCGCCTGATCACGCATGGTGAGGCCTAACACTCAACAAGTGTCACCACCCTATGCTCACAGGATGAGTTTCCCAACACACATTCTTTTCACAACATGGAGAAACACCATGTCTACAGAAAAATACAAAAAAAAAAAAAAAAAATTAGCTGGGCATGGTGGTGTGTGCCAGTAGTACCAGCTATTCAGAATGCTGAGGTGGGAAGATTGCTTGAGCCCAGAAGGTCAAGGCTGCAGTAAGCCATGATCATGTCACTGCACTCCAGCCTGGGTAACAGCAATGAGTGACTGGAAGCTCATCCTCTTTTGGAGTCACACCCTTAAATATGAAGGAACAGCCAATAATCACTAGATGTGTGAGGAGGTAACATGAAAGGCAGAGTTCAAATAAACCACCCAGCAAACAGAAAAGTGAGGCTGAGCAAACAGGGCAATAAAGGAAGCTCAAGAAACTCTAAAATAAAATTACATTTAATGTTTTCAGAGAGATAAAAGATTACTACATCCACAAAACATACACATAAATGTGTGTATCTGTCTCTCACGAAAGAGCTCATGTAAATTAAATGAAGAGCTGATATAAAAATGTAATAGAAGAATTGGAAGGAGAAATTCAGTAAATCTCCCAGAATGTTAAACAAAAAGATCAACAGAAACAGAGAGAAGGTAAGAAAGGATCAATTCAGAAGGCCCAACACATAACCTTTTTAATATTTTTTTGCATGAAACAACAGAGAAAGAAGAGGGAAGAAAATGATAAAGAACGTTAAGATAATTTCCAAGAACTGAAGATGAGTTTCCAGATTGTAAGAGTTCACTCAATGCCCAGAGCATTGGACTGGAAAAGACGCATGCCACTGTGGACTTTAGAAGCATGCCAGCCTGGACTTTAGAAGCAATGCCTTTAAAAATTTCAAAATTATTTCCAACTCAGAATTCTATCTTGGTTAGGTTAAATAATGAATCAAGAATACGAGCAGAATAAAGACTTTTTGGATGTGGGCAGTCCAAAACAATTTACCTCCTGTTCTTTCTCAGGAAGTTACTAAGGACATGGTTCAGCATAATAAGGGAATAAAGTAAGAAAGTGGAAGGCACTAATCCCAAGTAGGTAATCCAATAGAGGAAATTATTTTAGGGTAATGGAGGAAGGACATCTAGGACCAGAACAATGTTGGAGGTGTAGAGAATCACCAGTCAAGATTAGAGCAGAAGGAGGGAGCGATGTCAACCACACAATACACTGAATTTTTGATCCCCAAATGAAAGGAACACAAGAAGAGCTTAACAAACAACTTCCTTTGCATCATTTAGTTCTTATTCATAATTTTTCAGTTTGAGAGATTATGACAAAATGTGATACATTGAAAATGTGGCTGTTTTGTAGAAAAGTTTACAAGGTATTGCAAGTAGATACTATGGTCTTGTATAAAGTAACAGCTTTCAAACCTATGCTGGCCCATATATCAATCTTTGAATGATATATTATTATTTTTTTGAGACACGGCCTCACTGTGCCATGCAGGCACGGCTGCAGTAGCACCATCATGGCAGCCTTGACCTCATGGGTGCAAGTGCTCCTCCTGCCTCAGCCTTCCAAGTGGTTGGCTTACAGATGTGCACCACCATGCCTAGCTTTTTAGAAACAATTTTGTAAAGATGGGGTCTCACTATGTTGCTCTGGCTGACTCGAGTTTCTGGCCTCAAGCAGTCCTCCCGCCTCAGCCTCCCAAAGTGTTAGGATCATAGGTGTGAGCCACCATGCTGGGCCTGCTTCTGTTTTTCAAACTGGAACTATCACCATTTCCTGTAGACTTTGACTCACAAGTGGACAGAGGTTAAAAAATAATTTCTGCAAAGCACTTTGTATTCCTTGGGGAATAGATATCATCATCATACATTATGTTAACTTGTTGAAGATGCATGATTTCCAGTACCACAAAGTATATCTAGACATACTTTCTCATCTCATTTCATGACTCAGAGTCAAGCAGAATGAAATCTAGGCTGTTATTTCAAGGGTCAAATATTTAGAAGCAAAATATAAGCTCTAAATAATACATAATGCTTTTAAAATGATAAATCATTGATATGCTTACAGGAACTTCAACTTTCTTACCTGTTACCTGCTCTGTGAACTGAACTCAGTCACCTTTTTTTCAACAACAGATAATACAAGTCATACATTTAAAGGTTAGAAATGAATTTATAAATGTTAAAAATGCTAGTTCTTTTCAATAAGTTGATGTCAAAGTCTATATTCAGTTGCTCACATAGTTTTAAAATGTATCTCTAAAAGGAAAAGGTAAATTTTTCCATATGGAATATGCAAAAATACTATTTGACACAAACTTTATATTCTTCATAAGAAATCATAACTAGCTTTATACTCAGTGAAACTTTTCTTGTAATGCCTATCATATTTTGAAACAAGGGAAAATACTGAAATAAAAGACCTAATAACATGTTTTCTAACTAGCAAAATAATAGTAACAATTCAATGGTTCTCAATTGTTCCTTTTAATTTCTTTTTTGCCCTATGAGGTACCCCAAGTTTTTATACTCATATTACCAGCCCTTAAATAGGCCAGTTCTGAAGTGAAAGCTTAATTAAGGCAGCCTGGCCCTAGAAGAGCAGGCAGAAAGAAAGGGAAATAAAGGAAAAAAGAAAAAGGATGATTGGGAAACTTTAAGTAAAGAATTCCTGGCAAAATGTGATCAGATCTCATGTGCTGATGAAAAGGAAAAAGTTACAAGGAAGAAACTTCAGTCAACATAAGGAAATTCTGTGAAAACTTTCTTCAGGTGGAAGGCTCAGCACATACAATTTAAACAAAAATTCAAGACACAATCATGGCTTACTGTTATAAAAGACTAAAATGTATTAAGATGATTAATGATGGAAAATATTCCAATCCACTGAATAAAGAATCCATGAAGCCATACAAAAGAAACAGATATTTAGGAAACGAACACTGAAATATTTAGGAGTAAAGAGCATCAATGTATGTTAAACTTTGTAGAAGTTGGGTAAAGGGTATATAGGACTTCTTTTCACTACTGAAATTTTTCTGAAATCTGAAATGATATCCAAATAAAAAGCTAAAAAAGAAAGGATTGGTATTAATAATATAGCTACCATTTACAGATTACCTAGTATTAGATCAGGCATTTTCCTCACATTATCCTTAACAGTCTTACAGATAAGTATTATCATCAATACTATATTTTTAAACAGATAAGAAAATGAAAGTTCCAAGAAGTTAATTATCTAAAGAACAGAAATCTAAGATCTAATAAACAGCACAGGCAGGTTCCAAACCAAATCAGACCCAAAACCTTGTATTCTTTCTGCAATGTGGTAAATATAGCAGTGGTTTAAATAGAGCTCTGTTTCTAGAGTTGGACTAAGACTGAATCAGGATCTGAATCCTTAATACTATTTACTAGTCATGTGACCACAGGCAAATTACTTAATTTCTTTTTTGTTTTGGAGATAGTTCCTAATGATTTGTGTCTATCTAATGGGTTATTGAGAAAATCAAATAAAATAATGCATGCAAAGTACTTTTAGCACAGGTCCAATATCCATGGTAAGAATACAAATGTGGCTGGGCGCAGTGGCTCACACCTGTAATCTCTGCACTTTAGGAGGCCAAGGTGGACAGATCACCTGAGGTCAGGAGTTCGGGACCAGACTGGCCAACATGATGAAACCCTGTCACTACTAAAATTACAAAAAATTAGCCAGGCATGGTGGGACACACCTGAAATCCCAGCTACTCAGGAGCCTGAGGCAGGAGAATCACTTGAACCCAGGAGGCGGAGGTTGCAGTGAGCCAAGATGGCACCACTGCACTCTAGCCTGGGCAACAAGAGTGAAACTCCATCTAAAAAAAAAAAAAAATACAAATGTTTGTTATTGTCATGTACTTTGATTTACCTTTCCTGAAAACCAATGCTTTACACATTGGTGAATTCTAGAGCACAGAGACCTAGTTAATGTACTTTTTTACTGTCATAAAATAGATACTTTAAAATTCATCAAACCTAGAAAGCTAAGCAGTTCAAAACAAGAAATAAATGTCCCTTAACTTAAGCAAGAAACTAGTTCAATGTTATTACAGATACTATGAACTATTACTGCAGTAGATTTTCTGCAGGTGCTATAACAGCAAAGTCTATATGAATGGCATAAAGTTATTTATCAAATTATGCTTTAAATCACTTTGCTTTAAAAAGTGGGAATAAAAAGACTGAGATTGAAAATATTAAGTATAAATTAATTGGAAAAATTAACCTAAGTAAAACAGCTTAATTAAAGTAACTATGGAAATGTTACTTTGGGTGTCAAACGTCTCTTGTAAGGAAAGGACATAGTAAAAATTTCATCTTTAAGGAGGATAAACGAACTTTGATCTGTTCATTAAAATGTTTTTTCTTTAATTCTAAAACAGCTGTAACACTGTTCATTAAATTTACGTGCAAACAAACAAAAACCAACAAAGCAAAACAAAAACTTATTCCTACCTTATTGTCTCTTCTATCAGACGATCTGAGCTGCAAATAAAAAGAAAAATTCAAATTCTGAATTTACTAAATGCACATGTAAAACCTGTATTAATTTTTCTACATCTATAAACTTTTTAGTCATTTATGTATACAGAATGTCTAGCTTTTTCAAAGCATCTGGAGAAAATTCTGGACTCTAATTTTTTTCTTTTTTAAGACAGAGTCTCGCTCTGTCACCTGGGCTGGAGTGCAGTAGTGTAATCTCAACTCACTGCAGCTGCCGCCTCCTAGGTTCAAGCTATTCTCCTGCCTCAGCTTCCCAAATAGCTGCGAATACATGCACCCGCCACCATGCCTGGCTAATTTTTGTATTTTCACTAGAGATGAGGTTTCGCCATGTTGGCCAGGGTGGTCTTGAACTCCTGACCTCAGGTAATCTGCCCACCTCGGCCTCCCAAAGCTCTGAGATTACAGATGTGAGCCACTGTGGCTGGCCTGGACTTCGAAATAAATTTAATTTCATTCGCATACAATATATATAATTTCCATCTTACGACCAGGCACGGTGGCTCACGCCGGTAATCCCAGCACTTTGGGAGGCCAATGCAGGCAGATCACTTGAGGCCAGGAGTTCGAGACCAGCCTGGCCAACATGGCGAAACTCTGTCTCTACCAAAAATACAAACATTAGCTGGGTATGCTAATGTGTGCCTGTAGTCCCAGCTACTCGGCAGGCTGAGGCACGAGAACTGCTTGAACCCGGGAGGCATAGGTTGCAGTGAGCCGAAATCATCATGCCACTGCACTCCAGCCTGGGCCATAGAGCAAGACTCTGTCTCAAAAAAACTCCAAACAAATAATTTCTATCTCACTTTCGTTAGCTTAAATCTATTTTTTCCACAGAGATACCTGACAATTAGAGTCAGAACAGTTTTAATGACAGCATAAAGAAATGAACTTTCTCTTTAAATAGCTCAAAGTTGTCACTATCATCTATTCAGAACTTAAGAATCAGAACCAACTTGTTGAGACAGGATAGGCAAATATAATTCTGATGTCTATAAGTAGTAAATATTTACATCTTAATGTTTATTTCTTTTTTGGGAAACAGGCTTTTTTTTAACTAAAATTTCAGCTTACTAAACTTTAGAATTCAAGAATCTTAAGAAACCAAATACACCTTTTATCTGTAAATTGTCTGCCTTTATGCAGCACACACTGGAAAGAAAGAAACAAACAAAGCCATTTTAGGGAGAAATGAATAGGTAAAGTTTGGAAAAGGGCCATCTTTACAGCAGAAGTAGGAAAACAAACTTCTAGACATCTGTATCCACTTGGCATAAAGTACACAGTAGGCACTCAAATAAATATCTGCATGTATTTTTCCAACTACTTATTTCCAAAAGAATTTCTAAGTTCATGCTACGAAGTCAAGGTTTCATTATAAATTAGTGGACTAGGTAATCTAAGTTACTGCATATATTAGGGAACAAATGAGCTTTAAAAAGTCATAAATACCGGCCGGGTGCTGTGGCTCATGCCTGTAATCCCAGCACTTTGGGAGGCCAAGGCAGGTGGATCATGAGGTCAGAAGTTCTTGACCAGCCTGGCCAATACAGTGAAACCCCATCTCTACTAAAAAATACAAAATTTAGCTGGGCACGGTGGCTCACACCTGTAATCCCAGCACTTTGGGAGGCCAAGGCAGGTGGATCATGAGGTCAGGAGTCCTTGACCAGCCTGCCCAACACAGTGAAACCCCATCTCTTCTAAAAAATACAAAAATTAGCTGGGCATGGTGGCGGGCACCTGTAATCCCAGCTACTCGGGAGGCTGAGGCAGGAGAATCGCTTGAACCCAGGAGGTGGAGGTTGCAGTGAGCCGAGATTGCGCCACTGCACTCCAGCCTGGGCGACAAGCTAGACTCCGTCTCAGGAAAAAAAAAAAGTCATAAATACCATATATAAATCCTGTTATTAAAAATTTCAAAAATTACAAAGACGGTAGTGAAAGACAGACTGTGGCTATTTAAATGCTGAATCTACCACTTATTAGTTATTTGACACAGGGCAAGTTTCTCCATGCCCCAGTTTTCTCATCTGTAGACTAGCAAGGATAATAAAACCTACTTGTTCAAATAAAGGGGTTTGTATAGTGATTGGATCAGTACCTGGCACACAGTAAGTGTCAAGTATTTTTTGCTATTAGTTTCTCAATAACTACACATTGTAAATCTAAGCAGAAAATTGATATAAATTTCCAGATAAACTCACTATTCTGATGAAATCTATGATTATTAACTATGCACTTACTCTTCTAACAAACATGTATAGAAGCACCCCTGAAGGGCACTGGGTCAGAAAGTGGCTACAAAGATATGGCACTAACCTGCCAAGATCTTACAATGGAGATAGACAAGACACATGCCAAAAGGCATCTGGTGAAGTGGCCACAAGGTCACAAAAAAGGGGGTTAACTTGGGTTAATACCTCCTTCTTCAATATAATGGTTTGGCTGACTGTCTTCATCAGGGCCACTTAGCACATTAAAGAGCATAAACATAAGATATTCCAAAATCTAGGAAGTATAATATGAACATAAAGATTTATATTGCCCAAATCAACAAACTAGTTTTGTGCCAACAGCCTTAATGAAGATAAAATAAATGAAATAAACTACTAAATAAAGTAAAAAAGAGCAAACAATCTATTAATTTACTAATTTTGTTAAGAATAATGATAGCTAATACTCACAGAGAGCTTACTATGAGCCACGTCCTATCCTAAATGTCTTACTAAACAAGTTAAAACATAACTTCATCCTCCCAACAAATCTATGAGATTGATTCTAAAATTCTCTTCACTTAGGAAAAACTGGGGCCTTGAGAGATTTCTCTGTACCATAAGATGCTGTTTGGTAGCATTTTGCCCCCAGTAGAGCTTGTTTCAAAATTGGAGTCAGTCCTCTCAAACCCCTCTGCTGCTTTATCAACTAAGTTTCTACACTCTTCTGAATCCTTTGTTGTCATTTCAACAATGTTTACAGCGTCTTCACCAGTAGAATCCATCTCAAGAAACCACTTCTTTTGCTTATCTGTTAAAATCAACTCCTCACCTGTTTACGTTTTATCATGAGATAAGATTGCCGCACAATTCAGTCACATCTTCAGGCTCCGCTTTCTAACTTTTTTTTTTTTTTTTTTTTTGAGACAGAGTCTTGCTGTGTCGCCCTGGCTGGAGTGCAATGGCACAATCTTGGCTCACTGCAGCCTTCGCCTCCTGGGTTCAAGTGATTCTTCTGCCTCAACCTCCCGAGTAGCGGGGATTACAAGTGTGTACCACCACACCCAGCTAATTTTTGTATTTTTAGTAGAGTTGGGGTTTCACTATGTTGGCCAGGCTGGTCTCAAACTCCTCACCTCGGGTGATCCGCTCCTCTTGGCTTTCCAAAGCGCTGGGATTACAGGATTACAGGCATGAGCCACCACACCCAGCTCAGGCTCCACTTCTAATTCTAGTTCTCTTGCTAGTTCTGCCACATCCGCAGTTATTTTCTCCACTGAAGGCTTGAACCCCTCAAAGTTATTCATGACGGTTGAAATCAATTTCTTCCAAATTCCTGTTAATGTTGATATTTTGACCTCCTCATGAATGTTCTTAATGGCATCTAGAATGGGGACTCCTTTCCAGAAGGCTTTCAATTTACTTTGCACAGATCCATCAGAAGAATAACTATCTATGGCAGCTTTAGCCTTGCAAAATGTATTTCTTAAATAATAAGACTTAAAAGTCAAAATCACTCCTTGAACCACAGGCTTCAGAATGAATGCTGTGTCGGCTGGCATGAAAACAGCACTCCTCTCCTTGTACATCTCCATCAGAGGTGCACTGTCAAAGAGTAGTAATATTTTGAAATAATTCTTTTTTTTCTGAGCAGTAGGTCTCCAGAGTGGGCTTAAAATATTCAGCAAACCATGTGGTAAACAGATGTGCTGTCTTCCAGGCTTTGTTATTCAATTTAGAGAGCACAGGCAGGGTAGATTGAGCATAACTGTTAAGGGCTCTAGAATTTCTGGAATGGTAAATACACAATGGCTTCAATTTAAAGTCACCAGCTGTATCAGCACCTAAAAAGACAGTCAGCTGTCCTTTGAAGCTTTGAAGCCAGGCACTGACTTCTCGTCTCTAGGAGGAAAGTCCTAAATGGCATCTTCTTCTAACAAAAGGCTGTTTATTCTACACTAAACATCTGTTGCTTAGTGGAGCCACCTTTATCAATGATCTTAGCTAGATCTTCTGGGTAACTTGCTGCAGCTTCTACACCAGCACTTCCTGCTTCAACCTTGCACTTCTATATTATAGAGATGGCTTCTTTCCTTAAACCCCATGAACCAACCTCTGTTAATTTCAAACCTTTCTTCAGCAGCTTCCTCACCTCTCTCAACCTTCATAAAGCTGAAGAGAGCCTTGCTCTGGATTAGGCTTAGGCTAAGGGAATGTTGTGGGTGGTTTGATCTTCTAACCAGACCATTAAAATTTTCTCCATATCAGCAATAGGGTTGTTTTGCTTTCTTATCATTTGTGTATTCACTGGAGTGGCACTTTTAATTTCCTTCAAGAACTTTTCCTTTGCTTTCACAACTTGGCTAACGGGCACAAGAGGCCTAGTTTTCAGCTTAGATTGGCTTTCGGTATGCTTTCTTCACTAAAGGTAGTGGTTTCTGCCTTCTGATTGAAAGAGTTGTGCAACTCTTCCTTTCACTTGAATATTTACAAGCCACTGCAAAGTCATTAATTAGCCTAATTTCAATACTGTTCTGTGTCAGGTAATAGAGAGGGGCCTGAGGAGGAGTGAGTTGGGAATGGATGGTGGATGACACAGTCAGAACACACACAACTGGCCGGGCACGGTGGCTCATGCCTGTAATCCTAGCACTTTGGGAGGCCGAGGTGGGAGGATTACTTGAGTCCCCAGGTGTTTGAGACTAGCTTGGCCAATATAATGAGACCTTGTCTATACAAACAATTTTAAGATATCCGAGTACAGTGGTGTGCACCTGTAGTCCCATCTACTCAGGAGGCTGAGGTAGAAGGATTGCTTGAGCCCACAAGGTGGAGGTTGCAGTGGGCTGGGATCATGCCACTGCACTCCAGCCTGGGGGCAACTGAGAAAGACCCTGTCTCAAAACAAAACAAAAAAACCCCCACACATACACAACATTTATTAAGTTCACCCTCTTCTATCAGTGAGGTTGTAAGCAATTACAAGAGTAACATCAAAGATCACTGATCGCTATAACAGATATGATAATAATGAAAACATCTAAAATACTGTTACCGAAATGTAACACAGAGACACGAAGTGAGCATATGCTGTTAGAAAAACGGCACTGCAAGACTTCCTCGACACAGGGTTGCCACCAACCTTCAGTTTGTAAAAAATAGTATCTGTAAAGTGCAATAAAGCAAAACACAAAATTTGGTAGGCCTGTACATGAGATTTCTTTGTATTATTATTTTTTTTCTTTGTAGAGCTGGGGTCTCACTGTCACCCAGGCTGGAGTGCTGTGGCACCATCACAGCTCACTACATCTTTGAACTCTGGGCTTCAAGCAATCCTCCTGCCTCAGCCTCCCAAGTAACTGGAATCACAGGCATAAGCCACCACACCCGGCCTCTCTCTATTATTTCTTAAAACTGCATGCAAATCTATAATTAACTCAAAACAAAAAGTTAAACATTTATAAAGTGACCAATGTACCAAACGACAATAACAAAAACCCAATTCCAATTTAGATTGGCTACAAAGCTACATACCTTAAGTGGTATACAACTGTGAAGAAGCATTTAAAAAAACAGATAATCAGTCTGTGGAAATACACTTCTAACTAAATAAACTCAATGTATCAGCCTAGAAAGAAATATAAAATTACAAAGCCAAGCACTTCACACAAATCGTCAGAAAGCCAGCCAGGTACACTTTATCATTTCCACTATCTGCTTTCTATAATTCTCTTGTATCTGTTCTCAACCATAGAGGTCAGAACTAAACTAGCTAATAAACTAGCCTAACTACTACACTTTAGTTGGAAAATAAACTCATTATAATTTGTATTCAATGTTCCTGAGGAACTGGAGTTGAAATGGACGCTAAGGAACAACTTTCTGTGTCATTACATATAAAGAAAATTCTTTGAAGTTGTTTGTGGCACACAGATAGAATCCTTGTTCTGTGTAATGAGACCCAATTTTAGTACTCATTACGTAATGAGTACATACATCTTAGGTATACTTTCCGAAAATGACATTTTGACCAATTTAAATCACATTTTACATGTAATGAAACCATTTTCTATTTACATGAATCAAATAAAGTCTCATAAAGCAAACACTTACGCCCCCCACTTATTTCCCACTTTTTGCACAAAATTGGATTTTCATAGAATAGGTTTTCGTAAAAGGATAAATGGTCACTGAAATTGGTCATTTTATATATTTGAGATTGACAACTATCCTCAAATTACAGTAATTTTACAGCAATACTGGAACTACAAGTCAAAGAAAAGAGTGTTTGCTGGATTCACTTGAAAATGAAACCAACTGGCCAGGTGTGGTGGCTCACACCTGTAATTCCAGCACTTTGCGAGGTTGAGGCAGGTGGATCACCTGAGGTCAGGAGCTCGAGACCAGCCTAGCCAACATAGTGAAACCTTGTCCCTACTAAAAATACAAAAATTAGACGGGCGTGGTGGCGGGCGCCTGTAATCCCAGCTACTCGGGAGGCCGAGGCAGGAGAATTCCTTGAACCCGGGAGGCGGAAGTTGCAGTGAGCCGAGATCGTGCCATTGCACTCCAGCCTGGGCGACAGAGCACGACCCTGACTCAAAAAAAAAAAAAAAAAAGTTAAATGAAACCAACCTAAAGAAAATGAAAATTATAATCCCAAATATGCTACCCTACAGAAGAAGGGGTTTTTCTTCCTTTTAAGTCCCCTTACACATCAGTCATCTTTTATTAAGTCCTAAAATATCCTGTAAAGCATATTTCAAAATATACATGAGTACGCAGGAGTCCTGCTCACAGAAGGGATCTTTAACTTACAGGAAGACGATGCTGACACTAGCTTAACCATGCATTTAGCACACCACAGTTACAGTGAATCACACAGGAATTCCACACACATTCCCTACCCACTGTCATCCTTAGCTTATATGGTGGCATCAACAGAGAAAAGCCAGGGATTCCTAAATGTCTTCTCAAATTGCCCAGTCTCCAGGTCTTTACTCATTTGGCTAAGACCAAATAAAGTAAACAAACACCATTCATTAAACATATCCTGGACGTGTGGACACGACAACAGAGTGACTCCATGCAGATGGCATCATCTGGTTAAAATTAAATTTAAACTTATTTTCCTTTGGGGTATAAAATATATAATTCAAGTGGAATTGTCCTTTTTAAGCAAGTACTTGATAATAGCCCAGAGATGTTCTATAAAGTCATCTAGAGCCTGTAATTAAGAAACAAATTTCCATTTGTCTCAAGACCAATTTAAACTAGCTGAAAACAATAAGCTACATTTCATCACCAGTTATCGTGCTGAGGAATCACTAAAGCCATATTTAAATAATTCTCTTTTTAAAAAATAACTTATTTCCCCCAACACACACACTACAAAAGGCACACATTTCAAGAGCAAACATGTGATTTCAAGCATGTATTTTAAAGCAATATAAACCAACAAAATGTAAGAACTTGGCAAAATCACTTAGATAGTATCTTCTTCCTCTTTTAAAATGGTAGGAAAGTAATAAGCAAATAAATAAGCAACTAAATAAGAAAGCAAACAAGCAAGTACATACTAAATAATGAATAATAAATAAAAATTTAAAAATCAATCCCTTTGCATGCTGCAATAATTGATGAGGTTGTCACTAACCAATCAGACCATTTACATTAAGCATTGTGGTGAGATAGTCTTTCACTTACAGTTAACCAGAGAGATCCTTAAGATCTACGTCTTACTTATTTCTACATTTCTTATTTAATCTCTTCAATTATGTTAACTGAATACAATTAAGCTGCAGTAGAATACATATATACTGTTTTAGTGCTAAGAGCTTTTTATTTTACAGAGCACATTTGGAAAATACAGGAAAACAAAGATGAAAGTGGAAACCAGCTGTAACCTCTCTTCCATTAACACTGATATGGTGGCATAATTCCTTTCAGTCTGGGTAGATGAAGGAATATCTTTATTTGCTTTGTTCATGGGTTGTTTAGCACAAACATTTTCATAATCACAGCAAGTTACCGGGAGACAGAAAGTGAAGCACCTGACAGATTCCTGCTCAGTTCAAGGAGAAAATAAAAAAATAAAAGCTGAGTCATTAGCAGTGAGATCCTAGAAAATCACTTTTTCCTTTTTAAAAAATGAATAGAATTATTGCTAGAACAATTTTAGACATATAGAAATATTCAGTAGAAAGTACACACTATACACCCGTTCTCCTCCACCTGTGATTACCTCTTGCCTTAGTGTGCCACATGTGTTACAACTGATCACCCAGTACTGATAAATTACTAACTAAACACCATGCTTTAGAGTTGACTCTTTGCATTGCACGGTGGTAGGGGTTTTGTCATGGATCCATCCTTGCAGTATCATACAGAAGAGTTTTACTGCCCTAAGTATCCTGTGCTTCACCTATTCATTCTTCCTCCATTTCCCATCCTCAACCCCTGAGAATTGCTGATCTTTTTACTGTCTCTATAGTTTTCTTTGTCCAAAATGTTATATAGTTAAAATTATACAGTATGTAGCCTTCACAGACTGGCTGCTTTTATGCATTTAAAGTTCCCCCATGTCTTTTCCAGGCTTAAAGGCTTATTACTTTGTATGACTGAATAATATTCCATTGCATGGATGTACCACCATTTGTTTATCCATTCACTTATTTAAGGACATCTTGACTGCTTCCAACTTTTTGGCAATTATGAATAAAGCTGCTGTAAAACATTCATGCACAGGTTTTTGTGTAAATGTAAGTTTTCAACTCATTTAGGTAAATCACTAGGAGCATGACTGCTAGAATGTATGGTAAGACCATATTTAGCTTTTTAAGAAAACTGCCAGGCTCGGCATGGTGGCTCATGCCTATAATCCCAGAACTTTGGGAGGCCAAGGCGGGTGGATCACGAGGTCAGGAGTTCAAGACCAGCCTGGCCAAGATGGTGAAACCCCATCTCTACTAAAAATACAAAAATTAGCCGGGTGTGGTGGCACGCACCTGTAATCCCAGCTACTTGGGAGGCTGAGGCAGAAAACTGCTTAAACCCGGGAGGCGGAGGATGCAGTGAGCCGAGATCGCGCCACTGCACTCCAGCCTGGGTGACACAGCTAGACTCTGTCTCGGAAAAAAAAAAAAGAAAAAGAAAACAAAACTGCGTAAGTGTCTTCCAATGTCGCTGTACCATTTTGCATTCACACCAGCAATGAGTGAGAGTTCCTGTTACTCCACTTCCTTCAGTGTTCCTTCTAATGTTGTCAGTGTTTTGGATTTTAGCCATTCTAACAGTTGTGCAGTGGTATCTTACTGTTGTTTTACTTTGCAGTACCCTAATGATACTTAATTACATTAAGTATCTTTTCACATGCTTAATTTATCATCTGTATATCTTCCTTGGTTAAGATGGCTGTTCAGATCTTTTTTCCACTTTAAAATTGTTGAATTTTAAGAGTTCTTTGTGGCCGGGCGCGGTGGCTCACGCCTGTAATCCCAGCACTTTGGGAGGCCGAGGCGGGCGGATCACGAGGTCAGGAGATCGAGACCATCCCGGCTAAAACGGTGAAACCCCGTCTCTACTAAAAATACAAAAAATTAGCCGGGCGTCGTGGCAGGCGCCTGTAGTCCCAGCTACTTGGGAGGCTGAGGCAGGAGAATGGCGTGAACCCGGGAGGCGGAGCTTGCAGTGAGCCGAGATCCCGCCACTGCACTCCAGCCTGGGCGACAGAGCGAGACTCCGTCTCAAAAAAAAAAAAAAAAAGAGTTCTTTGTATATTTTCATATAAGACCTTGTTCCTGGATTGGAAGATTTACAGTTGTTAAGATGTCAATTCTCTCCAAATGGATCTCTAGATTCAATATAATCTTATTTGAAATTTCAGCAGGCTTTTAAACAATGTGATATTAAAATTTATATGGAAGTGCATAGGACCCAGAGGAGTCAAAATAACTTTGAAGATACATGATAAAGTTAGGAGACTTATACACTACCTCATTTCAAAACTTATTATGAAGCTACAGTAACCAGAGTACAACTAGCCTAAGGATGGATCTGTAGGTCAACAGAACAGAACAAAGTTCAGAAATAAACTAGCAAGTGTCCAATTAATTCTCTAGAAAGATGTCAACATCTTTGAAAAGATTAAACAGAGGAAAAGAGTCTTTTCAACAAATGGTACTGAAACAATGGAATATACATGTGTTTAAAAAAAAATGAATCCTGACCCTTAACTTACACCACACACAAAAGTGAAGCCAAAGTGGATTATAAACCTAATGTTAAAGCTAAAACTGTATGATGTTGGCTGCAGGTTTAAAAACAAACAAACAAACAAAAAAGCTAAAACTAAAACTCCTGAAAGAAAACAAAAGAAAAAAATCTGTAACCTTAGGATAGCCAAGATTTCTTAAATAGGACCAAAATACATGAATCAGAAAGAAAAAACTGATCAACCAGATTTCATCAAAATTAAAAACCTCGGCTCTTTTGAAAGTCACCAGATGAAAAGAAAAGGAAGTCACAGGCTCAGAGAAAATACTTGCAAAACCTTTATCTGACAAAGGACTTACATCCAGAGTACACAAAGAACCCTTATAACACAATAGAAAAAAGCCCACAACAAAAGGCAAAAAGACTTGAACAGACCCCCTTACTAAAGAAGATATACAAATGTCACAATAACCTGTGAGTTGTGAATAATAAAAAAGAAGATACGTGAATGGTTAATAAGCACTTGAAGGAAGGCTTAACATCACCAGTCCTTAGAGAAATACAAATCAAAACCACAATAAAAACCATTACACTTCTACTAAAATGGTTACAATAGAAAGGCGTGTTGGCAAGGGCTTAAAGCAATTTGAACTCCCACACACCACTGACAGGAATGCAAAAATGGTATAACCACTTTGGAAAAGTTTGACACTTTCTTATAAATTGGAACACATCCTTACCATACAACTCAACAATACAACTCCAAGTATTTACTCAAGAGAAATGAGAACGGCAGGGTACAGTGGCTCACGCCTGTAATCCCAGCACTTTGGGAGGCCAAGGCGGGTGGATCACGAGGTCAGGAGATCAAGACCATCCTGGCTAACACCGTGAAACCCCGTCTCTACTAAAAATACAAAAAATTAGCTGGGCGTGGTGGCATGCGCCTGTAGTTCCAGCTACTTGGGAGGCTGAGGCAGGAGAATGTCATGAACCCAGGAGGTGGAGGTTGCAGTGAGCCAAGATTGCGCCACTGCACTCCAGCCTGGGTAACAGAATGAGACTCCGTCTCAAAAAAAAAAAAAAAAAGAGGAATGAGAACATGTGACCACACAAAGTTTTGTTTATGAATGTTCATAATAATTTTGTTTTTAATAGCCAAAAACTGAAAATAACCCAACTGTGCAACAATGGTTGAATGGATAAAGAAATCGTGGTATATCATACAATGGAAGTTATTCCGCTATTGAAAGAAATCAATTACTGACATTTAAGAAAAAGAATAAGTCTTAGAAACACTATGCTAGGTGAAATAAGTGCAGACTGTATGAATTCATTTGTATAAAATTCTGGAAAAGGTAAAACTAATCTATAGTGATAGAAAGCCAGTAAGCAGCTGCCCGGGACTGAGGGACGGGGACTGACTCAAAAGGGGCATAAGGAACTTTTTTGGGGTGATAGAAATGTTCTCTGTCTTACTGTGGTGGCGGTTAAAAGAGTCTATATATTTGTTAAAACGTACCAAACTGTAAACTTAAAATGGATACATTTTTACTGTAAGTAAATTCTACCTCAGTAAATCTGATTTATGAGGAAAAAGAATGGCAGCCTCGGCTGACCCCGGTGACACTCAGAGCCCCCCCACTGCTCACTTTCTTTTGCCCAGTGTGTCCTCTTCAGGTGCCAGAGTGAGACCTATAACCTGGGAGAGGGTTTGGACTATGAGTAAATGCGTGACGTTTCAAAATAGATCCATTTAATAATGTATGAGGAATGATACGGATTTAAGAAGAGAAGACAAAGGCATGGTCATGAGGTCTGAGTTTCAACTTTTCAATCTTTTTCTATCTCTACTTGGAGAACACCTACTCATTCCTCAAGAACCAGATCAGATGTTCGACTTCTCTAAAGCCCTTTCAGAAGCTTCAGCAGAGTAATGACTCCCTTTCATGTGCTCCTCTAGGGTACGCACAAACCTTTGCATATCATAATAAAGCACTTATTACTTTGCACTGGAACTACCGATTCACATTTCTTTTCTGCTCCCCACCCCACCTGGCTGAGCTCACTGAGGACAGGGATGATGCCACTATGCTTTACTCAACTTCTCTATCTCCAGCACCCAGCACAATACTTTCCACATCATAGATGCTCAACAAATGCTCGTTAAAACAACCAAAACTGGTACCAACAAATTATATGTGCATCCGGATATGCACATGAAGAAACAGGTGGAATGCAACTGAAATTTTATTATCTCCATCTAAAAAAAAAAAGGATTTGAATAAATAAAATGTTCATTATACTGATATATAATAAGACTAATGACTAATAAGAGTAATTTAAAAATAAATTGATTTTTTTTTTTTTTTTGGAGATGGAGTATTGCTCTGTCACCCATGCTGGCATGGAGTAACGCGATCTCAGCTCACTGCAACTTCTGCCTGCCAGGTTCAAGCAATTCTCCTGCCTCAGCCTCCTGTGTAGCTGGGATTATAGGCGCCTGCCACCACACCTGGCTTATTTTTGTATTTTTGGTAGAGATGGGGTTTCACCATGTTGGCCAGGTGGTCTTGAACTCCTGACTTCAAGTGATCCTCCTGCCTCGGCCTCCTAAAGCGCGGGAATTACAGGCGTGAGCCACTGCATCTGGCCATACATTGAGTTTTAATAGACAATCAGGGTCAGGTGACATTCATCTATCTAGTCCTACATGCCATTCTGGCATTGACGGGTTCCACAGGGCTGGAATCACTTAGCTCTAGGTGCACAATTCTAATGTATGAGTATACTTTTCTATTCTAACACCACTATAGGCAAAATGGCTCAATGTAATTTTAGAATTCGTCTACTCCATATCAAGCTCTGTAATAGGTTAACATTTTACATACATCCTCTCTCATCTTTGCAACATTCCATAAAGTAAGGGTTATTTCACCCATTTAAAAGACACTGGAAAGTCAGAGAATTTAAAGGTTCTTACCCCAAAAAGATAGAGTCCACACCAGGATTTGAACCCAGGACTCTCTGGCTTCAAAGCCCTGCCCTAATCATTTCACTATACTACCAATCCAAGGAATAAAGAAACTTAAGGTATCTTAGTCAGATAAAAGTGGTAAATTAATGAGAGGAAGATGAAAAAAAATTAACCCTAGAAACCAAGAAATATACTTAGTATTTTTATTATTATTATTATTTCAGAGACAGAGTCTTGCTATGTTGCCCAGACCAATCTCAAAGTCTTGGCCTCAAGCAATCCTCCCAACTCAGCCTCCTGAGTAGCGGAGATTACAGGCTTTACAGGCATGAGCCAATGCCCCCAGCAAGAAGTCTGTATGTTCTTATCATACATATGATTAAATGAAAATATACTCTAGGAAACCAACAAATTAGGATAATATTTTAAATATCATGACTACTCTAAAACTCTGCCAAAGGTATTTTTAAAATGTCAAGGATTTTTAAGCTGATGTGTTTAATGTGCACAATCTGCAATTCTAGTTGTAATCAATGACATGCCCATAAATCAGAGAGTACTTCTATGAAAACAGTCACAGCCTGTTAAGTATGGATAAAACTCCTCAGCTTTACCTTTTAGATGGTTCTATACAATTTCAGAATTCATGCCTCTTTCTTCAACTCTCTAATCTTATTATCCTTGGCAGTAAAATAATTTTACCAATTGCTTTCCCTATGACATTGTGAATGAAATTCCCATTTCTCTTTGCTAGGTATTGTTAGCTGCCATCTCTGGGAAGGAGAAAGTGTTTTTATAGACAAGCATGTCAAGGACAAATAATGGAGCTGAAATGCAAGGGTGGATGGCAAATAAATTGCATCTTGTGAACTAACTCCAACTAATTTCTGCCTGGAACACTGTGTTTAAAAGGATTCCTAGGCCACATCTGGAGGGACTCAGGAAAAAAACAAAAGAGAAGTAAGAAAGGTATGTGGAGAATCAGTAAAGTGTAGTGCCACAGTAGCCTAGGGTTTCAAGGAAAGGAGACTATGATATCAAGTCAGGCAGAGCAGCAGCCAAACAACATGAAGAAAAATGTCCATGAGACTTGGCATGCAGGAGATCACTGATGTGCCTATTGACAGCAAGTTCAGTAGTGTTGTGAGGGAAGAAGTCAATGGGCTAAAGCGGGAATGAGTGCTGACACAGAGACAGCAGGTGTAAACCAGAGACAGTGTACCGGATGGCTGAAGAGTCAAATACTTACACAGCAAATGGGGATAGAGACAAGTGTCCAATGCACGTATTGGCCTTCTCAGGACAAATATTCCATCCCTTAACAACTATAGGAAAGGGGTAAAGAGGGATACTCCTATAGGTCAATTTATAGAAAAGATCAAAACCTTAAAAATCTCAATGAAGTGGAAGCTAAGAACCTCTGTATCAGGTGAAGAGACAGGAAGGTCAAGAGGGGGAAGGAGAAGATTTGGTAAAGTTCTTGAAGAGAATGAGAACTAAACAGGGCTAGGCAAGCAAAAGGCATCAGGCAAGGCAGAGTACTCAGATGAGGTTGAAAATATTTAATAGTTAATTTAAAACAGAGTTAATCTGTATGACTAGTTGCTTTTTCTTTAGCCCTCTCATACAGAAGTAGAACAACAGACTGGATTGGGCTGGCATTTTGCCAGGGTACAGCAGGAAGACAGGGGCACAGGAAAGGCCCAATGTTGGGAGTATTTCAGTTAATCTCCTATGAGATCCAGGCTGGCTAAGGTAGCAAGGTAGGTTATAAGAAGAAAAATACAGACAAACTCATGAGACTGCAGAGGCTTGGAAGGAGAAAATGTGTTGGCTGACAGTGAGATGCAGAAGATTGCTAAGGTGACACACCTGTAGATGAGAAGGTGGTGGTCCCAGCCTGGGTAAAAGGTGACTGATCTACACCTGGTGATGACCACTGGCATTAAAGGAATCCAGAAGAGATGAGGCTTTTTCTGCTTGTGTAAGTTATCTCCTTATTCAAGTTTATCTTCACCACTGAAAACCTCTGAAAGTTGTCAACTTCATTAAGGTAAATACAGAAGACGTATTTTATTCAAAATGACAAAATGCTTCTAGAGAAAAAGCATCATATGCCTGGTCAAGTAATGAATGTATGATTCTGGATAAATTATGGCATTTCAATGTTTGAGGTAATATAGTCTGTCTGTCTCTACTCCTTAATTCTCCATCTATAAAGACAGCAAGAATATAATCAGCCATGTCTTTTTTTTTTTTTTTTTTTTGAGCCGGAGTCTCGCTCTGTCACACAGGCTGAAGTGCAGTAGCGTGATCTTGGCTCACTGCAACCTCCGCCTCCCGGGTTCAAGCAATTCTCCTGCCTCAGCCTCCCAAGTAGTTGGGATTACAGGTGCCCACCACCATACCCGGCTAATTTTTGTATTTTTAGTAGAGATGGGTTTTCACCATGTTGGCCAGAAAAAGCCATATATCTTGTATAAAATAAATACAAAGAGAGAAACAATGGGTGACAGAGTGAGACCCTCAAGTCAAAAAAAAAAAAAAGTCTGGGCACATTGCCTCACGCCTGTAATCCCAGCACTTTCAGAGGCTGAGGTGGGTGGATCTCTTGAAGTTAGGAGTTCAAGACCAGCCTGGCCAACAGAGTGAAACCCCATCTCTACTAAAAATACAAAAGTTAGCTGGGTGTAGTGGCAGGTGCCTGTAGTCCCAGCTACCTAGGAGGCTGAGGCAGGAGAACCGCTGGAACCCAGGAGGCAGAGGGCACAGTGAGCTGAGATCACACCGCGACACTCCAGCCTGGGCAACAGAGTGAGACTCTGTCTTAAAGAAAAAAGAAAGAAAAGATTATAAAGGCAGAAATTCTTGGGGTGGGGAGAAGAACTATACAAAATTAACTAGATACTTTTTCAAGAAGAAAAATATCAGGGAGTAGTGAAAAAGAACAATTACATAAAGAAAGAGAAATTATCTAAATAGCAACTAAAAACCCTATGAGAATGTATCAACAGTCCAGCAAAAAACAAGTAGTTACAAGCTTGACACTAATTCAAAGTCAGTATTTTCTTCTGACTGACAGACTCAGGGAAAGAGAAGCCAAAAACGAAAGTTACTTTATCCACCATATAGCAAAAGAAATTTGTCATCCATAACATAAATTGCTAAAACCTAACAGCATTTATTTTTATATAAAAAGAGTATTAAGGAGAGCTGGTAAAAACAATTCATTACAAAGTTGTGTGTGTGTGTGTGTGTGTGTTTAAGTATGGCATTCATTTACAAAAACTGATTTACTCTTTTTCCAGGCAAAAATATGTGCTTTTGGAGCAAGTAAAAAATTACATTAACATTAAAAAACAATATTTATGAAGAAGCAAAAGCTTAAACATAGTTCTAGCCATAAAAGGTCCGACCCTACTGCAAAATATCAAACTTGGAAATTTGCCAATATTATAGAAAAACTTTGCAAATGAGTGTGTTCTTTAATCCTGCAATTCTGATTTAGGAATTTAGAATGAGGAAATCATGACGGATACACACAAAGGCTTTACTGTGTATAATAGTAAAAACAGAACATAACCCAAAAGGCCAACATTAGGGAAATGGTTACATAATTTATGGTTTATCTTTATTATGGAATATATGCACCATTTATTTTAAAAAAACAAAAAATCAAATTATATGGGAAAAAGCTTGCAATCTACTGAAGAGTAAAAAATATTACAGAATTTGTAGTAATGTGTCATTTCAATTTTCTTTTTGTGTTGTTGAACTATCCATACTTTCTAAAATGAGCACTATGAAAGGCATTTAGCTTTTGTTATTTAAAGTTATTTCAAAAAAATCTTGCCACTTCTTCCTCAAAGCACTTGGCAAATGAAATACAAAAACACTGAAAAACTAAAGTTTTTCACATTATTTTGTAAACATATTTTACTGATAATTTTAATGTTATTTTATTACCTAGCAAGTATTTGTAATTACAAAAAAAAATTGATTTAAGAGAAGTATTTAGAAGCTTGTGTTATCATACTGAGGGCAATGACGAAGCCCATCTTTTCAGTCTCTACGACTCATCTAATTCATCAGGAGCTCTTATTCCATTCAGTTTCATCCTGTCTCAGTCTCTCTCTGTAGAGAATTAGCACATGCACTGGCCGGGTGCGGTGGTGGCTCACGCCTGTAATCCCAGCAATTTGGGAGGCCAAGGTGGGTGGATCACGAGGTCAGGAGATGGAGACCATCCTGGCTACATGGCGAAACTCCATCTTTACCAAAAATACAAAAAAATTAGCCAGGCATGGTGGCACACGCCTGTAGTCCCAGCTACTTGGGAGGCTGAGGCAGGAGAATCGCTTGAACCCGGGAGGCAAGCGGCTGCAGTGAGCTGAGATTGAGTCACTGCACTCCAGCCTGGGTGACGGAGCGAGACTCCATCTCAGAGAAAAAAAAAAAAAAATAACAACCATATTAAGGTAACAATTAAGTGATGTGAAATATTCAACAGCATAGGATCTTTCCTAATTATGGTTGGAACAGTTGCAATTCCTTTTCTATTGAAAAGAGTCATTAGGAGAATAAAATGAATTAGCATGGACAAGGCACTCAGTATAATAAACATCATAAAATGTTGGTTACATAAGTAAATGAATTAATAAACGTGGAAAACCACATAATGCACATACATTCAATACCTACTTTCGAAGGTGGTCATGTTCTTTCAAAAATAGCTCAGTTCTTCTGTTGTTTACTCCAGACCCACTTTTATATGACCTGGGACAAAAGAGAAAATTTAAAAACATTTTTGGCAGAGAATACAAAATCAGATTGACTGACCCTAGTGATCTTGAAAGTAGAAAAATTGAGCCTCTCCAGAGTTTTGAATGAACAATGAAAGTACATAATCCTTTGCATTTCCCTCTGAAAAATGTTATCTATTTTAGGTAGATAAATATTAATGCCTCTGCATCTCTAATTTAGGCCCAACAGTTTACTGTTTTTCACCAAAATAACTCAACATTCTGAAACAAACAACCAAAACAATCTTACTTTTCCTTTACCTCCTATCTCTGATATCTTCATTTTTCTCCAAGTAGAAGTAAAACTTAGGACTGATTTAGTACACAGCACACAGGGTGGGAAAGCTGTTGAAATGAAATGTTTTCTTTCACAATAATATATGTGGTCCACCAACTGAAGCCTAAGGAACACTGAAATCAAGCTAAAGATTTGCTCATTTTGGCACACTTAAGGATAACCATTTTGGTCTTCAGTGTATTGAAGTTGACAAAAAAATTACTCTTATCACTACTATCAAAAATTTAATTTTTCTGTTTTCCACTAATAATAAAGTATCAGGAACAATTTTTTTTTTTTGGAGACAGAGTCTTACTTTGTTACCCAGACTGGCATGCAGTGGCACAATGTTGGCTCACTGCAGCCAACATGCTGTTAAAACTGAAATACTGGCTGAAAGGCAGTGCTACAGGAGAAACCACCACCAAGGAAAGCAGAATAATATAACCAAGAACACATTGGACTCAGGAGACTGATGACTTGGATTTAAATCTATACTGAATCATTTCATAGCCACTTCACCTCAGACAAGTGTCTCAATACCTAGTTTTGTAAAATGAGACTGATCATTTCTATCTTAACCAAAAGATTGCTATGAGGCCAAAAAAATATAATACATTAAAAAATACTGTGTAAACTACTACATATACTTTCCTCTAGCACCTAGATTCTAAACTCCTACAGGACCACATTGGTCTTTTCCTTTCTTTTTTTTTTTAGACAGAGTCTTGCTCTGTCACCCAGGCTAGAGTGCAGTGGCACGATCACAGCTCACTGCAACCTCCACATCCCAGGTTAAACCAATTCTCCTGCCTCAGCCTCCCGAGTGGCTGGGATTACAGATGCCTACAACTACGCCCAGCTAATTTTTTTATTTTTAGTAGAGACGGGGTTTCACCATGTTGGCCAGGCTGGTCTTGAACTCCTGGCCCCAAGTGATCCACCTGCCTCAGCCTCCCAAAGTGCTGGGATTACAGGCGGGAGCCACCACGCCTGGCCGGTCTTTTCATTTCTACCTTCTGCTGTGACTAACTCAGAGTTGATACTCAGGAGACAGTTTAATGAATAGATGAACATATCTTTTATGGCCATTTTTCAAAAAGCAAGTTATTACAATGGGTTGCATTCTAGTGATTCCCACAAATTATGGGGGGGCTCAGTGTCTATACATTAAAGACCATCCCCTATATGGGTTCCCAATGCATTCCTCAAAACATATATATAAATGGACTACATGGAAATTAAACAAAAGACTTAAATGTCCTGAAGGACTAAAAATATTACAACAATCTTACTGTTGAAACTGTTACTGTTACAATAAAATAAAGGATCTCTAGGAAAGTGTTTTCGAGAGTACACATAATATACAGTTTACCATAAATGTGTATCATAGTTTATAAAATGTATCACATAATTTATCACAAATGAGATGATGACAGGTATCATTAGATGGCTCCAAATTGGAACATCTTCAGCTTCAATGAGACGCCCATGGGACTTAACTTTGTCAGTAGTGTTCAGTTGTAAAAAAATTTCCAAAAATGCTATGAAATGCTAGAATAGATCATTAAAGGTGAGGTGAAGGGACAGAAGAAAAAAACAAATATTTAAAATTATAGATTGAGATCAGTATGAGAATGTTGGGAGTCCTTAAATAATTTAACATAAGGCTATGAGTGAGTTTGTACATATTACTGTTTGTAATATGTAACTGTTGGGACAAGGGAGAGGGCCAGGGGATAGGTGATAATCAGGAAGAGAAACATAGGGAGCTTCAGTTACTGATAATGTTACAATTAAAGAATTTTTTTTTCTTTGACACATCTGCAGAGGATCATAAAAGTAACATTATAATTCTTAGGGTGGGAGGTAAGAGATCAGAGAACCATGAAGAACCACCTAAGCTGGACTTTGAATTAAGACAGGAAAGTCAAGGTTGGCAGGAGCCAATGATAAAGTAAGAGGAAGCATGAGATAAAAATGGAAAAGTAGATTAGGATGACATTGTAGCAGCAATGTTAAAAAGACAGTGAAATGGGAATTGGAAACCCTAAAATCTCAACCACGGTTCTGCCACTCAATTTGCAATTAACCGTGAACATATCCTAAAGCCAAATCTGAATAAATATTCTACAAAATAATATAAAAAGTAACTTACTCAATATCTTTTCGTACTGATCCCATAAGATTCTCCCTTTCCCGTATTGCCATAAAGTTTGCTTTGGTTTTATGGAATTCATGTGTATAATCCTGTAATAAATCAACATCCAGTCTCAACAGAAGCTAATTATGGATTTTCATCTCACTGAACCAGTTATGTATCGTCATCACACTGTAAATTTGTCAAGAAAACTGCTATTTAAGAAATCAAATTAACCAAAGGTAAAAATAACTTTAAAATTACTTTCCTGAAGAGTGACCAACTTCTTTCAAGTGAAAATAATTCAGTGCTAGGGAAACAGTGCCATTAAATCACTATCCTTTGTACCTCCTAGTACTCTGTCTTACGAGGCAGAATTAAGAAGAAAAAAATTCTGAGATAAAATAACTTCAAATAGTCTAGGAGAAAACTTGAGAGGCTCTTTTTACTTAGTAGTATACTTAATAGAGCTTATTTTCAAATTTCATCATTTTGGAGCTCTCACAAAAAATTTAATTCCTAAACAAAAAAGAACAGAATCAAGAGAATTATAAGGAACAAAATAATCTTTAAACATTTTCTACTATTTTTGTACCACTGTTAAAAGTACTTCATTACTTTTCATAAATTCAGAGATGTAGATAAAGAAGAAAATCAAAATCTTGTCTCCCAGAGTCCCTGTTGACCTTTTAAAAAACAAAAGTAACACATAAACATGGAGGAGAATATTAAAAGAGCACCAAAAGAAATAAAGGTGAAACAAAGGAAAACAAAACATTCTGCTCCATACCTCATAACTGTTACCATCATTTTGTATTTTCTTCCAGGAAATTATTATTTTCTTTTTTTTTGGAGACAAGAGTCTTGCTCTGTCGCTCAGGCTGGAGTATAGTGGTGCCATCTCAGCTCACTGCAAACACCACTTCCTGGGTTCAAGCGATTCTAGTGCCTTGGCCTCCCTAGTACTGGGACTATAGGAGCGTGCCACTACATCCAGCTAATTTTTGTATTTTTAATAGAGATGGAGTTTCACCATGTTGGCCAGGCTGGTCTTGAACTCCTGACCTCAACAGTTCCACCCACACTGGCCTCCCAAAATGCTGGGATTACAGGCGTGAGCCACTGCACCTGGCCAGGAAATATGTTTTTACATATACAAGCTTATCTATTATTTCTTTCACTTTGCCAAGTAAGTCATAATATACATTCTGATGTACACCTTGCTTTTTGTACTTCATAAAGTATCAAGCAATCTTTCCATATTAGGAAAAAGAAATCTACATCATTCTTTTTAATAGCTGCATAGAATATTATCTTATGACTATCACAATTTAATAAATTCCCTACTGATAAACACATTAGTTGTTTTCATTTTGTTTGCTATTAAAAATACTGCAAGACTAGGCAGGGTGGCTCATGCCTGTAATCCCAGCACTTTGGGAGGCTGAGGTGGGCGGATCACTAGAGGTCAGGAGTTCGAGACCAGCTTGGCCAACATGGCGAAACCCCGTCTCTACTAAAAACACAAAACTTAGCCGGTGTGGTGGAACGCACCTGTAGTCCCAGCTACTTTGCTCAGGAGTTTGAGGCAGGAGAATCACTTGAACTTGGGAGGCAGAGGTTACAGTGAGTTGAGATCATACCACAGCACTCCAGCCTAGGCAACAGAGCGAGACTCTGTTTCAAAAAAAAAAAAAAAAAATACTGCCAATAAACATTCTTACATATATTTTTTAAACTGAACTCTTTTATTTTAAAAAAAACTATATTTAGGCTGGGCGCAGTGGCTCACGCCTGTAATCCCAACACTTTGGGAGGCCAAGGCAGGCGGATCATGAGGTCAGGAGATGGAGACCATCCTGGCTAACACGGTGAAACCCCATCTCTACTAAAAATACAAAAAAATAGCCGGGCATGGTGGCGAGCGCCTGGAGTCCCAGCTACTCGGGAGGCTGAGGCAGGAGAATGGTGTGAACCCGGGAGGCAGAGGTTGCAGTGAGCCAAGACCGCGCCACTGCACTCCAGCCTGGGTGACAGAGTGAGACTCTGTCTCAAAAAAAAAAAAAAAAAAGTATATTTAAAGAGTAAATGTCTATTAAGTTCAACAGAGCTTAAAAAAAAAAAAAAGGAGTAAATGACTAGCAATAGAATAATTGGATCAGGGCTGGGTACGGTGGCTCATGCCTGTAATCCCAGCACTTTGGGAGGCCGAGGTGGGTGGATCATGACATCAGGAGTTCAAGACCAGCTTGATCAATATGATGAAACCCCATCTCTACTAAAAATACAAAAATTAGCTGGGCGTGGTGGCGCACACCTGTAGTTCCTGCTACTCGGGAGGCCGAGGCAGAAGAATCGCTTGAACCCAGGACGTGGAGGCTGCAGTGAGCCGAGATCGCACCATTGCACTCCAATACTCCAGCCTGGACAACAGAGCGAGACTCCGTCTCAAGAAAAAAAAAAAAGAATAACTGGATCAAAGAATCTCACATTCATTTAAATTCTGGTAGTGCTAAACTGCCTTCTATAAACATTACATCAATTTATGTTCCCACCAGCAATATATGAGTACCCTTTTTAAATTTTTACTCTTGCCAATAATGGGTTATAAATGTTTCAACATTTGCTAATCTGACATGTGAAAAATCACCTCTTTTAGATTTCTGTATTTTTATTTGGAAATACTGCTGAAAATGTTTTTATAGTTTTGGCCATTCATTTTTTTGTAAGCAATTTTATATCCTTTGTCCATTTTCCTACTGTCTTTTTCTTATTTCTATTATATCTCTGTGTAGTAAGCAAATTAGCCATTCGTTATGGTTTCCAGTATCAAGTCTTATTTAGAAAGTCCTTTCTGCTCCAAAGTTTACAAATTTCACCTCTGCTTTATGGTTTCTTTTTCTATCCTTCTTGGATCCATTTGGAATTTGTTCTGGATGTGAGGATTGAGATAGAATTGTTTTTTTAAAATCTCTGAATAATTAAGCAATGGTTATAGTTCCATTTATTTTATAATTTCTCTTTGCCCCACTGATTTTAAACAACATCTTTATCAGAAACTAAAAATTTCCAAACATAATTGGGTCTACATATAAACTCTGTTTAATTGTTTTTATTTATTTATTTTTTTTCTCTAGTATCAAACTGTCTTAACTATTCCAGCTTTTTAACAGGTTTTAAGATCTGGTAGAACTAGGAACCCTCTACCACTTATCTTCATTTTCAGGTTGTTTTTCTTGGTTGTTCTTGTATGTCTATGATTCCAAATGAACTTTGGTGTCATTATGTCATTTGTTTTTAATTAAACAAACAACGATACAACCCTGCTGTTTCCACTGGGATGTCATGCAATTTAGACGAAAGTCTTCCTATCCAAAAACAGAATGATTCTTTCCTTTACTTAAATCTTGTTCTATGTCCCTCAGTAGAATTCTGCACATACAAGTCCTACACATTTCTTATTTAATTCATATATAAATGCTTTATAGTTTCTTCCATTGTATTTTCTAACAGGTTATCATTTATTTCCTATCATAATAGGAAAACTATTTGCTTTTATGTATTCATTTTGTGATCTACCATCTTACTGAATTTAATTGTTTCTAACTTTTTATCAGGTAATTTTCTTGCGTGTACTAGACATATAATTTTATCCTGCTACCTCACAGAAATTTTGCCTCTTCCTTTCCAATATTTACATCTTTTTTTTTTTTTTTGAAACAGTCACTCTGTTGCCCAGGCTGGAGTGCAGTGGTGCAATCTCGGCTCACTGCAACCTCCACCTCCCAGGTTCAATGTTCAAGCTATTCTCCTGCCTCAGCCTCCCAAGTAGCTGGGATAACAGGCACCCACCACCACGCCCCGCTAATTTTTGTATTTTTAGTAGAGAAGGGGTTTCACCCTGCTGGCCAGGCTGGTCTCCAACTCCTGACCTCAAATGATCCGCCCACCTCAGACCTCCAAAGTGCTTGGATAAGAGGTGTGAGCCACCATGCCCAGCATACATTTCATTTCTTTTTACTGTCTAATTGCACCATCAAGAACTTAAAAAACAACGTTATACATTTGTAGCGATCATGGGTATCCTTGTCTTGTTTCATACAATGGGAATGTTTTTATTGCTTTCTCTTTAAACACAATGCTAGCTTTTAACCCGATAATACATTTTTGTATTAAAGTATCTTTCTATTCCTACTTTTTTTTTTTTTTTTTTTTTAGATGGAGTCTCAGTCTTGTAGCCTAGGCTGGAGTGCAGTGGTGCAATCTCAGCTCACTGCAACCTCCGCCTCCTGGGTTCAAGCTTCTCCTGCCTCAGCCTCACAAGTAGCTGGGATTACAGGCGCCCACCACTATGCCCAGCTTATTTTTATACTTTTAGTAGAGACAGGGTTTCGCCATGTTGGCCAGGCTGGTCTCCAACTCCTGACCTCAGGTGATCCACCTGCCTTGGCCTCCCAAAGTGCTGGGATTACAGGCACGAGCCACTGCGCCCGGCCATCTATTCCTACTTTTAAAAACAGTTTTTAAAATTAGAAATAGTTGCTGACTTTTCTCAATATTAAAAATATTTGTGGCTGGGTACAGCGGCTCATGCCTATAATTCTAGCACTTTGGAAGGCTGAGGGGGTGGATTGCCCATACACAGGAGTTAAGAGAACAGCCTGGGCAACATAGCAAAAACCTGTGAACACAGGAGTTAAGAGACCAGCCTGGGCAATATAGCAAAACCTCGTGAACACAGGAGTTAGAGACCAGCCTGGGAAACATGGCAAGGACCTGTCTCTGCAAAAGCTTTTAAAAAATTAGCCAGGCGTGGTGGCATGTGCTTGTGGTCCCAGATGCTCAGGACGCTGAGGTAGGAGGCTTGTTTGAGCTTGGGAGGTTGAGGCTGCAGTGAGCTGTGACTGTACTACTGCACTCCAGCCTGAGTGACAGAGAAACCCTATCTCAAAAAAAAAAAAAAAATTGCCTTCCTATTTGTACTACCATATTTTTAACATATCCTCCATTTAAATCTTTAAAAGTTTATTTAGTTTTATTGGTGCATACACATTTACTGTTTTCTTAAACAATATACTAAGTATAGTAAATAATTCCCCCTCCATATTATCTTCAAAGCTAGCTGAAAGTACACGCTTACCCACCACGTTATTGTCTATACATGACCATTGGCTATTTCACTGTTACAGCTAGCTAGCTAGGTCTCCCATAGTGGAAGTATATGTACCCAGTGATGAATATTACTCAACTTCGCCAAGAAATAGCAAGAGCTATTAGATATTTTCAGAATTTTATAATGGTGACCCCAAAAAAAAGTAAAACAAGTCCCTTTAGCATGGCATTTATTTTCTCAGATTTTTCTCTTTGTCCTTTTAAATATATGTGCACATATCCAATGCAGGGATTAAAAAAAAAAAAACCCAAACTCCTGTGATAATGAAAACATCTCGAGCCCAATATATTACCTGCAATATGTCTCTATGCCGCTGTAATGTATGCATCAGGGCTGCATTCAAGGAGGGGACACCTGCACTGTTGGTATATTCTGCCATTTTATCATTTACCCCTGTAAGCTAGAAATAAAGAAAAAAAAAACAATCAAAATATTTTACTAAGCACTATAAACAGCTAAAAGCAAATTATTTGCCTATATGCCCTTTTGGTTGACAGCAAAACAAAACAAAACAAAACAAAACAAAAAACAAACAAGAGAGCAAGTAAGAATTCAGCATTCCCCCACATAATCCATAAAGACCAAAATAACATCATATCACCTGAGAATGGCTGTCATCAAAATTCAAGTGGTGTGGGGAGGTACACATATTGAATGGAATGGATAATTTCAATAAACATGTCTGTCTCAATATAATCCAGGATCCTACGTAACAAGTATACAGTTATTTGCAAAATAGCCATTTAACAGAAAGCACTTACCCTTGCCAAAAGTTGTTCAATCTCAATCGCCATTGTCTCAAACATTCTGTCTTGGCTTGATCCATTTAAAAGGGGTGTTGTATCAGAACTAAAAAGAAGTTCAGTTAAAGAGGATCCATTACTCAAATCAGTCCTTTAAAACATACTTAAAATAATAAGGTGATTAATAGGAGCCATAAAATGAATTATGGATTATGTTATATAGGGTCTGTGAGAAACGATCTTTTACATTTTTACCCCAAAGGAATTATGGTTCCTTCAACCTCAACATTACATTCTCTCTTCTTTCCTTGACTCTTACCAAGAGGAAATAAGATTGAGGTTTAAATGATCCACAGATTGGATAACTAGCTAACGAATACTCAGGAACTGGCTTTAAATCCAATATATACAGCCATGTCCTGCATGCTTTGGTACTAATCTTCTCCATTTTCACTTACAGTATGCAATCATCCTTTTGTTTTGTAGAATTGTGTTAAATTGCCTTTTCAAATCTGAATAGTCAAAAATCTATCTTTTTACAAGTGAAACTTAGGTTTGACAGATTCAAATTCTAAACCCACCTGTCCTCAGTGTTTCTTTTGCCTTTTCCAAAACACCACTAACCTTCATCAGGTTAGGTATGTATTAGCATCTGATGAGCAGCTCAATACAGATCAGAGTTATACTGGACACAGATAAATGCCCAGGCAATGACTATAGTCTCCAATCTTACTGAAGACTTTGTGCTACCCTGTGACAGTGCCTGGGTGTGGCAAATGAAAAGTATTAAATAAATGCTCTGTAGACTACTAATATAAATCCTCCTCTACCAGATATATGAAAAAGAACAATATGCCAATAGAATTAAAGCTTCATGAAGGAAGGAAAAAACTGCTCTGTCTTATTCATAGATATATGCCTAGCACCTAGTATACAGCCTGGCACATAGTAGATGCTCATTAAACTTCTGCTGAATAAATGAATGAACACGAGAGCAATCTCTACTACTGGTTATTCTATACTCATTGTATTCATATATTCATCAGGACAGTGTAAGAGTAAAGGGAAATGGCCAAACACTAATTCTTCACAATACTGGGATTCAGTTAAATTTAATTCATCTTATAGGTGGGTAATGATTCATAGACCTTGAAGTTCTCAAAATACAGAAAGTTAAAAAAAAAAAAAAAAAGAAAGAAAGATGCCTGGAATAAATAATATTCTAGTTATTGCTTAGTTGACTCATAGTGACATGCTTCCAACCTGGGCATCAAACAAGACACTTTAGAATAGACATCAAATCCTGATCCTCATGGCCTTAGGTTTTTATTTAGAAGGGGAGTTAGGCTGAAGTAATTCTACAAAGCCAGTTTCAGTTTGTGGTAGAATTTCTTGGGAAATGTTTTCAAGATAGTTTTTCCTTTAGAGGAATAACAAAAGTATTAGTTCATGAAGCACACAGAACATAGAAAATGCATAGAAAGAACATTCTTCATTCTCTTTACTTGCTAAATAAAGCCAAGCCCAAAGCAATGCAATCTATTTGATGTGTTAGTAATTTATTTTTAGATCCTAGAGTCAATGTTGGCCTTGCTGCCTTTACAACCAAGGAGTCCTTATGAAAAAGAAATAGTAATTTGGCTATAGTGTTGAAATCAGCTTTTTGTTCAAATGTATACACTATAGTAGGGTTTAGAGTGTGGGCTCTGGAGATAGATCTAGATTCAAATCTAAGCTCAGATTTCATTGTTTTTATTAGCTGACAAATATCCTACTCACTTCTAATCTTTGAAAAAGTATGTAAAATAAGTGTGGATTAACAACAACTCTGCTACCAGCAATTTCACCGCTAGGTATATAGAAACATTCTGCGTAAAAATGTTCCCAGCAGCATTTATAGAAAGCTCTTACCTAACATATAATGAACACTCTTATGTCAGCTATCAAAATTATTATTAATTAGCAAAAATTAGAAACAATGGCCATCATCAAATGGTTAAACTGTGATAGTCATAAAATACTACATATGAATTACAAATGAATATACCAGAGTTAAATGAATCCATAGCTGAATCTCAAAAATGTTAAAGAAAAAGTTGTAGAATAACTATATTATATATATACTATATAACATAATAGAATACTATGAATTGCTCAGGAATATAAACATGCAGTAAGAATATATGTGGATTATGGGGTGGGAGAAAGTGGGGTGCCATAAGGGGCTTCAGTGGAATGAGTAATTATCATTTTTTAAAAATGGGAGATAGGGTCATGGGGGTTCATGATATTATTCTTTGTAACTGTCTTAAATATTGCCTAATTAAAAAATTTTTTTTTATTTCTATTTTTTTTAGAGACAGGGTTTCACCATGTTGCCCAGGCTAGTCTTGAACTCCTGGGCTCAAGTGATCCATCCGCCTCAACCTCCTAAAGTCCCGGGATTACACGCGTCATCTACTGTGCCTGGCTACTCCCAATATTTTCTTGAAACAAGTGGATGACTTACAGAGAGCATAAGCTTCAAAGATAAGAATGTATTTTCCATACATTTAATATGGTAATACACTAGTTTCCCAAAAAAGTACCAAAATTAAAGATAGCTTTGATAATTAATAACAAGGATACACAGTGCATTAGATACCCTCTAATACAATAAACACCAGAAAAGCAGTATGTATACCTGGCACCTGGGTAGATCCACAGGTCCATTTAGCAATTGAAAAACACAAGAAATACATGCCACACGGGCAAATCAGCCACCTTTTCCCTACACTGGCTGAATTAGACACTTATATTTTTGATACAAACTTATTCTGAAGTTCTAGCAGGTTTCTTCTGACACTGTAACAATCTTTGCCTAAGGATTCCAAATAAATGCTAGTCTCGAGAATTCAGAAGAATTTTAATAAGTCACTAAAAAATAAAACAATGAATGGCAAAACAAAACACCAAAAATTCACCAATAGACCAACTTACAGAAGTTATATATTTTAGTTTATTTTTTAATGCTTTAAAAACACAGTTAAGGCATAGGAGACAGAATCTGGTAGTACCTATACCTGTCGCGTCTTCCATCTCGGGTACTGCTATGACTGTAACTTGTACATAGTTTGCTGAAGGAAACTAGTTTCAGGTCAAGTTCATTTTCCAGCTGTCGAGCCTGTTTCCTGAGATCTTTAACAAAATTATAACAACAAATAATTAGACATAAAAAGTAGACACAAAAATCACAGCACCATTCTAAAGAAAACAAACTATGAAAATGATCATATACTGATCTTGTTACCCCCATAAAGAAAAGTGTTGGCTGGGCACGGTGGTGCACGCCTGTAATCCCACCACTTTGGGAGGCCAAGGTGGGCGGATCACCTGAGGTCGGGAGTTTGAGACCAGCCTGATCAACATGGAGAAACCCTATCTCTACTAAAAATAGAAAATTAGCCAGGTGTGGTGGCGCACGCCTGTAATCCCAGCTACTCGGAAGGCTGAGGCAGGAGAATCGCTTGAACGCAGGAGGCAGAGGTTGCGGTGAGCCAAGATTGCGCCATCGTACTCCAGCCTGGGTAACAAGAACAAAACTATGTCTCAAAAAAAGGAAAATAAAAGTCTTAAAAGAAGGAAACCAAGGACTTGCCCAGCAAAGCAGATTAGTCACTTATAAACTTCAGAGGGGGCAAGAAGGGAAATAGTAATGGTAGATGCAACTTCGCAGCTTTACTCCAAAGATGGCTAGAAAACAAATGTTGTTCTATCCTTCCTGAAACTATTTGTATAGCAATAACTAAAATTCTGCAATTCAGAGAAAAACAAGAAGATAATACAAATCACAAAGGAACTAAAAATATGGTTTATGACCAGCATTATCAACTTACCAGTTAATGTTATAAGAAAGAAGCCATTATTCTTTTGAAAGGGATTTTGCTTTTTATGTTCCAAAGCTTTATTAGGCTTATGAACTTCTTTTCATAATAGCAAAATGACTTACCTTTTTTTTTCTTTTTTTTTTTGAGATGGAGTCTCGTTCTGTCACCCAGGCTGGAGTGCAGTGGCATGACCTTGGCTCACTGCATACTCCACCTCCTGGGTTCAAGCAACTCTCATGCCTCAACTACCTCCCAAGTAGCTGGGACTACAGGCACACACCACCATGCCTGGCTAATTTTTGTATTTTTAGTAAAGACGGGGTTTCACCATGTTGGCCAGGGTGGTCTTTAACTCCTGACCTCAAGTGATCCACCCACCTTGGCCTCCCAAAGTGCTAGGATTACAGGTGTGAGCCACCACGCCCGGACCAAAATGACTTCTCAATTGAACATAAAGAAAAAAAGTTACCACAAAAATTGCCTTTTTCTTTCTTTTTTTCTTTTCTGTTTTTTCTCACAATGTTGCCCAGGCTGCTCTCGAACTCCTAAACTCCAGTGACCCTCCTGCCTGGGCCTCCAAAAGTGCTAGAATTACAGGCATGAGACATCGCACCTGGCCAAAAACCGCCTTTAAAAAACTTACTGAGGCCAGGCGCAGTGGCTCACGCCTGTAATCCCAGCACTTTGGGAGGCCGAGGCAGGCGGATCATGAGGTCAGGAGATCAAGACCATCCTAGCTAACACGGTGAAACCCTGTCTCTATTAAAAATACAAAAAATTAGCCAGGCGTGGTGGTGGGCGCCTGTAGTCCCAGCTACTCAGGAGGCTGAGGCAGGAGAATGGCGTGAACCTGGAAGGCACTGGAAGGCAGAGTTTGCAGTGAGTGGAGATTGAGCCACTGCACTCCAGCCTGGGCGACAGTGCGAGACTCCATCTAAAAAAAAGAAAAAAACTTACTGAAAGTAATTTGGAGGGCTAAAACTAACAATAAACAATGTGCTACTAACAAGGTCGAATATGAGTATGATAGAAATAAGTACATAAGTTTTAATAGCAGAAGCAAACAGGCAAGTAGAGAAATTGGTTTAGCAGTCTGGCATCTAAGGGTTGCGTGACAGAAGCCACAGTCTGGACACCCACACACAGATACGAGTATTCTCATTCATGGTGAAGTGAAGGTTAAAATAAAAGGGCAGAAGTACCAGAGGTAATGGTATAAGAATCTCTCTTTCAAAAAGAATACAAAACATTATTTCAATATGCTTTTCAACCAGAAATAGAAAGCGTAGTTAACATAGTGGAGCATATTTGCCCAGAGACCAAATGCCAGTTCGAATCTCGGCACAGCCACTTACTGACTCTATGATTTATCAACAATCTACTTAACCTATGAACTTCAGCTTCTTGTTTTTTAAACCCCTACCTTCAGGGTTTGCTTATGTATTGGTAATCATATGCTTACAGCAGCTGGCACAGAGTAGGTTGTCAGTAATGAGCCGCTGTAATATTATAGCATGCTGCTTCAAAAAACCACAGGCTAATGACTAGTAATAAAGATATCAGTAGCCTCTTCTACATAATTTTAAAATGTTTTCTAGCGGCCAGGCGCGGTGGGTCACACCTGTAATCCCAGCACTTTGGGAGGCAGAGGCGGGCGGATCACGAGGTCAGGAGATCAAGAACATCCTGGCCAACATGGTGAAACCCCGTCTCTACTAAAAATACAAAAATTAGCCAGGCGTGGTGGCATGCATCTGTAGTCCCAGCTACTAAGGAGGCTGAGACAGGAGAATCGCTTGAACGCAGGAGGCGGAGGCTGCAGTGAGCCGAGATCGATAGCGCCACCGCACTCCAGCCTGGGCGACATAGCGAGTCTCCAAAAAAAAAAAAAAAAAAGTTTTCTAGCTGGTACACACATTTCAAATGGGCATTGTAATACATGTTTTAAACTATAAGCACGCTTTTCTGTGATTGGAATAATTGTCTTCTCTAGTAGGAAACATAAGTAAAAGCATTTTGAAAGTATGATAGGCAAATCTGGATAAATTTAGAATTGAGTTTCTTAGACCAAGGGGCTGATAGTGACAATACTGTGGTTTCTAGAGGCTTCAGTGTATAGCAATAAAAACAGGTCAAAGGAATTTGGAAAGTAGTTTCTATGCGGCTGTAAAGCAAAGAGACAGTTGGGAGAAAAAGGTGAGCTTTCTCTGCTCTTGTTGATCATCATAATCCACGAATGAGTTTTATGTAAGCTCACTTTATCCGACTATAGTTTCAGGAATTAAACAAATGCATTTGTCAAATCACAGGAAGGTTTTTTTGGTGGGAGAAGTATAGCAAATGTAACTGCAATTCACACAGGTTCTCTCAACTTTTTCAATAAAACCGATTCTAGACTCTAGAGCAGAAGGGTAAGTTATTTTCTCCTCCTTCAAACACCCAGTCCTGGAAGTCCCCAACCTGTAGTTGTCATGGAGACCCAATAAGAGACATTCTGTCTCCTATTCTCTTCATACTTCCTCCGACGGACCGGAATGCAAGTTCCTCCTTCTCTTTTCCCACTCAGTTTTCCAATAGTGACCTCAGCTCCAATGCGCTGACTCCTCCAGTCTCCGGGGCTCTGGATCTTCTCCCTCAACATTCGTTTCCTCTCAGAGTTCGTACCCCAAGCCCCTTCGTCCGAGTTCCATTACTCCCTCAACACAATTCTACCCAGGCGATTGAGAGCCCTCTTCCTCTACATCCCCGCTCTGTCCACTCTGCCCAACCCCTGCCCCACGTCCCGCTCACACGCCCCGGCCAGGCCAGACCCCTACCCCAGACCGTTCGGTATCCCCAAGGCCCCGGGGATCCCACTTAGGCAAGCCCCGCTGCTCAGCTCGGCCGCTCCGGGAGTCTGGTTCTTTCCTGTGCTGCTTCTCCCAAGATCTGTCCTCACTCAGCCCCTCTCACCCTCGTAGGACGCACCCGGAGGCCTTCTCGCCCTCACCTTCCCAGTAACTGCTGGTCCCTGCCGCCATCTTTGTCGTCCAACGTCAGCCGGGATAGGGGAGCAGAGGCGATGCAGGCCGGAAAGTCACCATGGTGCGTGTTTCCGCCTTGAGAGCCAGGGCCGACGGGATGCGAGCCTCCGCGGACACTGCCACCTGCTGATCAATTCGTTATCTTACAGCTTTTAAGTAGCGAGAGAGAAAAAACTTCGGCTTTAGCTCCTGTCTTTCATTCCCGCTTTCTGCGCCCCAAACCATCATCATCTCCCTCATCTCGGCTTATCCTTTCTCTCAGCAGGTGCCTACTTGACTGGGAGGAGAATCATCCTCAGGCAACTCCCTCAATTTCCCTCACCTTGTCTCTAATTTGTATCTTCAGCCAATTTCTTCCTTTCTCAGACATAGAGACCCTTTCTTCCCAGAGCCATTTCCTTCATCCTACCTCCCCGCCTGTGCTCCATCATCCACGTTCTTTGGCGTATGCGCTCTTCTCCACTGGCTGCTTTCCTTGTCTACAGCAGTTCTAGTCCCAGCCCTCTTTGTCCTTGTCAGCCGCCACATCTAGAAAGAGTGAGCTAACTGCTTCTACATGCTCTCGGCCTGAGCCCTCAACCTGATAAAATCTGCTGTCCAAACCCACACTTTATAGATACATAAATTATCACAGTCTACCGGTGCTGACTTAATTCTAGTGAAGTGTAGAAACCTTAATTCCTGTAAAGTTCTTTCCCCCACTCATTTATAATATAGTTGTTTTTAAGTATTTCCTCTGCATTCATTGAGGAGAACCACATCAGTGTTACAATATTTGCTTCAAGGGTCAGGCATAAGTTAGAGAATTCAAGAGAAGAGGAAAGCTTACTTGATTTATGCATATTTTACTCTTCTTCGTTCCTAGTGTCCCAAGATTCCTTTTTCTAATCGTTTCCTTTCTGTTTCAAGAATTTCCCTCAGCCATTTTTTTTTTAAAGAGTAGATCAGCTGGTGACAAATTCTATTAGTTTTTCTTCATCTGAGAATGTCTTGATTTCCCTTCATTCTTGGGGGATCGGATATTGTTGCCAGATATACAATCTGAAGTTGACAATTTCTTTCTTCAGCACTTGAAAAATGTGCCAATTCCTTCTGGCCTCCATAGTTTCAGATAAGAAATTGACTAAAATTGGAATTGTTTTTCCACTGTAGCTAAAATACATTTTCTCTCTCACTGCTTTCAAGAACTGTTCTTTAGTTTTCAGAAGTTATGATGTGCCTTGGTGTAGATTTCTTTGGATTTATCCTGTTTGGGATATCCTCAGCTTCTTGATTCTGACATTTATGTCTTCTGCCAAATTTGGGGGATTCTCAACCATTGTTTCTTCCAATACTTTTTCTGTCTCATACTGTTTCTCTTCTTTTTCTGGGAGTCTGATGACGTGAATGCTAGATCTTGTGTTAATGTCCCACATAGCTCTGAAGTTATGCTAATTTTTTTTCAGTCTATTTTCCATCATTCGGATTTGGTACTATCTACTATTCTGTCTTCAGATTTGCTGACAGAAAGTATGTCTTTCCTCTGTTCCCTCCATTCTGCTGTTGAGCCTATTCGTTGAGTTCATGTCAATTATTGCATTTTTCGTATCTAAAACTTCTGTTCAGTTCCTCATTATATCTTCTGTTTCTTTGCTGAGACTCGTTTTATCATTTGTTCTAAGTTTGTTTGTAATTGCTCACTAAAGTATTTTTATTAGAGCTGCTTTAAAGTCCTCATCAGATAATTCCAACATCTGTGTCATCTTGATGTTGGGGTCTGTTGTCTTTTTTTCACTCAAGTCGAAGTTCTCTGGGCTATTGGAATGACAATTTTTATAAATTGTATCCTGATGTTTCAGGTATTTGTTATGAGATTCTGATCTTATTTATGTCTTCTGTTTAAGCAGACTTCCTCTGACACTATGCTGCTGGGGGACATAGGGAAATGCTTGCTACTTCCAGGTGGCAGTGGAAGTTCAGGCTCTCCCTTGGCCTTCACTGATTCCCCAGGGAGGGGGTGCCTTGTTACTGCTCCGCATGTGGTCCCCACTGCCACCATGGCAGGGAGCCTCATTGCTGCTGTGCAATGGACGAGAAGTCCAAGTGGGGGATGGGTGGAGTGCTTCATTAGAGCCAGGTGAGTGTGGAAGCCTAGCCTCCTCACTCAGCCTTTGATGGCAAGGAGTGAAGATGGGCCTCAGTTTTTTCTGTGGCATTTGTCCAGAGTGGTGAAATTATTGTCCAAAAGTATTCTGTCTTGTTAGGATACCTGTTTCCTCATCCCTTGTCTGGAGAGAGAAGGCTTTCCATTTTCCTTTGGACTTTTCTTGTCTGCACCCTTTGGCATTTCTAGGTTGCCAGTTTCTCCAGCACCCAGTATAGGACATAGGAAACAAAAAGGAAACCCAGGGAACTCACCTTCATGTTCTTTACATTCTGAGGTCCTTAGCTGGTCTGCCTTCTTCTTTCCACCTTTTTGAGTCTTTTTAAAAATATATATATATGATTTTTTTTTTTTTTGCTGTGCTTAGTGGGAAAAATAGAAAGAAATACAGCTAATCCATTTTGTCCAGAAGTGAAATTGTTGATTTAATTTTTAAATGTTTTAATTATCGGGCTGGATGTAGTGGTTCATGCCTCTAATCCCAGCACTTTGGGAGGCTGAGGTGGTAGGATTGCTTGAGTCCAGGAGTTTGAGGCCAGCCTGGGCAACATAGTAGGACCTCATCTCTACAAAAAATTTAAACATTAGCCAGGCGTGGTGATGCGCCCTATAGTCCCGCTACTCAAGAGGCTGAAGTGGGAGGATTGCTTGAGCCCTGGAGGTCAAGGCTGCAGTGAGCCATCACCACACCACTGCACTCCAGCCTGGGTGACAGAGTAAGACCCTGTCTTAAAAAAAAAAACCTGCTAAAATTCTTCATCTTGTCTTCTACTTTCTTGAATTCATTCATCATCATTCTTTTTTTTTTTTTTTTTTTTTTGAGACAGAGTCTTGCTCTGTCGCCCAGGCTGGAGTGCAGTGGCACGATCTCGGCTCACTGCAACCTCCACCTCCTGAGTTCAAGGATTCTCCTGCCTCAGCCTCTCAAGTAACTGGGATTACAGGTGCCTGCCACCACACTGGCTAAGTTTTGTATTTTTAGTAGAGATGGGCTTTCACCATATTACCTGGGCTGGTCTCGAACTCCTGACCTTGTGATCCTCCCACCTCAGCCTCCCAAAAGTGCTGGGATTACAGGTATGAGACACTGCGCCCGGCTTTTTTTTTTTTTTTTTTTTTTTTTGAGACGGAGTTTCGCTCTTGTCACCCAGGCTGGAGTGCAATGGCGTGATCTCAGCTCACTGCAACCTCCGCCTCCTGAGTTCAAGTGATTCTCCTGCCTCAGCCTCTCGTGTAGCTGGGATTACAGGCATGCACCACCACGCCCAGCTAATTTTGTATTTTTATTAGAGATGAGGTTTCTCCATGTTGGCCAGACTGGTCTCAAACTCCCAACCTCAGATGATCCGCCCACCTCGGCCTCCCAAAGTGCTAGGATTACAAAGGCGTGAGCCACCGCACCCGGCCCATCATCATTCTTTAAAAATTTCTGATAACTGAGAAATCTGTACTTCCCATAGGATTGTTTCTATTTTTCTTGATCATTCACAATTTAATCTTGTCTTTTGATAATAAGAACTTTTGATTGGATGCTATATATTATAGATACAACTTTGTATTAATCATTTGAGGATCTAGATGATGTTGTCTTTCTCCAGAAAGAATTTACTGCCTCTTCTTGCAGGCAGTTCAGGTAGGGGCAGATCAGCTTAATCCAGTATGGGGTGGAACTAATACCAAGAGGGATTCTGTGTTTGTTAAAATTGGTCTATTTTTGGTTAACCCTTAATTCTAATGTCTAGCCATTCAGGTTTCCTAACTGGAAGACTGTTTACCAGTGCCACCTCCTTGACAGGTGCTAACCTCATATTTTCCTCCACCCAGTGATACTGCCTAAAACTTCTGTTTGAGTTCTCTGTCTCTTGCCTGGCCTCTCTTCTGTCACCTATGAATTGAAACATACCTGGAGGTGAAAGTTTTACCATCATGCTCACCTCTCAGCTCTTTTTGTTCCGGGATCTTGATCCTATAAGTCCTTCTTACATTAGTAGTTCTCCAATCCTTCAAACAGTTTTTTTTTAAAATAAAATTTAGCTTTTCTAATTGCTCTTGACGAGAAGTCTTTCCATTTCAAGCCAATCCACTCACAGCTGGAAGTGGAACTAAATTTTATTATTTCTAATTTATCTGTAGATTATTTTGTATTTTCCATATATATAAGCATATCATCTAATAATGACAAATTCATCTTATCAATATTCATTCATATATGCTATTTATATTTTCATGTTTCATGGCTGAGATCTGTTCTGATAATAGAGCAAAGCTAAGGTATTAAATACTTTAGTAGGTATTTTTGTTGGCATGTTCGGGGAGGAGTTGTAAGTGCTCTGATTTTGCAGTTCTCATTTGACTAGCAGGACTCGAATTTCCTCCTTTTCTTCTTTTCATCACCTAATTTTCTTTTGCTTCTTTTCATCACCTAATTGTCAAAGGTGCTTCTCCTTTTTTCATTTTTCCCTTCACTAGACGCTCTTCTTTTCTTTTCTTTTGAAGCTGTGTGTTTCAAAGACTGCCTCATTAAGTCACACCTGCCCCCTTTAAATTGTGCTCACTCTGAAGCCTCTTGCCTCTGGTTTCTGCCCGGATCTGCTTGGACATGTTTTTGAGATTGAGAGTTAGGTGGACCTAGTCTTTCTGGCAGTAGTTTTAGGCCAAGATTAGAACATTACTTTCTTTTTCTGGCGTCCCTCTCCTGACTTCCCTGCAGTTTATCTCCATCTGGCTTCGCTCCACAGAGCCTGTGGGATGCTGCTGGGGTGGGCCTGTGAGAATCCATGTTGCGATCTGCTGATTTTCCTCATCTTACTCAGTTTGAAGTTTCAAAATTCTCTGACTTCAAATTATGCTGAGAGTGTGATTTCTGTATACTTTTTCCTTCGTGTGCTTGCATTATTTTGCAATGAAATATCGGGAGACAGGTAGCTAGGCTGCCACTAATGTTTTCAGCGACCGGGAAGTTCGCTTTCATTCTTGAAAGGTATGTTCAATACAGAATTCTATGTTGGAAGTTATTTAATGTTTTCCCCAGCATTTTTAAAGTATAATTTCAATGTACTTTGGCTTCTATTGTTGAGAGTGTCTAATTGCTAATCTCTTTTGTCTTTGTCTTTGTTGATCTGCAATTTCACTGATCTAAGTGTGGATGTTACTTTTTCTTGCTTGGATTGAGTTTCTTTAATCTATGGGTTGCTATCTTTATCAATTTGGGGAAAATTCTCATTGCCTCTTAGTTTCCTATGCACTTTCTTTTCTTTCTTCTAAAACTGTGGTTATCAAACATGTGGTATTAGTTGTATGCCAAATCCACATTTTAACCCTCTCCTTTGTATTTTCTACCTTTTTGTCTCCATGCTACGTAAGAATTTCTACAGATCTGTCTTCTAGTTAATTACTTCTCTGTGCCCAATCTGCCACTCCAACTATCCATTTTAGTTTCTGTACTTTCATTTCCAGAAGTTCTGCTATTATTTTATAGATCTTTGTGATAGTCTCAGGTTTATCTTTTATTCATTTGAAAACAATAATTATATTTTACAGTGTTCAATAATATAAACATCTGAAACCTGTATAAAAGTTTTTCTGCTCTTCTTTTACTTGTGAAAAATTGTGAGGTCTGCTCCAACTCTAGGAGGGACACACCTTCCACTAGAGATTTCAATTGAACTTGGTCACCTAGAAGCAGAGCCACATGGCTTGACACCTGGAGTACCCAAACTGTGCATGGCTGCCTAGATTCTAGACATCCTATTTCCTATGCCCAGGCCCTCTTTCCAATGTGTTCCATTCACGTTCTGCTAAATAGAAAACTGTGTATAATCCTTCCTCTTTTGTCCTCCCAACACTCACATCTTCCAAATCAAAACCCAGGAGTCAACTCTGTATGATCTCTGCAACTTTTCTATAAATCTAAAATTATTACTTTTAAAAATATAGCAGTCCTGTCAGTCATTACTGTAACTTGCCCAGTCCCTTTCTGTTCCATTCCCTCTCAATAGCATCAATGCTTTTGACTGTAGATCAAAAGCCTGTTTAGTCTTGAAAAACTCTGCTAGGAACCATATGTACATAAATAAATAATAAATAACAATAATAAATACTGGAATAACCTCAAATATTTGAAATTAGCAATCTAGACTTTCTCCATTACTCCTTCACTTTGGCTCCACCTCAATGGCAATCACAGAATATAATCCATGTTATCATAGCAATTTCTATTTAATCTGCACTCTATTTCCTCCGTGTTCCGTCTTAAGTTTCTCCACTTGCTGATTTTCCACCTACAGTTTTGACTTGATCACTGCCTCTTCATATTGCTGAATTTGAAATATCCATCTCAGTATACTCCCACTTCCAATTACCATACCTTCAATCTTATCAAGTAATTCTCACCCTTTTTTCCTCAGTCTTCTAGGCTGGCCTCTAAACTTCAACACCTTACTACTCCATATAGGCCATCCTGTCTCATTCGTGCTTACCTTGTCTACATTTGTTTACACAGTAATTAGGGAAGAGGATTATTTGACCTCAACTAAAATGCCAAAGAAATAGCATGTTTACTTTTAATATTCTACTAATGTAGGTGAAAATTGTGATATTAAAGTTAAAATTGGGCCGGGCGCAGTGGCTCACGCCTGTAATCCCAGCACTTTGGGAGGCCAAGGTGGGAGGATCACTTGAGGTCAGAAGTTCCAGACCAGCCTGGCCAACATGGCGAAACCCTGTCTCTACTAAAAACACAAAAATTAGCTGGGCGTGATGGCGCATGCCTGTAATTCCAGCTACTTGGGAGGCTGAGGCAGGAGAATTGCGTGAACCCGGGAGCCAGAGGTTGCAGTGAGCCGAGATCGTGCCACTGCACTCCAGCCTGGGAGACAGAGTGAGACTCTGTCTCAAAAAAAAAAAAAAAAAAAAAATATATATATATATATATACATATATATGTATGTATATGTATATACATGCATACATATGTATGTGTATACATATACATACACACGTATGTATGTATATACATATACATACACACACGTATGTACATACATACACGTGTATATGTACATACATATACACGTGTGTATGTATGTACATATACATACATATATATATATAGAGAGAGAGAAAGGTAAAATTGGGCTTTATCTACTGATTTTATTGCTTTAAAGTTGTGTGTAATAATTAATGGTGTATTTATCTGAGGTTTGCAATAAATAGCATAGAACCAGTTGGTATTCTAACTATAAGTGAGTCTAAGACATGAAGACCCACACAATGGCACTTATTCATAATTGAGTAGTATTAGCGTTGACCATCATGTTTAATTTGCTGAGAACAATCAGCTATTATAAATCTGAAAAGCTGAACATAATAACTAGATTACTGTTTATGAAACAAACCAAAAGGGTTCTTGATTCAGGTATGAGAAAACTAAGAAAATTCAGGAAAATATTTCAAACACTGAGAGAAAAAGAACTGTTATCACTATTCACACTTCCTGTAGCAGTTAAGTAACGTTGTTTTCACTAAAGAAGCATAAATACAACTTAATTTCATTTAAAAACAAATATGAAGCATCTTGGCATAATTAAAACTTTACTGCCATGCTTTAGACAATCTATTGAACCACATAATAAAAAATTTCTTTTTTTATTTGTGTCTCAGAATTTCTTCTAAATTAAAAAGATCACCTATAAACAGATCTTTATTTATACATTTGATAAAGTAACTTTCTTTCAAAGGCATAAGAAGACATCACATGAAGGAAAATGATGCTGGTTACCATGGGCATTCAATTCCAAGTCAAATATTATGTTGGGACCTTTGCTAACATTATTTCATTTAATTTTCCACTGCAATCCTATCAAGGATTATTCAACCAGTAGAGAAACTGAGGCTCAGAGAATGTCAAGAAACTTGTACAAGGTCACATTGGAAGCAAGTAGCAGAACGAAGAATCAGTCACAGATTGGTCCAACTCCAAAGTCCATGCTCAAACCTCTATGCTTTATTTCCTTTACAGCAGAGACTTTTAGATGAACCAATCACTATTGAAATATAACCTATTTCCATTTATATTTCTCTGGTCTGGACTATGAGTACTTTATCAGCAGAGTCTGTTTCTCATACAACTTTGCTTTCCCAATTCCTATTAGGGTAGAAGTAACACATTGTTGCTAAGTGAAAAGGGGATATTGAATTCATCCTTGCTGTGCCTAAAAGTGCCGGGACACATTATTCTAACTGGGCCTCACCTGGAAAAAGGACCAAATTTTTAACGAACAAGTTTAAAATGCGTACATAAAAACCTTTCAATGACCAGTTTTGTGTTGTTATTGTGAAATGATTGAACATATATAACAATCTAGCTGAGCTACAAACAGAAAACTGTGGCTACTACATAATGCGATTTCAGAAACAAAGCTTTCTTTTGAGTCAATTCATAAATACAGAAACATTCCATAGGTGATACCCTGTATTCTGATCCTGGTACTATTTTTCCACTAGCATAGGCAGAAAAACTAAATAATTTTCAAACTGGACCTATAACTTTTTCCGGCATATTGCATCTGAAAAAAGATTATGAGACAAAACACAAAGAAAGACAAACATCGTAAAATAACTTTTATACAGGATTAGTAGATCTGTTTACATATAAAAAACAGAAAGGACCTCATTACAGTTAGATTTCACATAAATTACAAATTGACTTTTAAAAACTACTATTCAACTTCATTTAAAGTCCCTTTTAAAAATTTCATTTTGAAGGCACAGTGCATGAAATAAACCAAAGACTGAAGCACTTGAGATGAATGGGTGTTGGGCACCTCACATAAACAGCTGTAGATTGCTCTAGAACTGGGAGTATCACTTGGAAAAACTGGAGAGGTGAAAAGCTGATTTTTAATCTGAGCATAAAAAAATACTATTGTCATACCTCCAGAAAATCTGTAGCATGGCCAGCATAGAAGGTAGTTAGTACACTCATGTTATGCCATTTATAAAAATCATAATCATACATATTTACATAATTTATATCCAACTGCCTCAAAATGGTAACCTACTTTCAAATTTCATAATGTATGCTGTCAAATCAAAATCAACCAGGACAATATTCTGAAAATCAAGTGGAATCATTAACGAATTATTGCTAAAAATAGGATAAATGGGTATTGGGAGAGATTTCTTCATGAACTAGAAATCCAAGTTCAGCTGACATTAATCAAAGACCCAAATCATATCCCCAAAATTTTAGCTAAAACAAATCAGAAACCCAAAGAGTTACCAAAAAAGTTGCTATAGAAAATCACTGAACATCAATCATAGTGGAATTTTTGGTAATAACAATAAAACAAAAATATATTGGAAATCCTGGGTTGTCACTGTTAAAACAATTCCACCAGAAAACCATAATGTAGGGCACTATTACAGAATTCATTGCCAAGAAGCTTTTCATACAGCAGGGACAATACCTGGCACAAGTGCATTTCTGGCAACAACAAGATAAAACTATTTAATGTTGAGAATAAATGGAAATGGAGGAGCAGGTCATGGTTACTGAGTAACCTGGTGTTAGCTCAAACACAATAAGCTCAGACATAAACACTACCTTTTATTTATTTGTCAACTCATAATTAGTTTTAAATTCAATAGTCATTAATTCAGCAAATCCCATTCAAGTAAAAGTTACCAAAGATAAAGCAATCAATCACACTGGGCCAAATATACAATATGTTTCCTTTCTGGAAGATGACAAAGTCCCAAAGCAAATCCCTTCAATGAGCATTGCAAGCATTCCTCAACTGGATAGGATCCCACTCACTACCCAAGTGTTCAGCAAAATGCATCAAAACTGAAGGGTCTTTCTTTCTGAAATGACTTGGGCACATCTTACTGAACTACATAATCAATACAAGTACATGTACACAGGCAGACACTTTGAACATTACCTACTCAATCACTTTGCTTTTATTAAGGAGCTGGGAAGGAAGAAGGCTTACAAACTGATCACCAGGACAAAGCCCATGCCTTGTGAGTAAAGAAAGGCACAACTCAGATTTAGGCAAATTTCTTAATACTATGATACTTACTTGCCGCCATAACTCCAAGGAAATGGAAAGTCTCTCGGAGAAACACTGAAGAAATGCATTCCCCATCCCATATGGCTTCAATGCCTTAAGCGGTTAATATATTCTAATATTAGATTAGACCCGCAAATAAAAGACAGGGCAGGGCTGAGAATATAGTCTTAGTAGTCAGGTATCCTATACATTCACGCTTCTAGGTAATACAAGCTGGGAAAGTCTTGTTTTCCAGCTAAATGCATTATTTAAAAGTTCATTGAAGATCAAGACTTATAGCAGAATTTGGTTTTTCTTTCAGGAAATATTACTAAAATAACTATGTGTATGTTCATTTCTTTAAAAATTTTACACATGCTTAAAAGGCATGGCCTCCAGCCACTGAGATGTACAGTTAAAGACATATTTGATCCAAGAGAGAAGTACATGTAAAAGGTATCCTCTAGTGAAGACCAATGATAACAAAGCAAAGCTTGTCACATTAACTTTGTTTCACTTGCTGTAATGTCCCAAGCAGGGGCAGCCACTCTTAGGCCCCTTGTTGGTTTCCTGACTGTACTCTTAAAAATAAAGCTGAAAAAGAGCAATACACCACCATCCTTAAAGAAAACATAAAGATTATTAGAAATTAAATCATGTATACTTCACTAACTATTAGCATCCCACAAGCTCTGTTCCATGTATGAGGTGGCAGAATTTACAGTTGCTAATACCAGAATACCAGAATGGCTTAACCTTGAACCACGGATTTATCACAGATACTTATTAACAAATGACATGACCTCATTATTCTTGCTAAAGAAAATCTTCTTTTATAAAGCCACTTTGAATGCATTCCTCACAAAACCTGGTTGAACGACCTAGGAAGGTGGTAAACCCCTCCACCTGAAGGCTTTGGGATAACTGATACATTAATGGATATAGAATACAATTTGAGAAGATAAGAGCAAGTTTTTTGGTCCCCTGATTTAGTATAAGTTCAGCAGCAACTTGGTTATTAAAACATTCAAAGGTATTAAACCGTTACATCATTGGTAAGATGCATACTTACAAAAAGCATCATTTCCATTGCATGATAAGACAGACATAATAAAATGCAAATCTTTCCGGTCTTTGCCTGATTGGCAGTGAAGATGACACTTTCACACCACAGTGTTTTATCACTCAGCAGTCATAGTTTACATTTTTTTTCAAGGGAGGAAGCTATACTTAAAAGCTTTCGACTGAACTTTTAGAAAAATTGGTTGATCAAAAAGAGACCGTCAAATGAAACATTAGGGCAAAGAACCAAATCACTCCCAGAGGCCTATGTGAACAAGACCGGTCAAGCGATTTCAATAATAGTATGCTATTACAGGGTATAGGCTTGGGCTGGAGCATGAAGTATAGATATTTTGTGTTCAAATACAGGTTAAGAATGTGCAAGTAGGTCTCTTCCACATTTCTAGATATTTTCAGTAGAATTCAGATCTTGTAGATGGCTGGGTCATCTGAAAACCATGTGTGCAACATAGAAAAAGGTTCCGATTTAGGCAATATTAAAGAATCAGGCATTCCTAGAATAAGCTAGTGCTTCACAGATATAAGCAGCAGCACCTGTGGGTTTTTACCAAGTTCAAAGATAGACAACATGAGTTTTAGCTTTTGCTAGATCTCTCTCTCAGCTTCATTCAAGTGGGCATTTAGACCTTTCACAATAAAGTTAGTAAGTTCTCCCTTAAAATGGGCTATTTAGAAGTTTGCTAAACCTTAAGAGAGGTAGTGAAATCCTGCTTACAGCGTAGTCTACCAGTTCCGATCTAGCCTTGGAACAGGTAGAAAGCCAAATGCAGAAGCCCATTTATTCATTTCCTACTGTTATATGTGTTTAAAAATCAATTCAACCTCCATTAAACCTGAATAAGAAAAACTCCAGCTATTTAACAACTAGAGAAAAGTACTCCTCAGTAGGTTGAAAAAACCTTGAGTTTTTAAAGCTTTATGTCGATTCTGACTGCTGTCCCTGCCTTAATGTTTCTGGATTCTTTTGGCCATTTAAAACAAAGAAAAATACTAAAGCCACTAGTAAACATCTGATGTGCAAAATACAACATCCTCTAGTTGGCTTTATGCCATTATTACATAAGCTCCAAATAGCTCATCTTAAATTAAAAAGAAAAAGTGGCTGTCCCATCTCTGCTGCATAAATCAGATTTTTTTTTAAAGGTTTAGAGTACTTTAAGGAAGGGAAGTTCAAAACTGCCAGTGAAATTCACAGAGAATACAAATTTAGCAATTTAATTTCCCAAAGCTCTTTGAAGAAGCAAGAGAGTCTCTCTTCTTAATGCAGTGTTCTCCCAAGAGGAACTGTAATTTTGCTTGGTACTTATGCTGGGAGATATGCAAAATGTGTTTTTCAATGTTTGCTAGAATATAATGTTTCCTCTTCAGTGTCTGTTTCATCCTGGAACTCATGGCTTAGGAGGGACTTCTTGGAGCCGGTAGACATCATGCGAATTTCATCTTCATACTCATCATGATGCTGCCTGAGCCGATGAAAGCCATCCTTGTGTCTATTAGACTTGATTGAGCAGATGCACCAAATAATGCAAGCTGTTAGGATCAATGCCGACATAGTAGCACCTGACAAACAAAAACCATCATGTGGGTGATATTATACTTTAAGGATATTAATAAGCAGCCGCTTACAATGGAACTTTTAATAATATACCCCTCATTTATTTTATTTCTATTTCATGCACTTAAGAACAACCTTTATTATTATAGAAGCAGTATATGTACAATATACAAAGTTTAAAAATACAGATAAGCAAACTAACAAAAGCCAAAACCAAAAAACCTCCTATATTTACATTTCCATTACCCAGAGATCATTTTTAGTTATAAGATCTTTTGTGTGTGTGTGTAATCCTCCCACCTCAGCCTCCCAAGTAGTACCACAGGTGCATGCCACCACACCTGGCTAATTTTTTTTTATTTTTGCTAGAGATAGGGTTTTGCCATGTTGCCCAGGCTAGTCTAGAACTCCTGACTTCAAGTGATCCACCTGCCTCGGCCTCCCAAAGTGCTGGTATTACAGGCGTGAGCCACCATGCCTGGCTCCAGATCTTTCTTTATGCATATGCACGTACATGTATTTTTTTTCTTTTACCATAATGAAATTATACTGTGTCTACTGTTCTGCAACCTGCTTTTTATGACTTCTATTATACTTTTCCTTTCCAGTAAACTTTCATTTCATCCAAATCTCCTTGTTTATTTTAAATTTGTACAAGGTTATCAAAATAAAAGTGTTAGAAACTAAAAGTAATAAAAACTAAGTTCACAATAGCTAATGGGTGACAGAGCCAGATTTAAACCATGGCTGAATTCTACCTCCTGTGTTTTTAACCACTAAGTTATTTACACTTTATCTGAGACAAGCTAAGAACCCTTTAAACACACCACACAGGATCTATGATTGGGCCATGTTTCCAATATACTACTTTCTCTCAACTAAGGGTCTCTCCCACAGGAACCCTGTGATAAAACTTGGTTATTCTGCCTCATCCAAGCTGCACTTAGAAATAAACTAAGGCTGTTTGTATCAAATAGATAAAGTATAGCAGAGTATTCATTTTACCACATTTTTTTCCTTCCTAACCTTTCAGTAATCCAAGCAATGACATGAATTAGTTCCAGCGTAAACAAACATTTCCTCTTTCCTGGATCTTGAAAAAGCGGAACTAATATAAGTCAAAGTCCTAGGAACTTATGACTTTAATATAAAGCAAATCATTCATTCATTCAACAACTCTTCATTAAGACCCACTGCGTGCTAACCATCGTTCTAGGCTTGGAGGATACAGGTAGATTCCTCCCTCTCTCAGAACTTATGTTTTAGTGGGAGAGATTGAATATAGACAAATACATGAACAAATATATAATGTTATGAAAGTGCTATAATGAAAAAAAGCAGGATAGAGATAGTGACAGGGGTAGCTAGGGTGATCAGGGAAAGCCTCTCCGTGGAGGTGACGTTTGAGTATAGACCTGAAGAAAGAGAAGTGTTGGGAACAGGCCCCCCAAAATATGGCCATAAACTGGCCCCAAAACTGGCCATAAACAAAATCTCTGCAGCACTGTGACATGTTCATGATGGCCATGACATCCACACTAGAAGGTTGTGGGTTTACCGGAATGAAGGCAAGGAACACCTGGCCCGCCCAGGGCGGAAAACTGCTTAAAGGCGTTCTTAAACCACAAACAATAGCATGAGTGATCTGTGCCTTAAGGACATGCTCCTGCTGCAGATAACTAGCCCAACCCATCCCTTTATTTTGGCCCATCCCTTCGTTTCCCATAAAGGATACTTTCAGCTAATATAATATCTATAGAAACAATGCTAATGACTGGCTTGCTGTTAATAAACACCTGGGTAAATCTCTGTTGGAGGTTCTCAGCGCTGAAGGCTATGAGACCCCTGATTTCCCACTTGACACCTCTATATTTCTGTGTGTGTCTTTAATTTCTCTAGCACCGCTGGGTTAGGGTCTCCTTGATGGAGCTGGTCTCGGCAGAGAAAGGCAAGCCAGGAGAACATATGCGAGAACAGAGGTCCAGGAAAATCACATTTAGATAAGGAGACATTAGAAGACAAGTGATTAGTTTCAGGATCAATATGAGAGAGGTGACCCACTCTCATATTGAAATGTCAAGATTGTTTTTAACTTTTACTACTAAAAATCAAAATGTCTTTACCTGATACAGTTACCACAAGCTCCCTTGGCAAACCAAATATCCGGTTATCTGTGTCAAAGACTATCACCACAGAACTAGCTGCATCATGATGCACAAAGACCTAGAAGGAGAAAGTGTAAGAATCATGACAAATTCTGCTTAAGGTGTACTGTATCCCTGCTATATTATTAGGCCCCATATAGCAAACTAAGGAGATGATGCATTGCCATCTAAAGTATACAAAATGCTAGAAAATTTTCCCTTTTGTTAGCAAGGGGTACAAGGATAACAAGATATCATAATCAAGAGGCAGTCACACTTTTAATTTCTTTATTCCCTTCAAGATTTCTAACAAGAGTTTCAAAATAAAACAGAAGTATTATTAAGAATAAAAATTTACATGATGCTACTCAATTTGAGTTTCTTACCTGTGAATGTTGTTGCTGGTACCCATCAGCGATGGCAATAATGTTATGGACACCTGGCGCTAAGAGTACATGGAAATAACCTCCCTCTTTTGTTTGTACCTTTATTCCTTCATTAAGTACAATGACTGCTTTAGAGATTGGCTTTCCAGTCTTATCTTTAACAAATCCATGAACTCCCTTGTGAACCTGAAAAAATGTTTAAAATATAAATTTATGTTGTCATAATGCCAGACATGGTAGAGGCACTAGCTTGAGGCATGACCAAAACCAACCAAACAAACAAACAAAACAAAAACCACACACAAACAAGTATCAAACTCTGTATGGCCTGCTTCTTCTCTTCCCTCCCCACTGACTCTGACCTTGTTTGCTATTCATTCAATATTCAGGCTCACAGAGCTGGAAATAAAAGAGAACTCTGATATTGTCATAGCCTGAAGCATTAGAACCCAATCTTCCAATGCCTTGAGTGATTTCCTTCCCACCATGGTATACTGACTCCAGTAACTCTGTGATATTCAAATTAAAGAACTTGCAGCATCTTGCAAGGTCAAATTACCTAAATTATAGCAGATTCCAGAGATGTGAATAAATGGCATCTATTTAGGAAACATAAAATGACCAAAACTCTTCTTTCTATATAAATTTAAAATAAATAATATACATTTTTGGTAAAAGACAATGTTTTGATAAAGGTTTTCACTGAACATATTCCTGGGAGTTTGCCTCTAGTTAAAAGGAAAAGACTCACCTCCACTAACATACTAAGAAGAGATCTCTTATTGTCTGCCCACAAGGAAGGGAGTCGTGCAGCACTAGGAAAGTAACAGCAGCTTGTGTATACTGTGATTTCCGGACAATGGCCATAGGTGACACTATAATCCTAGAATATAAAGTTCAAAATCAAATGTGGGAAAATTAATAAGTAAAAGAAAGAATAAGGCTTTGTAATACAACAAATGGAGTAAATGAAAAGAAAACGTAGCTGACGTAAACAAAGAAGCTGTAAAGCATTTTATGACAAATATAAATAAACCTCTCTGTATTATAATCAATCACAAACTCTATGAGAGCCCTTGAGGACAGGGGCTATGTCGAATTCATTTTCCTATCTTCAGTGCTTCCCACAGTGCCTGGTAGTGCCAGGTAGATGGGGTTTATTCGGGTTTGCTGAAGAAATGAATGAATGAGTACATGCAGAAGAGGGTCAGCTTCCCTCAAAACCCAGAAATGTCACAGTTGTACTTGAAGCTATGGAGATAATGATCATCAGCTCTCTCATACCCTCAACCTGGACCCCTGCTGGTGACAATATCCACTCCCTGCAATACGGCATTGATATTATCAAGGTACAGGAACTGCCTGTGCAGACAGGTTCAAAAACCCAACTTACCACCTTTTCCCAAAATCTCTTCTTTTTCCTAACTCAGTTAATGGTATTAACTCATTTTCTTACATAGCAATGAAACCTCTTGTCTTTGACTTCTCTATCTCACTATCATCCATAATTTGCTGAATCTTGTCAATTCTACCTCTATAGAATATCTAAAATGTCATCCTTTGACTCTACTCTCGTTGCCACTAGCATAACCTAGGCCCTCATTACTTTTTGTCTAGATAATTCCAAACCGGTCTCCCTGTACCAGTCTCTCCTTCCTCCAAACTATCTTAACTGATTATTTAGAGATTAGTTTTCCCATAGCATAGCTCAGATCATGTCAATATTGTTACCCCTGCTCAAAACCTCAGTTTCCCATTCTTATTAAAACAAAGCATTCAAAGCAACAAGCACTCTTTCCATTCTTAAACTTCTGTGGCTCTGCATTACACCCCATATTCTAACTAAATTAGACTTCTGCTATGTACTGCTTCCTCTTTCTGGAATGTTCTGCTTCACTATCTCTGCAGCCCAAATGCCATCTCCTCTAAAGAGAAAAGGCTGTATCTCTGACTAGATATAATTTTTTGTGTCTTTAATTTCTCACGGCCTGCTGAGAGTTGCTCTCTTCCAGATCAAATCAATTAATTATGTAACACAGTTAATTCGTACAATAGGCCAGGCAGTATATTTTATTTATCACTAATATAGCAAAATGCCTCCCAGTAGTAAGTTCTTAGTAAATAAAGGAGGGAAGACAGGCAGAAATGGGAATAAAGTCAATTTTCTGGTTGCACATGTGAATAAAATGATCAGCCAACCACCCATCTGCTAACAACTCCTGCCTAATTTGAAGTGGATGGACAATGAATTAAAATGCTGTCAGAAATTAAAGAAGACCTAAATAATGGATAGGAGGACAATATTGTAGAGATGTCAATACTACACAAAGTGATATACGGTTTTAACACAACATCTAACAAAATTCCAACACCCCTTTTCTCAGAAAAAGAAAAGCCAATGCTCAAATTCAAATGGAATGACAAGGGGCCCTGAATAGCCAAAACAATCTTTAAGAACAATAAAGCTGAAAGACTCACACGTTCCAATTTTACAACTTACTACAACAAACCTACATTAATCAAAACAGTGATACTGATGAAGCTGGAAACCATCATTCTCAGCAAACTATCGCAAGGACAAAAAACCAAACACCGCATGTTCTCACTCATAGGTGGGGACTGAACAATGAGAACACATGGACACAGGAAGGGGAACATCACACACCAGGGCCTGTTGTGGGGTCGGGGGAGGGATAGCATTAGGAGATATACCTAATGTTAAATGATGAGTTGATGAGTGCAGCACACCAACATGGCACATGTATACATATGTAACTAACCTGCACGTTGTGCACATGTACCCTAAAACTTAAAGTATAATAAAAAAATAAATAATAAATAATAAATAATAAATAAAAATAAATAAAAAATAAATTAAAAAAAAGGAAAACAACAACCAAAAAAAAAAAAAAAAAAGTGATACTGGCATAAAGGCAAACATATAGACCAATGGAATAGAATTGAGAGTCCAGAAATAAATCCACACATCTATGGTAAACTCATTTTTGGGAAGGATACCAAAACCATTCAGTGGGGAAAGAATAGTCTTTCAACAAATAGTGCTGACACAACTGAATTTCTACATACAAACAAACGAAGTTGAACTCCTACTTCATACCATAAAAAATAAACTGCATCAATGACTGAAATATGGCAGCTTGATCCATAAAACTCTTTTTTTTCTTTTTTTTTTTTTTGAGACAGGGTCTCACTCTGTTGCCCAGACTCAAGTGAAGTGGCAAGATCTCGGCTCTTCGCAATCTTCCCATCCCAGGCTCAAGCAATTCTCCTGCCACAGCCTCCCGGGTAGCTGGGATTACAGGTGCGCAGCACTACAGCCTGGCTAATGTTTGTATTTTTAGTATATGGGGTTTCAACATGTTGGCCAGGCTGGTCTTGAACTCCTGACATCAAATGATCCACCCACCTTGGCCTCCCAAAGTGCTCAGATTACAGGCCTGAGCCACCGTGCCAAGCCCATAAAACTCTTCAAAGAAAACACAAGGATAGGCGGCAGGGAGCAGGGAGGTGGGCAGGGGGGCCATGTACCCCGCCCCTCCCACTCATCCCACATTTGCCCTCCAAAAAAAAGAAAAGAAAACATGGGGTGGGGCGGGGCATCTTCATGACCTTGGATTTAGCAACAGATCCTTAGATAGGATAACAACTGCAAAAGCAACAACAACAAAAACAGGTACACTGGATTTCGTTACAATTAAAAACTCATGTATCAAAGGACATAATCAAGAAATTTAAAAGGTAACCTAAAGAATAGGAGAAAATACTTGCAAATCATGTATCTGATAAGAATTTCCTATCTAGAATACACAGCATCCAGAATGGGTTTTGTTTGTTTATTCGTTTTTTTGAGACAGAGTTTCGTGTTTGTTGCCCAGGCTGGAGTGCAATGGTGTAATCTCGGCTCACTGAAACCTCTGCTTCCCAAGTTCAAGCGATTCTCCTGCCTCAGCCTCCCAAGTAGCTGGGATTACAGGCACCTGCCACCACGCCCAGCTAATTTTTTTGTATTTTTAGTAGAGATGGGTTTCACCATGTTGGCCAGGCTGGTCTCAAACTCCTGACCTCAGGTGATCCTCCCGCCTCGGCCTCCCAAAGTGCTGGGATTATAGGCATGAGCCACCACCACGCTCAGCCTTTTATATTAATATATAAAGAACTCCAGCCTAGGCAACAAAGGGAGACCCTGTCTCTACAAAGAATTAAAAATAATTGGTTCAGCATGGTGGTGCATGCGGGTGGTCTTGGCTACTCAGGAGGCTGAGGTGGGGGGATTGCTTGGGCCTGGGAGGTTCAGGCTGCAATAAGCTGCGAAGGAGCCATAGCCACTGCACTCCAGCCTGAGCAACAAAGTGAGACTCTGTTTAAAAAAAAAAAAACCAGCAAATAAGTGTTGGTGAGGAGAGGATATGGGAAAATTGGAAACCTCAAACATTGCTGGTAAGGAATGTAAAATGGTGCAGCTGCTGTGGAAAACAGTTTGGTGGTTCCTCAAAAGGTGAAACATAGACTTACAATATAACCAGGCAATTCCACTCCTAGGTATCTACCCCAAAGAAGTGACAGATACTTGTAATACCAATGTTCATGGCAGCACAGGGTTCAAACAGATACCTGCAATACCAATCTTCATGGCAACATCATTTGCAACAGCCAAAAAGTAGAAATCCAAGTGCCCATTGACACATGAATTAACAAATAAAATGTGGTATAAACATAAATAGAATATTATTCAGCCATAAAAATGAATGAAGTAATGATACATGCTCTAAAATGGATGAATCCTAAAAACATTTTGCTAAGTGAAAGGGTAAATATTGTATGATTCTACTTACATGAAATACCTAGAATAGGCAAATTCATAGAGGCAGAAAGTAGACAGGGGTTCCAGGAGCCGTGGGAGAGGGGAATAGGGAGTTATTGCTTAGTGGGTACAGAGTTTCTGTCTGGGGCAAATGAAGTTTTGGAAATAGATATGGTTTTTGGGGCACAACATTTAATTAATGTCACTAAACTGTACAATTAAAAATGGTTAAAATGGCCAAAAAAGTACTGTCGGGTTAATGTAAGGGCTAAACATGTCAAGAAAGCCATGAGGCAGATGCCATTCACTTTACAATACCAGAAAAGTCACCTATTCTTGTACTCAATGGCTGATATTCATAAACTCCATTCTTTTTTTTTTTTTTTTTTTTTTTGAGATGGAATCTTGCTCTGTTGCCCAGGCTGGAGTGCAGTAGTGCGATCTCGGCTCGACTCACTGCAACCTCCGCCTCCCAGGTTCAAGCGATTCTCCTGACTCAGCCTCCCAAGTAGCTGGGATTACGGGCGTCTGCCACCACACCCAGCTAATTTTTATATTTTTAGTAGAAATGGGGTTTCACCATGTTGGCCAGGCTGGTCTTGAACTCCCAAACTCAGAAAATCCACCTGCCTTGGCCTCCCAAAGCACTGGGTTTACACATACGGCATTGTGCCTGGCCATAACTCCATTCTAACCATGTTCTAGAAAGCATACCTTCATGCTGCCCAGGTGACTATGCCATTCTGCTCCACGCATTACTCCTCCTGGAATATTCTCATCTATAAAAGCATTAAGAGATGTGGAATCAGGAAGACCTTAAGGTGAAACTCCTTTCCCCACAAAAGCAACAACAACAACAGCAATAACAAAAGGTATGGAAAACATCTACCTGATTTATTTGGGCAACTGGGCTGACCCATGTGCATGGATGGATGATTATTTGCATAAAGAGATGCCAAATGCTTCAGAGTCTCTTTATTTTCCACTATAGAAAGAAAAATTTAGAAGTCAGTGGAGAAATCCAAATGATTTTTTTCCCCCAAGTTAACCTTCATGGATACAAGTCATCTTTTTCTCCTAATAAATTTTGCACTCCACTTAAGTATACTGTTACTATAATTAACCCTAAAAGGTTTTATTTAGCCCAAGATAATAGAAGACAAACATCCTCTTTACATGAAAAGGTTCTAATGGTGAGTTTTCACAACAGACTATCACACTAAAATACAAACTTGTTTTGGTATGTCTTACTGCATTTTGGGACAACTGTAGCCTAATAACAATATTCTTTGTAAGATGCACTGAAAACCACCCAAACTATCTCCATATACTGCGACCCCACAGAGATTAAACAACCAACTATTTAACTCACCATAAGGTGCAACCACTTAGTCAAAGTTTAAAACAGGGAAGGACAAATCTGTACTGTTAGTATTTGGTTACATAGGAGTTTCATGAGGCAGAAACCGTGTCATACTCACTTTTATATTCTCAATATTTACAGACATAATAATTGCTCAGTAAATGCTTGTGGACTAAATGGAACAGATGGAACAAGATAGCTAGACTCAATAAAGCTGGGCTACCATTAGATCTGAGCTCTCCAAGTAACTGAACTGCTGATGTATGTACAATCTTCTTTGGTTGGTAATTTGCTCATAGAGTGTGCTCAAATGCTCACTATTTATAAAAATGTGGAAGGGACATTACTTAATTGGGATTTGCTACCTAAGCTTAAACAGTATATATATAAAATGACATTCTACATACCTGTCTGTACTGGCTTGTCATAAGGATATGTGACCAGCATGGAACCACCATCTAAGGCAACAGAAAGACTAAAGTCCTGTTTTTGAATCAAATTTTCAATGATGGCTTTGGTCTCAGGTTGGGAGGCATTATCTAAAAAAGAGAAAAGTCAAATATAAAATATCAAATTTTAAATCTTAGTATGAGTATCTAAGAAAATATTCTCTACTTGAATACAATCAAAATGCTAACTTAAAAATTTGTAGATAAATATTTTATTTCTCCATAAGCCACTATCTCAAGCAAGAAAGATACATTACAGAAGGTAGGTTAGTCTGAGTTTTATTATGTACTTCAGGATGTGTATATACTAATGACTCTAAGCAAGTTAAAGAAAAATCTTATTAAAAAAACAAAAAGAATAAGCATATCCAGCTTTACAAAATAATTTAGGGAATATATAAATAACCTATCTGATATGGTTTGGCTGTACCCCCACCCAAATCTCAACTTGAATTGTATCTCCCAGAATTCCCACGTGTTGTGGGAGGTACCCAGTGGGAGGTGACTGAATCATGGGGGCGGGTCTTTGCCATGCTATTCTTGTGATAGTGAATAAGTCTCACAAGATCTGATGGGTTTACCAGGGGATTCCACTTTCACTTCCTTCTCATTCTCTCTTGCCACTGCCATGTAAGAAGTGCCTTTCATCCTCCGCTATGATTGTGAAACCTCCCCAGCCATGTGGGACTGTAAGTCCAATTAAATCTCCTTTTCTTCCCAGTCTCGAGTATGTCTTTATTAGCAGTTTGAAAACAGACTAATACAGTAAATTGGTACCAATAGAGCCAGGTGTTGCTGAAAAGATACCCAAAAATGTGGAAGCAGCTTTGGAGCTGGGTAACAGGCAGAGGTTGGAATAGTTTGTAGGGCTCAGAAGAAGATGGGAAAATGTGGGAAAGCATAGAACTTCCTAGAGACTTGTTGAATGGCTTTGACAAAAATGCTGATAGTGATATGACCAATAAGGTCCAGGCTGAGGTGGTCTCAGACGGAGATAATGAACTTGTTGGGAACTGGAGCAAAGATGATTCTTGTTATGTTTTAGCAAAGAGACTGGCAGCATTTTGCCCCTGCCCTAGAGATTTTTGGAACTTTGAATCTGAGAGAGATGATTTAGGGTATCTGGCGGAAGAAATTTCTAAGCAGCAAAGCATTCAAGAGGTGACATGGGTGCTGTTAAAGGCATTCAGTTTTATAAGGGAAGCAAAGCATAAAAGTTTGGAAAATTTGCAGCCTGACTATGCAATAGAAAAGAAAAACCCATTTTCTGGGGAGAAATTCAACCCAGCTGCAGAAATTTGCATAAGTAGCCAGGAGCCTAATGTTAATCCCCAAGACCATGGGGAAAATGTCTCCAGGCCATGTCAGAGACCTTCTCGGCAGCCCCTCCCATCAAAGGCCTGGAGGCCCAGGAGGAAAAACTGGTTTTGTGGGCTGGGCCCAGGGTCCCCGTGCTGGGGGCAATCTAGGGACTTGGTGCCCTGTGTCCCAGCTGTGCCGGCTGTGACTAAAAGGGGCCAAGGTACAGCTCGGGCTGTTGCTTCAATGGGTGGAAGCCCCGAGACCTGGCAGCTTCCATGTGGCATTGAGCCCGCGGGTGCAAAAAAGTCAAGAATTGATGTTTGGGAACCTCCACCTAGATTTCAGAAGATGTATGGAAAAGCTTGGATGTCCAGGCAAAAGTTTGCTGCAGGGGCAGGCCCCTCATGGAGAACCTCTGCTAGGGCAGTGCAGAAGGGAAATGTGGGATCAGAGCCCCCACACAGAGTCCCTACTGAGGTACTGCCTAGTGGAGCTGTGAGAAGAGGGCCACCATCCTCCAGACTCCAGAATGGTAGATCCACGACAGCTTGCACCATGCCCCTGGAAAAGCCACAGACACTCAATGCCAGCTGGTGAAAGCAGCTGGGAGACAGCCTGTACCCTGTAAAGCCACAGGGGTGGAGCTGCCCAAGACCATGGGAACCCACTTCTTGCATCAGCATGACCTAGATGCAAGACATGGAGTCAAAGGAGAAAATTTTTGAACTTTTAAGATTTGACTGCCCTGCTGGATTCTGAACTTGCATGGGGCCTGTAGCCCCTCCATTTTGGCCAATTTCTCCCATTTGGAATGGCTGTATTTACTCAATGCCTGTACCCCTATTTTATCTAGGAAGTAACTAACTTGCTTTTGATTTTACAGCCTCAGAGGCAGAAGGGACCTGTCTTAGATGAGATGTTGGACTGTGGACTTTTGAGTTAATGCTGAAATAAGACTTTGGGGGACTGTTGGGAAGGCATGATTGGTTTTGAAATGTGAGGACATGAGATTTGGGAGGGGCCAGTGGCAGAATGATATGGTTTGGCTGTGTCCCCACTCAAATCTCAACTCGAATTTTATCTCCCAGAATTCCCACTTGTTGTGGGAGGGAGCCGGTGGGAGGTAACTGAATCATGGGGGCGGGTCTTTCCCGTATTATTCTTGTGATAGTGAATAAGTCTTATGAGATCTGATGGGTTTATCAGATCTGCTTTTGCTTCCTTCTCACACTCTCTTGCTGCCACCATGTAAGAAGTGGCTTTCATCCTGCAGCATGATTGTGAAACCTCCCCAGCCATGTAGAGCTGTAAGTCAAATTAAAACTCCTTTTCTTTCCAGTCTTGGGTATGCCTTTATCAGCAGTGTGAAAATGGACAAATACATTATCTTTGGAAGAAAATTAGAGTTTCAGAAAGCCGGGTGTTCTCTGCAGCACTGTTTACAAAAGCAAAAAATCAGAAATAAAGTAAATATCTATCAGTAGAAAATGGTTGAATAAATTAAGAGTACTGTCATAGATTCATGGCATACTAGATGCCATTAGAAAATAATGTTGGGCCTGGCACAGTGGCTAATGCCTATAATCCCAGCACTTTGGGAGGCTGGGCAGGCGGATCACCCGAGGTCGGGAGTTCAAGACCAGCCTGGTCAACATGATAAAACCCCATCTCTACTAAAAATACAAAAATTGGCCAGGCATGGTGGCGGGTCCCTGTAATCCCAGCTATTCAGGAGGCTGAGGCAGGATAATTGCTTAACCCAAGAGGCGGAGGCGAGCCAAGATTGTACCATTGCACTCCAGCCTGGGCAACAGAGTGAGACTCTGTCTCAAAAAAAAAAAAAAGAAAAAGAATGTTAGAGATCTATAAGTACTGAAATTGAACCATGTCAATGATACATATTCAATGAAAAAGGTCCCATTTAAGTAAATAAGAAATAGGGCTCTCCAAATCAATATACATACGTGTGTGTTGTGCGTGTATACACATACACACATACATAGGAGGGGAGAGAGAATACACATCTCTACACAACTAGTGAAGAAACAAACATCCCAATATAATGGATTGAATTTCTATGAAAAACTTAAATTATTTTTGCAAATAATAATGGAGAAAAATTCAAAAACTTTTCCAGATGTCTGAATTCATTTATACCTCACATTCATAACCCAGACAAGAAAGTACTCCATTATTCACTGACAAAATAGGATCAATCAATCTTCTAGCAGAAAGAAAATTATCTCCTAAGTACTTTAGTAGCCTAAAAATTAGTCTTACTTGTGAAGTCTGTATCCAAATCTTTGCCACGAGCATTTGTTTGTCCTATTTTTGAAGTACAGTCTTTCTCTTGAGCTCTCTCTCGCCCATCTGGATTTAGAGAAGGGACAATCACAATCCTAGTCCTGTCAACCAACTGAAGCACAAACAGAAATTAACGAGTTACTAGCTGCATGTAGAATCAATGGGTACCCTCTCATGCCTCAAACAGAAAGTCTGTTTATTCTACACATAGTTAATTTAAAAGACAGAACTAAGATGAATGAAAAAATAAAAAATTAAATTTCCTTTTGCTTCAAATATATTAAAAATAAGCAAAAAACTACTGTACAGCTAATGTTCCCAGAGACCTTCCAGTGACTTAGAACAGGGGTGAGAAACCACTAACAGCAGGCCAAATCCAGTTGGTGCCTGCTATTGTATATAAAGTTTTACTGACACATAAGCATGACTATTCATTTACATATGACTGTTTTGTGCTCTAATGGCAGAGTTGAGTAAGTTCGCAACACAGAGCACCTGTCCCACAAAGGAAGATAACATAATTTTTGGTCAGTCTGATTTAAGTTCATGTCACCTAATTACACAGGTCCCTTCTGATCCTAATCATGACATCAATTCTTTCCCAATTTGTTTTGGGGAGGCAGAACTGCACTGGGCTTCAAAGTAGACATACGTGGGTTTAAATTCTAGTTTTACCAGTTTCTAGCTGTGGGACTGCCTCAGTTTCTACATTTATAAAATGGAGATAATCATTATCACAGGGTTGAGGATATAATGACGTATATAAAATACCTGGTATATTACCCAGCACAAAATATGTATTCAATAAATATCAGTTCTTTTTCCCTTTCCTAAGTCCACTATGGACAGTGCCAATTAGTGAGTGTTTCACTCTTTCCTTCCCTTCTCTGAGGCAACGTACAACTAGGATGCTTAATCATACGTGCCCAAGCCTCTGGGTCAAAGTTTTGTTTTGTTTTGTTTGTTTTTGAGATTCCAGCCTGTTACCCAGGCTGGAATGCAGTGGTGCAATCACAGCTCACTGCAGTCTTGACCTACTAGGCTCAAGTGATCCTCCCACTTTAGCGTCCCAAGTAGCTAGGATTACAGGTGTGCACCACAAGGCCCAGCTAATTTTTTAAATTTTTGTAGAGACAAGGTATCACTCTGCTGCTCTGGCTGGTCTCAAACGCCTGGCCTCAAGTGGTCCTCTCTCTTCAGCCCCCTGAAGTGTTGTGATTACAGGCATGAGCCATCACACCCCAGTCAAAGTTCTTTTCTGTAGTCACAGATTGCTAAAGTAGATAACACCATATTGCTTTTTCTAAAATCTCTTAGCAGCCAAGATGTCCAATAATTTTTTATGTATTACATGAAAAAGAAAACTATACTGAAAAACTAGGCTTTCACTAGATTTTTCAATATAGTGTCCTAGTTATAAGTAATTCAGAATGGAAGTCCCTCAAGTCAGAATGTAAAAAACTGGCCAGGCGCCATGGCTCACGCCTGTAATCACAGCATTTTTGGGAGGCCAAAGGAGGTGGATTACCTGAGGTCAGGAGTTCGAGACCAGCGTGGCCAACATGGCAAAACCCCGTCTCTACCAAAAATATAAAAAAATTAGCCGGGCATGGTGGTGGGCATCTGTAGTCCCAGCTACTCAGGAAGCTGAGGCGGGATAATTGCTTGAATCCAGGAGGTGGAGGTTGCAGTGAGCCGAGATCATGCCATTGCACTCAAGCCTGGGTGATAGAGCAGGACTCTGTCTCAAAAAAAAAAAAAAAAAGTAAAGAACTATGAATAAAGACTGGAAGGGTAGTGTGGCTATTAAATGACGGAGTAGGAAATTGAATGTAAATTTTTAGTATTCTTTCCTGCATGCCTCTTAAGACATACAAGGAAATATAATAGAAAGACACTATTAACAAAGGGTATATACTACAAAGATGGTTCATTTTTAAAGAGTAAAGTTCATAATGTACTACAAGTGACTCTGTAAAATCTAGCAAGAAATTAAAAATTTTAAAAATGGTGCCCTGATATTAATGTTGAGCTTTTTCCTTTTAAAGCATGTCAACCTCGGCTATTCTCTTACTTGGGTAACAGCTGGGTTCTTTTTGTAGTTCAGGCAGAGAAATTCTGCCAGAGCCAAAAGCAGTTCAGTTCCAACTGGCGCATTTCCATGGATACCAGCAACAAAACGAATCTTTGGTTCTTCAGGCTCAGATACATTGGGCTTATTGGAGATTTCAAGGGACCAAATGTGACGATATTCAGTGCTCTGTCCCAAACTTTCAAAAACCAGAAACAAAAAAATCAGCAAGTAATCAAGCACTATGTTAATGTTGACTTATGGACTTTAAAAATAGAAATGAAAACAAAACACAAAAAGTTTTAAAAAGTCTTTAAAGAGTGAATCACTGCATCAGAAAACCTTAAGAAAATTAGTTTTCCTTGACCAAAGAACATTTATCAAATAGATGATATTATCAGATTTAGGAAAGATTTAGGAAAGATTATGATTTAGTTTACCATCCTTCCAAATTCAGTAATTCTCATACAATCATCACAATATTTGCCCTATCTTCTTTAATCTACACTACTATTTAGTTAATATATTTTGTACTAACTCACAAATTAAATTTTTATTACAGAAATATTTAAGTATGTATGAACATAGATAACCTCCCTTATTTATTTATTTATTTATTTATATTATTGTCATTATATTTTTAAGAGACAGGGTCTCACTATGTCACCCAAGCTGGAATGCAATGGCTTGATCATAGCTCACTGCAGCCTTGAATTCCAGGACTCAAGTGATCCTCTGGCCTCAGTCTCCTAAGGGAGTAGTACTACAGGTTTGCACCACCATGCCTAGCTAATTTTTTAAAAAAAATTTTGTAGAGACAGGGTCTTGCTATATTGCTGAGGCTGGTTTCAAGCGCTTCTGGCCTCAAGCAATCCTCCCACCTCAGCCTCCCAAAGTGCTGGGATTACAGCATGCGCCACCACCCTGGCCCTCCCTTTTTAATCAAAATTAATATTTGTAAATAAGTCACGTTATATTTTACTATAAATGCAACACCAGTTTCACAGTAAAAGTAATTTGAGTGGGGAAAAAAATACTAATTCAATGAAAATTAAACAATGGTCAAATACTCTGCTTGCCCAAGAGCTTTGAGCTTAAGGTCTGCTTTCTTTAGCATAAAGGGAGATTTACAAGAATTGGACAGAAAAAAATAATCATATTAAATTGAGAAAAATTAACAGAAACCTTATTGCTTTCTCATGACGCTATTCAATGGTACTTAGTGCCTGTTGGTGTACCACCTAAAACTCTCTTGTGCCCCACCACTGGCATGTGTGGCATATTTTGAGAAAATATTTAACTAAAAAGTGTGTCTTGAATTAGGAGGTTAAAAAAATTAAATCAACTAAGTAAACAGACAGCAAAATAATGCCCAATTTTTGTTTGTTTTAGAGACAGGATCTTACTGTCACCTAGGCTGGAGTACAGTGGTGTGATCATAGTTCAACGTAAACTGGAGCTCCTGGCCTCAAGCGATCCTCCCACCTGGGCCTCCCAAAGTGCTGGGATTACAGGTGTGAGCCACTGTGCCCAGCCTGGTTTTATTTTAAAATAAAAAAGTATATGAACTCTATGGCACTAAGATTGTATGATATTAAAACCTGAAATAGCCAGAAATATCCAAGAATCAGTTAAGGAAGAAAAGTAATTGGTATTGCCAAAGAAAGTTAAGTATCACTCTGCATCTATGAATATTATAAATCAGAATTTGAGGAACTAAGTTTTCTGATGAAATTAAAAGGACCCATGAAGAAAGACAAAGTAAAAAGGTAAAAGGCTAAATAATGTTCATGAGGTTTGCAGCAGAGAACTATATGCTCAAGGCAAAATGTAAAGACCTTAACTACAACAGGCAAACCATAGGAATCAACAAATCATAGAAATAATTTTGGAGTAACTGTAACAAAATCTAAAATGAAGCAGTGCAAGTGAGGCAGAGCAACCACCACAAAGTGAAGGTAAAGGCTATCTCAGCTATCAGTTTTACATAAGCCAGGACTGTATGTTTTCCCTGGGACCCACGATCACACATGTCCCTAAAGCTTCAAGTAAGAGACTGTGAATAGAGACTAGAATTAGGACAGCAACTAGGCTTCATTTTCTAATTAAAAAAAAAAAGTTACACATAATCCCTAACAGGTGAGCTTACAGTTCTAAATTCCTCCCTTGCCCCAAGCAAAATAAAACAAACTAAACAATATTTAGTCAGAACATATTAATAGATCTGTAGCTGAGTGATGGAAAGGGTTTTACAATCAGTCAAAATAATTATCAGGAAGAGCAATTTTACATTTCCTGGAATCACAGGCTATCTACTTCTAATCTAACAAGTAATTCTCCTTAAAGTTCCCAAGATTCACTATTAAAAAGATCTCCAAGCACCCCTTCCTTACACCTTATACAAAAATTAATTCACGATGGATTAAAGACTTACATGTTAGACCTAAAACCATAAAAACCCTAGAAGAAAACCTAGGCAATACCATTCAGGACATAGGCATGGGCAAGAACTTTATGTCTAAAACACCAATAGCAATGGCAACAAAAGCCAAAATTGACAAATGGGATCTCATTAAACTAAAGAGCTTCTGCACAGCAAAAGAAACTACCATCAGAGTGAACAGGCAACCTACAGAATGGAAGAAAATTTTTGCAATCTACTCATCTGACAAAGGGCTAATATCCAGAATCTACAAAGAACTTAAACAAATTTACAAGAAAAATACAAACAACCCCATCAAAAAGTGGGTGAAGGATATGAACAGACACTTCTCAAAAGAAGACATTTATGCAGCCAAAAGACACACAAAAAAATGCTCATCATCACTGGCCATCAGAGAATGCAAATCAAAACCACAGTGAGATACCATCTCACATCAGTTAGAATAGCAATCATTAAAAAGTCAGGAAACAACAGGTGCTGGAGAGGATGTGGAGAAATAGGAACACTTTTACATTGTTGGTGGGACTGTAAACTAGTTCAACCATTGTGGAAGTCAGTGTTGCAATTCCTCAGGGATCTAGAACTGGAAATACCATTTGACCCAGCCATCCCATTACTGGGTATATACCCAAAGGACTATAAATCATGGTGCTATAAAGACACATGCACACGTATGTTTATTGTGGCACTATTCACAATAGCAAAGACTTGGAACCAACCCAAATGTCCATCAATGATAGACTGGATTAAGAAAATGTGGCACATATACACCATGGAATACTATGCAACCATAAAAAATTATGAGTTCATGTCCTTTGTAGGGACATGGATGAAGCTGGAAACCATCATTCTCAGCAAACTATCGCAAGGACAAAAAACCAAACACTGCATGTTCTCACTCATAGGTGGGAACTGAACAATGAGAACACTTGGACACAGGAAGGGGAACATCACACCCTGGGGTCTGTTGTGGGGTAGGGGTAGGGGGGAGGGATAGCATTAGGAGATATACCTAATGTAAATGACGAGTTAATGGGTGCAGCACACCAACATGGCACATGTATACATATGTAACAAACCTGCACGTTGTGCACATGTACCCTAAAACTTAAAGCATAATTAAAAAAAAAAGATCTCCAAGCAAATACATGTTGCAAAATAAGTAAACTCCAACTCTCTGTACATTCTGTTCCCAAATATTTCTATATAAATTACAACTATTCAACATGGCTAATGCTGATTTTACTGTCTTGAAAAAAAAAAAAAGACAATAGAAAGTGACACTTACTTGGTAAGATTTGTAATATGTGGATAGTTCATTACAAGTCCTCTCAGAAACTCTGATAAGTCTTTGTAGGAATGGTATCGATAAAGAGCCAGAGCCAGATTTGAGGAGGAGCGTAACATGAGGCTTTCCAAACCATTCTCCGCTGAAAGGTCTTTAATTAAAGTTTCAAACTCTTTAGTAGTTGGATCACTGGCATCATTGGTGCTGCTGCTAGCCCCTTTTCCTTTCTTTGATTCATTGTTTGAATCTGTTGAGGATCGAACAAGTGTGAAGTTGACCTGAATAGCGCCTTCACTCTTGACAGTCACATTCTTGGTAACTGGATTATACCTATGATAAAGGAGACAGATCAGAACCACACTCCTGCAGCTGGAGTACCCAAACCCTGGGAAGGCAGGTGTGCAGAGAACGTAAGAATCCTTGGGATAAATGTGGTGCAGTTTCCTAAAGAGACAAAATTTTAACGTTGAGTAATTTATTATTTTTAATACATTAATAAAGAATAGACATGGGTATATTACAAAATATGAATGGATTTTTTTTCATGATTTTTTTTAAGATGGAGTCTTGCTCTGTCACCCAGGCTGGAGTGCAGTGGCACCATCTCAGTTCACTGCAACCTCCGCCTCCTGGGTTCAAGTGATTCTCCTGCCTCAGCCTCCTGAGTAGCTGGGATTGCAGGTGCCCACCACCATGCCTGGATAATTTTTGTATTTTTAGTAGAGACAGGATTTCACCATGTTGGCCAGGCTGGTCTCAAACTTCTGACCTCAAGTGATCCACCTGCCTCTGCCTCCCAAAGTGCTGGGATTACAGACCTGAGCCACCGCACCTGGCCTAGGTTTTTAAGATTAAATATATGGCTTCAAAAGAAATTTAGTGCTTGTAGTGGATACTCCCATGTCTCCTGGAACTTAAATTCACTTGTCTTCTATCAGGGTATACGGGTGGGAAAGTTGCAGAGGTGCTAGGTTATGACATTCTCTGCCAAACACATCCTTCTCACCCTGTTTCTCGGATCCCCTGCTGCTTTAGTTAACACTCTGCCAAAAATGGAAGAATCACAGAAAAGACCTCATTACTCATTAGTGTGAGGTTCTAACCCATTCATTTACGGACCACTAGATATCTGAAAACCATTAAAAAACAAAGGCAACGACTAAAATGCTTTCATATTTTACCCTTACTTCAATGGGTATTCAAACTAACTCTTCAGAAATAAGTTAGCTAGCAGGAGGAAGGGAAAATATCCTGTGGTAACATCTATACTTATCAAAAGATAAAAAAGAAAACTACAAGAGAAACCCTGTCTCTACTAAAAATACAAAAATTAGTCGGGTGTGGTGGCACACACCAGTAATATCAACTACTTGGGAGGCTGAGGCACAAGCATCCCTTGAACCCAGGAGGCAGAAGTTGCAGGCAGCTGAGATAGTGCCATGCACTCCAGCCTGGGCGATAGAGAGAAGCTCTGTCTCAAAAAAAAAAAAAAAAAAAAAAAAAAGTTACTAGCATGTTAAATAGACTGCATTGCTTTGGGCTTACCTGTATTTAGCAAATTAAAAGAACGAGAAATGTTCTTTCTATGCATTTTCTATGTTCTTTGTGCTTCATCAACTAACACTTCTGTTACTCCTTTAAAGGAAAAACTATCTTGAACACATTTCCAATAAATTCTACTATGAATTGGAACTGACTGTAGAATTACTTCAGCCTAACTCTCCTTTTAAATAAAAAACCTAAGGCCATGAGGATCAGGATTTGATGTGTATTCTAAAATGTCTTGTTTAATGTCCAGGTTGGAAGCATGTCACAATGAGTCAACTAAGCAATAACTAGAATATTTACCCCAGGAATCTTTCCTTTTTTTTTTTTTCGTGTACTCTATCTGCCACTAAAGGAGAGTCAAAGGTATAACCAGCCCTAAACTTCGCAGCAATCCATTCAAAGTTGCTTAACAGGCTCTCTAGAACGTTCTAGTAATAATCCTCCAGAATGGAGCCATGTTTGTCCTCCGAGCACTCTATTTCAAAGCATTCAGTCACTCACCCTCGAGCAGATGCTGTGATTTTATAAGTTCCTGGAACCAAGAGACGCCAGTAATCTCCAGTTTTGTAAGTAGTCACTGGGTGATTAATCTCAGCAACACTAATGGTGGCATTTAATATACCCCTGCCATCTGTGGCATCTAGAACAAATCCTCTGACGCCCTGATGAACCTGGATTAAGTACAAGGACACCAGATTTCAATAATAAACATCATCATCTAATTATCTTGGGAGGTCATATTCAAAATAACAGATTGTCAACACAAATAAATGGAACAAACAGGAATTTAGGAGTTCAGAGTAAAGTTCAATGTAAATGTTCATTAAAATATTTCTGAAGGCTAATTTTTCATAGGCTTTGTTTCTCTTTATCATGAAGAATATAAATAACACTGTTTAAACTTTAGCACATTCTGATGATTTCAGAATATATGACATTCTACAAGAAAACAGACCTGGCCTTTTCAAAAGGAAATGGCATTTTTTAAAAACAGAAGGACTCTTATAGTTCAAAGAATAGTAAAGAGATATAATAATCCAATGCAATGCATGAAACTTGACTAGATCCTGGTCATAAAATACAGCTGTAAAATTACATTTTGGGGACAAATATGGACATTTAAATATAAACTAAGTATTAGGTAATATTAGGGAATTACTGTTAATTTTCTTGGGTAGGACAGTAGCACTTAGAGATAGTATGTAGTAGCTCCTTATTTTTAGGAGATAGATGCTGAAATATTTAGGGGTAAAATACCATACCTGCAATTTATATTACAATAGTTCAGTCAAAAATATGTATGTGTATGTGAGTGTGTAAATAAAATTTACATTAAAATAAAGCAAATATAACAAAATGTTAAAAATGTTAAATCTAGGTATAGGAATAATTATTGGCTAGTCATAACTTTTCTGTATATTTAAAATTTTTCAGAATAAAATGTCTTTAAATATAGTAAAAAAAACTCACAGACTTTATGTCACACCACTCAGGAAAAAGAAAAATGCAGAAATGTACTGGCAGAAAGTATTAGTCTGATTATCCTAATTAACATTAGTATATTTCTTATAATCTTTACCTACTGGCCACCACACATATCCAAACAAAAGGAAATTAATCATTTCACAGTAAATCACTGGCAACAAGAAAAAGAATAAAAACATTCACTCCACAGCCCATCTTTCTATCACTTGGCCAATGATTAGGTGTGTATCCAATTTATGCTGGTCTTTTTTAAACACGGGTAAAAAGTGACCACTAACCCTTAAGAGCAAAATATCACTACCTTGTTCAATCATTTTCTTCAACTTTTCCTCACATATACAAATAAACTCATTTCCATTCACGAATTTTCTAGATAAATATATTAAACACCTTGGAATATACAAACTGGTTAAATATACTAAAATGAATTGAAATTTTAAAGAGTGTATTCCAAAATCACTGCACAAAAACCACGTGTACGCACAAAAATCTTTTCACCCTCGGGAGAAATTTCATACTTCACTCCTGAATAGTCACCTGTTTCATAAACTGGATTAGTGATCTTCGATTCTGTTCCCAAAAGTTTGGCAGCTCTTTCTCAAGTGGATATTTCACACAACCTAGTTCAATAGTCACTTCAAAGCAATTTGTTTGTAAATAGTTCCAGTCCTGCATTCCTCCTAAAAGATAAAAATTAAAATTAGTCACTCTGAAGAAGTTCTAAACAGCTCAGATCCCAAAAGGTAAGCAACATTCCTAGTAAAAAGCCAAATTTATCTCTTATCAGCATTGATAAGCTAACGTGTTCATGTGAGGGCACTTTGATGCTTGCGATACAAGCAAAACACCTATACCTTCATGTGGAAGAAGTTGAATCTCTTAATAGACCAATAACAGGAGCTGAAATTGTGGCAATAATCAATAGCTTACCAACCAAAAAGAGTCCAGGACCAGATGGATTTACAGCCGAATTCTACCAGAGGTACAAGGAGGAACTGGTACCATTCCTTCTGAAACTATTCCAATCAATAGAAAAAGAGGGAATCCTCCCTAACTCATTTTATGAGGCCAGCATCATTCTGATACCAAAGCCGGGCAGAGACACAACAAAAAAAGAGAATTTTAGACCAATATCCTTGATGAACATTGATGCAAAAATCCTCAATAAAATACTGGCAAACTGAATCCAGCAGCACATCAAAAAGCTTATCCACCATGATCAAGTGGGCTTCATCCCTGGGATGCAAGGCTGGTTCAATATACGCAAATCAATAAATGTAATCCAGCATATAAACAGAACCAAAGACAAAAACCACATGATTATCTCAATAGATGCAGAAAAAGCCTTTGACAAAATTCAACAACTCTTCATGCTAAAAACTCTCAATAAATTAGGTATTGATGGGACGTATTTCAAAATAATAAGAGCTATCTATGACAAACCCACAGCCAATATCATACTGAATGGGCAAAAACTGGAAGCATTCCCTTTGAAAACTGGCACAAGACAGGGATGCCCTCTCTCACCACTCCTATTCAACATAGTGTTGGAAGTTCTGGCCAGGGCAATTAGGCAGGAGAAGGAAATAAAGGGTATTCAATTAGGAAAAGAGGAAGTCAAATTGTCCCTGTTTGCAGATGACATGATTGTATATCTAGAAAACCCCATTGTCTCAGCCCAAAATCTCCTTAAGCTGATAAGCAACTTCAGCAAAGTCTCAGGATACAAAATCAATGTACAAAAATCACAAGCATTCTTATACACCAACAACAGACAAACAGAGAGCCAAATCATGAGTGAACTCCCATTCACAATTGCTTCAAAGAGAATAAAATACCTAGGAATCCAACTTACAAGGGATGTGAAGGACCTCTTCAAGGAGAACTACAAACCACTGCTCAAGGAAATAAAAGAGGATACAAACAAATGGAAGAACATTCCATGCTCATGGGTAGGAAGAATCAATATTGTGAAAATGGCCATACTGCCCAAGGTAATTTACAGATTCAATGCCATCCCCATCAAGCTACCAATGACTTTCTTCACAGAATTGGAAAAAACTACTTTAAAGTTCATATGGAACCAAAAAAGAGCCCGCATCGCCAAGTCAATCCTAAGCCAAAAGAACAAAGCTGGAGGCATCACACTACCTGACTTCAAACTTTACTACAAGGCTACAGTAACCAAAACAGCATGGTACTGGTACCAAAACAGAGATATAGATCAATGGAACAGAACAGAGCCCTCAGAAATAACACCACATACCTACAACTGTCTGATCTTTGACAAACCTGAGAAAAACAAGAAATGGGGAAAGGATTCCCTATTTAATAAATGGTGCTGGGAAAACTGGCTAGCCATATGTAGAAAGCTGAAACTGGATCCCTTCCTTATACCTTATACAAAAATCAATTCAAGATGGATTAAAGATTTAAACGTTAGACCTAAAACCATAAAAACCCTAGAAGAAAACCTAGGCATGACCATTCAGGACATAGGCATGGGCAAGGACTTCATGTCCAAAACACCAAAAGCAATGGCAACAAAAGACAAAATTGACAAATGGGATCTAATTAAACTAAAGAGCTTCTGCACAGCAAAAGAAACTACCATCAGAGTGAACAGGCAACCTACAAAATGGGAGAAAATTTTCGCAACCTACTCATCTGACAAAGGGCTAATATCCAGAATCTACAATGAACTCCAACAAATTTACAAGAAAAAAACAAACAACCCCATCAAAAAGTGGGCGAAGGACATGAACAGACACTTCTCAAAAGAAGACATTTATGCAGCCAAAAAACACATGAAAAAATGCTCATCATCACTGGCCATCAGAGAAATGCAAATCAAAACCACAATGAGATACCATCTCACACCAGTTAGAATGGCAATCATTAAAAAGTCAGGAAACAACAGGTGCAGGAGAGGATGTGGAGAAATAGGAACACTTTTACATTGTTGGTGGGACTGTAAACTAGTTCAACCATTGTGGAAGTCAGTGTGGCGATTCCTCAGGGATCTAGAACTAGAAATACCATTTGACCCAGCCATCCCATTACTGGGTATATACCCAAATGACTATAAATCATGCTGCTATAAAGACACATGCACACGTATGTTTATTGCGGCATTATTCACAATAGCAAAGACTTGGAACCAACCCAAATGTCCAACAATGATAGACTGGATTAAGAAAATGTGGCACATATACACCATGGAATACTATGCAGCCATAAAAAATGATGAGTTCATGTCCTTTGCAGGGACATGGATGAAATTGGAAATCATCATTCTCAGTAAACTATCGCAAGAACAAAAAACCAAACACCGCATATTCTCACTCATAGGTGGGAATTGAACAATGAGATCACATGGACACAGGAAAGGGAATATCACACTCTGGGGACTGTGGTGGGGTGGGGGGAGGGGGGAGGGATAGCATTGGGAGATATACCTAATGCTAGATGACGAGTTAGTGGGTGCAGCGCACCAGCATGGCACATGTATACATATGTAACTAACCTGCACAATGTGCACATGTACCCTAAAACCTAAAGTATAATAAAAAAAGAAAAGAAAAAAAAAAAAAGAAAGTAACGTTGTAAAGAAAAAAAAGAATTCAAATATAGCTTACACTCTTCTATTAGCACATGTAAGATTCTTTCTAATAGCCAGAAGTAAAATGTAACCATTTAATCAAGTTTTAGTGCATTATTCTTACTCAACCCTCAACGTACATCAAACATAAAAGTAGTTGAAAAGATTATTTAAATATTTTAAACTATTTAAACCATGTTTTAAAAATAATTATTATTCCTCAAAACTAAAAGATAATAACAAGAAGCACCATCTAGGAAAGCAGAAAGGCCATCAAGTTGTAAGGCCTTGATATAAAAGAATCTTTACCTGGCACATTATACCAACTAGCTCCATTTGTTATTCCATGAGGAAAATATTCATTAGGATACATATTCTTGCAAGGTCTACCTTGAAACATCTGGGAATTTTCCTGGAAAAACAAAAAGAATCTTTACTTCTATTTGTTTGTATCTCCATCAAAAAAAAATACTGGAAAGATACAGGAAAATAATAAAAGTGGCTTCCAACAGGGTATGTGAGGGGTGGAGGTGGGAGTGGGGTGGGGCTATGAGCAGTGAGACTTTTCAGTGTATAGCTTTTTATGCCATTTTGATTTTTCACTATCTGAACTTATCTATTTTTAAAAATCAAAATACAATGTGCTCCGTAAGAAAATATTGACTTCATTTATTACTCGCAATTACAAGTAATATAAAACCTAGCTGAACCCCTCTCTAAAAAAAATTTCTGCTCATATTTATACTTTCGTTTCATGCTTTCAAGGAGCTTGAAGTCCAAAAAAGATAATACACACACAATAAAAGCAAGCAGCTTTCCCTGACTGCTAGCAGGAATAAGATGGCCCCTCTGTGCTCTGACTGCCCTCTGTACAATTATCTTACCCTATTACAACTAGTTGCACCTTTCTCTTCCCTAAAGACAATACACTATTCCTTGAAACAGTTTGTGTCTCTGTGTCCTCAGCATCTAGCATACAGTAGGTGTCCAACTGATAACTCAATGAAGGGTAAGAAAAACTGCCATGGAGACACAAATGCATGCCATTGAAAGCAAGAGGAGAGAAAGATTACATCTGATGAGAGTGGCAGGGGGAGTTTCCTAGAAGAAATTGAGCTTTGAAAGATGGTCAAAACTTCATTTATCTCTTTTTGAAACAGAAAAAAAGTACTGAAAGTGTGAAGAGAAAAAGAATAATTTCCCATTTTTCTACCACAGAGAATTAACCATTTAAAATATATAAACAGGGACAGGTAAGATCACACCTGTAATCCCAACACTTTGGGAGGCCAAGGTTGGAGAACTGCTTGAGCTCAGAAGTTCAAGACCAGCCTGGGCAATACAGTGAGACCTCATCTCTACAAAAAAAAAAAAAAAAAAAAAAAAGCCACACATGGTGCTACATGTCTGTAGAACCAGCTCCTTGGGAGGCTGAGATGGGAAAATAGCTTGACCCCAGGAGGTTGAGGCTGCAGTAAACCATGATTGCACCACTGCACTACAGCCTGGGTGACAAAGCAAGACTCTGTCCTAACAAAAACAAAATAAAATAAACGATCCCCATCTAGAAACTTAATATGCCAATTATAGGCTTATCATCCCATCACTCTCTTATCAAATAAAAACCATAATTTTAGATTACTGTAATAATTATATGCATGCTCTTTTGCTTTGGTTTTGTTTTGGTTTTGTTTTGGTTTTGAAACTGGGTCTTGTTTGTCACCCAGCTCAGAGTGCAGTAGTGGAAACACAGGCTCACTGCAGCCTCAATCTCCCCACGCTCAAGTGATCCTTCCACCTCACCCTCCTGAGGAGCTGGGACTATAGGCATGCACCCACACACCTGGCTAATTTTTGTATTTTTTGTAGGGATGGGGTTTGACTATGTTGCCCAGGCTGGTCTCGAACTCCTGGGCTCAACGAATCTGCCCACCTCGGCCTCCCAAAGTGTTGAGATTACAGGTGTGAGCCATCACACCGGGCTTGGTATATAACTTTTAGATCTCATTTTTTTAACTTATATACGAATACAGAATGGATCCTCCACCCCTCAGTCTTCTTTAGGTTTTCAAAATCCACTTTATTGAGATATAATTCACATTCCACACATTGACTCCATTTAAAGTGTACAATTCAATGGTTTTTAGTATTCATAGAGTTGTATAACCACCCACCATAATAAATTTTAGGACATTTTCATCACCCCAAAAAGAAACTCTATACCTATTAGCATTCTCCATTTTTCCCCAACCCCTACTCCCCACCCCCACTCCAAACCCTAGGCAACCACCAATCTACTTTCTGTCTCTATGGGTTTGCCTACTCTGAACATTACATATAAACTGAATCATACAATATGTAGTCTCTTGTGACTTCTTTCACTTAGTAGGTTTTTAAGGTTCATTCAAGTTGTACTGTGTATCATTACTTCATTACTTTTTATGGCTGAATAATATTCCACTGTATGATTTTGTATGTCTACTTATCAGTTTGTTAACCCATTCATCAGTTGATGGACATTTTGGTTGCTTCCATTTGGGGCTATTATGAATAATGCTGCTACAAATATTCATGTACAAGTTTTTGTGTGAATACATGTTTCCATTTCTCTTGGGTATATACCTAGCAGTGGAATGCTGGGTCATATTACAATTCTATATTTAATGTTTTAAAGCACTGCCAGACTGTTTTTCAAAGCAGTTATACCATTTTACACCCCACCAGCAATGTATGTAAGGTTTCAATTTTTCCACCTTTGCCTATGCATATTTTCCATTTTTTAAAATTACAGCCATTCTAGTGGGTAACAAGAGGTATCTCATTGTGGTATTGACTTGCATTTCTCTAATGGCTAATAATATTGAGCATCTTTTCATGTGCTTATTGGCCATTTTCTCTTCTTCAGAGAAATGTCCATTCAGATCCTTTGCCTATTTTTCACTTGGATGATTTGTCTTTTTATTATTTAGCCATAAGAGTTCTTTATATATTTTAGATATAACACCTTTATCAAAATATATGATTTACAAAAATTTTCTCTTATTCTGTGGGTCATCTATTTATTTATTTTTTGGGGGCTGGGGTCTCCTTCTGTCACCAAAGCTGGAGTGCAGTGGCATGATCATAGCTCACGATAGCCTCTACTTCTTGGGCTCAAGCAATCCTTCGGCCTCAGCCTCCCAAGTAGCTGGGACTACAGGCACGTGTCACCAAGCCCAGCTTCTGTGGGTTGTCTTTTTACTTCCTGGATGTTATATGTTATGGATTGAGTTGTGTCCTCCAAAAATATATTGAAGTCCTAACCCTCAGTACCTCAAAATGTGATCTTATTTAAAAATAAGTTCCTTACAGAGGTAATCAAGTTAAAATAAGGTGATTAGCATGGGCCCTAATCCAATATGACGGTGTCCTTGTACAAAGGGGAAACTGGGATACGAAGACAGAGGGAGAATGCCGTGTGATGATGAAGGGTTGGAGTGATGCACCTAGAAGTGAAGGAATGCCAATGGTTGCCAGCAAAGCACCAGAAACTAGGGAGAAACAAGGAAGGATTCTTCCACAGTTTCAGAGGGAGAATGGCCCTGCCAACACTGTGATTTTGGACTTCTGGCCTCCAAAACTATGAGACAATAAATTCCTGTTGTCTTAGACCACCCAGTTTGTGGAATTTTGTTACAGCAGAACTAGGAAACAAATACAGTTTTTTTTTGCAGTAAAGAAGTTTTAAATCTGGATTATGTCCAATGTATCAATCTTTTTTTGTCACTTGTGCTTCCGATGTCATATCTAGAGGAGGACCAAATCACAAAAATGTATTCCTATTTTTTCTTAGTTTTATAGTTTTAGTTCCTATATTTAGGTTTATGACCTATTTTAAGCTAATTTTGGGGTGTGGTGTGAGGAAGGTATCTAGTTTATTCTTTTGCATATAAATATCCAATTGTCCCAGCACCATTTATTTAAAAAATCTATTCTTTGCCTATTGAATTGTCTTGGCATCCTTTTCTAAAAAAAAAAATCAACTGACCATCAACATAAGAATTTATTCCTGGGTTCTCAGTTCTATTTCATTGATCTATATGTCTGTCTTTATGCCAGTACCACACTGTCTTAATTACTGTAGCTTTGTAGTAAGTTTGAAATTGGATGTATGAGTTCCCTAACTTTTGTCATTTATTCTTCATTTCAGAGATAATTTTGTCTTTTTCTTCCATTTTTTTCCTGAGTCCTATAAACTTTATTTTATTTATCCCTGTTTTTTGTTTCCTGGCCTCTGTTTTTATTTTTTGACTATCTGAGTTGAGGTAGTTTCTCATATTCTCAACGTATATTTGGGTATACTTAATCTGTTTAGAATGCCAACTGAACAGTTTTCTTCTGCTTCTCGATTATTTTTTGCTAATGGTAGGGTCTCCTTAGTGTCTATATGTGAAGTTTCATTTCCTAATTTTCTGCAATCATTTTCCATGGACTTTATTTTCCTCTTTATTTTTATGATATTGGGCATTTAATATTATTCCTAGCTTAATGGTACACTTTTCTGTCGGTCTAGCAAAATCCAGGTACCTCAGTGTGGTTATTTATTTGTCTTGGTGGTAAGGGTGGAGCTGAGAATCTTCTGATTTTAAAGTTCTTTTCTGTCTTGTAAAACCTTACATTTCTCCCCACTTTTTCCTTTTCCCATTCACCATCTAATTGCCAAGGAGCACTTCTTCATTTCTATCTTTGCCTCTTTTTTTCCTTCTCCAGAAGCTATGAGTTTGGAAGATCTCCCTGTAACCATCCTCTCCTTTTAAATTGTACTTATCCCATTAAATCACACCAGATCCTTTAAGTTGTGTGCATTTTGAAATCTCTTCCCTGTATTCCAGAGCTCTAATCTGCCCAGTTACTCTTTTAGTATTTTTGGATTTAGTGCATATGTGATGTATGGTGGTCATTCCAAATTACCTTCACAGCTGCCCTTCACTGGCACCCACTTCTGTCTTCTCCGTAAGTTTTCTTGGTCTGTTTTACCTCACCACAAAGCCTTGTGGTGGGGCGAAGGTGGGGTAGGTGCATGATAGATCATGCTGAGACTTCTTGATTTTTAAAAAATTTACAGTTATTTTGCAGTTTCAGGATCTTTTGTGATGCCAACAGTGTGGTTTTGTGTAAAATTTGGTAGTTTTTAAGTCGTTTTATATTGTTTAAAGAAAAACCCTGGGAGATAGGTTATCACATAGCCATCATTGTCTTTGGCTGCTCAGATGTCTCCCAAGACTATCTACTTTTGAGAAGTTTTGAAGAGTAAAAATAAAGAAACTTTGAATGGTAGCTTCATGGGGGCTTACTAAGGTTAGCAGAAGACAATATTTTTAGAGGAGCTGCTTATTGACCAAGAGAAAAAAGGCTGTGAGTGAAGACTGGGGAGTTTAATTATCACCTTCCTCATTTATAAAATAAGATATGAAGACACAAGATTCGAGGAGGCAGAATGCAGTGGGATCAAGAAATGGAGGAGAATATTGTTAAGACACACATGAGAAACAATTGAGAAGACAGAATCTTAGTGAACTCACATCAGATTACTCAAAGTTCTACTTGAGTTCAATGCAAAGTGATCTACTATGAATAAGAGGGATAGAGCTGGAACAGGAGGCTCAGATAGAGGATAAAGGCTCTGAATCACCATAGTGGGAACTGAGCCAGGGAGTCAAGTAGCTAAACAGGAAATGTTGCCATGTAGGACTGAGGGTTCAGCTGAAGTTGGAGAGCACACATATGGACTATAGCAAATTGCCGTGACAGTGTGACCACTCTAGGCTGTACTTGTAATATTGGTATGGAGAAAAGAGATAATGGTAATTACTGAGGACTGGAGGGCAAAGCAGTTATGTCAAAGGGGTGTACAAGACCCTTAGGAGAATCATTGAAAAGGTATGTCCATGGGTCTACCCTACAGAGAAAGGTAAATCAAATCAAAAGGGTTAATGGTCTAAGAAAACAAAGAGAAGATAAGGAACTAGAAGCCAAAATGAAGGCGAAAAGCAGAAATCATGAGAATGAGCATAGAATGTGATGAGAAAATATGCAAAATCCAGCCATTTAATTTTTATTTTGATGGTTGGGACACTATACATTCTCTTATTACTCCACGTATGTACTTCAAAAAAACATATATGTCCAAACAGAAAGCAATAATTCTCTAAGGTGAAATGAACAGCTGTACTCCTCTAGTAGAAACTCTGAACAATCTCACAAGATTCATTTGCAGAGGATGAGGGAATGGGAAAAGTGGAAGGATGGAGGACTGTGACTGGAGAGTGCAGAGTTACAGTAATAATATTCATTACCTATAACCAATAATAGTACCAATATAACCAATAACAATACTAAGTCAGTAGTAACACCAAACATTGAAACTAACAAGCTTAGTTTACAAGCCTCAACTTTTAACATGTTTTCTAAGACAATTTTTATTTTTTTGAGACAGGGTCTCAGCTTTGTCACCCAGGCTAGAGTATAGTATTGTGATCAAGCTCACTTCAACCTCAATCTCCTGGGATAGAGCAATCCTCCCACCTCAGCCTCCTAAGTAGCTGGAACAACAAATGCATGTCACCACAACCGGCTAATTTTTTTTTTATTTTTTATTTTTAGTAGAGGCAAGCTCTTGCTATGTTGCCCAGTCTGGTCTCAAACTCCTGAGAGCTCAAGCAATTCTCCTGCCTTGCCCTACCAAAGTGCTACGATTTCAGGCATGAGCCACCAAGCCTGGTCCTAAGAACGATTTTTAAATTAAATTTTCACACACACACACATTTTAACATTCCCGATTGTAAGAGTAATCCATGTTTATCATAGGAAGTTTGGAAAATACAGAAATTTCTGCCTGCTTTTCCTTGCTATATGTAACTACAGGATCTTAAATACCTTAGACTAAAGTTTGGCAATTTTTTCCTGTAAAAAACCAGAAAGCAAATATTTCAGACTTTTTAGATGCAAAAGTCTTTGTTGAAACTACCCAACTTTGCCCTTTGATCACTGGATTTTCCTTCTTTAGTTTGTTAATATAGTAAATTATACTGACTTACTTTGAAATGTTGAAGGAGAAAGCAGCCACACACAATATATAAAAATATAGCTGTGGCTGTGTGTCAATACAATTTTATTTACAAAAACAGGTGGTGGGCAAGATTTGGCTCCAGAGCTATAATTCATTAAGCCCTTATCTTGGCCTACTTTACTGGGCTTATAACTTATTTGTCAAATGAAATAAATTGACATGTATATGTTCCAGGTACTGTGCTAAAACCATAGATAAAAGGCCAATGGAGAAAGACATGTAGTGTATTCAAAAGTGAGGTGGGAAACAGGAGAAAAAGCTATTTTTCGGAAACAGCTGAAAAAGTCATGCTTTATTAACTATGGAAGCACTTGACCTGAGTCTTGCAGGACTTTAAAGCATATTTTTAAATAAAAGAATTAATTTTGTAACATTTTATATTCAAAGACAAGCCTACCTTGGAATAAGAAAGTGCTATTTGTTGGAACACAGCATCATCTGGTGATTTACTATATGTGGCAAGTCCTTGTTCATCATCATCAAAAGGGTAGTTAACCACCAAAGAACCTATAAGGGAAAAGAGGAAAATGTATCATGTTGTCTGTTTCAAGATGGATTATTAACATAAAGCTTTTCAGAATACTGCCAGAGAAGAGAAAACAATAAAATTTGCCAAGCAGAATTTCCTCAACAGAAATGAAAATTACACTAATTTCTTCAATTCAAAGTGAATAAGTGAGAAGATATCTTTCAAATGGCTAATTTTCTAAAGCCACAAAAAAAGATTTATAGTACTTCTACCAAACAGTCTACCTCAAAAAAATAATTAGCATCAATACGGAAAGGACTAGCAACAAAAGAAAAAAACAGATATACGGGATTCCATCAAAATCAAAAACTTTTATGCATCAAGAACATAAGAAAGAGAAAAGACAACCTATAGAATGGGGGAAAATGTTTTGCAAGCCTGATAAGGGTCCAGTGTCCAGTATTTAAAAACTCTTACAACTTAACAACAAAGACAAAAACTCAATTAAAAATTGGACAAAGGACTTGAACAGATATTTCTCCAAAGAAGATAGATAAATGGCCAACAAGCTCATGAAAAGATCCTCGGCATCATTAGTTATTGTGGAAATGCACACCAAAACCAAAATGAGGTCCTACTTCTCACCCACTAGGACAGCTATAATAATAAAAATAGAAAATAATAAGTGGTGGTGAGGATATGAAGAAACTGGAACCTCATACATTGCTGGCGGGAATGTAAAATAGTCCAGCCTCTGTGGAAAACAGTTTGGCAATTCCTCAAAAAGCTTAACATGGAATTATCATATGACAATTTCACTCCTAAGTGTACACCCAAAAGAACTGAATACAGGGGCTGCGTACAGTAGTTCACACCTATAATCTCAGCACTTTGGGAGGCCAAGGCAGGCAGGTGGATTGCTTGAGCCCAAGAGTTCAAGATCAGCCTGGGCAACACTGGGAGACCCTGTCTCTACAAAAAATTAAAAATAAGCCAGGTGTGGTGGTGCATGCCTGCAGTTCCAGCTACTTGGGAGGCTGAGGTGGGAGGACTGCCTGAGCTCAGGAGTTTGAGGCTGCAGTGAGCCATGATCACACCACTTACACTCCAGCCTGGGTAACAGAGTGAGACTCTGTTTCAAAACAAGGGGGGCACGGGGAAAAGAAAACAGGAACTCAAATAGATATTTGAATGCCAATGGGCATAGAAGCATTTTTCATTGTAGTCAAAAAGTCAAAACAACCCAAATGTCCATCAGTACGTAAATGGATAAAGCAAATGTGATATTGATATATACATATGTATATACAATGTACTATTATTCAACCATAGAAAGGAATGAAGTACTGATATATGCCACAACATGAGTGAACCTTGAAAACACTATGCTAAATGAAAGAAGCCAGACACGAAAGGTCACATGTTATAGGATTCCATTTCTATGAAATATCCAGAATAGGTAAATCCCTAGAGACAGAACAAAGATTGGTGGTTACCAGAGGTTGAGGGGAGAAGGGAAAGGGGAGTCACTGTTAAATGGGTGTGGGGTATCCTTTTGCGGAGATAAAAATGTTTTGGAACAAGATAGAGGGGGTGGTTGCAAAACACTATGAATGCACTAAACGCCACTGGAATTATGTAAACTTCACCTCAATAAAAAAATTAGTATCAAAATTTTTGAAATTTTATGAAAAAGAATATTGCTTTCCCCTATCTTCTTTCAAGATCCTTCTAAATTATAAAGATGGCAGGGAAAGGAATCAGAACATTCTGCCCCAGAATATAACTCTTTAGCATGTTAATTATTTAGAGCTGAAGGCAACTGAGAAACAGCAGATGCAGGAAAGGCTATCTACCCTCCCTCTTTCTGCCTAAAATTAGGGCATAAATTTCCCGTGAGAAAGGCACCTTCCTGGTACCATCAGAGATGGGATAGTCAACACCAAGATGAGTTGACACAAACAAACCTTAGTAAAATAACCCTCATCTTTCATTAGTTTCCCCCGCATATTTCCTAGTCACTTTCCCACAATTTTTTACCCCTAGAAGTCTAAACCCCTTCCTTTGTGTAGTCACTTTTCCACAAGGTATTACCCTTTGTTATAAGAGCACTAAGTCCTTAACACTGCTTTTTTGAGGGTTTCACGTCTTTCCTATGAACTCCCCCACTGCCTGTTGCCTGTGCCACATACAAACATCAAATAAAATTTGTATGCTTTTTTCTTTTAATCTGTCTTTTATCAGCTTAATTCACAAGCTCCAGCTGCGGACTCTATGAGGATTTTTTACTCCTGTACAGCAACAAAGAAATTCTCCTTCAAACTGCTTTGCCAAGATTTCAAACTCCATTTAAATAAGGATTTTAAGATGAGAAAACAAAATATGTCATGGAAAGAAAAATGTCTGCATGACTGAAGATTCCTACCTCTCACCATGCCAAGGTCTGGACACCACATCTGTAAATCTGTGACTTATTTTCACTGGAATGTAACTATTATTAACTTTCCAGATTTAGCCAACATGATGTGTGATTTATTATGAGACTATTTTTAAAGCTCTAAATAAGTGAATTTTATCAAACATAGCATTAAACACATAAAATATAATAAAAGAAAACAAAAAATTTATTTTGCCAACCAGGGTATAACTTCATAGTTCTTATTTGACTCTTTGAGAACAATATATGATTACCAACTGTAGAAGTACTTTTTTCTACTATTGGCAATCTTTCAAAGCAATTTTTGGAGAATCTCAATTAACCTCCTAAATCTAAATATCCATCAGTATGTACTGTCATTCTAAAATGGCAGGCTACTCTATATGACATGAAGTCTCCACTATGGTACTTCTGGATATTCCAGTAAATGTTGAAACTAAATTTCTTCCCCATTGCCCCTGGTGCTAATACTTGTCACTTTTTTTTTTTTAGTAGTTTTACTGATGTAATTCAAATACCATGCAATTCACCCATTTAAAGTTGTTTATATTCACAGGGTTGTACAACCACTACCACTATCCAGTTATAGAACATTTTCATAACTCCAAAAAGAAACCCCAAAATCCATTAGCAGTCACTCCCCTATCACCTCTTACCACTATTCACTCCAGCCCAATACAATCTTTAATCTACTTCCTGTCTCTATGGATATGCCTATTCTAAAAATTTCATAAAAATATAATCAACTTGATAAAGAAAAAAATAATAATCATGCACTATGTGGTCTATTATGACTGGCTTTTGTCACTTAGTGTAAGGTTTCAAGGATCTATGTTGTAGCATGTATCAGCACTTGATTCCTTTTCGAGCCAAATAATATTCATTGTAAGGACAGACCACATTTTATTTATCTATTTATCAGATGATGGTTGTTTGGGTTGTTTCAACTTTTTTGTTATTGTGAATAATCCTGAATGAACGTTCATGTACATTGAACATTCATATACATGAGCACTGTACATTAAATGAGTGAACATTTTGTTCAAGTGAGTTTATGTGTGGACACAGTTTGGTTCTCTTGGGTACTGATATCTTCACTCTTATTCGCAACCTTAGTTGGACATTGTGGCGATTTTTAATCTTGACACTCATCCTATTCAACCGATCCATCCTGCTAAATTATATGGAGGTATATGAGCTCAGGTACTACATGAGAATGTGGTCACTCTGCTGCAGTTAAGGATATACCAAGTAAAAAAGAGAATATCAAAATCTAAATTTACATAAAAGAGTTTATTAAACTTCAGGGAGAAAACAGAACTAAACATTTGGATCAATTTTTATGAATGACAAAGAATATGTTACCAAGTTCCCAATGTGAGAGATAAATACAAAATACCTGAAGAACTATGAGAGGAAGAGGAGAGGAGGAGGAAGAACAGAGTAGGGGGACAGGCGGGGGAGAAGGAGAGGAGAGGAGAAAAAAGACAAGACAGAGAAGAAAGGGGAGAGGAGGTAAGAGAAGGGAAAGAGAAGTAGTAGGTGAGAAAAGAGAGGAGAAAGGGGTGGAGAGAAGAGATGGGGGTAAAAGGAGAAGAGAAGAGGAGGAAAAAAAGAGAGAAAGAAGGAGGAAAGAAACAGCCAGGACACTGGCTGAAAAAGTAATGAGAAAAGACCTTTACTGTTGTCTGCCATAAGAGCAGTAACAGGATACTCATTTTAAGAAAGCATAACACTACAAACAGATAAAATTCCACCAGGATTTCCAAATGCTCTCAACAAGAACTGATTAGTAGAATATAAAGTTGCCATACCTCCATGCAGGTTTGCTGAAAGTACAAATGGATAGGACTTCATCCAGCTCATTACAGCAATAGTTTCTGGTTGCGTAGGATCTGTGATCTGAACAAACTGGTCTGGGAAATTTCGGTTCAGGTCAAAGTTGTTGCTGTTGTTTCTGCCAATTACACTTATTGAATCTCCTGTATGATATGATAAAGGATTTGAATATAAGCCATGTTCACTTATATTTTATTCCAACACGTACTACTTTAGATACCTTAACTCAAGGCAAATGTGAACACATCAGGCTTCGCTATTATCAATCACCTATGATTATGAAACTGTCTTTGCAAAATTATAACAGTAAAAGAAATCTGACATGGTTGACTCCGCCTTTTTTTTTTTTTTTGAGATGGAGTCTCACTCAGTCACCCAGGCTGGAGTGCAGTGGCGCAATCTCAGCTCACTGCAACCACCATCTCCCGGGTTCAAGCGATTCTCCCATCTCAGCCTCCCAAGTAGCTGGAATTACAGGCACCTGCCATCATGCCCAGCTAATTTTTGTATTTATTAGTAGAGATGGGGTTTCACCATGTTGGCCAGGCTGGTCTTGAACTCCTGACATCAGGTGACCCACCCCCCTCAGCCTCCCAAAGTGCTAGGATTACAGGAGTGAGCCACCACGCCCAGCCAGACTCCACCTTACTTCTAACCTCCAAGCTGTCCTTGGTCATTCCTGGGCATCGGCCAAGCTAACTTTGGGAGAAATTTAGCTTACAGTTTAATCTTAAAGCAAGGATGATAACAACCTTTCCCAAAACTAAACCACCTTTGTAAAACTAATGAAAGGTCACAAGGTTGGGATTATAAGAGGGGCCTGAATTTGGCTAACATGTATGTGTAATTAAAGGATAACCAGTCATTGTTTTGGAAGTTGTTAAGATTTGTAACTTCCTCAACTACTCCTGTAGATAACATCACTACTGTAGAACCTAAGATTGGCCTTCTGAGATGTTATTCTGACTTTTGCATTTCTGACAACCAGCTGACGTCACCTGGACCAGTGAGTGAGTTGTAACTCAGCTGGTCCTGTGGTTCCCAACTAGAAGCTGACTCAGCACATAAGGACTGTTTTCCACATCCCTATGATTTCATCCCCAACCAATCAACCCATTCTCTAGTCCCTTGTCCATCAAACTATCTTTGAAAAACCCTAACCTCTGAGCCTTCAGGGAGACTGATTTGAGTGATAACTCCAATTCTCCTGCGTGGCTGGCCTTGCATTAATTAAACTCTTTACTGCGATACCATGGTCTCAATGAACTGTTTTGCCTGTGCAGCAGGCAGGAAGAACCTGTCAGGCATTACCTCTTTTTTTTTTTTTTTTTTTTGAGACGGAGCCTCGCCTTGTCGCCCAGGCTGGAGTGCAATGGCACAATCTTGGCTTACTGCAACCTCTGCCTCCTGGGTTCACGCCATTCTCCTGCCTCAGCCTCCCGAGTAGCTGGGATTACAGGTGTGCGCCACCACGCCCAGCTAATTTTTTGTATCTTTAGTAGAGATGAGGTTTCACCATGTTGGCCAGGCTGGTCTCGAACTCCTGACCTCGTGATCCACCCACCTTGGCCTCCCAAAGTGCTGGGATGACAGGCGTGAGCCACAGCACCTGGCCAGGCATTACAGTTAAAACACATCTTTTTCACATTGCGTGTTTAAAAACTGTATCTCTTCCAGATATTTTGAACAGAGAGGTAAAACCATTATCTTTTTATTTTTGCCCTCTGCTCATAATCTGGGAGGAAAAATATTCCAATTAGACAAATTATATTAAAGCACTGTTTAAGTGTCAATAATCCACATATAATGACATTATCACAATGTTGAGTGGAAATTACTGATCAGAGGGGAACTCTATTTGTTTTTTTTTTTTTTTTTGAGACAGAGTCTCACTCTGTGGCCTAGACTGTAGTGCAGTGGCGCCATCTCGGCTCACTGCTACCTCCACCTCCCAGGTTAAAGCAATTCTTGTGCCTCAGTCTCCCGAGTAGCTGGAATTACAGGTGTGCACCACCACGTCCAGCTAATTTTTTGTATTTTTAGTAGAAACAGGGTTTCACCATGTTGGCCAGGCTGCTCTTGAACTCCTGGTCTCAAATGATCCATCTACCTCGACCTCCCAAAGTGCTGGGATTATAAGCATGAGCCACCACGCCTGGCCAGGAACTCTATACTCCTCTCTGTACTTGTATAAAGCTCACTAAGACATTGTAAGAAATAGAGCAAATGAAAAGAAAATTGTGATATGCTCACATTAAAGTGATCACAAAAAGGTAAAGTTAGCCAAGAGCACAGCTGGAAGTTTAACCTGATGGAGGAGAAAGTTCAATTTAAGCTTAACTGTGCATATTCCATTTTAATAGGGAGTGGGAGCCTTACTATTGTCATTATAATGAGAAAAATTGCAAGAGACTAAAGAAAACTGGAGGGCTCACTAGTGTAATTAGTTCCACCTTTCAGAAAGGTCTGGGGAGTATGTAGAAGGGACTTGTGGCACTGACAAAGAATGAGAACCTTAGGGGGAAAAATCTGAAATATATACATATATAAGTAAGATCTTGTGCCTATTTGTTCAAGTGAGCTTCTGGGGTACTAATGACCAACTTCTGGGTACTAATGACCAACTAATGACCAACTGATCCTCCCAATGGTCAGGTCAGTGCTAGTAATAAGTCATGAGGCTCCATATTATACTATGGTGCCTGATAGATATCATTGCCTGGAAGAAATCATGGGCTGGGAAAAGATGAATTCTTACTCCCCTAGTGTTGTGCATAAGGGTCTGCTGTCCCATCCCACACTATAACGCCCCAGGAGAGATGGGCTTGCCCAGGGAAGGCAAAGAAATGAGAAGTCAATAAATTAGCAAGTCTGGAATATGCAGAGGGAGTAGAACTGAGAGTCAAAACAGAGTCACTGACTCAGACAGATATCTGGTTTGGTTTTTCACTTATGAAATAAGGTTCCCAAAATAATGATTTAATAAGAACTGTAAACCCAAAACAAAATTCTAAGGCCCCGCTCAATAGGCAGGGCCTATCTCAACAGATTCCCTCCTCTTGACCACGGCACTCCAAAGTTAACCTGAAAGACTGGTTCAGGCCATGATGGGAAATGGGGGTCAGACATGCCTCATTATGCCTCCTCTCTTTTGGAAATCAGGAAAAGTCAATCAGCATTAATACCAACACAGACCTTAAGTCTGATAAGAAACATTTACAATCTATTCTCTGTGAAGCCTGCTACCTGGAGGCTTCATCTGCATGATCAAACTTTGGTAACTACAACCTCTTATCCTAACCCAGACATTCCTTTCGATTGATAATAAATCTTTCAACCCTCGCCCGATTTCTGGACCAAGCCAATGTATATCTTAAATGTGTCTGACTGATGTCTCATGTCTTCTTAAAATGTTTAAAACCAAGCTGCACCCTGACTACCCTGAACACATGTCCTCTGGGTCTGAGGGCTGTGTCATGGGCCATGGTCACTCATATTTGGCTCAGAATAAATCTCTTCAAATATTTTACAGAGTTTGACTCTTTGTCAACAGAACTATTGCTAAAATAAAACAATTTATAAAAGTCTTATACTCTATTTCTAGTAAATTAGAACCATTACCAAGTGGAAGACACCACTAAATATATAAATTTGATCACCTAATTGTTGAACAGACCAGATCATCATATAAGAATACAAGAGCTAAAATCAATCATAAATTAAAAGGAAAAAAAATTGGAAGAAATTCCAAAAGAACCAGTTCAAATTCTCTTCTCCATCAAAATAATCATTCTATATGATGATCAAATGATTAAGAATTAAATGCTATTCTTTACCTTCCTGGGACTTTTCATACCCATCAGGATTCATGGATGGCATAAGGTGAATTCTAGTGTTATGAACCAAATCTGTGACTTCAGGGTCTGTTCCAAAGTTCTTACAAAGGTATTCTATGAGGTTCAACAGCAGTTCTCTTCCAACCACTTCATTTCCATGCATATTTCCAATGTACTTAAATTCTGGTTCACCTGAAAACAAAATAATTACATGGAAGGCTTTTTTTCCTTCTTAATCATCATGGACTCAGTTTTTTTCCGCAACATATATAAATCCTATACTAAAAAATTTTTTAAACATGTATTTTGGCAAAGGAGGCAGAAAAAACCTTCAGAAACATCTTATAAAGCAGCTTCCTTACTAATACATATGTCTGAGCAGGCTCAAAGCATATATATGCTATATAATATAAATAAATAAAACACTATTAGCAGAATAAATCTAATCTATGCACTTATTAAATACCATGCCTAATATGGGTTAGCAAAAGGATTTCCTTCTCTTCTGGGAAAAGATTGGTTACATTTTCTTTTTTGCTTTCTTTTAATTTTAGTTAGGTTTTCTTAATGCCAGTTATACAAACTGTAGGCGACCTTTCTGAATGAAACATAGCAATATTGAACATGGCTTTGAGGGGCACTACTGAAATTATGTGTAAGACCATACCAATTACCTGGTTCATGGACACCCGGATTATCAGATATCTCCATCACATAAAGTTCTCTTGACTCTACTGATTTTCCCAAGGAATAAAGCCGGGTAATGTTAGGATATTCATTGGCAAACCTTCTCAAGAAGATTTCCATATCAGGGAAATGGTGGTGGTGAAAGTCCTTTGGCTGAATTGGCTGGTAGGAGGATGATGTTCCAGAAAGAATATTAGGTATAGCAACTGTGCTAGCAGTTGATACAGCCTCTGTCGTGTCAGGGATTACTGAAGTTACAGTTGGCCTAAGAGAAAAATCCACCTCTGTGGCTGGTCCTTCTTTCACCACTACATTAGTAACAGTCAATGGCATATACCTGAAAAAAAAATTTGAAAAAGTAAATGGTTTATAGTTAAGACATACAATGCTTTAATATTATAAAAGCACAGTAGCCTTTTCATCCTCTTACACTTAGCGATCTATCAAAACTCAAACTAAATAAAGAGAGATGTGTAAATTTAAGAGTTTTAGGACATTATCTCACAAAGAACCCCAGATTGAACAACTATTTCTCTCACCAAATCTTCTCAAGTACCACACACTAGAATGTATACCAAAAAAATTACACTCAAAGGAAAGAACATGTTGAAAGATGTGGTTGTTACTCCATTGTAACCACTGCTACAGTACTCAAAGAAGGGATAAATTACACAATTCTTTGCAGTGTCTTATCAAACTGACATTCCAACTTCTTTTTCAAGTAGGAAAGCTCAAGATTAAAGGTTATCAATTAAATCCTTATCAAAGTGAGCTTCCAGAAAGCTTTCCAGGGGAGGTGGGAAACCATTCATTTAATATATTAGAAAGCTGATAAGACAGTTCTTCAAAATGTCATTTACAGAGCAATGGGTTTCTTCTACTCTGGTATTCGGTTAGCTTTAAGGCAATGCTTTACACAGCTGAATATCTTTTCAAGTTTTAAAAATTGTCCTTCCTCTAATGCTACAACTATGCTTCACATCCCATTGTACTATTAGACTATGTGACAAAAAACTCCACAATAGTATTTTCTTATTATAAAACGAGAAAAATCAGAAAATAAGGAAAAATAAAAGCCACAAAAAATAAACAACATGTACTAGACTATATTTCTGTCTCAGATATAAAACAGAGACTTGACATTTTAACTAAGAGTCTACATAGTTTAAATTCTTACCCAGTTAAAACTACTGTAAGGTTGTAAGTTCCAGGAACAAGTAATCGGTAGAAATCACCAAATCTGCCTGTTGTGATATTATGATTAATACCAGCCACTGAGATGGTTGCATTCTCTAACCCAGATCCTGTTATGGAATCTTTAACAAATCCTTTCACTCCAATGTGAACCTAAGAAGACAAGAATCCAAGCTCAGAGACGGTGAATTTGGAAGGCAAGAGCGCATAATTTCTCTCTGCACCGATACTAGAATTTCTAAAAAATAAAGTGACTCTTCTCTCTCCCCCAAAACATTTTCAATCCCTTGAAGTTTAAATAAAATACAGACAGAAGTATTAAATCCTTAAACTTAAGTCATATGTCTGAACTCGACACTAGTAAGGTGCTTTTAAAATTCCCTCTCCTCAAAGCCAGATTTCTAATTTTCTCAACAAGGTGTAACTGCTGGTGTATTCAATTGCTGTATTAGTCTGGGTGATGTTTAAATTAAACTGATGTCTATGGTTCATATAGTGGTAAAGGCTCACTAGCAAATATGATCACATGACATTGTAAGAACCTGAGAGTACAAATTTGGCTAATTATTTCAGTTTGTATAAGTAAGTGTTCCAAGATAGGAAAAGGAAGCCCTATGGAGCAGAGAGCTGGGGGTAAGGGGCAGGGGAAGCAGAGCTAGAATATGTTTTAATAGATTATAATCTAATAATCTTTAAAGATAATTTATAATCTTAAGTAATAAAAAGAGATAAATGACATCTAATACTGTATAGATTATCATTCACATGCATCCAAATTTCTCCCTTATTTAATCCTGTTTCTATACCCCAACATTCCAGTCATCTACTTTTACCTTTTCAATCAATGTGATCAAAGACTCACGATTGTTCTCCCATTCCTGTCGAAGCTGTGAAGCAGGTGGGTACTTGCAACAAGACAGTTCTAATGTGATCTCAAAACAGTTGGCCCACACATAATTGTAATCTTGCATACCACCTGTAACATAGAAAAAATAAGTTTACTCTCAGAAGGAAAATAATTCTACCCTCCAAAAGACTGAAGAAATTAAATCAGCCATCTCTGGATGTATAAATTTTCTTTTCTTTTCATTAAATTGTTTGAAATTGGAGAAGGCATCTGAACTATAGTGGAGGCTAAGAAGGAAGATTAAAAGGAATATACATTGAAAAAGAATATATAGTGAAAAAATACATTTAATTAATAGGATGAGCAGTTATAAAAAGTATGAATATATCAGTTAATACCAGTAACAATAATAATAGCAGCTTTGTGTGTTTACTATACACCAGACCTGTTCTAAGAGCTTTATGTGTATTAGCATTTAATCTTTACAGCAATTATATGAGGCAGATACTACTATTTCATCCATTTTACAGATATGAAAAGTAGGGCACAAAGAAATTAAGATTTATAACAGAAAGAAAATAAAGGGTACACATCTCAAAGTTGTGAAGCATATTCATGCCGAAGCATTATTAAGTACCTACGATTCTAACTGTACTTGCCTTTATCAAGAAGGTGGCAAGAGCAAAAAGAAAAACTGTTATCTAGGGTGGCACAGCTACACAAATCAGGGGAAAATAAGACACAATAAATTCTTTCAAAATGTGTTAAACGGAAGATGGAACTTAAAAGGGACTAAGCATCCATGGTCTATCACCTTCACCATGTTTATACCTATATAAGCCCACACACTCATTTTGTTGACAGCCTATTACCCTATCATTCTTGTCACTTGATTTTCTCACATCTTGTTTTTAGTGGATAAAGACTAAAAAGTGGAGAAAGGAGCGGGTGTAACTTCTCTATGATCTCACCTTGCTCTTGGAAAGTACAAATGTGGATTTTAAGGGTCATCTTTCCTCAACCCCCAGTGCATCTCAGATGATGTCACACAGGATCCTTCAGATCAGGAGGGAGAATAACTGATGATCTGATTATTTTCATGTTCATCCATGTTAATTCAGCACTTACAAATAATGCCAAGCATTTGTTTCCCTTTCATTGACAGCACCAAAAGATATGCTTCCGTCATAGATTCTTCTGCCACTCACTCCCTTTGGCATTAACATGGGTCTTTATTTATTTATTTATATGCAAAGTGAATGTTAGATGATCACAAAAGACACTTCAAACCCTCGCATTCTATGATGTTTAAAAATACATGCTGATTTAGGCTGGGTGCAATGGCCCATGCCTGTAATCCTAGCACTTTGTGAGGTGGAGGCGGGCAGATTGCCTGAGCTCAGGAGTTTGAGACTAGTCTGGGCAACATGGTGAAACCCTGTCTCTACTAAAAATACAAAAAATTAGCTGGGTGTGGTGGCACGTGCCTGTAGTCCCAGCTACTCGGGAGGCTGAGGCAGAAGAATCGCTTGAACCCAGGAGGCAGAGGTTGCAGTTAGCAGAGATAGTGCCACTGCACTCCAGCCTGGGCAACAGAGTGCGACTCTGTCTCCAAAACAAAAACAAAAACATGCTGATTTGATTACAAGAGAAAAGGCAGGGAGAGAACATGAAAAACAGACAATTCTGAAACCTGTTTCTGGAGAAAGGTCAATGTCATAGTTTTAAGCACAGCTTATTAGGAGTTCATCAAAGAACCGGGGCTTACAAAACATTGAAGAAAAGCAAACAATACAGCAAAAATAACAAAACTTTGACAGAAATAAAATCGCAGCAATATTATTGGAGCCTAAACTCTTAATCTCATTTTTGCTGAAGTTTCATTATGTGCTTTGAAACACATCTAGTTCTTGAAATATGCACACCTTACCTAACGCAATATGCTCCATTTCACTGGCATATTTATAGGATAGATATTGGTAAGACAAAAAAGTTAGGTTAAGTGTACGCACCAAAAACTTGTAAAGAAGAAATTAGGCAAAGAACCTTTAAAAATCCAGGACTCCGTGAACTCTAACCAATGCCATTTTGAATAAGTACAAGGAAGAAAACTGAACACAATCCTGAAGTTACCCAAGCAGGATCACAAGGATACTTGTGACATGACATCTCATCTCAGGAGATGATCTGATTATATTCATGTTCATCCATGTTAATTCAGCACTTACAAATAACGCCAAGCGTTTTGTTTCCAATCAGAGGAGGGGACAACTACATCCATAAATAATTAAATATGATAGCAGAGGACAGTGGTGAATGTTGTACAGCAATGTAAATGTACTTAATGCAAGGGAATTGTACCCTTAAAAACAGTTACAATGGTAAATTTTATATTATGTATACTTTACCACAATTTAAAAAATGAAATAGGCTGGGAGAGGTGGCTCATGCCTGTAATCCTAACACTTTGGGAGGCTGAGGGCAGTACCTAGAATAGTGCCTGGCATATAGTAGGTGCTCAATAAATATTTTGGAAGCCTGGGCAGACTGCTTGAGCTCAGGAGTTTGAGACCAGCCTAGGCAACATAGCAAAACCCCATCTCTACAAAAAATACAAAAAAATTAGCTGGGCATGGTGGCACATGCCTGTCATCATAGCTACTCAGGAGGTTGAGGTGGGAGGATTGCTTAAGCTCAGGAGTTCAAGGCTGCAGTGAGCCAAGATTGCGCCACTGCACTCCAGTCTGGGTAACAAAGTAAGACCTATCTTGGAAAAAAAAAGAAAAAAATGATATTAATAATAGAGATATTATGGGTCTATGCCACTAATTTCAATTTTGGAGTTGAGGGAAGATCTATAAAGGCTTCTTGGGGAGGCAGTTTTTTAGTTATATCTTAAAGATAAAACTGTAAGTCAGCCAAAAGGAGCGGGGGTTCAGGAGCACTGCAGTCAGGGAAAATGGCTTTGTAAAGGTGGAGGCTGCTGGTGTATGTGACCACCAGCTATGAGGCTGATAAGGCCACAGAATGAGGGCAGCAGCACAGAGCTGCAGGGATGTCATGAATGGTGAGGCTGGAAAGGTAAGTAGGGTCTAAAGGAGGCTGAGGATAAAGTTTTCCGTGGCTTTCCAAAGCATAAAAAAAAATGGCATTTCATTTGTTAGTTTTGAACAGAAAAGTAGTATGATGAATAGAAGACAGTATGGTCTGGAAAGGCGTGGGGGATTGGAAGCAAAAAGCCCGGTTAGGCAGTTTCTTACAATGATACAAGTAAAAAGTAATTAGGCCTAAAATGATGTGGTAGCAACTCTGTGGAAGAGAAGGGAAAGATGTGAGACAAGATACTGACAGGATCTGATAGATAGTGGGAGTTGAGAGAAAGAAAGGAATCAAAGAGGACCTCTGGCCTGATCAATTGGGCTAATGATGATGCCATTAACAGAAAAAATAAGGTCTGTAAGAGTAATTGAGCAGAAAGGGGCATGTTGAATTTGAGGTATTTGTAGAATATTTAGACAGAAATACCCAAGAAGGAATTCAAAAAGACAGGTCTGGAGCTTGGGGAGAAGAGTAGTCCTTTTCAAGAAATGATCATTTAAGACTAGGAAGTTCAGTTTTCTTTCGGCAAATATTTATTGAGCACCTAGTATATGCCAGGCACTATTCTAGGTGCTTGGGGATATGGTGATGAACAAAACAGACAAGGTCCCTGCTTTCTCGTAACATTCTTTTAAAATTTAAAAACTTTAAATTCTAAAATATAAAAAACTTATAGAATTCTTACATAGGGGAAGCAGACAGTAAACAAATATAAATAAGAAAAATATCAGATAGTGAGAAGTGCTATGCAGAATTTTTTTTTTTTTTTGGAGACTGAGTCTCACTCTGTCACCAGGCTGGAGTGCAGTGGCGCGATCTCGGCTCACTGCAACCTCCACCTCCCAGGTTCAAGCAATTCTCCTGCCTCAACCTCCCGAGTACCTAGGACTACAGGCTCATGCCACCACACCCAGCTAATTTTCTGTATTTTTAGTAGAGACGGGGTTTCACCATGTTGGCCAGGCTGGTCTCCATCTCTTGACCTCGTGATCCACCCGCCTCAGCCTCCCAAAGTGCTGGGATTACAGGCGTGAGCCACCGCGCCCGGCCTAGAAAATTTAAGTAGAGTGATGTGATACAGCTAGTGATTGGTGGCAACTAGAGACTAGGTAGTTATAAAAAGCCTTCATGAGGAGGTAACATTAAGTCAAGATCTGAAAAACAAGATGCAGCTAGCCTGGTAAAAGTCAGCGGGAAGAACATTTCAAAGGCAGGGGGAAAAGTTTGGTAAGTGTAAGGAATAGAAAGAAAGCTACTGTGGCTGGACAATAACAGACAAAGGAAGAATGGCACAAGTTGAGGTCGAGGGATTCTGGCAAAACAACATCATAAACAGCTTTGGCAGCTAGGGCAAGAAGTTGGGGATTTTATTCTAAGTGCAGTAGGAACCACAGGAGGGATTTGGTTTTTGTTTTATTGTGCTAAAGAACACATAATACAAATTTCACCATATTAACCATTTTTACATGTACAGTACAATAGTGTTAACTATATCCACATTGCTGTGCAATAGAGCTCTAGAACATTTTCTTTTTTTTGAGACGGACTTTCGCTCTTGTTGCCCAGGCTGGAGTGCAATGGCTCAATCTCGGCTCACCGCAACCTCCGCCTCCCAGGTTCAAGCAATTCTCCTGCCTCAGCCTCCTGAGTAGCTGAGATTACAGGCATGCAGCACTACGCCCGGCTAATTTTGTATTTTTTTTAGTAGAGACAGGGTTTCCCCATGTTGAGGCTGGTCTCGAACTCCTGACCTCAGGTGATCCGCCCGCCTTGGCCTCCCAAAGTGCTGGGATTACAGGCGTGACCCACCGCACCCAGCCCTAGAACATTTTCATCTCGCAAAAAATGAAGCTCCATATCCATTATAAACAACTCCCCTTTTGCCACTCTCCCCGGCTCTTGGCAACCACCTTTCTACTTTCTGTTTCTAAGAGTTTGACTACTTCAGATACTTCATATAAGTGAAATCATGCAGTATTTTGTCTTTTTGGCTTATTTCACTTAGCATAATATCCCTAAGGTTCAGCCATGTTATAGCATATGATAGGATTCCCTTCTTTTTTAAGGCTGAATAAGATTCCATTTTTTGTATATACAAACTTTTCTTTATCCACTCATCTGTCAATTGACATTTAATTGCTTCCACCTCTTGGTAATTGTGAATAATGCTGCAATGAACATGGGTATGTGATGATTCATGATGTAGAGCATCTTTTCAATGTTTGTTGGCCATGTGTATATCTTCTTTAGAGAAATGTCCATTTAAGTCCTTTGCCCATTTTTAAATTAGATTATTTGTTTTTTATTGTTATGTTGTAGGAGTTCTTTGTATATTCTGGATATTAACCCCTTTTTAGGGGGTTAATATTTTATTAGAATATTTTATTCTAAGAAAAAAATATTTTTTTCCTTTCTGTAGGCTGCCTTTTCACTCTGTTTCACGTTGGACAATATTTCACAGTGATTTGTGAGTCAGAACATTCATTCACAATGTTTGCTGTGCAGAACACTGGCAGGCTTTGCACAGAGGTGTGATACAATTAGAATTACCTTCATTCTGTCAAGATCATTCTGACTGCTGGATGGAAAATGACTGTAGGGGGACAAATGGGGAAGCATGGAGATGTATTAGAAGATAATGGTGACTTGGACTAGGTTGGTGGTAGTGGAGACAAAGAGGACGGGTCTGGATGTAGAAGGAAGAAATCAAGGACGACTTCTAGATTTTAGGCTTGAGAAATCAGGGAGATAGTAGTGCCATTTACTGAAAAGATGAAAGAGAACAAAGGCAACAGAGGTGGCATCCCTAAGGTTCTGCCTTTGGTCCTCTTCTCTTACTACTTATTTCCTTGGTATAATGAAACTCATACAGTCCCGTGGTTTTAAACATGATCTACAGGGTGACAACCCTCAAATTTCTGTCCCCAGCCTAGATTTCTTCCCAGACTCCAGACTTGTACATCCAACTGCCTATTCAAAATCTTTACTTGGATATCACAAACTTAACATATCCAAAACTGAACTACTTATCTTCTCCAAACCTGCTCCACCCACAGTCTTTCCCACTGCAGTTAATGGCACTTTCATTCTTCTATTAAATAGTTGCTCAGGCAAAAAGCCTTGGATTCACATTTTATATCCAAAGTGTCAGAAAACCATGCCGACTCTAACTTCAAAATATGTTCAGAATCCAAAATATGTTCATCCTCATGTCCATTGCTGTGGCCCTGTACAAGCCACTGCCATTTCTCTGCATGTATTTCTGCAATCACTCTTTTTTTTTTTTTTCCGAGACAGTCTCGCTCTGTTACCCAGGCTGGAGTGCAGTGGTGTGATCTCAGCTCACTGCAAGCTCTGCCTCCCGGATTCATGCCATTCTCCTGCCTCAGCTTCCCGAGTAGCTGGGACTACAGGCGCCCGCCACCGTGCCCAGCTAATTTTTTGTATTTTTGTATTTTTAGTAGAGACGGGGTTTCACCATGTTGGCCAGGATGGTCTCGATCTCCTGACCCCGTGATCCACCCACCTTGGCCTCCCAAAGTGCTGGGATTACAGGCATGAGCCACTGCGCCCAGCCTCTGCAATTGCTCTTAACAGGTTCCCCTGTTCCTGCCCTTGCCGTTTTATATTCTTTACTCAACAGAGATGCCAGAGTAATTCTGTTAAAATGCAAGTCAGATGTTATTTCTCTGTTCAAAACAGTTCAGAGACTCCCCGTATTTCACTCAGACTAAAAGCCAAAGTCTTTTCAGTGGCCTAAGGCCCTGTATGATTTGATCCCCATCACCCAGCTTTCCTTCCTAAACCTCCTTTTATACTCTCTCCATCACTGGCTCTGCAGCAGACACATGGCCTCCTTGCTGTTCACGGGATACTCTAAGTACCTCCTGACTTTGCTCTACTTGTTCCCTTTGCTGGAATGCTCTTCCCCCGGATAACCTTACTACTTGACTAACTCCCTCAACCCCAGCTCTCTGCTCCAATTTCAACCTGACAATGGAGTCAGGTCATCCTGACCTCCCCAATTGAAGTTGCTACTTACATCTCTCCATCACTATCCCCAAGCCCATCCCACCAGCACTCCCAGTTCCTCTTACCCTTTTTCTACCTTGTTGCTTTTTCTACAACACTTAACAATTCACCTACTGTGTTTACTATCTACTGCCTGTTTCTCCCTGCCAGATTATAAACAACACAAGGGCAGAGATCTTTGTTATGCCCATTGATGGACATTCCAAGACTAAAACAGTACCTGCCACATAGTAGCCCTTCAATAAATATATGTTAAATGAATAAAAGGAGGTTGGAGCAATGGGAAATTAAGATGTTTGTTCTTAAAGCATTAAGTTTGAAATGCCCATTGAATATCCATATGGGGATGTCAAACAGACTTTGACTTCTCAGAATATTTGCAGGTTTATGACCACCATAAGCCTAGTAACTCGGTCTTAACCTTGTCTCCTAGGGCAAGGCAATCTTTTAGCTTTCTCTTATTCACCTTGAGTCTGGCAGGAAATGGGTAAGATGCTGATTTTCCTATCCCTACCAAGCCATATTTAGTCATTATGATATTAGTCACCTTTAGTCATTGCTGACCTATAATCATCTTTGGTAACTTTAACTTGTACATATACACGTAAACACACGTGCATTCATTGTCATAATATTTATTGAAAATCTTTTCCAATTTTTACTACTACATTGGTCACAATACAATGGTCGTTGTGTGTAAGGGATTATACTAAGACTATTGGGAATTATAAACAACAGATATACTTCCATCCAGAGTTTAGAGTCTTGGTGAGGAAGCAAAACAGAGAACACATAAAAATAACAATTTCAGTCACTTCCAAGATGGCCGAATAGGAACAGCTCCGGTCTGCAGCTCCCAGCAAGATCGACAAGATTGACACAGAAGAGGGGTAGATTTCTGCATTTCCAACTGAGATACCTGGTTCATCTCATTGGGACTGGTTGGACAGTGGGTGCAGCCCACGGAGGGCAAGTCGAAGCAGGGCAGGGCGTCACCTCAACTGGGAAGTGCAAGGGGTGGGGAGATTTCCCTTTCCTAGCCAAGGGAAGCCATGACAGACTGTACCTGGAAAAACAGTACTCTTTTGCCCAAATACTGTGCTTTTCCCATGGTCTTAGCAACCAGCAGACCAGAAGATTCCCTCCTGTGCCTGGCTCGGTGGGTCCCACACCCACGAAGCCTTATTCACTGCTACTGCAGCAGTCTGAGATCAACCTGCGAGGCTGCAGCCTCATGGCGGGAGGGGCGTCTGCCATTGCTGAGGCTTGAGTAGGTTAACAAAGCAGCTGGGAAGCTCGAACTAGGCAGAGCCCACCGTAGCTCAGCAAGGCCTACTGCCTCTATAGATTCCACCTCTGTGGGCAGGGCATAGCTGAAAAAAAGGCAGCAGACAACTTCTGCAAACTTAAACGTCCCTGACTGACAGCTCTGAAGAGAGCAGTGGTTCTCCCAGCATGGCATTCAAGCTCTGAGAATGAACAGACTGCCTCTTCAAGTGGGTCCCTGATCCCATGTAGACTGACTGGGAGACACCTCCCAGTAGGGGCCGACAGACACCTCATACAGGCAGGTGCCCCTCTGGGATGATGCTTCCAGAGGAAGGATCAGGCAGCAATATTTGCTGTTCTGCAATATTTGCTGTTCTGCAGCCTCCACTGGTGAGACCTAGGCAAACAGGGTCCGGAGTGGACCTCCAGCAAACTCCAACAGACCTGCAGCTGAGGGGCCTGTTAGAAGGAAAATTAACAAACAGGAAGGAATAGCATCAACATCAGCAAAAAGGACATCCACACCAAAACCCCATCTGTAGGTCACCAACATCAAAGACCAAAGGTAGATAAAACCACAAAGATAGGGAGAAACCAGGGCTGAAAAGCTGAAAATTCCAAAAACCAGAGCGCCTCTTCTCCTGAAAAGGATCGCAGCTCCTTGCCAGCAACGGAACAAAACTGGATGGAGAATGACTTTCACAAGCTGACAGAAGTAGGCTTCCGAAGGTTGGTAATAACAAACTTCTCCGAGCTAAAGAAACATGTTCTAACCCATCGCAAGGAAGCTAAAAACCTTGAAAAAAGGTTAGACGAATGGCTAACTAGAATAAACAGTGTAGAGAAGACCTTAAATGACCTGATGGAGCTGAAAACCACAGTACGAGAACTTCATGACGCATGCACAAGCTTCAATAGCCAATTCGATTAAGTGGAAGAAAGGCTATCGTGGTTGAAGATCAAATTAATGAAATAAAACGAGAAGACAAGATTAGAGAAAAAAGAGTAAAAAGAAACGAAAAAAGCCTCCAAGAAATATGGGACTATGTAAAAAAACCAAATCTACATTTGATTGGTGTACCTGAAAGTGACGGGGAGAATGGAACCAAGTTAGAAAACACTCTTCAGGATATTATCCAGGAGAACTTCTCCAACCTAGCAAGGCAGGCCAATATTCAAATTCAGGAAATATGGAGACCACCACAAAGATATTCCTCAAGAAGAGCAACTCCAAGACACATAATTGTCAGATTAACCAAGGTTGAAATGAAGGAAAAAATGTTAAAGGCAGCCAGAGAGAAAGGTCAGGTTACCCACAAAGGGAAGCCCATCGGACTAACAGCAGATCTCTCGTCAGAAACCCTACAAGCCAGAAGAGAGTGGGGGCCAATATTCAACATTCTTAAAAGAAAGAATTTTCAATCCAGAATTTCATATCCAGCCAAACTAAGCTTCGTAAGTGAAGGGCAAATCAAATCCTTTACAGACAAGCAAATGCTGAGAGATTTTGTCACCACCAGACCTGCCTTACAAGAGCTCCTAAAGGAAGCACTAAACATTGAAAAGAGCAACCAGTACCAGCCACCGCAAAAACATGCCAAATTGCAAAGACCATTCATGCTGTGAAGAAACTACATCAATTAACGGGCAAAATAACCAGCTAACATCATAATGACAGGATCAAATTCACACATAACAACATTAACCTTAAATGTAAATGGGCTAAATGCTCCAATTAAAAGACACAGACTGACAAACTGGATAAAGAGTCAAGACCCATCAGTGTGCTGTATTCAGGAAACCCATCTCATGTGCAGAGACACACATAGGCTCAAAATAAAGGGATGGAGGAAGATCTACCAAGCAAATGGAGAGCAAAAAAATGCATGGGTTGCAATCCTAGTCTCTAATAAAACAGACTTTAAACCAACAAAGATCAAAAGAGACAAAGAAGGCCATTACATAATGGTAAAGGGATCAATTCAACAAGAAGAGCTAACTATCCTAAATACATATGCATGCAATACAGGAGCACCCAGATTCATAAAGCAAGTCCTTAGAGACCTACAAAGAGACTTAGGCTCCCACACAATGATAATGGGAGACTTTAACACCCCACTATCAACATTAGACAGATCAATGAGACAGAAGGTTAACAAGGATATCCAGGAATTGAACTCAGCTCTGCACCAAGTGGACCTAATAGACATCTACAGAACTCTCCACTCCAAATCAACAGAATATACATTCTTCTCAGCATCATATCACACTTATGCGAAAATTGACCTCATAATTGGAAGTAAAACACTCCTCAACAAATATAAAAGAACAGAAATCACAACAAACTGTCTCTCGGGCCACAGTACAATCAAATTAGAACTCAGGATTAAGAAACTCACTCAAAACTACACAACTACATGGCAACTGAACAACCTACTCCTGAATGACTACTGGATAAATAACGAAATGAAGGCAGAAATAAAGATGTTCTTTGAAACCAATGAGATCAAATACACAACATACCAGAATCTCTAGGACACATTTAAAGCAGTGTGTAGAGGGAAATTTATAGCACTAAATGCCCACAAGAGAAAGCAGGAAAGAGCTAAAATTGACACCCTAACATCACAATTAAAAGAACTAGAGAAGCAAGAGCAAACACATTCAAAAGCTAGCAGAAGGCAAGAAATAACTAAAATCAGAGCAGAACTGAAGGAGATAGAGACATAAAAAACCATTCAAAAAAAATCAATGAATCCAGGAGCTGGTTTTTTGAAAAGATCAACAGAATTGATAGACTGCTAGCAAGACTAATAAAGAAGAAAAGAGAGAAGAATCAAATAGATGCAATAAAAAATGATAAAGGGGATATCACCACCGATCCCACAGAAATACAAACTACCATCAGAGAATACTATAAACCGCTCTACACAAATAAACTAGAAAATCTAGAAGAAATGGATAAATTTCCGGACACATACACCCTCCCAAGACTAAACCAGGAGGAAGTTGAATCTCTTAATAGACCAATAACAGGTTTTGAAATTGAGGCAATAATAGCCTACCAACCAAATAAAGTCCAGGAGCAGAGGGATTCACCGCTGAATTCTACCAGAGGTACAAAGAGGAGCTGGTACCATTCCTTCTGAAACTATTCCAATCAGTAGAAAAGGAGGGAATCCTCCCTAACTCATTTTATGAGGCCAGCATCATCCTGATAACCAAAGCCTGGCAGAGACACAACAAAAAAAGAGAATTTTAGACCAATATCCCTGATGAATGTCGATGCGAAAATCCTTAATAAAATAATGGAAAACCGAATCCAGAAGCACATCAAAAAGCTTATCCACCACGATCAAGTCAGCTTCATCCCTGGGATGCAAGGCTGTTTCAACATATGCAAATCAATAAATGTAATCCATCACATAAACACAACCAAATGACAAAAACCACATGATTATCTCAATAGATACTGAAAAGGCCTTAGACAAAATTCAACAGCCCTTCATGCTAAAAACTCTCAATAAACTAGGTATTGATGGAATGTATCTCAAAATAATAAGAGCTATTTATAACAAACCCACAGTCAGTATCATACTGAATGGGCAAGCATTCCCTTTGAAAACTGGCACAAGAATACTGTGCCAGTTTTTTTGAATACTGCAAGCATTCCCTTTGAAAACTGGCACAACACAAGGATGCCCTCTCTCACCACTCCTGTTCAACATAGTGTTGGAAGTTCTGGCCAGGGCAATCAGGCAAGAGAAAGAAATAAAGGGTATTCAACTAGGAAAAGAGGAACTCAAATTGTCCCTGTTTGCAGATGGCATGACTGTATATTTAGAAAACTCCATGGTCTCAGCCCCAAATCTCCTTAAGCTGATAAGCAACTTCAGCAAAGTCTCAGGATACAAAATCAATGTGCAAAAATCACAAGCATTCCTATACACCAATAACAGACATACAGAGAGCCAAATCATGAGTGAACTCCCATTCACAATTGCTACAAAGAGAATAAAATACCTAGGAATACAACTTACAAGGGATGTGAAAGACCTTTTCAAGGAGAACTACAAACCACTGCTCAATGAAATAAAAGAAGACACAAACAAATGGAAGAACATTCCATGCTCATGGATAGGAAGAATCAATATCGTGAAAATGGCCATACTGCCCAAGGTCATTTATAGATTCAATGCCATCCCCATCAAGCTACCAATTACTTTCTTCACAGAATTGGAAAAAACTACTTTAAACTTCATATGGAACCAAATAAGAGCCTGCATAGCCAAGACAATCCTAAGCAAAAAGAACAAAGCTGGAGGCATCATGCTACCTGACTTCAAACTATACTACAAGGCTACAGTCACCAAAATAGCATAGTACTGGTACCAAAACAGATACAGAACAGAACAGAGGCCTTAGAAATAACACCACACATCTACAACCATCTGATATTTGACAAACCTGACAAAAACAAGAAATGGGCAAAGGATTCCCTATTCAATAAATGGTGCTGGGAAAAGTGGGTAGCCATATGTAGGAAGCTGAAACTGGATCCCTTCCTTACACCTCATACAAAAATTAACTCAAGATGTTTTAAAGAATTAAACGTACGACCTAAAAGCATAAAAACCCTAGAAGAAAATCTAGGCAATACCATTGAGGACATAGGCATGGACAAAGACTTCATGACTAAAACACCAAAAGCAATGGCAACAAAAGCCAAAATAGACAAATGGGATCTAACTAAACTAAAGAGCTTCTGCACAGCAAAAGAAACTACCATCAGAGTGAACAGGCAACCTACAGAATGGGAGAAAATTTTTGCAATCTGCCCATCTGACAAAGGGCTAATATCCAGAATCTATAAAGAACTTAAACAAATTTACAAGAAAAAAACAAACAACCCCATCAAAAAGTGGGCAAAGGAAAGGAACAGACACTTCTCAAAAGAAGACATTTATGCAGCCAACAGACACAGGAAAAAATGCTCATCATCACTGGTCATCAGAGAAACGCAAATCAAAACCACAATGAGATACCATTTCATGCCAGTTAGAATGGCGATCATTAAAAAGTCAGGAAACAATAGATACTGGAGACGATGTAGAGAAACTGGAAAGCTTTTACACTGTTGGTGGGAGTGTAAATTAGTTCAACCATTGTGGAAGTCAGTGTGGCGATTCCTCAAGGATCTAGAACTAGAAATAACATTTGACCCAGCGATCCTATTACTGGGTATATACCCAAAGGATTATAAATCATGCTACTATAAAGACACATGCACATGTATGTTTATTGCGGCACTATTCACAATAGCAAAGACTTGGAACCAACCCAAGTGTCCATCAATGACAGACTGGATTAAGAAAATGTGCACATATACACCATGGAATACAATGCAGCCATAAAAAAGAATGAGTTCATGTCCTTTGCAGGGACATAGATGAAGCTGGAAACTACCACATTCTCAGCAAACTATCACAAGGACAGAAAACCAAACACCGTATGTTCTCACTCATAGGTGGGAATTGAACAATGAGAACACATGGACACAGGGCAGGGAACATCATACACCAGGACCTGTAGGCGGGTGGGGTACTGGGGGAGGGATAGCATTAGGAGAAATACCTAATGTAAATGATAAGCTGATGGGTGCAGCAAACCAACATGACACATGTATACCTATGTAACAAACCTGCACATTATGCACATGTACCCTAGAACTTAAAGTATAATAAAAAAGAAAAAATAATAATAACAATTTCAGGGCCATATAAATGTAAACTAATCTAAGGGTTTTTTTGCATATGTAAAATTTAATAGCTGTGTTAATTTGCAAACATGGCCAACTCACACTTTCATTATGCTAGAAGGCAATGACGTAGAGTAACACTATAATCCCCAGGCTTGAGTCCTAGCATTCTTTTGTCTATCCCTTAATTGTCCTATTTTAGCAGCAATTTAAGAAATACTAGCTAAGACCCAGCAAGAAGATCAAGTTTACAGTAACATTTTAGAGTGTTACCTAATCAGGTTTTTAAAGGTAACTTTAATTGGACCATAACTTGTGAATTCCATCTAATGACACATACAAATATATCCCCCAGGTAGCAAGTAGGGAGGAAGGACAGAAATCATTTTAAAATAAGACTTAATTCCAAGAGAAGAAAATACATTTAGCATCCTTAGTTTGACAGAGCATATAATATAAATATTGACTTTTTAATATATATCTCTACAAACAATTACTAAAAGTCAGATTCATGGAGACAAGCCTCTTTTATTTTAGGTCTTATAGACTGATTTTAATATTAGCTTCACAGTGTAAAATCTAATGGAAATAGAAAATATTAGTTGAATCCTGACATACAGTCCCCAAATTTTTCTTTGATAAGACCATATTTAAGTTAAATAAAAAGTCATGTAAAATGACACTGGAAATAAAAAGATGACTACTTAAAAACAATATAAAAATCAATATTTTTTACTGTATTTCAGCAATAATCAGCAAATATAATTTTTAAAAAGTTTCCAGCAACGAAATCACAAAATGTATAGGATGAAGTATAATAAAATGCATAATATAAATCAATATTATAAAATGCTACTGAGGGATGTAGGAGATTTTAGTAAAGTGTATTATGCCTCTAGATAAGAGGCTTATAAAAATATCAAATTTCCCCAAATTAATTTATAAATATTATGAAAACATAGATTTTTTTGTTGCAACTGGACATAATGATTTAGAAGTTAAACTGTACCAGTAACTTTGTGAGAATTTCTGAGAAATGGCTGAGAATATCTCCCAAAAAATTAAAAAATAAGAGTGGTTTAAGAGGGGACCTGCATTGCCATATTACTAAAATACATATAATAAAACTACACTTACTAAAGCAGTTCACTTCAGGTATAAAAATAAAGAGACCAACGGAACAACATAGAAATCACAGTAACTGAAACAAAAGCATTTGGAATATGATCAAGGTATTTAAAACCAATGGGGGAAAAAATTAGTAACTCTTACATGGTTAAAAGTGGTTGACTAGGTTAACTAGGTGGCAAAAAATACTGGTGGAGTTTTACATCATATTGTGAAAGGTATGCCAAATTCACTCAATTCACTATGCCAAAAGAAAAAAATTAAGCTGAAAGCTGAGTCATGCAAGAAGCTGCCTTTCCTTTTGTTCCTAAGCAGATAGCTACAGATAAAGGGGTAAATATCTCCACAGGTAGCTCTTTCATGTTCACCTTATCTCATGAAAAGTGCCCATTTACTGAGCATGAGATGAATACATAATTGACTATTCCCCCAACTGCTCCTTTTCTCTTGCACTATGTGGATGACCTTTACTCTTTCCCCTCCAGCTCACTTTTCCCCTTTAAATATTGAAGCCCTCAAAAGTCATCTTTGGAGAAAGGGAAAGACCACAGACGGTTTCTGTGACTGTATTTATGTCTTCCGGGCATGTCCTTAACCTTGGCAAAATAAACTTCTAAATTGATTGAGACCCATCTTAGAGACAGATACTTTTTGGTTTACAGTATCATACCAAGTAAACTCTTTAATCCATATGGAATTTAACATAAAAATGAAGCCATTAATGAAACCAGAAGCCAACATAAATGTTTTTACTCTCTCAGAATGAGGAAAGCCCTTCTAAGTATGACAACAAAGTAGTATAAAACCATGAGAGGAATAATAGATGAATAGATTTAACTACCTAAAAGATTTAACTACCTAACAGATTCAACTACCAAAAAGCTAGTAAAATATCTGTTGGCCAAAAAGCTGCCATCAGAAATTTTAAAGAAAATGAAAGATGAAGTGTCTTTCATTAAAAAGAAAGAAAAAAAAGAGATGACAAAGGATTATAGAACATTTCTGGGTGAAAATTTAGTAATATGAATATAAAATCTTTAAAATAGGTATGACCTCAACCAGAAATTCCTTTTCTAGAAATTTATTCCAAGATAATAGCTATAAGGATGAGGGCTATAGTATTCAAATTGAAAGAGCATAAAACTGGAAGCAATCTAAATGTTCAAAAATGAAAGACCAGTTTAGTAAATTATGATATAAAATGGGCTACTATGCAGCCATTTAAATTACTGCAGGCATATATTTATTGTCACGATATTTACCATGCATCAAAAAAGGTTATAAAACGGCATATACAAGGCAAATATTTTTGCATGATACTTTGAATTTTATTCTTCTTTGAAGCATACAGAGGTTCTTAAATAATTTCCTTTCACTTAAGTATTAAGTAAATGATTCAAAAGAATTTTGACAATCTAGTTAACACGGTGCTTTAAAGCCTTTTTAAAAGTCAAGTTTATGGAGGTATAATAACTTATATGCTATAAAATTCATCCCATTTACATGTACAGTGCAATGTATACAGTCACATAACTACCACCACAATAAAAATACAGAACATTTCTATATCCCAGAAGGTTCCCAGACCCTGGGTTACCATTAATCTAATTTCTTTCCCTATATTTCTGCCTTCTCTAGAATGTCATATAAATAAAATCATATAGTATATAGCCTTTTGTATTAGGCTTCTTTCACTTAGCATAATGCTTTTGAGACTCATCTATATTCTTCATATATAAATGGTCCATTACATTACTAAGTATTCTATTGAATAAAAGTAGTTCAATTTGCTTATCTGTTCATCATGTGATGGTTATTTCAGTTGTTTCTTGTTTTTTGGTGATTAAAGCTGTGCATAGATCTTAATGTGGGCATATGTTTTCCTATCTTTTGGGTAAATATCTAGAGGTGGCATGGAGGGATCTTATAGTAAGTTTAACTTTGTAAGAAATTGTTTTCTAAAGTGGTTGTACCATATTCATATTACCACCAGCAATGTATCCATGTTTTAGTTATTCTGCATCATCACCTAACAAGTTGCTCATGCCACTGGAAAGTCTCTTAAATTTTAAGCATTCTAGTGGAAGACGAGTGGTATCTAATTGTGGTTTTAATTTGTATTTCACTGATAACAAATGATATTGCACATCCTTTCTTTCCCATGAAAGGAGATCTTTCATGTCTTTATTTATCTTCTATACTGGAGACCCTGGAAGACAGAGACTTTAGTGAGATGGCAGATATGAGGGAATGTGAGAAAGGGATCTCATAAAATTGCCTGTGACCACCTGGGATCATCTCTAAACTGCACATGTACAGGTCTGACCTTAAACAGCACACCAAAAGCACTGAGAACTGAACTACAAAACAGGTTACTGCCCAGCACCCAGACTGGCCCCTGAGTGGTGCACATACAGTACAGATCTGAATAGCACTATAAAGGCTTTGAAAACTGAACTGACATTGGAATTACAGCTTACATAAGGCGAGTCAAAACTTGCAGCTGAACCTAACTGGGTCATTCCCTGATGGCACAAACAGACAAGTATTATTATTTTTATTTTATTTTATTTTTTTGAGATGGAGTTTCATTCTTGTTGCCCAGTCTGGAGTGCAATGGCACTATCTCTGCTCACCGCAACCTCCACCTCCCAGGTTAAAGCGATTCTCCTGCCTCAGCCTCCTGAGTAGCTGTGATTACAAGCATGTGCCACCATGCCCAGCTAATTTTGTATTTTTAGTAGAGACAGGGTTTCTCCATGTTGGTTAGGCTGGTCTTGAATTCTTGACCTCAGGTGATCTGCCCGCCTCGGCCTCTCAAAGTGCTGGGATTATAGGTGTGAGCCACCACACCCAGCCAACAAGTATTATGTTTTAATAGGATTTAAACAAGACCCAGATCTCATAGCATAAGATTCAAAATGTCCAGGATATAATCCAAAATTATTTGACATTCAAATAACCAGTAAAAGCTCAATATATTATAAAGAAAAAAAGTCAACAGACACCAACTCCAATGTGACACAGATGCTGGAATTACCAGACTAACCTTAAAGCAGTTATTATAACCATGTTACAAGGAATTAAGGTTTTCGTTTTGTTTTGGTTTGGTTTTTTTGAGACAGAGTCTCGCTCTGTCACCCAGGCTTGAGTGCAGTGGCACGATCTCAGTTCACTGCAACCTCTGCCTCTCAGGTTCAAGCAATTCTCGTCCCTCAGCCTTCTGAGTAGCTGGGATTACAGGCATGTGCCACCATGTCCAGCTAATTTTTGTATTTTTAGTAGAGACAGGGTTTCACCATGTTGGCCAGGCTGGTCTCAAACTCTGGACCTCAAGTAATCCACCCACCTTGGCCTCCCGAATTGCTGAGATTACAGGTGTGAACCACCACGCCCAGCCTTCCAAGGAAGTAAGATTAAACAGTCTTAAAGTAAAAGAAAGATACCAAACATGCAAAATAGAAAAAAGTAGAAATTTCAGAATTTCAGAAAAATACAGTAACTAAATTAAAAAAATAAACTGAATGGGTTTAATGGAAGAATGGAAATGATAGGAAAAAGTGAGTTATCTTGAAGATGGGTAAGTAGAAATTGCCTTATGAATAACAGAGAAAGAAGAAAAAAAGATCTGAAAAAAAAGAAGAAAAAATTTTAAGAACAATAGCAAAAGGCCTACTATTGTTATCACTGGAGTCTCAGGAGAGAAAAAAAAATGGCGCCATGCTATTTAAAAAAAAAAAAAAAGTGAAATAATGGCTAGAAACACCATAAATTTGGCAAAAGACAAAAACTTACATTTCAAGAAGCTCAGCAAATCTCAAACACTATAAGTGCAAAAAAATCCATGCATGGGTATTTTATAATCAAACTGCTGAAAACCAAAGACAGAAAAAAAGTCAGCTGGGCACAATGGCTCATGCCTGTAATCTCAACATTTTGGGAGACCGAGGCAGGCGGATCCCTTGAGCCCAGGAGTTTGAGACCAGCTGGGGCAACATGTTGAAAACCTGTCTCTACAAAAAATACAAAAAAATAAGCCAGGTGTTGTGACACGTGCCTGTAGTCCCGGCTGCTTAGGAGGCTGAGGCAAGAAAATAGCTTGAGCCTGGGAGGCAGAGGTTGCAGTGAGCCACGACCGCACCACTGCACTCCAGCCTGGGAAACACAGCCAAACTCTGTCTCACAATAATAATAACAGGAAGAGGAAGAAGAAGAAGAAGAGGAAGAAGAAGAAGAAGATGAGGAAGAAGAAGAGGAAGAGGAGGAAGAGGAAGAAGAGGAGGAGGAAGAAGAGGAAGAGGAGGAAGAAGAGGAAGAGGAGGAAGAAGAGGAAGAGGAGGAAGAAGAGGAAGAGGAAGAAGAGGAGGAAGAGGAAGAGGAGTAAGAGGAGAAAGAGGAGGAGAAGGAAGAAGGAGGAGGAGAAGGAGAAGGAGAAGAAGCAGCAGCAGAAGCAGAAGAAGCAGAAGCAGAAGCAGCAGCAGCAGCAGCAATAAAATAGTCTTGAAAGTGGCCATAGAAAAATGATGTGCGTATAAAGGGGAAGAAAAATTCAAATGACTGAATTTCTCAGCAGAAGCCATGGAGGCCAGAAGGCAATGGCACAAAATTATTAAAGCACTCTAAAAAACAAACAGCAAAAACAACAAACTACAATCCACAACCCCGAGTTTTATATCCAATAAAAATGTCCTTCAAGAAGGATGGCAAGGCCGGGTGCAGTGGCTCACGCCTGTAATCCCAGCACTCTGGGAGGCCGAGACGGGCGGATCACGAGGTCAGGAGATCAAGACTATCTTGGCTAACATGGTGAAACCCCATCTCCACTAAAAATACAAAATACAAAAAAAAAAAAAAAAAAATTAACCGGGCGTGGTGGTAGGCGCCTGTAGTCCCAGCTACTCAGGAGGCTGAGGCAGGAGAATGGAGTGAACCCAGGAGGCAAAGCTTGCGGTGAGCTGAGATCGCGCCATGCACTCCAGCCTGGGCAACAGAGTAAGACTCCATCTCAAAAAAAAAAAAAAAAAAAAAAAAGAATGATGGCAAAATACACATTCTCAGAGATGGAAAACTAAGATAATCCATTATAAGCATACTTGCTTTAAAAGAAATGCTAAAGAAGGCTCTTCAGGCAGAAGAGAAGTTATACCACAGAGAAACTTAGAACTTCAGGAATGAATGAAAAGCAACAGAAATGGTAAATACAATCAGCTATTTTTCTCCCCTTAAGTCCCTTAGACTGTGTATGACAGTTGAAAGTAAAAATTATAACATTGTCTAGTAGGGTTTTCAGTGCAGCATATATATATAAGTTAAGTACAACATAAAAGGGGAGGATAAAGGGTATGGTGGGTAGGTTCGTACATTCCTCTTGAAGTAAAATATTAATTTTAGGTAGAACTGTGAAAAGTTAAGTAGTAACTTGTATTTACTAGAGCAACTAAAAGATATCGTTGAAAACACAATCCAATAGAAGGCAGGAAAAAGGAAGCAGTGGGATTAAAATGAGAGAGGCAAACTGAAAAATGAGAAAGTAGACCTAAATCCAAACATAACAATAATTATATTCAGTGTAAATGGTGCAAACACACCAACTAAAAGACAGGAATTGTAAAACTCATTAAAAAACAAGGCCCAACTCTATGCAACTACAAGAAACACAATTTATTTACTTATTATTTATTTATTTATTTTTTGAGACAGAGTCTCGCTGTATTACCCAGGTTGGAGTGCAGTGGTACAATCTCGGCTCACTGTAACCTCTGCCTCCCGGTTTCCTAAGCATTCTCTTGCCTCAGCCTCTCGAGTAGCTGGGATTACAGGTGCCTGCCACCATGCCCAGCTAATTTTTGTATTTTTATTAGAGATGGGGTTTCACCATTTTGGCCAGGCTGGTCTCGAACTCCTGACCTCAAGTGATCCACCTGCCTCAGCCTCCAAAAGTGCTGGGATTACAGGCATGAGCCACCGCACCAGGTCAGAAACTCACTTTAAATATAATGGTATAGGTAAGTTAAAAGAAAGGAAAAAAATACACCATACACACACAAATCAAAAGATGGAGTAGCTATATGACTATCAGGTAAAATAGACTTCAGAGCAAGGAAAAATGCCAGAGATAAAGAGGGACATTACATAACGATAAAAGTGTAGATTCACCAAAACGACATAATTCTAGATGTGCATGCAACAATCAGAATTTTGAAATATATAAAACAAAAATTTATAGAACTAAAAGGAAAAATGGGTAAATCCACAATTTTGGTTGCACATTTCAACATTCTTCTCTCAGTAATCAGCAGAAAAGACAATCAGCAAAGGATAGAGAAAAATGTAATAATACTATCAACTAACTAGATCTATAAATGATATTTATACTATACCCCACCCAACAATGGCAGAATACACATGCTTTTCAAGTACAAATGGAACATGCACCAAGTCTGACCATATCCTAGGTCAAACTTTGTATGATTTAAGTTTGACCTAGGTCAAACTTACATACAAAGGGTGTTCTCTGACCACGATGTTATTATATTGAAATCAATAACATAAATATATTATAAAATATTTATCTCTGTCTTGATACAATCTCATAAAAGTAAAGCACGTTTCCTCTGAGTCTATAATAATGAACTGTTTTCAGAAGGCAATTAATGAGTTGTGATGTCTACCTTTATCTTCTTCAAACTCATAAATGTCTGAAGAGTAGCAAACTAATTTTTATTTCATAAGACAAAAAGATAAACTATCCTAGCATTAGAATATCAAAACGTCTTTATTCATCAACTTCAAGTTTTGGTTTAGGAATTTTTTTTTAATTATTTAAAAAAATTTTTTTTATTTTTAAAATTATTTTTAAATTTATTTTTTTAATTATTTTAAAACATGGAACCAAATGGGGACATTAAGTTATGAATAATTCAAGAATTTTTTGTGAGATGTCACAGATAGGCATTATTTGCCATCTATGTTAAACTTAACATTTATTTTTCTGAAACCAAATGTCAAAGACTGTATAATAAGTAATCCTAACTAAGTAGCTGGTTCAGGTTTGTTGTCTTAATTTTTTTTTTCTCAACACAAAACCTACTTACCCAAAGCTAGAGTTCACCCAAACAGGGAGCAGCCACTGATCTGTAGATAGGCCTGACATTAATAACAGCTGCAGCTACTGCCAGATTCAGTTAATATATTTGCTTATCTTTTTAAGTTGATATGTCATTTGGCTCAACAAAGATTAAAGGAGAAATGTCAGGTTTCAGAATATCTTTATTCAGCCAAAGAAAATTTTAATTTTGGAAGTAAAACATTCAGTTACAGGCACACCTCAAAGCAATAAAGCACTTTAATAGTATAAATGATCTGCAATTTATCCTACTTATTAACAATCATAAATAAGCGAGTTTCTATTATTCTATTATTATTCTATTCTATTATTCTATTCTGTTCTATTCTATTCTATTATTCTGTTCTATTCTACTATTAGTCTCTCAGGGGGTTATATAAACCAATGATCTTCAATTTGTTTGTTAATACTAAAATAACTGAAAAAATATGCGACGCTTCACAAATTTTTAAGTTGGTATTCACAAGTTTTCATCTTAAGTTTAAATAGTTGTAAACAAAGGAATATCCTGCATAATGTAAATTTTTCTCTTTTTTTTTTTTTGTAGAGACAGTGTCTCACTATTTTGCCCAGGCTGGTCTCGAACTCCTGGGCACAAGCAATCCTCCCACCTTGGCCTCTTAAAGTGCTGGAATTACACTGTGTGAACCACTGCACCATGACCAGTTTTTTTTAAATAAAACTTTTATATTATTATTTTAAATATATCCAAATAAAAATGCCAGAGATTTGATTTCTAGAAATATCTATTTAAAAGTTGCCTGAACATGCCTCTTTAAGGAATTTTATATCTTCTTTTTTTTTTTTTTTTTTTTTTTTTGAGACAGGAGTCTTGCTCTGTCACCCAAGCTGCAGTGCAGTGGCGTAGTCACAGCTCACTGCAGCCTTGCCCTCCAGGCTCAAGTGATCCTCCCACCTTAGCCTCCTGAGTAGACTGGACTGCAGATGTGCACCACCATGCCTGGCTAATTTTTTTATTTTTACTTTTTGTAGAGACATATCTCACTATGTTGCTCAGGCTGGTCTTGAAGTCCTCAGCTCAACTAATCCTTCTGCATCGGCCTCCCAAAGTGCCAGGATCATAGGCCTGAGCCACCATACCCAGCCACATCTTCTCTTTTTCTCTTTGAACTTTTTTTCCATTCTACTTCCTCCACAGAATGCTATTTGAATGTGATATACCTGCATGCTTGAAAGTCTTTCACCAATCATTCTATAATTTTTCAATCTATAGTATGTTAGTGTATTTAAATTTTTCTTAATTTCCAATGACTGTAATGCTCTAAGTATTAATTCTGTGTCCTCTAAATTGAATTATTACAATAGTCACTAGCACACAATTTATCAAAAAGGCATAGTTTTTTTTACAAATTTTGGTAAATAATAAAATAGTAAATATAAGAAATAATTACTGAAAATACATCTTTCAAAGAAAAATTGGGGGTGATGCTCTTATGGTACTGTTTAACCATTAAAGTAATCACCAAATTGTTCCTTTTGTTTTAGTGCCCTGGAAGTTTGTAAAACTCCAAGGCAATACACCATAATGTGATTCAGGTGGGTAGAAAAGTATGCCTGTCTTCAGTCAATTGGGAGAAGAGAATATGAGATAGAACCTCCACAGCAAGTATCTTTCTCAGGCAGATTAATTTTAGGAAAGAATACGTATGAAAACTGAGATCTAAAAATTAAGAGAGAGAGAGAGAGAGGAAGGAAAGAAGGAAAGAAAGGAAGAGGAAATGAAAGGAAAGGAAAGGAAAGAAAGAAACCTACCATTCATTTACCAGTATCAAAGAACAAGACTCAAAGTGTAACCATTAGGAATCTGTCTAGTAATACTGCAAATTGTGATCAATACCAATGCTAATTGTTACGGATAGCTAAATCTTCTGATCAAGTGATCTACTCGTACCCATTAAACTCTTTCAATCGATTTGTAGCACAACTAATCTTCATGTGTTTTAAGATACTCAATCCGTCTTGATTAGGAAACAAGTCTCTTATCACTCTTTTCACCACAGAAAGATCTAGCTTTTAAGGGGAGGGGAGATTAATAAATTCAATCCTTCATTCAAAGATACTAAAGATTCACTCTTCTGTCTCAAACAGAAAGCCAAAAGAAAAAATACAGCCAATGCTTCAGTGTTAAGAAACATAGCAAGTTTTTTTTGTTTTTTTTTTTACTTGCCTCTGCAGGCCAACTATAAAGTGTCAAACTGCATTACACAAGAACCCTATTAATCTTTTACAAGGAAACTACAATGTGTTTTTTTAAATAGGAAAAGCATTTTAAAGTCTAGGAATATAGACAGACAATTTCTACCCTATATTTCAACTTGGAGCTTAATGATATTACTTTATTAAAACTACTTTGAAGGATAGTGAGAAATTCTCTCACGACTTTGAATTTCCTGAACAATTTTTTATAGGCAATAAGTGAGTTATTAAGTGATAATTTTGTACTTTCTGAGATATTTTTAAAAGCTAATGAGCATAACGTTTGTAAAAAAATTTTAGGTGGAAAATCTGGGCCAAATCAATGGAAAAATCAGAGGTTGCTCTTAAAAAAATTCCCCAAATTCCTAATTTTTAAATTCAAGTTCACATTGATCAAATCTTAACTAACTGAACCTGGTCTTTGTATTCTGAGCAACCTATCTTGTGAAAATCTATTTCCTTCACCACTCCCACTGAATATATATTTGCTAATGATATGATTCTACAGAGTTAAACTAAATTACACAGTCCTACATCTGTTTTCATTTTTGTCTAACTTGGTTAACACTGTCTCCCACATAGCTCTTTGAACTGTATTTTCCTTTTTTTTTTTTTTAAATGTACTCTCCCATTCTCTACCACCTGAGTTAAACAGGAAAAAAGGAAAAGAAAAAAGTACATCCAATTTATACACATTAGATCTAAAGACTGGGGGCCAAATCCTAAAGGAGTGTTAGGTTCTCTTCATTTAGGCCTATTATCACGTTACAAAGTACACAACTGCACTGCTCCTAAAGGTCAGTCTTTATACTAGGTTATGCTTCAATTTACTAAAGCCAACTCGTGACTCCAAGCAAATATTCTGTTTTGGAGTATTGTTTTACCTTTTTGCTTTCCTTTTAAATTAGGCAGCACTCAGATTTTAAAAGAGAAAATAAAGGGAAGAAAAAGCCTCAACCAGGTCTTTAATGTGCAAGATCAGGTAAGACCAAAAGCACTTTACTAATGCACATTTGATTATCAACTGTACCTTTAAAATATGATCAGGCTGAGAATTAATATCTGAATTGTTGGCATTCCTTAAGGAAAACATCCCAGTACGAAATGCATTCACTTTAGAGGTAAAAAAAAAAAAAAAAAAAAAGCACCCATCTGTTCATTTATATATATGTTCTGGTTGAACTTCTAGCTCCACGCAATTAAATTATGCCAGAAAACACTATTAATTCAATTTTCAAAATCATCTACACTGCCATATGCTTTCCAAATGTCTCAAAACTTCTAAATCTCTTTCTCATCTTGACCTCTCTCCCAAGCTCTAGAACCTATTCCCTAACTGCCCATTGGGTACTTGTGACTAGTACATCAAGTACTATTAATATTTCCAGTTTTCACTCCTCTTTCACCTGAACGAACACACACACACACACACACACACATACACACATGCTCACTCGCTTGCTGTCTCCCAATCCCCACCATCCAATTAGTTTTTCCCACTCCCATTCTTTCTAATCCAAGCTCAAAATCCTCAAAGTCATATCTTTGACATCCTCTCTTTGACATTCTGTTCTGCTATTTAAACGATGGTCAATTCTGCAGTTCTTCTTGCATAACTTCTTATATATGTATCTTATACTCCCTTTTCATTCCCCTACATGCCCTCTAGGTAAAGCCCTTATCTCCAAAGAGACCTCATCCCAGATGACTGTAAACACCTCTCTAGTTTTCCCTCCTCTAGGACTCTTTCCTGCCAATACATTTTGCACAAAGATAACTCCAAAACGAATAGCACTACACTGTCCTTATCATCAAAGAATTCACACACTAACAGGAAACAAAAAAACTATTAACAACATAAGTGGATAAGTATTATACTGATGGTACTGTATAAACAAAAAGCTCTCGAAGGTAGGATAGTGACAGTTATTATAGGAGAGGTTTCAGAAGAGGTTACAGCTAAACTGGTGAAAAGCACTTCAGACAGAGGATAGCCTAACATGTGAAGGTTCACATTTGGGAAGGACAAGTAGTCCGGTGGCAGAGGAGAGGTAGGAGCTGAGGCTAAACTTATAGGCTTGAGTCAGACTGTGGGATCTTCGCTCCCATGCTAAGAAGTATTAGACTTGATCCTATGAACCCTGTATTATAAGCTTTTTTTTTTCTTTTTTTTTTGACACGGGTCTTCCCCTGTCAAAAAAAAAAAAAAAAAAAAAAAAAAAAAGGCTGGAGTGCAGTGGTGCAATCATAGCTCACTGCAGCCTCACATTCCTGAGCTCAAACTATCTTGCTGCCTCAGCCCCTCAGCCTCCCAAGTAGCTGGGACTACAGGGGTGCATCACCATGCCCCACTAATTTTTGTATTTTTTAAGAGATGAGGTCTCACCAGTTGCCCAGGTCTTAAACTCCTGGCCTCAAGCAATCCTCCTACTTCAGCCTCCCAAAGTGCTGGGATTACAAGTGTGCTCCACTGCTCCTGGGCCTATTTTACCTGTGTATCTTTGTTGTTTAGTTTTTAATATATAATCTTAAAAACAAAGTAACACAAGCGCTAACAGAACCAGATGCATCTTCCCTAAGCGTGACAGCTGGTTTCTTAGTCATCCACACCTCAAATTAGTAAACAGACTCTGCAGGAAAATTAGATATAAGGACAGTATTCTGTACGCGTTCATTAGGTCAGATTGGTTTATTTATGTTATTCAAATCCACTGTATCCTTACTCACATTTTTGTGATCTAACAGTTATGATCTCTATGACCTACTAGTTCTGAAAGAGGCCTATTTTAAACTTCCTACTATATTTATGGATTTGTCTGTTTCTTAATATCAGATATTGTATTTTTATAGTTACATACTGTTCATCTTATTCCTTTTTGTTTTAGATTACAATTTTCTGGTGTTACTGGGTTAATTCATAATATCCTATTTAATGACACAGAAAATACTCCTCAAAAATAAGCTTTCTGGTCCATTTCTGGACCAAATCTAAACTTTCAACAGCATTGTTGAAAACAGGTGGGTAATTATTTTCCCCATGCTCTTCCTTTTCCATCAACAATCTACTTCCAGCCAAACATACTTCAATATTTAAAGCACACTGCTACTGCTCAGTCTGACCTCCAGTTTGGGGAAAGAATAGTTGTCTGCATGATAAAAGGAGTTGATATTCACACAAAAAACTGAATTGGTTACATTATATGCTTTCTGGCCACATTTCATAACTCTGTCCATTGTATAAAAGGAGAGGGAAGAAAATTTGATAAATCCAAAGAACAGTTTATTCTTCTTCCAGAGGAGAAAACAATCATAATTACTAGTTTGAAAAGGCTCAGCCTCAAGTTTATAGTGGCTTAAGAAGACAAATATAAAGCTTTATGGCAGCTGTCCTAACTAATAATAGAATCCATAGACTCACATGAGCAATACATAGGCCTGACAACTATATTTCTGACCAATTTCCTAACTCAACACTCATTCGTATTTTAGGGAAAGCAATCTAAAAGTAGAACATCTGAGATAAATATCTGTGGCCCAGTCCTCACTGCAAATAACTGAAACATATAAACAAGTTGGGAGGAAAAACCCAAATAATAAGTTATCACACACAACTTGTAAGGTGTTTTGTTCCTACTTAGAATTTGAAAATAAATGAATTCTACCACAGGGTGATCAAGAATAGTGTTTTTTCAAACTGAAGGTCATCATGCATTAGTGGGTTGTGAGATATATTAGTGGGTTCAGACATATTTTTTAAAGAATGATATAGAACAAACTAAAAGAAATAATACCAGAATGTATAGTAAAAGTATTGTTCCATGAAATTTTTTAATGTACACACATATATATGAAATGTACATACACAACTAAAAGGTATTTCATATTATAGGTTAAAAGTAAGAAAAAAAAGTTCAAATAATACTGATCTAGGATCTACCAGTAAGGCAAGCTTATTTACTCAGAGTAGGAGCAAAACTAGGAAGAATATTTTTATAAATTGTTATAAGATTAACTAAAGATCTAAGATTTTAGGCCGGGCGCAGTGGCTCATGCCTGTAATCCTAGCACTTTGGGAGGCCGAGGCGAGCAGATCACCTGAGGTCAGGAGTTAGAGAGCAGCCTGGTCAACATGGTGAAACCCCGTCTCTACTAAAAATACAAAAATTAGCCAGGCGTAGTGGTGCATGCTTGTAACACCAGCTAACTGGGAGGCTGAGGCAGGAGAATCGCTGGAACCTGGGAGGCAGAGGCTGCAGTGAGCCGAGATTGCGCCACTTCACTCCGGCCTGGGTGACAGAGTGAGACTTTGTCTCCAAAAAAAAAAAAAAAAAAGATTATCCAAAGATCAAATAACTATGTATTTATGTTTCGGATGGCAAAAATTCATTTATTCCAAAAAGACTATTATTTACCTTATATATACCAGGCATGGTTGTGTGTGCTAGAAATAGAAAATGGAATAAAACAAAGTCCCTATCTTCAAGAGTAAGTTTAAACTCTAGTAGATATAAGTAGCCATGGCACCAGATGCTAGGCTAAAGTGCTTTACACACATTCTCACTTGAGCCTCCTAATCTTGTGAGTAGATAGTATTTATCTTAATTTTATATAAGTGGGAATTGAGGCTTAGAGAAATTCATTAATTTGTCTCTCACCCACACCACACACACACACGCACACAGCTAGTCAAGGCAGAGTTGTGATTCCAACCTAAGGCAACGGGATTCCAAAGCTCTCTCTTTGCCACTACATTGCACTGCCTTCTACTGTTCTTCTATCTGCAAGAAAATAAAATATAACAATGTTCTGCCCAAGAAAACTTCTAAAAGTTACATAAAACTATGATCTTTGATCAAATAATTTCAACTATACGTTGCCTGCCCTTCCTTAAATTGTATAATTTGAAAGAAGGCAATTCTTTTTTGTCTGTTTGTTTTCTTGGAGACAGGGTCTCATTATTTTGCCCAGGCTGGGCTTGAACTCAAGATCCTCCCGCCTTGGCCTCCCAAGTATCTGCGACTACAAGCACACGCCATGGCTTAAAAGTTGACCTAAAACTACAGTTCAGTTTTTATTAAATCTGCTTTGGAATAAACATACCAAAACATCATATGATTTTTACAATGTCTTCAAAACTGTGAAGAAAGAACGGTAGGCAAATGGCATACAAATCAGCGCACTGTGATTAAAAAAAAAAAAAAAAAAAAAGGCGGCCAGGCACGGTAGCTCAGGCCTGTAATCCCAGCACTTTGGGAGGGCGAGGCAGGTGGATCACTTGAGGTCTGGAATTCAAGACCAGCTTGACCAACATGGTAAAACCCTGTTTCTACTAAAAATACAAAAATTAGCCGGGCATGGTGGTACATGCCCGTAACCTCAGCTACTCAGGAGACTGAGGCACTAGAATCGCTTGAACCCAAGAGGCAGAGGTTGCAGTGAGCTGAGATTGTGCCATTGCACTCCACCCTGGGCAACAAGAGCGAAACTCCATCTCAAAAAAAAAAAAAGGCATCTTACTCCATGAACAAGTCCAGAGTAGGTCTCACAATAACGAGGCTTTGGAAGGGGATGTGGCTATTCATCAGCCTTATTAGGATAGCCATTTCCTAAATGGATCCTGAGGTTTGTGAGACATGTTGAATGAAGCAAGGCTCACCCACATAGGCAGCTAGATATGCTGGGCCAGCCCTGGCAATGAAGGCAAAGGCACTAGGGCCCAAATCACCCCAGATTCCACACTACTAATATACTATCTGATTCCTCAGAGCAGGAGTTGTTTCTGTTTTGCTCTCACTGTATACCGGTACATCACCTAATACAGTATATGTGGCACGGCAGGAACTCAGTAAATATTTGCTATATTAATACATTATATTGCACAAGTTAGTTCCTCTCTCAGGCCTTGATTTTCTCTAAAACAAAAGGGTTGGACTAAATCAATATATTCACTTTCAGCTCTAAAGGTCTATACTTCTTTAAGCTAGAATTCCTAAATATATCACATAGAACATCAGTAAAATTACTCGGCTGAGCATGTGGCTCCCGTTTATAATCCCAGCACTTTGGGAGGCCAAGGTGGGCAGATCACTTGAGGCCAGGAATTCAAGACCAGCCTGGTCAACATGGTAAAACCCTGTCTCTACTTAAAATACAAAAAATTAGCCAGCATGGTGGCACACACCTGCAATCCCAGCTGCTCAAGAGGCTGAGGCACGGGAATCATCTGAACCCAGGAGGCAGAGGTTGCAGTGAGCTGAGATCACGCCTGCACTCCAGCCTGGGCAACACAGCAAGACTCTGTCTCAAAAAAAAAAAAAAAATTACTCCAGGACATCCGGGTTTTTTGAATATATGCCTAGTCACAAGGTTTCACAACATCTTACTCACTAAACACAATGAATTCACCCTGTTGAAACTAAAACCATCACAGCCTCCTCTTCAAGGGGAAACTGCTCAATATTTGCTGAGGTACGAAGAGAAATAAGCCAGTTATTGTAGAAATAACATAGGACATATCCGACATTCAGCTGAAACAAGAGAAAAGTTGATGCTCATGAAAATAAAAATGACAGCAGCATAATGTAGCTTCTTCAGATGTCTGAATAATCAGAAAAATCTGATGATAACTAGCTTCACCAAATAATCTCTGGCCTTAATACCAAAGTACACCTACGTTTTGTAGAGGCCGGATATTTATTTTTTAAGTAGTATGAGATACATTTACCTTCCTCAATTAATTGTCAGTTAGAAATTACTTTCTAACCTTTTACAACTTTTTCCAAAAAGGCAAAGTTAAGTATTTACCCCATTATTTTAAGTAACATCATCTCAAATTAATGAAGCAACTTGACTAGATTACAAAACCACCAGTTCAAAGTTAGGTTTTATTAAATATATTTCCCAAGGACTGAAATGTAAAAATTACACATTAAAGTAAGTCCATTATCTACAAAAAAATTTTTAATGATTTTCAAATCACCTCTAATTGTTATGGGGAGAAGGTTTCACTTCTAAATAGTATGTCAAACCTCTTTTTGAATGCTTCTGATATACAAGAAACACTGGTAGAAACTATAGGAGGATCAGAAAATTCTAGAAAGTGATAGCAGCAGCAGGCCGGAAGGTGCGGGAAGGAGGCGGACAGCCACCCCTTCTGCAGCCACCCCCCACAGCCCGCTGCCACCCCCCAGAGCCCGCTGCCCTGGGGGCTGCCGTAATGGGGTCAGGCCCAGAGCAGCACAGCGGGGGAGTAATGTAGTCAGGCAGAGAGGAACCCCTATGCGGAGCTGGGGCTGTGCTTCGGGGGCGGGGCGGAAAGCAGGAGCTGCTCCAGCTTTGGGGATCTGGCCAGAAGTGCAGCCACTGCGCCCACCCCACTAAGGGTCCCGGGTTCCTGGGCTCGGGAGGAGGCTCTGCGCGGGCCACTTGGGGCCAAGTCCCCAGTGTCCGCCACACGTGGGGTGACCTCCCAGCCTGACACTCCTGACAGCCTGGCCCCAGGCCCGCAATCAGCTCCGGGCCACTCCTTAGCCCCAGGGCAACAGGGAAGCTTGTGGCAATGTCGCCCCTGGCCCAGACACTGGCCCAGGCCCAGCGAGGATTAGGAGCCACCCGCCACAGGCTCCCAGGGGGCACGGCTGGGGCTGCATGCTCCACTGAGTCGGCGGGAGCTGGGAGCTGGCAGCAGCTGCGTCCCCCGACCTCCTAGGCCCCCCTTACCCTTGCAGGCTTGGAGATGCCTGCTCCTGCTGCCTGGCCTCTCCCCATTCTTGCGTCTGCTCCTATCCGGGATTGGGGTTGGAGCTGAGGCGGCGCACTGTCACTGCCCGGAGGGGTACGCACATGCTTGGGCCCTGTTGCCTGGGCCCCCACCGGACTGGGCACTGACAAGCATGGAAGAGGGAACCAAGGTTGGGGACTGAGGGCGACTCAGCACTGGCTTGCAGGTGCCCCTTAGCACGAGCAGCCGGGGTGCCATGGAAAGCAGCAAGAGGCAGACTAGCTCCTGGGTATAAGGGAGGGGGTCCCTGGTGAGGCCCCACCTTCAGGCCAGGGAGGTCCTGAAGGCTGGGGGCCAGGCTGCCAGTCCCATAGACTGGAGTGGGGACTTGTGCCTTTTCCAGGCTGCCCGTGGCGCCCATGAACCAATCGGCATACACTTCCTCCCCTCTGAGGTCCATAAAAGCCCTGGGCTCAGTCAGAGCAAGGCAGAGGATGGAGAGATGATGGGACAACCAGAGGGTAGCTCCTCTCTGCTGAAAGCTGAAGCTGAACACTCATCAGGATGACCTGCCTGTAGAGAGGGGCCACCCACTCCAGGGTTCCTTTGTGCTGAGGGCTGAACACTTGACTGGGTGACCTGCCTACAGAGAGGAGATGCCCACTGCCGGTCTCCTCTGAGCTCAATAAAGCTCCTCTTTGTCTTGCTCACCCTCCACTTGTCTGCATACCTCATTCTTCCTGGATGCAGGACAAGAACTTGGGCAAAGGCACCACCAGGCACAGAGGTTTCCAACCAGAAAAGCAATACCCCAAAGATCCAGTAACGAAAGTATTAAATTCTCAAACTTATGACCCATTTTGGGTACATATGGCTTGATATAAAAAGTAAAAGAGTAATTCAAAGGTTTAAATATACATTAAGAGACATGTCATAAGACACTTTATAATGTGACTGCCAATAAAAAGGTAAGGAAGACCTAAGGCATTTCATCATGGGCAGACTCCTAGAAAAGAAAAAATTTACACTGATGACATTTCCATTGGTTGACTTATTCCTTCTAAGTTCCCTCTACATCTACATCTGTGCATAAAAACAAAAACGTTATTATTCAAAGCATACCTAAAGTTTAAAAAGAGTAATAGCTGTTTTCATAGCATTTAAAGAGAAAAGGTAAACAGTTCAAGCTTGTATTAACAATTCTTGCCAGGCACGGTGGCTCATACATAATTCCAGCACTTTGGGAGGCTGAGACAGGTAGATCACTCGAGGTCAGGAGTTCGAGACCAGCCTGGCCAACATGATGGAACCCTATCTCTACTAAAAATACAAAAAATTAGCTGGGCCTGGTGGCAGGCACCTGTAATCCCAGCTACTTGGGAGGCTGAGGCTGGAGAATCACTTGAAGCCAGGAGGCGGAGGTTACAGTGAGCCAAGATCATGCCACTATACTCCAGCCTGGGCAACAAGAGTGAAATTCCATCTGAAAACAACAACAACAACAACAAACAATTCTTTAAAAAATAACATTTCATAAGAAATTGGAATTCTTATATATTGCTGGTGGGAATGTAAATGGTATATCTACTGTGGAAAATAGTCTGTCAAAGCTAAACATAGAATTACCATTTGACCCAGCAATTCTACTCCTGGGTATATATCCAGACGAATTGAAAATAAGGACTCATACAGATACCTGAACGCCAACGTTCATTACGCATTATTCCTAGTAGCCAAGGTGGAAACAACCCAGTGCTCATCAATAGATGGATAAACAAAATGTATTACTAACATATACATTCAAGGAATATTATTCAGCTATAAAAATGAATAAAGTTCTGATACCTGCAACAAAATGGATCACCCTTAAGAATATTATGTTAAGAAAAATAAGCCTGATGCAAAAGGAAGAATATTGTATAACTCCAGTTATATAAAATATCTAAAATGGGCAAATTCACAGAGATAGAAAGTAGATTAGAGGTTACCAATGGCTGGGGGTAAGGGATAGAGATGGAAGTGGGAATTATTATTTAATGCCTACCGAGTTTCTGTTTGGGATGATGAACAAGTTTTAGAAATAGTGGTGATGGTTGCACAACATTGTGAAAATTAGTACCACTGAGCTCTACACTTAAAAATGTTTAAACAGTTAAACTGTCAAATTTCATGTTATGTATATATATATGTATGTTTTACCACAATAAAAATAAAAAAAACAGCATTCCATGATCACCTCACAGATTAAAATACAAAAGGAAAATGTGCCTTTATGTAAAATGGAGAGATCTGGGCTGGGTGAAGTGGCTCACATCTATAATCCCAGCACTTTGGGAGTTTGAGGTAAGAGGATCCCTTGAGGTCAGGAGTTTGAGATCAGCCTCGGCAACACAGCGATACCCCATCTCTACAAAAAATTTAAAAATTAGCTAGCATGGTGGCACACATCTATAGTTCCAGCTACTCAGGAGATTGAGGCAGGAGTATTGCTTGCGCCCAGGAGCTTGTGATTACAGTGAGCTATGATTGTACTATTGCACTGCAGCCTGGGTAACAGAGTGAGACCCTATCTCTTAAAAAATATATACATTTTAAATTTAAATGGAGAGACCTGGTTGCTGGTGGTCATCATGTTAACCAAGCTGTCCAACTTGGCCACTTGCAGCTTGACGTTATGGGTCTCCTGATATAATGCGCAACATGATCTATATAATAGTCTTGCTGGGAAACCTGACCTAATCTTACCATGAAGAAAGTGACAATCTAGATTATGGAATTTTTCCATAGGACTATTAGCACGGTCTCTTTACAAGAGCCAACTGCAATGCTTGAACTTTGATTGGATACTAGATCTGGATAAAAAGGGGCTACCAAGGCTACTTTGGACATAATGGGGGAAATCTGAGTTACGGATGGCATGTGGTATGATAATATTAAATTATCATTGATTTCTCAGTTATGGTAATAGTATATAGTTAAACAGGAAAATGTCCCTGTACTTGGGAAATACATGCTGAGGAACTTATAGGTAAAGTGTTGTGAAATCTGCAACCTACTTTTGGATGGTTTGGCAAAAAAATTGTGTGATTGTGTGTGTGTGTGTGTGTGTGTGTGTGCATGCACATACACGTGCATGTAGAGAGTGAAAAAGAGAGAGGGAGAGGCAAGCCATCTGGGATAAGATAACAGTGGTGAATTTAAATGAAGGACAGATAGGTCTTCATGTAGTCCTTCAATTTTGCTGTAGATTTGAAATTTTCAAAATAAAAATAAATATCTTTTAAAGTTAGATTTCTACAGAGTTTCTTCTTTTTTGCTCAGAATACACATAACAAAATTCAACGAACAAGGGGGAAAATGTAGCAAACTCAATGCTTTGCATACCTTCCACATCATACCAATGTGCGCCGTTTGTGATTCCATCTTTGAAAGTCTCGTCTTCATCTCCTGGACAATGAGGCTCACCAGTTTTCATTATGGGGTGGTTTGAAGCATAAGCTTTTGCCAAGTATTTAAATACTTCATCATCTGAGGTTTTGCTATAGATTCCAGTGGCCTTATGTTCTGGAGAATCATCAAAAGGATAGCTTGCTACCACTGAGCCACCATGCAGATTTCCAGAAAGCACAAACCTTTGAAAATACAACCAAATCACGTATCACTAAAAAAGGACACAAAACACCATGCATTAAAAAAATTCCACAAAATCTTTTAGAAATAAACTCCAATATCTCTCTTGGAGACCTAGAAAACAACTCTATCAGCTGTTATCTGTTATAAGGAGACTAACAACAACAAAAAAAGAAAATGGAAAGAAAGTATTATCAATTTAAGATTTCAAACACCTTTAACAATTCAGGTTAACCTAAACTAACTTTAAAGAGTTTTCCTTCATTGAAAAAATAGCTGGATAACACAGTATAAATTAATATTTCAGGAAATGTCTTATTTAGGGAATTCTAAATTCATGTATTAGGTTGAACTATATGAGCTTTGAGCTTGCCAATATTCACCCTTTTCTTTTTGGTAGTGATGGGGTCTCGCCATGTTGCCAGGCCTCCCAAAATGCTGGGATTAGAGGCATGAGCCACTATGCCTGGCCCTCACCCATTTTTTTGACCTAAAAAAATGACAATTTCATATAGTTCAGTCTACGACTTGTATTTCATAATACGTAAATTCCACAGAAAATATGGCTGGTATATATAAATATTCATTGCATATATGTTAGGTTAATAACTTTTATGCTTTTTACATTTACCGTCCAAAGAGAATTTTTAAGATAGGAAGTCTAATTTTTAAAAGGATATTTTGTGTTTCACTCCAGTTTCACAATATACTAAATTCACATTTTCAAGAGAGAAGCCATAGTTGAGAAGATTCAGGAAAAAAACAAACAAAGAAAACAACCTGATTCAGTGAGCTGCTTACAGAGAAAAACAATACACCATGTCAAAGACTAGTCCTCCAATACATCACTGTAGAAGCAGCTCTTTCAAGGCCCAATGTTTCTGATTGGGCCATTAAAAAAATAAATTGACATGGAGGCAAGGCTGCTCCTGTAAAAGAAACATTTTTTTTAATGCTTCTACTTTTAAGTGAACCAATTTACAATTTGGTCAAACTTATCTATATAGAAATACTGAAGAATTCCTTTTATGGTAAAAGCTAAAACCTAAAGGCAAAAAAAATGCTAAAGTCCTATTTAAGCATCTTTCCCTTATATAACAGCTTAAACCATTACTATCAGTAGAGATTAAATACTTTTCTTTTTCCATTCTAAATAGGATTTTCTTGCTTCTGCCTTTCTGTTGTTGAAATTAACTGACCTACAGAAATTCTAAAGGGGGTTGATATATAAGATTTTTCTATATGCTTGAAAAAAAAGTAAACCTATCATGTCTAATTTGAAAGACTATTTTAAGCATGATGAGTAGTATTATCCCAGAGAAGATCAAACAATGAAAATTACTTGTAACACAAAATCTGTTCATCAGAAGACAGATCTTTGCCAATAAGGACACTGATTAAACACTAGCATAGACCATGAAAAGAAACTAGCTAAAAACTAATATAATTATAATTAGCACCCTTCCAGACACCAGAGAAGAATGCCATTTGGTGTAGTGGCAATGGCACAGGCTTTGGAGACAAATTTGGGTAAGAACATTCCGTCTCCCAGATCTGTTGCTCACCAGTAATATAACATAATCAGGAGAAGTTACTGCCTTTAAATTCGCTGAACCTCAGTTTTCCTTTCATTTGTAAAATGGGGATTAATGCTACCCATTTCCCAGAGTTGTCATGAAAATTAAGATAACACACATGAAACATAATCTGGCATAAAGACTACTTTATAGCCCCTGCTCAACAAATGTTCATTTCTTTGGAGGTATCTAGCATCCTGTTTAAGGAAACACTGCCTTACAAACTATCATTCTACTCCCCACTTCCACTGCCAGTCCTTGGGTAATAGAATGATACAGAAACAAAAACTAAGTAAATATTCTAACTTTCTAACTCCACTCTAACCACCTCTCCCCTATAGCTAAGGTATTAACAATTTACTCTCTGGTTTGTAATTCTAAAACAATTTTTAAGTATTTTTCCCCCACTGACTCTGGGAAAGTTATAAGAAGGCTGGGGCAGGTCAGGTAATCCATTCGGCAACAAACATTTCTTGAGTGTCAACTATTTGCCAAATGACGTTTCAGGGACAGATACATCCCAAAGGACATTCCAGGGATAGATACATCTGTGAGCGAAACAAACAAACAAATACCCTCTGGGCATTCATATTCTAGTAAAATAAAATGGATAATTAAATATTCTAAATAAGTAAAGCATGCTACTTTAATTACACATGTTAAGTAAAACTTTAAAATCCAAGATTCTCTACAAAATGCTGTTTCTCATTTTGTTCAACATTTCTTCCAACACTTCTCAGAAATATTGTCAAAATGGCCTAATCAAATACTTTTGAACAATGAAATATTTGCAATCTACTTGAGTAATAAAATTCACTTCGATTTTCCTTACTGTAATTACACAGTTTTGAAAGTACCAGTGTCATTCTTACAATGAAGATTTCAAGAGAAAGTGACTACAATGGCTGTAAGATTATGCTTTGAGTTTTTGTCAAATCAACTTTGCAAATCAACTCCAATCTTATTTGACAGGTACTTTATGGTTTCCATTCAAATCAATTCTCTGAAATGTTTCTCATACTTGACTTCAGTATCACATATCATTCCTTGCATAAGATTTAAAGTAGCTGGTAAATATATTAGAGATATTACAAATGAGTTTATAAATATTAAACAGTTAATCTCTAAATTAACTCTATTACGCTATCCAGGTAACCCTGTAGATAACTTGAAAAAAATTAAGATAACTTGATATCTGACAAACTAAATTTCAAAGATTCAGACAATCATAGATATGTATACATAAGCCCCCAAAAAAATCATCTGCACCCACTCTCAACACTGTAATAATGCTTTTCACAAACACATTCAAATATCATTTATATGCTAATTACCTATGAAAATTTAAGCAGGTATATTCACTTAAAGAAGCATAGCGGTCAACTATAAAAAAATAGGAGTCAACTATAAAATCTTCATTTGAATGATAAAGTTAATTTTTTTATATATTTTCTTAAGTATTTGTCTCAACATCCATTGGATGAAGTATAAAGTGAAACAAAGAAAATAAACTTCATTTTCCCAAGCTGGAGGAAATTAAGCCTTAAAATTTTACATATTCGAAATAACAACAAAAATCTAATTCGAATATAGCTGGGTGAATAGGATATCAAGAAATTACTCAAATGGTTTACCTCACAAAATACACTGAAAAAGGTAGTTTTCCCATACAGACTAATGTTTGAGTATTTAAAAATATCCCATCCATAAAGTTGACACTATATTTAGGCATCAATATCAAATTGTGTGTGTGCTTGTGTTTTTAATTTTATTCACATATCAGTGTCCTTTGTTATTGGTTAATAGCACAGAGTACGCATTTTGAGTGAATTCTTGAAGACTGAGTTAGGATGGATGTACTCTTTACCATATATGATCACCTACTTTCCCTTTTGATTAATGAGAGTTACATATTTGAAGAACAGATATGATTAGGGTAGTCCACAGCCACAGACCAAAATGACTCTGTATAGCCTCAAGGCGACTTGCACCAAGAAAAAGCTTATTTTCATATTTGGTCACAGCACAACTAATACTGAAAAGAAAAATCCAGGCACAGAATTTACATCCCTGCAAGGATCACAGCATTTTAAAGGTGCAAGGACAGAGCATTTTAAACATTTAAGCAATGCAAACGGTGCATTTGTTGTATCATCTCCAAAAAGCCCTGGCCATCACAGCTCTGTCAATAAGTGTATGTCAAAGTCATATTTCTTACGCAGATGTTCAGAGGTGATGACACGATCGTATTTAAAAGAAAAAAAAATCCTCCCAGAAAGTCTATGTGAAATTATATATCTACAAGAGAGCTTATCAAGAGGAGTAAAGTAAAAGATAGAAGACGAAAAGACTCAGGAACTGTCCTAACACTCAAGAATTTTCTAGATCTTCTATATATGACTGAAATCTTGTAGAAGAAATGATTCCAAGTCCCGCAGGGAAACTTCTTTATCTTAGCAGTCCCTCAGAAATCTTCTTTTAATCCAGATGGAATGATCAGTTATTGCTTCAAAAGCCTTATGAAGATACAAAAATGGGGAAAAGCTGATGCTAGAAAAGGGGAAGAGATGCCTGCTCACTTCAGACACTATGCCATCTGGAGTGAGTTCCCTCTTATTTTATTCCTCTCCTTTTTGCTGAAAATCCTGCCCATCTCTGGAGATAGCTCAAGCTCTACCTCTTCCACAGAGATGGTCCGTGTTATTGCAGCCCACACACATCTTGCCAGTGGGAACAATTCCTGTAAAGTTTAACTGGGTACACCAACATACCTCATAAATATTTATAACATTCTCTTGTTTTATACTAATTTCTTGAGGTCCTCCTTCTTCTACTTTGTAATTTTTTAAACCTCATGCAATGCTTAATAACACTTAAAGTGTGTATTAGAAGTGTGACCATTAGCCATTCTGCCCAGGCTAATAAGGTGCACAAATGACATCACAAACCCTTCAGAGTCTAAAATGAAGCGGCTCACAGATCTGTGCAAGTTCTCCAGCTAAGTCCATATCTTCTTAAGCTGAGTCAGAGGTAAAAATTGGAGAAAAATCAGCTTCTGTCAAATAGGCAAGGGGAAGATCCTGGGAATATCATCTGCCATTTTTGGGCTCCAGTGTCCCTCCGTGGCTAAGAGGACTATCGGGAATCAGATTGCCTAATTCTAAGTCCCAGCCACACTCCTATGTAAATCAGTTAACCAATCTGACCCTCAATTTCCCCGTATGCAAAACTGATGGTGTCTATGACATCAGGTTGTGGCCAAAATAAAGTGAGATACTGCAGTCACAGAAAAAATTAGCACAGCGCCTATAACATTAGGCACTTTTGATATAAGATAACAACATTGACAGCTTATCTATAAAATGTGTGAGCTGACCTAGGTTATCCTTAAGATCTCTTCTCGCTCATATTCTATGCCCCTGTAAGAATAGGGACCAGAAATGTCAGAAAGGAGTGTCCCCTCCAGCCATCCCTTGAACAAATGACAGCCTCTAGGAGGCAATTCTTTGATGATTAGCAGGACGGGAGGCTACGCGGCCTGGGCCCTGTCCCCGTTACAGGGTGTCTCCCTTCACCTTCACCACCGCCACCCCTTATGCCAGCATTGTCTGAGCGCCTACTGGGTGCCGGAACCAGCCTCGGCCCTTGGAGGCTCACACGGACGGGGAGGGGGCAGGCAACACTCACTTGTTCCTGCGGATCCACTCGATGAGGGCGCGCACCTCGGGCACCTCGTCCAGGGCGGGGGGTTCGCCGGTGCTAAACTGGTCGGGAAAGCTTCGGTTGAGGTCGCGGCCGCGACTATTGTCGCGGCCGCTGGCCCCGGACGGGCCGCCGTCGCCGAAGCCACAGTCGCCCTCGCGGGCACGCTCGAAGCCATCGGGGTTGAGGCTGGGCAGCAGGTACACGTCGGTGGTGTTGAGCAGGCGGACCAGGCGCGGGTCCCCGCGGCGGTAGCCGGCCGCCAGCTCGCGGGCCAAGTAGATCAACACCTGGCGCGACACGGTCTCGTCGCCATGCATGTTGCCCACCAGCTTCACCTGGGGCCGGCCGGGCAGCAGCGGCCCCGCAGCGTCGGGCCCGGCAGCGTCAGGCCCCGCGTCGCCCTCAGGGATTAGCGACCCCAGGCCGGCGGTGAGGCGAAGCACCCACAGCGGCCGGCCTTCCACCGAGCGGCCGATGCTAAAGAGGCGGGCCAGGCCGGGGAGGCCCGCGGCCGCCGCCTCCCTCAGCGCCGACTCCAACTCCTCTTCGTGGTAGTAGCGGTCGAACTGGCCCTCGGCCGCCTCGGCGCCCGCGCTCGTAGTTGTGGTAGTCGCCTCCGCCTTCTTGATGTGAGCCGCCCGGGCCGAGCTCCCCAGCAGCAGCAGGCACATGAGCAACAGGAGCCGCCCTAGCCGCCAAGGCGGCCGCTCGTCCCGGCCGCTCGCCATCTTCCAGCAGCGCCGCTAACCCCGGCTCCGCTCCCGCGGCTCAGCGCTCCGGGCGGCGGGGGCCCGCCGGATCCCCTCCTCGCCTAGCAACCCCATCCCGCCCTCTGGCCGCAGCCAATCGCGGACGGGCCTGGTGGAGCGTCACCACCAGGGGGCGGGGCTTCCCTTAAAGCAGCCGATTCCCTCTGGGCGGGCCTGCCCTCCTCCCGTCCGGGACGAGTTTGGTCACTCTCTTCCTTCGCCAAGGTTCTTCTTCTCTTCTCCTCCTCCTTGTTTCGTCTTCTGCGTGTGCTCCGCTTCTCGCTTAGTCTCTTCTTTATGGCTTCTCCCCTAAATTATCACCCATTTTTCTCTGAGAACTCCTGCTAGTTCTCTTCCCATCTTTGTTGCTGCCTTTCTCAGCTGCGCTTTAATGCTTAGAACCGAGAATGGAAAGAATCAAAAGGTTCGAAAGAATCATAAGACTAGAAAAAATCAATAGGTTCGAAAGAATCTTCGTTCGGACACTCAAAGCCTTAGCCCAGTCTCCTAGGCGCCTTGTCTCCGCATCCACCCCGCCTCCGCTGGAGCCCCGCTGTCCGCGTGCGGTTGCACGGGACGCCTCGTGGGGAGGAAGGCTCGCACCTCACTAGGCGGTGCATTCATTTTTAGAGTTGCTTTCTGGAAAGGTGTCTCTTTTATGCCTAGCGGAAATGTGCTACGTAGTAGGCTCCCTTTGTGTTAATGTTGTCTATTTCTTAGGCGTCACCCCACGTTGTTTTACTGCAAATAGGTCCCTGTGTGTGCTGGCCTCGACCCTCATTAGGCAGATTTCATTTCACAGCTCACCGGCCCACTTCTCCCACCTCATCGGAGCAAGTTGTATATTTAACTGTGCCCTGGAATGACATATTTTAAAACAGCAGGTTTGACATTTCTGGAAACACTTGCTTGGCATTCCTGAACTCCTCAGTGTCAGCCAAAGATGGCAATTACAGCGTTTCATCAAGTCTAGAGAAGAGGTCTTTTAAATCACCTTTTATAGGCTTTAGTTTCTTTAGCTTGAAGAAACCCAAAACTATCCCTTAATCGAATGCGAAATTCTACCCATCTAACAACATAATCGCAATAACCGGCATTACCTTCTTTCAGAGCCAGCTATTTCAGGGCCCCTTCCCTGAACTATGACTGAACCCTACTTTAATAGAGTTCATTCATTCGTCAAGTATTTATTGAGCAACTTTTATGTCAAAGCTAGATGCTGGGAAACAATTCATTCTTCTGCCCAGTCAAGAGATTCAGTGTAGTTTGTGATAAATGCTACAACAGAGGGGGTACAGGTGAGGGAAATATCTGAACTTGAGGAGGAGGAAAGGAGGAGAGAAACCATGGAGGATGGGAAGGATCCCAGGCAGGAGGAGAAGCAAGCAAAGAAAGCCGCAGGATTTGAGAACAAATGCCTTGTGTTCTGGGAATTGCATGCAGGGTCAGGATTACTGGTGTGAAGGGGCTCACAGGCCAGTCTTCAGGGAGCACATTTGATCTGGAAGGCCATGGAGAACCACAGACGGGTTTTAAGCTAGTTTAGAAAAATTCCTCTGACAGTAACACGGAAAATTGAATGGGAGGCCTAAGACTTGAGGCTGAGAGACCTGGAAGGAAGCTGCAATCCAGGAAGACATGATGAGACTCTGAATGAGGGCAGTGCCAGTGGAGGTGGAAAGAAGGAAATGGATCTGAAAGACCTTCGGAAAGGAAAGTGGACAGGATCTGGAGACAAAGAGGATTGTAGGCTGACTTCAAGTTACAGCCTAAGCAACTTGCAGGTATTCACTGAGGTACAGGCCAGGAGAAAGCACAGGTTTAGGTGAAGATGATTAATTTAGTATTCTGCCATCAGAGCGAGCACCGTCACTCCGGTCCTGTGAATGGCTCTTCTCCATGCCCCATTTGATCTAGTCTACATTATGCACAGCAGCTGCAACTCATCAGAAACAAAGCCACAACTCTGTACAGAGAGACCGCCCACCACCTCCCGGGAGTGCTCAACTATTACACCATGCACTTTTACAGTAATCCAAGTCAAAGAAGCCCCAGAGGACATGTTAACTTCTAATCAAATATTTCCTTTTCTACCACGTTCACTCTCCTTTGAAACCTCTTCCAGCCCCTTCACTCCTGCAGCCTCGCCTAGAGAGGCAGCCTGAAATGTAAATAAACAAGCATGAGGGTGGTGAAATAATATGGGAATGTAACTTGAGCCGGTGTCCTCTCAGAAATCCCCAGGCCTTCCGTGGGCCTCTTTCAGGTCTGCAGCCTTCTTCCTTAGCAGGTACACAGTTGCTTATGGTTATAAGTGAAACCCAAAGCTCTGGACCTCAGTCACTTTTGTGTTTACCTACAGGTTTGTGTTTACCTACAGCTGAATACCTCCAATTGTGTCTGAGAAGTCTTGAACCTTATGACAGGTGTTTCTTTCCTCTTTCCCCAAGGAAAAGGTGTGGCCTTACAAATGGAAGGGACTTGGGAAAGGCTTGAAGGTAAAAAGGCTTCCTGTTCACAGAAGCAGAGTGGCAATGACTTGGATTTTTTTTTTTAATTTTTGTATTTGATACATGATAATTGTACATATTTATGGGATACATTTGATATTTTGATACATGCATACAATATATTATGATCAAACCAGGACATTCTGGATAGCCATCACCTCATTTAGCTCAAAGAGATTTGAAATGTTTCTAGCACCAAGAAATGACAAAGAATTGACGTGGATTTTTTAAAAACAGGGCAAAAGCTTTTAGATGACCAGCCTGATTCAAGAACCATTTTCTTCACAAGATTCGTAGGTAATTAAAGCATAGCATAGACCGGGAACTTGTAAGTGTCTCATTGTCCAGCACAAACACCTGCAGATTTACAAATTCAATTTGACAAATGTTTGTGGAGCACCCAATCTGGCGAAAGGTCTGTTGTGCCAGGTACAGGAGGATTGGAAAATGAATGAAGGGGATCTCTCCCCTCCCAGAGGACAGAATCTAGGAAGGGACACAGAACATAGACACAACACAGGACTGGATGTGTCTGCTGGACAAGAGTTACATAACAGGCACTGTGCAAAACCCTTTACATTGGTTGACTCATTTCATCTTCACAACAGTCCTATGAGGCTGGTGCTATTATCATTCCCATTTCAAAGATAAAGAGAGGAGACATGAGGTCACACAGCTGGCAAGCCACAGATCCAAGACTCAAACCTGGGGAGTGTGACTTCAGAGTCTGTGTGCTTAAATTCTGTAATAAAACTGTTTCTATATAGTAAGCTTAAAAAAACAAAAAACAAAAACCTGTTTTTGGAACACACAAAAGCCATTATAATGAAGAGTCACCTCCCTCGGTGGCTCAAGCCTGTAATCCCAGCACTTTGGGAGGCCGAGGCGGGCAGGTCACCTGAGGTCAGGAGTTCAAGACCAGCCCGGTCAACATGGTGAAACCCCGTCTCTACTAAAAATACAAAATAAATAAATAAAAGAAATTAAAAATAAAAATAATGAAGAGTCAGAGAAAACGTCACCAATACTGCTTGATCATGCTCTTCAACAGCAGAACCAAGTTCAAATCCTGGATCAGTCCCTTTTCAGCCATTGTAACCAGGGCAAGTTACTTCATTTCTCTGAAAATTAAAAGAAATAATACATACATAACATTTAATATAATACTTGGCATATAACAAGCGTTCAGAAATCACCGTTATTTCTATTGTTTTTAATAATAGAAATTCTCAAATGGTAAAAATGGAGAAAAGAGCACTCCAGGCAGAGAGACCAGCAAGGATAGATGCACAGAGAGGGATTTCGTGACTGGTGGCTGGAATACAAGATGTGTTAGGAAGAGCAGCAGAAGCCATGCCTGCAAAGACTAGAAGTAGATGAAGGCTTTGAATACCACACTAATGGGGTTTTGCTTTATTCCAAAGCAAATGGAAAACTTACAGAGCTGTTTGTGAGGAGGAATGGTGTGGATCGCACCTGTGTTTTAGCAAGAAAATTCCAGGAACCATTTGGGCAAGGCTAAGGGATAGCTGCTATCCAGGCAAGAGCTAATTCTGGCAAGTTCAGTGAGGATAAAAAGAAGATAAATTAGAGATGTTTAGGTTGTTGGATTGACAAGATTTAGCAACTTTATGGGTAAAAGGGAAGAAGAAGTAAAAGATGACTTCATGAGCTAGTGAGGGTGACCAGGTAGGTGGCTTTGCCATTATCCAAGACAAAGAAGGCAGGAGAAAAGATGCTAAATGGAGGGGCTTGGAGTGTGTGGGAAAAGAGATTAGGTGTTGATTTTGGGAACTTTTAGGTTTGAGATGCCTGTATGAAATCCAGCGGCAGGTATGTCTAGATAATGGGAACAGTTTTGTTGTTGTCGTGTTTGTTGGTGTTTAAGACGAGGTCTCACTCTGTTGCCCAGGCTGGAGTGCAGTGGCACAATCACAGCTCACTGCAGCCTCGACCTCTCAGGCTCAAGCGATCCTCTTGCCTCAGCCTCCCAAGTAGTTGGGACTACAGGGACATGCTACCACACCTGGCTAATTTTTGTATTTTTTGTAGAGACAGGTGTAAGGTACATGGATGTGCTTTGGTCAAGGAATAGGCCAAGGCGGATATCCAGGCCTGCATGACTTGGAGAGTTTGGCTCGCAAGGGCACCCCTCCACTTGCTATGTAACCTGTTTGTGTAAGTTCATACATGGCCCTGAGCCACTGTTGTCTGTAAAAGATATAACTGCCCTGTTGACACTGTGCATGACAGACATGGCTCTTGGGGCTCGGCTCGGCTCAACATGGCTTAACATGGTGGGCACACTGGTGCCCAGAGAAAGAGAGAGAGAACCAGAGCTGTCCATCCTGCAGACAGACAGATGGGAGCCACAGCATGGCTCGCGCCGGAGCCCAGAGAGAGAAGAAGTTAAGCTGCTGACCCTGAAGGCAAGGGAGAGCCAGCCATGCAACTGCATTGTGAGGGTGGCAGGAGCCGCAGAGCCAGAGCAGACAGCCGAGATAAAGGTGGACAGTATGAGAAAGCTGTTGATGAGAGGTGCTGCTGAATAAAATCATCTTTCACCTGCCTACAGCCCCCCAAGTGTTCTTTCTGCCCATCCACCCACTGCCCTTGGATTCCGCATAGGCTGGACCCAGACCCCAGGATCTGACAACAGGGTTTTGCTGTGTTGCCCAGGCTGGTCTCAAACTCCTGGGATCAAGCAATCTGCCTGCTTCAGCCTCCCAAAGTGCTGGGAATACAGGTGCAAGCCACCGCTCCAGGTCTTTGTTTTTTAAACATGGGAGAAATTATAGGTTGTTTGTATACTGATAGGAATGATCTAGTAAAGAGGGAAAATGTGATGACCCATTAGAGAGAAGGGAGAATTGCTGGAGCCATGGCTTTGAGTATGAGTAGTTGGGAAGGGATAGTGTATCTAATATACCAGTGGAGGGATGGGTCTTAGGTCGAAATACAGACACTTCAGTAGTCACAAATGGGAAGGCAGAATATATGGGCATAGGTACAATTAAGTGGGTAGGTGAGGTATTGGGAGAAGGTTCTCTGCTGATTGCTTTTATTTTCTTAATGAAATGGAAAGCAAGGCCACTAGCTGAGTGTAAGGATGTTGGAGTAGGTGTTGGAGGTTTGAGAAAAGAGAGGAAGGTGTGAAATAATCATCTCAAAGAGTGGGAGAGAGAAATGGAGGGTAAGAACAGTTTCCAGCCATTGACACTTAATAGAGCCCAGCAGTTTTCTAACATGTCATCTAGACCTGAAAGCTAATGGGACATAGAACAGAAGGTTTTTGGCTTTGTTTAGTTCATTTATTTGTTGATGAGGCTGTCTGTCTGAGTTCATGGAAAATGTAGTTACAGCCCAGTGAATTGGGCTCTGAAAATCCAGCGGCCACCCTGAGGGCATGGGAGGCTCCTGAGAAGATGAACATAGAGAAGGAAGAAGAGAGATGGCATCACTGAAAACCTCCACTTCAATTTGCTCAATGCCTGGTTCCCCCTAGTGTTGACTCACCTTGACAAGTGACTACTCGCTGTGTGTCACCTCTGCAAGAGAAAGTCAAATCCTAGCAACTTATAGCCCAGGAAACATTGGTAAGAGATGAAGTCATCTCAGAACCCAAAAGGCAACCAACTGAAAGCAAATTTGGAATTTGAAATATAAATATCATATCAATCACAGTGTGCATAATACTATCACCTTATATTTCTGTGTGCCTTCCGGTATGTTATCTCACACAATGCTCACAACTCTGAAGAGTATCAGGACAGCCTAGAAAGATTCTTGTTTTAAGCTCCACCAGCTCAAGCAAGTCAAATAGCAGGACATGGAACAGCTGGGAACTTAAGCTGTGTGCAAAACCTGTCCAGAGTTCCTGCCATCACATGCTGGGGTTCAGTGCACTTAACTCACTCTAGGGTATATGTACATTGTGCGCACATCTAACTAACAGTGAGAAAAAGTGAGAGAATGAAAGTAACAACTAAACTTAAAACAGATGTAGGGCCTGGCACAGTGGCTCATGCCTGTAATGCCAGCATTTTGTGAGGCCAAGGCAGGTGGATCACGTGAGGTCAGGTGTTCAAGACCAGCCTGGCCAACATGATGAAACCCCGTCTCTACTAAAAATACAAAAAAATTAGTCGGGCATGTTGGCTGGGGCTTGTAATCCCAGTTACTCGGGAGGCTGAGGCAGGAGAATCGCTTGAACCCAAGAGGCAGAGGTTGCAGTGAGCTGAGATCGCACCGTTGCACTCCAACCTGGGTGACGAGCAAAACTCTGTCTCAAAAACAAAAACAAAAAAACAAAGCCAAAACCAGATGTACATGTTGGTTTAAAACTGCAGAAAGGATGTGTAAGTAACTTTAAAGGTTTACTGACCATTAACAAAAATAAAATGCAATATGCAGGTGAACAGTAATGTGGTTAGTACCTGCGGAGGAAGAAATTGAAGAATTAACTGAGGGCCATAGAGACATATTAACTGTTTTTTTTTTTGTTGTTGTTTTTGTTTTTTCCGAGATGGAGTTTTGCTGTGTCACCCAGGCTGGAGTGCAGTGGCGCAGTCTTGGCTTACTGCAACCTCCACCTCCTGGGTTCAAGCAATTTTCCCACCTCAGCCTCACAAGTAGCTGGGGTTATAGGCACACGCCACCACATCTGGCTACTTTTTGTATTTTTCTGGTACAGACATGGTTTCGCCATGTTGGCCAGGCTGGTCTCGAGCTCCTGGCCTTGAGTGATCGCCTGCTTTGGCCTCCCAAAGTGCTGGGATTACAGGTGTGAGCCACCACCCAGCCAGAGACACATAAACTTAAAGGAGAATTAGAGGCACTGACAAGAAGCTGTCCCTAGAAGACAAGGATGATGGAAACATGAAATGGCATGCAATTAGAATTTTCATAAATTTGCTAATGTGTTACAAGCAGCAAAATAATAATAATAATAATGAATGATTTTCTGAAATTTTTTTTAAATAAAGTCTCAAAATGGGCAAATTGAGGGAATTTTCAAGAGAACCTTTGGCCATATCAGTTCTTACAAGTGCTGTTGGTTGTCTGCCCGGATTCTCTCTACCAGGCTCGTGCACCCATCTCCTAGCTGATGCTTACTTACATCTGCATCTTTGTGGGAAGATTTACCTTGGCTGACAGGAGCTACTTTGCCCAGAAATGCCTAAGAAATTACACACACTGCCTCCACCCCACCTCTTCCAGGGTCATCCTACTGGTATACAGGCCCCCTTGCCTCTGGATGAGACAAACTTTGGAGCAATTTATGCTCCAGGCAGAGCTTTCTGCAGAATCAGGCTGAGGTAAGAGTTCTTTTTTTCGTTCTTGCTCAGCATCTTCTTCTGATCTGCTTCCCTTAATCCCTTTCAGGTTTCTCCCAAGGGCACTCTTCAATAAATCACTTACGTAAGCATCCCTGTCTCAGGCTATGCTTTTAGGAACCTGCCTTAGGACAGCCAGGTAGGATATCACTCCATAGTACTTCCCCCTATAGGTTAGATAGAATACATTTTGCTTTCTTTGCATTATGTTTTGTTGTTTGTTTTGGTTTAGGTGTTTAGGTGTGGGGAGGTGTTATTTAGGGTAGGGGGTGGACTTTTTTTTTTTAATCAGACAATCAGACAAAGTCTCACTCTTATCAGCCAGGCTGGAGTGCAGTGGCATGAACACGACTCACTGTAACTTCAACCTCCTGAGCTCAAGCAATCCTCCTGCCTCGCCTCCCTTGTAGCTGGGACCACAGGCGTGCACCACCATGCCTGGCTAATTTTTTTAATTTTTTGTGGAGACTGGGTCTCACTTTGTTGCCCCAACTGTTCTCAAACTCCTGGGCTCACACAGTCCTCCTGTCTCTACCTCCCTAAGTGCTGGGATTACAGGCATGAGCCACTGTGCTTGGCCTGGTGTAGTGTTCTTGTTTTGTTTAATTTTGTTTGTTTAAGAGAGTTTTCTCTTACTTCCTTGATGTTTTCATCTTTCTAGGCCAAAGAATAATAAAAGATGTTTACTGAAATTTCTTTTAAAATTTGGCTGAGGTTAGGTAGGGCTATTCTATTTTAAATTTTAGTTAGTTCTGTTTCTAGGGCATAGATTATGCTGTTTCCCAATTGTGAGAACATGATAGTAATTTTGATCTGTATTTCCAAAAGACTCTCTATTAGCCAGCACTGAATAAACAGTAATTCTATTATCATGAGGCAGGGAAGGAGCAAAGCAGGTATCAGATACTTTCAGTTGTATGAATCAGAAAACCTGACTCATTCTAGCTTAAATAATAAATGGAATTTATTGGCTCATATAACTGAGAAGTCCAAAGGAGAAGTCTGGATTTGGGCATAGCTTTTTCCTGTGTCCATTTTGGCTAAATGGGCACAAAACACCTGGTTTCTTTTTGTCCTGTGGCCCTGCCTTCTACAATGTTCACTTCATTCTAAGTCTGACTCCCCTGGTGATTCCAAGAGGGCTGCCAGAAACTCCCAATGCTACATGCATTCTCATTCATAGTTCAGCAAGAAAACAGAGGATGTTCTTGTCCTTGCAAAATTGCCAAGCGTAACTCAGATTGGAACTCCTTAGGTCACCTGCCTGCTCCTGAACCAATTGCTATGGCCAGGGATATGGAATATGCTGATCGACTTAGTTTAGTATATAAACCCTATTGCTGGTGCTGGGAATGGAATCTGATTCCCATGAACTACATGGATCCCCAAATGAAAATCAGGGCCTTTGGCAACGGGGACAAACCAATAAACACCAACCTGCTTCATCAAACAAGCAAAGGCAGCAGAATATTGTATTCATTCGGCATTTATGAGCGTGCCCTGTCCTGGGCTGGAGGGCACATAACTGCGTATGAGACAGAAAGAAGAAGAGAGGGAGGAAAAAAAGGAAATGCAGTGCAATACGTGACAGTGTGAACAAAGTGTTGCTAAGCAATACCAACATGGCACTTCAGCGTTTATGCTTTTCATACACTTTGTCTCACTAACCCCCACAATTGGAAAAGGAACCTTTGTCTTTATTTTTGGATGCCCGGTGTCTGAACTCCCTCCCTTCATCCGGCGAACCCTCCCCACCTTAGGAGTCGTGGTGGAAGGCAGGGCCTTCTCCCACTCTGCAGGCTGAAAATGCCAGGTGCTTGTTCTCACAGGACATGAGACACATAGTCTAGCTTTAACCAAGCAAACAAACCTGTGACAGACTTTGAATTGGGAGCTAGTGAAACAAAGAAGCAGAGGCTGTGGATAATTCTTTCTAGCTGTGGTGGGGGAAATGGCAGCAATGTATAGCTTCTGGGGCAACAGAGCAAACAGAACACCCAGCCCCCAGCGCCAGTGGTGCTGGCAGGATGAGCTGCAGCAGCTGGTACTTGGTGACAGTAGAGCGGTCTCCTAAGTTCTGCTGCTTGCTTTGCGGCATTCTTCCTTTCTGTTTATAACCCCTGATTTTGCCAACTCACCTAGCAATTCTGTGAACCAACCAATATCCTTTTATTAAATTCATTTTCAACCAGACTCAGTACCTATGGCTGCAACTTATGGAAATATAACTCTTCCGGGTCAATATTATCATAATTTTACAGGTAAGGATACAGGCTCTGAGACATTAGGTTACTGGTGCCCAAGACCACGCTATCTTCCAACTGCAAACCCCATCCTTTGTTCAGTATATGTGTCATTCTTAGGTGAAGAGTAACTGGAAAAGTTTCCTTCATTCCTAAAACATTTCCTTCCTCTCCCCATCTGTTTAGTGCCTAAAATGCACCATTAGAGAGGGGTTCTCTGAGTCTGAAAGGCTTTTCCGTCAATTAAAAGGCAAACATCAAGGAATCTTGAGATCAGCTGACCCTTAAGGAATGGGGAGAAACAGTGGGAATTCTTACCTTAGAGAGGATTTGTTTAACAGGCTTCTTGGAGAGCAAAGGCCAGTGAGAATGAAGTGCAGATGATGGAGAAAAATACTGAAAGAGGAGGAGTTGGGTTGCCAAAGCCAATGGTACCTGTGTGACTGGGGCAAAAAAACAGAACTTGCCCCCACATTTCTAAAGAGAATCTTTGATTTAGCTGCTTGGCCACCTGGATAAACAGTGGCATTCTAAGTAGGGAGAGCATAGGGGAAATGAGATCGCATGACGCTAACGGTTCTCAGCCCTGGCTGCCCTTTTGTTTTTCTTGTTTTGTTTTTTGTTTTGAGATGAAGTCTCGCTCCATCGTGCAGGCTGGAGTGCAGTGGCATGATCTTGGCTCACTGCAACCTCCACCTCCCAGGTTCAAGTGATTCTCCTGCCTCAGCCTCCTGAGTAGCTGGGATTACAGGAGTACACCCCCAGCTAATTTTTGTATTTTTAGTAGAAATGGTGTTTCACCATGTTGATCAGGCTGGTCTCGAACTCCTGACCTCAGGGGATCTGCCCGTCTTGGCCTCCCAAAGTACTGTGATTACAGGCATGAGCCATCGTGCCTGGCCCTGGCTACCCTTTTGAATAGCCTAGGGGACCTTTAAAATTACTGGAAGAGGGCCAGGAGAGGTGACTCACGCCTGTAATCCCAGCACCTTGGAAGGCTGAGGTGAAAGGATTTTTTGAGCTCAGGAGTTCAAGACCAGCCTGGGCAACATACTGAGACCCTGTCTCTGTTTTGTTGTTTTTTTAAAAATATATTAAAAAAACAAAATATACTGGTGCAGGGGGGAATGGGGGAATGGCTGCTTAATGGGTACAGGGTTTCCTTTTGGGTAATGACAATATTAGGGAACTAGATAGAACCAATAGTTGTACAACCTTGTGAATATACTAAATGCCACTGCATCCTTGACCTCCCCGGCTCAAGAAATCCTCCCACCTCAGCCTCCCAAGTAGCTGGGACTACAGGCACACACCATATGCCTGGCTAATTTTTGTATTTTTTGTGGAGATGGGTTTTCGCCATGTTGCCCGTGGCTGGTCTCAAACTCCTAGGCTCAAGACATCGGCCCACCTCAGCCTCCCAAAGTGCGGGGATTATAGGCATAAGCCACCATGCCCAGCCAATTGTGCACTTTAAAATGATTAATTTTATGTTATGTGAATTTTGCCTCAAATAAAAAAAATATTGGCATCCCCTGAGAGGGAAGAGGGTAATAATGAGCTTATATGAGGGTGGAAGCAGCTCTTGAGAAGTGTGCGACTTTAGTAGAGTGACGGTGTACTCTATAATGAGCTCAGCAACTTTCTCCTAGATGCCCTCAAGATCACTTCAGGTGAATAATGAATGGTGAAGATTTACATACTTTACTTTTCAAGGCTTTTATAGGAGTTGGTCTTTGATTTCTTTTGGATGTGAATCTGGGCTGAGACAGGGCAATATAGCTTAGTTTCACCAGGGTTCTACCTTATACCTATTTTACAGGTTAGACAAAGGCTGGCCCTAGATTCTAGCAACAAATTTGAATGGGACCAAATACTGTCTTGCTCAGATGTAGTATGGTGTGCCAGATCTGAAGACATCCTCCAGTAAAAACAGCAAGAAATTGGGATGGTGCACTCTTGCATAAAGGGCCTAGGGCATGACTCCCATCTTCAACCAGAAAAATGTTCAGTTACCAGGAATGCCCTGGCAGCCAGCAATTTCAGCCTCTAATTTTGATGAAAACACTTGCCGAGACTGAATTGGCACAAACAAAGCACATTTACACCCAGCCAGCTGGATTCCATCTTAAGAGTACAAGCTGAAGCTCCAGAAGGTGAAGAGATTGATGCTATTCATGGGAACAGTCTGCAGCCATCTCTCTGTTATAGGCCCGGGTGAAAAAAATGGTACAAGGGAAATTATAGTGCTGGAGAAAGCAGCTACCCAAATACTGCAAGCCCACATACGAACCAAAGCTCCCTGGGAAATCCTAAGTGGGAGGGACATAGAAGAGGAGAGTAGGTCTGCAAAAGACCTTCATAAGAAAAAATTACTAGCTCAAGGGAAACACTCAAGTAAAGGAAAGAACAATGAAGCCACACAAAAGAGGGTGAACTAGTGTAACCAAAGATAAGACAAAACTGGTAGAAATTACAGCAAATCTGAAGCAGATGTTCCAGGCAAGTTCTTTTATGGTGCTTTCCAATGCCACCCTGCTCCCCATTCCCTATCTTTGTCCCTTTCCCAGCACTTGATTCTACTCTCCAAGGTCTTTTGTTCATTTATTGGTTAATTCAACAGACCTTGATTAAGCATGGTCTTTATGCCAGTACAAGGCTGCAGGCATGCAGAAGTGAAGAAAACACAATTAAGGCCAGATAAAGAAGAGCCTTGCTGAGTGCGGTGGCTCACACCTGTAATCCCAGCACTTTGGGAGGCTGAGGCGGGCAGGTAACTTGAGGCCAGGAGTTCGAGACCAACCTGGCCAACAGGAGAAACCCTGTCTCTACTAAAAATACAAAAATTAGCCGGGCATGGTGACACACGCCTGTAGTCCCAGCTACTCAGGTGGCTGAGGCAGGACAATCACTTGAGCCCGGGAGGCAGAGGTTGCAGTGAACTGAGATCATGCCAGTGCACTCCAGCCTGGGTGACAGACCAAGACTGTGTCTCAATTAAAAAAAGAAAAAGGGAGAGAGAGAGAGAGAGAGAGCCTTAGAGACCTTAAGCACTAAAAAGATGAGGGTCTCCTTGTCCCAAAAGAAAACTCAAAATTAAATTTGATTTTTCAAGAGGACATAAACCTTACATGTATGCTAACATTAAAATAGCTTCTTTCTAGATTTGGGGATTACAAAATTCAGATTTCGTTAATTAAAGATGAGTGTTTCTCTCACTGTCACTCTCATCCTGGTATTCCTGCTTTGCTAGTGCCTTCAGGGATGACCCAGCTATAAACATTCCTCTGCCTTTGAAGAGGTGAGGACTCAGGAGAGGACAATTCTTAACTTTCTGGCTACTGTGGCTGCTCTTCTCTTTCCCAATTTCTGGTAGCCAGTGTGGTTGTTAATGAATGGAAGGCTGTTGGGTGGCAAAAGGGGGAGGAATTGATATTCTTGAAAAAGGATTGGCCTATTTGCTGACAAAATTGTTGGACTATTATGTCAGCTGTGGTAGCTGTGCTTCAAGATGTGAAGAATAGTCAGGCGCGGTGGTTCACGCCTGTAATCCTAGCACTTTGGGAGGCTGAGATTGGTGGACAAAAGTTATCCGCCTGCCTCGGCCTCCTAAAGTGCTAGGATTAGAGGCGTGATTACAGGATTACAGGCGTGAGCCACTACACCTGGCCCCGAAAGGAGAGCTATATTTGAAACTAAAAATACAAGGACATAGTCTCAGGATAAAGAAGAGTTCTTGGGACGGGCACAGTGGCTCACACCTGTTATCCCAGCACTTTGGGAGGCTGAGGTGGGCGAATCACAAGGTCAGGAGTTCAAGACCAGCCTGACCAACATAGTGAAACCCCGTCTCTACTAAAAATACAAAAAATTAGCTGGGTGTGGTGGCAGGCACCTGTAATCTCAGCTACTTGGGAGGCTGAGATAGGAGAATCGCTTGAACCCGGGAGGTGGAGGTTGCAGTGAGCTGAGATCACGCCACTGCACTCCAGCCTGGGCAACAGTGCAAGACTCCATCTCAAAAAAAAAAAAAAAAAAAAAAAAAGGAAAAGAAACACTTTGCAAGGCCAAGGGAAGTGGGCAGATTGCTTGAGCCCAGGAACTTGAGACCAGCCTGGGCAACATGGCAAAACACCATCTCTACAAAAAAATACTAAATAAAATAAAATAAAATAAAATAAAATAAAATTAGCCAGGCATGGTGGCCCATGCCTACAGTCCTAGCCACCTGAGAGACTGGAGTGGGAGGATCACCTGAGCCCAGGAAGTTGAGGCTGCAGTGAGCCATGATTGTGTCACTGCACTCCAGTCTGGGCAACAGAGTGAGACCCTGTCTCAAAAAAAAAGAAAAAAGAGTTCCTTTTTTACCAAATGAAATTTAGACCTGTTCTCCCACATTATTCTTATTTCTAAAATTTCATGACAGATTAATAATAATGAAAAAATTATTTCCATATCATCACCAGTTCGGAGATCAGAATTTGGAACCACTACCAGTAGATAGTACAAAATGGGTTGATAGGACAACCGGGGACAAAAACCCTGAGCCCATTGAAACATTATTCTGACCTATATGACATTTCTTCTGTACTGAAAGCATGCTTGCATTCAGGTATAGATGAATAGCATGCAAAAATATTCTATAGACAGTTATTGGAAGACTGAAGACCAAAGAGTCCTCTCCACCAGAGGATGAGTGAGAGCTGAGGAAACATAATGTTCTCACCCTGACACATTCAGATAGTGCACTTGTGGCTCCCCTGCACCTATGTTCTTATTTGTGTGCCTGTAATGGGTCACCAGTTTTACCAGCAATAGCTCTTGCAATTGTGGCTTACCAGGAGCCAGGAAGTGAAGCAACCCAAGCGTGATGCATCCAGGAGGCTGAGTCTGTGTGGGTGGTGACAAGGTGAGAAGAAAATGTGACAAGTTTGAAACCACAAGGAAATTCAGAGTTGGTTCCAAGGCTTAACCTTTGCATGAAGTTCCAGAAAGTTTTGAGAGTCTGCACAGTGACTAAGCTTCATGTGCCTTCTTAGGCAGTGGTGAGGAAAGAGGTGAATGGGTGCTGCAAACTGAGGTGATCTAGGAGTTCTCAGGGTTTACTTGCAGTCTGCCCACTTCCTTTTTTTTTTTTTTTTTCTAAATTAAGAGAAAGAGACAAGGTATTGCTCTGTCATCCAGGCTGGAGTGTAGTGCTGTGATTATAGCTCACTGCAGCCTCAAACTCCTTGGCTCAAGTGATCCTCTTACCTTCACCTCTCAAAGTGCTGGGATTACAGGTGTGAACCACCGCACTCAGCATCACACTTTCATATTCTTTTTTTTTTTTTAGATGGAGTCTCGCTCTGTCTCCAGGCTGGAGTGCAGTGGCACGATCTCAGCTCACTGCAACCTCAACCTCCCGGGTTCAAGTGATTCTCCTGCCTCAGCCTCCCAAGTAGCTGGGCTACAGGCATGCACCACCACGCCCAGCTAATTTTTGTATTTTTAGCATAGACGGGGTTTCACCATGTTGGTCAGGATGGACTTGATCTCTTGACCTTGTGATCCACCTGCCTTGGCCTGCCAAAGTGCTGGGATTACAGGCGTGAACCACCACGCCCGGCCACACTTCATATTCTTTAAGTAGCATTAAAATGCTTTAATAAATCAGCATGAGAAAGTTTCTTAATGACACATGCAAAATTATTTATGTATTAGAAAAGCAAGATAGTTGAAAGGAATCAGTGTCATGTGATTAATGTGATACTCCTAGTATCTGTATACATATACATCAAATAATACTTTAAATATATTTTCTATGTCATTTCCCCACAGGTAATTATCTGTAATATCGGGGAAATCTATGTTAGGGCACTTTTTAAGAAAAATCACATACTTTCAGAAAAAAATGGCAAATAAGTACGAAAAACCTTTTTACCCTGCATCGGTAGTCCCTCTATGTGCTGCTCAAGGTTTTACTCTGCGCCAGCCTATGCTCCCATGTGGATGCCCTTCTTATCTTGCTTGAGCTCTGATAGCATCAACAGGTCGCCCTCATGCATGGATACCTTCCTCATTTGGCTCAGACTCTGACACTCTGCACTGAGCCACCACTACTACCCTACATGGACACCTGTCTCACCCTATGCAGGCACTCCTTGCACTCAAGCAGCCCTCCAACATAGGTACCCTGCTTAGATTCTGGCACCCTATGCTGGGCTGCACCCCTGAGTGGATGATGCCCTCTTAGGCTCTGACACCCTGTACTGGGTCACACCACCACCCAGATGTCCACCTCTTCGCTCGGCAGCTCTGCTTCCTTATTCACATATGTAGGTCCTATTTTGTAATATCTATAGTTGTTTTACCTTATTTCTAGATTTATATAGATTCAGACTTCATGATTAGCCTTATTAAATAGTTCCCATTTTCTAGTTTTTCATTCGGAAAAGTCTTTTTTTTTTTCTTTTTTTTTTTTTGAGACAGAGTCTTGCTCTGTTGCCCAGGCTGGAGTGCAGTGGTGCGATCTTGGCTCACTGCAACCTCCACCTCCTGGGCTCAAGCAATTCTCCTGCCTCAACCTCCCAAGTAGTTGGGATTACAGGCACATGCCACTGCACCCAGCTAATTTTTGTATTTTAATAGAGACAGGGTTTCACCTATGTTGGCCAGGCTGGTCACGAACTCCTGGCCTCAGGTGATCTGCCCAGCTCGGCCTCCCAAAGTGCTAGGATTACAGGCTCGAGCCACTGTGCCAAGCCTAGAAATGTCTTAATTGGCTAGACTTTATCATCAGGTAGCTTTTTCAACCAGTGTTTATATGTGTTTTACCTGAAGTAAGCCTTTGTCATTTGAGACTAGTTTTTGATGGCCTTATACACAAGTGGAAATTTAGCTGGGTATAAAATTCTTGGGTCACACTGGTTTCTCCTTAGAACTCTGTAAACATTGTTCTATAATCTTTTGGCATGGATGATTATTGTGAATGAGTTTGAGCTCAGCTTTACATCTTCCTATTACAAGTGGCTTGTGTTTTCTACCTAGATACCAATAAGATTATGCACTTAGTTCATGAAGTTTAGTCACTTCATGTAGCTGTGTCACAGTTCTATTCCGCTATGCTAATTTTTTCTACTACACAGTGTATCTTTTTTTTTTTTTTTTTTGAGACAGAGTCTCGCTCTGTTGCCCAGGCTGGAGTGCAGTGGTGCGATCTCGGCTCACCGCAAGCTCCACCTCCTGGGTTCATGCCATTCTCCTGCCTCAGCCTCCCTAGTAGCTGGGACTACAGGTGCCCACCACCATGCCTGGCTAATTTTTTTTGTATATTTAGTAGAGACAGGGTTTCACTGTGTTAACCAGGATGGTCTCGATCTCCTGACCTCGTGATCCGCCCGCCTCGGCCCTCCAAAGTGCTGGGATTACAGGTGTGAGCCACCACACCCGGCCTGTATCTTTTAAATTTGTAGCTTCTGTTCTTCATTTCAGGAAAGTATACCTTTTTTCTTTGAATATTTTTATTCTCCACTTTGCTCTGCTCTCTGCCTAAAGGACACCAAGTATAGATATGGTGGATTTCTGTTGTGCTTTATGAATGTATATAATTTCTGTGACTGAAAAATTCTATGTAGATGTAAGGATCATATTATTATAGGTTTGATCCAAATATGAGAATTTTAACATTCTTTCTCAGTCTAGGTTTCAAATACTAAAAACTTTGCGAATGATCTTTATTTTTTGGTGTATGTATGAGCACACACATGTGAATATGTAGAATATGATATAGTAGGCTAAGATCAGAGACAATATAGTAGTCAATTTATTTTCCAAGAGCTATAGTGAATAGATAATAATTAGAACTATTTTTTATTTAATGCTTAACTATACAAGGCAAGGACATAAGCACTTTGCATATATTTGCTCATTTAATTCTCACAATAAGTATATAAAATAAGTATTATTATGCCATTATTTAACAATAAGGGGACTAAACCTTAGAAGTGTTAAATAAATCTCCAGAGTTTCATTACTACAAAATGGTAGAGTGGGTTCGGAACCTGAGTTTCCCAAAGCAATGGCCACATATTAATCCACTGTATTCTCTCTCTTTTTTGTCTTCTGCTACAGTGGGAAGTCCTGGGGGGAAAAACAAGTTGTGGATGCCTCCAAAAGGTGTTCATATTTTAAGAAGTCAAGGCTGTTGGTTTCCACGAAGTCATGTTATCTTTACAGTAATGTACGTTAGATTGCAAAACACATGAACTTCTCTAAAAAGTAATTGTTAGCCGTTGTCATCCAGTTTTTTCTTTAAAAAAAAAAAGAAACACAGAAGCCTTCACGAATTTGCATGTCATCCTTGTACAGGGGCCATGATAATTTCTGCATCATTCCAATTTTAGTGTATGTGCTGCTGAAGCCAGCACCAGTTTCTTTTTTTCAACTGGTCCATAGGTCCTTTCACTTAATGTTCCCAAGGCACTAAAGTTCAACATATTTAAAACAAAATTCATTGTTTTATTCCTCAATAACTTTGTCTTTCTCTCAATTCAGTTACTGACACTTCCTTCTCCCCTGCTTTCTATGTGTCATTGGTTGTCAACATTTATTACTTCCGTCTTCTCATTATCTCATTCCATTAAGTCTGTTCCTTTCCATTGAAAATGTCACCACCTTAATTCAGCCTCTTATTAACACCGGCCTGGAATATCGTATTGCAGAAGTAACTGACTAGCCTTCTGTCCTCTCATCTTTTTGTCGTTTCTGTTCTTTTATCTCATACATAGGCTCAGACCTGTCTTCCTACAGCAGTGGTTCCAAACCCTTTTGAAAACACTCCGTATCAATACAAATGCTTGAGCATGAATCTCTAGTATATTCATTTTAATTTATTGTATTGTATTGTATTGTATTTTTGAGATCGAGTCTTACTCTGTCACCCAGGCTGGAGTGTAGTACCACGATCATGGCTCACTGAAGCCTTGACCTCCCCATGCTCAGGTTATCCTCCGGCCTTAGCCTCCTATGTAGCTGAGACTACAGGCATGTGCCACCACACTCAGCTAATTTTTGTATTTTTTTTAGAGATGGGGTCTCGACATGTTTCCCAGGCTGGTCTCAAACTCTTAGGCACAAGCGATCTGCCTACCTTGGCCTCCCAAAGTGCTGGGATCACAGGCATGAGCCACCGCGCCCAGCCCAATTTATTTATTTCTAAACGATGTCCACCTATGACTATGTATATATTACACATATACATGTGTATTATATATTACACATATACATGTGTATTATATATTACACATATACATGTGTATTATATATTACACATATACATGTGTATTATATATTACACATATACATGTGTATTATATATTACACATATACATGTGTATTATATATTACACATATACATGTGTATTATATATTACACATATACATGTGTATTATATATTACACATATACATGTGTATTATATATTACACATATACATGTGTATTATATATTACACATATACATGTGTATTATATATTACACATATACATGTGTATTATATATTACACATATACATGTGTATTATATACATGTGTATTATATATTACACATATACATGTGTATTATATATTACATATATACATGTGTATTACATATTAATATATTGTATATATTAATATAAATGTATATTATATATTATTTCTAAATGATGTCCACCTATAACATATATATATTATAAATGTACACAAGTATAGAAATTAAAAGGAGATAAAGAAGAAATGAATATTTTTAATTTAAATTTTTATATTATATATTTGAGGTACAAAAACATTTTTGTTCTCACTATAATTGAGTAAATTCCACTGTTTTAAAAAAAATTGGCTTAACAATTTGTGATGAAATGATTCACAAGTGTGTTTCTAACTTTATTTTGAAAACGTGTTTTAATTGCCATCATAGCTGAGAAATATAGTCTCAAATTTACACAATGCCAAATGCACCACAAACACATTGCTAAATCCTAATATTCATTTCTATCCAGCAGCTATACAAAGTTTAATTGAAATTCAGCCAATAAATCTACTGATGTCCAAGAGTTATTTTTGCAAGCTATTGAAAAGTATTGTAAATCTATGTCTGGAATATTAATAGATTAAAAGACTCTTTCCAAGTTTTTTGTAAAGCATGCAGGTATAAATGTTTCATAGGTAATGATAAAGTTATATCATTTTCAGGAATAAAAAAACAATGTCGCAATTGTGAATGGGAGCTCACTCATGATTTAGCTCTCTGTTTGTCTCTTATTGGTGTATAGGAATGCTTGTGATTTTTGCTGAAGTTGCTTATCAGCTTAAGGAGATTTTGAGCTGAGACAACAGGGTTTTCTAAATATACAATCATGTCGTCTGCAAACACAGACAATTTGACTTCCAGACATCCATTTTCAAAATGCTTTCTTAATTAAAAAAAGAGTTTCTTTGCAAGAGCAGTTACTTTTCTATTCTTTTTCTTTGCTTTTTGAGACAAACTCTCTCTGTCACCCAGGCTGGAGTGCAGTAGCCCAATCATACCTGGAGCTGTGTGTGATCATAGCTCGGCTGCTGCACTCAAACTGTAACCTCAAACTCCTGGGCTCAAGTGATCCTCCTGCCTCAGCTTCCTAAGTAGCTGGGACTACAGGCACATACCACCAGGCCCAGCTAATCTTTAATTTTTTTGTAGAGATGAGGTCTTACTATGTTGCCGGGGCTGGTCTGAAACTCCTGGACTCAAACGATCCTCCTGCCTTGGCCCCCCAAAACAGTGACTTTTCATTCACTGTTAAACACCATTTTTTTTCTTAAAGATATTAATTAAATGTGCTTATTATTGTAATTGTTTTATTATTAATTAGTTGATTGATTATTGTAATTTCTCCTGGTAGCCCAGTTTTTAAATTCATTTGTCATCACAGAAAAGGTCAGAAATTTTTGAACACTAGTCTTTTTGTAAGAGAAAAATTGTGCAGTTCACAGTTCATCTTTTTAAATTGACAATTCTTTTAAGTCCTTTACCCCTCAATGGCCCATAATCCTATTTGATACAATTGATTTTGATGGTCACTCTTCAACTCACTTTACAGTATTATAAGGACTCTGTGATTTATTAACACTGGGCTCTAACCAAGTGAGATAACCTGCCACCCAAGATTCTACTATCTAAAGTTTAAAGGTCTTGTGTTTTTTGTTTATTTTATTTATAAAAATAGCCTAATGACACCCTACAGCACACAAATTCCTCTTGGGAGATCTCTCTTATGATTTATGACACTTGACTCATGTTCAGACAAATGTGGCTTCCAGCATCAGTTGATATATAGGGCATCAGTAAAGTTTAATTCTTTTAAAGAAAAATAAATATAAATACTAATATTTTTTCTGCGGCTCAGGGCAGCCAGCTCCTAATGAATTCCAGGAATTAGCACAAACCTCACTTTGGAGACCACTGTTACAAAGCATCGCTCTGATCCTTTTACTCTTTTGCCAGCAAACCATCGTTATCTATCCATTGGCCATTTATCCATTGATAAAGCCCATGCTCTCTTTTTCTCAATAACATGGTTGCCCCCATCCCCCTGCTGCCTTCTCAGGGGCACAGGTGAGCCCTTTGTAACAGCTACACTTCAGGCTTGGAGACTGGCCCCACTTCTGAACTTTGAGGGACCAACATTGGCAGCTCACTGTTGAACCTGAGCCAGTCAATCTTTCTGCTGTGTGCAGTTTGATCTTAGCATCTTAATTCCCAGTTATGGGTTTCCTGCCTTGTACCCTCATTCTCCAGTGCTTGGGTTTGAGTACCAGACTGAATAATAATAATAATAATAATAATAATAATAATAATAATAGCAAAGACTAGAGAGCTTACTTGCCTACCGTTGTTCTGAATGCTTTACGTATATCAATTTATTGAATCCTCATAACTCTACAAAATAATACTATTAATATCCCCATTTTACAGAAGATGAAACTGAGACACAGAGGTTACATAACTTCACCAAAGTCACTAACGATAAGTGGCGGAGATGAGTGGGTTTGACTCTAGGCAGCCTAACTTTAGAGCCTGTGACACCTGGCTGCTCTGGCCTGCCTCATGTCAGCTTGCCACGGCTGATTATGGTAGGGCTGGAGAGGCATTTCTAAGCCTCTCAGCCAACAGTATTTCTAGCTTTTGGCCAAAAGCATGGCCAAGTTCAATATGATGCAGTGCCGTTTTGGGGTGGATCAGATACTCAAGGTAAAAAACACTGGCACTGGTTGGGAGCTGACATATGAAAGATGACTGGGAGCTGTAGGTGGTTCAAAAGTTAGAGTGAAAAAGAGACACTGGGACTGATTCCAAGGAAAAGGACCTGGTAGCCAAGAAGTAGACTGACAGAGAATATGAACACTAGCCACTAATTATTAATGCTTATTATGTCCCAAACACTGTCCTATTTGCCTTATGTTCATTGTCCCTTTCACTCTCACAATGACCCTGTGAAAGTGTGTCACCATTTTCTAGACAAAGAAACTGAAGCCAGGCATGGGCTCATGCCTGTAATCCCGGCACTTTGGGAGGCAGAGGCAGGTGGATCACTTGAGGTCAGGAGTGCGAGACCAGCCTGGCCAACATGGTGAAACCTTGTCTCTACTAAAAATACAAAAATTAGCTGGGCCTGGTGGCAGGTGCCTGTAATCCCAGCTACTCGGGAGGCTGAGGCAGGAGAATCACTTCAGCCCGGGAGGTAGAGGTTGCAGTGAGCCGAGATCACGCCACTGCACTCCAATCTGGGTGACACAGCAAGACTCTATCTAAAAAAAAAAAAGAAAGAAAAAGAAAAAGAAAAAAAAAGAAAAGAAAAAGAAAAAAGAAAGAAAGAAAAAGAAAAAGAAACTGAAGCTCAGAAAATCTAACTAATTTTCCTAAGCTCACATAATCAAATCAAGTGGTTCCGCTAGGATCTGAATTATGTTTGGTGTGGAAAGGTGCTACAGTCATCAGCCTCTATAGGATTTCCATTAGTTTGTCCAAAGCCACTGATATGGTTTGGCTGTGCCCCCCACCCAAATCTCAATTTGAATTGTATCTCCCAGAATTCACATGTGTTGGGGGAGGGGCCCAGTGGGAGGTAATTGAATCATGGGGGCCAGTCTTTCCCGTGATGTTCTTGAAATAGTGAATAAGTCTCACAAGATCTGATGGGTTTATCAGGGGTTTCTGCTTTTGCTTCCTTCTCATTTTCTCTTGCTGCCACCATGTAAGAAGTGCCTTTTGCCTCCCATCATAATTCTGCAGCCTCCCCAGCTATGTGGAACTGTAAGTCCAATTAAATCTCTTTTTCTTCCCAGTATCGAGTATGTCTTTATCAGCAGCATGAAAACATACTAGTATAGCCACCCTAAATAAATATGCAATTTAAGGAAAAGCAGTGTTGTAACTCATAAACACAACTTCAGCACAAGACCTCCTTCCAACTACACTGCTGCATACTTGAACTGCCCTAGGCTTATTACAAAGGTGGGCTCTTAATGATGGATCTCTATACCTCCTCATCACGAGAAGATCAAAGGGTAAGAAAGACAAGGGTGAAAATACATCTGCAGTCTTCTTCCTCCAACTCCAATTGAGAGCAAGAGACACAAAGAATCAGGAATTGGTTATGATGCCTAGTGGTGGCAGTGGTGGCAGAAACATCTGTTTCTAGGGGCAACTTGAGTTTCTGCAATGGGGCAGTATTCAGTGTTTTGAGGCCCCCATTCCAAGCTGTGGCATTTAGTGGTTCATCAGTAATGGTCTTCCTGGATGGGTTTATGGCAATGTTTAGCCTGTGGTCTTAGTTGCTACTGGGACCTTCTTGTTCCAATCCTTCACTGAACCTGTTTCTTTCTCCTCCTCTACAATATGTCATCAGTAAACTTCCTTCATGCTTAAATAAGCTAGAGTTAGTTTCTGTTACTTCCAACTAAAACCTCTGACTGGACCATGATTAAATTTTCATTTTCAATATTACTATCACAGTGCATCATATTTCCAATTTTTAAAAAAAGGACTAGTAGCTCAAAAGTAGTTCATTAAAATATTCATATAACCCACAGTTAATATAATGCTTAATAGTGAAAGATTGAAAGCTCCCTTAAAATCAGGAACAAACCAAGAATGTTCACTTTCCTTTTTTTTTTCCTTTGGTTTGTTTGTTTATTTGAGATGGAGTCTTGCTCTGTCACCCAGGCTGGAGTGCAGTGGTGCAATCTCAGCTCACTGCAACCACCACCTCCCAGGTTCAAGCGATTCTCCTGCCTCAGCCTCCTGAGTAGCTGGGACTATAGGCGCACGCCACCATGCTCGGCTAATTTTTGTATTTTTAGTAGAGACAGGGTTTTACCATGTTGCCCAGGATGGTCTCGATCTCCTGACCTTGTGATCCACCTGCCTTAGCCTCCCAAAGTGCTGGGGTTACAGGTGTGAGCCACCGTGCCTGGCCAGAATGTTCACTTTCTATTAAACATTGTGCTGGATATTCCAGTCAGGTCAATTAGATAAGAAAAAAAAAAAAGACATCCAGATAGGAAAGAGAGAAATAAGACTATCTCTATTTGTAGATGACATGATTTACTTTTACGTATAGAAAACCTTAAGGAATCCATTATAAACCTATTAAAACTAATAAACAAGTTCAGTAAGGTTGCCAGATACAAAAGCAACATGCAAAAATTAATTTTATTTATATACACTAGCAAACAACAATCCAAAGATGAAATTAAGAAAACAATTTCATTTATAATGGCATCAAAAAGAATAAATAAACTACTTAGGAATCAGTTTAACCAAAGAAGTGCAAGACTTGTACACTGAAAACTACAAAACACTATTGAAAGAAATTAAAGAAAACCTAGACATCCCATGTTCATGGATCAGAAGACTTGATATTGTAAGATGCCAATACTTCAAACTAATCTATATATTTAATGCAATTCCTATCAAAATACTAGCATCTTTTCTTGTGGAAGTTGATATACTAATCCTAATATCCATATGGAAATGCAAGAGACTCAGAAAAGCCAAAAACAACCTTGAAAAAGAAGAACAAAGTTGAAGGATTCATGTTTCCTGATTTCAAAACCTAGTATAAAGTTACAGTAATCAAGAGGGTGCTAATAGCATAGGGATAGACATATAGATCAATGGAATGGAATTGAACATTCAGAAATAAACCCTACTATTTTTGGTCAATTGATTTTCAGCAAGGGTGCCAAGACCATTCAATGGGGGAAAGAATAGCCTTTTTAACAAATGGTGCTGGGTCAACTGGATATCCACAAGCAAAAAAATGGATATGGACTCCTATCTCACACCACAGGCAAAAATTAACTTAAAATAAATTCTGGGTCAAGCATGGTGGCTCACACCTGTAATCCCAGCACTTTAGTGGGCCCAGGCAGGTGGATCACCGGAAGCCAGGAGTTCGCGACCAGCCTGGCCAACATAGTGAAACCCCGTCTCTACTAAAAATACAAAAATTAGCTGGGCATGATGGCAGGAGCCTGTAATCCCAGCTACTCAGGAGGATGAGGCAGGAGAATCACTTGAACCCAGGAGGCAGAGGTTGCAGTGAGCTGAGATCACACCATTGCACTCCAGCCTGGGCCACAGGAGTGAGACTTCGTCGCAAAAAATAAATAAATAAAATAAAATAAAATAAATAAATAAATCTGGTCCTAAATATAAGAGTTAAAACTATAAAATTCTTAGAAGAAAATATAACCTTGGATTAGGCAATGGTATTTTAGATATGACACCAGAAGTATACATGACAAAAGGAAAAATAACTGTTAAGCTTTTTTACAATTAAAAATTGTGCTACAGGCCAGACGTGGTGGCTCACGCCTGTAATCTCAGCACTTTGGGAGGCTGAGATGGGCGGATTGCCTAAGGTCAGGAGTTCAAGACCAGCCTGGCCAACATGGTGAAACCACGTCTCTACTAAAAAAAAAAAAAAAAAAACACACACACACACAAAAATTAGCCGGGCATGGTGGTGGGCACCTGTAATCCCAGCTATTCGGGAGGCTGAGGCAGGAGAATGGTTTGAGCCCGGGAGGTGGAGGTTGCAGTGAGCCAAGATTGTGCCACTGCACTTCAGCCTGAGTGACTGAGCAGGACTCTGTCTCAAAAAAAAAAAAAAAAAAAAAAATTGTGCTGTGAAGCCTCTATCAGGCTGGGCATGGTAGGTAGTTCATGCCTGTAATCCCAGCACTTTGGGAGGGCCAGGCTAGAGGATTCCTTGAGCCCAAGAGTTCCAGAACAGCCTGAGCAACATATGGGGACCCCCATCTCAACCAAAACAAATTAACAGTTAGCTGGGTATGGTGGTGCATGTCTGTGATCTCAGCTACTGGGGGTTGGGGGCTGGGTGGTGCTGTCTGAGGTGGGAGGGTCATTTGAACCCAGGAGGTCACGGCTGCAGTGAGTCATAATCACACCACTACACTCCAGCCTGGGTGACAGAGCATGACCTGTTTCAAAGGACACTATCATGAAAGTGAAAAGAAAAGACAACCCACAAAATGAGAGAAAACATTTGCAAATCATATATCTATTAAGGGATTTGTATTTAAAATATATAAAGAGTCTTACAACTCAACAATTAAAAAAAAAACTTAAAATGGTCAAAAGATTTGAATGGACATTTTTCCAAAGAAGGTATACAAGTGGCCAAGCAGCACATGAAAAGATGTTCAATGTTATTACATATTAGGGAAATGTAAATGAAAACCTCAACGAGATTGCTAAAGGGTATGACGTTTCTCTTGTGGATGATGAAAATGTTCTAAAATTGATTGCAATGATGTTGCACAACTGTGAATGTAGTAAAAACCATTTAATTGTATACTTTAAATGGGTAAATTATATCTCAGTATGTAGGTAAATTATATCTCAATAAAGCTGTACCAAAAAAAAAAAAAAAAAAAAACCCTCACAGTGAGATGACACTTTATACTTACAAGGATGGCTAAAATAGAAAAGAGACAATAACAAGTGTTGATGAAAATGTGGACAAATTGTAACCCTTGTACATTGCTGGTGGAATTGTTAATGGTACAGTCACTATGGAAAACAAGTTAGGTGTTCTTCAAAATGTTAAACATAGAGTTACTATATGACCCAGCAATTGCACTCATAGATATATAGCCAAGAGAAATGAAAACACATGTCCACAAAAAAACTTGTACATGAATGTTCATAGTAGCATTATTCAAAATAGCCAAAACTGGAAGCAATACAAACATCCAGGATGCACAAATTAACAAAAATGTGTTATATCCCTACACTGAACAATACTAGGCCGTAAAAAGGAAGGAAGTCACATACTGCAATATGGATGAATTTTGAAATCATCATGCTAACTTAAAGAGGTCAGATAGAGGCCGGGAGCAGTGGCTCTAGCCTGTAATCCCTGCACTTTGGGAGGCTGAGGCGGGCAGATCACAAGGTCAGGAGTTTGAGACCAGCTTGGCCAATATGGTGAAACCCCGTGTCTACTAAAAATACAAAAATTAGCCAGGCATGGTGATGCACACCTGTAGTCCCAGCTACTCAGGAGGTTGAGGCAGGAGAATCGCTTGAACTCAGGAGGCAGAGGTTGCAGTGAGCCAAGATCACGCCACTACACTCAAGCCTGGGCGACAGAGCAAGACTCCATCTCCAGAAAAAAACGGCCAGGCATGGTGGCTCACGCCTGTAATCCCAGCACTTTGGGAGGCCGAGGCGGGTGGATCACGAGGTCAGGAGTTCAAGACCAGCCTGGCCAACATGGTGAAACCCTGTCTCTACTAAAAATAAAAAAAAATTAGCCGGGCGTGGTGGCAGGCGCCTATAGTCCCAGCTACTCGGGCGGCTGAGGCAGGAGAATAGTGTGAACCCGGGAGGCGGAGCTTACAGTGAGCCCAGATCACGCCACTGCACTCCAGCCTGGGCGACAGAGTGAGACTCAGTCTCAAAAAAAAAAAAAAAAAAAAAAAAAAAGAGGTCAGATAGAAAAGACCACATATTGTGTGACTACATTTAAATGAAATGTCCAGAATAAGCAAATCCATAGAAACAGAAAGTAGATTAGTAATTGCCAGGGACTGTAAGGCAGAGGGAGAAATAGGGAGTCAATGCTTAGGGATGCAGAGTTTCTTTCTGTGGGGATGAAAATGTTCTAACACTAGTCAGGATGCTTGCACAATTCTGTGAATATATTAGAAACCACAGAATTGTATTCTTTAGAAGGGTGCATTTTATGTATATTAAATCCGTTGAAGTTTTTTTAAAAATCATGAACATAGGAATATAAATACCACAAATCATAACAGCATTATAAAGTTAAATAGTGACCAGATGCAGTGGCTAACACCTGTAATGCCAACAGTTTGGGAGGCCATGGCAGGAGGATCACTTGAGGCCAGGAGTCTGAGACCAGCCTGGGAAACACAGCAAGACTCCATCTCTTAAAAAAAAAAAAGCTGGGCATGGTGTTGCATGCCTGTTGTCCTACCTCCTCAGGAGGCTGAGGCAGGAGAATCCCTTGAGCCCAAGAGTTCCAGGCTGCACTGAGCTATGATCAAGCCACTGCACTGTAGCCTGGGCAATGGAGTGAGACCCTGTCTCAAAAAAACAAAAGTTGGCCGGGCACAGTGGCTCATGCCTGTAATCCCAGCACTTTGGGAGGTGGAGGCGGGTGGATCACTTGAGGCCAGGAAGACCAGCCTGGCCAACATGGTGAAACCCCGCCTCTACTAAAAATACACAAATTAGCCGGGTTTGATGGCTCTGTAATCCCAGCCACTCAGGGGGCTGAGGCATGAGAATCACTTGAACCTGGGAGGTGGAGGTTGCAGTGAGCTGAGATCACGCCATTGCACTCCAGCCTGGGCTACAGAGTGAGACTCTGTCTCCAAAAAAAAAAAAAAAAAAAGGCAAATAGTGAACAAACAGGACTCTACTTAAACTGTAGTGTGACCCTGTATGTGATAGGATAAGCCTCTGAAAATATGATTCTTTTACATAAATAGTTCAAAAATAACAGTATAGTAGTAAAAGGGCTGATGAGTGTCCAAAAATTGGATTTTACCGTGTGTGATGGTTAATTTTACATGTCAACTTGACTGGGCTAACAAATGCCCAGATAGCTGGTAAAACATGATTTCTGGGTGTGTCGGTGAGGTGTTTCTGGAAGAGATTAGCATTTGAATCAGTAGACTGAGTAAAGATCTGTCCTCACTAATTCCATGGGTATCATCTAACTCATTGAGAGCCGGAATAGAACAAAAAGGTGGAGGGAGGACAAATTCTCTGTTTGAGCTGGGAAGTACATCTCACCTCTCTGTGGATATCAGCACTCATGGTTCTCAGGTCTTTGGACTTGGACCAGGACTTTATACCATCAGCTCCCTGATTTTTAGGACTTTGGACTCAGGCTGAATTACACTACCAGCTTTCTTGGTTCTCCAACTTGGATCTCCAAATGACAGATCATGGGACTTTTTGGCCTCCATCATCACATCAGCCAATTCCTATAATAAGTCTCTTCATTCATAGATAGAGACAGAGACAGGGAGAGAGAGAGATCTTGTTGGTTCTGTTTCTCTGGAACCCTGACTGATACACTGGGCTAGCAATGTATTCATCTCTACTTCTCAGTGTATTGTTTGTTTGTTTGTTTGTTTGAGACGAAGTATCATTCATTCTGTCACTTAGGCTGAAGTGCAGTGGCACAATTTCAGCTCATTGCAACCTCTGCCTCCCAAGTGGAAAGGATTCTCCTGCCTCAGCCTCCTGAGTGGCTGGGATTACAGGTGTGTGCCACCACATGTGGCTAATTTTTTCATTTGTGGTAGAGACAGGGTTTCACTCTGTTAGCCAGGCTGGTCTTGAACTCCTGGCCTCAAGTGATCTGCCTGCCTCGCCTCCAAAAGTGCTGGGATTACAGGTGTGAGCCACTGCGCCCGGCCGCTCAGTGTATTGTTTATTATGAACTTGTTCATAAGCCACCCATCCTTTTTTAGTGTCTTTTTTTTCTTTTCTTTTCTTTTCTGTTTTTTGAGATGGAGTCTCGGTCTGTTGCCCAGGCTGGAGTGCAATGGTGTGATCTGGGCTCATTGCAACCTCCGCCTCCCAGGTTCAAGCAATTCTCTGCCTCAGCCTCCAGAGTAGCTGGGATTACGGGCTCCCCACACCATGCCTGGCTATTTTTGTATTTTTAGCAGAGATGGGATTTCACCACGTTGGCCAGGCTGGTCTTGAACTCCTGACCTCGTGATCCACCCACCTCAGCCTCCCAGAGTGCTGGGATTACAGAGCCACCACGCCCGGCTGCTCAGTATTTTTTTTTTTTTTTTTTGAGATGGAGTCTTACTCTGTCGCCCAGGCTGGAGTGCAGTGGGGCAATCTCGGCTCACTGCAAGCTCTGCCTCCTGGGTTCACGCCATTCTCCTGCCTCAGCCTCCTGAGTAGCTGGGAATACAGGCACCCGCCACCACAGCCGGCTAATTTTTTTTTTTTTTTTGTATTTTTAGTAGAGACGGGGTTTCACCTTGTTAGCCAGGATGGTCTTGATCTCCTGACCTCATGATCTGCCCGCCACGGCCTCTCAAAGTGCTGGGATTACAGGCCTGAGCCACCGGGCCCAGCCCAGTGTATTGTTTATAATGAACTTGTTCATAAGCCACCCATCCTTTTTTAGTGTCATTTTCAAACAAAATACGGGGACCTCTCCGAAAAGCAATGATACTTTTTTCCTAGAATAAGAACAAAATAATACTTTTCAAGGTGAAAATTTTATATCTAAAGGCAAAGACAAGACCAAAAGTATAGCCACATCATTGATATCTATATTTCTTTAGCAACAAAAGCTATAAATCACTCTAGTGCTAAAAAAGTATTAATCTATTTACAAAGCTAATGACACATTTTATGCTTGAAGAGAAAGCAAACAGACGTCCTTTATCTGGTGACAGTCTAAGCTGTTGCAAAAATTCAACAACATACAATGTGAAAGAGTCTAAGAACATACAGGATAAAACCAAACTCCGTTTCGCCTGTACTCTCACTTAGTAGTCAACACAGAAGACGTCTCTGACCAAATGTGGGAAGGGCTTCCCCACTAATAAGCAGGCAATCAATTCTGCAGCAGACACCAGCTGGGTGTCCTCTAATTCAATTCAAACCTGGAGAGATAGCATCAGATCTCATAGATTGAGGGCTCAGTCCCTAAGCCAGTCCCCCATTTCAGATGCCAATTGCAAGCCTCACATTGTTTTATATGTGCTTCTGACAAACTGCCTATAAATTAGGATTTCCACCATCCTCTCCTGGGGTTAGAATACCGTGTTAGAGTGGCTCACAGAACTCAGGGAAATATTTATGTTTACTGGTTGATATAAAGGATATTACCAAGGGTACTAATGAACACCAGATGAAAAGATGCATAGGGTAAGGTTTGGGGGAGTGGGTACAGAGCTTCCATGCCCTCTCTGGGCACCATCTTCTAGGAAACTGCATGTGTTCGGCTATGCAGAAGCCCTCCAAACCCTGTCCTTTGGGGTTTTTATGGAAGCTTCATTAGGTAGGCATGATTGATGAGATCATTGGCCATTGGTAATCAACTTAACCTTCAACCCCGTCTCCTCCCTGCAGGTTGGGAGGTGGGACTGAAAAGTCCCAACCCTCTCTAATGCTGCCTTGGTCTTTCTGGTGGTCAGCCCCCAACCTGAAGCTACCAAGGGGCTGCCAGCCACCAGTTATCTCATTAGCATACAAGAAGACACATCACTTTGGAGAGTCCAAGGATTGTAGGAGATGTATGCCAGGAAAGGGGATGACGATATATTTCATAATATCACAAGGAGCAATTACTATCCTAGAAGATATTTCCCTTCACATGGGAAGGAAACAGCTGATATGCTGAGCATAAGTCAGCCTTTGCGATATGTGTCCCACATATATGAGAGAAAAGTACGCAATAATGCTTCACTCTATTTATCACTGCAGACTCATGCTATGGTAGAAGAGATTTTTCATCTGTAACAATTAAAATGTATGTTGGAGTCAGTACTGATGGAACCCTGGCCATGTGTCTAGCAAAGAAGGGTGTTAGTAACCCTAACATTCCTAGTTAGGAATAAAAGTTTGCTCCTGAATGCCAATCACACACTGCTTCATTCACAGAGAGCAAGCACCTTGACCTTGAACCAGGGTTGAAGTTTGCAAATATGATCAGTACACAACCATTAAATGACTTTTCAGCATGTTGTGAGAGGAAACAGGCAGTGAGCACAAAATTTTGCTTTTCCCCTTGGAAGCATGTTACCAGGACACTCTCACAAATTTTTTCAATAAAGGAAGTGATTTATAGTATTTCTTTGTAGACGCTCATGATGCTTGTAAACATGTTTCTCTACTTTCACATGAGTTATCTCAGCTCTGTAGTCACATTCCTGCATGACCTGAACCTATTACTTCAGGACTGATTGAGCAATGAATTTTAAAAGTCAAGAATGAGAATAAACTAGCAGAGTTTTTTAAAGAAGATATAAACCTGTATTAGTTACGTATTGCTGCATAACAGAGTATCCCAAAACTTAGCCGCTTAAAGCAAACTTTTATCATCTCATGGTTTTTGTGGGTTTGGAATCTGGGTGCCAGTTATTAGTCGGGTGACTCTGGCTCAGGATTCCTCATGAGGTTGTGATCAAGCCATCAGCTGAAGCTGCATCATTTCAGGCTTGATAGGAGGAAGATCCATTTCCAGCTCACTCAGGTGGCCATCTGCTGTCTTTCCTCAATGTTGTCTGGAGAAGTCCGTTCCTTGCCAAGTTAGCCTCACAACATGGCAGCTGACTTCTCCCAGAGCAAGTGTGCCAGAGAGCAAGAGAAAACACAGCCTTGTAACCTCATATCAGAACTGATAGCCCATCACTTCTGCCCCATTCTATTTGTCAGAAATGAGTCACTAGGTCCAGCCCACATATAAGGGGAGGAGTTTACCTCTAGGGCATGAATATTAGGAAGCAAGGATCATTGGGGCTCTCTCAGAGTCTGCCTCACACAGTATCCATATACTTCTGTGAACCAGGTGAGCTAAGATACAACAGGTCTTAGTCAGCGAAGCTTTCAAAGGCCCCTCCGTCCAGCATGGCCTGCATCCTCAGTGTTCAGTGATCCAGTAGGCAGAACTTGACCAGCCATGTTAGGGGTTAGGTGATAAGTGCAAGGGCTGGGCTCCATGGCTCATGCCTGTAATCCCGGCACTTTGGGAGGCTGAGGCAGGAGGATGACTCACAGCTAGGAATTGAAGGCTGCAATTAGCTATGATCACACACTGTACTCCATCCTGGGTGACAGAGTGAGATCCTGTCTTTAAAAAGTTAAAAATTAAAAAAAATAAATAAAAGAGATGGGTACAGGGCCTAAGTAAGCTGGATTGTGACTTAAAAGGCTGGTGTCCTCAGGTACACGTCTATTACAGAGCTGGTGGGTTTCCCCCGGCCTTTTTCAGCTGGCATGGCTGTAAGCTTGTTCTTCCTTCCATGGTAGGGACAAATGTTGCCATACCAGTCCTGGGCTGACTATCTCTGGACTTCTTAAGTATAAGAGAGAAAATACATTCTCATTTTTGTTTAAGCCATTTCTACATTTTTCTACTATGCCTAACTGAATGTAATCCTACCTAATGATGTGGCTTTGTTCAAGTCCAAATCCTAAACTTATGCAATTCAAATCTAGTCTTGCTGTGTCCTGAGCTGCCCCACTACTTCCTCCTAGATGCTGCTTCTAGTGGAGGACGTATTGTCTCTAAGTGTAGGACAAAAGTTATGCAAACATTGCCAGGTTTCCACTGATAATGGGTAAGGACCAGGATGTGTTGATGGACTGTGTCCAGAGTATGTTGCAATTTGCAGACAGCTGTATGCTCCCGCTGAACCACAGGGTTGGCCCTGGAGTGGGGCAGGGGCTAGTCCTCTGGTTCCTCTTCAGGTAACAGGACGAGCAAGAGGCTGTGGGGCCCTGATCTAAGTTCTCCTGCCATCTGCCCTGGGTGCTGCCTAAGTCCAAAGGCCTGACAGTTACAAGACCTGTACATTAAGTCCCTGTCTAACTGAGATCTGCAGATCCAGCAGGTAGCTTTAAAAACAAGGAGTAGGAGTGGCCAGGGATGAGGAAGTGCAGATAAAAGACAAACGAGTTCTGAAAGTAGGCAGGCAATGGACACAAATAAAAAAATCTATATAGGCTGGTGCAAGTGCAGTGGTGTTTACAACGAATCGATCACTACCAGTTACAGATTTCTTTGTTCCTTCCCTATTCCCATTGATTCACTTGACTGGCCTTAAAAAAAATCTGTATAAAGCACCAACGTGGACAGTGTTTGCGTTGTGTGTGCAATGCCAGCCAGAGGCCCTGGGAAAACAAAGGCCATGACTGTTTTCTTTCACTGCCTCTGCTCCGTGGTGTCAGTGACTTTATCTAGTGAAACCCATACCCAGGCTTACACCAGGGCTGTGCTCAGCTCCCACTCTCCTTTTCATAGCATGCCAAGAAAATCACTTGCCTCAGGGCACCCATAGGGGCATTTCCAAGGTATTTTGAGCCAATTATAGCAGTGGAGAACCAAGGGTATCCACCAATTTCTTAGACCCAAAGTATTCCTATTGTAAAATATATTCCCTGCCTTGTGGAAAGGGCAGGAATTCACCTTAGAGAACAAGAAATTGTCAGCAAAAAATCTGGACTGTGGATATTTTTTCAAACGCTTCTGAACTAAATTTAGCTTTAATTTGTCACACTAGCTAGGACTCGCTCCATTAACTTCAGTCTAATTTCCTTTAGTAGATGCAGGCCCAAGAATGCTTCTAGTTCAAAATCCGTATTTCCCAATATTAGGCAGAAGGGCACCCACTGGCCCAGAAATGGTCAGTGTGGGAGGATCAGTATGGAGTGGAAGGTCGTGGACCCTCAAGTTAGACATCCCTGTAATGAAGTCAAGACTTGCACACTGAAGTCCAAAGATATCTGTAGTTGTGGAACAGAAAACAAAGGTGTATGTGTGTTACTTATAGTTACAAAGGTGTAGCTGAGGAATTTAAAATACTGATAAAACCTTAATGGAAAGCAGTTGGGGAGGTAAAAGGAAAATGTTAGGGTACTAGATCCTCATCTTTCATAGCAGGAGGTCAATTAATAAATCAATAAGTGATGGTATACAGGCAGGGCACGGTGGCTCATGCCTGTAATCCCAGTACTTTGGGAGGCTGAGGTGGGCAGATCACTTGGAGCCAGGAGTTTGAGACCAGCCTGGCCAACATGGCAAAACCACATCTCTACTAAAAATATAAAAAAGTAGTTGGGTGTGGTGGCATGCACCTGTAATCCCAGGTACTTGGGAGGCTGAGGCATGAGAAACACTCAACCTGGAAGGCAGACATTGCAGTGAGTCAAGATTGCGCCACTGTACTCCAGCCTGGGTGACAGAGCGAGACTCTGTCTCAAAAAAAGAAAAAAAGAAATGATGAGTTTTCTTTAAAAACAAATATTTATGATGTGCCAAGCACTGTTCTAGACATTGAGGATATAGCCATAAAATAAACAAAACAAAGTTGCTGCACTCCTTATTCTAGTAATAAGCTGATTAGTGAAATATAACAGTATTAAGGTGACTAACAGAAGAACTAGTTAAAAGTCTTAAAATAATTGTCTTGGGGAGCAAACTTAGGGGAAGGAAGAGGGAGAGAGAAACAGGGCAAAGAATTGTTTTTCCCAACAAGCCCTGTTATTCTATTTGATTTTTTTAATTTGATTTAAATTATTAACAAGATATTCTACTACCTACTAGCTGTATATCCTTAAATAGATTATGGAAATTCCCTTGGCTTTAGTTCTTTCCCCTGGAAATTGGGGATAATAATCTCTCGCTCAAAGACTATTCATAGGCTGGGCGCAGTGGCTCACACTTGTAATCCAGGCACTTTGGGAGGCCAAGGCAGGAGAATCGCTTGAGGTCAGGAGTTAGAGACCAGCCTGGCCAACATGGTGAAATCCCATCTCTACCAAAAATACAAAAATTAGCCGGGCGTGGTGGTGTGCACCTGTAATCCCAGTTACTCGGGAGGCAGAGGTATCAGAATTGCTTGAACCTGGGAGGTGGAGGTTGCAGTGAGCTGAGATCGTGCCATTGTACTCCAGCCTAGGTGACAGAGTGAGACTCCATCTCAAAAAAAAAAAAAAAAAAAAAGACTAAAGACTGAAGTAGACACACAAACGTCAGTCCCTCCCTGACGTTTCTCATTTCATATTTTGCAGCTCAAGGTTTTCAGGCTGAGAAGTGACATCCATTGTTGGGTCTGGCCTCAGCAAGTCACATGACTTTTTGGGACCTGTTTCTGTCCATCTGACACAAAGATGCTCATCTCAAGTTTCTCCATATGCCAGAGGAACAGGTGTAGGTTGGTGAGAACTCAGGGAGGCCTTTGAACTTCTTGAGAGAACACTGGCCACATCTTAACATGGTTTCCATTTGGAGGAGACCATTCAATTGTTGTATTATTGTCTTTGCTGTTCACTTGGGGATATATAGGGTAATCTGCTGGCCTGACTCTTATTGCCTCAGAAGGTTTCACAATTAGGTACTTCATCCCTGAAACACTGAGGGTCTCATGATGTAAGGGAAAGAACAATTATGAATTCAAGAAAGAGAGAGATCACTGTCTGAGATCAGGATGTAAATAGTAGGAAAACACTAAAGCTGTCAGCACGACAGAGCAGGGAGATCCAAGCTGGCTATAAAGGGAAAGTGTACATATGTGATTCTTTTTGTGTTTATGCATACACATAAATATGCAGGAGGAGTGCTTGCAGGTTCTGTGCTGTGTGCGTGTGTGTGTGTGCATGTGTGTGTGTGTGTATGTTAGCGGTGAGGTTCAGGCAATGATGTGCTAGTAAAGGGTTAACAACCAGCAGTGCGGAGAGCCCTGATTTTTACCAATTGCCAATTTCAGTGGTGTAAATACTCCCACTGTGGCTGATTTCAAGCTATCAAGTTGAAGTCACTGAGTGCAGAGCTGGGAAGAGACACAGAGTCAGCTCCCACCAGTCGATGCAAGCCAGTTCCAGAAGATTGCTGGTTGCAAGTTTCCAGCACTGCCCTCTTTCAGAAATGGAAAACCTCCCAGCTCCTTCCATGCATCTGCTTCTAAAGGTGTGGATATTGCTTTTGCTTTTATTCCAGAATCCATTCATATCTCCCAAACAGAATTGTTATTTCCACCTTGGTTATTTACTCCTTTGTAAAGTTCGTAGCTCATCACAACTCATAGAAATTCTGGAACTAGGCCGGGTGTGGTGGCTCACACCTGTAATCCTTGCACTTTGAGAGGCCAAGGTGGGTGGATCACCTGAGGCCAGGAGTTCGAGAACAGCCTGGGCAATATGGTGAAACCCCATATCTACTAAAAATACAAAAATTAGCTGGGCATGGTGACTTGTGCCTGTAATCCCAGCTACTCAGGAGGCTGAGGCACAAGAATCCCTTGAACCTGGGAGGTGGAGGCTGCAGTGAGCCAAGATCACACCACTGCACTTCAAAGCAGACTCTGTCTCAAAAAAAAAAAAAAAAAAAATTCGGGAACTATAGTGTGGTTTCCCCCCTCAAAATCTACACAATTGTTGGCAAGACCATTTGTTTATTCAGAAAGCAGTGAACAGGATGCTACAGAGCTGTCAGTGAACCACCCTGCTTCTAAAGATTTGGCAAATTCCTGCTGGCTCAGGAAAGCTCCCAGCAGGCAAGAAGAGGGGGCTCCTTCACGTCTGGTGCCCCCACAATTCCAGCTCTTTGGAGATCAAGTGACTACCTTGTTCTTTGGCCCACGTACGGAGCTTTTTCTCATCCCACAGGAAATCCCCTCTTATTAGTTTCGAGGGGGGCTTCCCTTTGAAACTCTCCCCATTCTCTTTTCTCTTCTCTGAAATCCTGTAAACTAGAGCCAGAGAGGACTAGATCCAAGCCCTATGCGGCCTGATGTTTTTACAGTTGATGGTGGTGGTGGTGGTGGAGGGGAATTCCTTTAAGGAAAAAAAAATACAAAACTACAAATATAAAGTGACTAAGGTCAGGGCCTTTAGAACAGGCCTATGCAAATGAGGGTCCCTGAAGCCGAAGCTTCATTAGCTTCCAGTAAATATGCCCCTGGAGCCAGACTACACTCCAAAGGAAATTGGATGTTTGCCTGATGACGGTGGGTGGTGGAATGTCCTGTGTGTTCTTCCTTTTAGATGAAGAGGAAGCTTTAGAACCCTGCTGTGTTCCCACTTGAAAACCCTGTCTTCAAGACTGATCCTGGAGGACATCACCCGCCTTCTTCTGAGGGAGCCATTTTATTCTGTATTGCTCCTGCTGTGTCACACGGCCACTCCCGGACTGCCTGGTATGAGATAGACCAGTGAAGTCTGTAACAGACAGAGACCTGCTCCAAGGAAATATCTTGTCTAACCCCTAGCAGGCTAACTTCAAAATCACTGTGTATGAAAAGGGACCTCTAGTGGTCAACTGCAAAAGTCACATCTCTGCTACCTTCTACCTATTATTGTGTAGGTGTTTCCGCTGTCAACTCTGGGTCAGTCCCAATAGGTGGAGGAAGCGGAGGAATTAAACACCGACAGATAGTTTCTTGCTTGCTGTCAGTCTGGAGGCAGGAAGCTTTGGGGGAAAGGGCATTGGTTGTGGGAGCATTTTCACTTGGGTTACTCTTTTATTAGTTTTATCATCTTAACCCTGAGAGCTGGCTACACCTTGGTTTCCTCACCTGTAAAATGGGGATCATCATAGGCACTTTCTAGGTGGATGTGAGGGTTGAATGGTAGAACATGTGTAAAGGGCTAAGCGTATAATAAGTATCTGTTTAAAGTTGGTTCTCCTGGCTGGGCGTGGTGACTCACGCCTGTAATCCCAGCACTTTGGGAGGCCGAGGTGGGTGGATCATCTGAAGTCAGGAGTTCGAGACCAGTCTGGCCAACATGGCGAAACCCCGTCTCTACTAAAAATACAAAAGTTATCCAGGCGTGGTGGCGTGCACCTGTAATCCCAGCTACTCGGGAGGCTGAGGCAGGAGAATCACTTGAACCTGGGAGGCACAGGTTGCAGTGAGCCGAGATCGCACCACACTGCACCCCAGCCTGCGTGACAGAGCAAGACTCCATCTCAAAAATAAATACATAAATAAATAAATAAATTTAGTTCTCCGACTCCTCCCTTCAAATGAAAAATTCATGGAGGGCAAAGAAGAAAGGAGGATATAGGGTAGCTCAGAGGAGTTTTTGTTTTTGATATAGGTAGGTTGCAGAGCATAGGATGATGTCTTAGTCCACTCAGGCTAAGATGGGAGACCATCTCCCCAGAAAAATACACATATGCACACACACACACACACACACACACACACACATACAGTTTTGCCTACAATTTCAGCGGTTTCATTGACACTCTAAAGCTCATCCATAGTAGTTCAAGAAGCCAAATTTTAAAATTCTGAAGTTAGACACTTGGAAAAAGATGCCATGTGGCAGCCAAGCGTCTTGAAAGAATTCCAATCCATGCTCTGCCACTAAATAGCTGTGTTACTTTGGACAAGTCCCTTTACTTCCCTGAACCTCATTTCTTCATGTACTAAAAAAGGGAGAAGACAGATGGAGAACTGCCAGATAAAAGACAGGATGCCTTGTTAAATTTGAATTCCAGAGAAACAATGATGTTTTAACAAATGAGTCTTAAAATATTTGCTTGTGATGAATTAGCACATAGTAGTTACCTAGGACATACTTACACTAAAAAGATATTTGTTAGTTATTTACTAGAAATTCAAATTCACCTGAGTGCCCCGTATTTTTATTTGTTAAATCTGGCAACCCTATTCAGATAGCCCTTCAGGTATTGCTTTAAGGTTTAAGATTTCTGGTGATGGAGGAATCCTAATAAAGGGGAATGAGAGGTTGGAGAATCACTGATTGTCGTTTAAGCTACGACCAGGCCAGGTGCGGTGGCTCACACTTGTGAGCCTAGTAATTTGGGAGGCTGAGGAGGGAGGATCACTTGAGATCAGGAGTTCAAGACCAGCCTGGGCTGGAGAAACCTTGTCTCTACCAAAAATACAAAAATTAGCTGGGCATGGTGGTGCACACCTGTAATCCCAGTTACTCAGGAGACTGAGGAAGGAGAATCACTTGAACCCGGGAGGCAGATGTTGCAGTGGGCTGAGATTGCACCATTGCACTCCAGCCTGGGTGATGGAGTAAGACTCTGTCTCAAAAAAAAAAGAAGAGGAAGAAGAAGAAGAAGAGGAAGAAGAAGAAGAAGAGGAAGAAGAAGAAGAAGAAGAAGGAGAAGGAGAAGGAGGAGAAGGAGAAGGAGAAGAAGAAAAGAAGAAGAAGAAGAAGAAGAAGAAGAAGAAGAAGAAGAAGAAGAAGAAGAAGAAGAAGAAGACGACAACGACAAGAAGAAGCAGCAGCAGCAGCAGCAGCTACACACTGGGTCCCTGTGTTGCTAAAGAACCACTCTATTGGCCGGGCGCAGTGGCTCATGCCTGTAATCCCAGCACTTTGGGAGGCGGGTGGATCACAAGGTCAGGAGCTCAAGACCAGCCTGGCCAAGGTGGTGAAACCCCATCTCTACTAAAAATACAAAAATTAGCCAGGCGTGGTGGTGGGCGTCTGTAATCCCAGCTACTTGGGAGGCTGAGGTAGAGAATGGTTTGAACCCAGGAGGCAGAGGTTGCAGTGAGCCGAGATCACACCACTGCACTTCAGCCTGGGCAACAGAGCGAAACTCCATCTCAAAAAAAAAAAAAAGAGAAAAAGAACCACTCTATCATTGCTAGGCTATGCCTGCCAAATTTCTAGTTTTTCTGTCACTTTAAAACTATCAGTGGCATTCCCAGTGACCTGGCCAGATGACCCTGCTGGCCCTGGGGCCCTCTAGCCATTTCCTGAGTTGCTGTCTCTGTCATACCAAGTTTGGTCACAGCTCAAAGGCTGTGGGATGGCAGTGCTCAGTGATCACTGCCCTGCCCTGCAGGCCTTTCCCACATTCTGGTTGGTTGTTTCTCTCTCCTGTTCTTCATTCCCATACCAGAGAAAGTACTGTGAGGCCTGTGTACCCACCCAGCCAGCCTCCCATAAGGCAGCCCTGTGCACGCATCCCCTTCCAGGGCAGAGCACCCAATTTGCACCTTGAATTTGACTCCATGGTTCTCAAAAGGAGATTCACAAACCATTGTGTAGAGTCCCTTGGAAGGCTTGTTAAAGATGAAATTTCTAAGTCTTATCAGGACTGAGGAAGGAAAGGTACTGGAACCTCCCCCAGGTGATTCTAATACTTGCCTTAATCAGAAAGTCATGGACTCCCTTGTCTGTTACCCTTCTAGAAGTACCTGGGCCTTAGGAATGGGAAGCAGATTGTCTTTTTTTAATTTTTTATTTTTTTGAGACAGGGTCTTGCTCTTTCACCCAGGCTGGACTGCAGTGGTGCGATCACGCTCACTGCAGCCTTAACCTCCTGGGCTCAATCCATCTTCCCACCTCAGCCTCCCAAGTAGCTGGGACTACATGCCACTATGCCTGGCTAATTTTTGTAATTTTTTTTTTGTATTTTTTGTAGAGATGAAGTTTCGTCATGCTGCCCAGGCTGATCTCGAACTCCTGGGCTCAAGCAATCCACCCGCCTCAGCTTTCAAAGTGTTGAGATTAGAGGCATGAGCCACTGCACCCTGCCAGATTGGTCTTTATTCCCAGGAATGTTCAGACTCGAGGGTGCTTTTTCCTCTTTCCCTCTTGGTCTAAGCCACTGTGGAAGCTGTGGAGTATTGGACTCTGTAAATACTCCAAACAGCCAAACTACTTAGGCTTAATGGTTAACTACTGGGCTTAACTACTTACAGAAAAATGATTTCTCCCCTCTGTCAGTTCTAGGAAAGAGGACTGTTCCAGGGATTTATATGACCTTGCACGAGTCATATGACAAAATTCTTTGACTCTCCAGCAGGGGCGCCATTATACCATTTTTCTTATCTGAAGTCCCTGCTCAGCACCTGAGGCCACTCTGCATGGCTCCTGATCATCATTAACGTTCTGCTCTACGATGTAAGACCTTCAAAAGCGCAGAGCTTGTTTTATTCATCTATGTATCACCACTTAATGTTATGGAAGCATTAAGTGGTGGAAGCATTAAGCTGGAAGCATCATTCATCTTATAGACATCATAGCTTTGTAGAGTTATTATAACAATTTTCCACAGATGGCAGTAGAGTGACTAGAGAAGCCATATTTTCCCTAATTCATGACAAAGCCACCATATTGGCTTGGCTGCAACTGGCATCCTCAATACTTAGAATACTTAGCACATGGTAGATACTCAATAAATATCTGCTGAATACATTTCCCCAACATTCTGATGACAAAAATGTCATACAGAAAAGTTGAAACAATAGTACAATGAAGATCTATAGACCCCTATTTAGTTGAATAAATGTTAACATTTGCTATATTTGCTGTGTGTTTATGTGTTTACTTTTCTTGCTGAATCATTTGAAAGGTAGTTGCAATTATCATGACACTTGACCCATAAATATTTCAGCAGGCATCCCTTGAGAATTAGAACATTCTCTACATAACTGCAATACCATGATCACAACTAATAATAATTAATCATTATTTCCTAATATCACCTAATATCCAATTGTAGAAGTTGCTGGTGGTGCTCTACTCACACATCCTTGGCCTACCCAGAAGTTACCTGCAAAGAGTTCCCATATAGCCAGTGACTTCCTGAGCATCTTTTCCTGGACATGTTGGCCAGCTTGAGAGAGTACACTTTGCCCTCACAGGGCAGGCTGAAAGTGCCAGAGAGTCAACACCTTGAGAGTGTCCCTCAGCCGGAGATGGAGAGAAGTTGCTTCCTTCCCTATCAGTAGTTGATTCTGAGGTATGCTGCACAGAATACAACTTGTCCAAAGCTCCAGGGATATAGTTGCTCACGGTAGTAATCTTTAACACATTCTTTACTAGTTTCCTCCCTTCCCTATCTTACTTCCTTACTATGCTTCCTGAGATCACTTTTTTTTTTTTTTTTTTTTGAGGAAGGGTCTCACTCTCTCGCCCAGATTGGAATGCAGTGGTCCAATCTTGGCTCAACACAACCTCCACCTCCCAGCCTCAAGGGATTCTTCCACCTCAGCCTCCCAAGTAGCTGGGATTACAGGCGCCCGCCACCATGCCTGGCTAATTTTTCTATTTTTAGTAGAGACGGGGTTTCATCACATTGGCCAGGCTGGTCTCGAACTCCTGACCTCAAATGATCCACCCTCCTCGGCCTCCCAAAGTGCTGGGATTAAGGGAGTGAGCCACTCACCGTGCCCGGCCGAGATCACCTTTAAATAAACTATTGGCACTCAAAGCTCTGTCTCAGGGTCTATTTTGGAGGCACCAAGAACCAAAACATCACTCCATTGCTAAATTCATTTTAAAATGACAATCTTGGATCCCTGGAGAGGCAAACTCAAAACCTGTTTGGGTGGTGCTTGCAACCCAGCCAACAGGAGCTGCTCTTAGCTCTGATTTTTGCTTGAACAATGCTATAGTGAGGTTGTGTTGATTTAGGATGCCCTGCTCAGCCTATATTAATAATAATAGTAATAAGAGCTACTGTTTACCAAGAGCTTACTGTGCGGCAGATTCACATGCTTCATTTCATTTAATCCTCACAGTGACTCCGTAGGGAGGGTACTATTACTATTTCCATTGTATTGATGAAGATCCTGAGGCTCATGGAGGTTAAATAACTTTTCAAAGTTACATAGCTAGTAAGAGGCAGATTGCTGGTGTGCTTCAGCAGTGTGTTAAAATGTGTAGATAACTATAAATATTCTTCTGTTATATTTTTGTGTAAATGGGAACAATAGTACTTGGCAGATAAAATTTGCATCGTTAACAATACCATAAACATAGTGTAATGCAAGGATCTCCCAATCAGGTGAGAGCCTCAAGAGGATAAAACTGTTCCCTAGGCCAAGGTGGGCAGATTGCTTAAGGCCGGGAGTTAGAGACCAGCCTAGGAAACATGGCGAAATTTCATCTCTACCAAAAATATATATATTAACAAAGTTTAGCTGGGCATGGTGACTCACGCCAGTAGTCCTAGCTCCTTGGGAGGCTGGGAGCAGAGGTTCAGTCAGCCACAATTGTGCCATTGCATTCCAATCTGGGTGACAGAGTGAAACCCTGCCTCAAAAAACAAAACAAACAACAACAACAAAAAAACGGCTCCCTGCCATGCCTGGCTTGGTACAGCTTATGCACTGGGCTTGGGTTACTAGTGGTAACTAAGACTTTTCCAGCATTATTTAAGTTGTGTAGAATCTTCCAATGTTTTGACCTCTGTTAAAGTCAAACTTCTCTTTGGACTCGTCCCTTCACAATCCCCAGGCTAGATGATCAAAACGCAGCCATCTTACTTAAATATGACAATATTCAGTGAGATGCGCTACAGATTTTTGCACAAGTTCAAGCTTTCTTGGAACAACACATCCCTGTTAGTAATATCCGGCCCCACCTAGTAACCGAGGTAGACATAGAAACTTAGATCTTAAGAAGATGTCTTTCCCAATTACTATCTTCTCTAAGACTCCATAAAGAAAAACAGACTTTGAACCCAAGTTATCTTATTTATTTGACCCTGCTGTCATAAAGCGTTCAAATTCAAGTATTATAAAGGATTGTAACAGGGAAAGCATTTAGGGTTTTCAGGCAGAGGAACAGTTGGCCAAGGAAGTCAGCTTCTCAGAGCTCAAGAGGTAAGTGGTAAGACTGTCTTATATAGAAAGTAGAGAGTCATACAGATTAAAAACAAGCCAAGTGAGGGGAATACATTTTGAAAAGTTGCTGTCTCGGTGGAGTGGAGGGAAAGAGAAGACATAGATTTGTCCCCTTAATAGGGCTGGGTGAGGTCTGGCAAGAAGCCTGCACTCTCAGTTTTTATTGAGTACTTGTAGTGCAGAGCGCTTGAGAAAACTCTACTATTGACCACATTCTGCAGTAATCACTGTTACAACACTGTGATAGAAATCTTTTTGGCAAATATTTAAAATTACAAAAGAATCAATATTAGTAGTAATTGCATCTTACGAAAAGATTGATGCAGGCTTGTCTGCCAGAAAGGGTGAGCCTGGCATGAATGAAACTTACTCCTGTCAGGGCACGCCTGGGACAGGGGAGGAGTAGAGTAGGTATAGGTATATTTCAGCTCTTGTAAATTAATACTGGTGTTAAGGGGAGAGAACTCCCAGTGGCCAGGGACTGGAAAAGATTAACAGCAGCTTTTTTTTATTTTTTTATTTTTTATTTTTATTTTTTGAGACCGAGCCTCACTCTGTCGCCCAGGCTGGAGTGCAGTGGCATAATCTTGGCTCACTGCAACCTCCACCTCCCAGGTTCAAGCAATTCTCCTGCCTCAGCCTCCCGAGTAGCTGGGATTACAGGCGCTCGCCACCATGCCTGGCTAATTTTTTTTTTTTTTTTTTGCATTTTTAGTAGAGATGGGGTTTCACTATGTTGGTCAGGCTAGTCTCAAACTCCTGACCTCAGGTAATCCACCTGCCTCAGCTCCTAAAGTGCTGGGATTACAGGCATGAGCCACTGCACCCAGCCTAACAGCAGCTTCTTAAAGGAAAAGAATATTAATCTAGGCAGTAGATTGGGTAGTAGGGTGGTTGAGAGTAGGGTGGTTAAGAGCATGGTCTTGGGAGTCTGGGTTCAAATCCCGACCTTGACATTTACTGTCTGTGGGATCTCAGGCAAATTACATAGTCTCTTTAAATCTATAGAAACGACCTCAGGAGGGTTGTTAGGAGGCTTAATTGTGACTGAAATGATGTATGTAAAGTGTTTAGCACAGTCCCTGTTGCGCAGAAAGTTTTCCGTATGTGGTTCGCTATATTTATAGTAGTACTCTTGAAAGGAAGTAATGAATATATGTTTTTTTCCCAGATGGAAATGGAGAATATCTTAGGGAGAGGGAGAGTTGAAGCAAAAGCAAGAAGGGAGAAAGGACACCTTTATTATTTATTATTTTTAGTCCATTGGGTCAAGGGGAAGAGAGAGAGAGAATAGTGGGAGAAAGACAAGATTAACATGGTTTAAACTAGAGGCCATGTTTCAATTGAGGCTTTTCTACGTACACACCATTTGAATCTATGGGATTTGGAGTAGTCTCAAAAACTCTCTATTATCAGAGAACATCTTTACAAAAATGACCCAAGAAAAACTTTCAGAACAAGAATTACTTTGTTCAGTAGGGACTGTCTGAGAATGAGACAAGTTTCATTCTGCTAAAATGAAATTCTATCAGTTTCTCTAGGGAAGACTGGTTTCATCTTCCCCAGGGCACCCTGACGCTGCTCTATCTGTCATAGCCTATTTCCTGTGGTTTTATGTTGCTTTTAAAAAAAATTTCTTACTACTAAATGTACTTTGAACTTAGTCAGACAGGGTTGTTTAATTAAAAGCTAGAAGTAGTACCGTTATAGCTGGGATGATTCATCTGGGACTTCACTTTAAATGCATAATAGACAGAAGGAAGGTTCACGAACTCATTGCAGACCAAAGTACAAAACCAACTGCACTATTTTTCCCTTAGTAGATCTGAGTTTAACTCATTAAAGATGGCATGGAAGAGCAGTGTCATAATGCAAATGGGAAGATTTCTTCTCTTAGTAATTTTATTTCTGCCACGTGAGATGACAAGTAAGTTAAAGTTCTTTTTGGCCTCTTTTTAGATAAAGAAAAATTTCCGATTAAGAAAAGTGATCAATGGGCATTGGATATATCCTTAAATTCCAAATTGGAATGACTACACAGTTAGCATGGCTCACAGTACAGGAGTCAACTAACAATAAAAAATCAAATGGAGGCCAGGCGGGTGGCTCACGCCTGTAATCCCAACACTTTGGGAGGCCGAGGCAGGTGAATCATGAGGTCAGGAGATCGAGACCATCCTGGCTAACACGGTGAAACCCCATCTCTACTAAAAATACAAAAAATTAGCCTGGTGTGCTGGCAGGCGCCTGTAGTTCCAGCTACTCGGGTGGCTGAGGCAGGAGAATGGCGTGAACCCAGGAGGTGGAGCTTGCAGTGAGTGAGCCGAGATTACGTCACTGTACTCCAGCCTGGGCGACAGGGCGAGACTCCGTCTCAAAAAAAAAAAAAAAAAAATCAAATGGAAAAATATTGTTTTTAGGGTTTTATTATTACAAGACAAGGTGAAGTATTCTATTCTCTCCAGAGCCACCACCAGAATCCTCCTACATTTTAATGCATTTTATTACTAATGTTACCCCAAATAATCATCTGTTTATCTGAACATACCATTTCACATGAAAATCTTTCCAGCATTTGCTCTCCTACCACTCTTTTCTGATTTTAAAAGTAATGCATAGTCATTGTAAAATAAATCAGGCAATCTATAAAAAAAAAAAGAAAAGTACAAATCCCCCCAAATACTTTCATCCAGAGATGACAACCACTCAATATTCCATATTTTAATAAAATACTAGACAACAATACCATTATCTTTACAAGTAGCTTAAGTTTTTTGCTTTTTTGAGAAGAAGTCTCACTTTGTTGCCCAGGCTGGAGTGCAGTGGTGTGATCTTGGCTCACTGCAACCTTCATCTCCCAGGTTCAAGTGATTCTCCTGCCTCAGCCTCCCGAGTAGCTGGGATTACAGGAGCCCGCCACCATGCCTGGCTAATTTTTTTGTATTTTTAGTAGAGACAGGGTTTCACTATGTTGGCCAGGCTGGTCTCAAACTTTTGACCTCAGGTGATCCGTCCGCCTCAGCCTCCCAAAGTGTGGGATTACAGGCATGAGCCACCATGCCCGGCCAGCTTAAGTGTTTTAAAAGGAAGGTTAATGTGTTTACAGAACATATTAACAAATGTTATCTGGGGTACAGGTTTATGACAGATAAAGTTCTTTTTTAGCTTTTGTTACTTGCTTCTGAATCAGAAAAATAAAAACCGAAATTCAGGTGTATTACTATGCAATGAATAGGTTTCTAAAAGTCAGAGCTGAAAAACAAAACAAAACAAAAAAAACCTGGTATGTATCCTGATCACCCAACCCACAAAGACTGGTCTACCACACAAACCTCAACTACTTAAACATCTTTTTATTTTTCTTCACTGCCAAAACAATATTAAAACATTATAGATGCAAGACCCAATTTGTCCATAATCCTATCATTTAAGCAGAAAATGTTTTCAAATCAGTTCTTACTCATCTGCATGTGCAATTTTGATACATTTGTAGTAATTATTAGAGCTTTAATTTATATTCTGCCTTTTTGCCTAAAGTTTATACCTTAAATATTTTTCCATTTCATTCCCTTGCTTTCCCACTTTCAATCCCTTCAAGTAAACAAATTAAATATGGTATGTGTATATGTATATACATATATGCATGCGTGTGTGTGTATTCAATATATATGGGTTTTTTCCTGTCTTTTTTCCATGAAAAAATACTTCCATGTATACACACATACACACATATGTGTATGATCATTCTGTATGTATTGATTTCTAACCTGATGCTTCTCAAATCACCGGGGGTCGGGGGGTGGGGTGCCTTTAAACAACACAATGCCCAGATTGCACTCATGTCAACTAATCAGATGTCTGGGGATGAGAATCAGGCATCAGTACTTTTTTTTGGGGGCAAGGTCTTGCTCTATCACCCAGACTGGAGTTCAATGGTGCGATCTTGGCTCACTGCAACCTCCACCTCCTGGGCTCAAGCGAGTCTCCCACCTTATCCTCCCAAGTAGCTAAAAGTATGGGTGCACACCACCATGCCTGGCTAATGTTTTTTTTTTTATTTTTTTATTTTTTGTAGAGACGGAGTCTCACTATGTTACCCAGGCTGATCTTGAACTCCTGAGCTCAAGCGATCCTCCCGCCTCTACCTCCCAAAGCCCTGGGATTATAGGCACAGCACCCAGCTACATCAGTACTTTTTAAAAGATCCCCTGGTGATTCCAATGTGCACAAAAATTTGATGACCACATTTTAATCTTTTTCTTTTTCAGTTAACAATACATTATGAATATTTTTCATTATAAAATCATATAGATCAATATGACTATTTTTAATCGTTGAGAGTTTATTTTGTTCTACTGATGTAACATAACTTATTTAACCAATCCCCTGTTCATGAGCATTAAGGTTGTTTACTCTGTATATCTAAATAGTTTCTCCCTATACTCCCAGGTTCTGTTTTAACTGTGAATGGTAAAACTGAGAACTATATCCTGGATACTACACCTGGCTCCCAAGCATCTCTGATATGTGCTGTTCAAAACCACACCAGAGAGGAAGAACTGCTCTGGTACCGAGAGGAGGGGAGAGTGGATTTGAAATCTGGAAACAAAATCAATTCCAGCTCTGTCTGTGTCTCTTCCATCAGTGAAAATGACAACGGAATCAGCTTTACCTGCAGGCTGGGGAGGGATCAGTCCGTGTCCGTTTCGGTGGTGCTGAATGTTACTTGTGAGTGAGGGGAAAAGAAACAGCTAGTGGGTCTGTAATGTCTGTAACACATGAAGTGGTAGTTGAAATCTAGGTCTTGGTATTGCCAAATTGCCCAATTTATGCTCCTACCACAAAGTATGAGAGTACCTATTTCCCCTCACCCTCATGAGCACTGAGTATCGCCAAACTCTGAGAATTTGCCAGCCTCCTTTGAAATTTTCTTTTCCTTTTCTTTTTTTTCTTTTCTCTTTTCTTTTCTTTTTTCTTTTTCTTTTTTCTTTCTTTCTTTTTTTTTTTTTTGAGACAGAGTCTCGCTCTGTTGCCCAGGCTGGAGTGCAGTTCAGTGGCGCAATCTCGGCTCACTGCAACCTCCACCTCCCGGGTTCAAGCGATTCTCCTGCCTCAGCCTCCTGGGTAGCTGGGACTGCAGGTGCCCACTACCATGCCCAGCTAATTTTTAATTTTTGTATTTTTAGTAGAGACGGGGGGTTCACCATGTTGGCCAGGCTGGTCTCAAGCTCCTAACCTCGAGTGAACCGCCTACCTCAGCCTCTCAAACTGCTGGGATTACAGGTGTGAGCCACTGCACCCAGCCTGTTTTCATTTTTTAAATTAAGAATGAGGGTGTTCACCTTTGTGTAAACATAATGGTCTTTTTTTTGTTTGTTTCCATGAAATGCCTGCTTGTATCCTTAACTCATTTTTTTCCGTTGGGTTTTATGCTTTTTTCTCATTAATCTGTACAAGGGCTTTGTAGATTAAGGAAATTAGTCCTTTGTCATTTTGAATTGTAAGTATTTCTCCTATTTGTTTTTGAAAATTTTTATTGTTCTTTTTTGCCATATTGAAATTTTAAATGTTTATATATTTAAAGCTTCAAGTCTTTTCCTTTGTAGTTCCTAGCTTTTGTGTTCTGCTTAGACAGATTTTCATGGCCTGGCACAGTGGCTCATGTGTGTAATCCCAACACTTTGGGAGGCAGAGGCAAATGGATCACTTAAGATCAGGAGTTCGAGACCAGCCTGACCAACAATGGTGAAACCTGGCCTCTACTAAAAATACAAAAATTGGCCAGGTGCGGTGGTAGGCACCTGTAATCTCAGCTACTCAGGAGGCTGAGGCAGGAGAATTGCTTGAACTCAAGAAGCAGAGGTTGCAATGAGCTGAGATGCCACCACTGCACTCCAGCCTGGGCAACAGTGTGAGACCCATCTCAAAAAAAAAAAAAAAAGATTTTCATTAGGGAATCTTTAAACATCACCTTAAAATCAAAAAAGGTGAAGCTTTTCAATGATTGGGTTCCAGGTATTGGTAACCCATTGGTAGAACTGTATAGGCTTAGGGGACTGTCAAGTGATACAATGTAGATGATCACATGGGTTGTTGGGTGAAAAGCTGGTTCTGCATGAGAATGGTGTGGATGGTATGGCAATGGGTGAGGTATAATGATGCAGTATGATTTGGTAGAAAGACCCTATCTCTACAAACATAACATAGTGAGACCCTATTTCTACCAAAAAAAAAAATAAGGTGTGTTTTTAATTAGCTGGGCATGGTGGCACACATCTGTAGCCCCAGCTGCTCGGGAGGCTGAGGCTACAGGATCTTCTGAGCCCAGAAGTTTGAGGCTTCAGCGAGCTGTGATTGCGCCACTGCATTTCAACCTGGGCAACAGAGTGAGACCCTGTCTCAAAAAAAATAAAATAAAATAAAATAAAATAAAAAGCCAGCTAAGGAAACTAAGGCCCGGACTAGGGGCTCAAATCATAGGTGCAGCTGAGAATAAAACACTAATTCCCAAGCTTCTAACCTAGTGCTTAAGTGCTTATTCCACGAAACTTTTTTTTTTTTTGAGACAGGGTCTCACTCTGTCACCTACACTGGAGTGCAGTGGCACAATCTCAGCTCACTATAACCTCTGCCTCCCAGGCTCAAGTGATCTGCCTGCCTCAGCCTTCCAAGTAGCTGGGACTACAGGCGTGCACCACCAGGCCGAGCTGATTTTTGTATTTTTTGTAGAGACGGGGTTTTGCTATGTTGCCCAGGCTGATGGAACCCTCTTAAGGGAGACATGGCAGAAATGCCAACAATGTGATTTGATGACTTAAAGAAATTGTTTTCAGTTTTCTAGCCTCAATCCACTGTTTAAATTCTGTTTATAACAATCTCCTAAATATCATTGTTGCTAAGTGTGTGTGTGTGTGTGTGTGTGTGTGTGTGTGTATAGTTAATTGCTCAGTAATCCATAATGACAGTACTGACACAAAGTCATCAACCAATAAATCAAAATGAGCTCATAAAATGTGACAAGGATATTATGTACCCTTCAAAGGCAGGACCATTATTGTTATAAATAGCAGAATCAAGAACTAAATGGAAGCTTGATAATACACTGTTTGGGGGAGAATGTGGAGAAACAGGTCCTCTCATACCTCGTTGCTGAAAGTTTAAATTGAGAACACCTCTTTCAAAATACTTATCAAAATTTAAAGTGTGCATATCTTACGACACACCATTTCTCCTTCTAGATGTTAACGTTGGAGAAATACATGTACAGGATCATAAAGAGATATGTACAAGGATGTTTATTGTAGCATTGTTTAACATTTTAAAATGAAAACAACCTAAAGCCCATCAAAACACAAATGATTAAAGGCATACATTATACTATAGCATTCTAAAAGCAATAAGCTAGATCTCTGTGGTTCAATATAAACATATCTCAAAAACATGCAAGTTACTGAGAGAAAGGAAGTATTTTATGTAAAACCTTCCCATGTCCCTAAAATAATATGATATATTTCCTATGGGTACACTATATGTATAGAAAACTATTTAAGAAAAAAGAAAGATAGGGAAGGATTTACACCAAACTCATAACAGTGGGTATCTCTGGGGATCAGGAAGTGACCAGCTTGGATCTTAGCTTTATCTAAAATGTACTAATTTTTACAGAGGGGATATTCACATATACTGATATGCTTAAATTAATTTCAAATAGTTAAATAGAAAGAAATCACTAACAGAATCTGTCCACAAATGGAATTGTTCCATTTGGCAATTATGTTCTCTATTCCAGCAGCTTCCTTCCTATCTGAATACCATATAACATCCTTGTTGGATATGATACAGAATTCGAGCTCATTCCAAAGAGCAACAAAATGTCATTCTTCTGAGAGAGTTATTAATAACACAGCCTACTCAGGGTCTAATTATTCAGTGTGCAGATTATACAAGCTCCTTTTTCCTCCTTCTCCGTCTCTATCTTTTTCCTAGTTCCCACTCTCCAACCATTTCATTACTATTCTGCACTTCTGCCAGAATATGCACAGTGATAGATGTGTTGACTGTCTATGGGTCTACAACTGCCCTTATTGTAGAGGAAAAAAGGAGTTGCTCACACACAGGGATGAGAGGGACTCACTTGCCTTCCACAGATGCCAGAGTTCTCATGCTTAGAACACCTTCTGGGAGGAGGACATTATTTCTAGAGCACCACTGAGAAAACGCAAAGATGCATTGGTGAATATGTTACCAAGGCAATGGTTCGATAAAATGCAAAAACAGACGGTGAGAGTAACCCTCAAAACCACCACCACCGTAATAATAATAGCGGCTAGCACTGTGGCAAATTCTTTACAGGGATTATTTTATTTAATCTTTACAGCATCTCAGGAGATGTATGATTATCCCATTTTTTTTTTACATGAGAAACAGAGGCCTTAGCAGTTAGTTAACTGTCTCAAAGTCACAGTAAACGGTGTAGATGGAATTAGATCTAATTGCAATGTATGTCTTCTTAATTTTGTACTGTTTTGTGCAACACTAGCACAGGTTGGTTTATTAATTCTCAGAGAAGAAAGACTCAAGGCTTATACTCTTGGGTAGTGTTACAAATTGTCTGCTTGTCATAGATCATTACTATATATATCATGCTCATAATCATATATTGTTTCATGGTTTGTCTTCTTCATCACATTAAAAGTTCTATGAGATTTGGAACTGGAAGTGTTATTTGCCCTTGTTACCCCAGTGCTTGTCACACCGTACGTATTTAATAAATTTTTGTCAAATGAATAAATGACCACATGAGATAGATTGAAGGAAGACTTTGAACTCTGACAGTGAACTATTGCTTATCTGCTAATTAAATCTAAATGCTTGAGTCTTGCAGTTCCTCCTCTCCTAAGTGGAAACGACTTCCAAACAGTTGAGGAAGGCAGTAATGTGAAGTTGGTTTGCAATGTGAAAGCCAACCCCCAGGCTCAAATGATGTGGTACAAAAACAGTAGTCTCCTCGATTTAGAGAAAAGCCGTCACCAAATCCAACAGACAAGTGAGTCTTTTCAGCTGTCAATCACCAAAGTCGAGAAGCCTGACAACGGAACCTACAGTTGTATTGCAAAGTCATCTCTGAAAACGGAGAGCTTGGACTTTCACCTGATTGTTAAAGGTAATGCTCTTTTTAAGTAATACCCAGCACAGTGCAAAACTCACACCAGATGCTCAGTGAATATTTCTGGTGACAATAAATGATAATAACGGTTATGATTAGGGCCAGGATTTTCTTTGGAGAATCATCCCCATCCAAGGATTTTTCCACTAAGAATCCTAGTCCATCCTTTCAGGGAAATCATGCCCATTCCATACAGGACACTGTTTTTTGAGCAAGAATCCTTTCTTAGAACCAAATATAGGAAACAATCCTGCTTGGCTTTTAGGGAAGAGTATTTCCATGAATTCTCCTGGGCAACAATGTGTGTAGCAACTGGACTTTTGAGTTCACAGCTTCATAACTAACAGAAGTAAAAAACACACAGAGAAGAGAAATTAGGACTAGATAAGAAAATGGATCCCTACAATCACTCCTAACTCAAATTCTAACCTGTAGGGTAATCAGCAGAGAGAGTAGGAAAAAATAAGGGGACAAAAAAGCCCTTTCTCTTGGATTCATGCTTCATCTACCCAGGGTTATCACCTCTACAATGACAGAACAAATGATGCTCTGTGGGGTTTTCCCTCCTCATATTTCTTGCTCATACAAAAAGAGAAAGGCAAAATACCTGGGGTAGCAGATGCCAAAAATGCTCATTCACACATGGTCTGCTCTCATGCTAGCACACCAGGAGCAGCCCAACAAGCTGAGACTCCCATATCTTGTTAGAACATTACTCACTTTGTCATTTGCCTCCCTGTACTCACTTATTGCCAGTCTTGTCAGTCACCAGGAAGCCAGCTGAACCCCTGCCAGAAGTGTTGTGGTGATGTAACCATAGGACATCTTATTTGCTTCCCCTTGAGGGGAAGAGTTATGGGATATGAAAAGAGTGGCTAGTGGGGAAGAAGACTTACTGGTGGTTGAATGCCCATCACTGTGATTCCTGGAATGATCAGTAATTCGTCCTGCGGAGCACTAACAATTGCTCAGGGGCTACTTGTTTTAAAAACCAAACCCACAAATATCCTGAATACCCATGAGATAGAAGCAGTGAAAAAGCTTTGTGGTTATTTACCTCCCCCAAGACCACAAAAGCATGGAAGGGTGGGCCTCATGCCCTGCCATCCTGACTATGAACACCACACTTGCAGGCCAGGGAATTATATCCCTCCTGGTTAAGAAGAAATCATAATTGCTCTGTGTCACATTAAAAAAAAGTACAGCTTATGTGGCAATCAGGATGCTAGCTTAGCAAATTGGCTTTCAGGTGGGCAGAAACTTGTTTTGGGTGGGGCTCTTCCAAACCAACTTGTTTTTCTTATTTCTTCTTGCTTAGCTACTTCCCACGGCTGGTGGCATAAATGCTCTGCTGCTGGGGCTTGGGCTAAATGCCAAGATTTTCATGAGCCCTCACCTGGCTTCACGGCTCAGTGAGGAAGTACCTAAATGAGGCCATGCAAAGCTACAAACGACATCACAGATCTTTTCTTGAGCACAAGATTTAGCCCATGTGTTGGGATTATTTAACCATGATGAATATAGGAGGGAAATATCAGGTCTGGTTACAAATGAGACCATAAAACAGGACAAGGGGAGAGGGGCAGTTATGTAATTACCCTTGCCAAAGTCTCTTTTTTCTTTCTTTTTCTTTTATTTTTTTGGAGACAGGGTCTCGCTCTGCCACCCAGGCTGGAGTGCAGTAGCGTAATCATAGTTCACTGCAGCCTCATCCCCCCAGGCTCAAGCGATCTTTCCACTTCAGCCTCCTGAATAGCTGGGACAGGTGCGTGCCATCAGAACCAGCTAATCAAAAAAATTGTTTTTGTAGAGAGGAGGTCTTGCCATGTGGATCAGGCTGGTCTTGAATTCCTGGGCTCAAGCAATCTGCCACCTCAGCTTCCCAAAGTGCTGGGGTTACAGGCATGAACCACCATGCCCCGACCAAAGTCACTTTCAACAGAAATTTGGAATCCAAAGCAAGCCAATGGGTAAGGTAGTTTACTTCGGTTTGTGTATAGAATAAGAGCTGTCAGCCAGGTGCAGCGGCTCACGCCTGTAATCCCAGCATTTTGGGAGGCCGAGGCGGGTGGATCAGGAGGTCAGCGGTTTGAGACCAGCCTGACCAATATGGTGAAACCCGTCTCTACTAAAAATACAAAAAAAATTAGCCGGGCATGATGGTAGCCACCTGTAATCCCAGCTACCTGGGAGGCTGAGGCAGGAGAATTGCTTGAAACCAGAAGGCAGAGGTTGCAGTGAGCCGAGATCGCACCACTGCGCTCCAGCCTGGGCAACAAGAGTGAAACTCTGTCTCAAAAAATAAATAAATAAAAATAAAAAAATAGAGTAAGAGCTGTCACATGTGGCTTCATTTTATCTGGCTTGGTAAAAATATTCCAACCTGTGACTGAATTCTGATTTCTTTTTCTTATTGTCCCACCTTTACTTCCCCTTTGTTTTGATATCTTGCAAATAGAGGGGCTCCCCAGTAAGGTTGACGGGCCTTTGGTGTGTCCCAGAGCTGGCTAGTACAGAACCAGGGCTTACTAGAAAAAGGCTCCCTGAGCAAAGTTTCTCCATAGGGGTGATATGACCCATACCTTCATGAGAATAATTTTTAGAAACAGCTAAGAGAGGGCAAAAATTTAATCCATTTATTTCCCAAAATTATCCAGAGCAGGAAATGATAAAAAGGTAGTTACAGGCTGGGTGGGATGGTTCATGCTTGTAATCCCAGGACTTTGGGAGACCGAGCGGGAGGGTTGCTTGAGCCCAGGAGTTCCAAAACAGCCTGGGCAACATATTGGAACCCTGTCTCTACATCAAATCAAAAAATTAACTGGGTGTGGTGGCACGCACTGGTAGTCTTGACTACTCAGGAGGCTGAAGTAGGAGGATCTCTTAAGCCCTAGAGGTCGACGCTGCAGTGAGCCATGATCATGCCACTGCACTCCAGTCTGAGTGACAGAGTGAGACCCTGTCTCCAAAAATAATTATAATAATAACTGGTTAGTGTGTTATACAGTTATGGGGACAGGGGAGATAAACCCTATTTCATAATCTTAAGGTATATAGGGATTGGGCTTTGAAATTAAATTTACCTAAAGTCACTTCTTCCCCTCTTCCCTGGTTTTTGCCCTTCACTTGCTAACTCATGACCCTGTTTCCTTTCTAATACTTAATCTGTAGTGTCTGTTTGTTTAATGTCTGTCTCCCTCACTAGAAGATGAGCTCCACGAAGGCAGAGGAGCCTTCTACACCTGTCCTATTTTTTGCAGTGCTGAACACAGTGCATAACACACATTAGTCACTCAGTAAATATTTGTTGACTGCACCTCAATCCATAAACTCAATTGTGCGATAAATAGCACATGCTCAATTTCCTTTAAATGCCTAAAATGTTACTTAAGCCATGACTGAAGCTCCTTCCCGTCGTTGGATGGCATCAGAATCCAGGGGCTTAGACAAGGTCACTTTAAAACCTTTGTTGAACTGAAGCACTTTTACTTTGTTACTTTTTTAAGAAACGGGGTCCTGCCAGGTGCAGTGGCTGATGCCTGTAATTGCAACACTTTGGGAGGCCCAGGTAGGAGAATTGCTTGTGGTCAGGAGTTCAAGACCAGCCTGGGCAACATACCCAGGCTCCATCTCTAAAAAAAAAAAAAAAGGGGTTGGCCAGGCATGGTGGCTCACACCTATAATCCCAGCACTTTAGGAGGCCAAGGCAGGCAGATCACTTAATGTCAGGAGTTCGAGGCCAGACTGGCCAACATGGCGAAACACTGTCTCTACCTAAAATACAAAAATTATCTGGGCATGGTGGTGTACACCTGTAGTACCAGCTACTTGGGAGGCTGAGACAGGAGAATCGCTTGAACCCAGGAGACAGAGGTTGCAGTGAGCCGAGATCAAGCCACTGCACTCCAGCCTGGGCGGCAGAGCGAGATTCTGTCTTAAAAAAGAAAAAAAGGGTCTCACTATGTTGCCTAGGGTAGAGAGCAGTGGCTATTGATAGGTGCAATCATAGGGTGCTATAGCCCTGAACTCCTGGGCTTAAGCAATCCTCCTGCCCCAGCCTCCCAAGTGTCTGGGACTACGGATATGCCACGCTGCCTGGCTTTCACTTTTACTTTTGAGAGTTTCATTCCATATCATATCAAAGATATTAAAGCAAAGCACATTGTATGTGCTTTCTGCTATAAAATTTTTGAAAGAATTTTTATAACTTGTATAGATTTTGAATTTTGTTATAAATAAGTTACTCATTTGGTTCTTGAGGTTTAAACATTATTATTTAACAGTTCGGTTAGAGTTGATGCCAGGTTGCATTTTACAGATGCTTAAACATTGATTAATTTTGATTAATTTTGCTACTTTCTTTTCATATCTTGGGGCCAATCATTTTTTTCTGGGTCTCAAATATTTTCAAAGGCTCTTAGAAAGCTTGCAAACACAGGCACTATGCCTATAGTGACTGATAAATAAAGTAGCTCTTGGCCCGGTGCGGTGGCTCATACCTGTAATCCAAGCACTTAGGGAGGCCAAGGAAGGCGGATCACAAGGTCAGGAGATTGAGACCATCCTGGCTAACACAGTGAAACCCCGTCTCTACTAAAAATACAAAAATTATCTCGGTATGGTAGCACGTGCCTGTAATTGCAGCTACTCGGGAGGCTGAGGCAGGAGAATTACTTGAACCTGGGAGGCAGAGATTGCAGTGAGCCGAGATTGCACCACCGTACTCCAGCCTGGGCAACAGGAGCAAAACTCCGTCTCAAAAAAAAAAAAATAGCTCTCAGTTGACCTGGTGTTTAGAAAATAAAGGGGTAGGCTTTCACTTCCAAGCTGTCATGGTTGCTGCTGATCTCTTCCTAGTCCAAGTTAGAAGTAGGCTCTCTCTCTTTGCATGGCATTTAGAGAGATGCAGAAAACTTTGCCAAGGTTGGGAAGGCTCATGCTTAGAGTCCTACTTCCCTAGAGACACTATGCAGCCACCTACCTTCTATAATGTCTTGTCACCTGCTTGGGGCACCATTGCAGTACAGGTACAAGGCTCCCCACTGCTTTTGAGGCCCACAGACCTCTCTCTCCTTCTTAGTCCAGAAAGCTCTCCACCCTTTCTCTTCTTGCTCTCAAAGCCTTCCTCCCTCTCTTCCCTCACCCACCCCAGGATACTTCCCAATATATTTTGGACTTTTCAAAATCCAGGCAAAATCGTTGACTTCAATCTACTTCTGCTCTGTGTGTGGCAAAAACTGTGGGTGAAGGAAGCACAAAATGGTCTACTTGTTTTAGGGGAGTTACTCATATTACAATAAATTATTATTCCACAAAGGAATTGATTCAAAACCTGCCTCTACCATTTACCAGTTCTGTGACTTTTTTTTTTTTTTTTTTTTTTGGAGACAGAGAGAGTCTTGCTCTGTCACCCAGACTGGAGTGCAGTAGCGCGACCCTGGCTCACTGCAACCTCTGTCTCCTGGGACCAAGCAATTCTCCTGCCTCAGTCTCCCAAGTAGCTGGGACTACAGGCACTTGCCACCATGCCCAGCTATATATATATATATATTTTTTTTTTTTTCTTTTTTTTTTACAGATGGGGTTTCACCATGTGGGCCAGGCTGGTCTTGAACTCCTGACGTCAAGTGATCTGCCCGCCTCAACCTTCCAAAGTGCTGGGATTCCAGGCATGAGCCACTGCACCCGGCCTAATTCTATGACTTTGAACAAGCACTCTAACCCCTCAAACCTCCTGGTTCCTCACCTGTGAAATGAGGACAATCATACCTACTTTTTGAGATTGTTGAGAAGGTTTAATTAAGGGGATGACACACATAAAGTTCAAGGCACCATTGCTGGGACGTATTGGAAGTATATAAATGTTCATTCTTATTCCCTGTGTTTGCATTTCCTACAGATAAAACTGTGGGTGTACCAATAGAGCCCATTATTGCTGCATGTGTTGTGATCTTTCTGACATTGTGCTTTGGACTGATTGCTAGAAGAAAGAAAATAATGAAGGTATCTAAGTATTCTGAGCTATTTAAGTAAAAAGCCATCATCTGAATAAAGGCAGAAAGCTAGAAATATAAGTGACTTCAGTTAGGAACCCTTCTTGGCAAAGTCAAATCTGGTCTTTATACCATGAGATCTAAAATACAGTTGCTCAAGGGAATAAAAATTATATGTACATTATGAGTACAGATTTACAAAGAAGAGAAGTGCACATGGGCAAAGCCTGAATTGAAAATAGCTGTGTTGCCAGGGGTAGGCAATTGGGGGCTGATTTTCCTCCTTTTAAATTGCCCTTTATTGTTGCTATGATACCTGTGGTATAATAAATAAATATAGGGAGGAACATCCGCTCTAGATTCAGAGATCTGCATGGAAAAGATGGCATTGGCTGCTCACTTCTGGACTATAGCCACATGCCCTGGCTGTAGTGGACTGGTGTTTGAATTATAAAGTGGTTATCCTCGTTGGTTGGTATGATTCAGAATACGTGCATGCTTAGGTTAATGCCATGCATTTGACTCTGCCAGCTAATTCAGTGCCAAAGGAGAGCAAAAAAGGCAGAAAGCCCTAGGCTGAGTTCATCATTCAGCAAGGGGCATTCTCCTTGGAACACATAGCAACAGGGCAGCCATGTCTCTCAAGAAGAAATTCACTCCACCCCCTATTCCAATCCCAAGCATATTTTAGTTGTTGTTGTTTCTTTTCTTTCTTTCTTTCTGTCTTCCTTTCTTTCTTTTTTTATTTTTTTGAGATAGAGTTTTACTCTCTCTCCCAGGCTGGAGTGCAGTGCCTTGATCACAGCTCACTGTAGCCTCAACCTCCTGGGCTCAAGTGATCCTCCCACCTCAGCCTCCCTAGTAGCTGGGACCACAGGCATGCACCACCGTGCCCGGCTAATTTCTGTATTTTTTGTAGACAGGGTTTTGCCATGTTGCCCAGGCTGGTCTCGAACTCCTGAGCTCAAGTGATCTGCCTGCCTCAGCCTCCCAAAGCACTAGGATTACAGGCATGAGCCACCACACCCAGCCACAAAGCATTTTTTTCTTTTTTTTTTTTGAGATGGATTCTTGCTCTGTCACCCTGGCTGGAGTGCAGTGGCGTGATCTCAGCTCACTGCAAGCTCCACCTCCCAGGTTCACACCATTCTCCTGCCTCAGCCTCCAGAGTAACTGGGACTACAGGCATGTGGCACCATGCCTGGCTGTTTTTTTGTATTTTTAGTAGAGACAGGGTTTCACCATGTTGGCCAGGCTGGTCTTGAAATCCTGACCTCAAATGATCCATCTGCCTTGGCCTCCCAAAGTTCTGGGATTACAGGTGTGAGCCACTGCACTCGGCCGCATTTTTTTTTCTATAAAAAAGTAAATACTCAAGTATCTAAGACACTGGAAGCATCTTAACTAAGAGTTACATCTTCTTTGAGTTTAATAAAAACTACTAGTGTGGCCCCAAAAATGACGCCTGAGCCAGTGCAGAGGTGTGCACAGGACACACACCTGTCCTCGAGCCATCTTAATGCATTCAAAATATTTCTCCATGGGCCTTAAAAAGCAGGCTAATTTACTGCCATGTTTGCTTTTAGCTCTGCATGAAGGATAAAGACCCTCACAGTGAAACAGCTCTGTAAGTACTCTAGGCCGGGACCAGTGCTTTTTAAATAAGCAGATGAATAGCAGTGATATGCATCACTCTAGACAAACTCCAGAGATGGGAGGTGCTGGAAGGGGAAGGGGTTCAAAGGAGAATAGAAGGTGGAGGAAAATCTGCCTCCACTTTAGAGGAAGACAGGTTGAAAAGTTGCCTAGAATAGAGAACACCTTTAGTCCTAAGCCTGCTCCCTCTTTAAGTGAGTTTGCCCAATGTTTGTGCAACTGCATTTTATTGCCACACAATGCAAATGCTCTGGAGGAAGTCACTGGTCCATACTGCTTTACAACAAGGCCAGGAACCACATTCATCCCCATACTGCCTTCTCTTTGCAGCTTTGTTTAGCGCTTCTAGCATATGTGAAGTGGGTAGTAGGTAATAAGAACAAAGGCATGTTGTCAGAGAGTATGGGTTTTGTTTTGAATTTTTTTCTTATTGCTATGAGCATCATTATTATTAATTTCTTCATTCATTTCAGATGAGAAAGCTGAGATGCCATCGAATACAGAGAGAGTTTTGCATCAGGACCTCCACAATTTATGTAGTCCCATCTGTATTTATTGCTATTATTAAATTCACTCCTGTCACTCCTGTTTCATTAATCACTTAACAGTAGTTGTTAGGACTAATTTGATACACTTGTGGAACATTTTTATGGAAAGAGCTATTAAGAATGAAAAGTAAGATTTTGTTAAGTCTTCTCCTTGAAGTATATGTTAATTAATTGAGATTTGTTCCAAATAGGTTGGTAATCATTTACTGTTTAGTGTGTTTTTTTTCTAGGTAGGAGATACTTGGGTCTCACAAATTGGTGCAAAGCCAAAAAAAAAAAAAAAGGAAGAAACAACAGAGTAATCAATTTTTTAAGTTGCCCAGGAAGCATATAAAAAATACCAGTTATGCCAGGTGTGGTGGCTCCTATAATCCCAGCACTTTGGGAGGCTGAGGCAGGCAGATTACTTCAGGCCAGGAATTCAAGATCAGCCTGGCCAACATAGTGAAAACCATCTCTACTAAAAATACAAAAAGCCAGGTGTAGTGGCATGCACCTGTAATCCCAGCTACTTGGGAGGCTGAGGCAGCAGAGTTGCTTGAACCTGGTAGGCAGAGGTTGCAGAGCTGAGATGGCACCACTGCACTCCAGCCTGGGCACCAGAGCAAGACTCTGTCTCAAAAACAAACAAACAAAAAATCAATTATTATCTACCTTCACTGTCGTTTCATAAAAGAAATGTTTTAGGACTAAAGAAAGAAAGAAGACTATAATCTTGAAATATAAGATGCTCCTTTAAATTGAATAAATTTAGTATTATGAAAAACTCAGCGTATGTTCCTATTTTTCTCATTTCATTGTAGTTGACATGGTCACAAAATTTGTGAGCTCTATGTGGCAATGAATGTTCAAAGAGCAATGAAATTGGTAATTTGTGTTGTACTATCTGTACTAATTATGAGTCAGCCTGTACTTTTCTCGTACCTCTCCCATTTAAACCACAGCTCTCATAATTTATAATTGACTTTCCCCATCTCCATTCTTTCTTCTTTTTTCCCCCATAAGAGTTTATGCTTCTCTTTCCCACACAACTGGGAGCTTGTAGGGGAGGCAGCCTTGGCCAGAATCATCTTTGATGTCTCTTCTGTGCTCCTCCTCTGTCTTAGAAAAACAAAACAAAACTGTTTTCATCTAATTTTGCAGTAGCTAAATGTGCCACAGTGCAAGAGAGATCTGCTGTCAGACAGGTGGTAAAAAGCCTTCTTGACATAGAAGCAAAAAGAAGAAATTAGCAGAATGTATGAAATCTCAACAGACTTGTTTCTAAAAAGAACAGACATAATCCTCCTGTTAGTCTCTCTTTGCTTCCTTGGAAACCTCAGTATGGAATGGATGAGAGAGAGACTGCTACAGACTGTGGGTTACACATTTCTCTGTCTTCTTGGAGGATCCAGCAGGGTTTTGTGGGGAAGCCTCCAGATCACGTTCCTCACTCGAGAGTTCTCAAAGTAGAATCTGGAAACCCTAGGAGAATGCTGTAAGGATAAAATAGGATTATGAAAAAATCTGAACATTTAGACGTTAAGTAGAAGCCGTGAGACCGTAAAGCAAAAAACAAATCTTGGGCAATGATGGTTGGGATAGTTTAAAATGGAAAAGGAAACAGAAAACATACATATCAAATTGGACTTGGAATCAGGAGACCAGAGTTCTAGTGTTGGCTCTGTTAACTTGGGCAGGAAAAACTCTCTTGGACCTTTGGGAAATGAGGAGGTTAGATTAGGAGATCCTTATCCTTAAAGTACACGTTAGCTTCAAAATTCTATAATTCTCAAAAGATCCTACATAATTTAGTTAAATGCTGGAAAGAGGTGGCAAGAAAGACTGAAAATGTAATCCCTTTGCCCCACCTAGTAGAATTATGAATCAGCTTTATTCTAGGACATATAATAATCTTGAGAATTACAGGTCATAAGTAAAGAGTTTCCTCACCCTTATAAAATACAGTGGCCTTGTACATTAGCACAGGCAAGGAACATTAACTAGTTTTAACAGAGCACAGCAATATTGTAAATGGTCATTGCATTGCATTTTGCCTTGCAGTATGGGAGAAACAGAACCTGTATTAAAAACTATGTACATTATTAACACTAAAATCATGAGTGAGCCTGCCTGAGGAGGACATGAAATTCTAGTACTCAAAAGAGGACTCCACTGCCTTTTTCCATATGTCTTTTCTACTTACTATCAGGTACCTGAAATTTCAACATTCATTCTTCTGGTTTCGACCCACAGGACTAAAAGTAGCAGCAGAGAAGTGACAATGCCAGTGGCTCCCTTCTCAACCTCTCCACCAGTAAGGATACCTCTTGTTATTATCACATTCTCTTTCTTGGGCCCCATTTTCCCAAGAGCTAATCTATGAAGCAAATTTTATTTATTAAATAATAATAATTATCTGTCCAGGCGCGGTGGCTCACATCTGTAATCCCAGCACTTTGGGAGGCTGAGGTGGGAGGATCACTTGAGGTCAGGAGTTCAAGACCAGCCTGGCCAAAATGGTGAAACCCAGTCTCTACTAAAAATACAAAAATTAGCCAGGTGTGGTGTGGCACACCTATAATCCCAGCTACTAGGGAGGGTGAGGCAGGAGAATTGCTTAAATCCAGGAGGCAGAGGTTGCAGTGAGCCAATATTGCACCACTGCACTCCAGCTTCAGCAACACAGTGAGACCCTGTCTCAAAAATAATAATAAGGCCGAGCACGGTGGCTCACACCTGTAATCCTAGCATTTTGGGAGGCTGAGGTGGGTGGATCACCTGAGGTCAGGAGTTTGAGACCAGCCTGGCCAACATGTTGAAACTCCATCTCTACTAAAAATACAAAAAAATTAGCTGGGCGTAGTGGTTGGCGCCTGTAATCCCAGCTACTCAGGAGGCCGAGGCAGGAGAATCGCTTTAACCTGAGAGGCGGAGGTGGCAGTGAGCCGAGAACATGCCATTGCATTCCAACCTGGGTGACAAAAGTGAATCTCCATCTCAAAATAAATAAATAAATAATAATAATAAAAAAATTAATAAGAATTATCTGTTTTTCCAATTTTTAAAACATTAATCAATTATATCTGTTTGCCATTTTGATCTTCTTTTATGACAATACAGTTACCTAGTTGACAGAATTCCACCTAAAAGCAAAGAAATCTGGAGCTTTAGTTAACCTGTGCAGTCTTTTAGAGGTTAAAGATATAATCATTGCCAATAGGCTTTTTGAATCATTGAAAAAAACCTCACAAACCTCTTTCCCCACCAGCTTTACCCCTGTCATCACCACCATCATGACTACTTTCCTGACCCTATTGGCCAGGGGTTATAGATTCAAATTCTTACAGATTCAAATTCTTACAGTGAAGAATTCAAATTCTTCACTCATTGATCAAGCAGATCAATGAGTGAAGCAGGCTAGATGTACAATAATAGGGAATGGTGGGGACTGTGGCAAACAGAGAGCACATCTGTGTCCAAAAGAAGGCTGATAATTATAATCAGGGACAGATCTTCTGATTCTTTTTTTTTTCTTTTTTTTTTTTTTTTAAGACAGTGCCTCGTTCTGTCAGGCTGGAGTGCAGTGGCACAATCTTGGCTCACTGCAACCTCCACCTCCTGAGTTCAAACGATTCTCATGCCTCAGCCTCCCAAGTAGCTGGGATTACAGGCATGCACCACCATGCCCGGCTAACTTTTGTATTTTTAGTAGAGACAGAGTTTCACCATATTGGCCAGTCTGGTCTTGAACTCCTGGCCTCAAGTGATTCACCTACCCTGGCCTCCCAAAGTTCTGGGATTACAGGTGTGAGCCACTGCACCTGGCCAGATCTTGTGATTCTTTAAGAGAAGTCAGAGATCTGAATTTTTATGTGTAATTCCTCTAATTTAAAAATGTTTTTTGTTTGTTTGTTTGTTTTAATCCTGAATGTCTAGGAGTAGAAGAATCCTATATGCCATCCTCTGGCAGGTAGGTTACAACAGTGTTGACTTGGGCTTTCATTGTCTCATGGAGATTTTTGTGAAACAGCTCTTGGAATTCTCACTCATTGCTTCCCCAGAGATCAGGCAAGATCATGAGGAGCTAAGTCAGGGGACAGTTAGTTATGGTCTGCTGAGGACTTTATGCACATAATTTGACTCTGTAAACAATCCTATGAAATGGTCATGATTGTCGCAACTTTGGAGATGAGGACGCTGGGTTCAGAATGCATAATTAATGTATAGAGAGTGACTAAGCTGAGATTCATACCTGGGCTGATCCAAACCCTGGGACTGGAGTAGGAAAGAGGATATCACAGAAGGGGTAAAGGTTGAATAATAAAAACTTCACCTCTCTCATAATATGCTGAGATATCTCATAATATGCTGAGTGATATCAGTACAACCCCACTTCTAATGACCCTCAGAGAAATTATTTCTGGAAATAAAGGAAATTTACAATAATCTTAGTTGGAGAGCCTTTTGGAAATGTTACAACACTCCTTGAGATAATTTGCAACACCCTGCAGTGTTGCAGGACTGGAGCTGAGAATTGCTGCCCTAAATATTTGCTTGTCCTCCTAATGATAATAATCACCAAGTATTACTCTTTGTCAAGGGGTTTGCATAGATCATTTCCGATCTTTGCAACAACCTCTGAAAGGTAGGCGTTGAAGCCTCCATTTTATTGGCAAGGAAAAGGAAGAGTTGAGAAACAATATAACTTAGTGTAATAACAGTAGTGCAAGCCAGAATAAAATTCATCTCATTTTATTTTAAAAAATCAAATCATGATTAATCTCATGCCAGAGACTATAGGGAATAAAATTGACACATTAATCACAAATTTCCTAATACTCAGGTAATCTTTTCCCAAGAGTCTATCTCTGCAACTTCAAGGTTGCTATGTGGCAAACAACTTACATCATGGGTTGTTTACATATACATACTGGTGGAAAACATGGCGAACACTATTGTAAATTCACAAAAAAAAGTGAGTTCTCAGAAAATTGTATATATATACATACACACATATATATACACACCCACATATATGTACATATACAGATATATATATAATGGAAGAACTTCAGATCTATATATATATACATACACACACATATATGTATATTTTTATTTATGTGTATATATATATATATTTATATATATACATAAAAAATGGAAGATCTGGAGTTCCTGCCAACATATCCCTACAGTAAAGTGTTGCTGTGGAAACCCATGAATTCCTGAATGATTTGTCCTTACTTCTTCTGACACTCCTGATAGCAGCACTAGTGCTAGCCTGTTTAAATTGTAGTTAGTAATAACAATCTCATATTTTCATGTTACTGTATAGTTTACAAAACATTTTTACAGATATTTGGTTTGATTCTCACAGCCACTCTGTGAGATAGGTAGTGCTATCATTATTTATGATTTGCAACTAAATGATACTAAAATTCAGAAAGGTTAAGTGATCTTTCCAAGGTCACAGAGCTAGTAAGAAGAGTCATTTCTCCATCACCCTGCCTTTTGGTCCTAAGTAAGTACTACAGTTGCTCTTAGTTTTGTAGAGGACAATCATTCAGTCCTTTTGCCTTACAGGTGATTACTGTACAACAGGAAAAGTGGCAACAGGAGGTGACAAAATAAATGATCTCACACAAATACTAATTGTTTCCATTGGGTATTGTTAGGAATTGTCAAAATTGAGTTCTCTGCATTACCTGACGTATAGTGGCATCACCTAACAGAAGTTACAACCCTATGAGCACTTACCTTGTACTGTTCTGAGCACTTTTAACATATTATAACTCAATCTTCTTAACAATCACAGAACAAGGGTTCTATTTTTAAATCATACCCATTTTACAGGGAAGGCAACTGAGGCACAGAGGATTTAAGTCATGGGTTCTGGGTCACACAACTTGTTGGTGGCTAAATCAGAATTTGGGCCAAGATAGTATGGTCCTGGGTCTTTAACCACTAGGCTAAATTGCCTTTTACATTAAGAATGAACATGTATACGATACTTCCTATACTCCAGGAGCACACATATATAGACTTATTTAATCTCCATTATTGACACATTTAACATTTGAATTCAAATAGAAAGCAGTGAGGCCAGGAGTTTGAGACCAGCCTGGGAAACACAGAGAGGCCCTGTCTCTAAAAAAAATTTTTTTAAATTAGGCCGGGTGAGGTGGCTCACATCTGTAATCCCAGCATTTGGGGAGGCCAAGGTAGGCGGATCACTTGAGGTCAGGAGGTCAAGACCAGCCTGGCCAACATGGCAAAACCCCGTCTCTACTAAGAATACAAAAATTAGCTGGGCGTGGTGGCACAGGCCTGTAATTCCAGCTACTCAGGAGGCTGAGGCAGGAGAATCACTTGAACCTGGGAGGCAGAGGTTGCAGTGAGCCGAGATCATGCCACTGTACTCCAGCTTGGGTGACGGAGTGAGACTCTGTCTCAAATAAATAAATAAATAAATAAATAAATTAGCCAAACATGGTGGCATGCACCTGTACTCCTACCTACTCAGGAGGCTGAGGCAGGAAGATCATTTGAACCCAGGAGGTTGAGTCTACAATGAAATAAGATCGTACCATTGCACTTCAGCCTGGGTGACAGGGCGAGACCCTGTCTTGAAAAATAATAACTTTTTAAAAAGCAAACATAAAAAGACAGGGAGGGAGGGGCAAATGGGGAAAGGGAGACGAGAGAGATACACACACACACACACACAACTTGAAGTGCCGTGATGAGTCCTGTATTCCATTCAAAGAACACATGCCTGGAAGTGAGCACAAGAGTGGGAGGAGCATCGGCTTCCCTGGCCAGTCCTAGTTCCCTCATGGCTCTCTAGGCGTGAGCCTATTGTGTGCTGACGATGAGTCTAGTGTTCAAGAATTTGTATTTTTTGTACAACATAGTCCCTAAAAGGAAGCCAAATACCTCATTTGGTTCTCAACCACAAAATAGCCCTCTCTTTCCATTCTGGAATAAAAATTTTCCCTACTGTGCTTACAAAAAGGAGATATTTGGGTCTCCGATGAGGCCTTCCCAAAAAATTTGCAAGGATAATTTTGACTACGACCAATTTTTGTTTGACTTTGGAGCCTCATCCTTGAGTAAGTCATAATTCCACTTGTATCTTTGAACATGGTCAGTGCTGAAGGGAGTAGTTAGATTCCTGTAGTTTGTCACGCAACTATGCTGTATATATTCAACATTGCTCATGGAAAAGTTGTAGCTACCAGATATACATGAAGCCACTGGATCCATGAACAGTTGCTTTGAAAACCTGGCCCCTCATCCTGACTCAGCCACTAATGAACTGCTCAACTCAAGCAAATGATGTAAACTTTTATAGGTTCAAAACTAAGGGACTAGACCAGAAGATAATCTGTAAGATCCTGTGAGGCCTCATATTATATGATTGATATTTTCAAAAAGTTTAACAATAGATGGGGCACAGAAGCTCATGTCTGTTAATTCCAGCACTTTGGGAGGCTGAGACCGGTTGATTGCTTGAGCCCAGGAGTTCGAGACCAGCCTGGGCAACATAGTTAAACCTCCTCTCTACAAAAAATACAAAAATTAGTTGGTCCTGGTGGCATGGGCCTGTGGTCCCATCTACTCTGGAGGCTGAGGTGGGAGGATCGCTTGAGTCAGGCAGGTTGAGATTGCGTGAGCCAAGTTCTTACAAAATACAAAAAAATACAAAAAATACAAAATACAAAAAATTAGTCAGCATAGTGGTGCACGCCTATATTTCCAGCTACTCAGGAGGCTGAGGCAGGGGAATCGCTTGAACCCCGGAGGCAGAGGTTCCAGTGAGCCAAGATCGTGCCACTGCACTCCAGCCTGGGTGACAGAGCAAGACTCTGTCTCAAAAAGAAAAAAAAAAAACCCAAAACTCCCAAAATAATAATGAAACAACTCTTAGGAGGCCTTACTACTTCCTGGGCAGCTCAAGAGCATCATTAAACAATTCCACCAAAGAGGATATAAACTTTGTTGCCACTCAAGAATCATAGCCTTGAATTCCTGAAGTGATTTTATAGCTATGGTACTTCATAAAAGTGTTTAATAACAAACTTGACTCACTTGGAAATCACCAGTCTAAAGGACTTTGCTCCAATTTGAGATGTGAGTTATACTCGTTTTTAAGACAATATTTAATGATGTATTAACAAGTTCATATTTCTGCTAAAGATTCACAATTTTTTTTTGAGAGTCTCACTCTGTTGCCCAGGCTGGAGTGCAGTGGTGTGATCTTGGCTCACTGCAACCTCTACCTTCCGGGTTCAAGCGATTCTCACCCCTCAGCCTCCTGAGTAGCTGGGATTACAGGCACATGCCACCATGCCTGGCTAATATTTTTGTATTTTTAGTAGAGACGGGCTTTCACATGTTGCCCAGCCTGTCTTCAACTCCTGGCCTCAAGAGATCTGCCTGCCTTGGCCTCCCGAAATGCTAGGATTACAGGCATAAGTCACCATGCCTAGCCTAAGAGTCACAATTTCTTGATCACTCTAAATATAGGGATAATGCTTGTATGATTCTACAGTGCTATTAGTCATATAACAAAGTCTTCTATCAGTGGTTCCTTGTTTGTCATGTTGAGTGGTCTTCATTATTTTCTACCTATAACAGATTAATTAAAATGGGCTAATGTGAAAACTTAACAGCTGCAAATTTGTGTGCCTAAGAAAAACTTCATGATTATGTTCCATTAACTATCCACAAATGGTTGCTTTGGGACAATTAGAAAAATGACATAGGAAAACACTCAGCCATTTATAAATCTGCAGGTTTATTGTATAGACTGGTATGTCTAAAGTGCTTGAGTTTCAAAGTGCTTTCACTTACATTATATCTTTTGATACTTAGGCTTAGAGAGCTTAAGTTTTTGTTTGTTTGTTTTTTGGAGACAGGGTCTTGCTCTGTCACCCAGTCTGGAGTGCAGTGGCGCGATCACAGCTCACTGCAGCCTTCAGCTCCCAGGCTCAGGTGATCCTCCTGCCTCAGCCTTCCAAGTAGCTGCCCACAGACACATGCCATTGTGCCCAGCTTATTTTTGTGTTTTTGTTTTTGTTTTTTTGTAGAGACGGGGTTTTGCCATGTTGCCCAGGCTGGTCTTGAACTCCTGGGCTCAAGTGATCCACCCGCCTCAGCCTCCCAAACTGCTGGAATTCCAGGTGTGAGCCACCATGCCCGGCTGAGAGTTTAAGTTTTAATCTCTGGAATCAGACTACTTGGGTTTGTATTTTGACTCTACCACTTTATTAGCTGTGCAAGTTATTATGTGCAAGTCACCTAGCCTTTCTGTTCTTGCATTTCCTCATCTATAAAATGGGAATGGTAATAGAACCCACCTCCTGACTTAGGGTTATTGTGAAGATCAGATGGGCTAAAGCTTGTATAGAAAGCAGAACAATGCCTGTGGCACAGGAAGCACTCAATAAATTTTAGCTATATAGCTAGTATTATTATCCACCCCATTTTTCAGAAGATGAAACAGACTCAGAGATTAAATGAATGCATATACCTACAAATACTAAAACTATTAAATACTAAAGCTATTAAAATACTAAAGCTATTAAAACCAGATATAATAGACTTCAAACTTTGGCCTCTTTTTCCTAACTGCATGCTGCCTTTCTTACTTAATGTAAGAAATTAAGAGTTCTAATTGAGGACTTTTAGGGAACAATTATCTTTCTTTCTTTCCTTCTTTCTTTCTTTTTTTCTTTCTTTCTTTCTTTCTTTCTTTCTTTCTTTCTCTCAGGGTAAGATGCATGTTTATCTTTTGTTTTTAATTTTAATTTGCACTGTGAATGTGTTCAGTTTTACTTTTATCTGATGAATCACTCTTGTTGGAACAAGGAAGAAATAAAATTAAATGAAAGAAAAATCAAGTGAGAACAAAAAGTGGAAATTGGATGAAAAAACATTACAAAGGATATGCACTGGAAAACGTGGAACTGAGCCACCAACTCCTGCATATTCACTTTGTTTTGTGATTTTTATGCTTTGTTTTATTTTTTTAAAAAAAGCCTCTGGCCAGGTGCGGTGGCTCACGCCTGTAATCCCAGCACTTTGAGAGGCCGAGGCAGGCGGATCACTTGAGGTCAGTAGGTCGAGACGAGCCTGGCCAACATGGTGAAACCCCGTCTCTACTACAAATACAAAAATTAGCCAGGCGTGGTGGTGTGTACCTGTAATCCCACATACTCGGGAGGCTAAGCCAGGGGAATCGCTTGAACCCAGGATGTGGAGGTTGCAGTGACCCGAGATCATAGCACTGCACTCCAGCCTGGGCGACAGAGCGAGACCCTGTCTTAAAAAAAAAAAAAGAAGATAACACCATAATTATTATACTTAAACATTTGCTTCAGATAGTAAAGAATGTGATTCATAAACAAAGGAAGAATTAAAGAAAGCTTTGGTTTTGCAGCTTTAAGTAATGCCAGTCTAACAGCATTCCCAGAAGGAAACTGGGATCTAAGGTCTCCAAAGGTATTTAATTGTGATTTTCTCTCAAGTTCAATTTCCTCTGTTTCACCTCTGTCACTTTCTCTTCCATTTGCCCTTATTTTCCTTTTATCTTTGTTCCAATCTTTCTGTACTTCAACAAAATTTAGTTTTTGATGATTGTGGTAGTCACTTTTTAAGAGTAATGCAAAAAAGCATTTTTAGGGTAGCCCAACCAGGACTTCTTTCTAGGTAGATCCTCACAGCACTGAGGATCAGCACCTTATTTTGTTGTTCTTCACAAGGATCTTCCTTTCTCCCTGGCAGGAGGAAAGAAAAATAGAGGCAGTTTCCCTGCATCTTCCAGGATAAGGTCTTAACTCCTCTGTGGGCACTGGTGGCTGTCTACGCTTGGTCCCTGCCCTCTATCTCCTTAGTTCAGCTGTGCTCAGTTTCCAAACAGAGATTTTGTTGTTTTAAGACTTTTGTGGGGCTGGGCGCGGTAGCTCACGCCTGTAATCCCAGCACTTTGGGAGGCCGAGGTGGGTGGATCACGAGGCCAGGAGATCAAGACCATCCTGGCTAATGTGGTAAAACCCCGTTTCTACTAAAAAATACGAAAAAAATTAGCCGGGTGTGGTGGCGGGCGCCTATAATCCCAGCTACTCAGGAGACTGAGGCAGGAGAATGGCATGAACCCGGGAGGCAGAGCTTGCAGTGAGCCGAGATCACACCACTGCACTCCAGCCTGGGCGACAGAGCAAGACTCTATCTCAAAAAGAAAAAAAAAAAAAAGACTTTTGCAGCCCAGCACTTTGGGAGGCTGAGGCGGGCGGATCACAAGGTCAGGAGTTTGAGATCAGCCTGGCCAACATAGTGAAACCCCATCTCTACTAAAAATACAAAAAATTGGCCGGACATGGTGGCGGGCTCCTATAATCCTAGCTACTTGGGAGGCTGAGGCAGGAGAATAGCTTGAACCTGGGAGGCTGAGGTTGCTGTGAGCTGAGATCACGCCACTACACTCCAGCCCAGGCGAGACTCTGTCTCAAAAAAAAAAAAAAAAAAGATTTTTGCATATTTCCTTTAACTGGAATTCCTTTCCCCAGCTATTATCACTTGGCAAACTCCTAACCGGGCAAAACTCAGATGATCTGTCATCTCTCCCAAGAAACTTTCCCTAAAGATCCCAGGGAGCTTTGACTTATATATTCCTCCTCCACATTCCACATCACACCATGCAAATCTCTACCACAGCACAAGGGTTAGGGTTAGGGTTAATGTGATCCACCTCCAAAATATGTTCCATATTCATCTATTTCTTTTCATCTCTACCACTGCCTTCTTCTTTTTTCTAATTTTTTTTTTTTTTTTTGAGATGGAGTCTTGCTCTGTCACCCAAACTGGAGTGCAATGGCGCCATCTCGGATTGCTGCAACCTCCACCTCCCAGGTTCAGGCCATTCTCCTGCCTCAGCCTCCCGAATAGTTGGGATTACAGGTGCTCGCCACCACGCCCAGCTAATTTTTAATTTTTGTATTTTTAGTAGAGACGGGGTTTCCCCCTGTTGGCCTGGCTGGTCTTGAACCCCTGACCTCAAGTGATCCGCCCACCTCGGCCTCCCAAAGTGCTGGGATTACAGGCGTGAGCCACTGAGCCCAGCCCTACCACTGCCTTCTTGATCCAGGTCACCATTCGCCTCTTGACTGGACAAATTATAGCCTCCTAACAAGTCTTCTGCTTATATTCCTTTCTTTTTTAATTTTTCTTTACTTTTTCTTTCTTTTTTTTTTTTTTTGAGATGGAGTCTTGCTCTGTCACTCAGGCTGGAGTGCAGTGGCGCGATCTCAGCTCTATGCAACCTCTGCCTCTCAGGTTCAAGCGATTCTCCTGCCTCGGCTTCCTGAGTAGCTGGGATTACAGGTGCCTGCCACCGCCAGCTAATTTTTGTATTTCAGTAGACCGTGTTGGCCAGTTTGGTCTAGAACTCCTCAGGTGATCTGCCCTCCTCGGCCTCCCAAAGTTCTGGGATTACAGGCGTAAGCCACCGTGCCCGGCCTTCCTTTCTTTTTTAAGTCCATCATTTACACTGCAGTCACAATGACCTTTTAAAGAAGAAATATTTCATATATACAAATACATAGACAATGTATAAAATTAGGTATAACAAATACTGTAGAATGAACACCCATGTACCCAACATCAGCTTAACAAATAGGAAACTAGGCTGGCATTGTGGCTCATGCCTGTAATGCCAGCACTTTGGGAGGCTGAGGCAGGCAGATCATGAGGTCAGTAGTTCGAGGCCAGCCTGGCCAACGTGGTGAAACCCCATCTCTACTACAAATACAAAATTAGCCAGGCATGGTGGCAGGTGCCTGTAATCCCAGCTACTTGGGAGGCTGAATCAAGAGAATCGCTTGAAGCAAGAAGGTGGAGGTTGCAGTGAGCCAAGATCGCACCACTGTACTTCAGCCTGGGTGACAGAATGCGACTCAGTCTCAAAAAAAAAATAAAATAAAATAAATAGGAAACTATAAATACCTTTGAAGCTCAGTGTCTCCTCCCCAAAGGTAAATACTATCTTGAATTTGGTGTTTGACATTCACTTGTTAAAAAAAATCTTTTACCATCTATGTATATATTTCTAAACAATACATTAGGCCAGGCACAGTGGCTCACGCCTGTTATCCCAGCACTTTGGGAGGCCAAGGCAGGTGGATCATGAGGTCCAGAGATCAAGACCATCCTGGTCAACATGGTGAAACCCCATCTCTAATAAAAATACAAAAATTAGCTGGGTATGGTGGTGTGTGCCTGTAGTCCCAGCTACTCGGGAGGCTGAGGCAGGAGAATTGCTTGAACCTGGGAGGCGGAGGTTGCAGTGAGCCGAAATCGAGCCACTGCACTCCAGCCTGGCAACAGAATGAGACTCGGTCTCAAAAAAAAAAAAAAGAAAAAGAAAAAAGAAAAAAAACAATATTTAACTGTGCTTGGTTTTGAAATTTTGAAAACAGATTTCATGCCATTTGCTCTGCCACATGATTTTTGTACTCAACATTGCTCTGCCACATGATTTTTGTACTCAACATTGCTTCTGAAACTCATCCATGTAGATTTTTATATCACAATTCATACAAATTTCTGTTGATGAACTGTGGATTTTTCTTGAGTTTTTATGCAATCACCAGCAAAGCTAGAACCAACAGTTTTGACCATGACTTATAGTACATGTACGCAAGAACTTCTCTAGGGAAAGAGAAATTACTGTGATAATGAAAATGTTCTATATATATGCTCTCCGTCCAATGAGGTAGCCTCCAGCCATGTGTGGCTATTAAGCACGTGGAATATAACTAGTATAACTGAAAAACTAAATTTTTTATTTTAATTAATTTAGATTTAAATAGCCACAAGCATCTAGCGGCTACTATATTGGACAGAATAGCTCAAGAAAATATACTCAAGAATAGCGTTGCTAGATTATAGAGTATGTGTGTCTTCAACTTTACAAAATATTGACAAATGTTTTCTAAAGTGGTAATATTAATTTATACTTCTATCAGCAGTACAAAAGAATTGTCAACATATTTTTTAATACCTGCCTTCAAAATTTTTGCTTATCTAGGTATAAACTGGGAATAGTCAGAGGTGTTTGAACCAGAGTGACGCCATCCGGAATTGGGGCTGGGTAAAATAAGGCTGAGACCTACTGGGCTGCATTCCCAGGAGGTTAGGCACTCAGTCACAGGATGCAGTAGGTCGCTGGCACAAGGTACAGGTCACAAAGATTTTGCTGATAAAAGGATGTAGTAAAGAAGCCAGCCAAATCCCACCAAATCAAGATGGCAATGAAAGCTACCTCTGGTCATCCTCACTCCTCATTATGCATTAATTATAATACATTAGCATACTAAAAGACACTCCCACTGGCACCATGACAGTTTACTAATGCCACAGCAATGTCAAGAAGTTACCCTATATGGGCCAAGCGCAGTGGCTCATGCCTGTAATCCCGGCACTTTGGGAGGCCAAGGCAGGCGGATCACAATGTCAGGAGTTCAAGACCAGCCTGGCCAACATGGTCAGACAGGGTTTAGTAGAAACCCCGTCTCTACTAAAAAAAATACAAAAATTAGCTGGGCATGGTGGCGGGTGCCTGTAATCCCAGCTACTCAGGAGGCTGAAGCAGGAGAATTGCTTGAACCCAGGAGGCGGAGGTTGCAGTGAGCCGAGATCATGCCACTGCACTCTAGCCTGGGCAACAGAGCAAGACTCTGTCTCAAAAAAAAAAAATTAACTTTAAAAGGGGAAGGAACCCTCAGTTCCAAGAATCGTCGACCCCTTTCCCAAAAAACTAATGAATAATCCATCCCTTGCTTAGCATATAATTAAGAAATAACTATAATTAGTCAAGCAGCCCAAACTGCTGCTCTGCCTATGGAGTAGCCATTCTTTTTTTTCTTTACTTTCTTAATAAACTTGCTTTCAGTTTATGGACTCGCCCTGAATTCTTTCTTGTGCGAGGTCCAAGAACCCTCTCGTTGGGCCTGGATCGGGACCCCTTGCCAGTGAAAGCATCTTATTTGCTTTTTAGTTTGTGTTTCCATCATCATTGTTTATTTGCCATTTATGCTTTCTTTTTTGTAAAATGTCTGTTTAGGTCTTTTGTCTCCTTTTCTATTGGATTGTTTGTCTTTTCCTATTGATATTTTGGAGTTCTTTATATATATTATTGTTAGTTTGATGTTTATATATTTAATATTATATTTTCCAATTAAATGTGTTATAATTATCCTCAAAGTTACCCTTAGAAACATAAATCAAATCATGTCTCATTTCTTAAAACTCTCATTACACTTTGAATAAAACCTAAACTTCTTGTGATGATGCAGTGAACACTGTGATTAACTCTCGACAACCATCCCATCTCCGTAGCACTGAGGAGAAACAATACAATTTGGGGAACTGACCAGTGTACTAGGGACAGGCTTCATTGAGGTAAGGGTAATCCCATCTCCTAACCAATGATTGGTTCAGGAAAAGGCATGTGATCTCCTTTTGGACTACAAAATTCAGGGAGAGATTTGCTGAAAGCTTCTGGGAAAGTTGGCCTTCACTCTTAGGAGGGAGTAAGAAAAAGCCAGACTTTTTTCCACTGGACTTGAAAGAGGAAGTGAAACTGCCTTTGCAAAAATTATAACAGTGAGAAAATTATGACAATGAAAAAGATCTGATCTAATAACTCCCATATTGCCTTTAACCTCCAAACTGTTCTTGTTCATTCCTGGGCTTGGGCCAAGCTAACTTTGGGAGAAACTTAGTTTATAGTTTAAATCATAATAGCCTTTCCCCAAATTAAACTGCCTTTGTAAAACTAATAAAAGATCATCAAGTTAGGAGGATTAGAGCAGCATGGATTCTGCTAAGATCTAGGTGCAAATAATGACCAGCCATTATTAGAGGTCACAAGATTTGCATCTTCCTCAGTTACTCCTACTGATAACATCACTACTGTAGAACATCTACTATTGTAGAACCTAAGATTGGCCTTTTGAGATGTCTTTTCAGGCTTTCGCGTTTCTGACAACCAGATAGCCTCACCCAGACCCATGACTCTTGACTCAACTGGTCCTGTGGCCCCCACCCAGAAGTAGACTCAACACACAAGGACTGGAGTTTCCACATCCCTATGATCGTATCCCCAACCAATCAGCTGAACCCATTCCTTTGCCTGCCAAACTGTCTTTGAAAAACCCTAGCCTCTGTGTTTTCAGGGAGGCTGATTTGAGTAATAATAAAGCTCTGGTCTCCTAATTAGCTGGTTCTGCGTGTATTAAACCCTTTTTCTATTGCAATTCCCCTGTTGTGATAAATTGGCTCTATCTGGGCAGCAGGCAAAATGAACCCAATGACCTTGTTAAGTGCTGCTTGTTTCTATAAGGCCCTTGCCCTTGCTTTCTCCCACAGGTCCTCACAAAGCCAGATCTTTATTGCCATTCAGTTTCAGGACAAATAGTCACCTCCTTAAAGAGGCCTTTAATGCCACTACTCCCCCTGGCCAGTCACTATCACATCATTGTGTTTTATTTTCTTTATGTCACTATTTGAAATTATCTGCATATATTTGTTTATTGTCTAACTCCCCCACTAGAATGCAAGCACCAGAAGGGAAAGACCTTGTCTATATGGTTTTCCTGTGTATTTCTGTATCTAATACAGTGCCTGACATGTAATAATGCTCTATGAATTTTTTTTCTTTTTTTTTGAGACAGGGCTTCACCATGTTGGTCAGGCTGGTCTTGAACTTCTGGCCTCAAGTGATCCACCTGCCTTGACCTCCCAAAGTGCTGGGATTACAGGTGTGAGCCACCACACCCAGCTGAATTTTTTTGTATTAATCAAAAAATAATGATTAATTTTGTTGTGTTCATTTTCCCTGTTAGATTGAAGCTTCTTGAGGTCAAGGACTAGTCTCCTTCATTTTTTGTATTTCAAGTGCCTAGTACAGTTGCTGCCAATCAGTAGGTGTTCAACAAGCAGTTAAATAAATGAATGAAAGAGAGAAATTTGGGGAAAATATAATGTCAACCTATTCCCTTTATGGGAAATATAATTTGAAGTTGATTCTCTCTCATTTTTTTTTTTTTACTGATATAGGAGAATTTTGTGAGTAGAGTCATATCCCCATGAGTAAAAGATGCATACCTTTCAAAGGGCTTCATGATTTGACTGTAAACCATTTTTTCAACCTCATCTCTTATCTCCTATATACATTTTTTCCCCTGCCATTTACTCTATGCTACTGCCACACCAAATTCTAGAGCAGCCGAATTTTATGAAAGGGATACATTCCTGAAATCTTCACATAAAATTTAAAACTTGCAAAATCCAAGACTGTTTTTCTCATAGCAATAAATGTGAATTTATTGAAGGAAAGATACTATTTTTCCAGCTAAAATGGCTCCACCATGTGGCACTAGCATAAACAGTTTCTAACTCACTTTACCACCACCAGGTTTGAAAGTATGCAATTCCTGACAAATATTAAATATTACAAAGGTTTCACACCACTTCAAATTTTGTGTATATAATGAAGTACTATTAATGGTTTATAATGAATGATTTCAAATTTGCATAACTCAAATGGTCATAAAACTCAAACTTTTTCATTGTTCTTGAATCAGACTCAAGGCCATTCATGCCTCTACCTTTGCATATGTTGTTTCCTCTGCCTAGAATGCTCTGTGAAGTGCTAGCACCTAGAGCAGTGACTGGCAGAAATGTTATATCCAGAGGTGAGAATAATGTGGGTGTAAGCAACAACATTCAAGAACATTGGATCACGTTTCAAAAAAAAAACCCCAAAATAATCTACAACTAATGTTGAATATGCTGAAACATTTAAAACCTGAATCTAAAGTTCTTTGGGCTGAAGGAGAGGCCACAGGTTGGGTTAAGCCCACATGGAGTTTAGGAGTGGCAGGGAAGGTGGATGTCAGAAAGCTGCCAGTTCTCCTGGACACAGATGGGTGCACGCCACATTCTGGAGAAAAGTTATAGTGAAGGGATATAGGCTCCTGTGGGCCCAAAAAGCCCCAGGATCCAATATCTCAAAGTTTTGGCAGGGTCACACCTGCTGGCTTTGCTCATCTCAGGGAGGTGGGAATTACAAGGATAAGAATGGGGATGAGAGTGGAAGGGGAAAAATAATTTTCCCAAACTCCACCCAGGTCATTCTAAATCAGGAGTTGAAAACGCAAATATCCATAGGCAATAAATGTAACACTTTTTCCCCCTCTTTTGATGCAGAAATTACTATCATGGGAAAACAACAATTTTTTTTTCTTTTTCTTTTTTTTTTGAGAGGGTTCGGTTCTGTTGCCCAGGCTGGGGTGCAGTGGCACAATCTCTGCTCACTATAACCTCTGCTTCCCAGGCTCAAACCATTCTCCCACCTCAGCCTCCCAAGTAGCTGGGACTATAGATACACACTACCATGCCTGGCTAATGTTTGTATTTTTGGGAGAGATGGGGTTTTGACACGGGATTTTTCTCGGCTGCTTTGCCAGCCAGAGACCTCTGGCCAGTGATGCCCCTGTCCTGGCCTTGCTTGGCACTGGGCTTGCTGCAGGAGGCATCCAGCCCACTCAGCCCATAGGCTGTGCCTGGTTTGTGCTCCAGCATGGATCCCACAGGCACCACAATTGCATGCTCAGCCCCCAGTGGGAAGGGGTGTGTGGGTGAGCGAGTGCAGGGTCTGGCCAGCAGCTCCAAGTGCTGGCATAGAAGCGGGCTCCATGTGGGGCTTGCAGTTGGACCACACCTGTCGCAAGAGACTCCTGTGGTGGACTCTGGCATCCAGGTGAGGGGAATGTGGTGGTGCCCAAATAGGGAAGCCTGTGACCCTGAAGCCCCAGAGGGGGTGTTACAACATGCTAACAGCTCTTTTAGTCTGGGGTTAACAGTTCTATCAGTCCCACTGCCCTGCTCTAGCCCATGGCTCTGGGTTGGCCCAGCCCTGTCATAGTGTGGGGCAGCTGCCAGGTGCCAATGCAGGGCAGAGGGCTACAGTGTTACTGCCTTTTCATATTTGCATTCAGCAGGGTCCCACTTCCAAGAAGAATGAGACTACACTGACAATCAAAGGGTGAGGAGGGCGGAGAAGAGTTTTATTGAGCAATGAAATATCTCTCAATAGAGAGGGAATGCGAGAATGGTCTGCCACCTGAAGTTGGGTGGTCTCTCTCCCAGTGTGGCTGGGTCCGGGGCTTTTATGGGCTCAGAATGGGGCAGCGTGTGCTGATTGGTTTGTGGGTATGGCAAAAAGGCTGAAACAAAGGCACAACAGTGTCAAAAATCAATTAGGGAAGGGTAGGTATATGTAAATTAGGTGAAGGATGGGGCTCAGTCAGAGGAAACCATGCCAAACAGGAAGAGGGGTTCTCAATCCAGTCCATGGATTCATCCAAGACTTGTAGCTTGGCTTTCAGGCTTTAAACTGTCTTTGGCTTGAAGGTGGGATTTCACCGGGGACCCACCCCTATCTGCCTAGGCATTTGACTGCCTCCTGTCACTATCGGTTTCACCATGTTGCCCAGGCTGGTCTTGAACTCCTGGATTCGAGTGATCTGCCTCCTTGACCTCCCAAAGTGGTAGGCATGAGCCACTGCACCTAGCCAAAACAACAATATTTTAAAGAGAAGGCAGCTACCCAGATTTGGATCTGAAACTTCCCAGTTATAAATATTGTCTCAAAAAAAAAAATTCTTTTGAGACAGCGTCTTGCTCTGTCACCCAGGCTGGAGGGCAGTGGCATGATCATGACTCACTGCAGCCTCAACCGCCCAAACTCAAGCAACCCTCCCATCTCAGACTCCCAAGTAGCTGGGACTAAGGTGCACACTATCACACTGGCTAATTTTTGTATTTTTTATAGACATAGGGTTTTGCCATGTTGCTCAGGCTGATCTCCAACTCCTGAGCATTCTGCCTGCCTCAGCCTTCCAAAGTGCTGGGATTCCAGGCATGAGCCACTGCCCGGCCAGCTCAAAAATTTTAAATTACCATGCAGGCCAAACAAAACGTCTCAAAGCTGAATTTGCTCCAGTAGACTACCAATGTGTGAACTCTGAAGCTGACTATCACATCTAGTGAAATATAAGGAGGCTTCCTGACCAAGGCAAATCTTGGAGTTAGTGGGACAACACTTAAGTATGAATGAGTTTCATAGAATTGGAGAATGTTTGTGTTAGATTCTAGCCTAGACTTCCATTCAACATAAAAACCTGGTCTTTTCTATTGAAATAGAAGTAGTTGCGGCCGGGCACAGTGGCTCATGCCTGTAATCCCAGCACTTTGGGAGGCCGAGCCAGGCGGATCACCTGAGGTCAGGAGTTCGAAACCAGCCTGGTCAACATGGTGAAACCCCGTCTCTACTAAAAATACACAAGTTAGCTGGGTATGGTGGCCAGGTGCCTGTAATCCCAGCTACTTGGGAGGCTGAGGCAGGAGAATTGCTTGAACCTGGGATGCAGAGATTGCAGTGAGCCGAGATCACGCCATTGCACTCCAGCCCGGGGGACAAGAACGAGACTTCATCTCAAAAAAAAAAAAAAAAGAAGTAGTTGACAAACACATGTCAAAGATTGGTGGACAGCAAAGGAGGAGACACAGGGTGGAAAATTTGCCTTGAGACTGGCCTTGTTTGCTTTAACTTGGTAGAGTGGCATGGAAGCAACAGGCAGAAGGCATATCTGCAGTGGCAAATGGTGCTGCCTCACAGGATTTATAAAGATTTTCTTTTCTTTCTTTTTAGAGAGAGCTGAGTACAGCAGTGTGATCATAGCTCACCGCAGCCTCAAACTCCTGGGCTCAAGTGATCCTCCCGTCTCAGTCTCCTGAGTAGCTAGGTCTAAAAGTGTCTGCCACCACATTCAGCTAATTTTTTATAAAACTTTTTCTTTCTTTTTTTTTTTTTTTTTTTGTAGTGGTGGAGTTTCACTATGTTGCCCAGGCTGGTCTTCAACTCCTGGCCTTGAACTCAAGGCAGGAATCCTCCCACCTCAGCTTCCCAAAGTGCTGGGATTACAGGCAATATTTTCTTTTTTAATATTAGAGACTTCATACTAGAATTCTGTTTCTGGTTGCTTTGTCCCACGAGGTGTCACCGGGCTGTACAACATCTCTTCTGGCTGGAATAAGAAGGATAGAACACAGAATTTTCTTCTTGGAGAAATGTCTTCCTGGGTAGGTCATTTGGGGGTAACCCACTGGGAAACCGGTTTTATTCTGTACCTCCTCACCATGCCCATATGGGGGCTGAGTGCATGGGTGTGAATTGCTGGGTGGAAATCTGGTAATAAGGGTGCCACCCTGATGATGAGGACAGAGCAGGAGGCCAGCAAAGAGATGATGATAGAAATCTCTGGGCATGGGGTGGAGAAATGTAATCGCCAGTATGGAAAGGGTGGCAATAGCTGTAAAACTGGTCCCCTCCACCTTCCCCAGTGATTCCATCTCCTCCTGAGCTCTTACTCTTGCAATTGTATCCTCTCTGACACATATTTAATCTCTCATCTGTACTGGTTCCTTCCTCTCATCCTCCAGTAGACACAAATTTACCCTTTCTCCCCAAAGAGCTTCCCTAATATTTACCTCCCTCTCAACTCATTACGATGTGGCTTCTGCCCACCCTTCCCTTCCACTAAAACTGCCCTCTCTAAGGTTGCCTGTAACCCAGTTGCCAAAACCAATCTTACTTGACTTTCTGCAGCTTTTAATTCAATTCACTGTCCTCTCCTTGCCTTCCTGGGATTCCAGGACATAACTCCCCGGGTCTCCTACTTCGCTGACTGATCTTTCTATTTCTGCTGGCTCCTCTGTCTTCACCCATACTTTAAACATTATCATTTTCAGAGCTAATACTACTCCCATATGGCATCCTTATAAGAAGTTGTGAAAGGGGCCAGGCGTGGTGGCTCATGCCTTTAATTCCAGCACTTTGGGAGGCCGAGGTGGGCAGATCACGAGGTCAGGGGTTCAAGACCGGCCTGGCCAACATGGTGAAACCCCGTCTCTCCTAAAAATACAAAAATTAGCCGGGTATGGTGGTGCGTGCCTGTAATCCCAGCTACTCAGGATGCTGAGGCAGGCAAATTGCTTGAACCCAGGAGGTGGAGGTTGCAGTGAGCCGAGATTATGCCACTGCACCCCAGCCTGGGTGACAGAGTGAGACTCATCTCAAAAAAAAAAAAAAAGTAGTGAAAGGTACATCATACTCTGTGCACAGCCTGGGCCAGGGTGCATGGCTTGGCAAGCAGAGCCTGGACTGCATTTTAGTCCCTACTCACCACACTCAGCCTGGTGCCCTTGTGCCATGAACACCCTGTGCAACTGCACATTGCAGCCCAGGGCACTATCTGTGGTCTTCATCTCTTTATTGCTCTATCCTCTTTCCCTCTGTAACCCTGCTGACTTTCATTGTTCCACCTCGAACCTATGTGTCTCATCTAATCTCTAGACATCTTTTCATCTACGTCCTGAACTTCTCTTCCTGGGTGTCCTGTGGGGCATCCTAATTTTGCTATGGCCCAAACTCAGTTCAGATCTGCACACTTGCAAATATGCAAATATGCCTATTTTTCTGTATGCCCTCTCTTGGTTAATGACACCACCTTCCATCTTCTTATTCCGCTGAAAACTTCAAGATTATCAATGCCTCTTCCCTTTCCGCAATGTAAGGCTTTTGTCCTCTCCCAAGTTCACTACTGGAAGAACCTTCTAACCAGTTTCCCTATCTCCAGAGCCCCTCCCCTCCAAATTACTCTCCCCACTGCCACCAGGTTTCTTTTTTTACACAGACTTGAGCATATTTTTCCTTTGTTTCAAAACCCATTTTGTCTTCTAATTAACCATAAGATAAAGTCCAGATGCTCAGGCATTGAACATAAAACCCTTTATATCTTGGCCCAAACCTACAAAACTTTTCCAGTCCTACACCTTGCCTCTGCTCCCAAAACATGCCTTGCTCTTAGCCACATCCGATTATGATGCACCCTTTCTTGAACATGATTTTATTCACTGCGCCTTCGCTGGTGCCTTGAATGCCCTTCTCCTGTTCTTTGACTTGTAAAAATCTCATCCACTCTTCAAGATCATGCTCTCTTGTCACTTCTATTTTCAGGCACCCTTTGGCCCTAATTGACAGTGCTCTCCTCATTGCTTCTACAGTCTACAGCACTATTGGTATGCTACTACAGATAGTCTAAAAGTTGTTTTGCATCTCTTTCCTACTACATTGAGTTTCTTAACGGCAAGATTAAGCTTTGTTCGTCTCTATGTCATCAGCAGTTTGTCCAGTGCCTAGTACATGTTAGATACTGAATAAAAATTTATGACTTGAATTGGGCAGGATGCTTGAACATCATTTTGTGAAAGGACCAGTGATTTCTTTCTGTATAATTTTCAGCCTCTTCTTTTTCAGATATTGAAAGAACCTCAGAATAGGATGGTTGATGGGCCCACTTAAGATAGTTGCTATGTTATAGCCCCAATTTTTAGCCGAGTCTCTCTAGGGACATAGAAACCGTGCTTTCTCAAATGACTGATTGGTGCCTGAGTATGGATTTTTCCAGATATCAGAGTTCCTTAGAACTGCGATGATTTTCAATCTAAGAAGACCTAGATTCTAGGTTACACACACACACACTCAACCTCATCGTTTTGAATAGCAGATACAGGGTTTCAGTGTTTTTGTTTTACTCTCTGTGGGTTCTATCCCAGCATCTTACTAAGGGCTGAGATTTCAGGGCATGAAACACGGAATCAACAAAAACAAGGTTTTTACAATCTCAAAACTTTGGGAAACTGTTGAGTTATCTTGAAAGCCTAGAGGGGGAGCATCAGTTAGTTTTGTAGAGAACTCGGCGAAACAATATTGATGCATACGGCTAGCCTCTGTCATCCTCCTGAGTTAAACCCAACGGGACATGCTGGACTATACAGGAGCCACTCGTGGACTCCGTGAAGACCAGATGGGTAGTGTTCTTGAAATGAGCAGATGTCTATTTGTAGAACTCTGGTAGTAGCTTTGGAGTGGGTGGGGAAGAGCTTGGTTCCCATTCCCCCTCAAAGACAATTATTTGCTTCTGATGAGAATCCAAGCAACAAGTTGCCATTGAGAATGCAGTGATTGGTCAGCAAACGAAGCCTATAGGAAGAGCCTTCGGGTGCATTCCTTGTGACATATCGACCCGTCCTAAGCCCGACGCTTAATTATGGGACCTCTCAGCTCCTCCCTCCCGCCTCGAGCTCCCTTTTGGCTTCTCACAAGGCTTCCTGGGGACGATTCCCCGATGCTAGAGTACTGGGGGTCTGGGCCCACAGGGAACCCGTCAGCCTCCCTCCTTGGAGCGGGCCTGATCCCGGGAGGGCGCCCGCGCGGCCCGGAGGCGGGAACCTAGGGGGAGAAGGCGCCGGCGCCGCCCTGGCGCGCAGACCATCTGTGCGGTCCTGCGCGGGGGCAGGCGCGGCCTCAGCCCCCGGGCGCTGGCGGACCCAGCGCGTCAGCTAGGCCGCCCCCGTCGGCCCTCCCCCGGGCGGGGCCAGCCCCGACGGCGCTGACTCAGCAACGCGAGGGGGGAGTTTTGTCCCTCCGCGGACCCCGTTTCTCCCAGCCTCAGCCTCCCCGCCGCCGCCGCCGCCGCCGCCGCCGAGCCGGTTTCCTTTTTCCGGCGCTCCGGGTGCGAGAGACAGGTCGGGCCCCCTAGGCAGCGAGCCGCAGCGCAATCCCGGCGCTCGCCCAAGGACCCTGGAAGCTACCGTTACCCCGCCGGGCAGCGTGGGCGCCATGAGCAGCTCGGGTGAGGTGCCGCCGTCCCCCGCCGCGGTCCTCTGGAGGAGCTCCGCGGTCCCCGTGAGGCCCGGCGGCGGGGAAGGCCGGGGGCTGGGACCCTTGGCGATGGCGGGGAGGGAGCTTTCGGGGCAGGCTGGATCGGCCTGGAGGGAGACAGCTCCTTGGAGGAGGATGCCGCTTATGGGTTTCCCCGCTGCAGCGGGCACCCCAGGATGCGCTTACGAAGTTAGATTCGGGACGCGGGAGCCCCAGATCAGCCCTTTCCCCCTCTTTTTGCGTTAAAATCCTGTTTGGTCTCCCAACAGGACTGAATTCGGAGAAGGTAGCTGCTCTGATACAGAAACTGAATTCCGACCCCCAGTTCGTACTTGCCCAGAATGTCGGGACCACCCACGACCTGCTGGACATCTGTCTGAAGCGGGCCACGGTGCAGCGCGCGCAGCATGTGTTCCAGCACGCCGTGCCCCAGGAGGGCAAGCCAATCACCAACCAGAAGAGCTCAGGTGTGGGCTTCCACTTCTCCCATACGTTCCTTGACCTTCCTGACAGCGTCCCATTTTGGTGTCTTATTTAAGAGTGGTCTTAAATTCGTACTGAAAGAACTGGTCGTAAATTCGTAAAGAATGAGGCACAGGTACAGGCAGGTCTAAGAACATTACCCATGTGGTTTGTTTTGCTGTTCTGTGGCTTGTTAGTACATGCGGTTAGAGTACAAAAGTGACATGTCCATGAGTATACGTTTGAGTGTAATTGACTATATTATGTTCCAATGCTGTGTGGTTTGTAGCCCGTGTCTTGGAGATGTATGGTCTTGGTCACAAAACAGAACATGTGAAAATGTTCATATCTTTGGAGGACTCCCCAGAAATGCCCTGAAGGCCCTATACTATGAAATAGAAAAGATACAATGTAATTACATTAAAATGTCATCAGATGTTACTTTTAAATATGCTTCTTGGTTACAACTGAAGCTAATGTGCTGATGGGCTCAGTTCCCACCAGTAGATCAGTTTGTAATACAGAAAAAAGTTCTGTTCTCATGCCTTGCTGGTCAAGAAGTCTCGTTTTGCTATCTGCTTTCTAGCACCACTCTCAGAAAAAACAGGTATAGTGAAAGATTGGATATCCAGCAATCTAAATAAGGAGCACATTCTCACAACAAAATTGTACTAAACGGATTTTTTAAAGTCTTTCTATACTTAAAAACGACCCCCCAGTCTATCTATACGGACAGGAAGCACATCAGTGCTTGTTTAGAGTCGGTTAGAACTCACAAAGCACACATTTAACGTGAGTACATTTTATTGTATGTACATTATACCTGAATAAAGTTGATTTTTTAAATGTTAAGGAAAAAGTCAAGACCTTACAATAATTAATGTTTTGCTTTAGAAGAAAGTGCTTGGAGTGGTGTGGGCTCTCAGGCTACAGATGATCCAGTTAGTAATGTCACAGTGGTCCTACATAGTTTAGATTGCAGTGACCCGTTAGGGAACAGGTCAGGTCTTACACATTTTGCAGTGTCACTTTTACATACAAAAGATCCAAATAGCATGTGAGTTGTGTAGTTTATTTTCATGCAGTTTTCACATCACCAGTGCATCCAGATCCCCTCTACTAGAAATATATAGCATATAGAAGAGAGGTGACATACAGGTAAATGTAAGGTAAAGACGAACTAATAGGCACTAGTGACTTTCATAAAACACTATAGTTAACTAGAGTTTTCTTCTTGTTACAAAATTATTTTTGTTTAATGTAGAATATTTGTAAATACCAAGTAAATATTTTTCTTGTATATTTGTCAAGTTTTGTGTGTGTGTGTGTGTTTAATAGTGTTTAATATGCATTGATACCTTATACATTGTTATGTAAGCTACCTATCTTTTTCACTTACCAATATATTATAAACATATTTTCATATTAGTAAAAAGGTTATACCCAATACAAGTCAAAGTTTTTCCCTCAGAATTTTCCCTCAGAAAAGAGATAATTTCCCTGTATTTAAGACCTTAAAAGACTTTTCTAATGGCGCTCTCAGTTAATTTATTTTGAAGTAGAGTACAATTTGGAGAAGGCATTACTCTGAAAAATGGATTCTTTATTTGATACGTAAAGAGTGTTTTTGTGTTAAAGATATTAAACCTTTGCATATATATTGCTAATAATAATTACCACCTTTCTTGTTTTGTTTTTAATCTTTCTGCTCTTTCTGATTTACTCTTTCTGAATTGTCCAGATCGTGTCATGAGTTCATTGGTGGGAAATACAGTTGGAGCAGTGCAGTCTATGTGAACCCTCATAATTTCTTGATGTGCTTTCTTGTTTCAGGGCGATGCTGGATCTTTTCTTGTCTGAATGTTATGAGGCTTCCATTCATGAAAAAGTTAAATATTGAAGAATTTGAGTTTAGCCAATCTTACCTGTTTTTTTGGGACAAGGTATGGGACAGATCTGGCAAGATTCTTTTTGTATTGATATCAGCCTTGGTAGGGACTGCCTCTTCTTTTGTAGCTTTTCCAGTTATAGCCTGCCCTTTCATAATAGGTGAGACACCTTTTATTCTGACTTCCAGAGTATCAAAAGTTGACTCTTTCAAAGGCAGAACTGTTTTTGGTTGGTAGGTGGCCATTTTTTTGCAATGAAATAAGTTTACTGACTCATCTTACTGCTTGCTTGTCTATTTAAAATTTTAAATTTTATATTCAATATTCAATTCAATATATCTCCCTTTTTAACATCTTTTTAGGTTATTTGTTCTTTTCTAGGACCTAATTTCCCTCTCAAGAACTTGTCTGAAAAACAGTAAATAATTTTATTTGATTGTTTATTTGTTTATTTATTTTTTTGAGACAGTCTCACCCTGCCACCCGGGCTAGAGGGCTGTGGCACAGTCTCGGCTCACTGTAACCTCTGCCTCCTGGGTTCAAGCCATCCTCTCAACTCAGCCTCCCAAGTAGCTGGAATCACAGGCACATGCCACCATGCCCAGCTAATTTTTGTATTTTTAGTAGAGACAGGGCATTTCACCGTGTTGGTCAGACTGGTCTCGAACTCCTGACCTCAAGTGATCTGCCTGCCTTGGCCTCCCAAAGTGCTGGGATCACAGGTGTGAGCCACCACTCCTGGCCATATTCCATTTCCTAATCTTCAAAATGTATATTACTGACCTGGTTTGGTGGCTCATGCCTGTAATCCCAGCACTTTGGGAGGCTGAGGTGAGAGGATTGCTTGAGCCCAGGAATTTGAGACCAGTCTGGACCTGGCGAAACCCCATCTCTACAAAAAATACAAAAATTAGCCACGCGTGGTGCACACCTGTCCTCCCAGCTACTCAGGAGGCTGAGGTAGGAGGATTGCTTGAGCTCAGGAGGTTGAGGCTGCAGTGAGATTGCACCACTGCACTCCAGCCTAGGCAACAGAGCATGACCCTGTCTAAAAATAAATAAGTAAATAAAATATATATTACATAGGTGTTCATTAAATGTTTTGTTTTAGCATTGGAATGTAAACACTGTACACATATACACAATATATTGGGATACATACACAGGTAAAAGAAGAAACTTCAGATATTCTGATGAAGTCAGATACTGATGTTTATTTACCAATTTTAGTTTAAAAATACTTATTATGGTGCTTGTTTCAGCATCGTAAGTCCCCAAACTGGGGTGATACAGAAAAGATTAGCATGGCCTCTGTACAAGGATGACATGCAAATTCATGAAGGTTTCATGTTTTTAAAAAGAAAAAAAACTATTATGTTGATTCCATGGTAATTCCAAGACTCCCATTCTGTTGATAATGCCAATAAAATTATTGACACTTTTTTCTTTTAATGTTATTTAACTTTCTTTACTCTTTAGGTTGAACGCTGTTATTTCTTCTTGAGTGCTTTTGTGGACACAGCCCAGAGAAAGGAGCCTGAGGATGGGAGGCTGGTGCAGTTTTTGCTTATGAACCCTGCAAATGATGGTGGCCAATGGGATATGCTTGTTAATATTGTTGGTAAAAGTTCTTTCTTTAATGGAACTGAAACTCAGCATGATTAAGTAAGCCTGTAGTTAGGCATGGGCCAATTCTTTGGTGGTTGTGTACAGAGTAGAATTGGTCTCCAAGAAGGATATATAGTTATTTCTAAGGACCTTTAGTTCACATTCTCACCTATAAAGTGCCTTCTTAAATGAGGATTAAGGAGAGAGCTACTGTGAAGGATGGGTTGGAGAAGAAAAGGTAGTATTAAGGAGAACTAATTTTCCATGAAAAAATTGTTTTCTTCTCCATTGATGTAATCAGGAAACACATTAAAACTGTAGCTGTGTTAAAATGTCTTCAAAACATCTTTTGGGGAAATCTCATCATGCTGAGCACTTTACAAAAGTATGATAGATACACTTGAGCTTGACCAAAAGGCTGAGAAGTGACAAAGTATAGTAGATAAAAAGGATAACATAGACAGATAAATATGCACATTAAAAACCTACTTAGGCTGGGTAAGGTGGCTCAGGCATGTAATCCTAGCACTTTGGGAGACCAGGGCAGGAGGATTGCTCAAGCCCAGGAGCTCAGTACCAGCCTGGGTAACATAGTGAGACCCTGTCTCTACAGAAAATAAAACAAATAGCTGCACATGGTATCATGCACCATAGTTGCCGCTACTCAGGAGGTCAAGCCTGGGAGTTCAAGGCTGCAGTGGGCCAGGATCGTGTCACAGCACTCCAGCCTGAGTGACAGAGCAAAACTCTGTCAAAAACAAAAAACAAAAAACAAAAAACCCTGCTTCATAATATGAAGTATAAGATTTTCTGAAGTAAGCCAGCAAAATATCGCCTATTTTTTGAAACAATCACTATTTTTGCCAGGGTTTCTAATTTTTTACCTTCTTTAACACTAGAATTTGTTTTCTTTTAGAAAAATATGGTGTTATCCCTAAGAAATGCTTCCCTGAATCTTATACAACAGAGGCAACCAGAAGGATGAATGATATTCTGAATCACAAGGTACAATATATGAAGCAGGGTGGGATTGAGTTTAGTGTACTTTCCTTCAAACTTATTTTTTAAAAGGGGTTCCTGGGTATCTCTGTATACAGTTTGTGTACAAGATAACTACCAATGTCAATGTCTGTCAAAAGCAATGTAGCTACTTAATAACTTTAAAAATAATTAATATTAGAGGGTTTTTCCTTTTAAAAAACTTCCACTTTTATTTCTGTTGATGTTAATGTTTTCTTAGGGGGATAGTTAGGAAATAAAGTCCCATGTCCAATTAATATTGGCCACAAGCACACAGGGTGCGGTGTCTCTCACTTGGTTCTAGTGGAGGTGGGCTAGGACTGCTTTATGTGCTAGTAAAACCAAAAAGAGCTATTCGCAAGATTCCCTTAAAGAGTGTGCTGTGTTCTGAGACTTCCCCAGACCACATCAATGTGGTTTATCCACCCACTAAAGATTTGTTGTAGTTATTGAACTGCTTTTTATTTGCTTCAGTTATCTTAATGAATCATTGTGTCTTCTCTACATAACCAGTTTTCCCTAGGAGAGTTATAATTCCTACGGGGATGCTGCTTTGCTAGCCAGGCATGGTTTTTGAGAACTGGGAGTTGCCAGAATCTGCTGTCCTAATCCATGAGGCTGAAATTGGATTTTTCATCTCCCTGGGAGAAAGATTACATTTTAAAATCAACTATAGGTGTGTCTCCCCAACATTAGAAGTAGACTATTTTCCACCCTGGAAACGCTGGGGATTCTTATCCAAAGGCTAAAAGATCATTAATAGTACGGCATTTGATTCCATTTGAAGTCAGAGCAACATCCTCTTTAGCACTGTGGTTAAATTTCAGACTCACCTTTATCTTGGTGAAAAAATGAAATGAAAAAATGAAAATTTTATTGGGGGCTGGCATAACCATAGTCATAGTCAGCCGGCAGAGAAGGAAAAATGGACAGCTATTGAAATTCTAAGTAAAAATCTATGAGAGTAACATAGTGGCATAATTATCTTGTCTCCTGCTTTTTCTGAGTGATAGGCATTATGTGATCACATGTTTTCCCCATGCCCAGACACATAAAACACCTTTATGCGATGTTTGCAGAGAAGGAGCAGTTCCGTCTAGTATTTTGGAGGAGTAACTTATGCCTTTTCTCCTTATGGAAAGCATTTTTAGCTATGTGTTTAAGTGGACAAGTTGAAGAAAAACACATTTGCCTTTATGAACTCTGTCATGGGTCTGGCCTGAGTTATACCTCAAAATAGAACTTGCGTTGGTCTATGAGAGTCATTTACAATTGAATTCGGGTAACTGTTGGAGTGCTGAATAAGTTTCTGTCATAGATGAGAGAATTCTGTATACGACTGCGGAACCTGGTACACAGTGGAGCAACCAAAGGAGAAATCTCGGCCACACAGGACGTCATGATGGAGGAGGTAATAACAAAATTTGGATTTTTTTGTGACCCCTCTAAGGAACTCTCAGAATATTCCCATCTGTTAAAGTAATGATTAGGAAGCTTTAGTCATGGCAACGAATGTTTAATTGAATTGAAAATTACTTATTTTACACTGAAAAAACTGAGCTTAAAACTTACTTTGCCTTTTAGTGTAGGACTTGGACTTGGATTTTCTAATTCGTAGTTTAGTGGTCTGTATAATCATTCTTTTATCATTTCATAAATATTAAATACCTTCTATGAGTTTGGCACTGAGGAAACAGATGAGAAAGACATAGTCACTGCTCTTAAAGAGCTCAGTCTCTTGGGAAAAAGAAAACACATCTATAATGATGATAAATCCTATGCTAGATGTGTAAAAACTGATTTGGTGGTCATAGAGGAGGGAGTGACTAGCTCAGTGAGCTGAAGCTTTCATAGGGAAGATAGCTCTTGAAAGAGTAGTCAGAATTTACCAGGTAGATAACAAGACCATTCTAGGCAAAAGGAATTGTATGAACAGTGCCATAAACAAAGATAGAACCTTCAGGGAATCATGTGGCTGAAACATAACTTTTTTCAGTATGATGGGTAGCAAATTAAGCTAGAAAGGCAGAGATGTAAGGGATGTTGGATCGATGCCAGAACATTTGGCTTCTTTCTGTAGAAATAAAGACGGAGCTATTGATGGTTATATTTGTTAATGTATGTAAAAACATTTTAGAAAATGTAAAAAGCACTAAAATATGAGGTGGTAATATTATTTATGATCAAGACAGTTAAGAAACTTTATTATTAATACTATCCATGTCCAGAATGAATATGCATAAAACTGCAATTGGTTTGAGGAAAGAATAAATGTTTCCGTTTGTCAGCCAGTAGGCCCTTTATTAGGCTTCCTTTCAAGACTGTATGGAGTTAAAATGGCCTACTTTTTTTCACTGCGATGGAAAACACTAATGCTTCACTTGTGTTTTCCTTTAAATCTTAGAGATGCAGCATAGTGGAGCAGTGGAGTGTGTAATCTCTGAAGTCAGGCTATCTGAGCTCTAGTCTTCTCATTACTTTATATCCTGGGACAAGTTCCTTAAGCTCTAAAGGCTCAGTTCATATTTAACATGTCTAGCCTAGTGCTTGGCACAATAGCTGTTTCTTAAGTATTTGTTGAGTGGACGAATGCAGAAATTTCATTTACCAAATGCATTTAAATAATCTCATTTTTATCTCTTAAATTCTTACAGAAGAGAGGCATCTTAGTATAGTAGGAAAAAATAGGCTTTGGAGTCAGACATACATGGGTTTAAATTCTGACTCTTTTACTTAACAGTCTGTGATCCTAGGTAAGTTACTTAACCTGTCTGAGATTCAGTCAGGATCTGAAATATTTTCCTTATTGGATTTTTGGGGAATCAAGGATTAAATGTAAGCATGCAAGGCATAGTGCCTGGCACGTAGCAGGAGTTCTGTAAATGTTACTTCTTCCCTTCTTGCTTGGAATGACTGTCTTGCAGAGGCTATATCTGCTACATAATTTGCCTTTATTTAGGGTTAGATTAAGATGGTGGGGGCCAGGCACGGTGGCTCATGCCTGCAGTCTCAGCACTTTGGGAGGCCAAGGTGGGCGGATCATAAGGTCAGGAGATCAAGACCATCCTGACCAACATGGTGAAACCCCGTCTCTACTAAAATACAAATAATTAGCTGGGCGTGGTGGTATGCGCCTGTAGTCCCAGCTACTCGGGAGGCTGAGGCAGGGGAATCACTTGAACCCAGGAGGCAGAGCTTGCAGTGAGCCGAGATTGTGCCACTGTACTCCAGCCTGGTGACAGAGTGAGACTCCGTCTCCAAAAAAAAAAAAAAAAAAAAAGATGGAGGTATAGTAGGAATGAAGGTTCTGCAAACAGTTGTGGAAAAGGGCCCAGATAATACTTGCTGTAGATAATAAGCATCCTTTTGGCTTTTGATGTTTGCTTTAATGATCTTTGAACTAATGATGTGTCTAAGATTGATGTCCTCATCATTGGTAGAGCGTGGTAATTGGCTGGTAAGAATTAGGGCAGATATGTTTCACATATTTTTTTCCTCCCCTACTCCTGCCTCAGAGAAATAGTAGATCCAACTTTACCAAATCCTGAGTATGAATGTTTTATAGGATTATTTACTTAATGATTCTACCTAAACTATTTACTACAGAATTCTGTGTGTAAGGGTTTTTTCCCCCTTAGAGACAGAGTCTTGCTTTGTTGCCCAAGCTGGAGTGCAGAGGCGCAGTCATAGCTTACTGTAACTTTCAACTCCTGGGCTCAAATGCTGCTTCAGCCACCCAAGTAGCTGGGACTACAGGTGCATGCCACCATGCCCAGCTCATTTATTAAAAAAATTGTGTAGAGATTCAGTCTCACTATATTTCCCAGGCCGATCTCCACCACCTGGGCTCAAGCAGTCCTCCCACCTTAGCCTCCCAAAGATTGTGCATATTATAAAGTGTGAGCCGCCATACCTGGCCCTGTGTATAAGGTTTTAAAATTTTTACAATCCCCCAAATGACTTCTTTTCATTGAACCTGACTCTTTGGTAATGAAGAGTCTAGCTGCAGTTTTAAAGCCCCAAATTAGTACCTATGATTTGTGTAACCTTGTAGGCAAGTCAAAATGATGGCTTAATCAACAGCCGTGAAGCTCAGATAGCTTTGAATAAAATGTGTTTATGCTAAAGGCATTCTTACTGAGAAGTGAGACGCAGGCTGCTTGTTGAGATGACAGGCAAGGCAGATCTGTTTTGGAGATGTGTAGTTACCTCTATTGCAATGTTATCTCAGTGTCCATTTTTTTAGCCTGCGGATCCCCTTAAGATTATTAATGTATTCTCAGTTGGGCGCAGTGGCTCATGCCTATAATCCCAGCACTTTGGGAGGTCAAGGCAGATGGATCACTTGAGGCCAGGAGTTCAAGACCAGCCTGGCCAACATGGCAAAACCCCGTCTCTACTAAAATACGAAAAAAACATCTGGGCATAGTGGTGCATGCCTATAATGCCAGCTGCTTGGGCAGCTGAGACACAAGAATCACCGGAACCCTGCAGGTGGTGGAGACCAAAATTGTGCCACTGCAGTCCAGCCTGGGTGACAGAGCAAGGCTCTGTCTCAAAAAAAAAAAAAAAAAAAAAACCTTGTCTGTTAAAAAGCAAAACATAGCCAGGCATGGTGGTAACACTTGTAGTGCCAGCTACTTGGGAGGCTAAGGCAGATCACTTGAGTCCAGAAACCCAGGAGTTCAAGTGCTACCTGGGCAACCTAGTGAGACCTCATTTCTAAAATCAATCGATCAGTCAATCAAAGACCAAAACCAATATTTGTCAGTGCCACAAAAAGGGAAAAGAAGCCTTTATGATTGACTTAGGAAATTCTATAGCAGTGGCTGTCAGCTATTGAAAACAATATATAGGATAGGCCTAACTTGTCCCAGACTCACAAAGTCAGTTTCCCTGGAATAGAACCTAGTTATCTGTATTTTTATTTTAAAGACATCTTCGATTAAAAAATATATTTTTAACATCAAGTTTATAAAATGTTCAGATGTGTTGGCATATGCTAGGAGGAGGCTGAGGTGGAAGATCACTTGTGCCCAGGAATTCCAGGCTGCAGTGAGCTATGATTGTCACCACTGCACTCCAGCTTGAGTGACAGAGCGAGACCCCATCTCAGAAACAAAAAATTTTTCAGGGTATATTTTGGAAGTGAAGCTGTCAGGACTTGCTGATGAATTGGATGTGGAGGACGAGGAAAAGTATTGGGATAATGTCCTGGGATCTTGAAGGGTGAACTTACAGATAGGAAAGAAGGCTTTTTGGCAATTAGGGCAGTGTGAGGGAACCAATGTGTAGAAAAGGGTAGCAGGTGTGAATGAGAGAAGTAATAATTGAAGAAGCAAGGTTTTGGAAGAGGGAAAGAATAGATGTGGTCTAAAGTAGTGCCATCAGACTTTAATGTGCACATGAATCACCTTGGGATCTTGTTAAAATGCAGATTGATCTAGTAGGTGTGGGGGTGGGGCCAGATAGTCCGCATTTCTGTTTCTTTCTTTGATATAAACACCTCTAGAAGTAATCTCAAGATCATTATTTAACTATTAGTTATCATCTATATGAGTTCATTCCCTTTAACATCACAGAAGTGCACATACTTTTAGAGTGTACCTTTTTATGTCTTTCTGTGCCCGAAAACATTTAATGCCTCCAGAAGGCATCTGCTTTTCTGCCTGCTTAGGTGTTTTACTTTAAAAAAAAAAAAAAAAACAACAAAGAAACAACAAAAAAAAAAACACAGATCTTTGCCCTTCTTTCATTCCCTACCAGAAAGTAGTAGACAGCTGTCTTCCCTTCTCTTCTTCCTCTGTGAATAAACAGTGAATAAACAGTCACTAAGGTAGGTTCCTTACTCCTTCTCTCCTATAACTAGCTCATTTACCCACAGCACTGAACTTTTTTCAAAGTTGAGCTGTTTTCTGTGACTGCTTTAGTGTTCTTATGACCATTCTATTCTTTGATCAATAGGTCGTTTTACCTTTGAGACTACTTTCTCCATCAGTAAAACTAAAAAAAGTTGGGGTAGGCTGTGCATGGTGGCTAATGTCTATAATCCCAGTGCCTTGGGAGGCCAAGGCAGGAGGATCACTTGAGCACAGGAACTTGAGACCAGCCTGGCCAACACAGAGAGACCCCATCTCTACAAGAAAATGAAAAAATTAGCTGGATATGGTGATGCGTGCCTGTAATTCTAGCTACATGGTAGGCTGAGGCAAGAAGATCACTTGAGCCCAGGAGTTCAAGGCTGCAGTGAGCTGTGATTACACCCCTGCACTCCAGCCTGGGTGACAGAGGGACACCCTGTCTCTTAAAAAAATAAAAAGAAGTTGGGGTAAATGATTGTAGGGTTTTGCATTTTTATACAGTAGAAGTAACTAATATTTTTACAGTGCTTTAGACTTTACTGTACTACTTTCTCAAAAACCCAGTATTGCAAATACAAATGAAGACTAAGATTCTGTCTCTTCTGCAGTGGTTTCAAGCACTGAAATCTTCTAGCCTTAACAGTGGAAAGGTAAAATTAGACACAGATAATAAGAACTTAGAATACTAGCATGAGAGTTTGCCCCAATTCAATAGGCAATGAGAAGTCAGGAAGATTTTTAAGCAGAAGAATTATATGAAGTTTTGCTCTCTTTCAAGCAGTTTGGTTGTTATCTTCGAACTACCTTACTGTTCTAACCTCTCCTTCATTCTGTGTCTGCCTGTAGCTGCCTTAAAAACTGTTGAAGGTTCTCACGCTTCTAAGATTTATAACTGACTCTCAACTGCTGCATCTTTCCTTCTTCCTCTCACTTGATGTCTGTCATGGGCGTGGGAATTAACTAAGGCCCATATCATTTGTCTTTAAATTGGGATCTACACATTCTTTCCCCTTATTTCATATCTCATTCTTTTACCTTTCTCTCCTGATTCTGTTTCTTTTACCATGCTACACTTCAGCAAGTCATTTAAAATAAACAGATCTCTCCACTAGGGAGATTTGTTTTTTTATTTTTTTGAGATAGTATCTTGCTTTGTTGCCCAGGCTGGAGTGCAGTGTTACGATCACAGCTCACTGCAGCCTCAACCTCCCAGGCTCAAGTTATCCTCCCACCTCAGCCTCCCAACATGCTGGGATTACAGGCATGAGCCACTGCATCTGGCCTGAAAATATTTTTAGAGATCAGTTACAATGGAGCTCCTTTATAAAATGAGACTTGAGAGGTAGGACCCTTCTTTATAATTCACCTTCTTATGAAATATATTTAAACTGGAAATAGGGCTTGGACCTTTCTGGCACCAGCTGCAGTTTTTCTAGTTATAGGTTGCTAGAAAGGGACTATATATAATCCACATTGTTTTAGGTTAGTTTAAATTCTCTATTTAATTAGCTAAAGATATAAAATCTTAATCAGAAGACAAATGGCCCCAAGAGGCAAGTACAGATGCACTCAGTGTAGCTTCCCTTGACATACAACTGCCCCCAGGGGACAAGCAAAGGGTCTCCATCAATCAAAAAATTTAGCTCAATTTTGGGCAGGCTGCCCTTTATACTCTGGGACTCATATCACAATTTTAGGGGACCTTTCTCAGTAATCTATATTTAAGGGAATAATTAGAATCATTGGCTTCTTCTGTTCTTTTTAAACCAGATTTAGAATTAATAGGATCACATCATTATTCGTTTGAGGAGTTGAGGAAAAGCAGAATCAGTTGCCAGGTGTCATTGAGCCGTGTATATCTTTGCCTTCAGCTTTCCAGCATTTTGGAAAGCCCATATTCCAAGTCCACCCCCTTTATCAGATTGGTTCTAAATTTGGTTTGAAATGACAAAAGTGCTTGGGGCTAGATGTGGGGCTGGGTGTGGCGGCTTACGCCTATAATCCCAGCACTCTGGGAGGCAGGCAGATCACTTGAGGCCCGGAGTTCAAGACCAGCCTGGCCAACATGGCAAAACCCTGTCTCTACCGAAAATACAAAAAATTAGCCAGGCATGGTGGTGCATGCCTGTAATCACTGCTACTTGGGAGGCTGAGGCATGAGAAATGCTTGAACCTGGGAGGCAGAGGTTGCAGCGAGCCGAGATCGTGCCACCGCATTCCAGCCTGGGTGACAGAGTGAGGCTCTGTCCCCCGCTCCCCCCCACAAAAAAAGTCACGTGTTCGTTAAATATTTCTTAACATATGTATCTGACACTATTCTAGGCATTGGAGATTAAACAGTGAACAACACAGAAAAGAATACCTATCTTTGTGTAGTTGATGTTCTAGTAGGGAAAGACAAAGTGTATAAGAAGTATAATATGCCAGAAGATAAGTGCAATGGAGAAAAGTAAAGGAAAAAAGATGTGAAGTACTGGGATGGGAAGTGAGCAATTTCAATTAAAGTCACAAATACATTTCCCTAAATGGGCTAATTGTTGGTTTTAATATTAATTTAATGTGTAATTATATTCTGAGGGATATGGTTGTACTCTTATTTTACTCAATTCTGTATAATCTCTTGTGTTCACTGTTCAGTATCTTTTTGTCCTGGATGCCAAGTAGATCTTGTGAGAAGCAGGTGACACTCCAGTGTTGCCCACCAGAGAGCAGAGTTGGATATCTAAAGCTCACTGCCCAGGGAATGTTATTTCAGAACTGCAGAGTCTCTTATCAAGAAAATATAGTATCAGAGACCATGGAAATTATTCTTTGGAGCATTTTTTTTTAATGAGAGCTTATTTAATTAACTATTGTTATTTGGCTCAGAGTCAGATATTCCTTCCAAAGTGTTACAGACTGACTTAAATATTAATGACTTTGGATAATTTATAGTCATGGTAAACAAATAGTATAAAACAATGCAACATGTCTCAAGTTACAAAGTTTTACTAGAATCTAAAAGAAATATCACCCTTATCCTTATTTATGCCTTAATTATATTTTTATTAAAATTCAGATTTATAAAATATATGTGAAGGGCATAAGCATTGTTTTATAAAAGGACTCACTATAGAATTCATTTAGATAGCAGAAATGCATATTTCCTCTAATGTATTTGGGAGAAGGAGGAATTTAACACTTTTTACTTTAAACAGGGAGTCAAGTACATAATAAGGTATTTTGCAAATTATAGTGTAAAACATTTGTATTTATCTTTAGAATATGTTTAAAAGTAACCAGAAATTCACTTAGTTATCTTCATCTTAGTTGGGCCTGGCATTGCCTCTCCTTTTTTGGCCAGGGCCTGGCTGAGCTGAATTTACCACCGTTGGATAACTGAGAATTGATTGAAATGGTTCCACTACTACATGTAGATACACATGTAACAGTAGTTACTAGTTGAAAATACACATCATTTAGGTCTTTAAAACCTTTCTAATCTAAGTATGTTCTGACTGTACACCTTCATTGTCATTGACTTGACCATAGTTACCAGTGGCAATGTCTTCTTCATAATGACAGATGCCTAAAGTTGTCATTTGTAGCCTTGGCACTGAGTAAATACAAAATGAATGTGAATCCCAAACAGAGCTCATTAATCCTTGGCTAGAGTAACTCAATTACGGTTGCTTATGTGATACTCTGCCTCCTTTCTGTGGTAGAAACCAACTTGGGAAGGATATAACGTTAAAAGAGAGATGGTTTAATGACTAGATGTTCAGGCTCGTAACACACACAGTAAATCTTAATAAAGGAAGGTTCTCTCTTGGAAAACAGAACAAAACAAAATGACAGGCAAGCATAACTTCTTCTCTAAGTTAACTTGCTTCTGTTAAGATAGAATCACAGCAGTGAACAAATTGCTCATATACACAGCAATGTGTGTGAATCTCACAGACATTATGTCAGCCAAAGGAAGCCAGACACAAAAGATAATGTGTTCTATGAATACTTTTATACGAAGTTAAAGGACAGGCAAAACTAATCAATGGTTATAAAGTAAAAACAGTGGTTATCTGGTGGAAGTTGTGGGTTACTTAACAGCAAAGGAGCCAGAGAACCTCCAGAGCCTGGAAATGTTATGTATATTGATATGAATGATGGTTACATGGGTATATATGTATGTTTTTAAAAAACGAATTGTTAGTGTGTTTTACACACTAAACATATGTTTTGCCTAAGTTAAAAAGTAAGAAAAAGGAATTAGGTCACGGAGTTTGGATTTGTTATGGGAGGTAATAGGGAAACATTGGATCTTCAACAGGGACGTGAGTTGAGAAAAGTAGTGCTTTTCAAATTCTCCTGTGGTGATATGGAGAATGGAACAATGTTCAGATCAACTGGTGTATCTGTGTCATGTCGCCAGCACTGCTAGATGCTATAAAGGACACAAAATATCCATGATCTGGTTCTTATCTTTAAGAAGTGTATAATCTTTTATGGGAGACAAGTTATATGAAATCTAGAAAGTTACAGTAAATGGTAAATAGATGGAGTTTTGGAAACAACATATTAAAGTCAGCCCTAAGTTCAAATCCTAATTCTGCCATTTACTGGCTCTATGACTTCAGGAAAGTGATTTATTTCCCTGAACCTTGATATCCTTATCTGTAAAAGGGGGATAATATCCACCATCTTTGTTGAGAGGCTTAAGAAATATGGTAGTGAAAGATAGTACAGCAAAGTAGACGGTCAGTACATCTTCCCTTTTTAAATCCTGTAGCCAAGGAGCAATATTTTGTTGTTGTTGTTGTTTTTGACAGCATGTGACCTCAGTTTAGATTGTGGTTTTCCACTTGCTGGCTGTGTGACCTTAAGTAAATTACTTGGTTTCTTTGTGTCTCAATCTCTGATTTAAAAAAAAAAGGTGAAGGGGAAGTGGAGGGAAATATACCTTGAGAGGGTATTATGAGAATTACGTGGACCTAGCAAATACATAGTATCTAGCACAATATAGGCACACTTGGTAAATATAAAATCTGTTTCTGTTGAATGTGATAGCGGATAGAAATGTGTAGTATAAATAATGCAGGTAATAGATGATTGGATCAGGGTGGTGACTGTGGGTGCAAAAGGGACAGGCAGATCATAGTGTTATGTTTTTAAAAAGACAAGGACATTTGATATAGAAGATAAAATACTTTCTTTATTCTGTCCTTGTGCAGGGTGTATCTCTTTTTCTATTTTTGCATTGCTTTCTTTTTTTTTTTGAGATGGAGTCTCGCCCTGTCCCCCAGGCCAGAGTGCAATGGCATGATCTCGGCTCACTGCAACCTCTGCCTCCTGGGTTCAAGGGATTCTCCTGCCTCAGCCTCCCGAGTAGCTGGGATTATAGGTACATACCACCATGCCCAGCTAGTTTTTTTGTTTTGTTTTGTTTTGTTTTCTTTTGTATCTTTAGTAAAGACAGGGTTTCACCATGTTGGCCAGGCTGGTCTCAAACTCCTGACCTCATGATCCACCTGCCTCAGCCTCCCAAAGTGCTGGGATTACAGGCGTGAGCCACTGTGCCCAGCCTTGTTTTTGCATTTCTATAAAATGAAAATAATATAAAGTATATCCTTGGATCGTAATGATGTTAACTTGAAGGTGTTGTGACATCATTAGAAAATATGTTGTCTCACAACCCAAAAAATTATACCTTATTACTAAAAGTCACTCCTCTTCTTTTTATTTTTGAGACAGGGTCCTCACTCTGTCACTCAGGCTGGAGTGCAGTGGTGTGATCTCAACTCACTGCAACCTCTGCCTCCTGGGCTCAAGTGGTCACCCCACCTCAGCCTCCTGAGTAGCTGTGACCACAGGCACAGGCCACCACGCCTGGCTAGTTTTTGTACTTTTTTTTTTTTTTTTTTTAAACCATGACTCAGCCCTCAGGAGATCCTGAGAACATGTGCCCCTAATTTTTGTATTTTTTGAGATAGGGTCTTGCTCTGTCACCCAGGCTGGAGTGTAGTGGCACGATCATGGCTCACTGAAGCTTCTGCCTCCTGGGCTCAAGCGATCCTCCCTCCTCAGCCTCTTGAGCACCTGGGACTACAGGCATGAGCCACCACGTCCAGCTAATTTTTTTCTTTTTTAAGATGAGGTTTCACTATGTTATCCAGGCTGGTCTTGAACTCCTGGGTTCAAGGGATCCTCCAACCTCAGCTTCCCAAAGTACTGGGATTACAGGCATGAACCACTGCACCTGGCCCTCCTCTTCTAGTAATACTTTTAACAGGCATTGTCATCCAACTCCAGCTGAAAAATTAGTTACTTTCCTATGACTAGAGACCCCTGTTGTAATAAGGAAAACATCAATGTATAAAGGGAAGGAAATCCATTTATAAAATTTGTCATTTTTTGGTTACTTGAAAAATAATCAGAGCAGCAACTCAGATCTTGCTGGGTATCAATGGTAGACAGATTCTTGGCTAAGGAAGTTTAAATTTTCAGGACAAGTACTAAGCACTAAATGTTAACATTTCAGAATCGCATTGTTCACAGTGTTTATTTGAGAACTCATAAGTTGACTGATAACAAATCTCAGACATCGGCTTTCCAGTTTTTGACGCAGTATTAGATTTCTTGTGAAATTTTTAGCTTGAATTTAGCCACTAACTTCTTGTGTTTCCTAAGCTTAAGGAAAATGAAGAGGTGAAAAAAATAACATTTCCCCCTAACCATTGCTCGCCTTTCCTCCTCCTCTCTTCCAGATATTCCGAGTGGTGTGCATCTGTTTGGGTAATCCACCAGAGACATTCACCTGGGAATATCGAGACAAAGATAAAAATTATCAGAAAATTGGCCCCATAACACCCTTGGAGTTTTACAGGGAACATGTCAAGCCACTCTTCAATATGGAAGATAAGGTTGGTGAATGGCACTGGTAGTCACTGGCTGTTTACTTTCAAATGGCTGTTAACCACAGGGAATTGTATAAGATTCTTGGTTAGCATGTATGAGTATCAAACTAGACAGCAAACAAACATTTTTCCCCACTTCCTCTGAAGTATTTTATGCAGCTAATGAAGTTGGTGGTGCCAGGATTTATCAGCTTTTCCACAATGTTCCTCTTCAGAGACTTTTTAAACTGTAAGCCAGCAGTCATTTTAATTCCCACATGCGCCCCTGTATAGGACCAGAATCATTCTCAAGTGCAAAACAATGAAAGTGTGTTGGGTATTTCTTATCGTGGATTCAGAGCACTTTTGCACTGAGGTCCCCTCGGGGAACTCTCCTGTTGAAGGGAGTAATCTTAGTTTTTCCTGTTCCCTTTAGGTCTTCCTCATCTGCCTAGTAGGAGGATCAGAGCCTCTTCCTTTTATTGGCTTCTTGATCCTCTTCCAAGCAGATGCCTGTCTTGTAACTTGAGAACAGGGGCCTTGTGATTAGCTCTCCAATTTTTCTTACTCAGTGCATGTTATTTTTCAGAATGAGTTTTGAGGGCCGGGTGCGGTGGCTCATGCCTGTAATCCCAGCACACTGGGAGGCTGTGGTGAGTGGATCACCTGAGTTCGGGAGTTCGAGACCAGCCTGGCCAACATGGTGAAACTCCGTCTCTACTAAAAATACAAAAATTAGCCAGGCATGGTGGCGCACATCTGTAATCCCAGCTACTTGGGAGGCTGAAGCAGGAGAATCACTTGAACCTGGGAGGCGGAGGTTGCAGTGAGCCGAGATGGCGCCATTGCACTCCAGCCTGGGCGACAGAGTGAGATTCTGTCTCAAAAAAAAAAAAAAAAAAATTGCTTTTGGAGCAGTTCTTGCTAGTAGGAAAAACAGGTAGATGCACCTCCTAATTGTGTCTCTTACGCGAATTAGAATAAGCAAGGACCTCTCTCACATGTATTTTGCCACCTTGTGTTTCTTTGTTACTTAACAATGTGGCTGTAGTACTTAGCTTGTAGGCAGAGATGATGAGCTTGATGGAAACATGAACCTAGAGGAGAGCTGTGTGTTGCTTGACATTCCTGGTTTTGTGCCCTAATTAATGTGTTCTTGATCTTGATAGATTTGTTTAGTGAATGACCCTAGGCCCCAGCACAAGTACAACAAACTTTACACAGTGGAATACTTAAGCAATATGGTTGGAGGGAGAAAAACTCTATACAACAACCAGCCCATTGACTTCCTGAAAAAGATGGTTGCTGCCTCCATCAAAGATGGAGAGGTTGGTATTGTTTCTGTATTTTGCACATTGGGGTTAAAACATCTTTTACTTCTTTGGTATAATAGGAAGATGGGGTTTATGTTGACTTTCTTCCTCTTTCTTCTGTTTCTAGGCTGTGTGGTTTGGCTGTGATGTTGGAAAACACTTCAATAGCAAGCTGGGCCTCAGTGACATGAATCTGTGAGTGCAGGAAATTTAAAATGGAAAGTCATTTGTGGGTTGTTGCTGTTGGAGTGTGCTGTTGGTACAAAATGACTCTGCCGAGGTTCATCCAAAGATGAAGGTTGACCTAAGGGCGCGTCTCTTTCTTTGCATCCTTTAGAGTTTGAGGACTCATAGCAGAAACTCCACATACTTAAACACTCTAACCCAGGACATCAAAATCCCACTTTCTATCTGAGTGGAAATCGTTGGGCGTTCCTAAAAAGCCATCCTCTATGAGAAAGACACTTTAAAAAAATAATTGACTATTGCGGAAATGTGTTCAGTGCATTTGGGAGTGTAATGAAAGATTTTCCAGAGCCCCCGTTTGCTATGTTACTTTGGTAACTTTGTATTTTGTCATTGTGACAAGTGGGACTAATTTGCATGCATACTTTATAGCATTCCTCCTGGTCATTTATGACAATGAAGGTTAATTTGTAAACTAAATCATATAGGATTCCTTGACTGTTCACCATTCTCTATTTTAGGGTTACTTATAAATAGTTGTTACTTGTAGGAAGTTGAGTAAATATCTTGATAGAGAAATCTGCTAAAAAAAAGAATTAATGAGGTTTAAAAAATTTTTGAAAACAGGTACATGCAACTCCCAAGTGTGTCTCTCACACTAACTAGAACATGCAAGGACCTCTCTCACATGTATTTTGCCTTTTGTTTCTTTGTATTTAACAATGTGAGTGTAGTGCTTATGCAAAAATATTCCCCAATATTTTGGACATTATTTATTTAAATTTTAATCAGCAGTGATTTAAATGAATTCAGAAACTGGTTGGTTCCACCAGCTCAAAAGAGATCAGTTTTCTAAGAAGTTACTTCAAACGCTTTTTTCATTATTTTTTAAAGTTTTCTTGCCTAAATGACAATGTAAACTTGTCAGCTTCTGATGTGGAGAATTTATGTTTAATCATCTCCTTTTTTTCCTGCATACTCTTGTGACACATAGAGAATGGACTCCCACTGAGAGACTAAGTTCTGCATGTTCCATATTCTTTCTGAAGAGCTACAGCTAGAGCCTTATTTATTTGGAGCTGTTGAGCCCCTTCAGTTTCTTCTGAATTCCTTTTACAACCAAAAGCCAGTTTTCCCCATGATCGTACTCCCTTTATTTTGTACTATCATTCTTTTTACAGCTATGACCATGAGTTAGTGTTTGGTGTCTCCTTGAAGAACATGAATAAAGCGGAGAGGCTGACTTTTGGTGAGTCACTTATGACCCACGCCATGACCTTCACTGCTGTCTCAGAGAAGGTATGACCCTCAGCATGCCTGCTGGAGTGTTTGCACAGATGGATCTACATTCTCCTGTAGACTGTTTACCCAACAAAGCTTCATTCATAGTGTATATGATTTCTGTTAAAAGTTAGTTTCCAAGTAAGACATCGTACCTGCGTCACTTGGGGCTTGGCTGCGTGCTTAGAGGTAATATAAAAATAGGAACTTTCTATGAGGAGAATTTGGGTCAGCAGGGAGCGACCAAGTAACTGTTTCTGTAACTTTGGAAGGTCATGGTTTAAAGAGAAGTCAGCAAGGGAACTTGAGAGAAGATAACTTCTACTTTATAAGGAATCAAAATGTGCCCTGAAAGTGTTCATATCTTGATGACCTATGTTCAGATTTCCCTTCATTTGTCATTCAGATTCTTTTGCAGTAAAATGTCAATAACAGTAATTTGTGGACTCCATACCCATTTCTAGTTATATGCAGAGCTTCAGGAAATTGGATGTAAAGTATTTTGAATTTCCTGTGAAATAGTGTGTATAGTAATACCACTTTTTATAGGTTATAGAGTTGGAAACAACTGAAATTTTATCTTTCACAAATAAACTCCTCACTTCCAGTCAGTAAAAATAGATATTTTCACCTCTGTGCTCAGGATCATCAGGAAGGAAGAACTTGAACTACTTTAATTCTTTACCACCACAAGCAAAAATATTCTTTCTAGCCTAATTCCTGGAAAGTCACAGAATAACTACCTTATATAAATTGTTCTAGAAAATCATTTTTTTTTTTTTTTTTTGAGATGGAGTCTCACTCTGTCATCCAGGCAGGAGTGCTGTAGTGTGATCTCAGCTCACTGCAACCTCCACCTCTGGGGCTCAAAAGATTCTCCTGCCTCAGCCTTGCGAGTAGCTGGGATTACAAGTGCCCGCCAACACACCCAGCTGATTTTTTTGTATTTTTAGTAGAAGTGGGGTTTTGCCATGTTGGCCAGGCTGGTCTCGAACTCCTGACCTCAGGTGATCTGCCCGCCTCAGCTTCCCAAAGTGCTGGGATTACAGGCATGAGCCACCGCACCCAGCTAGAAAATGGTTTGATAGAGAATTGTTTTTGCTATCCTATCCACTAGATTTATGATCTTTAAAATGTTTAGAAATATCTTAGCATATCATTATGCCACATTTTCCTAACTAGCCTATCTAAAAGTCCTGATTTGCTTTTTATACTCTATGCAGAATTGTGAGTGGGATGGGGTTTTCTTTCTGTACCTTTTTCTCACCTCTTCCAACTACTTCACTTGAAGGGTGCCCTTTCAACCCCACAGCATCTAAGATCCCTGTGCTCTCTCTGTATTCAAAACTTGGTCTTAAAGGTTTAATTACATTCCTGCAAATTATAAGGCTAGTGCTTTAAGTAGTAGAACTCTGAGGTATTCTCAGTTTTATATGAGATCAAACACAGTATGGTGTAAAGGTGCCCTGAACTTAAGAGGCAGTCTTAATGCTGATACTCCTGATCCTCATGTAGTTTTCATAAATAAATGTAAAGGTTGAGGTCTTGTAAACCAGCGAGCTGTTTTCCTCATTATTCCATTCGTCAGTAATCTCAGCTCTGTAGTTAGCGAGACTCCCACACCAAGAAACAGGTTTTTAGGGTTACCCAGGAGAATGTGTGGAGTATAATTTGCATTACTTATGTAGATCAAGAAAAGTCATTTTAAAACAGCAAAAGGTGATTTAAGTGTTATCACCCCAATTTAACAAAATTCTCACATTTGAATTATAAACAAAACATAAAGTTAGGTTATAAAAGGAATTTTAGACCGGGTGCAGTGACTCACACCTGAAATCCCAGCACTTTGGGAGGCTGAGGCGGGAGGATCACCTGAGGTCAGGAGTTCAGGACTAGCCTGACCGACATGGCGAGACCCTGTCTCCACTAAAAATACAAAAATTAGCTGGGCATGGTGGCGTGCACCTGTAATTCCAGCAGCTACTCTGGAGGCTGAGGCAGGAGAATCCTTTGAACCCGGGAAGCGGAGGTTGCAGTGAGACAAGATTGCACCACTGCACTCCAGCCTGGGTGACAGAGCAAGACTCTGTCTCAAAAAAAAAAAAAAACAATAAATAAATAAATAAAATACATGAAAAGGTTTTTCAAATAAGGGTGCTTTATAACTAAACTAAAGTTCTTTAAATAAATTTTTAAACTATATAGAGTTCTGTTTTGTGTTTTTTTGTTGTTGTTTTTTTGTTTTTTTTGAGACTGAGTCTTGCTCTGTCGCCCAGGCTGGAGTGCAGTGGCACAATCTCAGCTCACTGCAACCTCCACCTCCTGGGTTCAAGCTATTCTCCTGCCTCAGCCTCCTGAGTGCAGGCGTGCACCATCGGCCTGGCTAATTTTTTTTTTTTTTTTTTTGTATTTTTAGTAGAGATAGGGTTTCGCCATGTTGGCCAGGCTGGTCTTGAACTCCTGACCTCAAGCAATCCACCTGCTTCGGCCTCCCAAAGTGCTGGGATTACAGGCATGAGCCACTGTGCCCAGCCGAGAATTTGTTTTGTTTGTTTGTTTGTTTTTAAAAAAACAAACAAACAAAAACTTGTAATTTCCAAGAAAAATTCAGCTTTTTATCATTTCTATCTCTGTTATAGAATACTCCTATTTTTCAGGAATAAAAATAATGAATACCACTGTCATTTTCTTGGGAACTTCCATTCTTTGATTAGCATGGGTTGTTTCCTTAGGAAAATGGAGCTACCTTACATGCTAATGGTATAAAGCAGAATTTATATTATTATACCTGGAATTTTATATTGAACATTTTCTCTTCATTCCACTAGAGTTTTTGATCCCAAAAACGAGTTTGAACTACACTTGAGTAATAGTACAGAGGTAAATGCATACTAGTGGTTATATTTCCACAATTTTCTTTCTTTTGTTGCTGATATCATGGAATCCCTATAAGGGAGTTCCAGGTATTAATCATTTTGTAATTGTAGATGACCCAGAGAACAATTTGATCTAGGTCACTCCAGGAATTCATTGGCCAAGGGGAAAACATAGGAAACATTTTCAGACTTAGAGTAACAAGTAACTATATCACTTTAGGTGACATCGATTCTAACAGTGATATTTAAAAGGAAAGTAAAGTTGGACTACAGTGGGAGGAATAGAAAACCAAAACAGACATATAATATGCCAGCTGCAGAATGTATAGTATATAACGATATGGTTTTAAAGGATTTGGGGGCAAAGAGTAAGGATTAGTACAGGTAAGGGTGTGTGAAACTTGTGAGTTTGTTGGCGCTATTTGTGAGACAGAAAATTACTGAGATCCAAGAAAACTGCCAAGAGTGGAGTGTTTGGGTTAGCAGAGCCAAAGAGAACCAAATCCCATATAGATGAGACTCATCATATAGTTATTTGCAAGTGGGAGTTGACAGATGAAATCATTAGGCGATAATACAGGGGTGAGTGCTCTTCTCATGCTACAAAGATTTAAGTTGCCTTGACATCAGTAAATGTCCTGGGTAAACATGAAAGAAAAAAGTCTTTTCCCAAATGGAGCCTTCCTCTTGTCCCTCTCTGTGTCACTATAGTAAAGGCTGTAAATGAAGGTTGTTGTGATGAGTATCACTGTCCCTTTAAGAAGACCAAAATTGAGCTTATTTTAATAATGAAGATGGAAGAAGGAGAACAGTAGAAGTGCCTGGCTTTTGTTTATGAAAATGGTCTTTTTACTTTTGCTTTGCCATTCAGTCTCTTCTTTGAAATTCAATATTTGTGTAACTGGATCAGTAAAAGAATGCATTTGGGAGAGTATCATTATTTGGTTTCCCCAAGTAGAAAATCAGGCAGTATGATGAGTTTGTTTTGTTTTGTTTAAAAAAGACTCTGACCAGGTTTTAGAATTATTCCTAAAATAAAGTAGGATGCATTTGCTTTAATCAATATTGATTGATTAAAAGCAAGAATCCCCAGCTTCAAATGTTTACTGCTTTTAGTAGGTTAATATAGTTTTTCTTAGTCAAGTAGCATTTTTACATGCCTATTTTATGTATACAATAGAATAGAAAGGATGAAATAGTATTTATTGCTTTGTTAGTTTATTATGTTTTTACCCCAAGAGATTCAAATTCCATTTCTACTGGAGTATCCCTTTAGTGATCGTAGGAAATATATAGCCCTGACCAAGTACTGTTTAGAGCAGGCTGCCTGTATAGAGCAGGCTGCCTGTATAGAGCAGGCTGTTTCTTTCAAGTGGCTACAGAAGAGCTAAAATTATATGACACCTCAGCAGGGAGAATCTGGCTTCAGACTACTCACCATCATCCACTTTTTTGCAGGATGATCAGGATGGTGCTTTCACAAAATGGAGAGTGGAGAATTCATGGGGTGAAGACCATGGCCACAAAGGTGAGCTCAGTTTGGTAATACTAACTCCAGGTGACTGGGCCTGCTCTACTCTGCCTGTCTGGGTGTCAAGCTGCTCTAGTGTGGAGGATTTCTCAGTAATTGGCTCCACTGACTAGATTATTCTACAGAAAAATCTGAGGATCTGATTTGCCCCCAGGATTCTCCTGACCATTATGGCATGCCTGAACTCCCAGGTTGGCTCTGAGACTGCTATGTGCTGCATTTGTTGCAAACTGTGTTGACCCTCCCCTCTTTGTAGACCGCTTGGCTAGTGAGGAGGTTGAGTGCCCTTGCCAGGACACTTGCTATATGGCATTTGATGCATTTTCTTTTTCTTTTTTTTTTCTTTTTTTTTTTTTTTGGACAGAGTCTTGCTCTGTCGCCCAGGCTGGAGTGCAGTGACGTAATCTTGGCTCACTGCAAGCTCCACCTCCCGGGTTCACGCCATTCTCCTGCCTCAGCCTCTGGAGTAGCTGGGGCTGCAGGCACCCGCCACCACTCCCAGCTGATTTTGTATTTTTAGTAGAGACGGGGTTTCACCGTGTTAGCCAGGATGGTCTCGATTTCCTGACCTCGTGATCCGCCCGCCTCGGCCTCCCAAAGTGCTAGGATTACAGGTGTGAGCCACTGCGCCCAGCCTTGATGTATTTTCATCTACTACATCAGTACTCTAGAAAGTCAGAAGCCTTCTGTATGGGAGAATGGGACTGGCAAGAAGCTTTCTTTAGGCATTTATTAGAGACTCCTTAGAAGTTGTCATACCTAAAGTGGAAATGAACACTTTGCTTACCACTTAGCACTTCTTTATACTGGCAAATCAAAACCTAGGGAGAAGTCATAACTTACACTAAGTAGACTAAACAAAATAACACAGTAATATATGAGTTGTAGAAAAATTTTAAAATACAGATAAAAAGTCTCTAATAATCCAACCACCTAGAGATCACTGTTGATTAACAGTTTAGGGTATATTATTGTAAAATTTTGAGACCACATTTTTAAAGACTGTCTTTAGTAATAGCTTTTGAAAGAGATTTTACGCTTTAATTTTTAGGGTTCCAAACCAAAAGTGGCAATCACCATGGCATATGTGTACCTGTGAGCATGTAGATTCATGTGTGCTGGGGGCATTTTATAGCCAGTTCTTTCTCAGAGTCCCTTTTTCTTTTAGCCAATGGATTCTGGCTAGGAAAAACATTAACCGCACCTTAGTAGACTAGTTAGAAGACTGAGAAGAACCAGGTAGGGAAGCCAGAGAAGTGACATTCAGAGATATTTGGAAACAAACTTGAGCATACATTTTACCCAACAGGAATTAGCCAGGCATTTTATTTTTAAAAAAAGAAAGAAAAAGAAATTTTAGCAACTCTTTGTTGTTGCCCCTCTCTGTGTTTAGAATCGTGATTTTCCAGCTATGTTCCTCACAGCCGTAGGATTTCCAAGGGTAAAAGGTAGAGGAGGGGGTGTGGAGGTTTGGATATGAGCATATGGGACTTCCATAGCTCCTATTTGAAAAATTGCTGTTTTAGAAGAGCCTGTTAAGCTGAGTTTTGAACTTGACAGCATTTTAGTATGCTGATTGGGCAGCACAGGCTTGTATGTGATAGCCAAAATCTGAAGACCATTTATTTGTCATTCGAGGGCTTTTCATCTCTCTATGAGAATAATCACTGGTGGATTTTGGCTGACTGTCCCTGGAATATGCTGTGATACTCAGCAGCCCAGTGTTTATATGTAAACAAATACAAGTGCTGTTACTGCATTTCTCTTCATCATCAGATAGTTACATGTCTACCTTCTGTGATTTCTATAATTGTTCTGTGATTTTAGGGGTGCCTATTAAGTTAACTACTACGAATTAGAATACTTTTTAAAATTGGTGGTTTCTTGTAAGGTGAATTTTATTTTAAGACAAATACACATTAGGGTCAAGTAGAGAAGGGTTTAAACCTCAGCAAAGTTAGCAGAGTAAAAATAACTCACAGTTTAGTTATATCTGTAAGTTGGTGATAGTTAAGAGATGGATACTTGTCTTAAAATTTGAAAGATTTGATTATTTCTAGCAAACATAAGATACTGAGTTAAAGTTTTCCTGTTGCTTCCAATGAACCCCCTGCAGCTTCTGTTTCATTTCTGGTCTAATTTGGTTCCTATAATTGGATTTGTTATCATATAGGTTAGCACCTAGGAAAAGAACTAAAGTTATATTTGTTTAGATGAGCCTGGATCCGTCAGCTTGCTGCGATATTTTTCCATCTGTAATAGTCAGTGAGTTTGAAGATAGTAGTGTTATCTGGTTAAGAGAGGATAAACACTTGTAAAATCAGGAAAATGTGTTTTATGTAGTGTGAGTTAATGTCTTTATTATTTTGAACCTAAATACTTAAAGATAATTTTAGGTCACTTTACTGTATATAATTTTTCCATTTAGCTTTACCTCTTTACTTTTACTCAATAAAAGTTTTGCTTTTGCTAACTTACTCATTTCATTATTATGCTTAGAGAACTGTAAAATATGGGATCTTGCTATCCCTGTAACTCTCCTGTAATCCTTCTTAGTGAAATCTGCAGCTATCTAGTAAAGATTAACTTTTTTGTTGTTCTCAAATAACTGAAATGCCTGTGACTATACACAGCAAAGCATTTCAGTAGAGAGCCAAAAGATAAGAAATAGAACTGAAGTGGGGGTAGGGAGTCGTTCATTCAAGCCAAAATAAATTATTCTCATGTGTTTCTTGGTAATGTTCTTTCTAACTTAACAGGAAGGAAGGAAAGAAAACATGATCTAATTTAATTGGCACACTTGGCCTGACCTCAGGAGAGCGCATAGTATGTTATTATGTTGGCAATATGTGTTTATCCCAGCAGGGCCTTCTTGTCTGTCATCCTAGTGGACATTGGCTGGCAGGTCTGAGGTAGGACCTCTGTTTATGCTCTCTTGGGAGATATGACAACCTTAAGAAGCATTGCTGGGATTTTGTTTCTGTAGATAACATTGTTAACAGTTTGTTGCTATTCTCTTTGGGATTTCTGACTGTTAAGATTGATGTTTCTGAAAAAGCAGTGTTGATAATACATGCTGGAGATAAACAGAGCAAAGATACCTGGGCAAGCTGCCTTTCCCCTTTGCCCAGCCCTGGCTTTGGTTCTCCCCATTGGTCATGTTCATGGCTCTCCTGCCCAGAAACTCTTTTGTAACACATAACCTGACTATTCCAAAAATGGACAGAAGGTTTCTTCTGAGCAGGAGGACATAAAAGGAGAAATCAGTTTTTGCTTTACTGTACCAGTTGGATTACTTCAAGTTGATGAATTCTAGTATTCATAGTCAGTTGTACTGAAAATTGGATGCATATCTAACATGTAATACCAACCTGGGTTTCTTTTCTCCCCTGCTTCTTAAAATACTTGACTATCCATTTTGTACCTTGTTAATGGATCATATCAGAAATGAATTTCACAATTAGGTGAGGGAACAGACTTCGGGATTTGATATATTATCTTTCATTTTGAAAAGTTGATAAAAATATTTTATAAAATATTTAAGAATTTAAAATCAAGGAAGTCACCTTTGATTCCTCTCGTTATTAGTCAGAAATTCATCTGAGAAGAGCCTAATCTCTAAGCCAAAGTGACCTGCAGATCCCCTAGCTAGTAAATGATAGAGCCAGAATTATAACCCAGATGGCCTGACACCAGAGCCAGTTTTCTTAACCACTAAACTGTGCTTTCTCTCACCTTCCCTGTTCTAGTAGCATGTCGTCCACTCAAGAAATAACAGGTCAGTTCATGGTCATTGGTGACCAGAAAGAGTGGATGAAGGGATATAAAACTGTATGAAGGACCTGGAGATGTTATGTAAATGTCTGACATTGGGAGAAAAGGCCCCTAGAGCATCATTTGTGGCTGGGAATCTGAGTAAAGAGTGGAGATTGGGGCATTCTGTGAGGGTTTGTCACATGTTAGCACATTGTGACTTAGGCAAGTCAGAAACTATGCAGCCACCCAAAATTTCCCTGAATTTTGTCCATGCTGCTTTATAATAAGGTTATTTAGTTGTTTTTTTGTTTTGTTTTGTTTTTGCTTTTTTGAGACGGAGTCTTGCTCTGTTGCCCAGGCTGGAGTGCGGTGGCGCGATCTCAGCTCACTGCAAGCTTCGCCTCCCAGGTTCACGCCATTCTCCTGCCTCAGCCTCCCAAGTAGCTGGGACTACAGGTGCTCCCCACCACGCCTGGCTAATTTTTTGTATTTTTTAGTAGAGACAGAGTTTCACTGTGTTAGCCAGGATGGTCTCGATCTCCTGACCTTGTGATCCTCCCACCTCGGCCTCCCAAAGTGCTGGGTTACAGGCGTGAGCCACCGTGCCCGGCCAAGGTTATTTAGTTCTTAACTTTTTATCTTGGACAATTTTAAACATATATAAAGTAAACAGGATTGTATTAAAGAACCCTGCATATGCCTGTCACCCACCTTCAGTAGTTATCAATATTCTGTCATGCAAATAATAGTGTATTTGATAGTCAATAAATTAAATTCCTAGATGGTCTTTCTAATGAACCAGTCTTACTATGAAACTTTACTTCTTTGTGATTGGTTCACTTAGTTATGAGATTGTATTCCATTTCTAGAGCCTGACACAGCAGAACTCTAAATGTGGAATTATCATAATATAGTTCTTAATGCTTATTTGGTCCAGTTTCTCAATATGATAAGTAACAACTTTTAAGTGAAGATATGGAGGATATTTTCTAATTCTGCAATGTTCACTGAAGGAAAATACTTACCTTTTAAAAATTTTGTCTCTCCTGGTTTTCATTTTGAACCAAGATGAGTTTTCCATTTTTCACATTGCTTTTGTTCCTTTCAGATACATGAACATTTGAAATTGTTTTTAACCCACATTTTTAATCTTTTCTTACAAGTGAGCCTCTCTGTTCCTGATTTCTTTCATTTTAGTAAAATTTTCAGACTTCCTTCTAGAAAGGAGCCTCTAAATGGTTTCAGTTAAAGATACTTTGGCATGTTAGAGATTAGAAAGAAACATGTTATCAATTCAGACTATATGTAGATTTCTGCTGCTTCCTAAAAACCAACATTATGACCTTTAATTGTCTCACCAGCCCAACTGCCACAAGTGATTTTGGAGATGGTATATTCAAAGCTAGGCACAAAAATCAACATATTCTTCATAAAATGCTATGTTGTAGAACCAGGTGAGTTGTGGAGAGACAGTTACTAATAATTAATTCTTGATTTTAGATGCTGGGCAGTAATTTAACTCATTGTAGTGTCACATTTCTATGTCAATAACATGGACAATTTGTTTCTTTATGAGCTCCTACAGTTTGTATGTAGCCATCAAATGAAATAATGTATGCAGGCATTTTTCAAACTGTATATTGTTATATAAATCTAAGGAGTTATGAACAGCCCATATTTCTGTTGGAGGTACTCAGGACATAAAGCTACAGGGCATCTTGCTTCGTGAGAATTCAAAGTTCACTAATGTATTTGTATTTATTTCTCCTCATGACATCAGAGTAGAGTAACTCAGGATGTGAACATGGGTGATTATACCCAGGTTTTATGTGAAGAAACTAAAACTTACTGACAGTTGTGTCTTGTTTGGGTTGCACAGAATCAGAGATAGAATTGGAATTCAAATCTCTTAATTTGACACAGACAGCTTCCCTAAAATTCCCTATGTATTACTTACAAAAGACAATCAGTTATTTGCAGGTCTGTTTGAGGTTCAGTTCTGGATCTCTAGTACAATAATGGAAACTAGGCAATGTTGGGCCAGACTTGCTGAAACAAGAGTGAATTGTAGAACTTAAAAGCACAGGTTTCTGATTTCCGAGAAAGGGGCAAGTTGCAAATTTGTTTTGTCACCTCAGAGGGTTTCATGTCTCTCCAGGCTTGGGAAAAGTGCTGCTACCATTAATCTGGATTCTGGGTTCTTTGATAAGGGCTTTTTGTTGCCGTTGTTGTTGTTGTTGTTGTTATGGAGTCTTGCTCTGTCTACCCAGGCTGGAGTGCAGTGGTGCGGTCTTGGCTCACTGCAACCTCTGCCTCCCAGGTTCAAGCGATTCTCGTGTCTCAGCCTCCTGAGTAGCTGGGATCACAGGTGCCTGCCACCATGCCCAGCTAATTTTTTTTTGTATTTTTAATAGAGACGGTGTTTCACCTGTTGGCCAGGCTGGTCTCGAACTCCAGACCTCAAGTGATCTGCCCACCTCATCCTCCCAAAGTGCTGGGATTACAGGTGTGAGCCATCACGCCCGGCCCTCTCAGAAGGGCTTTTCACCATCCATCTTTATTAACCAAAAAGCCTGCATGACTTTGGCTGAGAAATAGTGTATGTAGATGGAATAGAGGAAGCACATACTCTCCAGTTCACTGGTGCTTCCTGATCAAAGTGTGTGACTAAGAGAGGGCTATCATTATTTGGGCAAGGACAGACTATGTGACAGAGCTCCTAACCTGCAATGAGGCATCTGCTTCAGGGAGAAATCTCCTCATATTGAATGTAGAGTTTTGTGTATAGATGTGTTTTTACCTGTAGATAAGATCTGTAATTTTCACCAGATTGTCTCCAAGGTGTTTGCACTGGTTTAAGAAGGATGGAGGTTAAGCACAGAATCTGGAGCCAGACTGCCTGGGTATGCATCCTGGCTAACCCATCTATTGGCTGTGTAACAGTGGTCATTGGCATTTAACCTGTCTGAGCCTCAGCTTTCTCATCTGTAAAATAGGGATAATAATTGGACCTATCTCGTAGGGTTGTTGTGAGAACCATGTGAGGCGCATAAGAAGTGCTTAGAAATATTAGCTCCCATTGCTACTGTTGTTAATGTTATCTATAGACTGACGGCAAGAGAACAAGAACATGAAGCTCCCTAACCTTTCCCTTCTAGAGGAGGGCATCTAACTTGCCCCATGGTTCCAGTTTCAGATCTCTAAAAATTCAGTGCCCTAATGTGATCATTATGCTACATCACCAGTGTAGTGGGCAGATGACCCATAGTGTGGGCTTAGTGTCGTGAGAGAAAGCAGTGGAGGTGAATAAACTTAGTGCTGAGAAAAAACCATTAGCAGTAGCATCAACTCACATTTATTTATTGATGGGATGCAAGGAACCGTGCATAGGCCATGGTGGAATGAATGTCTCTGACCCTCAGAGGAATTTATACTTATTCACCTGTGACACAGGAAGGGGATTTGAAGAGGGCTGTGATGTGACAGAAGTGGCATTCATGGTGTGCTCCTCAGACTGTAAGATATAGGATAAATAGACCGAGAAAAGCAGAGAAGGGATGATTTTTTTTCCAAGAGGGCAGTTAACAGAAGAAGAACTAGGGAGTACCTCCCCTCAGTGGGGAGACAATAGGAAGACATGGAAGCTGAGGTGATTGAAAAGGGTGAGGGGTTGGAGAGAGCGCCTAGGAAGCCCAGGACTAGAGGGCGTCAGGAAGAACATGGTGGTAAATAGTGGAACAGCAGAGCAGACAGAAAATGGGTCAAGGAGAAAGGCTGTTGGGTTGGACTTAAGGTAGTTTTTGGAAACTTCAGGAGGGGTCAGGGTGCAAGCCCAGCTGTCCTATTATGCTCCATCAGCAGCATGTCAGTACTTCGTTCTTTCAAAGGCTATGTATAGTGGGGTTGCAAGGAATTGAAGCTGGGACAATTAAGGCTGTAAATCTTGGCCCCATATGGTGTTTGTAACCTATTGTAAGAATAAATATGTAAAACATAAACACAAGAATAAGCGCAGAGTCACACACGGGATAAACTGCAAGGGAGATGGTCAGTGACTGGAACTGTGAGGCCTCCTTAGGGATTCTTCAAGGGTGACCCTCTTTAGGGAGGATGTTAGGGCTGTGGCTTTTTTTCTGAAAAGGGAGAGGGAGGCCAGCCAGAGAAATGGTGGCTGAGAAGTGCAGCTCTTGGCATTTGGAGCATGCGTTGAACAGGTCAGAGGAGTGAAGCCAAGAAATAATGTGGCTTGCCATTCACAGAGCTTTTGAGGAGTGACCGACAAGCAGACTTTGTCTGAAACAAATAGGAGTAGCGATAGTTTGGGGTGAGAGAAAAGTCATTGAGTTTCAGTGGGAAAACAAGACCCTTGGATGGCATCTAAATTTGTGCTTTCCTCTCCGGGTTCACCCTCAGAGATCCTGGAGAGCTGTGTGTGCCCTCAGGGCTGCCTAGCTCATGCTCATTGGTCTAGAGAAAGAAGTCAGCCGGGAGGTGAACAGGCTTCTTCTGGGCTCCTTAGTAGAGGGGCACTTCTCAGGCTGTGGACACTTCTGCTGACTGAACTTTGTGGTGGTTTAATGGTTTAAAAAATACAAACCACAAGCCAAAACAACCCCTTTTCTCTACCACATTTTCCACCCTGCATTTTTCCTAGTATATTTACTAGGGAAACGGTACCTTCTAACCTTTGTTTCTGAAAGAGGCCGCAAGTAATATCCGGCTATAAGAGTATCTCTTCTTTTATCAGCAAATGGTTTATTAATGTAAATGTGTCCTCACCACATAGCCAGACTTCTATGTTTTCTCTGGAGGAAAAAGAAGCCTCTTCTCAGATCACTGTTTCAAATGGCAGTCATAATTATAAGGGGTGGTTTTGGTTCTCTTCCTCTGGCTTTTTTTTTTTTAAACATCCAACCCATCCTGTTATCTATCTTTCTAAATACATGCACTTAGAACACATGGTGTCTCTTTGATTTAAACAGACAAAATAGCTCGCCAAACATGGTAGTATGCACCTATAGTCTTAGCTACCCAGGGGGCTGAGGCAGGAGGATCGTTTGGGCCCAGGAGTTCAAGTCCAGCCTGGGCAACATAGTGAGACTCCATCTCTAAAAAATAAATAAATAAAAGATACAAAATACATTATAAATGGACCCAACAAAAATAGGGTTCCTGTTTGTTGATATGGGGTTTGTGAGCAGATGGAGTTTGTTTCAAAGTTAGGTACCTGAGCTAGACTAAATGCTATCTGTTGCTGAAGCCATAACTACCTCCCAAGTCTCTTTGCCCACAGAGTGCTCAACTGGAAGAAGCTGAGCCCTATGAGAAAGATGGAATTTGAATTTAAGACCTGGGTTCGATGTTGGCTTTACTTACTGCCCTCTTTCCTCACAGCATTGTTGTGAGAATAAGAATCAAAACAAGGATAGTGATGTGAAATTGCATTGTGAAGTGTAAGCTCCTCACAGGGTTTTGGAGTATATATGTGTGTATTTTTTTGTTTTGTTTTCTAAAGTGTAATTCTTTTAATAGATAATGAAATTACATTGTTCCAAAATCAAAATATAAAAAGGTATATGAAAAAGAATTTTGTTTCCATCTCTGTCACTCTTCATTCCCCTGCCTCTCTCTTAGGTTATTATTTCTATTTCTGGTATGCCTTTCCTTATTTTTTTTAGTACAAACATACACATATATATTATTGTCTTCTTTTCTTATACTAGTGGTAGCACACTAGGTCGTCTGCTCTGCATCTTGTCCTCACTTCACTTACAGCGTATCTTGGGGACATTTCCTTATCAGTACATCAGTACAGCTTCATTATCTTCCATTGTCTGGATCTACCACAGTTTATTTAACCATTTCCTTTACTAATGGGACTTGGGTTGTTTCAGTCTTTGCTATTACAAACAGTATTGCAGTGGGTTACTATATATATGTACAGTGCTTAGAATAGTGCCTGGCACACGGTAAGTGCCGAATAAATATTAGCTTTGTTGCACATAAATTCATATTGTATGCATGTAAGTACTGTGTATCTATAGGATGAAGTCCCAGAAATGACACTGCTTAATGAAGAGGGTAAGTGCATTTGTAATTTTTCTAGATACTGAAAAGGACAGATCCAACATCTCTGGACACCATTCCATAGGCATTGTGTCATTTTGCACATTTGCAACATACCCTGTACAAATTCAAGGAGGTATTAGGTCATGCTTCACCCAGTGGATACCTAACAGAAGCGGTTGACAAATTGTCACTACTCAATTATCTGTTGAAATTATCTGTTTCATAGTTGGGGACTATGCCAAGGCCTTAGTGAGTAATGGAGTTTTTCATTGAGAGTCTTGTTTCTGATGTTTTCTTCTCACTTATCCTTCTTTTTTTTTTGTTTTTTTTTTTCATTATAATAGCAGAAAAATGTTTATAAGCATAACACCAGTTAAAAACCAAAAGAAAAAGATTGATAAATTTGACTTAATAAAAACAAAAAATGGGCCGGGCACGATGGCTTACGCCTGTAATCCCAGCACTTTGGGAGGCCGAGGTGGGTAGATCACCTGAGGTCAGGAGTTCGAGACCAGCCTGGCCAAAGTGGCGAAACCCCGTCTCCACTAAAAATACGAAAAATTAGCTGGGCATGGTGGTGGGCACCTGTATTCCCAGCTACTCAGGAAGCTGAGGCAAGAGAATCACCTGAACCCGGGAGGCAGAGGTTGCAGTGAACTGAGATCACGCCACTGCACTCCAGCCTGAGCTACAGAGCAAGACTCTGCCTCCAAACAGCAATAAAAATTGTTAGTAGGCTAGAAAATATAAACTAAATTAGAAGGCCAGTTACATAATAGGAAAAAAAGTTTGCAACCAATATAAAATATAGAGTGTACTGTAACTGATGACTATGAAAAAGAAAAAAGCTCCAATTTAAAATGCGCAGAGGGCTAGGTGTAGTGGCTTACCCCTGTAACCCCAGAGGTTTGGGAGGCCAAAACAGGAGGATTGCTTGAGCCCAGGAGCTCAAGACCAGCCTGGGCAACATCGTAAGACCCCATCTCAACAAAAATTAAGAAAATTAAGTGGGTGAGGAGGCGCACGTCTGTAGTCCTAGCTACTTGGGAGGCTAAGGTGGGAGGATCGCATGTCCCCAGGAGTTTGAGGCTGCAGTGAGCTGTGATTGTGTCACTCAGCCTGGGTAACAGAGTGAGAGCTTGTCTCTCTCTCTTTTTTTTGAGACGGAGTCTCACTCTGTCGCCCAGGCTGGAGTCCAGTGGCGCAATCTTGGCTCACTGCAACCTCTGCCTGCCTGGTTCAAGCAATTCTCCTGTCTCAGCCTCCCGAGTGACTGGGACTACAGGCACACGCCACCATGCCCAGCTAATTTTATGTATTTTTAGTAGAGATGGGTTTTACCATGCTGGCCAGGCTGGTCTCGAACTCCTGACCTTGTGATCTGCCCGCCTCGGCCTCCCAAAGTGCTGGGATTACAGGCATGAGCCACCGTGCCTGGCGAGACCTTGTCTCTTAAAAAATGAACAGAGTTCTCAGACAGACACTTTACAAAAGAAAACTGTCAATAGCAAGCAAACACATAAAAGGAGAAAAGGCTCAAATTGGATCCAAGAAGAAAGTTAGTAATTATGTATACCAGATATTGATTAGGATATAAGGAAATTTAATACATTTATTTATTAATAAAATTAATAAGCATTGCTTAAGACAGGGATCTTTTCTGAAATGCGTCATTAGGTGATTTTGTGATTGTGTGGACATCATGGAGTGTACTTACACAAACCTTGATGGTATAGCCCATCGCCCCTAAGCTACAAACCTGTACAGCATGTTACTGTACTGAATACTCTAGGCAGTTGTTACACAGTGTTATTTGTGTATCTAAACATAGAAAAGGTACAGCAAAAATACATTATAACCTTACAGAACCACTATCATATATGTGGTTCATTGTTGACCAGAATGTCATTACACAGTGCATTAATGCAGATGATTAAGGCTGTGCACGAAGATTTACTTACAGAAATGTTTATAACAGTATTGTTTCTAAGCATGAAAAAATCCGGATTCCAACAATAGGGGACTGATTAAACGTGTTTTGATTTAATCATGTAGATTCGGTACTTAAAAATTATGATGTAGATAGATGTATTTCATTATCAGTAAGGAAAGAGATTAATTGGAAAACAGTATGTGTATTACTTTGTAATACAAGACCACCATGTATGATGTCTCATTTTTATGAAATTAAAGGGTCTAGTACATGCAGAAACTTTATCAAGGATGCATGTAAAATTTGACAGAGCTTGAACATGTGTCCCAAGGTGGTGGGATTGTAGGCAACTCAAAAATTAATATTTGTCTTCTCTTTCTCCTCCTTTCATGTTTCCAAGACTTTTTATGATGAGTTTGGGTAACTTTTAAGGAGTTAAAAAGCAGTGTAACATTTCAGAAATTTTGGAGAGAAAATCTATCCCATGGCATAAAATTTTCATTTTTTATTGTTTTTCATGGTTTTTTTTCATGTGCATCTATATTTGTAACATAGTTGTAATTATACTGGATATGCCACTCTAATCTATTTTTTATCACCTAAACATTTCTTCATGTTGCTACACAGTCTTTGCAACTTCATTATAAAGTGATTCCTGTTCTGTGAAATGGTTTCTCCCTGATGATTAGGAAGCTTGAAATATAAGACAAGTGCCAGTGAGGCTTCTGCTTTCCTTTCTGGGAGCCTTTCTTCAACCTTGAGTTATAGCTGCCAGGTGAAAGATTGGCAGTGACTGAATGAGGCCTTGGTAGTCCAGCTTCTTAGTTCCATGCTGCCAGACAGACCGTCAGAGCAGAACAGATACCTTCATTTTGTCATAACTTTTTTAAAAATGGCAAAAAATAATAGCCACATACAGTTTGTTAGTGAGGTGAAATTCCTCATAGAACAAAGACAACAAAGAATATAAAATGTTTCTAATATGTTAAAATATATTTTATATTCTTTGTATTCTTTAGTCTGAAAGGCTTAAATCTTACATTTCTGGTGGGATTTCAGAAAAAAAAGTTTTCTTAGGTAAAGCGTCTTTTTTCCCTTAAACTAGCCCATTTGAAACTCTTCTGTTTCTGAATGAATTTCACCTAACCTGTCTACAGCTATATTCACAGACACTGTTTTTCCCTTTACAGACTGACCCTACCCTTTCTGTTACAAAATACAGAAACGTTGCCAGTGTTTTTTGGTTGGTTGGTTGGTTTGAGGTGTTTTGTTTTGAGGACTGTTCACTTTTCTTTCTTTCTCATCGCATGTAAACAAGACATTAAAGTTTAAACAAAATTTAATTTCACCTTAGTTCCTAAAGCTGACTTTATCTATTTGTCTGTGTTTCACTCAGTGTAACCTTGGGATCCCTGGAGCAGGTTTTTATTTTGTTTTCTTTTCTTTTTTCCTTGGAATGCTTGTGTCTCACGGCCAGTGTGTCTAAGGGTTAGGAGCTGCACCTTCCCGCAAGTCAAAAGGGCCAGCCGAATCCTGCCTGAGCCGGTGCTTTGCTGCTTCCTACACAGGTTTCAGACACACTGATCCTAATCTTCTCAGTCAAACTCCAAGACACACAGTGTCAACAGTTACGGCAGCCACAAGTTCATTATCTACATAGGGCGCAATTACTTGGCAGCTACCTAGACTGTGAGGTTTTTGTGGGTCCCCAAAGAACTCATATCCTGAAGAGAGAGACTAATCAAGGCGGGTCCTCTTGGCAGGGACATTGAAAGGGTGGGTTACAATTGATAGGAATTTTAATTTGTGAGGACTTAATCTGATATGCTTTTGGAACAAGATAGTGTAGATGTACTTATTGTCCATCTTCTGGGAGCATTCTTTGAAGATTCATTTGATTGTATGGTGATAGTATTGTTGAAAGGACACAGAATTTTATTACATGAATCTGCTTCTATCCTTCACCTGCCTAACTGCCCAGGGCCACTGCAGTGATTTATTCAGCCTGCATTGTGGTGAGGGAAGGGACGACTAATGTCTCAAACAGTGTGGTGTTCCCTAGTCTGCTCTCCTGCTTGCTGAAAGCTCCTTTTTGGGAAGGCAGATGCTTAGTTTTTCAGGAAGCACTCACTTAGGATGCAGTATTTTAGTTTTAAATAATACGCACTGGTTGACCTTTGAGCGGACAGAACTTTTGTTGCTAGAACCTGGTGGCACTGGTGTGGGTGATGTTAATTAAGGGCCAGGTCCTGACACCAACAAAGCCAGGAAGTTTGGAATATATAATCAAGACAAGCCAGAAGTAGCTACAGAGTGGGCCTGTACTGTCCTTCCGTCTCTCGTCTATTGAAAGTAGGGGCCCTGGATCCAGGAGGCCAGCTTATCAGGAGACAAGAGTGCATTCCTTTACCTGCCTTGGTCGGAGCACTTGAACACTTTTACAGAGCACTCCCAACCCCTACCATTCCCACCCCCAAGACAGGGTCTCACTCTGTTTAGGCTAGAGTGCAGTGGTGTGATCTTGGCTCACTGAAACCACAGGCTCAGGCCACCACACCAGCTAATTTTTTTTTTTTTTTTTTTTTTTTTTGTGAGGATGGGGTTTCGCCATGTTGCCCAGGCTGGTCTTGAACAACTGGGCTCAAGCAATCCACCTGCCTCGGCCTCCTAAAGTGCTGAAATTATAGGTGTGAGCCACTGCACCTGGCCTCCACAGTGTTTTTGAGGGTAAACGTATGCTATGCCACGTCAGGATGATCTGTCTTTGACTTCTGTCGGGTGAAAAACAGGATTGGGCATAGATGACTTCACCAAATCAATTGTGTTTTCAGGTTAAATAATGCCCTTTGTCACACCTTTTAGCATACAAAATTAGACTTACCAGTATTGTTGCCTTTAAATTTAATCCAGTCTTGCCTCAAGAGCAGCAGTTCTCAAAGTGTGATCTTTGGTTCCCTAGGGCCCTTTCAGGGAGTGTGCAGGGTCTGCCCTTGAGCAACATATCTGTGTGAGGCTGGATTTCCTTCATCTGCTTCAAGCAGAACAACATACTGCAACAGATTAAACACAGATGCAGATACAGGAATTCAGCTGTCTTCTGCAAATCTAGACATTAAAATGTAAAACAATGCCACTTTTTTAACTAAAAATATTTTTTTACATAATATAATTTTTTTCCTCAAAATATATTGTTTATATTCATTTTTCATACTTATTTTTAAATGAATTAATATTTTTAACTTTCTGTTTTAGTTTCTGATATAGTAAATAATGATAGATATTAGTCCACATAAAGAATGTTTTCGGTCCCTAATAATTTTAAGAATGTAAAGGGCAGGGCTTGAGGCCAAGAGGCTTGAGAACTGCTCACTAGGGGACCCTCTTGCTAGAAACACCTACTTCTCCGTTCTCTTGGTCCTGTGTAGTGGGAAATGGTATAGCACAGGCCTAGGTTTATGAGAACTGCTCACTAGGGGACCCTCTTGCTAGAAACACCTACTTCTCCGTTCTCTTGGTCCTGTGTAGTGGGAAATGGTATAGCACAGGCCTAGGTTTATACAAACTTTCAGAGAAAAATGGCTCCAGTGTTTACTATAAAACAAGTAGCAGATACGGTCAGATGACAGTCGTGGTGCTGATGGCCATTGCTAGTCCGGGAGCCCTTGGATGTGTGTGCCTGCCTTTCTCTTGATTCAGTACACATCGTTTGCTCTGTGTTCTGTCTGTGGCCCAGCAGCCCATTCTTGTTTTAAATATACGGACTTCAGTCTCTCACTTTAATTTTGCTCTTCTTATTAGCAATGGCTCGGGTAAAGCATTTTTTTCCCATTTAAGTTTTTTGGAGATCTGTTCCTGAAAGAACAGATTTGTTTGTTTTTGTTTTTTTAACTTTCAGTAGTTTTTGGGGAACAGGTGGGTTTTGGTTACATGGATAAGTTCTTTAGTGGTGATTTCTGGGACTTTGGTGCACCCAGCACCTAAGCAGTGTACACTGGTATGTTGTCTTTGTTTTATCCCTCCACCCCTCCCACTCTTCCATCCTGAGTGCCCAAAGTCCATTATATCATTCTTATGCCTTTGCATCCTCATAGTTTAGCTCCAACTTATATAAGTGAGAACATATGATATTTGGTTTTCCATTCCTGAGTTACTTCATTTAGAATCATGGCCTCCAGCTCCATCGAAGTTGCTACAAAATACATTATTTTTTTCCTTTTTATGGCCGAGTATAATATTCCATGATGTATAAATATCACATTTTCTTTATCCACTCGTTGGTTGATGGGCACTTAGGTTGGTTCCATGTTTTTGTAGTTGTGAATTGTGCTGCTATAAGCATGCGTGTGCATGTGTCTTTTTCATTTAGTGACCTCTTTTCCTTTGGGTAGATACCCAGTAGAGGGATTGCTGGATCGAATGGTAGATCGTTAGTTCTTTAAGGAATCTCCATACCGTTTTCCTTAGTGGTTGTACTAGTTTATATTCCCACCAGCATTGTAAAAGTGTTCCCTTTTCACCACATCCACACCAACATCTGTAATTTTTTTGCTTTTTAATTATGGCCATTCTTGCAGGAGTAAGGTGGTATCACATTGTGGTTTTAATTTGCATTTCTCTGATAATTAGTGATGTTGAGCATTTTTTCATGTTTGTTGGCTGTGTATCTTCTTTTTCAGATTGTCTATTCATGTCCTTTGCCCATTTTTTGATGGGATTATTTGGTTTTTTGTTTGTTTGTTTGTTTCTTGCCGATTGTTTGAGTTCCTTGTAGACTCTGGGTGTTAGTCCTTTGTCGGAATCATAGTTTGCGAAGATTTTCTCCCACTCTGTGGGTTGTCTGTTTACACTGCTATTTCTCTTGCTGTGCAGAAGCCTTTTAGTTTAATTAGGTCCCATTTATTTATGTTTTTGTTGCATTTGCTTTTGGGGTCTTAGTCATGAATTCTTTGCCTAAGCCAATGTCTGGAAGAGTTTTTCCGATGTTATCTTCTAGAACTTGTATTGGTTTCAGGTTTTAGCTTTCAGCCTTTGACCATCTTGAGTTGATTTTTGTGTAAGGTGAGAGATGAGGATCTGGTTTCTGAAGGGGAATTTGTGTTGGCCTAGTGGAGCCTGAGATGCAGGTTAATCCTCCTTATGGAAGGCAACTATTACTAGGATGGGTACCCGATGACACCACACTTTTTCTCTCAGCTGAGCTTTCAACCTTAAATGGGGCATTAGTGCCGGGGCACCTCTGTATAGTCCTAACCCACTGGAGAGGCCTTCCTAAGGAGAGCAGGTTAAGCAGATGTCTGAGTCTTCTAGTTCCGCCTGATCGTCATCGTAGATTTCCTCCTAGGAAAACAAGGACTGTTTTATCATTTGACTCCCACACTATCATCTGCAAATAAGTGCATACCTAGGAATGATGACTTGGCCCCATCAGAATGCTCACAGCAGCCCGCCTGGTTGTTGTAGGAGTGTGTGATAGAAAGGAATGGGGGAGAACAGCCATTGACACTGGTAGGGTAAGAAAGGAACTGGGATGCTTGCCCTTCTGACCCTAGAGATTTATGCCCTAGGTGTGGCTGTATGAATGAGAAGTTTTTCTGCCTCCCTACTAGTATACAGGTCATCACTCACCATCACCAAGGCAGCGGAGGAAGAGAGCATCAGTACAGGATCTGGTGTTAGCCTTAGGTCCAAGGCCCAGCTCTGAACCTCACCATGTGACCTGGGCACATCACCTAGTTACTCAAGACCCGGTTTTCTAATTTTTCTAAAAATAGAGCCATGCCTGTCCTATCTGCTTCACAGAATTGCTAATAAGATTTAGATTAAATGAAATTACAGATGGGAAAGCTGAAAAATATGTATGAATATTAGTTTTGTAAAAGGTTTATCCTACAAAAAGGGTTTCTGCTCTTTGTCCCTTGCCCTCTGGACTCATAAGTCTTCTGTTCTTTTCTCCAGGTTACCTGTGCATGACAGATGAGTGGTTCTCTGAGTATGTCTACGAAGTGGTGGTGGACAGGAAGCATGTCCCTGAAGAGGTGCTAGCTGTGTTAGAGCAGGAACCCATTATCCTGCCAGCATGGGACCCCATGGGAGCTTTGGCTGAGTGATACTGCCCTCCAGCTCTTTCCTCCTTCCATGGAACCTGACGTAGCTGCAAAGGACAGATCCAGGGACTGAAGCCAAAGTTATGCAAGGGACTGTGTGTTGCCACAGGACACAGTCAGATTTCCAGTCTCCACCAGGAACCTCTTCAGAAAGTGTGCTTTATGCTGAAACAGAATACTGTTAAAGGAAAAAAAAGAGGGGGGAAGATCAGGTCATACTATCTACTCTCCTCATCTCTAACAGCTCAGGATCTCTTAGCATTTTAATTAGATGTAATTGTTTGTCTTTAACTGTCAAAAAGTTTGGTTCTGTGTCTGTGTTTTAATAAGACGAGAGGACGAGCGATTGAGGTGTATGGAGAGAAAACAGACCTAATGCTCCTTGTTCCTAGAGTAGAGTGGAGGGAGGGTGGCCTAAGAGTTGAGCTCTCGGAACTGCATGCTGCTGGACAGTATCACTGTCTTTCCTAGATGGCAGTCACTGAATTCCATTTTTTCAAGGTAATTTCTTGTGCCTCTAATAGCCCAAGAATGGGAGGTTGATCAGATCTGACATGATTCCTTCCTGTTCTGAACTGTGGGGTGTGCACATCTCTGCTTGAGTCAGGTTTGAGTAGAGGCTTAGAGACAGTTGGGTGAGAACAACCAAAATCTTATCATGGTCTCAGTCATAATCATTAGGGGGAACTCTAGCCAAATGGTTTAACTTCTGCCTGTGGAACTGGGGATTGGGTGGGCAGGAAAAGGTGATATCCATTCTTTCTGATAACTAGATGGTGCTGAGAAGCTTTTGAATAAAAACTTTGCTAAATGAGAATAAGCTGATTTATGTGATCTGTCTGAGAAGTGTTTGTTTATCTACAAAAGAAAGCAGCCAGGTGGCTCATGTTCTTGAAAGTGAAAAAACAGGAAAAGGGCTTCCCTCTTCAGCTTCTCTGCAAGATGTGTACTCTTTCCCAGACCGCCGATTCTCACCGGCATCTGCAAAGGGCTTCCAAGCGCCTGTTTAAGAAGGACTGTTCCCCTACCGCATAAATGTTCTACCCAGATCCAGGGTCCCTACAAGGGTGGGGAGTGAGGCTCTGTTGGGCCCAGCCTTAGAATAGGTCAGTAAGTTATCTTACTGAGATTGGGCCACCCTTTCAAGAACAAGGGTAAAATAGAAAACATTTTCACAAAAAAAACTGAATTTGCCCCAACAGAAGGGAAGTGATCAGTATGGAAGGGTTGAAATGTATCAAGGAATGTAGAATAAAGAACATGATTGTTATGTTGGTCAGCTACACAAAAAGCAACTGTAGAAGAGTCTTAACAGGGTTGGAAAAAAGGTAAAACGAAAATCCATGAAGGTAGCAGATAACTAGGGAGGGGAGGTAATTGGAATGAACATACTCTAAGATCCTTGTGTCTTTCAGGAAGAAGATAAATACATTGTTTAACTTCAGACTTTGGTATGTAAACCTGTGCCAAAAACTTCTATAGTATCTACTAAAAATAAGCAGAGGATACAGTTTTCAATCAAGAATAAATAGAATGGAAAAATGCAATCAGTCAAGAAGACAAGATAGGGTAAAGAAAAGGCAGGACAAATAGAGCATCCAAAACAAGATAGTAGAGAGAAATCTAAATGTGCCAATAATTATATGTAAATGGACTAAATGTTCCCGAAAAAAAAAATGCCAAACTGTATTTTTAAAAGAAATCCAGCCATATGTGATGACAAGAGAGAGACATAGGCAACCTACAATATAAGAAAGGATGGAAAAGATACATCAGGCAGATACTAACCAAAATAAAACTGAGAAGTTATACTCATAACCCACAGAATTAAGGCCACTCCAAAGTAACGAAACAGACTGTCTAATTTCAGTTTATTTGCATAAACTGTAATGTGAATGTCCTCCCTGGAGCTGTGGAACACCACAGCCCTGGAAATAGGCTTTAAGACAAAAAGCATTACTACAGATCGAACCACTACATAATGATATGCTTACCCAATTCTTCAGAAAAACAAAGATTCTAAGTTATGCACCTAATAACATTGCCTCAAAATATGTAAAACAAAAACAGCTATATGGAAAAATAAGAAATCCAGCATCATAGTGGGAGATTTTAATATGCTTCATGTAGACCAAGCAACAAAAAATTCAGGAAAGTATATAAGAGATTTAAACATTTAGCAAGTTTGGTAAAATGGACGTGTTTAGAAGACCACATCTTCATCCTGAAAGCACAGATGTGTGGAAACCAATGACCGAGCATAAACCTGTTAAAAAAAAAATTGCATCTAACAACTGCACATTCATTTTGATCACCTATGGAACTTTTTCAAAAAGCGACCATATACTGGACGGTAGAGTCAATCTCAACAAATTTGAAAGGGTTGTTACCACGTAGACCACACTCCAACCACAGTGCAATTAAGTTAGAAACCAAAATTAAAAGATTACAAGACGACCTCTGTATGTTTAGAAATTAACTCATGGGTCCAAGAAGAAATCATGAAGGAAATTTAACCTGAACAATAATAAAAATATGTCAAAACGAGGGATGCAGCTGCAACAGTAATTTAAAGGTTTTACAGCATTAAATTATTACATTAATGTATTAAGATTATAGAATTTTAATTAGTTCTGAATAATAGAATGTAAATTCTAAATCTAAATATCAAAGTTATACTAGGATGTAATAAAGGCTGAAAATTGAGCTAAACATCTGTTTCAAGAAATTAGAACAGCAAAATAAACCTAAAGGAAGTAGATATGCACAGAAATTAAGCATAGCATCAACGAAGCCAGAAGTTGGTTCTTTTAAAGAAAAATTGACAAATATTAATTTTTTTAAGTACACAGGGAATTAAAAGGATATTATAGATGCTGCAAATATTAGAAAAATAGAAGATACTCTCAACTTTCTCAAAAGCAACAGTAAAGGGATTTGTTTAGAAGACAAATCCACAAGCTCGGGAAGACCAGGAGAGGAGCCAATGAAATATTTGAACCCAGAAAGCAGATGGAGACCTTGGAAGATTTAGCAGAGCTGAAAAAGTTGAATCTCACTGAGCCAGTGGTGGAGAAAGCCAGTGATAAGCAAATCAATTTACAGTGCATAATCCCCTGAAAAGCATAGATATGGTAGCAACAGAAAGCATTCTGGAATTGGGCGTGAAGGGAGGGTTACCAAAGAGTTGAATGTCTGTTGGGTCCCCTTCCTATACCGACCGGCTTGGTGATGCCCTTCCTCCATTCATCAGTGCATTAGAGATTTCTTTTCTGGAGAGAGAAGAAGTGTGTAGTCTAGGTGTCAGGTGAATCCCCTAAGTGAGCATTTACATTCTGAATCTTCTTGCCATCCTTGGCTGCTAGAACTCTAGTAGCCAGGAAATTGGAAGTCTTCTCAGGAGCAACTCGATTAGCTCAATAGGCAAGACGTAAAAAACGACTTTATGGCCTAAAGAATGATTTTATGAGGCTAGCATAACCCTGATAAGGATAGTGAAAAAAATACATGTAAACCTCACCCATAAACATAGATGCAAAAATCCTAAACCAAATGCAGCAATATGTAAAAAAGATAATCTTCATTACCAAATACTTAATGAAAGCCATTTTTCAAATGAACTTAGGATCCAGAGGGGAGAAATGAAGCATGGTGGTTTTATCTTCTCTGCTAAAGATTAGGGAAATGGGCTGAAGTTGTAGCTGGAGGTCTCAGTTGGAAGAAACTGCTAGTATTTGGGTGACGAATGAGGTAGGAAATGGGAAGGCATGGAGTTGTCTTTTGCTTTAACTGTGAATCATACAGTGTCACCAGAGGAGAGCTTCATGACTGGCCTCTGGGAAGTCCTGGCCTGAGTAATGGTGACCCTACACGTCCAAGAAGCCAAGGCATGATAATGAGACATGCCTTCAGGATGTGGTGTGGCCCATCTGCTTGCTTTGGCTTGTCCTTAAAGAGCAGCTTAATTCTAAGTTGCTGTTGGTGGCACCAGGGCACTTGGACTTGAAGTCCTATTCCTCTAGTGTGGTGTGGGTGAGCACCATTGCCCACGGTGGCTCTAGTTAGTCATTTGTTAAGTTAGATACTTTTTAAAGTGATTCCAGATGAGCGTGGTCATATTTAGGACAACTTGTTGAGAACTGTTGTTGATACTCATGAAGCCAATGGCTTCCTTCTTGGGGTCTGTGACACAAATGGGTTGAAAACTAGGATTAAACTGGCCGGGTTTTTCTGTTTTTCTTTTTCAAACTCCAAGTCCTTTACACATTATTGCAGAGGGAAAGGAAATAGGGGAATGTTCAATTCACAACAGCTGCAGCTATTTGGTCTTTGTTTTGTCTTTTCTTTTGAGTCTCATTCTGTCACCCAAGCTGGAGTGCAGAGTACAGTGGCACGATCTCGGCTCACTGCAGCCTCCACTTCGTGGGTTCAAGCAATTCTCCCACCTTAGCCTCCAGAGTAGCTGGGATTACAGACATGCGCCACCACAGCTAATTTTTTTTTTTTTTTTGTATTTTTAGTATAGACAAGGTTTTGCCATGTTGGCCAGGCTGGTCTTGAACTCCTGGCCTCAATTGATCTGCCCGCCTAGGCCTCCCAAAGTGCTGGTATTACAAGTGTGAGCCACTGCGTCTGGCTAGCTGTAGCTATTTGGAAAGAGGATTGTGTGCAGATGGGAAACCCTCCACATCATCTTTCCTGGATATTGTTTGAATACTCAGTGCTTTCCCTCTTGCTGACTCCTCTGGAAAAACTCTAGTTTGGTAGCACGTCTTGAAGTGGACAGAATGAGTTCTGGAGCCATCTTTCAGGTTACCCCATGACAGCTGTTTGTTTTTTAAAAATCAGCTGCTGTGCAGAAGGCTAGGGCAGCCAAGGCAGGGTGGCTATTTGATGGAGAGTATGGGAGGGTGCTTGACTTAGCATAGCAGCATCCCTGCATCTCACCTGGCGGAGACCTTATGGGTTAACCTAGTCCAAAATTCTCCAAAACGAGTAAGTCTTTTAAGTTCTATTTGCACACATTGACAGGAACACACAGCCTCTCACTGTGGCCCCTGCCCACCTCTCCAGACTCGACTTACTCCCCTTCTTGTACACTCTGCTTCAGCCAGCCACTGACCGCCTCCCACCCTGTCCCGCACTTTGTCCCTCAGACACATCAAACTCATCTCCGCCTCCTTGCTGTTCCTCCTTGCTGTTCCGTCTACCTAAAGCTCTTCCCTCAGGTCTTTGCATGGCTGGCTTCTCATTCGGGTCACGCCTTCAGTGTCAAGGCCATCTCTGACCACCTTATCTAGGCAGCCAACTCCCTCCTCCTACTGCCTCTGCCACCTCCATGCTGTTACAGGGTCTGTTTTATTCACAGCACTTACCACTTTCTGGAGGTACTGATGTATTTATATGTGTATTGTCTGTTTTCCCCAAAGTCAGTTACTCCGTTGGCTCCCAGGGGCGGGAACTTTGTCCTGCTTGTGACTGTATACTCAAGTGCCTGGCTCATAGGAAATATAGGGTAGGCTGACACTGAGCACACCTTCTATTCTGACAGCTATAATTAACGAACAGTTTTTACATAGACCTGAAGTCAGCTTCACTATAACTTGCTCAGCAGGGACAAGTAGAACAAGAACAAAGCCCCTGGAGATGTTTGTATTTCAACATTTCACATTAAGGTCTTGATTTCATTTCATGCAGGTTCCTGGCAGTGGGGAGAATAGGTAGGGAGAGAACCACAGAGGCTTACCTGGCTTCCTCACTGCTTGAACCTTTTTTGTTTCAAATCAGCCCAACACAGCGGGAAGAGCAGGGCCTTTGGACTCAGATATGCTGGCCTTGCCACTTGGCAAGCATATAAGTGCCTACACCTGGCAAGTCTGTATAAATGTGGAGAAGCTACTTAATCTCTCTCAGCCTCTGTTTCCATGCTTCCTTTGTTGAAAAACAATATTAAAATTTATTCACTTCGTGAGGTCGAGGTGGGCAGATCACAAGGTCAAGAGATCGAGACCATCTGACCAACATGGTGAAACCCTGTCTCTACTAAAAATACAAAAATTAGCCAGGCGTGGTGGTGGGCACCTGTAGTCCCAGCTACTCAGGAGGCTGAGGCAGGAGAATTGCTTGAACCCAGGTGGCGGAGGTTGCAGTGAGCCGAGATCACGCCACTGCACTTCAGCCTGGATGACAAAGCGAGACTGCATCTCAAAAAAAAAAAAAATTATTAAATATGAGAACTCAGCCTGAAACCTGGCTGAGGAAAACTATATTTTTTGATAACATATATAGTTATCCAAAAATAATAATACCAGTTTATATTGCATATTTCCCATATGGTAGAAAAAGGACAGAAGATAATGCATATAATGTGCCTAGTAGAGGCTCAATAAATGGCAGCTTTTATTAAAAACAGTTCTCATGGAGATTCTTCAATGTGTCCAGTGTTGTGGGAGCCCCTCTGGGAGTTAAAACAATTCCCTTCTCTCCAACCAAATTTGTCATTTACTTGGGAAAATAACATGTTTATGCATGAACCAGTTGAAAAGGTGACTTTATATGAGAGAGATCTTGCAGTAAACTCCGTAATAATTGTGAAAGGGCTTGAAGTTGGAGAAGGTAACGTGCTGACTTGTTTTAAAGTAACTTCAACCCACAGTGAACGCGGTGATCAGCTTACCAAGAAGAAACTAAGGGAAGCCCTTCCTAGATGGAGAGGCACAATTTACCCTGAAGTTTGCTGAGAGGAAGAGCCAAAGAGAGGGTGAGTGTCTTATAAACTTGAGCAGGAGAAAGAAAAATGGAAATGGGGTACAGGAGAGAGGATTGGCTTCAGGAGCTGGGAGCAGAGGGCTTGAGTTCTAAGAGTAGGTCTAGCTCTTTGATCAGATCTTGAGCAAAGCCTTGGACTTCACCTCTTGGCTCCCAGCATCTTTGCTAATAAATAGGAAAAAAAAATGTCCTGCTTAAGTGAACAGCACTGGTGATGTGTAATGTGGCACGATTTGGTGGGTAGTGCGTCTGGTGTAACATGGAGCTGAACTCCTTCAAACTCCCTAGGGCTCCTCCCTCCTTTGTGAGAAACTTGAGGCCCCTTAGAACATCTTTTTTTTTCCCTTCCCCTCTTTTCTTTCTTTTCCCTCCCTTCCACCGTTACCCCTTTCTTTCTTTGCCTTTTATAATTAAAAAATGCTTTTCTGAAAAAGTTTCATAAAAATATCACCTGCACATGGCAAATATTTAAATAGTATAGCAGGGTAGACATTGACAAAGGGGGTTTCCCTCCATCCTAATGTCCTCTGCCTCCAAGGCACCTACTGTTCCCAGTCTCTTCTGTGTGCTTACAGATTTCAATACACATATCAGCCCCCATGCCTTGCCCTCAACAATTTGGAGTAACAACTGTTCTATGCATTTTTTTTCCTCCATTTACAATAAATCTTGAGAACTCCCCCAGATCAGCCCATAGAAAACTGCCTTACTCTTTCTACCTGCTGCATGGTACTCCATTGGTGGATATGCCACTGGGGCCCTGGTTTTATGGCACTAAGTCTGGTAAGACTCAGAGGCATTTTCCTAGCCCTTCATTGCTGGTGTGTACATTTATGGAGCCTGCTGTGCGCCCACACAGTGATAGGTGTTGAGGCATGGAGAGAGGCAGCACCCTGTCCCTTGGGAACCCAGAGCCTGGGAAATTCGGAGAGGGACCAAGGTGCTGCAACAGCTGTATGTGTACAGGGCGGTGGGGCCCTCCCTGGTTCTCTGTGCTTCTGGCGTCAACATCTCCACCAACGTGGAAGGGAAAAACAGCTGCCCTCTGGAGTGTGGCCCTGGCTGATGAAGTCAGGGAAGGGAATCCCCTAGGGAGGAAGTAGAAATCATAAACCCTTAAGGAAGGAGACCACCACTTCTCCTGCTGCCCTTCTCCTCCTCCCCTCCGACCCACCTAGTTTATAAGACAGAAGATAAGGAAAAAAGCAAAAAGTCAGAAAAAAAACAGAAGTAAGATAAATAGCCAGACGACCTTGGCGCCACCACCCGGCCCTGGTGGTTAAAAAATAATAATAGGCCGGGCGTGGTGGCTCACGCCTGTAATCCCAGCACTTTGGGAGGCCGAGGTGGGTGGATCACAAGGTCAGGAGATCGAGACCATCCTGGCTAACAAGGTGAAACCCATCTCTACTAAAAATACAAAAATTAGCCGGGCATGGTGGTGGGTGCCTGTAGTCCCAGCTACTCGGGAGGCTGAGGCAGGAGAATGGCATGAACCGAGGAGGAGCTTGCAGCAAGCCAAGATTGCGCCACTGCACTCCAGCCTGGGCAACAGAGCAAGACTCTGTCTCAAAATAAAATAAAATAAAATAATAATAATAATAATAATATCAACCCCTGACCTAAACTACTTGTGTTATCTGTAAATTCCAGGCATTGTATGAGGAAGCATTGCAAAAGTTTCTGTTCTGTTAGCTGATGCATGTAGCCCCCAGTCATGTTCCCCACGCTTGCTCGATCTATCACAACCCTTTCACGTGTACCCCTTAGAGTGGTAAGCCCTTAAAAGGGCCAGGAATTTCTTTTTCAGGGAGCTCAGTTCTTGAGACATGAGTCCGCTGATGCTCCCAGCCGAATAAAGCCACTTCCTTCTTCAACCTGGCATCTGAAGGGTTTTGTCTGAGGCTCGTCCTGCTACACCATGGCTCACAGAGATTGCAGATAGATCGTGGGGTAGTCACAGTATCTGTAAAGTCTGGGGTGTCACCTACACCCTGATTTCTCCTCACGTGTGAGTATCCTTCAAGCTGGGCCTTTCCACATCAGCCACTCCTGCCTTTTCCTCTCTTTTAGAAAAAATTATCTGTGAAGTCTGAATATACAATGAGTTAAGCAGGGTTAGCAACAGAAACTTAAATCGATGCTAATCTGACAAATACTTACTGATTTTAAACAATTATTACTGTGCCTCTCAATGGGGTTGTGGAAGCAGCAGGGGCCCATGGTGAAGACTGAGGGAATTAATTATGGGGCTTAGATAGAAAGTGCTATAAAAGTCTTAGTTATTGTTATTGGCATTAGCATTTGCCCAGCAAGTGCTTCTGGGGGTGTTTGGGGTGTTATCATAGAGTGAGTGGTGTGGTGAGGCTGCTGCCGTAATACCTGACTGAGAGATAATGGGAGTTCAAGTCAAGAGGATGGTGGGGCTGGGGAGAGGGAGGTGGGAGACCGGGTGATGGGGTGCTAGGAGGAGGGTTTAGCAAAGGCAGAAGGCTCTGGAGGAATGAGGGGAAGGAGCTGGGAAAAATGACCAATGACAAAATGAACCTACTTCCAAATGTTTCTGGCCTTTCTTAGGGCTGAACCTGATCTGTTCCTCCCCCAAACCCCCCGCACTCCCAAAAGGACCTTGTCTGGAGTTCCCTTTAGCTTGCTTCATCTGGATGGGGTGGGCCTGCTAGGGGCTCCCATGGAGACCTCCGTAGAGATGAGCCCAGGGTTCACAGTGGCAGCAAGTCCTGCCTTGGAGGTGCCACTGAACATGAATGTAGAGTCACCAGAACCATGCCAGGAAAAACTGGGGGTCCCAGGAAAAACCAGGGGTGTCGGGGAGGTGCTGGTGGGAATGGAGCAAGATGACACTCTAAGGACTGAATATTGTCAGCATTTTCCTGGGCCTGAGAAAAAGCCCACAAGGAGGGGTGGGCCTTCTTCTTTCGTTATTGTATAAACAGGGCAGAGACAGGACAGACAGATGGCACCAAGGGCTTCCGGAGGGAGAGCCTGGGATTCGCATGGTTCGGTCCTGGCTGGCTCCACAGGGGACTCACTGCTGGCCTTTGAGACTTCCAGGAAGTGGGTTTTCTTGGTGGTGTTTGGGGCAGGTGTAAATATTTATGTGCCCCTTTCCTCTTAAAGTGAAAGCTTGTATTTATTCTGAGCCCCAGAGCAGCTTCTAAGCCCCACTATTTCTGGGCTCAAGCAGGTGAACAAAGAAAAACTATTGCTGTGCGGTGATTGCCAGGCAGCCTCTTCCCAGCTGCCCAGGACCTGTCGCCCTTGACATCTCCCTGGCTGTCCCTATACACCACCAGCACCAAGCTTCGCAGGTGCCTGCTGGGTTTCTGGCTTGCATCTCTTCCCTGCGGCCACCAGCTGACGCCTGCATTCACATTCTAAGGAACCCGTCTGTCCCAACCACCACGACAACCCCCTTCCCCCCTACTCTTACCTGCAGCCCACGCAGGTCACAGCCATTAGATCCTTCCCCTGAAGCGCTGCTTCCCTCCTGCCGCACTCAGGGCTCCCTCCTGCCTTCCATGCCCAGGACAGGGCCTCCCGGCCTCTCCAGGTCTCTGGAGCAGAGAGGTTGTGCCTTCCTCATGCGGTCAGGCTCAGGCTGGGAAGGAGCGGCCCAGAGGCGGGGGGAGGCACGGGTGCGGGGCTGCCTCTTCCCCGGTAGTGGACGCTGAAGCCTGTCCACCTGAATTGGAGGCGGGGCGGGGCAGTCGACTGACCGCCAGGCAGGGGAGCAGGGCGCGGGCTCAGAGGGAGGGAGTGGGAGGCCGAGGAAGGACAAGGTGCTTGTGGCGATGAGTATCAGAAGGCAGAGCGGAGCTGCTCAAGAGAGGCTGGCTCTGTGGAGGTGAGGACCTGCAGGTGGGCCTGGCCTCTCTGTGGGATGGTACCCAGGGCAGGAGGAAGAGAAACACCTGTTTAGAGAGAGGGGGAGGGTCTGGGCCAGTTGTGTGCGGACTCTGCCATGGAGGCAGGGGGAACCAGGGCGGGGCCGTCTGTGTAATTCTAATGTCATTTGCTAATGGTGGTTGCCCGCAGCTGGGGAGCAAGAGGGGAGGAGATGGGACCACCCGGCCAGAGAGAGGAGGGGTCGAAGGCCCCCTTGGAGGAAGGGCCCAGCGCACAGGGCCTGCAAGGAGTTGGCCCCTTCCCCACCCACAGCTGGGCAGTGCCCACTGAGATCATCCTCCCTACTTCACAAACAGAGACACAAAGGCCAGACAGCTTGAGGTTAAGGAGCTCGGTCAAGCCCACACCACAGTACAGGGTGGGGGCCGGGATTTGACCCAGGTCCACAGGGTGCCCACTCTCTAGGCAGCACCTGCACAGAACAGGGCAGTGCCATAGGGAGGGGCTGCGCGCTGGGCAGGAATGCATCTTCGGCTAGAAAGAGTCTAGAAGGAAGATCAGAAGTGGCGAGACTGCACAATTAAGAAGTGCTAAGAAGTCACACTGGACAGACCTGGTCTTGGTAGCCAAGCGCTGAAGTCACCCCTGCAGCCGTCCTCCGCTTTGGCGCCTCTTCCCAGCGTCCCTGCCCCCCTCCTTTGGCCCTCCTGGAAAGGACACTTTGCGTTTTCTGTTGCCCTTGCCTATACAGCACAAACATGCTCATTTAAGAAGTGGAACGTGGGAGGCAGCAGACAACTGTGTTCATCTGAAAGGAGGAGGCCCCACTCCCGTGCAGGCGCTGCCCCTGGGGGTGAAATTCCCAAGCTTGTTGGGGATTCTCCCGCCTGGCGTTGCCGCTCTGAATGCCAGCACCTAACCCCTAATGTCCCTACTGCAGCCCTCCCAGCATCCCCCCTGCAACCTCCCAGCAACTCCCTGTACCCCTCCTAGGATCGCTCCTGCATCCCCCATTATCCCCCCCTTCACCCCTCGCGGCATCCCCCCTGCACCCCCAGCATCCCCCCTGCAGCCCCCCCAGCATCTCCCCTGCACCCCCAGCATCCCCCCTGCAGCCCTTCCAGCATCCCCCTGCACCTCTCCCAGGATCTCCCCTGCAACCCCCATTATCCCCCCTGCACCCCTCGCAGTATCCCCCCTGCACCCCCCAGCATCCCCCCATGCACCCCCGGCATCCCCCCTGCACCCCTCCAGCATTCTCCTTGCACCCTACCAGTATTCCCCCGCATCCCGGCCTCCAAGCCTCCCGCCCACCTTGCGGTCCCCGCCCTGGCGTCTAGGTGGCACCAGAATCCCGCGCGGACTCCACCCGCTGGGAGCTGCCCTCGCTTGCCCGTGGTTGTCCAGCTCAGTCCCTCTAGACGCTCAGCCCAACCGGCCGCACAGTTTTCAGGGGTCAGTTCCTCCAAGTACAAGGGGCGGTGGCTTCTCTGGAGCTGCAAACTTGTCACTGCTATTTCCTTTCGGTCTTCTACTTCCTATCGTTCCTGGCCTCCTCTTGGGGAGAGGTAGAGCCCTCTCCTTTCCGCCTCAGGGACAACCCAAAGCAAGTACTGCATGTGCCCTTTTTAAAGTTTTAAATAATTTTAGCAAAAAGGATATTAACATTAAATCAATTTTTAAACTTTTTGAAAAAATTATCAAAACTACATGCACATGGTTCAAAACAATAGGCTCCTGCTGGGCCCTTTCAGATAATTCAAATTGTCACCAGGTTGGAGTGCAGTGGTTCGATCACGGCTCACTGCAGCCTCGACCTCCCGGGCTCAGCTGATCCTCCACCTCAGCCTCCTGAGTAGCTGGGAACACAAGCGCGAGCAACCACGCCCGGCTAATTAAAAAAATTTTTTTTCTAGAGATGGGGTCTTGCTGTGTTGCCCAGGCTGGTCTTGAATTCCTGGGCTCAAGCAATCCTCCCGCCTCAGCCTCCCAAAGCACTGTGCTCCTTTTTGACGCAGCTTTGAACTGTAGCTGGTTAACAAAATGAGAACCAGTTCTTCATTCCTTCATTGTGGAAGTCTTTATTGTGAGACTCTGGGGACGGAGAGGAATTAGACAAGGGCCTCTAAGCTGAGCTCACATCCCAGCCGGTCAGTCAGATAAACGCATGGGTATCGAGTACTGCTAGGTCCCAGGAAGAAAGAGAGAGCAGCTTTCGGGATGGGGACGATGGGGAGGTGTCCGAGGTCAAGAGAAAGCGGCACGAGCAGACCCCTGTGTGCCGTCCTGTGGGCGCGGGGCGGCAGGGGAGGCGCACACCTGCTCCTTTGTGCAGCCTCCCCCCTCCCGCAAAGTTAAAGAGCAGGAAAGTCAGGATTCCTCGCTCGGCCCTGCCCTGCCGGCTGCTCCGCGCTCCGCTCCTCCCTGCGAGCGTGTGTGTGTGTCGGGGGTCCCTCCCCTCCTGGCTCTGGGGTCGGGCGCGCACCCCGCCCCGTAGCGCGGCCCCTCCCTGGCGAGCGCAACCCCATCCAGCGGGAGCGCGGAGCCGCGGCCGCGGGGAAGCATTAAGTTTATTCGCCTCAAAGTGACGCAAAAATTCTTCAAGAGCTCTTTGGCGGCGGCTATCTAGAGATCAGACCATGTGAGGGCCCGCGGGTACAAATACGGCCGCGCCGGCGCCCCTCCGCACAGCCAGCGCCGCCGGGTGCCTCGAGGGCGCGAGGCCAGCCCGCCTGCCCAGCCCGGGACCAGCCTCCCCGCGCAGCCTGGCAGGTGGGTCCGCTTTTCCTCTCCGCCTCGAACCCACGTTTCTTTCCAGACCTTCTTCCCCGCCTCGGGGAGGGGGATAGAACCGCTGCGCCCCACCGCCCTGCGAGGAGGCGAGGAGGTGCATGCGCCCCAGCGGTGGGCGCCGGATCCTGCCCCTGCGCCCTCCACGCTCAGCAAGAGCCAGAGCTGAAGCTGACCGGCCAGAGTGGGAGACGAGGAACGTGGAGTGCTCGAAGTGGGCGGGCGTAGGGGGCTCCTTTGTCTATTGTTGCAGGGGCTTTGCAACCTCTTGAGGACCCGTGAAAGACCCCTTAAAGAGGGTCTTGAGCAAAGTGCTGTCCTGCGCTTTGGGAAGAGTTGCTTGCTTTCGTTTCAACCCATGGTTTATGTTTGATCTTTACTTTGCTGTCATCGCGTGCAGGTGGCTTTATGCAAAGGGAGAGTTCTGGTTGACACAAATGCCCAGACAGCTAGAGAAATCTCTGAGTGGCGCCTAAGTGGGCCGAGTCTCCGTGCGCTTGGGTGGTTTCACTGTCAGAGCTGAGGCGCTCTCAGACACCTCACAGGCCATTCAGAATGTATGTGAAACTCCAACTCCAACGACTGTGCTACGTGGTTGAAGGATATAACCATCATTTGCTTGAAAATTGTGTACATTCAAACTTGTTCTTGAAAAAAAGCTCTCTGGAGCTCAAGAGTGGATTTGGGTCTTGGGCTAAGGAGCAGATTTTCTTCTGAACTGGGGCTTTTGCATATTGAATTGTTCCTTTTCCATTTGGGACTCTGAAGAATTTGAGAGGGGTAGAATTTCTGAATCAGACATTACAAAGACTTTGTGTATGTATTTTTACCATCAGTTTTGTCCAGAAAAGTGAACCTGGTCAATGGATTATTTATGAGCCTGCTAGCTAACTCTCATCATAGGAAGACGAGAGCAAATATTTAATGTGTTTTGCCTTCAGTTACATAGGAAAAATGTCTAAGAAGGTGACATTGGGACTTGTGTTTAATGAAACAGAGAACTGTGGGCAGCGTCAGTGTTGGGTTTTTAGGAGCGTAGGGAGCACACAGCTTTGACTCTTTGTCCCATTACTTGCTTCTGTGTGAAGCCACTGAGGCCCCAGGGTTCGGGTTTTCCTGCCACGCACTCTGGGGTGGCAGTGACCGTTCCAATATGGATGAGTGAGAAGCAGGTTCTTATGAGGTTTGTGCAAATTGAGCAAGCCACTTGGGGCATGGGTTTTTCCTCTTTTCTTTCTTTCTTTCTTTTTCCCACTAAAGAACAGATTGAAAGTGCTTCACAATTAATCAAAAGTCCCCTCAACACTCTGGTGATCCATCTAAGACCTCTCAGAGATATAACCACCAGCACAGATATTCAAACCCATTTTTTTCAATCTCCTTGTTTAAGAAATATATATATACTAGGAGTGGGATGGGGGAATAATGTTGATGTTTTAATGGAATCTGAAAGACCTCAGAAATTCCTCTCGGGGGATGTTTAGAGTCGTCTGAGCATTTTGATGAAACTTGGAGAGGCATGTTGAAGAGTTTCGCAAATAGGTGAGGTGCCTGAGGAATGGGGATGCTTGGCTGGAGGGGGGTTAGGAGCATGGATCAGTCTGTTTCTTACAGCAGGTGCTTGCTTCCCAAACACCCTGGATGTCCGCTGCCAAACAGAAACACAGGTAACTCCAGACATTAAGCCAATACGTGGCAGCTCCTTCTCCTTCCTAGTTGTGGAATGAATGGTATAATTGGAGAGAATATAGAAGGCAGGGCTTCCTGAAGAAGCTTAATTTTAATTTGGCTTCATGAATCAACAGGATATGGTCATGACTTGACTTTTTCTAAAGATGTCTGGACAGCCAGAGCAAAAATTATACAGTCACTTTTGGTTGTTGTTGAGAAGGTAACTCAGACCTTAGTTATTCCCAGTAACATATCAGCTCCTCGTGGTCCTCAGCTCTAAATGAGGGGCTGTGGAGAGGACTGCCTAACACGATGTCCGAGTCCCCTCCAACTCACTCTGCAACCATGACCCTAACCTCTCCACTTTAAGAAAACATGAGTTGAAATGATGGTGCAAAAATGCCGGAGGGCCGGTACTCTCTACCCAGATATCACCTTCAAATCAGGGTCTCCTGGGGATCCCCTCAGGTTTCACTCTAAGGCAGAGGCTTTGCACACTCTGACACATGTAAGTAAGTTAACCCCTGCACCTTAACCACAGCCAACCAACAGGGGCCCAATAACCCGACTCCCCAGCTGCCCAAATGCCCTTTGCAAGATGCCCAGGGTGTGGTGCGGTAGAAATAGCCCCCAGGCAGCACAAATTTGGGCTGCACCGATTTTCCTGTCCAGTCCCTGGGCTATTAACAGCCACCTCCACTCCCTGATGTTTGCGGTGTTCCATGGAACATACGTGGGTGTGGAGCGAAACATCTCATAAAAGCGCCTGTTTCTCCACACTTGGGACAAGTGAGGCAGACTCCCTTGCTCTTACAGGGAATCTGTTTCTGGGCTTAACCAGGCAAAATGACATTCCAAGGGAAGAAAACTCCCATCTTTCTAGGAGGGACCCAGGGGAAAACAGATGAAACTAGCCTTTCACAGAAACCTGGCATCAATGATCTTCCCTGAGCAGAAAGGCAAATTGCTCTTCCAGGTGGGCACGGGCTCCACCATTGGCCTGCACAGCCCCGTACTTCCAGGTGGAGCTCACGGTGCTGACTTTGGTTCACATTCAGAAATGTTGCCCTGTGAGAAACGTCTCTGCAGGGGCTGCTCCCTTCAGCCTGACTTTTGTTTGCTCTGGGTGACTGGGAAGACGAATGCTCATTTACTGAATGTCAACAACGCGCTTTTAAATGGGAGCAAGTGTTTTCCCAGCCCTGTGTCTAATGAGGTGACAAAATGAGTAGCGATAAAGTGGATGTGAGGCAGTCTGACTGCCTTATTATTATTTCCATCTTTCCTTTGGCCCCTCTGGAACCTGGCAGCAGCTCCCCAGCTTCCATCCCAACCCTGAACCAAGGGGATTTGTTAATGGGATTTAAGCCACAGGCTCTTTAGCACCCAGGACTGGATGGACCTCCATTAATCCCAGAAGCCCCTGGGCTGCAAAAGGAGAGACGCAACCCAGTGATGTGGAGACAGAGAGGCAATGTCCCAGGTCTTCAGGTACTGACGAGTGACAGACAGCAAGGGGAGGGTCTCCTGGGATGCTGATGTCCAGTTCTTCAGGTCATTCTTTGAGGTAGGGAGGGAAGAGGTGACAGGAGGGGTTATGATGAGACCAGGTGGTGATCTGGGCGAGCACTTCTCAGCAAAGCTGGGGACACAGCGAACCCATTGTGTGCTTTGGGAGAGCCCAGAGCCCCAGACTGGGTGGGCAGCTAGCAGGAGGGGGCAAGTACGTGGGCCTTTGCCGTCTTGGGTTTTGGTGTGACCTTTCTGTGTGTATACAGGAAAAAAGAGCATTTCATTTCCTTTGTTACTGAACTGTTGAATAAAATAAGCTGATTTGTCTTCTCTAAGGGAACTTTTTCCTCTAAGGGGCCAAGAATTAGTGAGTGGGAGACCTGGAAGGACCAGGGAGGGGTTCTGCTCCCCGTAGCTCTGTGCATGGCTGGCTCTAGCTCACCCACGGCTCTTGAGGACAAAGCCAGGCCTAGAACTTGAGTCTCTTCTACTTTCGCTCTCTTCTCTTCCCTCCGTAATGATGGGCATGTCTTCTTTAAAAGGCGAACCAAATTAGCTGGCCCTTTCTCTTGTTTCAGAGTTGGGGAGCTGGGCCGAAGGAACAGGGAGGGAAGAGCCTGGAGGGGAGAGGGGAGGTAAGCTGTTCTGGTCAGCAGGGAGCTTTGGCTGACTGGAAGTTTCCCAGCACTGGCTGAGGGCTAGAATTATTTTTTCTTTTGAAAATTTTCAACTGAAAAATCAGAGATATGGTCCATTTTCACCAGTTAACATTTTGCCAATTTGTGTACAAAGTCACTCTAATTATGCATATATCTAATTTTTGCATATGCAGTATATATATGATTTGATATATTATGTGTAATATATAAGATCATTAATATAATTATGCCATTTATGTATCTGTATGTATACATACAGATATATATACACACTATATATACACATATGTACATACAGATACATACAGATATATATATACATATGTACATACAGATACATACAGTGTATATATGTGTCTGTATACACTATATGTATATATAAACTATATGTATCTGTATGTATACCTACAGATATATATAGTGTGTATATATATATCTGTAGGTATACATACAGGTATATATATACTATATATATAGGTTCAACTAATATATATAGTTGAACCTTTGAGAGTTTGCAGACTTCCAGATACTTCTTCCTTAAATACTTCAACACAGATTTCCAACAAACAAGGACCTTCTTGTACGTAACCACAGCGCCATTTTCATGCTGGGGAAACTGGAGATAGATACAATACTATTATCGCACATACAGCTCATATTCCCATTTCCCCCGCTGTCTCAATGATGTCCTTTTTAGCATACAGTGTTACTCTGTGAGACTGTAAACTAGGGGTCAGAAAGTTTTTCTTGCTCTCATCTCAGTGCATATCTGAGAACTAGACTGGTGCAATGATGTGTAAGGATGAACTGATTTTTCATGAGTGTCTCCAACTGTGTGACTCACACTAAAGCACATCTCAGAAATTGTTGACCTAAGAGTATAGGCACCTTTGAGCAGCAACAGCCAAACTCCAAACACCTTGTGGCTGAAGAGGTGGTTGCACGTGTCCTCCGCGCCCCCTCTCCACCTGGATGCACCCGTCTCCTCCAGCAGCCTCACCTCACCTGACCTCACCTCTCCTTCTCCCCTCCATGCCCCACCCAGAGAAATGGGCCAGTTTCCCCTCTCTTTTCTCTTCTCCACTCCCATTTTATTTTGTAGTTCCACTTCAAACCCCCTTTTCCCCACTTCCCTCTTCCGCCTTGCTCAGCAGCCACAGGTGAATCCACCCTTATTTCATAGCACCCTCTCCCTGGGGTTGTTTTTTCCTCTCTTCTCTCTGTTTTGGGTCCCTTTGTGGACCCAATCATGTCTGTTTTACACAAAGGTAATCTTAGTAACATACCTGTATAAAGGAAAAGAAAAGCTGTGTGTGGACATGTTCCCATGTGTTCTATCTCGATTTTTACTTATTGCATAAATTGTATTTATCACAACAGTAAAGGAGTGTTTGGAAGGTGAAGTGACACTCCTAATCCTGATTAATCTAACACATCATCTGTTTTGAGTTTCTCAAGTCTCTTTCCCAGCCTCGTCCACATTTAAATATACTATGGTAACAGAGTAAAAGCAGTTTTGTTTTCTGCAAAAAGTTGTAAGTTGTGAAATTATGTGTCACAAGCAATTCATGTCACCAACTTCTTCTTCTTCCTCTTCCTCTTCCTCCTCCTCCTCCTCCTCCTCCTCCTCTTCCTCTTCCTCTTCCTCTTCCTCCTCTTCTTCTTCTTCTTCTTCTTCTTCTTCTTCTTCTTCTTCTTCTTCTTCTTTCTTCTTTTTCTTCTTCTTCTTTTTTGAGATGGAGTTTCGCTCCTGTTGTCCAGGCTGGAGTGCAATGGCCCGATCTCAGCTCACCACAACCTCTGCCTCCTGGGTTCAAGCTATTCTCCTGCCTCAGCCTCTAAAAGGCTGGTATTACAGGCATGCGCCACCATGCCTGGCTAATTTTTGTATTTTTAGTAGAGACAGGGTTTCTCCATGTTGATCAGGCTGGTCTCGAACTCTGACCTCAGGTGATCCGCCCACCTTGGCCTCCCAAAGTGCTGGGATTACAGGCATGTGACACTGCGCCCAGCCCATGTCATCAACTTCTAAAGAACTTGGACCAGGCGCAGTGGCTCATGCTGTAATCTCAGCACTTTGGGAGGCTGAGGCAGGAGGATCGCTGGAGTCCAGGAGTTCAAGACCAGCCTGGGCAACATAGCGAGATCTCATCTCTACTGTGTATTTTAAAATTGAACAACAAACAAAACTAAAGACCTCAAAAGTGCCTAAAAGACACCTCCGTGGAATCTGTACAAGGATCTCCCTGCTCCTTGTTCTTCTTTCCTTAAATTTAGTTTTCCTTAAGAACCAAAAAGAAGGTTAAAATAAAGAAAGAACTTCGAATCAGTCTCATTGTCAGCCCCCTCCCCACCCCTAAGCCGTCGTGTAGCACTTAACAACGCTGTGTTCTACAGCTTTCGTTTCAGATGTTTTAGTTTATCACATTTATTTCTGTGGGTTAGGAAATATATTCTAAGTTCCAAACCACCAGCTCACAGATGAACATTTGGAGCCCAGACCGCTGATGGGTGTGCCTGCCAGTACTTGTTTCAAAGTCTGAAAGCCCATCCCGGGCTCTTTAATCCTGGGCATGTCAGTCTCTTCCTGTCCATAGTCCATGAAAATGACTGTTAAGGCAGCCCTCCTCCTCTGCCCACAAGATGCACAGCCAATCTTCCCGATGGGTGAGGCAGGGAGGGACAGGGCCCCTTAGAATAGAACCCTGATCCCATTTGACTTAACTCCAGGGAGGAGAGAAAGAGCAGCACCTCACATGGAGCTCAGATCTGTTGGCACCCTCGCCCAGTCAGGAAACCCAAAACAAGCCCTCCATGCTGAGAGCTGTACAGGGCGTGCTCCAGTCTGCAAGTATTTGGACTCAGGGACGTGTAGCCATAGCCCCTGCTTCCAGGGGCACACGAAGCAAATGTATATAAAAGGATAACTAATGATGCCTGGTAATCAATGGCGAGTGACAAATGAGAATTGAGTAGAAAGAGTGTATCTTGGGCTGGAGTGCTGAGAGGAGGTGGATAGAAGCTTATGCCAGGCCTTGGAGGGTGCAGGATAATTAGAGGAAGGGAAGCTACAGGTGGGGACGCACACGGCACTGTTGGTGCCTACTGGCCCCTGAATAACCTGCGGTATTTGTTAAAAACTGCAGATCCCTGAGTGCCCACGTGGATCTCTTGAATTAGAATCTCTGGGAGAGCAGCCCAGGAGTCTGTTTCCCAGGTGACCCCAAGCACTGATTGAGAGCAGCAAGCATGACCCAGTGAGGCCCGTGCTGGGAGCCACAGATCACTTAAGTCCCAAGTCTTGTGGGCCTCAGTTTCCCTGCTAGGGTATGAAGTAGAAAGGCACAATGGGTTGCGGATGTATGGTGGTGATAGTGACATCAACTCACTGTCATTTATTGATGCTTCCCTGTGCTAGACACTGAGATAAGCATGTGTCATACTTTAATTCCCACGACAGCCTTTAGGAAGTAGCGGTTTTAACAGTCTGCTTTTACACAGGAGGAAATGGAAGCTAAGAGAGGTTAAGTGACCTACTCAAAGTCACACAGCCATTAAGTGGTGGACCAGGGATTCCAGTGCAGACCTGAAACAGAAAGGAGAGCTATGGGTTGTGAACAGAGGAACTAATGAAAGATGACTCTGGAAGGAAGTTAGTCTGGGCTTGGCTGTTTATATTCACTGGAGGAGGGCTGTTCACATCTGCTATGCTAAATTCATTTCTTTCTAGTAAAGTCAAAATAAATAATCCAGTATCCTTTTGGCCAGCCTCTCAGGGGGACCTTGACCCCATCACAAGGGGCATATCCTCTAGATTTTATACTCTGTGTAGAGAGAAGCCCAGGGCTATCCTCTCCCAGGCAGGGAAAGTTCTGGACAGAAATTCTTTTTCTTTCTCATGATAACTGGCCCAAATGGCCCTGAGGATTTTATCCTATTTAATTCCTCTCCAAAAAATTAAACCAGGCTGGGTGCAGTGGATCATGCCTGTAATCCCAGCACTTTGGGAGGCCAAGGCGGGAGGATTGCTCATAGGCCAGGAGTTCAAGACCAACCTGGGCAACATGGTGAAACCCCATCTCTGAAAAAAATACAAAAAATTAGCTGGGTGTGGTGGCACACACCTGTAATCTCAGCTACTCGGGAGCCTGAGGTGGGAGGATTCCTTGAGCCCGGGAGGTTGAGGCTGCAGAGAGCCATGATCATGCCACTGCACTCCAGCCTGGATGACAGTGCAAGACTCTGTCTCTTAAAAAAACAACACACACACACACACAAACACACACACAAAGGAACAGAAAAAACACTAAACTGACTCTGTCATATGAGGAATCCTTTGGATAAGGAGATGGCTGTGATAGTGGAGTTCATTTCTACCCTTTTTGTCCAAAAAAAAAACAAGCAGATTTTCTCTATTCTCTTCATTTCTATCATGAAATCTCTTCAATTCATTGGAAAGGCAAGGCAGGAGTCCCTATGGCTTCCGACCTGTGCCCCCATGACCCTGCACACTTCGGGAACACAGCAGTGCCTTCAGCAGATGCAAACGTGAGCCCCCATTTTACACTGCAGAGCCTGCAAGGAAGGATCAGCCAACAGCCAAGGTCCTGTGAGAGAAACTGTGCAATAGCAGCAAAGGAAGACTTAAAGCCTGGGGGCAACTGTGGTGCAAAACATGTGAGCTATCTAAACACGCCGCGGCGAGCCAGCGGCAGCCTCTGTTCACCACGGGATGTGTGGCAGCACCAGCCTCTCCAGAAGCATCGTGTTTTTCCTAGCAGTTGGTTTTCTTTTTCAGATTTTAGGCTTGGCCTGTGGACTCCATGCAGGCAGGACTGTGCCTGCCTTGTTTCTTTTTTCTTTCTTTTTCTTTTTTTTTTGAGACAGAGTCTCACTCTATCGCCCAGGCTGGAGCGCAGTTTGGCTGACTGTAACCTCTGCCTCCCAGGTTCAGGCGATTCTCATGCATCAGTCTTCTGAGTAGCTGGGATTACAGACATGCACCACCACGCCCGGCTCATTTTTTGTATTTTTATTTTTATTTATTTATTTGAGACAGAGTTTCACTCTTGTCACTCAGGCTGAAGTGTAGTGGCTCAATCTCAGCTCACTGCAACCTCCGCTTCCTGGGTTCAGGCAATTCTCCTGCCTCAGCCTCACAAGTAGCTGAGATTACAGGCACCCGCCACCACACCCAGCTACTTTTTGTATTTTTAGTAGAGACAGGATTTCACCATGCTGGCCACGCTGGTCTCAAACTCCTGACCTCAGGTGATCCGCCCGCCTTGGCTTCCCAAAGTGCTGGGATTACAGGCGTGAGCCAGCTGGCCCGGCTTGCCTGCCTTGTTTCTGAGGAGCCGAGCACATGTGGGCCTACGCACATCTTTGCTGAGGGAGTGCTTCTCCATGAAGAAGGCCAGATTCCATGTTTACTGCTTCGGGCGGCACCAGCGTTCCATAATTCCCATCACTCTTGGGAGATGCCCTGGGAACTTCAGCCTCCCTCTGAATAGAGGATACGAACTGCCAGTTGGCTCTATGACCTGTAACTAATCCTATCTCAACGTTAAACCCACAGTTCATTTGTTTTTGTTTGTTTTGAGAAAGAAAGTTGAGTTTCCTGAGAAATGAACTCACTTTGATCTTGACACATGAAGTCAAAGTTCAACATTTCTGTAGTGTCTTTCTGCTTAGAAGGCACTGATAGGCATCAAGTAGATGGAGCGTCACAGGCATTTCCAAAGGGCTGGGTGTTTATGACCAATCGGGATAATTACATGCTTGTTCAGGTACGGGTTGCTCCTGGCTATAGAGACAAAGTGTGTGGAAAGAGGAATGGAGATTCGATCAGAAGTTTAAATAGAAACAGTCCTTTTTTACTTGGAGTCAGGGATTGGGGGAATGGAGTGCATTAGCTTCAGGAGAGTTAAGAGAAAGTCAACCACTCCCATTGGCTGGTCAACTGCACCCCTCATGTGCAGAGACCTAGGGGGACGAAGCTTCTGTCTGCCAGCTGTCATTCCACAGCAGAGGTGGGGTCCACGGCACCACCCTCAGCCTGTCACCAGCTCAGCCTGGAACAACAGCACACATCCAAGATGCAAAGGAAGGCTTCCTTCTGGGGCTTTTTCTGGACATGGAGAAACTCAAAGACTGCCTGGAGAAGGTCACAGCTGTAATATTGACCTCGTTTGCAATCTTTCCACCCAGCAGGATAAAAATACCTTTTAAAAAAAGAAAGCTTAGAAGAGGGCATTCTCAGAAACCAACCTTCTTAACAACTCACACTTCTCTATTCCTGGGCCAGCTTGTTTTCAGCCATTGTTATGTGCAAGTCTTGATAGAAAAAGCCAGCCAGGGCTCTGCAGAATCAGAAAAAATAGGAAGAGAGTCTGGGGCTCCACAGGCAGGAGCTTGCAGGCAGAAAGGGCCCCGGGCACATGGCATCTTCTCCTGGCAGACCCGATTAGTCACCGAGAGGAGTTTTCCTCTACCTGGCAGAGGCAGAGGAGTAAGTTAAGAAAAGGAGATGTGTGTCTCCTCTGAGTGGCTGTAACTTTGTGTTTGCACCCCAGATTCTATGATGAGGGTGGGGGTTCAGTAGGAGAACCCCAGAAAGCACAGCTGGATAGAGAGAGACAGCCTGTGGGGAGAGGCTGCCCGGTCATGAGTTGTCTGAGGGATGCTCTGGGTTTTCTTGCACTGGGGCCATTTCAGCCTGTTGATGTAAAATTTTTTAATTAAAAAATTAAGAAGAACTAGGGGATATTTCAGGAAACAAGACCTCTGTAATGGCTCAGAACACAAATAGAAACAGCGTATTACTCTTCCAGGAGCTGCTTACCATAGTTGCCAGGAATTCAGGACTGGATGCCTTCGGGGCTGAACCCCTGAGGACTCCTGAGAACACACGTTGCCCTCAAAAATCTACCTACCTGCACACATTTTCTACCCTCTCTGCAGGACGCCTCAAGGAAGAAAGTAAACAAAATCCAGAACAAATCATTTGGCCCCTGAGGCAGGAGGGTAACTGCTCACTGCTGCTGCTAAATGTCTATTTCCTCTCCCCAAAGTATTGCTTCTGAGATGGACCGCATTTCCCTTCCGTAGACCCTCTGGGCCTGGGTAGAGAGGCCAGGGAACGCTTGGGTGATGCAATTGGAGCTTCTATTTAAGTGAGAGGAAAGTGGCAGTACAGAAAATAGAAGAGGTTCTTGCAGAAAATTGTGGGGCCAGGCCAGGCATGGTGTCTCACACCTGTGATCTCAGCTCTTTGGGAGGCCAAGGCGGGTGGATCATGTGAGGTCAGGAGTTCAAGACCATCCTGGCCAACATAGTGAAACCCCATCTCTACTAAAAATATAAAAATTAGCCGGGCATGGTGGAGCACGCCTGTAGTCCCAGCTACTCGGAGGCTGAGGCACAAGAATCGCTTGAACCCGGGAGGCAGAGGTTGCAGTGAGCCAAAATTGTGCCACTGCACACCAGCCTGGGCAACAGAGCAAGACTGTTTCAAAAAAAAAAAAACAAAACTGTGGGGCCAGTGGGAGGAAGAGCAAGGGAAGGAGCAGCTCTGTCAACTCGGTGCCCTCCAGCCGCACAGGGAAAAGCTCTTCCTCCCTGCCATTTGGCCTTCAAGTTCGTCAGTTGTTTAACGTACAAAACATGTCATTGATATAGGCCGGAGGGAAGTACAGAGGCCTTTTTAAACAACACAACCACTGACTACCAAGTTCAGGTTTAATTTAGCTGAATATTTAAATATGTTGACATCTCATCATGTAATAAAATAATAATATCCCTTGGCCTGGTAAATGGTTACCTATGGTGGGTGAGAGGATGTGTGGTTATTTTAAAAGCCTATCAAGCCTAGTTGAGGGCCGAAGGAAGGGGGAAGTGGGGGGAGGCCAAGGCCAGGCAGTAGCATAAATGGTGAGCAGGGTGAGGTTATGGAGACCGCTCTTGTCAGAATTCATATCCTTCTGAGTGGTGTTTGCATTCTTGAGCCTGGGGTGGGTGGCGGAGGGCCCAACAAGTGCGGTACAGCCCAAGACGTCTACCTCCCCTTACACACACACAGCCCCTAGCTACATGAAGCTGATTTATCTCTTGTTGCTGTAGATATTTTTGGCAACAATCGATCCCTTTAAAATTTTTATTTTCCACTTTACAGAAAAAATGCAGCAAACGCCAAACCCTAGTGACTGACATTGCCTGGTGTTCATGTCTAATCCTTGCTCATGTTTATAGCCATAGTCATTCTTGTGAAGCTACTATTTTGTGTCCTGATTTTTCACTTACTATGTTTTTGTCTTCACATGTGTAGGTAGCTAAGTTGCAGTCACCAAAAACCCCAAATAGGTAGGAGACATCCATGCGCCATTTCTATTAGCCAGTTCCTAGCCATCCTCCTAACTGTTGGATCTGGAGGGTTAGCCTCAGATCATTGCAGTTATAAACAGTCCATCCCTGGCTATCTTTTCTAGAAGGGTCCAGTGTCATCTCAGCTAGGCAGAAACGTATTTCAACTCCCAAACTGTTTCAAGAGTTTGAAAAGCTCAGGCCCAGAAGAAACAGAGTGAGCAGTTGAACAGTCTTACAACTGCTGCTTACAACTTTATAACAGGCCATAGGTTTAAAGTCCAAAAGGGCTCAAATTTCTACCCCACGTTTGACGACTCAGACCTCAAGCCAGAGCTGAGCTGACTTCCCTGCGCCCAGGCCACGGCGGTGAAATGAAGGCACAGCAGCCCCGGCCAGGCCCTCCCAGTGGAGGCACAGGGGGACGGCGACACCAACCACCCCAGCATCAGTAACCTGCACACTCTTCTCCCTAGGTCTCCTGGAGGCAAGGCGACCTTGCTTGCCCTCTCTTGCAGAATAACAAGGGGCTTAGCCACAGGAGTTGCTGGCAAGTGGAAAGAAGAACAAATGGTGAGCAGCAGTGCCGTTTAAGGACCAGTCGGGCTTGCAAATGCATAATGGGAACGCAGAAAGGCCATGTGCAGATAGACTGGACACAGCCGGAGGCAGCTCAAATCTGCCCCAACCTTCCTAGGGGCTAAAAGACGAGTGACAGAATCTGTAGCTGATGAGCTGGGGTGCCTCACGAAGGGTGGCCTTTTTACCTCTGTCCTTTGCTTTTTTCCTTTTAAAATCATAGCTGTAGTTGATATAAAATATAACTTTGGGTGTGCAGCTTAAATGATGGTGAGGACTGTCCTGCCTGCTGAAAGGCAGAAACGCCTTTGCTTGTCATTGTTTCCCCAACATAGCATCCAAGACAAAGGGGGTGCTCTGTGACGCTTTGGAGCCTCTCTCACATTCTTCTGAGCTGCTGGCAAACCACAAGATGAGAGTCCAGTGGCTCAAAGGGAAGCGAGTGCTTTGCTCTCCAGTCCAGCCTGTGCAAACCTTGGTGATTTGCTGTCTATTTGTGTTGGTTTTATTGTTTCCTTTTGAAATTACTTGATTGTCATTTGATGCCCTGTATAGGTTGAGAAATTTAGTTGAATTTATGGACTGCCATGTAGCAAATAGGATGTCTCACATTTAACAGATGCATTTGTAATCCCGTTAACTAATGTAGTTTAAGATGTATGATGAGTTAATACCAAAGATGAGTAAAATGTCTAACTTTTTTCTCCTTCCTCTGTGTGTCTTTCCAACAGAGTCAATCCCGACGTGTCAATCCCGACGATAGAGAGCTCGGAGGTGATCCACAAATCCAAGCACCCAGAGATCAATTGGGATCCTTGGCAGATGGACATCAGTGTCATTTACTAACCAGCAGGATGGAGACGACGCCCTTGAATTCTCAGAAGCAGCTATCAGCGTGTGAAGATGGAGAAGATTGTCAGGAAAACGGAGTTCTACAGAAGGTTGTTCCCACCCCAGGGGACAAAGTGGAGTCCGGGCAAATATCCAATGGGTACTCAGCAGTTCCAAGTCCTGGTGCGGGAGATGACACACGGCACTCTATCCCAGCGACCACCACCACCCTAGTGGCTGAGCTTCATCAAGGGGAACGGGAGACCTGGGGCAAGAAGGTGGATTTCCTTCTCTCAGTGATTGGCTATGCTGTGGACCTGGGCAATGTCTGGCGCTTCCCCTACATATGTTACCAGAATGGAGGGGGTCAGTATCACAGGCTGCGAGTAGAGGCTGTGACCCAGGGTGGGCTGTGACCCGGAGTGGGCTGTGACCCGGGGTGGGCTGTGACCCGGGTGGGCTGCGACCTGGGGTGGGCTGTGACCTGGGATGGGCTGTGACCCGGGTGGGCTGTGACCTGGGGTGGGCTGTGACCCGGGTGGGCTGTGACCTGGGGTGGGCTGTGACCCGGGTGGGCTGTGACCTGGGATGGGCTGTAGGTCCTCTTGAGAGGCCAGAAGACAGATTATGTCTTTTCAGTCTTCACTGGCGTAAGACTAGGAACATGATGACTTAGACTTTCGAGCTGGTAGAAAAGTCAAATCTCGCCAGGCGTGGTGGCTCACACCTGTAATCCCAGCACTTTGGGAGGCTGAGGCAGGTGGATCACCTGAGGTCAGGAGTTCAAGACCAGCCTGACCAACATGGCAAAACCCCGTCTCCACTAAAAATATAAAAATTAGCTGGGTATGGTGGTGGGCGCCTGTAGTCCCAGCTACTTGGGAGGCTGAGGCAGGAGAATCACTTGAACCTGGGAGGTGGAGGTTGCAGTGAGCCGAGATGGCACCACTGCACTCCAGCCTAGGCGACAGAGCGAGACTCTGTCTCAAAAAAAAAAAAAAAAAAAAAAAGTCAAATCTCCAGCAAGCCAAAAGCTGAAGACAGCGTGTCTGAGGCTCTCCGGGTTGTGAAGCTGGGTGAAGCCCTCCCAAACCTGACCTCACAGATCTCCAGCATCATTAGCGCTCCATTTATTGAAGGGCCTCCTTCTCATCCTGCATTCTCCAGGCTCTGTCCTCCCCCAGCCAGAAGTGAGGGAATGGCCGTCAGCCCTGTGCTGAGTCCCTTCACTCCTGCTGGCAAGTTCTGCTGGGAAGAGTCCACGAGGGTAGGCCTGCGTAAGGGAAAATTTGGAGGTGGCTTCAGAGTCCCAGATGCTTCTGATCCTTTGGACCTGTGTGAGGTCAGAGAAGGGCATCAGCGTTAAGTCCTAAATCTTAATTACCAGTCTGGGCAGAATTTAAGCTGGATTAGATCCACAGCATGACATTAATACCAACCTCAAACCACGCATGGCTGGCCCTCCTATCTCCTCCTGGGATGTTAGATTTTTGAGGCCAGAGGCCCTATCTTGTTCCTTGTACCCCTAAAGCCTCTCAAGTAGTTAACTTGTAGATTATAAAAAATAGTAGCTGACTGTAGGCATGAAGATGGGAACCTGGGGGAGAGCAGAGCAGTGGGGAAAAGTGAATGGGTTTGGGGCCTCTGGACTTGTTATCAGCACAAGAAAATAACAAGAAGTGGGTGTCAGATGCGTCAAGCTTGATTTTCATGGGAACTCTGACAACAGATTTGGGAGGGCAGCTACAAAGAGGTTTGGGGATCATCCATTTGTGTCACCCTCACTTCTCCCGTGACCTAACACAGAGTGGCCTGGATTTACTCTCTTTTAAAGATTTCTGTCCATGTAGTTGCAAAGGTAGTTCCAGGGGGCCCCTGGGAAGCTCAGCGCTTCCTGCCTAGGAGGAGCAAAAGTCATAATCACCTTATCTCCTGCTCCAGAGGACTCACCTTTAGCCTGGGCATTATGTAAGGGGCTGGGTCACTGGTGACATTTCCCCGACACTCATTCCCCAGCGTAAAGCTGATCAAGCAAACTCTTTGGAGGAAGGCCATCACGAGAACACATGGTTTTATTCTCGAGCCGGGTTTACCCAGTGTGACTGTAAATTACATGGACCTTTCTGATTTGCACAGACCTCAGGTTTCTGGGTTCAGAGCATTTTACAGCAGGGAAAATTAGGGAAAATCACAGCTGATCCACCCTTTAGGCTAAAAACTCAGGCTGCAGGTTAGCATTCCCCAACTTGGTATTTTTAAATTCAGCCTCAGCCACAAGATCCAGGAGACACCAGCATCTCCAGTTAGGTAGCAGCTCTGTGCTTGCTTGTTCTGTGAAAAACTACCCTGTCCAGCCACTCCTGCAAACGGCGCTTGTCAGGGAGCATTCTGGCTCAATGGAATTATGGAAGTGTAGCCAAATATCAATAATCATGTGTCTGGAGCCATAGATAATACTGATGAACAAAGATACTGATTTGGTGACTCACAGAGAGTTGCAGCTGTTGCTACAGATTGTCACAGGTGATCTGTTCCAAGGGTCCCAGGTACTGGCTGCATCGGAATCACCTAGGGAGCTTGAACACAATTTTTGTGTTGTGCCCATGCTTGGAGATTCCGCTTCAGGAGGTCTGGGGTAGACCCAGGAATCTAGGTGACTATGATGTGTGGCTACATTTGGGAAACTCAGCTCTCCTCAACTGTGTTCTTTTATAGGGAGGAAATTGGGGCTCAGAGAGGGGAAGTGGCCCAGCGTTCTCCAGGTAGTCATAAGTGGATGTGATCCTGCCTGTTCTGTCGACTCCCAAACCAGGCTTTCTTCCCAATTGCTCTCTTGGCCTCCTCTGAAACCTCATTTTAGTCATGGTGCTCCCCCTACGACTGCTTCTAGCAAAGCACTGAGACCAGAGGAGCACAGCATGAGGCCACTCAGCCCAGGGTGGCTCCTGACACTCACATCATCCGGCGACTGTGATTCTCAGTCACAGATTGGTTGGGCTATCCTGGGACAGACGTGGGCAGGGAGTGAAATTGTCTTTCATCTGCCTCAGGGGCATTCCTCCTCCCCTACACCATCATGGCCATTTTTGGGGGAATCCCGCTCTTTTACATGGAGCTCGCACTGGGACAGTACCACCGAAATGGATGCATTTCAATATGGAGGAAAATCTGCCCGATTTTCAAAGGTAACTGAAGGGCTCGGTGGGGTGGGTAAGTGGAGCCTCTCAGGAAGGGATTTCCATCAGTGGGTGGGAGCTGGGGACCTTCTTCTGGAATCAGTCAGGCCTTAGGCATCCCTGGGAGACTGCTTGAGTAATTAAGGTTTTGACTGCGTAAGTGGTGTGAAATTGTCAAAGAGAAACAGAATAAACGGCAATGAGAAGTAAACTAATGTAAACATTTTAAAGCATTAACAGGACATGTACACATTTTCTAAAACATGTTACCTTGCAAATACATATGAGTGACTAACGGCAGGGCCACTTTTCCCACGGTGGCCTGGAGTCCTTGGAATGGAATGGAGGGCAGCACCCACGTGTACCCCTCTGCTGGGCTGCGGGGCTCTCCAGTGCCCCGTTTCAGCCTTTTGCCGTTGGGCCACCCTTAAACTCGGCCTCTGTCTCTCCATCTCACCCACTGCCCAGGGATTGGTTATGCCATCTGCATCATTGCCTTTTACATTGCTTCCTACTACAACACCATCATGGCCTGGGCGCTATACTACCTCATCTCCTCCTTCACGGACCAGCTGCCCTGGACCAGCTGCAAGAACTCCTGGAACACTGGCAACTGCACCAATTACTTCTCCGAGGACAACATCACCTGGACCCTCCATTCCACGTCCCCTGCTGAAGAATTTTACACGTAAGTGCACGTAAGTGAGGGGTTGGCCTGTTAGGGGCAGGCCACACCCCTGGGGTTTGGCTTCTTAAAAAGAAGGCCAGGGCCAAGGGCTCCTCACCCCTTTCTGAGAGATGAAGCTATCAGGGGTGGGAGTAGCAGAATTTGGAGCTGGGAAACTCTACCTCAAGTGCTCCACGGCCTGGCCCTGCTGTGCCTCCTTGCACTTTCTCATGCGCCAAGTCAGTTTGCTCCAATGCGCCCAAGCCCGTCCCTCCCTTCACATTCCAAAATTACTCCCCTTCTTCCGGGGTCCTCCTCTCAGCCAAATGTCATGGAGGCGAAGCATCCTAGTACTTTGATAGTTCAAAACTATTCAAATGGTTTAATGTGTCAACTTCGTAAGTGGGATCTACCCTTTGGAAGAAGATGCTTGAGGAAGGTAGTTTTCTTTAATGCTGGAATTTCAGGCAATGGCAGCCCAAAGAGAGAGCTACTTTGGGGTAGGGAAGGGAGCCAACTCCCCACACTTACACATCCCTCATGTTCCCAAAAGCCAGTCACATTGGTCAAAGGAGTTCAGGTCCCATCCAGCAAAGGAGAATCCAGGAAGTCTGCCTTTAGGTTGAACACTCTTCCCAGGGTGTTGGCCAAATGTGCTTTGTGGTCCTTCAGGACAGGCAGGGCCAATCCCAGCTCTTCCTGGGCCTCAGTGACCACTTGGTCCTAGCAGCACCGTGTCCATTTGTCCCGGGCACCCTCAAAGGAGCAGCACAGATGTGTGCCCAGGTCACTCTACAGAGCCTCTCAGGGGCCTTTCTTTCTCCTTCACCCCAGGCGCCACGTCCTGCAGATCCACCGGTCTAAGGGGCTCCAGGACCTGGGGGGCATCAGCTGGCAGCTGGCCCTCTGCATCATGCTGATCTTCACTGTTATCTACTTCAGCATCTGGAAAGGCGTCAAGACCTCTGGCAAGGTGAGGAAGGCTCTGGCTGCTGACCCAGGCCTGCCCAGGGGCCCACAGGCTCTCAAACTCAAAACCCAGTAGCCTGGACAGACAGCACTGTTTCCTTCCACACCAAACACATTCCATGATGCACCCTCTCTCTCTTCACCGCATTTGTTAGAAAATTCTAGAAGTGGGTTGGGCATGGTGGCTCACGTCTCTAATCCCAGCACTTTGGGAGGCTGAGGTGGGTGGATCATTTGAGGCCAGGAGTTCAAGACCAGCCTGGCCAACACATCGAAACCTCATCTCTACTTAAACAAACAAACAAACAAACAAACAAACAAACAAAAAAAAACAATAGCCAGGTGTGGTGGCAGGTGCCTGTAATCCCAGCTACTCGGGAGGCTGAGGCAAGAGAATCACTTGAACCTGGGAGGTGGAGATTTCTGTGAGCCAAGATCATGCCATTACACTCCTGGGCAGCAGAGTGAAATTCTGTCTCACTAAAAAAAAAAAGGAAAAGAAAAAAGAATATTTTCTAGAAATGGGCCAATGCCAAGAACCATTACATGATTTTTTTTTTTCAAGATTCCTTCAACCCACTGGTAGTACCACAATTAATAATCGTGGCAATGACTTACTGGAAACCCATCATGGACCATGTTCAGTGCTTTTTATACACTGGCCAGTGCTATTGTTTCCTGCTAGATACTCCCTCAACCTTACAGATGCATAGTGGGCTCAGAGGTAGTTCTCCTGGCCAACCTGAATCCGATCCCTGTGTGACTCCAAGGGTTGTGATCTTTCTGCCACACCACCTCGCCCTCCTTTCTCAAGGTCTTCAAGAATAAAAGACACTGACATCCATTCACCCACCTCCCTCCCCTCCCCTCCCCTCCCCCGCTCCCTTCTCCTTCTCCCCTCCCCTCCCCTCCCCTCCCTGGAACAGCATGGTGATAACCCTTCTTCCTTACAGGTGGTGTGGGTGACAGCCACCTTCCCTTATATCATCCTTTCTGTCCTGCTGGTGAGGGGTGCCACCCTCCCTGGAGCCTGGAGGGGTGTTCTCTTCTACTTGAAACCCAATTGGCAGAAACTCCTGGAGACAGGGGTAAGATGATGAGGGAAATATGTGTACCTGTCTGTCATTTTACTAAACGAAGCTGGTCCTCCTCCAAATAGGACAGTAGGGACAACTGAAATGTGGCTTCAGTGTGCAAGTCTGCAATGATACTTTAACCAAGAAATACAAGCATTAAAGTACAGTTGAGGCCACTGGATGGGTTTATGCCTGAATCATAGGAAGAGAAATCACATTTGTTGGCACTTGGTTTATGGCTATGCCTGGAATGAGCCTTAAAAGCTGTTTTTCTGCCTCTGCACTTAGCCACATGGAGGCAGGAGTGGCGACCCTGTTGGTGCCAGGGTAAGCCTGTGTCTCCCCCTCACCCCATGCCCTTACCCCTGCTGTGTTCCAGGTGTGGATAGATGCAGCCGCTCAGATCTTCTTCTCTCTTGGTCCGGGCTTTGGGGTCCTGCTGGCTTTTGCTAGCTACAACAAGTTCAACAACAACTGCTACCAGTGAGTATCTGGGGTCCCCAAGCAAAGCTTGAAAGTGGCGTGAGTGAAAGTCAGCTAGTGTGGAGGAAGGTGATTGGACCGACGGCCTCGAATCTGGCCAGGCTTAGGCCTTGATACCACTGCCCCTCAGGGGTGCTGCAGGCCCCTGACCAGCTCACCCATGGCCAGAGCACTCATCCAGGCCGTGGCTTCACCTGGGCCACTCAGGCTGAGAGGGGCCCCATGCCCTTCGGTTTTGTCAGCGCTCCTGTATATAAAAATAATAAGAGGCTGGACATGGTGGCTCACGCCTGTAATCCCAGCACTTTGGGAGGCCAAGGCAGGTGGATCACCTGAGGTCAGGAGTTCCAGGCTAACCTGGCCAACATGGCGAAACCCTGTCTGTACTAAAAATACAAAGATTAGCCAGGCATGGTGTTGCACACCTGTAAGCACAGCCACTTGGGAGGCTGAGGCACGAGAAGTTGCAGTGAGCTGAGATCTTGCCACTACACTCCAGCCTGAGTGACAGAGCAAGATTCCAGAAAGAAAGAAAGAGAGAGAGAGAAAGAGAGAGAGAGAAATAAAGAAAGAAAGAAAGAAAGAAAAAAGAAAGAAAGAAAGAAAGAAAGGAAGGAAGGAAAGAAAAAGAAAGAAAGAAGAAAGAAGGAAGGAAAGAAAGAAAGAAAGAAAGAGAGAGACGGGGTGCGGTGGCTCCCACCTGTAATCTCAACACTTTGGGAGGCCGAGGCGGGTGGATCACGAGGTCAGGAGATCGATACCATCCTGGCTAACACGGTGAAACCCCATCTCTACTAAAAATACAAACAAATTAGCCGGGCGTGGTGGCGGGCGCCTGTAGTCCCAGCTACTCAGGAGGCTGAGACAGGAGAATGGCGTGAACCCAGGAGGTGGAGTTTGCGGTGAGCCGAGATTGTGCCACTGCACTCCAGCCTGGGCGACAGAGTGAGATTCCATCAAAAAAAAAAAAAAAAAAGAAAGAAAGAAAGAGAAATTGCAAAGCAAGTTTACAAAAAGCTGCAACATACAATTAAGTAGTTAGGTTTAACTAGTCAATGTGTTTAACAATAAAAATTGTAATGTGATTATTTGTATTATGTATAAACAAAAAGTATGATGATCACATTATTTTGACTAACACAAAATACCATAATTTTTCTTTTCTTTTCTTTTTTTTTTTTTTTTTTTGAGACGGAGTTTCGCTCTTGTTGTCCAGGCTGGAGTGCAATGGCGCAATCTCAGCTCACCACAACCTCTGCCTCCCGGGTTCAAGCGATTCTCCTGCCTCAGCCTCCCGAGTAGCTGGGATGACAGGCATGCGCCACCACGACTGGCTAAATTTGTATTTTTAGTAGAGATGGGGTTTCTCCATGTTGGTCAGGCTGGTCTCCAACTCCCGACCTCAGGTGATCCACCTGCCTCAGCCTCCCAAAGTGCTGGGATTACAGGCGTGAGCCACTGTGCCCAGCCAAAATGCCATAATTTTTGCAACAAAATCCTATTTCAGAAATTTTAACAGAACAGGAAATGTTACACCAATTATGGTTTTAAATATCACCCACTGGGCCAGGTGCAGTTGCTCAAACCTGTAATCTTAGCCCTTTGGGAGGCTGAGGCAGGAGGATCACTTGAGCCTAAGAGTTTGAGTCCAGCCTGGGCAACATGGTGAGATCCCATCTCTACAAAAAATTTAAAAATTAGCTGAGTGTGGTGGTGCATGCCTATGGTCCCAGCTCTTCAGGAGGCTGAAGCAGGAGGATTGCTTGAGCCCGGGAGGTTAAGGCTGCAGTGAGCTGTGTTCATGCCACTGCACTTCAGCCTGTGCAACAGAGGGAGACCCTATCTCAAAAATAAATAAATAAATAAATAAATAAATGTCACCCATCATCTTTAGACTTAATTTTAATTGATCACAGATGGCAGCATCCATCAATCTCTTTGTGCTATGCATAAGATAATTGTAAAACTGATTTTTTTAAAGGTGGGAGGGAGATTCACATGTACCCTAAGCAATGTGGCCTTGCACTGGGACACCACCCTGCAGTTGTATGATGAGGCTGTCATTTAAAAGTGTGAGATCAGGAGTTTGAGACCAGCCTGGCCAACATGGGGAAACCCCATCTCTACTAAAAATACAAAAATTAGCCAGGCGTGGTCGTGGGCGCCTGTAATCCCAGCTACTTGGGAGGCGGAAGCAGGAGAATCACCTGAACCCGGGAGGCAGAGGGTACAGTGAGCTGAGATCAAGCCACTGCACTCCAGCCTGGGCAATAGAGCAAGGCTCTGTCTCAAAAAAAAAAAAAAAAAAGAAAAAAAAATGAGGGTATCTCTCTGGCTGGCAGTCTGTGACTTAGTTTGAAGATAAAGCCTAAATCTGAGGATCTCACAAATGTGAGGCTCAGGCCCTGTCCTGGCCCCCACTCCAACCTGGGCCCTGCTCCAGAACAAGGCTGGTTTGAAATGGAGAGGTCTGTGCTAGCAGGATTGCCTTTTAAAGCACCCCTGACTGCTCTTCTCCCTCCACCATGTGTGGTGGTCATGGCAGTCAGAGCTTCAGGCCTCGGCAGCTGGGTTCTGGGAGAAGGCGAAGGGACTCCGGGACAGGCTTGAGGTTCCTTGAGTTCAGCCTGCTTGTCCTTGCTGTGGCCGCCCTGTCTAAGGCAGGGCAGGCACACGGACAGATGCTCCTTAGACCCCTGATCTTGGAACTGTCTCAGGCGGCCCCTTGGGTTTTCCCCTCCAGAGATGCCCTGGTGACCAGCGTGGTGAACTGCATGACGAGCTTCGTTTCGGGATTTGTCATCTTCACAGTGCTCGGTTACATGGCTGAGATGAGGAATGAAGATGTGTCTGAGGTGGCCAAAGACGCAGGTAGGACCTCGGGTTCTATGCAGGTCCCTTGCTCCTACTGAGTTGCTTTGCTTTGAATCTTTGTAAAGATCTAACTTTTGATTTATTTCTAAATGTTCCTGAAATTTTCCAAAGAAGGCTGGGCATGGTGGAGTTCAAGACCAGCCTGGGCAACATAGTGAGACCCTGCCTCTATAAAAAAATAAATGAGCTGGGCATGGTAGTGCACACCTATAGTCCCAGCTACTCAGGAGGCTGAGGTGGGAAGATTGCTTGAGCCTGGGAGGTCAAGGCTACAGTGAGCCATGATCACACCACTGTACTTCAGCCTGGGTGACAGAATAAGACCCTGTTTCCAAAACATTTTTTATTCAAAGATTTGAGAGAAGCTCGATGCCTTAGAGATCTTTCCATGTGTTCAGGCCATGCAGGGACAGGGCAACTCCCTTGGCACCCAGTTCTGGGGCCTCCAAAATCTATGGGCTTGAAATGATGACTCTGATGATGGCTTTAAAACCAGTGGGTTTGCTTCCTGTGATGGTCTTGTGATGGCTCAAAGTCTAGTAAGCAAATATCATTTATCCTTAGAACTGCCCCTTGCAGAAAAAGAAAATCTAGCCAATATGACCACTCTATTTTACCGTGAAGTTTTTGTGGAAAAAGAAAAGAGCAACAGAGGGAGAAAAAACAGATGATGGCATCTAGTGGGCGAGGTCCCAGGGCCTTCTTGTTACAAGCATGTTAGCATGCTTGTATCTTTGGCCTGATTCGGTGCTTTGACCAACCCCATACCCCAAACGAGGGCACCCCTAGCTAACCCATGAGAGGCTGAAGACATGTCCCTCACACTTTCAAAAGGGACTTTAAAATAGAAAGAGGTCTTTATTCCAAAGCCTCTGTGACTCTACGGAAATCAATTTAACATTTCCTACTGTTCTGAAGCTGAAGACATCAGAGGGGGCTAACTGTCATGGACTTTAGAAATATCAATCCTGGTCCTGAGAAATCCCATGGAATTGTTATATGGTGGAAACTCTTATTCTCATGTGCAGCTTTGCCAGTCTCTGGGTCTTGGATCTGTTACCCACCCCCAGGGTTAATGGAGGGCACACAGTTTTCAAGATGGAAGCCCCACCCTTCCTGCCTCCCAGGAACTGGGGTGGCCACGTCAGACGGAGTAGAGTGTGAGGACGCACTTGGTGTGTGTCAAAACCTGATTCACACATAAGGTCTTGTGATGAGAATTGTAACTGTTGTTGTGGCTGAGTTTTCCTCTGTGACATCTTTGTAGGACAGGTCTTGTCAACCACCTCCTCCTCTCTCCCCTCTGTCTCAGGTCCCAGCCTCCTCTTCATCACGTATGCAGAAGCGATAGCCAACATGCCAGCGTCCACTTTCTTTGCCATCATCTTCTTTCTGATGTTAATCACGCTGGGCTTGGACAGCACGGTGAGGAAATGGGAAGGGGAAATGGGCTGTGGGAGGATGAAGAGGAAAGGAGGAGGACTCAGCTGGACTCAATTCCCTCCCATCCCTGGCCATCCCAGGCAGCTTTGGCTACTCCCTTCTGGTGCTCCAGACCCCCGGCTGACTCCTCGGCATTTACCACCCTCTGGTACATTCGAGTCATTAATGGGATAAAGTGGGTCAAGCGCCAGGCGCTTATGAGGCCCAAGGCTCACATATGTGAACTGTTATTAAGCACTGTCCCTTGGCCCAATTATGGCGCCTACAGGCCGGGGCGAGGTCTCTCCTGGGTCTCTGCTTTGCCAAGGGTTCAGTTCAGGGCCTGGAATTATTAGTGTGGAGTGAGTCTCAGCTTTGAGTTGGCCTTTCTGGTGCAAACGGAGTCTCCCCGAGAGACCTCATATATTGAAGTTCTGTCCACGTGTGCTATTTTGTTTCCTGGCTCTCCTTAGTGATGGGCTTTAAATGACAGTGTAAAACAGGGAAATACTCTTTGAGATGCTTACATGGTCCAGCGAGCCGGGGAACTGGTGATGATCAGCTTGACCAGTCACTTAGCAACCTTACCCCTCCCTCCTGTTCACTGTCCTGAAGGCCACAGCCTTGTCCCAAAGCCTCCACCGTGACTGCTTGCCTGTACCTCTCAGTTTGCAGGCTTGGAGGGGGTGATCACGGCTGTGCTGGATGAGTTCCCACACGTCTGGGCCAAGCGCCGGGAGCGGTTCGTGCTCGCCGTGGTCATCACCTGCTTCTTTGGATCCCTGGTCACCCTGACTTTTGTGAGTATCATGCCCCTCAGCTTTGAGTTGGCCTCCCCTAGGGCAGCAGAACGCTACAGGAAGCTGTTCGTCTCCTTCCATCTCACACAGTGCCCTGGCTTTGGGACCAAAGGAGGGGAGGTTGTTACTCCCATTAAAAGGTTTGTCATCAAGGAGAAGAAAAGTTGTTTCTTGTGCATCTACTTGCAGATTCCGTGCATAGTATCCAGGGGCTGTCAGCATTTTACCGCAGATCCCACTAGATTTCAGGCTTCAAAAACTATCTGGAGAAAATTAGGATTTGCTTTTCCAGCCTATTTCCACTCTTTAGAGCTGCTTTCTTGAGGATACTGCCCTGACGTTCTTCACGTCATGTGTGTAATGCCGCTTGGTCTCCTCCAGAATTTGCAATGGTAAAGAAGTCACACCCTCTCTAGAGATCCTTTTTTTTTTTTTTTGGTAGCTGAAGTAAATACTCTAAGGCAGATTTTGCAAATGTGCATCTTTAAGCCGTGACCCCGATGGCCCTGGAGTGGGGGTCAAGGGGACTGAGTGGAACCCCAGTGAGTCATGATTTAGGACAGAAAGGCAAAACTGTGACCAAGGCCCTTAATGTGTCTGGTATCCTGGGCCCTTCTGGATTCAGTCTTTAGAGGCAGGGATTCTCCAGGGTCGTGTCCACAGCAGGTGTTCAATAAGTTGAAGAAAGTTTAAAATAGATCCCAAGGCCCTTTGGAGTTTGTCTCTTAAAATTTAGTGGGGTGAAGAAATGAGAAGAATGAACTACATAGGATGGGAAGAGGCGTCTGAGTGGGTAAAACCTGCCCACACTGCCACTGCAAAGGCCAGTCCAAGAACAGTCCAAGAAACAGTTTCTTTTTTTTTTTTTTTTGGACAGAGTCTTGCTCTGTCCCCCAGGCTGGAGTGCAATGGTGCTATCTCAGCTCACTGCAACCTCTGCCTCTCGTTCAAGCAATTCTCCCGCCTCAGCCTCCTGAGTAGCTGGGATTAAAGGCGTGTGCCACCACGCCTGGCTAATTTTCACCATATTGGCCAGGCTGGTCTCAAACTCCTGACCTCAGGTGATACGCCCGCCTCAGCCTCCCAAAGTGCTGGGATGACAGGCATGAGCCACCGCACCTGGCCTAAGAGGCAGTTTCTGGGGTACTCACGTTCGGTCCCAGGTGGGATTTTTCCAGAATGATTCTAAGTGAGGAAGCCCCTGCAGGTCTCTGTAGTTGGGAGGGGTGGCTCCTTGGAGGGCCCTCACCCAGGCTCTGCTCTCCCCTCCAGGGAGGGGCCTACGTGGTGAAGCTGCTGGAGGAGTATGCCACGGGGCCCGCAGTGCTCACTGTCGCGCTGATCGAAGCAGTCGCTGTGTCTTGGTTCTATGGTAAGACGCTTCCTTCAGCCAGCTGGGTCCCTTCTACACCATCAGCCAGCACAGTAGCAAAGGGCTGATTTCACCAAAAAAGGCTGTGAGGGGCAGTTTACAAGATGTGACCTCCCGATGATGGGTCTGTAAAAGAGTCTCGGCCAGGCGCGGTGGCTCACGCCTGTAATCCCAGCATTTTGGGAGGCTGACACAGGTGGATCACCTGAGATCAGGAGTTCGAGACCAGCCTGGCCAACATGGTGAAACTCCATCTCTACTAAAAATACAAAAAAAAAAAAAAATTAGCCGGGCATGATGGCGCAAGCCTGTAATCTCAGCTACTCAGGAGGCTGAGGCAGGAGAATTGCTTGAATCTGGGAGGCAGAGGTTGCAGTGAGCCAAGATCGCGCCACTGCACTCCAGTCTGGACAACAGAGTGAGAGTCTGTCTCGAAACAAACAAAAAACCCAAAAACAAACAAAAATAAACCACTTTTGCATGTTATTTGTTACACATATTATCAAGGAGGGGGCACATTTTGGGTTGCACACAGGGCTGCTTTTGTTTTGTTTTGTTTTGTTTTTTAAAGAAGAAATCTTCCCACCTCCTTGGCAATTCAGACGACCAAGTTCAAGTGTGTGAATCTCCATAGACCTGCCCTAGGAACTGCTGGGACCTCTCGGGGAAGCAACCACAGAGCACCTTCCCCTTCTCAATTTCTCACTCTTCTTTGGGAGTTCTCAGTTCTCACTTCCTTACCAGTTACTTTTTATAGAAGAACCTTGATCTTGATCTGGCATATGAATGGGCAATATTGTGGTTAAAAATTTCCCTTGAAAGTTTCCAGTGTCATGGTCAAAGTCAGTGTCTGTCAGGCGGGTTCACCATTCCTGGACAAAATTCAACTGTTTTATAATAACAATGAAATCAGATACACACTCAGCTCTCAGGAAGGCGGTGTGGCACCAAGAAGGGGGTGTGTGTCTCTTCCCAGATGCCCATCCATCCTCCCAAATGTCCATCCATCCTTCCAGATGCCCATCCGTCCTCCCACCCTATGTAGAAAGAGTCTTGCTTGCTATAAAAATGCAGTTTTGTGACAAGTCCCCCAGCCCCACTTTCGGACCAGATTGTTGTCGCTGTACTCCTCCTAGAGAGAAATTCCAGAGCTACCCTGTGTGTCCGGGGTAGGAATTCCGGCTTGTCATTTCCCCTTGTCATTCCCAGTGCTGATCCTGTGACTCTGACTCTCCCAGAGAATCAGGGCACAGCAGCACAGCCCATGTCCTTTCTTAGTCTCTGCCTCTCTTCCCCTTGGGCGGTTCCAGGCATCACTCAGTTCTGCAGGGACGTGAAGGAAATGCTCGGCTTCAGCCCGGGGTGGTTCTGGAGGATCTGCTGGGTGGCCATCAGCCCTCTGTTTCTCCTGGTGAGTTGCCATTTCCCTTCTCCTCCTTGCCCTGGCGAAAGACTTCCCCCAGACACATAAAAAATGAATTGTAATGGCTGGGCACGGTGGCTCATCCTTGTAATCCCAACACTTTGGGAGTCTGAGGCAGGCGGCCAACATGGCAAAACCCCGTCTCTACTTAAAAAAATACAAAAATTAGCCGGGTGTGGTGATGGGCACCTGTAATCCCAGCTACTCAGGAAGCTGAGGCAGGAGAATGGCTTGAACCCAGGAGGCGGAGGTTGCAGTGAGCTGAAATTGCGCCACTGCACTCCAGCCTGGGTGACAAAGTGAGACTCTATTTCAGAAAAGAAATAAATAGTATTGAAGAATAACATATACAGAAAAGTATTAATATACAGCTCGTAAGTGTACATCTCAAAGAAATGTTATAAATTGAGCACACCTATGTAGCCAAAACCATACCAGGAGACAAAAACATGACCAGCACTTCAGAAGCCCCTCTTGTGCCCCCTCCCAGCCACTATGCCCACCATGGTTCCCCACCCTTCTGACTCCTAACACCATGGAGTAGTCTGGGCTTCAGTCACTCTGGCAGTGATAGTGATGCATAACATTTATGGAGCGCTAAATGCCAGGCCAGACTTCAGGCTCAACTTACACTCACTTTTCTATAAATCCTCACAATAGTTCTATGAAGTGGTTATAGTTCTGGCACTCCCATTTTACATTTAAGGAGATTGAGGCTGGGTGCAGTGGCTCATGCCTGTTATCCCAGCACTTTGGGAGGCTGAGGTGGTTGGATCACCTGAGGTCAGGAGTTCAAGACCAGCCTGGCCAACATGGTGAAACCCCGTCTCTACTAAAAATATAAAAATTAGCTGGGCATGGTACTAGGTGCTACTCAGGAGGCTGAGGCAGGAGAATTGCTTGAACCTGGGAGGCGGAGGTTGCAGTGAGCTGAGATCGCGCCATTGCACTCCAGCCTGGGCGATAGAGCAAGACTCTGTCTCAAAAAAAAAAAAAAAAAAAAAAAAGAAAAGAAAAGAAAAAAGGAGATTGAGGCTTAGCAATGTAAAGTGAAGGGTCCAAAGTCACATAACAAAAAGAACTGTTCAAGACCAGGGAAGGATCTGCTATGCTCTTCATGGGGGCCCTGGATGGGGTACTAGTACTTCTGTGTTTACAATTTTGTATGCATCTTCTTCAAGATGATACAAAGCTCTCTAAGCAAAAATCCACGTCAAAAGTAGAATCCATTTATTACCAAAGGACCTGGGTGAGAAAGTTGAGTCCCAAGGGTTGTCCACGTGTTGAGATGTGTTCAATATTCACTTTGTCCTTGGTTCACGTGCCCCTGTCCAAGATGGATAACAGCCTGCTGGCCTGCCAAGTGTGTGCTGAAGTAGCCTGGGGTAAACTGATGTCATGCACACCAGCAGGCACTATTCTTCAGTTCTTTCATTTATCTGTAACTTTGTTTTTTTTGTGTTTTTTTTTTTTTTTTTGTCTTTTAGAGCCAGAAATGTTGTTAGATTCTTCCTTCAGTCCACCTCCAGCCTATTAGGAGTATATGGGCTATCCCATTTTGTTTTAGGACATCTCTTTGGCATCCAGCTGTTCTGTGTCCCCTTTCAAAACAGCTGGGTGCAGTGGTTCACACCTGTAATCCCAGCATTTTGGGAGGCCGAGGCAGGTGGATCCCTTGAGGTCAGGAGTTCAAGACCAGCCTGGGCAACATGGCGAAACCCTGTCTTTACTAAAAATACAAAAATTAGCAGGACGTGAACAAGACTCAGTCTAAACAAACAAACAAACAAACAAAAAACAAACATGAAAACAGCCCTTTTTGTATTCTGTGTTTTGACTTTCTTGGGGTAACCCTTTATTTTTTGTACTTCTTTTGTACCCACACATCTTGACATTAACTTATCTATGATGGACAACATGCTTGTTCTTGTCTCTGTGACACTGCATGTGTCTCTCTGTACCCCAGAATTCCTCTTTGACTTCCTTTCCCCCAGACCCTGGAGGTTTCCAAAATCAAAGCCAGTGTTTGCACCAAGCAGCACATGTTCCCAGGCTGCAGTGACTCTGGTGCAAGCTCTGGGCTCCTGAGATGTTGGCCTCGGAGCTCCTTATGACCTTATCAGCTTGCTGATGCATTTAGGCACATTTAAAATGCGTGTGTTTTTAAATCCAGAAGTTTTAGTTGTTTTCAGTGAGAGGGTTGTTGGAAATCGCCTAGCCCATCCTACCAGAAGCAGAAGCCCTGACATAAATGGGTTATTAATTTATATTATTACCAGTACTTCTCAATAATCTACTTAAATATTTTTATTTGTTTTTCAAAGGAAGAAGAGTCATTGGATTAATTCCTTGAGGGCAGAAAGATGTTTGTTTGTTTGTTTGTTTACTTCCATATTTATTCCCCACGCAGTGAGGAAATGATGTCTAGGGGAGACTTGAAGGCAAGTGAAACATTCACTGTGGGTATAAAATTTAAGAAGGCACCAAAGAGCTCAGGACTCAGGATAAATATTATTTTCACACAATATTTTTTAAAAATAAAAATTAATTCAAAAAGATCCATGATTAACAAAGTATCAACATTTTCAATAAACACAGGAGCCAGCCCTGTACTTGTACATCGTACTTCACTCGCTTTACCCTCATCTGGCCCTGTTAGATCCTGTCTTTTAAAAAATTGTAATAAAATATTATTTATTTTGATTTTGGCTCCTGCTGAAATGTCGTGCCTGAGGTGAGTGCCTCCATGTGCCCTGGGGCTTGGGGCTGTTCGTTTCTGTCAATTTCCTGCTGTCAGACTGGGTACACTCTTGATGCACAGTCATTGAGTTTCTTTGCCCAGGAAAACCCACGTGCAGCTTTGGATGTGGGCGCACTACTCATAATTCCCATGATGTTTGCCATACTCACCCCTCTACAGCCAAGTGCCCTAGTGCCTGAGAGAGGCAAATCTGTCTTCCACTTCTACGTTCACTTAACAGATCCCCTGCTCTGGGCTTCTTAAGGCTGCTTTAGGTAAACAACAAGTAGCTTACTAAAAATATTCTTTTTCACTGCAGCCAAGTTAAAAAAAAGAAAATATTGTGTACGAGTAGAGGCCAGGATGTGTGAGGGGGTTTCTGAAGTAGCACTTGCCCCAACCGGAGGTTGAGTCCCCCAATGACTGAGTGGGATTTCACACACCTGACATTAAGAGACAAGCAGCCGGGATGGCTCCTAACCAGATCTTCTTTCCCTGTTCCCAAACCATCTTTCTTCATAGCCGGCTCTGGGGATGAGGAGCCTGGGTTAGGAGGAAGGTTTGCAATTGACCAGGTTCCTGTTTTGAAGGCTTCCACCTAGACTTAAGATAGCACCGCTCAGAAGATGGATGTGTGTTTAGCAATTTCCCATTTTATTACCTGCAGACAAAGAAAAAAAAAGATATAAATAGATGTTTAACCACACAAATAATTCACATTACTGTCTTCTTTATGACTGTGAAATAATAAAATAAAATTAAATCAACAGCAATAACAATTTCGGCACAGTGGTTACTAGGCAAAATCTGGAAACCAAATTGAAATAAGAAAACTCATAAACTGGGTGTTGGGAGCACACTGTGGAATTTTTCTTGGTCAAAATTCTCACAGAGTGTTCAAGTGAAAGGTGTATTAAGCTGCTATTTTTCCTTCCATAATTCCTTTCATGATGAGGACCTGTGGCAGGCAGACATTCATTGTTGAGATGCCTAGTGGCAGAGCCATCCTTGTTGAAACTCCAGGCGATGCAGCTTAATGCAGAAGGCAGAGAGCTCAGGAAAATGGGAGAAGGACACACCCCCAGGAGCCTGAGTCCTCTCTGGGTCTTGAGAACCTTCTTATCTTTCCTGGACATCAGGCACCTTCCGTCTGACCAAAAACAACCACAGCCAGAAACGCAAGGCAATGAAAACAAAGCAGAGAGAAATATGAAGCCTGGGGCCTGGCGGGGGGCTGCGGAGAGGTCACCCAGTTTATTCCTCTGCCTTCTGGCAAGACAAGGCCCAAATTACTCTCAAGGTTGCCAGTCTCTTTGCCTGGGCAGAGGCCTGTGCTGAAGTGGGAGCTGCAGGCTTCAGCCCCGACTGTAGGGGCAGCTGTAGGGCTGCTGCAACATCCCCCTATAGGAAGTGAGGGCTGGGGAGGAAAATCAGGGAAAGCACCTGGCTGGTGTAGTCTTGCAGCTTGGGTACAGAAGTTGGTAATTCTGTGTGTCAGAGTTCAATCCAGGATATATCACATCTTGGGAATTTCCTGAAAGTATCTTAGCTTTAGCATTTGGTGTTTGTGGTATCGGAAACATCTCTATCTGAGTGGATATTGTTAAGGTTTTTAATGTTTCTTGGAATTTCTGTTTTAGTTCATCATTTGCAGTTTTCTGATGAGCCCGCCACAACTACGACTTTTCCAATATAATTATCCTTACTGGAGTATCATCTTGGGTTACTGCATAGGAACCTCATCTTTCATTTGCATCCCCACATATATAGCTTATCGGTTGATCATCACTCCAGGGACATTTAAAGAGGTACGTGCTAGTTAGTGTGTATATGTGTGTGTTCAGACTACTAATTGTTTTGGGAGAAAAGGATTATCTTGTTATGCTCTATTCAAAATGAGATTCACCAGGAGGCATGCAACCCTATATATGTATGTACCTGTGCCATGGCGAAGACCTCTAATGGCTGTCACTGTTATCTTAAGGCATCTCCCAAAGCCTCAAATGCAAGGGCAAAAGAGTGAGCTGATCATTTGGGTGCACCAGAGCATTCAGCTTGGGCTGTGCATAGGTTTTCAAACTTATCAGACAACTACCCTGCCTCCTGCTTGCCACTGGGCATGGATATCAGACCTGTGATGTCTGGAGCAATACACAAATTTTAAGTGGCAATTATGGTGGGAAATGTCCATGGTCACTTTTCTAACAGCAATGTGAAAAGTATTATTTTGAAAATCATCACAAAATAAGGATGTTGCAACAGTATCATAGTTTTAGATCAAAATTATTAGCTATCTAACAATAGCATGATTTTAGCTCAAGCCATTGGAGTAAAAATGTTTTGCCAGGATAGCAAGATTCATTTCGGTAATGAATGCGCTGTAGAAATGTTAATAACAGTACCTTACAATTTGTATGAATGCCATTTTCAAAGCATCTGCATGTCGATTATCCTATTCTGTTATCAAAGTACCTTGGGAGGTAAATGGGCAGGCATTATTACCAGACAAGGACACTGAGGTGGGGAATAATCCTGCTCGAAGTTTCCTTATTTCCGGCTGGGCACAGTGGCTCACACCTGTAATCTCTGCATTTTAGGAGGCCAAGGCATGTGGATCACCTGAGGTCAGGAGTTCAAGACCAGCCTGGCCAACATGGTGAAATCCTGTCTCTACTAAAATTACAAAAATTAGCTGCGCATGGTGGCACGTGCCTGTAGTCCCAGCTACTCAGCATAATCTATAATAGCCTGAGAACGGAGGTGGGCTAATTTGAGATCTTACGCAAAATTTAGACATGAGTCCATCACAATAGTCATCCTAAGACATTTCATAAGAAATGAGAAGCAAGAGAACATAGGCAGTTAAACATCAGCTCTTTCTTTTTTTTCAGACAAGGTCTCACTCTGTACCCCAGGCTGGAGTGCAGTGGTATAATCATGGCTCACTGCAGCCTCAAACTCCTGGGCTCAGGTGATCCTTTCACCTCAGCCTCCTGACTAGCTGGGACTACAAGCGCCTGGCTAAATTTTTAAATTTTTAATAGAAACAAGATCTCACTATGTTGCCCAGGCTGGTCTCAAACTCCTGAGCTCAATCCTCCTGCCTCAGCTTCCCAAAGTGCTGGGATTGCCGGCATGAGCCACTGCACCCGGCCAAATATCAGCCCTTTCTGAGAACAACTGCGTTCATTTCTTTTTTGAAACAGGAAAACTGTATTCTGGGTGAACAGAACTCTGAGCTCCGTAGTTACTAATTTCCTACAGCCAAACCAGCCCTCTCATGACCGCACTCCCCCTAAAGAGCCTTGGGTCCCGTGCTGCTTCCCGCACACTCTCCTACCCAGAGTCATTGAACGCATTCCTTCCGGTCATCTGTCTTGGCAGTTGTGATGATCCATGAGCTCTGTTGCTTCAAATCCAGAGGCCAAGGTTGGAGGTGGGAACTGTGTTAGGTTAATAAATGTCATTCTTTAGTCACAGGCTACACCTCAGATCCTGGCCATCTTTCTCACAAATTCCCCCAGTTGGCCACAAGGGAATGCCACCCAAAAGTGTGTCACTAACAGAGCTCAGGTCTGTTAGCAATAGAGGTAAGACTAATTGTAGGTAGGGCGTCTTCACGAGGGGCCACCAGATGGGGAGCAGCGGGTTACCCGGAAGCAGTGTGATACACCCCTGTCGGTGAGGACCATGGAAAAGGCCCTAGTCGGCTCTGGCAGGTACTCATCTTATCTGGGCCTCGGTTTCCTCCTCTTTCAAATGTGCTCATTTGACCATGTTAACATTTCCCAAAGTGTGTTCCAGGGGCTGTCACAGGTATTACTGCTGGAGAAAAAGTTTATGTAGTCAGGTAATTTTTGGAGACTGCTGGACTAAGGCAAGTTAAACAGGTTTCTTGGCCGGGCACAGTGGGTCACACCTGTAATCCCAGCACTTTGGCACGCCGAGGTGGATGGGTCACCTGAGGTCAGGAGTTCGAGACTAGCCTAGCCAACATGGTGAAACCCCCGTCTCTACTAAAAATGCAAAAATTAGCCGGGTGTGGTGGCGGGCACCTGTAGTTCCAGCTTCTCAGGAGGCCGAGGCATGGAAATTGCTTGAGCCTGGGAGGCAGAGATTGCAGTGAGCTGAGATCATCGAGCCACTGCACTCCACCCTGGGCAACAGAGCGAGACTCTGTCTCAAAAAAATTAAATAAGTAAATAAACAGGTTTGTTTACCTGAGGACTTCTCAAAAAAACTTTAATATGCCCATGTGCATGTTTAATCTCTGAGAAGAATAAAGCATGCTGTGTTTTTTGCCAAAGGTCTAGAATTCTTCACAATTCTTTATGAATACCAGACTTGCTAGTCTGTAACTTTCTATGTGTGAGGGAGGGAAGCCTCATATAAAATCCTTTTGGGCCCTGGCCATATGCAAGGTTGGAGTTTGTGGAGTGAGCCACCGCTTACTGGTGTAATTTGAAGGGTACCATACACACCCACGGTCTGGAAGTCTTGCGGTTGGAGTCATCCACTGGCTTAGGTCATTTTTGCAGAAACTACTAATAATCCACCCAAAGATACTGGAAAATGGTCCCTAATGAGTACACGTTTATGAAGATATGAAGAGGAATCCATTTCTTAGATTAACTTGTTATCATCTTGCAGAAGGCCAGGCAGGGCCTGGCAAATTTCCAGCACAACGGTAGCCTGGCAACTAGAATGCTGGCAAAGCACGGAAAACAGACGTGGGCCTGGCATCCTGGGTGGTCAGTCACCAACAGGGCAGCAGCCCATGTGGGTAGGTAAGGGCACAAAAACCAAGTGTTTGACTTTATGACGTCGTTCATTGCGGGCCTTGCCCCACCAAACACCTCGGTGATCTCTTCTCTCTCTGAGCTATGGTGATAGCTCCACTTAAGACAAGTTCTAATAGTTGAGCATCGTACCATGCACCTGTAGGTCCAGCTACTTGGGAGGCTGAGGCAGGAGGATCCCTTGAGCCCAGGGGTTCAAGACTGCAGTGAGGCATGATTGTGCCACTGCACTCCAGCCTGGGCAACAGAGCAAGACCCTGACTCTTAAAAAAAAAAAAAAAGGACTCGTTATAGTGATCTCTGTCTAGTTCTCAACTAACAAGCCATAATTCTGTTTAATCAGGTATAGTTCACATGTTAGTCTGTGGGAATGCATGGTTTCTGACAAGTTGCTTTCCGTGACTCGGCATGCTCTGGTAGCTGATGACTCCTTTTTAAACGGATGACTCCTTTTTAAACTCCCTGCAATGACTCCTTTTTAAACGGATTTCTAGTGTGAAAGTTCAGTACACAGATACTAAGGTCATGAGGAGCACAAAATGTGCAATTTTGTGCATTTTGCCCTATAGTGCATTTCATTAACTGTAGGACTGGAACTTTTTGAATTATAGAGGCCCTATTTCTTAAAGAACAAACTCCCAGAATGAGAAAATAGAAAAGCTTGAAGGCAACTCCAGACATTTTCAGTCCAAAATAAAAATGACAGGGGCAGAACTTCACCTAAAGATCAGTAAATCAAAGGATGCTTTCAGATCCAAATTGTCTGCTTATGATACATACAGACTTTTGGCCAACAAAGATTTTATTAAGCAACTTAATAAAGATTTTTCAAAGCCTCTGCAGTGTGGCTGTTTTTTTTTTTTTCTCCTCTATATCCCTGAGCTGCTTTTTGCCACTCTGATGCTGAGTTTTACAAGGCCAGTTGTATATTTCACACCTAAGCCCAAGTATATTTCAGATCCATCTTAAAGCTTCTGTGTACCTCAGCTGTTTCTATAGTAGACCTTCTCAGCCACTTCTCTGTGATGAGTACTACATCAACACAATGTTGCATTAGAAGTGATGATTTCAATAATCGCATCTTTTACAGTTTAACTATGTGATAATTTATACTCTCATATGAACTAACCAGTATTGCTTTACAGGTGAATTCATTAAATTAGTAACATCCTGGCTGTTACAGTGGCTGATAGCACTGGGCAGTATGGCTGCAGTGTGTCTGCAGGAGACAAGGAGCCTGGGTGAGGGGATGGGGGCCAAAACCCAGCAATTACTCTGCTCCCCAAGCCCTTTGTGGCCGCAGAAGTCTCCTCTGTCCAGAGAAAAGGGTACCCTTTCCCAAGTCCTTCAAAAGCATGTTATTGGCCAGCAGAGATTCTGTTGAAGGCTCATCATTTTCTTCCATTAGTGTTATAATGATTTTCTTAGTTTACAGATGTGTATAGTTTCTGAATATACCATTTTAATTCATATTTGAGAATACATAAATTGGGAATTCTTTTCCTAAGGAATGTCAGTGAGACTATTCCAACTCGCTCTTAGATGTTATTAAAGTGTTATTTAAGCTTTGTTTTAATATTAATGTTGACTATTTTTGCAAGTTTTAAAAATTACAAGGATGTTTATAACATTGTATTTTCTTCCCAATAGCGTATTATTAAAAGTATTACCCCAGAAACACCAACAGAAATTCCTTGTGGGGACATCCGCTTGAATGCTGTGTAACACACTCACCGAGAGGAAAAAGGCTTCTCCACAACCTCCTCCTCCAGTTCTGATGAGGCACGCCTGCCTTCTCCCCTCCAAGTGAATGAGTTTCCAGCTAAGCCTGATGATGGAAGGGCCTTCTCCACAGGGACACAGTCTGGTGCCCAGACTCAAGGCCTCCAGCCACTTATTTCCATGGATTCCCCTGGACATATTCCCATGGTAGACTGTGACACAGCTGAGCTGGCCTATTTTGGACGTGTGAGGATGTGGATGGAGGTGATGAAAACCACCCTATCATCAGTTAGGATTAGGTTTAGAATCAAGTCTGTGAAAGTCTCCTGTATCATTTCTTGGTATGATCATTGGTATCTGATATCTGTTTGCTTCTAAAGGTTTCACTGTTCATGAATACGTAAACTGCGTAGGAGAGAACAGGGATGCTATCTCGCTAGCCATATATTTTCTGAGTAGCATATATAATTTTATTGCTGGAATCTACTAGAACCTTCTAATCCATGTGCTGCTGTGGCATCAGGAAAGGAAGATGTAAGAAGCTAAAATGAAAAATAGTGTGTCCATGCAAGCTTGTGAGTCTGTGTATATTGTTGTTTCAGTGTATTCTTATCTCTAGTCCAATATTTTGGGCCCATTACAAATATATGAATTCCCCAAATTTTTCTTACATTAACAAATTCTACCAACTCAATTGTGTATGGAGGTTATTATTTGAAGGGTACAATCACTACAACATGCTCTGCCACCCACTCCTTTTCCAGTGACACTACTTGAGCCACACACTTTCCTTTACAGGCCAGCCTCTGGCGTTTGCTGCACCTCATTGCCACCTTCCTGTCTCTCTGTGCTAAACATTCAGGACAGTGTTCCACAGGCAGATCTGGCCTATTTCATTAGTCACCATGGCTTGGCTGTGAAGTACGTTGAAGGTGGATCTTGTCACATGCCCCTTCAGTGTTCACCTGGCCCTCTGGTTTAAGTTCTGTCTGCCTTACGTGACTGAGTTTGACTGTCCAGGTTGCTTTGCTCGGTGAAGAGAGGAGGGTAAATCGGATTCTCGTTTAGCACTGGGTTATACAGATCTGGCACCCTAACCTAAACCAAGGCATCTTCACTCCAAGAGCAGTTGGAGAGTCTGGGTTAGCCTTACGTGGACCTCGCCGCTCGCTGGCGGTCACGATTGTGAGCCCTCCAGATAATTTTTAAGGTTGAGTCTAAGTAAGGCTGCTTGGGAAATGGTCAGCTAAGTAAATCACCTTTCATTTCACATAAGGCCCTTAATATAGATAAGTAAATTTGGCCTTTGGTGTCTCGTGACTCTCAGAGGCGTAGGTAGAGGAGCAAATTAATATTTGCAGCATGGGAATTCCTTATCAGAATTTTGAGGGGAATAAATCCTCATCAGAGACAAAAGGACTTAATCATCTGGCCACCTATCACTTCAGTTCTCTGTATAAATGAAATTTAATTCTAACAACCTTATAAAAAGAAGGTCCAGACAGCAGAGGAAACATCCTGTCCAATTCTAGGTTTTCCTCCCTTGGCCTCCTTTCCCCAGCATTGTCTACCCTGGCCCACTTCCTGCATTCTCCCCATGCCCTGCTATTTCTGATTCTTTGCTTCTCCTAGCGAGATACTTTCCTTATATGATAGCTGCTGAGAAGTTTCCCAGAACTGCTAGAGGAAAAGAAGTGGGGAATTTAGGAAATATCCCTCACTGACCTAACTCCATTATCTTCACTCTTTCCTTCTTCCTGCCACCTCATGCCCATTCTCTTTACTGTCTAGCATGCTGAAAGAAGGAAGTGATCTAAATGCCAGCGTGTTCAGTGGTAAATATTAGTTGGTGCAAAAGAAAAACCATGATTACTTTTGCACTAACCTAATAGCTTTGCAAATTTTAAGAACTTGCTTTATGAAGATATTCGGATATGGATTCTCCCCACCCCACATACTTAGACATTGTTCAAATATACTACTTTTAAAAAAACACCTTTTCAAACAGAATTAGCGTTTTGCCAAGTCTGGTATTAATGGAATTGTACAGGAGCTTTGAAAGTTTTCAAACTTTATTAAACTAAAAAAAAAAAATCGAAAATCTCTGTCTGTTCCGCATAGTATGCATTTATTTGACCCCTATTTATCAATACTATGATGGGGTTTTTTTTTTTTAAAGAAAATTTAAGAGTAGGTAGGTGGATTTTAAAATAATATTTTAAAGACCTTTTATATCTATATGTAGCATTTATAGAAAAATAAAAACTAAAAATAGAATTGAATTGTAACATTATTTAAGGACTGAAGTTTTTTTTCTTGTATCAGTAAGAAATACCCAAGAGGCTGGGTGCAGTGACTCACACCTGTAATCCCAGCACTTTGGGAGGCTGCAGTGGGAGGATCACATGACATCAGGAGTTTGAGACCAGCTTGGCCAACATAGTGAAACGCCGTCTCTATTAAAAATACAGAAAATTAGCTGAATGTGGTGGCAGGCGCCTATAATTCCTGCTACTTGGGAGGCTGAGGCAGGAGAATTGCTTGAACCCAGGAGGCAGAGGTTGCAGTGAGCCAAACGTTCCACTGCATTCCAGCCTGGATGACAAGAGCGAAACTCCGTCTCAAAAAAAAAAAAAAAAATTGTTATGCTTAGTTCCATGGAAAGACTATTCTGAAGCTTTAAGTCTTCTTTTTCTATTTTCCATAGTATTGCCCCTTCCCCACTTCATTGCTTAACTGTCTCTAAATTTTAATGATAATAATATTTTAAAGGTCAGATAATGCCATTAGAGGCAGAGACAAACCTGGGGACCAAGCTAATTTCTCTGTTATTGAGAGCGCTAAAGACAGGTGAACTGGAGTTTTATTTCCTCTGCTAGAGTGAAATAATACCCTCTCCACCAGGCACAATGGCTCACACCTGTAATTCCAGCACTTTGGGAGGCCAAGGTGGGCGGATCACTTGAGGTCAGGAGTTCGAGACCAGCCTGGCCAACATGGTGAAACCCCATCTCTACTAAAAATACAAAAATTAGCCAGCCATGGTGGCATGCTCCTGTAATCCCAGCTACTTGGGAGACTGAGGTGGGATAATCACTTGAACCTGGGAGGCGGAGGTTGCAGTGAGCTGAGATTGTGCCACTGCACTCCAGCCTGGGTGACAGAGCAAGACTCCATCTAAAAAACAAAAACAAAAACAAAAAAACCCTCTCAATTGGTTTAATACCACGATAGAAAAGATAAATATTTTAGGATGGAATCTTAAATATGTCTGTCCTTTTGTTTCATATAGTTGAAATCAATTCAGTATTGTTTCTACATTAGGTGTTTCAAAAACAGTCACCTTTGCAACAGAAGAGCTCTTTTGTTGAAAATGATTCACAATATATTTCAGTTGGAATGTCAGGTGGTATTTCTCTTACCAACACCTCACAGAATCTATGCCAAGCTGCTCTACCACCAATGCAAGTATTTTTTTAAAGCTACTAAAATAAACTTTCTTCACCAGCCAACTCTAATTTGGAGACAGTGTGCATTGGTGAAGGACCTCGTCAGAATAAGTTTGAATGTCTACTGAACTAAGAAGAATTTTGTCGTTTGGGGGAGAGAATAGATGGCATCAGTCCTTCAATTCTGTAACTGAAGACTCCAATTATAGTAGATAAGAATTGTGTCTAGCAATTTTTAAACACTGACAGTCCAAACAAAAATATTTGGTGAGGAAGGATGTCCCATATTTTTGCTTAAATATCATAAACAAATATGAGCATTTACTAATTTTTTAAATGGCATTTTGAAAGATTATTCTTATTTACACTCTAAAATTAAAGGTGTACTTTATCTTAAGAAAATGATATATTAAAAATTCATATTTTAAAAGATAAAATTGGGGAATTTACAGTTATTTTGTGAATGGCCTTTAAACTATGATTTGATCTATATACAACTTTTCAGAATACTTTTGATTGTGTGTTGGACATATCTAAAATTAATTTTATCTGGCAGAATTAAACCTAAATTTATTTGTATAAAAGAGTCCCCTTTCTAAAATTCATACAGTGCCCTTGTATTCATTTATGCAGTGTTTATAAATATTTCAAGTTAGATTGTGAGATATTAATAAATGATTTATGCTGTGAACTGTTACTGTAATAACTCTTAATATCATGATTTGTTGTATCATTAAAAAAACACAAAATTCTAAACTCTTAAGGTTAAAAATCTTAACCTTATAGTCAAAATATTTAAACATCTCCCTAAACATCACTGCATAGCACTTACAAAAACTACATTGAATTAGATGTATTCAATTTCCATAAAGTTAAATAAGTTAATATAATTCTTTGTAATTTGTGAAGAGCTTTAGTTTATAATGTTCTTCCCCATATATTTCATGGGATCACCAGAAGTCTAGGTGACAGCTGTATTTTCCCAGGTGAGGATGGGGCTGGGATGAAGAGCCTGAAGCTCAAAGAGGCTGATTGATTTGCCCAAGTTCACACACCTGGAACGTTCCAGGACAGGCTTTATGCCTATAGGTTTTCTAATTCCAGCCCAAAGGTTATTTACATGTTTAGCTTTAAAATTAGCATCCATAGAGGCTTGAGAAATCCAAAGAGTATTCAACTGCAGAATGGGTTTTTTTCTAAACTGCAAGGATGTTCTATCTCATTTTAAAGTGTGATAGGGAAGAATAATTAACATAGGGGAAGAACCTGTTACTGATATATCATTACATGTGTGCTGTCCCCAGCCAGAGACAGCAGCAGTCCCCAGCCTTTTTGGCACCGGGACCGGTTTCATGGAAGAAAATTTTTCTACGGATAGTGGGGAGCAGAGGGGTATTTCAGGATGAAACTATCCTACCTCAGTTCATCAGACATTAGATTCTCATAAGAAGCACACAACCTAGATCCCTCGCATGCATAATTCACGACAGGGTTCACACTCTTGTGAGAATCTAATGCTGCCGCTGATGGGACAGGAGGTGAAGTTCAGGTGGTAATGAGCTGTGTGGTCCAGTTCCTAACAGACCTCCTGCCCTACAGTTAAAGACTCTCCAGTTACCATCACCACACTAAATCTAATCCTTGTACTAGATTCAAATTATCTGATTTACATTGACTTGTTTAAAGAGGTATTAAGGTAGGGATTCCCAAAATAAAGGATAACATAAGCAAAAGACGGGTGACAAAAAGAAAGAAAAACAAGAGCGAGAAAATAAAATGGGACCAGAAATGAGGCTACATGTCACACCAGAATGACTTTCACATGTGCTGTTGGTATGCCACAAATCTGATCCTAGGCTTCATTAGAGATAACTGTTGCATCCAGTTATGAGATGCCATTTATTATCACTAAGGCTTAGTGGTCACTCTGGGTCCTGCTGCTTTTCCAGGGATATTGCTATTATTTAAAATAAATGCTAATGTTGTCAGTGCTTTATAGAGAGGGCAACTCCAGTATTAAAGTGTAATATTTCAATTACAGGAATCTCTTTGGAGTCTCAGCTCCAGTTTTGGAACATATCACTAAGTAATAACTAAAGATCTCAAAATGATTACCAGTATTTTTTTTTACACACTTTTTTTTTTCTTTCTTTTTTTTAGACAAAGTGTCCTGTCACCCAGGCTGGAGTGCAGTGGCGTGATCTTGGCTCACTGTAGCCTTGACTTCCTGGACTCAAGTGATCCTCCCACCTCAGCCTGCTGAGTAGCTGGGACTACAGGCATGCACCACCATGACTGGCTAATTCTTTGCATCTTTAATAGAGACCGAGTTTTGCCATGTTGCTCAGGCTGGTCTCATACTCCTGGGCTCAAGCAATCTGCCCACCATGGCCTCCCAAAGTACTGGGATTACAGGCATAAGCCACTGCACCCAGTGACATGGTTTTTATAAACTAAAAAATTCAATATGTAAAATGGTGGAGAGGATAGTTAATGCTGAGATCTGAATAAATGGACTTGAATAAAAAGTAGAATATATCTTATAGATTCTAACTACAAAAATGAAAATGAGACATGTATCTCTGACAAATGAAGACATTCTCCTACATAACCACAATTAAACCATCATAGTTAGGAAAGTAACACTGCTGCATGACTGTCAACTCATCTTTAGACCCTGTTCAATGATCTTTAGGAAAAAGGATCTAGTCCAGAATCATTTTCATTTAATTTCACGTCTCTTTTGTTTTCTTCAGTCTAGAACCGTTTTCCAGTCTTTCCTTGACTTTCACAACCTTGAAGCCTTTGATGTTAATAGGCAAGTTATTCTGTAGAATGTCCCTCAATTTGATTTGTTTGAAGATCAATTCCTGCTGATTAAATCCAAGCTATGTATTTCTGGCAGGACTATCACTGGAATGGTGCTGTGTTGTTTTCCCTGCATCCTACCAGGTGGAGAATGATTTTGATTTGTCCCCTCACTGGTGATGTTAACTTCAATCACTTGGTTAAGGTGGTGTCTACCGGGCTTTCCACTATAAAGTTCCTTTTCTTTTTGTCATTAATATTTTGGGGGATGGAGTTATTCTGACACTGTGCAAATATCCTGTCCTCATCAATCCATTTATTTTTAAAAATAGATTCCTGTTTTATCCAATGGATTATAATCAATTTTATTCATTTATTCATTCATTCATTTTTTTGAGACAGGGTCTCGCTGTGTCGCCCAGCCTGGAGTACAGTGGTGTGATCACAGCTCACTACAGCCTCGACCAGGCTCAACTGATTCTCCTGCCTCAGCCTCCTGAGTATCTGGGACCACAGGCACATACCACCATGCCTGGCTAACTTTCGTATTTTGTGTAGAGACAGGGTGTCACCATGTTGCCCAGGCGGTTCTCCTGTGCTCAAGCAATCCTCCCACCCTGGCCTCCCAAAGTGCTGGGACTACAGGCATGAACCACAGCACCTGCCCCCATTATTAATTTTGATGCTCAATTTTTCCTATATTTAGCCAGTGAGAGTCCCTTCAAGCTGGTTTCTGTGTGCTTTTGACATGTCCCCATCATTCTTGGAACAGTTCCTTGTTTTCCAGAGTGAGATGTTTCGGGACCAGCTTGTACTTTCTCTGCCACAGCTCTGAAATCAGCTATATCTCCAAGAAGCCCTGGTTCCTTTTAGTCAAGAGCATATTTAGAAACCACGATCTGGGTGTTAGGTATTCTCATGGCTACTGAGTTGTCACTGATCCTCAGCCCTCTCACTGGATAGAAGTGTATACATAATTTGCATTTAATAGTTATTTCTCTATCTTAAAAACCATGAGGTCACACCAATATCTCCAATTCCAACCCAACACTACAAAGTTCATTCTAATTTTCTTCCTTTCCATATTTATAACCCCTTTTACCACCTACCCATGTATTTTTAATATAGTTTTGCCTTTTTTCCCCTATATATATATATTACTTCTTCTCACAAGACTGAAATTCATCCAAGTTGGGTATAGCTCTAGTGTATTCATTTAACTGTTGTATTGCCTATGTGTGTGTGTGTGAATATATATATATATATATTTTGACAGTCTTGCTCTGTCGCCCAGGCTGGAGTGCAATGGCGTGATCTCAGCTCACTGCAACCTCCGCCTCCTGGGTTCAAGTGATTCTCATGCCTCAGCCTCCTAGTAGCTGGGATTACAGGCACGCACCACCATGCCTGGCTAATTTCTATTTCTTGTATTTTTAGTAGAGACAGGGTTTCGCCATGTTGGCCAGGCTGGTCTCGAACTCCTGAGCTCAGGCAATCTGCCCACCTTGGCCTCCCAAAGTGCTAGGATTACAGGCGTGAGCTACCACGCCTAGCTATATATTCTTTACTACTGATAGAGATTTAGGTTGTCATTTATTGAAAATGTATTATAGATATTCCTGGTGCATCTGTGGAACACGAGTTACAGGAAACATGCAGTGTCAATTACTAGGTAAAGCCAAACTTTTCCCAAAAAGGTTGTGCCAGTTCACCTATTACTAGTAGCACACAAAAATTACTATTGCTGCTGGATGCAGTGGCTGACGCCTGTAATCCCAGCACTTTGGGAGGTTAAGGCAGGCAGATCATATGAGGCCAGTTCAAGATCAGCCTGGCCAACATGGCAAAACCCTGTTTCTACTAAAAATACAAAAATTAGCCGGGCGGGGTGGTGTACGTCCGTAACCCCAGCTACTCGGGAGGCTAAGGCAGGAGAACTGCTTGAATCCGGGAGGCAAAGGTTGCAGTGAGCTGAAATTGCATCACTGCACTCTAGCCTGGGCGACAGAACAAGACTATCCTAAAAAAAAAGAGAGCCAGGCATGGTGGCTCACACCTATAATCCCAGCACTTTGGGAGGCTGAAGAGGGCAGATCACGAGGTCAGGAGATCGAAACCATCCTGGCCAACAAGGTGAAACGCCGTCTCTACTAAAAATAGAAAAAATTAGCTGGGCGTGGTGGCAGGCGCCTGTAGTCCCAGCTACTTGGAAGGCCGAGGCAGGAGAATGGCGTGAACCCGGGAAGCGGAGCTTGCAGTGAGCTGAGATCGCGCCACTGCACCCCAGCCTGGGCGTCAGAGCGAGACTCCATCTCAAAAAAAAAAAAAAAAAAAAAAAAAAAAAAAATACCGTTGCTTCGCATCCTCATCAACACTTCGTATTATGTCTCTTAACATTTTGTCATCCTTGTGAATGAGTAATGGTATTCACTGTGGTTTTAATCTGAACAAATAGTCACTCGCTGCTGAGTCTATTTGATATCCATATGGAGAAAAATCTTAACCCCTATCTTACACCACAAACAAAAATTAATTCCAAGTGCACTGTAGATCTAAATGGGAAATGTAGGCAATAATGCTTCTAGAAAATGTTGTCCAGTATAACTTTCTGCAGTAGAAATGTTCTATAAACCTGCACTGTCCTATGTGGCAGCCACCAGCCACATGTTGAGCATTCGAAATGTCTAATGCAACTGAGGAACTGTATTTTAAATTTTATTAATTTTAATTAACTTTGTAAAATTAGAGATATCTGTTCATTAAAAATACCATTAAGAGTGAAAAGGTAAAGCCATAGAGGGGAGGGAGAAGTTCCTTACAAATAACTCGTACCTAGAATATCTGAAGAACCTGTACTGGGGCCAGGCAAGGTGGCTCATGCCTGTAATCCCAGCACTTTGGGAGGCCGAGGCGGGCAGATCACCTGAGGTCGGGAGTTCGAGACCAGCCTGACTAACATGGACAAACCCCATCTCTACTAAAAATACAAAATTAGCCAGGCGTGGTGGCAGGCGCCTGTAATCCCAGCTACTCGGGAGGCTGAGGCAGGAGAATCGCTTGAACCTGGGAGGTGTAAGTTGCTGTGAGCCGAGATCATGCCATTGCACTCCAGCCTGGGTAGCAAGAGCGAAACTCCATCTCAAAAACAAAACAAAACAAAACAAAACAAAACCTGTACTGGATTAAGGAAAAGGCAGATAGTTCCCCTCCACACCCCCCTCAAAAAAAAAAAAAAAAAAAAAAGCAGGGAGTGGAAAGGTAGTTAATGCCTGTAATCTCAGCACTTTGAAAGCTGAGGCAGGCGAAATTGCTTGAGCCTAGGAGTTTGAGACCAGCCTAGACAACATAGTAAAACCCCGTCTCTACAAAAAATTAGCCAGGCGTGGTGGCATGCAGCTACAGTCCTAGCTATTTGGGAGGCTGAGGTGGGAGGATCACTTCACCCTGGGAGGTCAAGGCTGCAGTGAGCCATGATTGCATCACTGCACTCTAGCCTGGGTGACAGAGAAAGACCCTGTCTCAAAAACAAATACCAACCCCCGCCAAGATACCCAAATGTTAAATGTTAATAAAGATGTGAGAGCCATCAGGGAACCACAAAATAAAACCATGAGATACCACAACACCTACCAGAGTAGCTAAAAGACAAAAAGCCAGAAGACAAATACCAAGGGTGAGCAAGATGTGGGGCAACTGGAACTCTCATACATTGATGGAGGGAGTGCCTTTTAGTTCAAATATTCTGGAAAACTAATTGGTAGTTAACTACTAAAGCTCAACATGAGCATACCCTATGAATCAGCAATTCCATTCCTCAGAATTACCCAACCAAAACATACATGTATGTACTAGATGACAAGCGCAAGAATGTACCTAGAAGATACATTACCTAGAAGATATTATTATTCATAACCCCAAAAAGAAATAACCAATGTCCATCAACAGAATGTAGTAGTAAAGAATCTACAAAACAAGCAAAACTACTCTAAGGTGCTAAAAATCAGAAAGAGTAGGCTGGGAGAGAAGTTTAAGGGGAGCTCCTATGGCACAGGTAATGTCTTTTTAAACTAGGTGTACTGTGTGAATCCATTAAGCTGTAAACTCCATGTGCAATTTAAACCTTATACTACAACAAAAAAATTTACTAAGAGTGTTCTGGTAACTTTTGGCACAGAGCTATCATGAATGGAACCTTGTATCAAATAGGACTTTTTGGGTTGTGACAGCAGAAATCCAATTCAAACTAACCTAACAGAAAAAGGGAAAAGTATTGGTTTAAATGTCTTAAAAAAAAAAAAAAAAAAAAAAAAAAAAAGCTACACTAGAGCCAGAGATGCAAAAGCAATCATCAGGTTTTTTGTTCTTCTCTCTGTCTGGCTTTCTTGTTGTGGGTTTTTTTTCTGCCAGGCAGCAAGGCACTCTCCATGAAACTCCAGACTTACCTCATCGCCATAATCAGCAATGACAACAGAAAACATCTTTCTGTAAATTCTGACAACATGACCAGCATCAGCCTAGCTTGAGTCACATACCCTTACTGTAGGCTATTCTGCCCCATTTGAACCCGTGGACTAAGAGTAGTAAAGGTGTGTTTTCTCAAAGGCAAATCCTGCTGTTACCAGGAAAAGGGGGAATGAATACCAGAGAGGCAAAACCAACATTCTGTATATTTGGAGGAGACAGAAGAAAACTCTTCATTTGCAGTCTCTCATCCTGATTTATGTCAAATTAAGTTGGTTAATAAAAGTAATTTATAGCTTTCCTATCTAAGGATCCAAGCGGCTTTGTAAAAGTCTCTGAGCTTTTCCCTCTGGGAGAGGGAAACTGAGTTTATCATCAGATGTCTCTGACATCAGTCTCTCCTCCTAGACTACCTTGCACACTACGATCAAATTAATCTTCCCAATGCATGGCTCTAGTTATAAAACAATCCCAAGAAAGAAACCATACTCCCCACCAAAGTTAAAGATTTTTTCTGTCACTCATGGTCCTTCCATGATGTCACCCTTTTACCTTTCCATACTGATGTTATGTTGCTCCCTTTTTGTACACCAAGTCAGTGATTTTGGGGGTTTGTCACTGTCACTGATTGACTTTAGAGTATTAGGATGTAACTGACATTTAATCTATCAGTCAGAGATTTGGGCGTTAACTTTCCTGTGACTTTTCCTTTCTGGTTTTAAAGGTACAATAAAATGATTTATAAATTCTAAATCTGACCCTTAATATATTTCATCTAGTCAGCATTCTTATTAAACCAAGTTTATCCTTCTAAAAATAAGAAAGTGTGCTCTTTAGGTAGAGTATTGTGAGATATATGAACAGCATTTTCTTAATGGGAAGACCTAGTAGAGAACTATTTTCTCCACAGCATTCATCTTTCCCCATAAATAAAATATTTACAGTGTATAATTATTTCTCCTGAGTTTCAAAGACTCAGAAGAAAGATACTAGTTTTATTTTTATACACAAGTGGAACTTGTAATAAACTGCACTATCTTTTTCAGAGTAGGTGAAACAAGACATGTTTAGAAACAGGCCACCTAGATCTTTAGCTAATTTCATTTAGGCTAATGTCTCCACAGCTTCACCTTTAACTAAAAGTGATTTACATATATAACCAATTTACTAACTTGTCAAGGTTTCAGAATTACAAATTAATTTCTACTAAAAGCGAAAAGATGAATTGTGACATGAGTAAAATTATTTTAAAATAAATGCATAAATAAAATGTATAAGCATATCATTTTATTTTCATTTAAGCCAACTATGCTGTAAGCTATTTAGACAAGATGATTCACATTTTATACTTAAATACAAATTTCAGAACATAAAGTATATTTTCTGTTTTTCAAATCCATATTTTATCTGAAATACATTTCCTGCAACAAAACATTATTAGAAGAGTTAAATTATTTATTTAAAAAAAATTTTTTAGAGACAGGGTCTCATTCTGTTGCCCAGGTTGGAGTGCAGTGGCATGATCATACCTCACTGTAACATCAAATTCCTAGGCTCAAGTGATCTTCTTGCCTCAGCCTCTCGAACAGCTGGGACTACAGGCATGGACTACCATGCTAGGCTTTTTGTTTTTTAAATAGAGACAAGGTCTTATTATCCTGCCTAGGCTGGTCTTGAATGCCTAGCCTCAATATCCTTCTGCCTTGGCCTCCCAAAATGTTGGTATTACAGGCACGAGCTACCGTATCTGGCCAAAATTATTTTTTAATGGTTGTAGTGGAGCAAATTTTCCTCATTATGTACCTACAGGGAATTAGCACACTCTTAACGGTTCTTGAATACAACAAAGAATGTGGTATTGATGAGTACACACTATATATAAATTCAGCCAAACATCCACATCCAAACATCCAAGCTGTAAGACTGACTTTTAACTTAAAATTTTGAAAATAAATTTAAAAATGCCCTCCAAACTACTGGTAACACACTCCTTTATGGTTTTACGCAGCAGGTTCCAGGAATTACAGTTTTCTGTGCTTCCTTAAATCTTTCTCTTGGGGTAGCCATCAATCATCTTCTTTCTCAATATAGGTCTTTGCATTAACCCGCGCCATCTGCCTGGCCAAGTACCTGTCTCTAGCTGACATTACAGTTTCTTCATTGTTCCGCTTTGCAAACTTGCTCACTGCCTCAGGTGGTCTCTCTTGTTCTTTACCCTTCTCTTGCCCTTCCTCTGTGAGTCTGTGTTTTGCTCCCAGTGATGATTCAGAATTAGAGGGTTTCTCTTGGTTTCTTTCTTTGTCCTTTGCCATGTTTCTCATTTTGTTGGATCTTTCTTGGTCAAGAAATTTATCCTTTGCCCTAGAATTTGGGCTGCTTTCCTTTCTGTCTTGATTTCTTTCTGAAGACTGAACACCTACCTCTCGTTTTTCTCTATCTCTGTATTTATCATTATTTTCATATCTTTCCTTCCTTACTTTCATATGCTCTTCCTTTGCTTTGCTTTTCTCTTCCTTCTCTCCTTTCTCACTGGGTCGGTTCTGATCATTTTGTTGTCTATCTCTTTCTTGTTCTCTTTGGGAATATTTCTCCCTATCTTTCTCCCTTTTCCATACTCTGTCACTTCTTTCTCTTTGGTCCCTCGCCCTTGGTTTATCTTCCTGTTCATGCCTCTTCCAATGGGAATCTCTATGACTGGCCTCTCTGTGCCTATGAGAATCCCTTTCTTTCCGGTAATCACGGTCAGTGTAATGGTTCTCTTGGTCTCTGGATTGCTTCTGCTGGTGCTGATCTTCCCTTTTCTCATGTCCTCTCGACGTTCGTGATCCTTTCGTGTGGTGCCTGGTACTGTGCCCTCTTTCTTCACTAGGTGACCGAGAGTGGTTTTGACTCCTGTGGTGCTTGAAGTCATTCTCAGGGGTCTCTATGACCTTTTCCCTTCTGCAGTTCACTCTAGTTTCTTCTATTTCATCATCCGCACTGCTCTTAGCATCGAAGTCACTGTCTGCATCTGGGTTTTCCTCTACTTTCACATCAGTTTGAAGAATGCATTTCTCTTGTGGTATTCTGTTTTTTGAACTTACTTCATTGGAGAAGCCCCTTGATTTTTCTTCCTTTATACCAGATCTTAGAAACAAAAAACAAAAAAGGGCAGAAAAAAATGCCACATTATCAGTTGTAATAAGCAAATGAAGGGTTCATATAATTTTTATCAATACTCAAATCAATACACCTATAGTGATATATACTGTCTGATTATCCAAATGCAAAAAGGTCCTGATGTCTATGCAAACTAGTATTTTCAAATTCATACCATTCAGAATATTTTCAATATTTGTAGAAGTGAAAAGAGAAAATTAGCCCTTGTCTACTATACTACTAGAACCTACAGGCAAGGGTCTGTACAGGTCTTCATTTTTTGGTAAGCCTAAGACAAAGAATAATTGGGAAAAGTAATAAATGTTCTGAATCTAAGTTCTATTTTCACAACATGAAGCTTAAGTTGTGACTGTTGGATTTGTTGTTTCCTTTCTTATTTATTTATTTTGAGACATTCTGTTACCCAGGCTGGAGTGCAGTGGCACAATCTCGGTTCACTGCAACCTCTGCCTCCCAGGCTCAAGTGATCCTCTCACCTTAGCTTCCCGAGTAGTTGGGATTACAGGCCTGCACCACCATGCCCAGCTAATTTTTGTATTTTTAGTAGAGACAGGGTTTTGCCATGTTGGCCAAGCTGGTCTCAAACTCTTGACCTCAGGTGATCCAACCACCCTGGCCTCCCAAAGTGCGGGGATTACAGGTGTGAGCCACCATGCTTGGCCTTTTTCTTTTTAAAAAATTATAAAAATAGTCCTAGAAATACATGAAGATAATCTTTGCACAGCAAAATAGTGGCAAATATAATCCTAAATATTTACTCTCTCTCATGAGTGTATCCTGATTCACTCCTTGGCACCTATCACAACAAAATGGAAATATATTAATTTGTCCATTAGAATCAACAATACTAAAATTATATTACCTTCATTGTTCCAGCTGGCAAGTACAGTTAACTTTATAGTATGAGTATAATGTAAATAAGAACCACTCAGTGATTCTTACTAATCACTTACTAATCACACTAATGGTGCAACAACTTTGGTTCTCCAGGAATTACTGGCAGAACTATCTTGGCTAAAGGACCCACTAACAGTTAGGAATTCGATTATTAGACTCTAAGAAGTACAACTATGTCAACGACATTACAGAGTTTCATGGCAGCCTAATAAATATTCCAGATGAAACTCTAATACAAAGATATAACGTAATATAATTTCCATTCAAAACCTGAATCTTCAAATACATTTTCTTAGGTTCATACTTCTCACCAATTTTATAATCAAAGCCTAGCAGCGTAGGGAGGGAGTGGGGCATAAACTTCCTCTCCTCACCTTAATTCTATTCTCCTACCTCTTCCCTTCCTTAGCAACACAGACTCAGATCTACCCAGAACATTCCTGTTAAAAAAAATTTTTTTTTTTTTGCTTAGGACAGACTCTTTTACCTTCAGCTACATAATTATGGCATAATCATCTCACCATTCCTATAATACCTTATAACTTTATTCAAAAATCCTCTAATCCTTTACCTTCTAGACCAGCATTAATAGAAATGCCTCAAGAAATGGTAATGTTCATATGTGAGCTGTCCCCAGTATGGCAACCACCAGCCAAATATGGCAACTGAGTATATGAAATGTGGCCGCTGTGATCAAAACTTTAAATTTTATTTACTTAATTTTATTATTTATTTATTATTATTATTTTTTGAGACAGAGTCTTGCACTGTCACCCAAGCTGGAGTGCAGTGGCGCAATCTCAGCTCACTGCAACCTCCGCCTCCTGTGTTCACGCCATTCTCCTGCCTCAGCCTCCCAAGTAGCTGGGACAACAGGCGCCCGCCACCACGCCTGGCTAATTTTTTGTATTTTTAGTAGAGACGGGATTTCACCGTGCTGGCCAGGATGGTCTCAATCTCCTGACCTCGCAATCCGCCCGCCTTGGCCTCCCAAAGTGCTGGGATTATAGGCATGAGCCACCGTGCCCAGCCATTTTATTTTTTGAGATGGAGTCTGGCTCTGTCGCCAGGTTGGAGTGCAGTGGCGCTATCTCAGCTCACTGCAATCTCCGCCTCCCGAGTTTAAGCAATTCTCCTGCCTCAACCTCCCCAGGAGGTGGGATTACAGGCATGTGCCACAATGCCGAGCTAATTTTTGTATTTTTAGTAGAGACAGGGTTTCACCATGTTGGCCAGGATGGTCTCCATCTCCTGATCTCATGATCCACCTGCCTCAGCCTCCCAAAGTGCTGGGATAACAGGCGTGAGTCACTGCGCCCAACCTACTTTATTTACTTTAAATTAATTTAAGTAGCTACACGTGACTAGTGCCTACATACTAACAGTGCAGTTCTAGCCCCGATATGTAAGTCTTACATTTTAGGAAGGCTGGGTTCTATTTATGAAAACAAACCACTTTCCTTTTTATACACTATCTGAACATGTATATAAGACTTATATTGTAGACACCTAATTCTTTCCAACTTTCTCCTTAATTCTGACAGCAAAATCATTTTAAGGTACCAGGCACCAATCATTTTAAGGATCATGAGGAATACCCACATTCTTATTTAAAAAAAAAAAAAAAAAAAAAAAAGCAGCCAGGTGCAGTGGCTCATACCTGTAATCCCAGCACTTTGGGAGGCTGAGATAGAGGGGGGATCCCTCAAACCCAGGAGTTCAAGACCAGCCTGGGCAACATAAAGCCCCATCTCCACAACAAAAATACAAAAAGAGGCTGGGCGTGGTGGCTCATGCATATAATCCCAGTACTTTGGGAGGCCGAGGCGGGTGGATCACCTGAGGTCAGGAATTCGAGACTAGTCTGGCCAACATGGTGAAACTCCATCTCTACTAAAAATACAAAGATTAGCCGGGCGTAGTGCATGCACCTATAGTCCCAGCTACTCAGGAAGCTGAGGCACGAGAATCCCTTGAACTTGAGAGGCAGAGGTTGCAGTAAGCAGAGATCGCGCCATTGCACTCCAGCCTGGGTGACAGAGCAAGACTCCATTCCATCTAAAAAAAAAAAAAACAAAAAAAAAAAACCACACACACAACAACAACAACAAAAAACACAAAAAGAAAATTCGCTGGGCATGATGGCTTGCACCTGTAGTCCCAGCTACTTGGGAGGATCATTTGAGCCCATGAGGCAAAGGCTGCAGTGAGCTATGATTGAACCACTGTACTCCATCCACCCTAGGCGACAGAGTGAGACTCTGCCTCAAAAAAAAAAAAAAAAAAGAAAAAAGAAAAAACTACAATTTGATTTTGCTTTCCCTTGAAGATTTTGCTCTCCCTTGTTAAGACCCATAAATCACTTAAAAATTCAGAAACTTTATACATTAAAAGTCTGTCTTTGGTTTTACAATAATATTAAACTCAATCACTGTTTTAATGTAACAATTTCTGTGAAATGCAGAATAAAAATGATCTTAAACTAAATCTGTAGGTTTTAAAATCAAGAAACTGCAAATTTCTAGCCATTCATTCAGTTAGGTAAGGCTGGCTGACAACACAATATGCAATGTTGTAATCTTCCATCTTTCAGAGGGTTAAAATGACCCCACAACCACAGATTATTAACAGTATTTTTCTTCAAAATATTTCATACACGTCTCCTCACCTGGCTTCACGAAAGCTGCATTTAGGTACTTCCTCTTCACCAACTGCTTGATTTAATAGGTGCCTATAAAATCCACTGAGATCTTTCTGCTTGGTTACATCCAAACATGCTAACAGAGGGAAAGCAAAAATTAGAATATATTCAATAAGGCACAGTGCAGTTTCATTTTACAGACATACAGTATATAACATACAGTGTGTAAACTACTCGCTGGATCAGGAGTTGGCAAACTGCAGGCCAAATCTGGCCTGTTGCCTGTTTTCATAAATAAATTTTTATTGAAACAAAGCCCTGTTCATTTATGTATTGTCCACAACTGCTTTTGTACTACAAAGGCAGAGCTCAGTAACTGCGACAGAGATCATATACACAAAAAGCCCTAAAGTATGAATATGATCTGGCATTCAAAATATGAATTTATAAATTTAAAGTCTTAAAATATGAATACTAAAATACTATCTGGTCCTTTACAGAAAGTTTGCCGACTGGCACTCTAAACACATAGTACATGCTTAGACAGAATGTTATAGACTTGGTTTTCTTCTACTTAAAAGCTGAAGAGGATGGGCGCAGTGGCTCACGCCTGTAATCCTACAACTTTGGGAGGCTGAGGTGGGTGGATCACCTGAGCTCAGGAGTTCGAGACCAACCTGGCCAACATGGTAAAACTCCGTCTCTATAAAAATATAAAAATTATCCAGGTGTGGTGGTGCATGCCTGTAATCCCAGCTACTTGGGAGCCTGAGGCATAAGAATCACTTGAACTTGGGAGGCAGAGGTTGCAGTGAGCCAAGATCATACGACTGCACTCCAGCCTGGGCGACACAGCGAGACTCTGTCCAAAAAGCTGATGAGCATTTGTCAATTAAAGTATTTACAGGGCTGGTCATGGTGGCTCACACCTGTAATGCCAACACTTTGGGAGGCTGAGGCAGGAAGATTGCTTGAGCCCAGGAGTTCGAGACCAGCCCCGGCAACATAGTGAGACCCCGTCTCTACAAAAAATACAAAAAGTAACCAGACGTGGTGGTATGTTCCCGTAGTCCCAGCTACTCAAGAGGCTGAGGTGGGAGGATCACTGGAGCCTGGGAGGTCAGGGCTGCAGTGAGCCATGGTTGAGCCACTGCACTCCAGCCTGGGTGACAGAGACCCAGTCTCAAAAAAAAAAGTATTTTATAAATACATATTCTACTTAGATCTTGAGAAATAATCATGAGTAGAAAGCACTAAGGTAAAGCATTAAGATATTCTTAATTCATCCAATTTTTATTCTTTCTTCAATTAATGTTATTCTTTTTCTAATTGCCTCATTGATCCTCCTTGAGTGGTGTTACTCTATTATTTTCTCATCCCAAAAAAATGTAACTAGGGTTTAAAATTATATTTATATTGTTTCTGACAAATGCCATGGCGTTATACTTTGTAATAAATGTTTTTACATTTCAGATCATGTTCTAAGGCAAAAGCCACAAAATGAGAACTAAGAGAAAAGTCTAGTAGAAATAATAGTTACTGAAGAGTTCAACTGTGTTTTTAGTTAAACTTTCCTTTCTGTTTTATACTGCTATATAATACCATATTCCTTGTGTCTTGAATTCCTATATATAAATTATGATCACAAACTCATAACCCTAAAGTTCAGTGACAGAGCAAACAGCTAACCACAGGGGAGAGATTCTGCTACTGTTTCCTTGTGCCTTTCCCACTCTTTCATTTTACCTTCCAGTGCAGCAGCCCTCTTTTCTCTTTCTTCTTCTTCAGCTCTCTCTTGCAGTTTTTTCTTATATGCAGATGTCACAAATGCTTCTTTATCATCAAACTCCCCCTTTTCCATTTCTCGTTCTCTCTGTATTTTCTTTTCCATTCTTTTTTCCTGTTCCTTTTTTCTGATCTCAACTGCTTTTAGCAAGTTGTGAATATACTTGGGCTAAGGAAATAAAAAAGATTTAGGAAAAGAGTAAAAAAATAGTAATTGTTAATATTATAATTTTTATAATGAATTCATTAAGATAGAAATGATTGGCCCAAATAAGATTGTCTTCCCTACATTCAATATAAACTTACTAGCAAGATTAATATTGAAACTGTTTTCCATAAAAATTTAGGTGTAGCAGAGATAGAAATTGTTTATAATGCGATTTAACTTTAATAAAACATCAAACTAAATATAATTTTTTTCTTTTTTCTGGTATTATCTTAATTAAAAAAAAATCAGAAAAGTTCCTGCTAGTTTTTCACATTTAGTAGAAATATGACTATTTAAAATAGTAGCTTAATATAATTTTATACCATCACTCTACTAGTAGATAACTGTCAGATGCAAATGCCCTTAAAAATCAGCCTGTGCTTGTGAAAGAACAAGAGTTGATAGAAAGAAAATCTGAACTTATTTCAGTTTTTACCCCTCCCAAATTTTTTTCTCACTGAAAATAAAATCATGATAGGTGCAGGCAGATGATTCAGTTACCAGCTAGGAAGAAATGAAAAAATGAGAGGGTAATAAAACACAAATAAACATACACAGGGCAGGAACAGTACAAATTTGGTACATTAGAATTCCAAGGAAAAGTTTTCAAAAAACTATTTGCAAAGGTTTCAAAGCAAAAAGCAAAATTGTTAGATAATTCACCTGGCCTATTAGGATAATATGTAGTGCTGCTTGAGTTCTACAATCAAATTTGTAATATCTGGAATTAGGGACTCTTCACACCTCACATACCTAAAAGCTTTTTCTCAGATCATTCTCATGTTAAAATAAGATTAAGACACAAAATGTAGGTCAAGGTCAAAGAAAGTTTGTTATTTCAGCTTACAAACCTTTCTGTCTTTCCCCAAAAGCAATTTGGGATTATTTTCCTCCTTTTTTTTCTGCATTTCATCATAAATACTGTCATATTCATACACAGTAGCATCTTCTGCAAGGGCCTTCTGGATTTCCAGTTTGGTCTTAAAAAAAAATTAAACATGTTTCAAAAATATGAGCCAGCCAATAGATACAACAAAGTCTATGCTTTTTGAGAATGGTTCATAAATTGAAAATATATCATAAAAATTACAATCACATTTTTAGATAGGAAATACAAATAAACTCTGGAGCCAGGCTGCCTGGGTATGAATGCTGGCTCTACACTTACTAATTACTCCGGGCAAGTTTGTTTGTAATCTTTTGGTACCTTAATTTCCTCATCTAGAAGAGAAAGAATAATGACTATATTTACATTCTAAGCTGTTATAATTAAATGACTAAACTTAAAACAGAGCCTGATAGAGAATAAGTATTCAATAAACATCAACTATTATTATCATTTATTCATTTGTATATAATTATACCCATCAAAAGGTCAAAAGGTACGATGGAAACACCTAACCTTGGTTTTGAGAGGCCTGTATTATATATTAAACTTTCATTATCATTTTTAGAGTTGTTAAACATAAAGTCTCTGCCTTTATCATGTTCCTTCCATCTCAAATGATGTTTTTTTCTCCTCTTTCAAGCGATCAAAATCTTACCCAGTGTTTCAGGGCCAGCCCTACTTCTTCTATGAGCCCATTTCTGAGGCCTCTAACCCCCAATGATCTTTCTTCTAAACTCTGAGGAACATTCTATTCTGCAATATTTACACTAGATTTTTTTTTTTTTTAAAGCGATGGGGTCTCGCTCTGTCGCACTGGCTGGAGTGCCAGTGGTGTGATCTTGGCTCACTGCAACCTCTGCCTCCCAGGCTTCAAGTGATCCTCTCACTTCAGCCACCCAAGTAGCTGGGACTACAGGCGTGTGCCACCATGCCTGGCTAATTTTTATATGTTTTGTAGAGACAGAGTTTCACCATGTTGCTCAGGCTGGTCTTGAACTCCTGGGCTCAAATGATCCACCCACCTCAGCGCCCCCCAAAGTGCTGGAATTACATGCGTGAGCCACCATGCCAGGCATGGGCGTTTTTACTTCCTGTTTTACAAATCTTAGCCTTTTGCCCCCGGTTGTAAATTCCTGAGGTACAGAGTCTACACACTTTGATTTTTTCCTCAATTGCTAGATTGGCTAATGTAGAACCCAAGAGGGATCCTTTTTAAGTGATAGGATGATATAATTATTCAAAAGAATCTATCTGATAGACTAGGGTTTTTACATACCAACATTTAAACTCTGAATAATGCACATGCTAACTGAAAAACTTTTTTTCTAGAATATTGTTTAAAATATTAAGAAATTCATTTTTTTCACTTCTCAACCTTTAGAAAGTGAAAGATTCTCCTGCCTAGATGTTGAATTGGCACTCCTGCTCACTCCCCAAAACCAGCCTGGATAACACAAAGAGGGAAACATGGAATCTAAGAAATAATCACCACTACAATAACAAAAAGCAAGGAAAAAGGGAGACTGAGGGCTGTTTTTTTTTTGGGGGGGGGGGGACGAAGTCTTGCACTGTTGTCCTGGCTGGTGTGCAGTGGTAGGATCTTGGCTCGCTGCAACCTCCGCCTCCTGGGTTCAAGCGATTCCCCTGCCTCAGCCTCCTGAGTAGCTAGGATTACAGGCACCTGCTACCATGCCTGGCTAATTTTTTGTATTTTTAGTAGAGACGGAGTTTCACTATGTTGGTCAAGCTGTTCTCGAACTCCTGACCTCGTGATCTACCCACCTTGGCCTTCCAAAGTACAGGGATTACATGCATGAGCCACTGCACCCGGCCAGGGCTGTTTTAAACTGATGACATGCCTTTGTATATGTTGGGAGGAGAGCTGTAGGGGAGCACTTGAGTAGATATGTTACTATTAACTATGTTGCAACATAAATAAAGCAAAAATTGAACAGATATTCAAGGAAAAATAGACAAATCCATAATCACAGTGGGAGATTTAACATATGCCTCTCAGTAACAGAACAGACAAAACAAAACAAAACAAAACAAAACAACAACAACAACAAAAAAAAACAGTATGAATATATATGGATTAACACAACTGGCCCAATGGACACATAGAGAACATTTTCTTTTTTCTTTTTTTTTGGGGGGGGGGTTCGGAGTCTTGCTCTGTTGCCTAGCCTGGAGTGCAGTGGCACCATCTTGGCTCACTGCAACCTCCACCTCCTGTGTTCAAGTGACTCTCCTGCCTCAGCCTCCTGAGTAGCTGGGACTACAGGTGCACACCACCATGCCCGGCTAATTTTTGTATCAATACAGAACATTTTCAAACACAGAGGAAATATTTATAAAAACTGACTATATACTGGACCATAAAGTAAACCTCTACAGGTTTTAAAGGAATGAAACAATACAGTGCAGTGTCTTGGAATCCAAAATAATCATGTTAGGGACTGGGTGTGGCAACTCATGCCTGTAATCCCAACACTTTGGGGGGCGAAGACGGGCGGATCTCCTGAGGTGAAGAGAGCGCCTGGCCATCTAAAAATATAAAAATTAGCCAGGTGTGGTGATGCACACCTGAAATCCCAGCTATCAGGAGGCTAAGGCAGAAAAATCGCTTGAATCCAGGAGGTGGAGGTTGCAGTGAGCTGAGATCGTGCCGCTGCACTCCAGCCTAGGTACAGAGCAAGACTCCATCTCAAAAACAAAAACAAAAACAAAACAAAACAAAACAAAACAAAAAACCCCAAAAAACAAACAAGCAAAAAACCAAAGTAATCACATTAGGAATGAATAACAAAAAGGTAATCAAAAACCTCCGTTATGTTCAGAAATTAATAATAGATGGGTCAAACAAGAAATCATAATGCAAATCAGAAAATGTTTTGCATGAAACAACAAAAATACTGCCTATCAAAATCTGTAAGATACAGCTACAGAAGTACTTAGAGGGAAACATATAGCCTTAAATGCATATATTAGAAAAGAGAACAGAAAACAGAGCTATGCAGCAATCTCAAAAAGTTAGAAAAATAACAAAATAAACCCAAAGAAAACAGAATGAAGAACACACTGATCTGTCAGGACAGAAAATGAAGTAGAAACAAACAAAATGTATATAGTATCATATTAGCTCATTGTATAAGGCTCGCCAAACCTTGGTATTATCAGACTTTTTCAATCTAGATAATTGCAGCGAAAGAAAAGGAAACCATCCTATTCTGCCCAGTCTCACTTATGATGCAAAAATCTTCAATACTTAAAAACTCTTAATGAAGCTTTAGTAAGCCAAATGCAACAATATATGAAAATGATAACATTTTATGCTTATGTTAAGTTTATACCACTTATGTGAAGTTACAATGATTGATTTTCTAAAGTTAAGCTGACTTTACATTATTGGTATAAAACCAACATGGTCATGAAGCAGTATCCTTTTTGTATGTAGTTCACCATTTAAACAAATAAACAAACAACAAAACCCTCCAACTAAGAAAATAATTTCCTTAGATTAGCAACAAATATCTATCAGAGACCTACAGCAAATGTTTTATTTACTGATGACATACTGAAAGTTTTCCCAATGAAACGGAATATGACAATAATGTTGCCATCATCAGTTCTGTAAACTTGAGGTCCACATAGAAGAAAAAAATAGTTTAAAGTACCCCATTTTAAAAAGCATTTTCTCTAAGATTTAGTAAATGCAATCAAGCTAGTATTCTTCATAGTAAAATGAAAAATAATTTCAATTCGTATGGATAAAGACATTCGATGAGCTGAATCAATCAAGTGGGGAACAAAGGGAAAAGTATGTAATATAGGTGCGAGAAAAAATCAGCAGAAAGCAGGTGAAAGGTGTAAGAGTTGTAGCAGCATTCCTAATTTCCAAGCAAACTACAAAAAGTCCCACTAAACAGATAAAGTGGCTTGAACAAGACAGAGTTAAGAATAAAATCAGATTTGGGATTCATGCTTTAAGTGAAGAAAAAAAGGCAGCACAAAAATGTTAAAATAATCCTGGAAAACAAGATACCTGTATTACCTTGGATAAGTTACCCAACTCTCCAGAACTAAGTCTCCCATTTATATAGTGAGGAAGTTGAACTTAATGGTATCTCCAAAATTCTGACTCAAAGCACTCCAGTATTTATGTTAAATAATCACTGTTTTTTATGTTTTATGTGTATATTAAATCATTCTGAGGCTGCTGAGTTACACATTATATTTCACTGTGAAACTCTGACATTATCTTAAAATGACTAAATATATCCTTCTGTGCCAATTCGTCCGGGAGGGTGTGAAACACAGTGGTTAAAAGCCTAGGTTCTGAGGTTTCACTGTCTAGTTTTGAACACAGCCCTACCATTTATTAACTATGTGGTCTCATGCAAGTCACATAAATTCTTCTTGCCTTCATTTCCTTAACTATAAAATAAGGATTATAAAAGCATCTATCTCATAGAATTATTGTAAGAATTAAAGATCATTCTTAAAACATAGTTGTCATGATGCCTGGCACATAGAAAGTGCTTAATAAACTTATCTTTATGCAGGTTTCCAGTTAGACAAAGAGGAAATAGGACCAAAAATTATAAAGCTAATGGAGAGGATAAATAATTCAAAATGAAAAACAAAGGCACCTCGCTATTGTTTAATTTCATTACATTCTATAGCAGAAAATCTAAGATATACTAGTCTACAATAGCAGAAAAATTAGTAAACCTTCAGGCCTAGTTCGATAATTAATAGTATGATCTTAAGGAGCACTTTATCCTTTTTGAGTTTCAGATTTCTTAATCAGTACTATGGGCAAGTTTGTGAGAACTGTAAAAGATAAATGTATGTAAAAAGCACTTGGAAACAAGCACGTCTTTTAAAAATTATCAGGCCGCGCACGGTGGCTCACGCCTGTAATCCCAGCACTTCAGGAGGCTGAGGTTGGCGGATCACCTGAGGTCACGGGTTCCAGACCAGCCTGACCAACACGGTGAAACCCCGTCTCTACTAAAAATATAAAAATTAGCTGGGCATGGTGGCATGCGCCTTTAGTCCCAGCTACTCGGGAGGCTGAAGCAGGAGAATTGCCTGAACCCAGGAGATGGAGACTGCAGTGAGCCGAGAGTGCACCACGGCACTCCAGCCTGGGCAACAGAGCAAGACTCAATCTCAAAAAAAAAAAAAATCTATATATCTATATATCTATATATTTGTATCTATCTCTGATATTCTTCTTTCTGGGCAGATGAGTTTCAAATAATTATAAGTTTGTGAAACCATTTTGGTTGTGAAAAGGTTTTTTTTTTCCCTGCAAGTAAGCTCACTAGCAAGAATTTAATAATAACAACAGGCCAAACAATCCATTATTAGACTAATGAGTCATCTACAAGCAGAACTGGTTTAATCTATAGCACAGCAATAAGGAGCTAATTCTTCATTGTGTTTTTCCTTAAATCTATTCTGTTTTAGTCTCAGCACCTAGATACCAAAACTGATGCTTAAAAATGAGCCGGAATGCTTCACTGAATGCACTTATCCCAGTCTTCTACCTTACCTGTTTCATGGCCTGCTTCTTAGCAGCTTCCCTCTGAAGGCTTTCACTCACAGAGGTCTGTAAAACAGAAATATATTGTCACTTTTTAAACAAATTTAAAATTTCTTTTCCAGTACGAGCGTCCCCTATCTAAAATACATGGGACCAGAAGTGTTTTGTATTTCAGATTTTTAAAATACTTACTGGTTCAGCACCCCAAATCTGAAGATCTGATATCTGATGCTCCAATGAGCATTTCATTTGAGCTTCACATTAGTGCTCAAAAAAGTTTTAGATTTTAGAACATTTAGGATTTTTGATTTTCAGATTTGGGATGCTCAACCTGTTTTCTGGTTGGCAATGGTGCCTTACTTATAGTTAAAAGTAAAAAGATAATAATACAAATTAAACTAACATTTTCAGGGTTTTTTCCCTAAACTTCAGGAAATAAATGAATTTGCATTGTAAATCCTCAGAATAGATTATAAGGTATCAGAGAAAATAGAATGGTACAGGAAAAGATGAGTAAACATGAATTTTTAGTCCTAAATTCACTACTGTCATTCAACCTTTACAGATTTCAATTTGCTTCATGTGAACATGTGAGAGAGAGAGAGAGAGAGAGAGAGAGAGAGAGAGAGAGGGAGTGTGTGTGTGTGTGTGTGTGTGTGTGTGTGTGTGTGTGAGAAATGGGGAAAGACTGGTCTAGATAATATTTCAGGTACCTTCCAACACTAAAATGGTATGATTCCCAGCTTACAAAAAGCAAACTATTTTAATATTCACCACTCAATATAGTGTATCAAGCTCTCGGTTTATGTTTAAGGCTTAGGGACAGCAGCAACTATTCGTGGCAATAATCAAAAACTATGTACCAAAAAGCATGTTTAGGTCCTGAGGATAGTGAAAAAGCAAGAACAGTCTCAGTCTTAGGCCAGAGACTGAAACAAAATCTTGTTTTTCAGATAAACAGTCTGAAAGGGAAGACAATTAAAGAAATAATCACAATATATGGCCAGGCGCGGTGGCTCATGCCTGTAATCCCAGCACTTTGGGAGGCTGAGGCAGGCAGATCACTTGAGGCCAGGAGTTTTGAGACCAGCCTGGCCAACATGGTGAAACCCCGTCTCTACTGAAAATACAAAGATGAGCCGGGAGTGTTGGAGCACAGCTGTAATCCCAGCTACTTGAAAGGCTGAGACATGAGAATCACTTGCACCTGGGAGGCAGATGTTGCAGTGAGCCAAAATTGTGCCACTGCACTCCAGCCTGGGCAACAGAACCAGGCTCTGTCTCAAAAAAAAAAAAAAAAAAAAGACAATTACAATATAAATGTGATAAGCAATATAATAAAGGAATAAACAAAGCACTGTGGGAGCCCAGGGCAGAGAAGGCAACTAAATGTATATGAGGAATCAAGAATCCCTTTCCAAAAGAGATATGACATTAGACCAGAATCAAAGAGAATAAAAATGTAAAAGAATGCAAGAGGAAGATAGGAAGTAGTCATCACATGGGCAAAACTAAAGATTACATACAGCTAAGAAAAAAAAATACTTAAGAAAAATATGTTTCCTTAATAGTACAGGCTTTAATCATCAGGGAAATGTAAATCAGAACCACTAAGAGATAACACCTCACACCTGTTAGAATGGCTATTCTAAAAAAGTCAAAAAATAATAAAGGTTAGCATGGGTGCCAGAAAAGGGAATTCTTATATACTGCTGGTGCAGATGTAGGCTGGTACAGTCAATATGGAAAACAGTATGGAGGTTTATAAACAAATTAAAAATAGAACTACCATACAGCCTAGCAATCCCTCTTGGCATATAGCCAAAGGAAATGAAATCACCACCTGGTAAAGGTAGCTTCACTCCCATGTTCATTGCAGCATTATTTGCAATAGCCAGGTATGGAAACAATCTACCTGTTCATTGACAAATGAATGGATAAAGAAACTGTGGTAAATATGTATGATGGAGTATTATTCAGCCTTTAAAAAGGAGATCTTGCCATTTGCCACAATATGAATGGGCCTGGAGGACATTATGCTACATGGTAAGCCAGACACAAAAAGAAAAATAGTACCTGACATCATTTGTAAGTGGAATCTCTCACAGAGATAAAGAACTTAAAAACAATGGTTACTAGGGGTGGGGTGAGAGGAAATGGGAAGAGGTAGGTATGTAACAAGATGAACAAGTCTAGAGATCTAATGTACCACATGAGGACAATAGGTAATAAAATTGTACTATATATGGTATTCATGCTAAATGAGTAAATTGTAGCTGCTCTTGCCACAGAAACAAAAAAAGTATGTAAGATAATGGACATGTTAATTTGCTTTACTGTAGTAAACTTTTTACCATCTATATCCCATAATTGTTATATACCTTAATATGCACAATTAATTTTTTTCAAGTATCAGGATTTGCAAATATACTGACACTGAATTGTATAAAAGCATGAATTTTATGCTATGTGAATTACATCTTTTTAAAAAAGCCAAAATAAAGCTACTGATGCATTTTTAATTCTTTCATTTGTGGGGGCAAGGGCTACATGGGTTATCTCTGTCCCTCTCAATTTTGCTGTCAGTCTAAAACTGCTGTTTAAAAAAAAACGAAGTCTTAAATATACATAAAAACATATGTGTAAGTTTTAAATATATATATGTACACAAAATCCTCAGCTCTAGAATTATAGTAGTCCAGCCTATTAACACTTGCTATCTTCAGTTGTATTGTACCAGCAATTGGTGCTTTTTTTTTTTCATGGTAATAACCAGAACAAAATAGTTCTCTATGACCACAGACAAATCAATTTAATACACAAAGGTCATATAATACATATTTAAAAAATTAAATAAGTATGCAAAGAACTAAAGACATTTTAGGTGATGGTAAACTGACTAACTGGGGGAAAGATGTTGATAACAAAAACAGTAATAGCTGCTAACATTTATTGAGCTAGGTGCTATGCTAAGTATACTAGTTGTGTATTACATGTATTACTGATTTAATCCAAATTTCTGTTACATGTAATATGAAACTTTCATTCACTAGAATATCAATTTTAAATACCAAAACTGAAAGTAATAGTTAATATTTCCAATGTATTTTCATGTCTGTATTTCTGATTAGTATGAATGAAAAATATTTTTCTTGACCACTGAGTTAATGATGTCTTCAGGACTGACTGAGAAGATTACATCTCCAAATGCTGGATGTTTTCCTCTTTTACTTGCTTTTATTTTTTCCTATCTCCTCCTTCAGTCTGTCACCTTTAATCTGTCAGAGTTTACCTGCTGCCTTTCAAACTGGATGCTTCAATCTAAACTATGTAACTTGGTTGTTATGGAAGATTCTCAGAGAAATAAAATAACTTTTAAAAAGAAAACTTGGGAAAGAAAAACACAAGGCTATACCTTTCCAGACTTTTATAAAATATAGAATAAGCAGACTGAGAAAGGCCTTTCCAATGTAGACTATATCTATTTTGAGACACCTCAAAAGATTTTGTTTCTATGTTCATAGCTGTTTAGAAGAATGAAGTATGACCGTTGAAAAAACAAGCTGTTACTACTTACACAGGAAGGTAACATAATGGAAGGAGTGCAATAGTTTTACATATTCTATTCACAAACTTATATCCCTAGAATTCAACAGCATCAGTGGATAACTCTGAACCTAACCTGAAAAAGTCAGGAAAAACTGATGATCTTTTGAAGGTCATTTGATTCTCAATTTTCTAAATAAAGGTACTTTAACAATTACCACTAAGGATGACGATTAAATGCCAAAAACCTGTTTAAACAAATACAAAAAGCTTAAAAGAGTAGCAGTAAAACTTTTACTTTTTTCTGTAATAGTAACCCTATATAAAAATATATAAAATGATCTTCTATATAACATAAAAAACTCATCTAGATTCAGATCAGACTGAAAAATAACTACTACAATTAAAAACAATTTCCTCATAAAAGAGCAGATACTTATTTTATTTTATTTATTATTATTATTATTACTATTATTATTATTATTATACTTTAAGTTTTAGGGTACATGTGCACAACGTGATTGTTTTCAGATAACCATAATAATTATACTATGTAATTTTAAGATTGAGAACAAAAATTGGCACATGTATTGTGGCCTATTCTGTGTGTCTTTTTTGAATCTATAATTCTGCTAAGAACTGTGCAGAATATAAAAGGATGTTGCTTGTGTTTAATTTTTATGATTCTTTAAATATATTTTAAATGGAAATCCAGAAAGGAAATATATTAATCTAAAAATAGTAACAACAACAGTAGTTACAATAATCCTAACAACTTCAGAAATAATGGATAAGTAAGCTAAATGACATATAGAAGTCACCTTTAATTGTTAAGGCTACAGATTACCTGAGAGAATTTAAGGACAAACAGCTGGTGAATGGCAAAGCAAGATTCCAATTCAGGTACTCTTATTCCAAACTTTAATAACTTTCCTTTAAACACCAGTACTGGATATACACTGAAATGTCTCAAGACAACACAGAATTAAAAGGCATGGAAAGGTACAAATAGCCTATAGCATAAATCTGATTTAAACTTTATAATATTGAACGGTGTCCTATGTTGCTATTATTGGAAATTCACCAACTGAGATGATTCCTCTGAAAACGTAAAGCTGAGGTATGATTCCATCTACTAGAGTAACATAAGTATTATTATAACTGTACATGTACTGTTGACCATTAGAGTGGAAAGTCACATAAAATGAAAACACAGAATGTTATTAACATTAAAGGAAAAACGAGTCTATTTAGTATTTGATATTTTAAGTACTGTTTCTACATCTACTCCATAGTATCAATGAAAAACAGATTCCTTCAGATACATTGTAGTCATATCATGAATGGGAAAATATTTTTCTTTTTAACAAATATCTTAAATACATATATTTATGTGTGAGAAAAAAAACTACTACAATTAAAAGCAGATCAGTAAGATCTTATTTTTTTTTTTAAGACAGAGTCTCACTCTGTTGCCCAGACTGGAGTGCAGTGGTGCGATCTCGGCTCACTGCAACCTCCGCCTCCCGGGTTCAAGAGATTCTCCTGCCTCAGCCTCCTGAGTAGCTGGGAATACAGGCGCACACCACCATGCCCAGCTAATTTTTGTATTTTTAGTAGAGACAAGGTTTCATCATGTTGGTCAGGCTGGTCTCGAACTCCTGACCTCATGATCCACCTGCCTTGGCCTCCCAAAGTGCTGGGATTACAGATGTGAGCCACCGTGCCCGGCCAGATCTTATGTTTTTAAAGGTCAAGTCTTTTTACGTTTTTAGTGGTATCCTTAAAATACTAATACAGTATACATACACAACAGAATAGTATTTGGCCATAAAAAGAATGAAATCGTATCATTTACAGCAACATGGAAGGAACTGGAGGTCATTACCTTAAGTAAAATAAGCCACACACAAAAAGATAAATATCGTATGTTCTCACTTCCATGTGGGAGCTAAAATAAAAACTTTGATCACATGGAGGTAGAGTGAAAAGGTAGATAACAGACTGGGAAGGGTAAGTGAGGGAAATGGGGAGGATAAAGAGAAGCTGGTTAAAGGGTACAAACATACAGTAAGATAGAAGGAATATATTCAGTGTTTGACAGAAGAGTAAGGTGACTATCCTTTTTGTTTGTTTGAGATGGAGTCTTGCTCTGCTGCCCAGGTTGGAGTGCAGTGGTGTGATTTCAGCTCACTGAAACCTCTGCCTCCCGGGTTCAAGCGATTCTCCTGCCTCAGCCTCCCGAGTAGCTGGGATTACAAGTGTGCGCCACCATGCGTGGCTAATTTTTTTTGTATTTTTAGTAGAGATGGGGTTCTGCCATGATGGCTAGGCTGGTCTCGAACTCCTGGCCTCAAGTGATCTGCCTACCTCGGCCTCCCAAAGTGCTAGGATTATAGGCATGAGCCACTGCACCTGGCCAGGGTGACTACCCTTAACAAAAACGTATTGTACTTGGGTAACAGACACTAATTGCTGACTGACTTGATCACTAAGCATTGCATTCATATAACAAAATCTCACAGGTATCCCATAAACTTGTATAAAATTTTTTCAAATACTAACACAAATTTTAAGAGAACTTTTAATTTAGTCTGGTTTTCATAAAAAGAAAGGATACTCAAGAAGGTAAATATCACAAAAGCAGATCCTCTTGCCATAAATCAGGGAAGGGTTGATCTTATTGAACTCAGCAAGAGAAAAAATAGATTTCATAAGTGCCCTGTGAATAAAACAAAACTTATATAATAACTGCAAAGATTATTAATCTCTAACTTCAGTGTTCCTATACTGTACAGCATGAGGAGAACTTACAAAATAACGTTCACAAGTGTAGACTCAGAAACAGTCTACAACTGTTCTCTCTCTTGCTAGCTTGTTATTCTAGGTATGTTAATTTCTTCCTGTTTCAGTTTCCTCCTCTATATATTAGTACCTACCTCACAAAGGTTAGCTACCATTTTTGTTATTATCATGTTCCTGTTTAAAAATATATGGCTGAAGAAATGCTTATATTTAAACAAATCAAAACTAAGTTATGAGAACACAGTAGCTGTACTTTTTTTTTTCTTGGATTATTCACCAGAAAAGCATGCAAACAATATTCCTCTTTATAGTATATTTATCAGTGTGCTTAATAAAATGTAAGGTTGGTATTTATTTGAAGTGACATTAATATATTTCCATCCACTGAATTAGAAAAATCTATTCTGCTGAATATTTAAAAGGCTGTATATGTTTTCTTTTGTGTTGATTCTTTAAGGTTTTATATTCAGTATGTCCATAAACAGGAAAATGGAGGATGCATACATTTGAATCCTTAATTAGCCATGGGAGCTATAGCGTAACTAGAAATGGGTTTTCTAGAACTGATAGTGGCTTTAGTAGGAACTAATTCATAAACAAAAATACACTGCCCCCAAAACATGAGTAGACTAGGGAGTATTCTCCTTTGAGGGTATCCTCTGCTGTGCTGCTATAATCAAATGGCAAGATACAAGGACACACCAAATGAACAGACGTTTGTCTCTAATAATTGTCCTGGTTTGGGGTGAGAAGGGGAAGTGCTTGTTTTAAAAAGCGTATTTTTAAACTTCAAAGAAATGTACAGTTAAGTACTGTGTACCCTTTACCTAACCTCTCCCAATGTTAGTAAGTTGCATAGAGTACAATATCAACACCAGGGAACTGACACTGGTACACCCACACTGCTTATTCAGATTTCACCATTTTTACACATACACATCTGTGCATGTATGTGCATAGTCCTATGCCATTTTATAACACAGAGCTTCAAGTAACTATCACCGTAATCAAGATACTTAATTGTACTAGTCACCACAATACTTCTTGCACTACTCCTTTATAAGCCATACTCATCCTTCCTCCTCCATCTCTAATCCCTGGCAACCATTATCTCTGTGTTTGATGAATGTTAAATAAATTGAATTATGCAGTATATCGTTTTGAGATTGGCTCTTTTCTACCAGCATTACTTTCAAGGGTATTTTGTATTTTGCTTAGTATAAATATCGCAAAAACATTTCGTTCTTGCCACAAAATATATTAGCTTACAAGTTATCTAGGGAAAAACAGCTGTTTAAAAAAAGATTAAGGCTGAATGTGACCAAACCACACAATAAAGTCATTGACTCATTTCAAAATTAGTAGGTAGACAATTATTTTAATTCTATGCCTGAGGACCAGTTTGCAGTGTAACACAGGAGAATATTCCTTAAAACTGGCTTCTTTTCTCTTTTTTTTTGAGACAGGGTCTTGCTCTGTTGTCCAGGCTGGAGCGCAGTGACATGAAGACAGCACACTGCAGCCTCGACCTCCCGGGCTCAAGCAATCCTCCTGCCTCAGCATCTGGAGTAGCTGGAACTACAGATGTGTGTCACCACATCCAGCTAATTTTTTTATTTTTTTGTAGAGACAGGGTCTTGCTTTGTTGCCCAGGCTGGTCTCAAACCCCTGGGCTCAAGCAATCCTCCCGCCTTTGCCTCCTAAAGTGCTGGGATTATAGGCATAAGCCACCATGCTCAGCCAATGGTGCCTTCTAATAAAATCGTTAGTTTTAAATTTAGGGAGACAAAATTTACTTCCTATAAGGCACTTTATCTCGAAGGAAAAAAAATCAACTTATAAACAAATAGGTTCAAATGCAAACATTAGAACTGTTCTAAAAGTACAAAAAACACACTAATATTTCAAGATAGGTTCTTTATCAAAATCTCAGGAAAATACCTTTTCAAAAACCTGAAGCAGTAGCTCCTTCCAAATGTTTTAACTTAATTCAGTAAACATGCTGACAGCCTAATATGTGTACAGCACTTAGGCTAGGTGCTACAAAAAGATTATAATCTAGTAGGAAAGCAGCCATATTTGGTCAACATTTAAATTTATGTCTTAAGAGTTAGTAGGTTCCAGTTAGCTTTAATTCCAAATAAGAAAGGAACCCACAAAAAAGGGAAGAAAGTGACTGGTCTATTTTACAATCACAAATAACATAAAACAATACTTCGCACACACGCACACACACACATACACATTATAAGGGGTAAAAATGTGGTCATTGGCCGGGTACGGTGGCTCATGCCTGTAATCCCAGCACTTTGGGAGGTCGAGGAGGGCAGATCACCTGAGGTCAAGAGTTCAAGACCAGCCTTGCCAACGTGGTAAAACCTCGCCTCTACTAAAAATACAAAAAAAATTAGTTGGGCATGGTGGCGCGCGCCTGTAGTCCCAGCTACTCGGGGAGGCTGAGGCAAGAGAATTGCTTGCACCCAGGAGGTGGAGGTTGCAGTGAGCTGAGATCGTGCCACTGCACTCTAGCCTGGGTGACAGAGGGAGACTATCTCAAAAAAAAAAAAAAAAAAAAAAGTGGTCAAAGTATAGGCACCATAAACTGCAGAATTAAGAAAAACATTGCAACTAGATTTCTTAGTTTTTTTCTCCCTTCATTGTTCTGTGTAGAGAATAAAAATTATTTAATCAATCTAATATTTGCTTCATTTTGAATAGCAGTCAGATATGACCTAAAAGGGAGACATACAAAAAAATAAAAAATCTTTACCGTTAGCTCAGATAAATCGAAGAGAAAATACATGACTATGTACCTTTGTTGCATCACTATACAAGCTTAAATCGATTACCTCCTGGGCAGTAGTAACCATCAGAAAAGAATTAGGGTCAGGCACAGTGGCTCATGCCTGTAATCCCAGCACTCTGGGAGGCCGAGGAGGGTGGATCGCTTGAGCTCAGTAGTTCGAGACCAGGCTGGCTAACATGGTAAAACCCCGTCTCTACTAAAAACACACACACACACACACACACACACACACACACACACACACACACACACACACACACAAAATTAGCCGGATGTGGTGGTACATGCCTGTAATCCCAGCGCTTTGGGAGGCTGAGGCGGCTGGATCACTTGAGCTCAGGAGTTTGAGATCAGCGTGGCCAACCTGATGAAGCCCCGTCTCTACTAAAAATACAAAAAAAAAATTAGCCAGGCATGGTGGCACGTGCCTGTAATCCCAGCTACTCAGGAGGCTGAGGCAGGAGAATCACTTGAACCCGGGAGGCGGAGGTTGCAGTGAGCTGAGATCGTGCCACTACACTCCAGTCTGGATGACAAAGTGAGACTCCATTTCAAAAAAAAAAGGGAATTAGGTCTGTATTATTGGTACTCCTTCACCAGGAAACAAAATATAGTCTAATGACATTGAAAAAAGTATAGGTACTAGACCATTATTTATATTATTAAATTACCTTCCTTCAATAATAAATTTATTTTAACACAAAAATTTAGTAAAGGGTTCTGAATTTTTTCTTTTTGTAGAAATAATTATTCCATAACTAATAAAGCACAATGGGACATATGAGCTTCTTTCTTAAATAAAAGTTGCACCTACCCAATTATCCAAAATGGCTCTTAGCTAAACAAAAACAGTTCAAGAACCAATCCTTCTTTCAAATGGCTCACAGCTAAAATTTTCTGTCGTGCTGAGAACTTCCTGTTCTTTTTTACTTTTTTAAACTTAGCAACAGATCATTTATTAAAAGTCTTACAACTCAGCAATCTCTATTTGTCCACATTCTCACAACTCTTGTAAGTACAAAGTTTAAGGGCTGTGATGAGTACCCTAACATTTTCATTATGTAATATAAGCTCAGACCTAAGACAAACACTAACTACAACAGAAAAAAATAGACATGGCTGGCTGGGCGCAGTGGCTCACGCCTGTAATCCCAGCACTTTGGGAGGCCAAGGCGGGTGGATCATGAGGTTGGGAGATCAAGACAATCCTGGCTAAAACAGCGAAACCCCATCTCTACTAAAAGTAAAAAAATAAAAAATTAGCCGGGCATGGTGGCACGCGCCTGTAGTCCCAGCTACTTGGGAGGCTGAGGCAGGAGAATCACCTGAACCTGGGAGATGGAGGAGGTTGTAGTGAGCTGAGACTGCGCCACTGCACTCCAGCCTGGGTGACAGAGCAAGACTCCATCTCAAAAAAAAAAAAAAAGACATGGCTATGAAGAGAAAATTTAGAAAAGAGAAAATATACATGACTCTTAACTATATTAAAAATGTTCAATCTTAGCAATAACTAAAGAGGTGAAAATAAAAATATTAACTTTTATCATCTATCATGTTGGTAAATATTTTAAAAATGGTATTACTCAACCCTGGCAAGGTATACTGGCAAGCAAAGACATACTCTTACAACATAAAAATGTGACAGAGAAAATGTTACAGAGAGATCATTTCATCCATGGCTGTGTTTTCAGAATGGTTCTAAATATGAACAAAAGAAAAATTATACTTCCTATCCAAAAGGATCTGAATGTATCATTTTTGACAAGTCTTATTTCAACAGTTCAGCACTGATGACTCAAATCCCATACACAGGACAAGATTCTCATAATCTAACTGTCTTACAATACTGTATCTCATCATAAAAGGAAAATTTTCTGTTTTCCACATTTTTCTTTAATATTCAAATATTTAGGTTTTGAAGAATATGCAAATAAACTAAAAATGTGTTTATATGAAACAATTCCATAGGAAAGCAACAGGGTAAAAATTTTCCCAAAATATGCATTAGATATATTATAAAGCCACATAAATTAAAACAGTATATATAATAGTGCTAATACAGTGCAAAGCAGATCCACAGACAAGAGACAAAAATGAACACAAGCATATATAGAAACCTAGTATAAGAAAGAAGTGACATTTACAATAATTAGAAAAATGACTATTTAAACAGATACCCTAAGCGACCCAGCCATTCCATGCACAGGTATTTACCTAAGAGAAATGAAAGCCTATGTACACATAAAGAATTGTATACAAATGTTTATAGCCAGTTTAGTTGTAATAGCCAAAACCCAGAAACATATATACTTTGTATGGGGGGGTTATCTACTTCTTTCAGCATAATTAGTTTGAGATTAATTCACATCATGTATCAAGTCTGTTCTTTCTTGCCAAGTAGTGTTTCCATTGTATAAACATGGCACAAATTGTTTATCCATTCACCCGTTTATGGTCTTCTCAAAGTAAGGCTGTCTTTTATTCCTGGTTACGCAATGAGAAAAGCCCCTAATCCTAACAAAGCCCCTTAGCAGCTTCTGAAATTTTAGCTTCTCTCAGAAGTGAAGATATTTTAGTTTTAACTTGAATTACCTATAAATTCATTTTCATAATGTATAACAAATCTCCTTGAGAGCACAGATCTGTCTTATGCAGCCTTCTACTTACTACCAGTAGTATCCAGTACAGTGTCTTCTACACACCAGATGATCAAGAATGATGGTTCAAGTGTTTAACAAGAAAACCATTTTACAAAATTATGTTTCTAGACCAACCAAGAACTCAAACAAAAGCAGAAATGAAAAAGGAGACATTACAACTGACACTACAGAAATACAAAAGATCATCAGATACTACTACAAACAACTATACACCAACAAACTGGAAAACCTAAAGGACATGGACAAATTCTTGGACACATAAAACCTACCAAGATTGAATCAGGAAGAAACAGAAAACCTGAACAAACAACGAGTAATGAGATTGAATCAGTAATAAAAAGTCTCCTAAAAAAGAAAAGCTCAGAATCTGATGGCTTCACTGCCAAAGTCTACCAAACTTACAAAGAATACCAATTCTCCTCAAACTATTCCAAAAAATAAAAGAGAAGGGAATTCTTCCTAACTCATTCTGTGAAGCCCTGAAACCAAAACCAGACAAAGGCACAACATTAAAAAACAAAACAAAACAAAACAAAAAAACTACAGGCCATAGTTGAACACAGATGCAAAAGTCTTCAACAAAATACTACCAAACCAAATCCAACAGTACATCAAAAGGACAATATACCACAATCAAGTGGGATTTATCCCTGAGTTGTAAAGATAATTTACCATATGCAAATCAATAAATATGATATATCACATCAACATAATAAAAGACAAAAACCATATGATCATCTCAATTGGGGCAGAAAAAGCATTCAATAAAACTCAACATCCCTTCATGATAAAAATGTTCAACAAACTAGGCACAGAAAAAACATACCTTGGCCGGGCACGATGGCTTACACATATAATCCCAGCACTTTGGGAGGCCAAGGCGAGCAGATCACTTGAGGTCAGGAGTCTGAGACCAGCCTGGCCAACATGGTGAAACGCCATCTCTACTAAAAATACAAAAAACATTAGCCAGACATGGTGGTGCATGCCTGTAGTCCCAGCTACTTGGGAGGCTGAGGCAGGAGAGTCACTTGAACCCAGCAGGCAGAGGTTGCAAAGAGTTGAGGTCGTGCCACTGCATTCCAGCCTGGGCAACAGAGTGAGACTTCATCTCAAAAAATAAATAAACAAATAAATAAAAATAAAAAGAAAGAATATACCTCAACATAATAAAGGCCATATATGACAAACCCATAGCTAACATACTGAACAGAGAAAAGCTGAAAGCTTTTCCTCTAAGAACTGGAACTAGACAAGGATGCCCACTTTCACCACTCTTATTCAACACAATACTGGAAGTCCTGGCCAAAGCAATCAGGTAAGAGAAGGAAATTAAAAGCATCCAAACTGGAAAAGAGGAAGTCAAACTGTCCCTCTCTGCAGATGACATGATCTTATATTTAGAAAAACCAAACGACTACACACACACACAAAAAAAACCTCTTAAAACTAATGAACAAATTCAGTAAAGCTGCAAGACACAAAATCAACATGAAAAATCAGTATAACTTTCAATATACTAGCAACAAACTAGAGGAAAAAGAAATCAAGAAAGCAATCATATTTCCAAAACTAAAAACAAAACCCAAAACCCTAGGAATAAATTTTACCAAGGTGAAAGACCTCTACAAGGAAAACTATAAAACATTGATGAAAGAAATTAAAGAGGACACAAAAAAATGGAAAGACATCCCATGTTCATGGATCGGAAGAATTAATATGGTGAAAATGACCATTCTACCAAAAGCAATCTACAGATTCAACGCAATCTCTACCAAAATACCAATAATATTTTTCACAGAACTAGAACAAACAATTCTAAAATTTGCATGAAACTACAAAGAGCCTGAATAACCAAAGCAAACCTGAGCAAAAAGAACAGCTAGAGGCATCACACTACCTGACTTCAAAATATACCACAAGGCTATCATAACCAAACTAGCATAGTATTAGTATAAAAACAGACACATAGACCAAAATGGAACAGAATAGAGAATCCAGAAATAAATCCACATATTTATATCCAACTGATTTTCAACAAAGGTGTCAAGAACGTATACTGGGGAAAGAATACCCTCTTCAATAAATGGTGCTAGGAGAACTAAATATCCACATGGAGAAGAATAAAACTAAACCCCTGTCTCTCACCATATAAAAAATCAAAACAAAATGGATTACAGACTTAAGATAAGGCCCCAAACTATAAAACTACTAGAAGAAAACACAGGAGAAATGCTCCAGGGACACTGGTTGAGGCAAAGAGTTTATGGCCAAGATCCCAAAAGCACAGGAAACAAAAACAAAGATAGATAAATGGGACTGTATTAAACTAAAACACTTCCGTACAGCAAAGAAAACCCTCAGCAGAAGAGACAACCTGATGAATGAGAGAAAACGTTTACAAAATATTCATCTGACAAGTGACTAATATCCAGAATATAGAAGGAACTCAAAACAACTCAATAGCAAAAAAAAAAAAAAATGCCATTAAAAAGTGGGTGAAGGACATGAAATAGACATTTCTCAAAAGACATACAAATGGCCAACAGGTATATGAAAAAATGCTAATCACTAATCATCAGTGAAATGCAAATCCAAACCATAATAAGATATCTTACCCCAGCTGGAACCTCTATTATTAAAAAGACAGGAAATAACAGATGCTGGTAAGAAAAGGGAACTCTTATACACTGCTGGTGGGAATGTAAATTAGTAAATAAACCAGTATGGAGATTTCTCAAAAAGTAAAATTAGAACTACCATTAAGACCCAGCAATCTCACTATTGGGTATCTATCCAAAGAAGAAATCAGTGTATCAAAAGGACACTCTCATATGTTCACCACAGTATTATTCACAATAGCAAAGATATGGAATCAACCTAAATGCCCAGCAACAGATAAACGGATAAAGTGTGTTAAACAATAGAATACTATTTGGCCATAATGAAATAATGTCATTTGCAGCAACATGGATAGAAATGGAGATCATTATTTTAAGTGAAATAGGCCAGGCATAGAAAGACAAATATTGCATGTCCTCACTCATATGTGGGAGCTAAAAAACTTGATCTCATGGACATAGAGTATAGAACAATAGATAACAGAGACTGGGAAGGGGAGGAGGAGAGGGGATAAAGAGGGGAGAGAGACAAAGACTATAAGAAGTATAGTCACCCTAGTCTGCTATCCAACACTGGAACTTATTTCTTATGTACCCAAACATACAGTTAGATAGAAGAAATAAGTTCCAATGTTTGATAGCAGACTAAGGTGACCATACTTAGCAATAATAATATGTACATTTCAAAGTAATTAGAAGAGAGGGCTTGAAATGATACCAACATATAAAAATGATAAAACATTCTAGGTGATGGATACCCCAATCACCCTGACTTGATCATTACATATTCTTTGCATGTAACAAACACTCACATGTACACCATAAATATGTAAATTATATATCAATAAAAGGGGAAAAAAGTGGGCAATAGAGATTTCTCAAAATACATATGAGTAGCCAACAGGTATATAAAAAAATGCCCAACATCACTAATTATCAGGGAAATGCAAATCCAAACCACAATGATATCATCTTACCCAGTTAGAATAGCTATTATCAAAAAGACAAAAACTAACAGATGCTGGCAAGGATGCAGAGTAAAAGGAGCTCTCATACACTGTAGGTGGGAATGTAACTTAGTACAGCCATTATGGAAAATAGTATGGAGATTTTTCAAAAAATTAAACACAGAACTACCGTAAGATCCAGCAATATCACTACTGGGTATTTATTCAAAGGACAGAAAATCAGTATATCAAAAGGATACATGCACTTTTATGTTTACTGCAGCACTACTCACAACAGCCAAAATATGGAATCAACCTAAGTCTCCATCACATATGAATTGACAAAGAAAATGTGGCATATTTACACAGTGGAGTACCATTTGGCCATAAAAAAGAATGGAATCAGCGGGGCACAGTGGCTCACACCTGTAATCTCAGCACTTTGGGAGGCCGAGGCAGGCAGATCACGTGAGGTCGGGAGTTCGAGACCAGCCTGATCAACATGGAGAAACCCCGTCTCTACTAAAAATATAAAATTAGCTGGGCATAGTGGTGCATACCTGTAATTGCAGCTATTTGGGAGGCTGAGGCAGGAAAATCGCTTGAACCCAGGAGGTGGAGGTTGCGGTGAGCCGAGATTGCACCATTGCACTCCAGCCTGGGCAACAAGAGTGAAACCCCATCTCAAAAAAAAAAAGAAAGAATGGAATCATGTCACTTACAGCAACATGAATGAAACTGAAGGTCATTATCTTTAGTAACATAAGCCAGACACAGAAAGACAACTATCTCATGTACTCACCCATATGTATGAACTAAAAAAATGTATTTCATAGAGGTAGAGAGTAGAATGATAGTGAACAGAGGCTGGGAAGGACTTGGGGGAGGGGAGAGATAAAGAGAGGTTGGTTAATGGGTACTAATAGGTATGAACATACAGTTAGAGGAGTAAGTTCTAATGTCCGATAGTAGAGCAACTTCCTGATGGATTTACTGCAAGGTGTCCTGATAGACAAGGTCAACAGAAACTATTTGAAATAATGTACATGGAAAATATAGTCAAAATAAAAATATTAAGAGATGGGCCGGGCGTGGTGGCTCACGCCTGTAATCCCAGCACTTTGGGAGGCCGAGGCGGGCAGATCGCTTGAGGTTAGCAGTTTGAGACCAGCCTGGGCAACATGGTGAAACCCTGTCTCTACTAAAAGTATAAAAATTAGCCGGGTTTGGTGGTAGGTGCCTGTAATCCCAGCTACTAGGGAGGCTGAGGCACGAGAACTGCTTGAACCTGGGAGGTGGAGGGTGCAGTGAGCCAAGATCGTGCCACTGCACTCCAGCCTGGGTGACAGACTGAGACTCCATCTCAAAAAATAAATAAATAAATAAAATAAAATTAAGAGATGGGTAAATGAATGAATGGATATAGCTGAAAAAATGTTTTAATAAGTTAGAATATTAGGCTAGAAACTCCTAGAACACACATGGAAAGGGTAAAATGCTTAAAAAAAGAAAAAAGCCACACGATGGTGTACGTCTGTAGTCCTAGCTACAGCCAGGAGGCTGAGGCAAGAGGATCACTTGAGCCCAGCAGTTTGAGGCATAGTGCACTATGATCATGAAATGCCACTGCATTTCAGCCTGGGCAATATAGTGAGACCCCATCTCTTAAAAACAAAGCAAAAAAAGGTATAGTGATATGAAAGATATTTATGTAACAGAAGACCCAGAGGAAGACATATAAACTAAACAGATTCAAAGAAATATTTGAATGACTGGTAATTTTCTAGAATTGGAGAAAAATATCATATTGAACAGGTTTTGAATGCAAAAGAGGACAGAGGATAAATAAAACACACACGCCTGCATATACAACAACTAGATACATTATAATGAAATTTAAGGAAATGAAAGACAAAAAGAAAATTCTAAGAGTTTCCAACAAGGAAGAGTAGGTCACCTATAAAGGGGTACAATCGGAATGTCATCAAATACCTCATCAGCAACTTGGGATTTAAGAACAAGTAATCCATATTATGCACCACATGCCCGTACCAAAATATCTCACATATTCCATAAATATATACATTTACTTCATACTCACAAAAATTAAAAAGAAAAAAAAAGGTAGTAAATCTTAATTAACATTACCCAGATGGAGTAACTTTAAAGTGCTGATGGAAAGCACTTTGAACTAAAAAGTATATATCCAGAAAAACTATCATCAAAACTAAAGATGTTTTAAGCACATAAAATCTCAGGTCTGCCTCATAAAAGCCCTCTTTGAAAATAAAGGAAGTACAGGCTGAATATCCCTAATCCAACAATCCCAAATCTAAAACTTTTCCAGTGTCAACAGTATGCTCAAAGAAGCATTTTGGATTTTCGGATTAGGAATGTTCAGCTGTTAAGTATAATACAAATATTCCCAAATCTGAAAAAATCTGAAATCTGAAACACTTCTGGTCCCAAGCATTCATTTCTTTCTTTTTCTTTTCTTCTTTTTTTTTTTTTGAGACAGGGTCTCACTCTGTTGCCCAGGCTGGAGTTCAGTGGCACGATCATGGCTCACAGGAGCCTTGACTTCCCAGGCTCAAGCGATCCTCCTACCTTGGCCTCTGAGTAGCTGGGACTACGGGTATGTACCACTACACACAGGTAATTTTTTAGTGTTTTGTAGAGACAGGGTATCACTGTGTTGCCCAGCTGTTCTTGAACTCCAGGGCTGAAGCAATCCTCTCGCCTCAGCCTCAGAAAGTGCTGGGATTACAGGCGCCAGCCACCACACCTGGCCCCAAGCATTTCAGAAAGGGATACTCAACCTGTACTCCCAATAATAATATTATGAGATACATGAAAGGTAAATATATAACTTAGTAAAACTTAATATATCTTTTTTTTTTTTGAGACAGGGTCTCACTGTGTTGCCCAGGCTGGAATGCAGTGGTACAATCACGACTGACTGCAGCCTCAAGCTCCCAGGCTCAAGCAATTCTCCCGCCTCAGCCTCCCGAGTAGCTGGGACCACAGGCACCTGCCACCACATCTGGCTTATTTTTTTATTTTTTGTAGAGATGGGGTCTCAGTATGTTACCCAGGCTGGTCTTGAACTCCTTCCTGGGTTTAAGCAATCCTCCTGCCTCGGCCTCCCAAAGTGCTGAGATTACAGCACATGTGATAGCCACCACACCTGGCCCTAATATTATCTTTTAAAATAAGACAAAAAACAACCATAACAATCCAGGACGAAATCTAGAGCAGGGCTATACAACTTTCTGAAATGACTAAAATATCTTTTACCTGTGTTGTCCAATATGTTAGCCACCAGTCACACGTGGCTATAGAACACATTAAATGTGGCTAATGTGACTAAGGAACTAATTTTTAAATTTTACTTAAGCTAAAACAGCCTCTAAGACTAAACTGGCTATCATATTAGCACAGATCCAGAGCAGGGGTCAGCAAATTTCCTCAAGGGACAAATGGTGAATACACAGGTTGGTGGACCATGTGGCCTGTTGCATCTAGTCATGTAGCACAAAAGTAGCCACAGACAGACAAATGGCAAGGCTGTGTTCCAATAAAACTTTATTTTAAAAAAGGATGCCAACATGAGACATAGTTTGCCAACACCTCATCTGGATGATATAAACACAGTGGCAAGGCAAGCAGCAGGTGGAAGAGAGGGAGAGAAGACAACCAGAAGGTAGCCAGAGTGTGCCAAGGTATTTATGTTGAAGGCAGTGAGTGATATAAAGATACTTATAACAACAATAAAAGAAACCAAACGTATAAATGTAAGCATAGATTGGTTTGGGATAATGACCAAAATTTTAACTGAAACACAATGAAATGTGTACATTTCAAACTAGGAAAAGAAAATTCAACCTATTAAATGAGAGAGAGAAAAAAAGACAACAAACTCTGGGATTGGATTTTTAAAAGATCTAGAAATAGGAGGTCTACAAAAAGAGCCTAAATACAACAGGATATAAAAATGCCGAAAATAGGCCGGGCACGGTGGCTTATGCCTGTAATCCCAGCACTTTGGGAAGCTGAGGCAGGCAGATTACTTGATGCCAGGAGTTTGAGACCAGCCTGGCCAACACGGCAAAACTCCGTCTCTACTAAAAAAATACAAAAATTAGCAGGGTGTGGTGGTGCACGCCTGTAATCCCAGCTACTGAGGAGAGGTGAGGCATGAGAATCACTTGAACCTGGGAGACAGAGGTTGCAGTGCAGTGAGCTGAGATCATGCCACTATACTCCAGCCTGGGCAACAGAGCAAGGCTCTGTCTCAAAAAAAAAAAAAAAAAAAAAAAGCTGAAAATAAATGAGTGGGAAAAAATACAAAAGGCAAATATGAATCAAAAGCTTGATAGTAATTATAAAATCAGAAAAATAGAATTAAAGAGAAACGTATGTGAAGAACAAAGTAGGTTACCAGATACTGAGGAACAGATCAAGAAGAAATAGCAATCATAAACATTTATGCTTTTAACAATGTATCTTCCAAGTAAATAAAGCAACACCAAGACAATTCAAAGGGGAAAGAACAGTCTATTCAATAAATGGTGCTGGAACAACTAGATATACATATGCAAAAGAATGAAGTTGGGCCCTTACCTTACCCCCTTTGCAAAAAATAACTCAAATGGAGTTAATCTAAACGTTTACATTTAGCTATAAAACTCACAGAAGAAAAAATACAAGTAAATCTTTGTGACCTTGAATTAGACACATGACAAAATCTGTGTAGCTAAAACCAAAAGTCCAAATGACCAAAAAAAAAAAAAAAAAAATTCTTAGGCTGGGCACGGTGGCTCACGCCTGTAATCCTAGCACTTTGGGAGGCTGAGGCGGGCAGATCATGAGGTCAGGAGTTCAAGACCAGCCTGGCGAACAGAATGAAACCCTGTCTCTACTAAAAAGAAAATTAGCTGGGCACAGTGGTGCATGCCTGTAGTCCCAGCTACTCGAGAGACTGAGGCAGGAGAATCGCTTGAACCCGGGAAGCAGAGGTTGCCGTGAGCCGAGATCGCGCCACTGCACTCCAGCCTGGGCAACAGAGACAGACTCTGTTTTAAAAAAAAAAAATTATTTCAAATCTCATCAAAATAAATTGTTGCTTCAAAAGCCATCAAGAAAGTGACAAACACACCAGGTGTGGTGGCTCACGCCTGTAATCCCACCATTTGGGAGACCGAGGCAGGTAGATCACCTGAGGTCAGGAGTTTGAGACCAGCCTGACCAACATGGAGAAACCCTGTATCTACTAAAAATACAAAATTACCCGGGCGTGGTGGCGCATGCCTGTAATCCCAGCTACTTGGGAGAATCACTTGAACCTAGGAGGCGGAGGATGCGGTGAGCTGAGATTGCGCCACTGCACTCCAGCCTAGGTAACAAAAGAAAAACTCTGTCTCAAAAAAAAAAAAAAAAAAAAAAAAAGAAAGTGACAACCCACAGAATGGGAAAAAAATACAGCTGACTCTTGAACAATACAAGTTTGAACTGCATGGGCACACCTATATGTAGATTTTAAGTAAAAGTTACACCCAATGTGCCTGCCTCACCTTTCACCTCCTCCACCTCTTCTGTCTCTGGCACTCAGAAACAGTAAGACCAATCCCTCCTTCTCCTCGGCTAGCTCAATGTGAAGATGATGATGAACAGGAAGACCTTTATGATGATCCACTTCTACTTAATAAATAGGAAATATATTTTATTATATATCTTCCTTATGATTTTCCTAATAACATTTTCTTTTCTCTAGCTTAACTGTAAGAATACAGTATATAATACATATAAAAAGTGTGTTAGCTGTTTATCAACGAGGCTTCTGGTCAACAATAGGCTACTGGTGGTTAAGTTTTGGGGTAGTCAAAAGTTTTCAGCTGCACGGGTGTTGGTAGCTCTAACCCCCCTATCGTTCAAGAATCAACTGTATTTGCAATCATGTATCTGTTATGGAACTTGCAGCCCATAAAGAATTCCTACAATTCAACAATAAAAAGACAAACTAAAAAATGGACAAAGGAGTTGAACACTTTTTTCAAAGAAGAAATACAAATTTATTTCAAAGAAGATATACAAATGGCCAAAAAGCACATGAAAAGGTGCTCAACATCATTAGCCACTGGGGAAATGCAAATCAAAACCACATTGAAATACCACTTCGTACCCAACAGGATGACTAAAATAAAAGAGTCACAAATGCTCATAAAGATGTGGAAACAGCCAAGTGTGGTGGCTCACACCTGTAATCCCAGCATTTTGGGAGGCCGAGGTGAGCAGATCACCTAAGGTCAGGAGTTCAAGACCAGCATGGCCAACACAGCAAAACCCCATCTCTACTAAAAATACAAAAATTAGCCGGGCATGGTGGCGGGCACCTATAATCCCAGCTACTCCAGAGGCTGAGGCAGGAGAATCGCTTGAATCCAGAAGGCGGAGATTGCAGTGAACCGAGATCGCGCCATTGAACTCCAGCCTGGGTGACAGAGCGAGATTCCAAAAAAAAAAAAAAAAAAAAAAAAAACCAACAACAAAAAACGGCTGGGCGCGGTGGCTCATGCCTGTAATCCCAGCACTTTGGGAGGCCGAGGAGGGTGGATCACGAGGTCAGGAGATCGAGACCACGGTGAAACCCCGTCTCTACTAAAAATACAAATAATTAGCCGGGCGTGATGGCGGACGCCTATAGTCCCAGCTACTTGGGAGGCTGAGGCAGGAGAATGGTGTGAACCCAGGAGGTGGAGCTTGCAGTGAGCCGAGATTGCGCCACTGCACTCCAGCCTGGGTGACAGAGCGAGACTCCGTCTCAAAAAAAAAACCACCACATATTGGTCAGGCGCGATGGCTCACACCTGTAATCCCAGCACTTTGGGAGGCCAAGGCAGGCAGATCACAAGGTCAGGAGTTCAAGACCAGCCTGACCAACATGGTGAAACCCCATCTCTACTAAAAATACAAAAATTAGCCAGGCATGGTGGTGCCTGCCTGTAATCCCAGCTACTCAGGAGGCTGAGACAGGAGAACTGCTTGAACCCGGGAGGCAGAGGTTGCAGTAAGCCGAGATTGCGCCACTGCTCTCCAGCCTGGGCGACAGAGCAAGACTTCATCTAAAAAAAGAAAAAAAAAGATCTCTACAACATGTATTACATTATATTATTCCATTTATTTGAAATGTCCCAAATAGGTAAATCTGTAGAGACATAAAGTCAATTAGTGATTGCCAAGGGCAGAGTAGAGGGAAGAATTAGGAGTGACTGCTAATGATCAGGTTTCTCTCTGGGTGATGAAATTCTAAAATAGTGATGATGGCTGCACAATTCTGTGAATATACTAAAAACCACAGAGCTTTTGGTATTTTTTTTTTTTTTTTTTTTGAGACAGGGTCTTGCTCTGTCACTCAGGCTGGAGTATAGTGGCTTGACCATGGCTCACTGCAGCCTTGACCTCCTGGGCTCAAGTGATGCTCCTGCCTCAGCCTCCTGTGTGGCTAGGACCACAGGCATGTGCCACAAGCATGCCTAACTAATTTTTAAAATTTTTTGCAGAGACAGGGTCTCACCATGTTTCCCCCGCTAGTCTTGAACTCCTGGGCTCAAGCAATCCTCCTGCCTCAGCCTCCCAAAGGGCTGGGATTACAGGCCACTGCACCTGGCTTTGCTATGTGAACTTTATCTCAATAAAGTTGTTTAAATAAATGAATAAATAAAAAGCATCAACTCTCAGAAATATAAGGACAGCAACCATTTTAGATGGCAATCTTACTCCTCTATGATAACAAATAGATCAAGAATAAAAATAAACATCAGATAATCTTATGTTCTTTGGTCATAACACAATAAAACATAAGAATAAAAACAGCAGCCAGGTGCAGTAGCTCAAACCTGTAATCCCAACACTCTGGGAGGCCAAGGTTGGAGGATCACTCGAGACCAAGAGTTCAAGACAAGCCCGGACAACACAGCAAGACCCCATCTCTATTTTTTTAAGTAAAAATTAAATAAAAGAATAGAAACGGCAATAAAAATATCCTTGAGAAAACCAAACCTGTATGTCAAAACTAAAAGCTATACCTGTAAGTCTTCAGGTTAAACAAATCATAAAGGAAATTACAAAATATTTATAAATGTATAACACTGAAAACACTACATGCCAAAACTTGTGAGATACAGCTAAAATAGTACTCAAAAAGAAACTTAGGAAGATTGACAAAATAACCCAGGGAAGCAATAAACATATGGGCAGAAATTAGAGAATAAATCAACAAAATATAGATGAACAAAATCAAAGGCTAGTTATTTCAAAAGATTTTATAAGATAGACAAACTTTTGGCAAGATTAATCAAGAAAAGTAAAGAGATGCAAGTAACAGTAGATGAAAGATTTAAAAAACACTATCGTGAACAATTAAATCTGAAAACCTGGGCAGAACAGATACATATTCCAAAAACTGTAAATCAGCCAATCCACAGCCCAAACTTAGAACCATCTCCTCTGGCCCCTACAAGCCAGGAAGCAATAGTCCTCTGCCTTCATTGCCCAGGGCCAGATACAAAAAAACTGGTGATCACCGCTACAGCCCAGAGGCAACTGACAAGATTCAAACTAGCCAATCCTAAACTGTTTCCCTTCCTTTCCCATGAAAAATACAATAAAGACTCTGAACCAGGCTTTTCCTGATCCAAACTGGTTCTTCCCTATGTAGCCCTGAATGAAATGGCATGTCTTCTCCTGTCAGTAAATGTACATAACAATAATCTTCTTTTAAAGGGCATTAGTCTCAATATGTCATTTGTCACCTCCATAAATTAAAATCCTACAGACATTTTTAGACAATAAACAAAGCCTTTCCCACTTATAGACATAGATGTTTGAAAACCCTAAATCAAGTTTTAGTGAATTGAGTTTACTAGCATATTAAAAATAATACATCCTGCTCAAAAGGATTTAAGCCAGAAATTCAAGAATGGTTTAACATTTAAAAATGTATCAATCTAATAAACCATATTAATGAACCACAGGAGAAAAATGACTTAACTAGCTCAATAAATTCAGGAAGGCATTTAGTACCTATTTGTGATTTATAAAAAATTGTCAGGCTAGGCACAGTGACTCACGCCTGTAATCCTAACACTTTGGGAGGCTGAGGCGGGCTGATTACTTGAGGTCAGGAGTTCGCAAGATGAGCCTGGCCAACATGGGGAAACCCCAACTCTACCAAAAATACAAAAAATTAGCTGGGCATGGTAGCACATGCCTGCAATCCCAGCTACTCGGGAGGCTGGGACAGGAGAATTGCTTGAACCCGGGAAGCAGAGGTTGCAGGGAGCTGAGGTTGCGCCATTGCACTCCAGCCAGGGGGACAAGAGCGAAACTCCGTCTCAAAAAAAAAAAAAAAGTTGGTCAGTGATGAATAGAAGAGTTCCTTAACTTAAAAAAGTCTGGCCGGGGCTGGGCGCACTGGCTCACACCTGTAATCCCAGCACTTTAGGAGGCTGAGGCGGGCAGATCACGACATCAGGAGATTGAGACCATCATGGCTAACATGGTGAAACCCCGTCTCTACTAAAAATATAAAAAATTAGCCGGGCGTGGTGGCGGGCGCCTGTAGTCCCAGCTACTCAGGAGGCTGAGGCAGGAGAATGGCGTGAACCTGGGAGGCGGGGCTTGCAGTGAGCCGAGATTGGCCACTGCGCTCCAGCCTGGGCAACAGAGCGAGACTCCATCTCAAACAAAACAAAACAAAACAAACAAAACCAACCAACCAAACAAACAAAAGTCTGGCCGAGTGCAGTGGCTCACACCTGTAATCCCAGCACTTTAGGAGGCCAAGGTGGGCAGATCTCCTGAGGTCAGGAGTTCAAGACCAGCCTAGCCAACATGGTGAAACCCCGTGTCTACTAAAAATACAAAAATTAGCTGGGGCATGGTGGCGGAGGCCTGTAATCCCAGCTACTTGGGAGGCTGAGGCAGCATAATCACTTGAACCCAGGAGGTGGAGGCTGCAGTGAGCCGAGATCGCACCATTGCATTCCATCCTGGGCAATAAGAGCAAAATTCCGTCTCAAAAAAAAAAAAAGAAAAGAAAAGAAAAAGAAAAAGTCTATATACCAAAAGCCAATAACAAAAATCAAACTTAATGGAAAAACTTCAGAAGCTTAGGATATCACTTAGGATAGACAGGTCAGAATGCCCACTAAGGACATTTTTCAACATACTACTGAAAACTTGTCTAATAAAGTAAAACAGGAAAAAGAGGTATAAGGACTAGAAGAGATGAAGCAGATGGTTTAAACAAACTATTACAGTAAATCTGATTAGGCTCAGGTGTGGTGGCTTGCGCCTGTAATCCCAACACCTTGTGAGGCCCAGGTGGGCAGACTGCTTGAGGCCAGCCTGGCCAACAGGGCAAAACTCCATCTCTACTAAAAATACAAAAATTAGCTGGGCATGGTGCTGCACGCCTCTAAATCCCAGCTACTCGGGAGGCAGAGGTGGCAGTGAGCCAAGATTGCGCCACTGTACTCCAGCCTGGGGGACAGAGCAAGACTCTTAAAAATATATATATTCCTGAAAATATGGTACCACTCACAATAGCTACAAAATGTAGGAAGTATCTAGAAATTAAACTGCAGATAAGGCACAGGACATTAATGGGGTAAAAAATTACCTCATAAAGTCTAGGAGGGGTGTGGTGGCTCACACCTGTAATCCCAACACTTTGGGAGGCCAATGTGGGAGGACTACTTGAGCCCAGGAGTTTGAGACCAGCATGGGCAAGATAGCAAGACCCTGTTTCTATTTAAAATTTAAAAAGTCTAAATGAAGGAAGAACTATACCACACTTACATGTAGTTCCTTAAAGACTAATATAACTTATAAATCCAAGGCAGTTCTAATACAAATCTCAGAAGAGTTTTAATTTTGAAGGAATTTCACAAACTTTATCTATATAACAATAAAAGTCCACAAATAGTTTGATCAAGTTTGAAAAAGAAGTGTAGAGTAGGGGGCTCACTCAACTAGATATACTAAGCTACAATAATTTAAAAAACGATATTTTGGCCAAGCACAGTGGCTCACACATGTAATCCCAGCACTTTGAAAGGCCAAGGAAAGAGAACTGCTTGAGGCTAGGAGTTCGAGATCAGCATCAGTAACACGGCAGAACTCCAACTTTACAAAAATACAAAAATTAGCTGGGCATGGTGGCATGCACCTGCAGTCCTAGCTACTCGGAAGACAAAAGTGGGGGAATTGCTTGAGCCCCGTACATCGAGGCTGCAGTGAGCCATGGTCATGCCTCTGCACTCAAGCCTGAGGAACAGTGTGGGTCCTTGTCTAAAACAAAACAAACTATGTTTTGGCACAGCAACATATAAAAATAAAACAGGAAAGCTTAGCAGCAGATTCACGGATATACGGAAATACAACATAATGAAGATGACCCACAAATCAGGAAAAAATGTATCCACTATTTGTGGATGGTACTGTAAAAATTGTCTCCAAAAAAAAAAGTAAATAAATAAACGGCTGATGAGAAAAACAACAGTGGCCACCAATGAAAATGTAAACTGATAAAGCCATTTCAGAAAGTGATTTATCAGTACTTAGTGAAATAATTTTTTTTGAGATGGAGTCTCGCTCTGTTGCCAGGATGGAGTGCAGTGGCGTGATCTCGGCTCGCTGCAACCTCCACCTCCCGGATTCAAGCGATTCTCCTGCCTCAGTCTCCCAAGTAGCTGGGACTACAGGAGCACGCCACCACGTCCAGCTAATTTTTGTATATTTAGTAGAGATGGGGTTTCACCATGTTGGCCAGAATGGTCTCAACCTCTTGACCTCGTGATCCGCCCACCTTGGCCTCCCAAAGTGCTGGGATTAGAGAGGTGTGAGCCACTGCGCCCGGCCTTAGTGCAATAATTTATATACATACCCTATGATCTAGAAATCCCACCCCTGAATATATATCCCCATAAAAACTTTCACAAGGGTTTCTACTGGGACATGTATGAGAATTTTTTAAAATAATATCACTGTGGTAGCAGGGAACTGAAGGTAACTTAAGTGTTTATCTCAGAAGGAATGGGATAGATAAAATACAGTAGACGTATATGCTGTAGTTAAAAACAATTAACTAGGTATACATACTGTAACACAGTGTTGACTAAAAAAATGAGATAATGCAGTAACATTTATGTTTACAAAATCATATGTACTCAAAACAAAATATAATTTAAAAGTATACACAGATATCCAGGTAGCACATATGTCAAACACATCAGCACATATATCAAACACGGATATCCAAGCAGCACATATATATATTTAAAGGGGAATGAGAGGGGATCAGAAGAGGAAAATTAATAAAGAAGAAAAGAGCTTTGTGCAGGCTAGGCTGATGATAGGAGTGTGCGCCTTGAAATGAGGAGCATGACTAACAATTCTCCGAACATGTTTCAAAAAAGAAGTGTATTGTATGCATAGGCATAACAGTTCTTTCCTTTGTAAAAGAGATGTCGTACTTCCAGAAAGACAGATATATCTATATAGACATAGGGATGTGTGTGTCTATACATATACATACACATACAGTTGCAAATACACATATAAATGTCATGAAGGATGCAGTTCGAAAATAATCTTATGTTGCCGGGCACAGTGGCCTCACTCCTGTAATCTCAGCACTTTGGGAGGCCGAGGTGGGCAGATCACCTGAGGTCAGGAGTTTGAGACCAGCCTGACCAACATGGAGAAACCATGTCTCTACTAAAAATACAAAAATTAGCTGGGCATGATAGTGCATGCCTGTAATCCCAGCTACTCAGGAGGCTGAGGCAGGAGAATCTCTTGAACCTGGGAGGCAGAGGTTGCAGAGGGCCAAGATTGTGCCACTCCACTCCAGCCTAAGCAATAGAGTGAGACTCTGCTTCAAAAAAAAATAATAATAATAATAATAATAATAATCTTACATGCCTTGCGTGACAATTTCTCTGAGATTAAAAAACAAAAAACAAAAACCACAGCAAAAGGTGGGAGAAGCATAAACGGGTTGTGAATAGGAGGGTAATTTTAGATTGCTCATAAGGAAAACGGTATAGTTCCCTGACACTCGCATATAGTCTAAAATACTGATTAAAGGGAAAAAAAATCAGAATACAGTTTTCAATATTCTGTAACGTTAGCCAAAAATAGTGGTAGAAAAATATTTATAATTTTTAAAAAATTATTTTTAAAATGTTTGTGGGTACATGGTACATGTATACATTTATGGGGTACATGAGATGTTTTGATACAGGCATGCCATGTGAAATAAGCACATCATGGAGAATGGGTTATCCATCCCCTCAAGCTTTTATACTTAGTTGCAAACAATTCAATTACATTCTTTATTTTAAAATATACAAATTATTATTGACTAGTCACCCTACTGTGCTATCGGAAATGCAAATATTTAATAAGCTTTAGTGAAAACATATATACTAGAATTAATGACATGTTTTCCAATTATTGCTTAATTAACCAATAAAAGAAAAACTCCGTAAGTTTGTTTCAGTTAGAAACACAAACTTATTTTCAAAAGGAACATCATTAACTATGTTGGTAACAACTAGCACACTTATAATGAACAGTCAAAGGTCTTATAACCTTTTCTACACAGGGCAAATTTTAATGAAAAACACTTGGCAATGTATTTTTTTTTCAAGAGACAAGCAATAGTTTGGCACCTAATATATAACCACAATGACCAAGTCAGGTGTGCAGGGTCCCCAGTACAGATTTTATTAGAGTTCAGTTATAAATACACAATCTCTTGACACTAAAGATGTACTTCTTGCAGATAAAGCCCAAAGGCAGGAAATGAATCTCCTTCCAAATGCTGCTTCTTATCTTTAAAGTAACCTCAAATTATTACTAAACTAATAAAGTAATTTTGTTTCAGAAAGTGATTTGATCTATTTTATTTCCAGCTTTTGATAAATTCAGGAGTGAGATGAGGGATTATTGCTTTCTGTCTGACAACATACACTGAAACACAACATGAAAATAAAGGAAAAACTTCTTTTTAATGACTTTTATGGTAAAGTTGGAATGGGTAATATCAAAGCCTGTCAGTATATGGAAGCAGATGTGTATGATTTTGGAGAAACAGAAAGCTAATTTTGTTATTTAACTTCATAAATTTGGAAGTAAAGCTTACATTATCTTCCAATTAGAAATTGTCAAACAGGTTGAGTAAAAAGAGTGCAATGAGATTGTACACAAACCAAATAAAACAATAACTCAAAAATGTAATTATGGACATAACTGCCTTATTTATGGAATTTTTCTAATATAATGGTACGTAGTGAATGGCCACAAACCCAAATTTGCAATCATGATTCTATTAAAAGGTCACAAAAAAGCCAGGATATCAAATACGACAGTCAAAAACAAAGTCGGATGGAGACAACACAGGAAACTTTCAGACCACTAATGATGAATAGTAATTACTGCACAGATATAATTATTATTGCAGCAATATAGCTACCACTTATTGCACTTCTGTGTTATGCACTGGACTAAACACTTAAGATACACTATTTCTAATACTTAGGTCGGGTGAGGTCCCAGCACTTTGGGAGACTGAGGTGGGAGGATCGTTTGAGGCCAGGAGTTCCAAACCAGCCTGGGCAACATAGCAAGACTTCATTTCTACGACTTTTTTTTTTTTTTTAATTAGCCAGGCGTGGTGGCACATGCCTATATTCCCAACTACTCTGGAGACTGAGATGGGAGGATTACTTGAGCCCAGGAGTTCGAGGCTGCAGTGAGCTATGATAGAGCCACTGCACTCCTGCCTAGGCAACAAAGCAAAACCCACCCCTGCCCCGTCTCTAAAAAAATAAAATACATTTTTAAAAAAGTAATGAGTCTTTACATATTTAACATAGTTTTGAAATACATTTAAAAAAACCTTATTTCAAAAGAGATATTTAAAATACTATAACCATAGTGGAAAACTACCACACCACACTTATAAAAATCATGTAGACCAGTGAGAAAGGATATAGATGTGAATAAAAGAATTAAGGTTGGACGAGATACACAAATTGTTTGCAAGGTAGAGATACACAGCCTCTTGTAATACAGTAGGGAGTGGAAGAAACTACAGCTAATCAAAGAGAGCATGCCCCACCTAAAGATATTCACATTTAAAAAAATTTTTTGAGACAGTCTCACTCTGTTGCCCAGGCTGGAGTGCACTGGCGTGATCTCAGCTCACTGCAACCTCCACCTCCTGGGCTCAAGCGATCCTCCCACCTCAGTTTTCCAAGTAGCTGGGACTACAAGTGCGGGCCACCATGCCCAGCTAATTCTTTGTATTTTTAGTAGAGACGAGGTTTCACCACATTGCCCGGGCTGGTCTTGAACTCCTGAGCTCAATCAATCCGCCCACTTTGGCCTCCCACAGTGCTGGGATTACCAGCATGAGCCACTGCGCCCAGCCGATATTCACATTTTTAAAGTTTTAAAAATTGTCACGATAACCAATTTGTTTGTGCCAATTAACAAAGCACAAATACATATTCAAACGTACATATGTATGTAAAGGTATATAGTACTTTAAAGAAAACAGGGAAAACATTCATTTCAAACATACATGAATTGTCACAAAATGTGACCATTTATTAAGATACTAAGAAAATGTAAAAAAACTACAAAAAAACAGAAGTCACATGGGCCATGGACATGTTTATAGACAAAATGAATTAGGATTAACAGCAAAAAGTGGAGGAAAAAGGCCAAATATTTGAAAATTAAAAGCCTAATTCTAAACGTTTTATATTAAAAACAGAATCAAAACAAAAATTACAAATTATGTCTAAAAAATACACAATGTGGTCACTAAATAAAAGCCTGTGGCATGCACTCAATGCAGCACTGAAGAAGAATTTACAGCTATTAATAAATTTCTTAGAAAAAAATTAATTGTAAAAGACAACAAACTAATATCAAAGGAAGATTATATGGAGATAATAAAGATAAAAGAAAAAAGTAATAAAATAGAAAACTAAAAGACAGCGGACAATGAATAATCAAAAAGCTGATTCTAGCCAGGTGTGGTGGCTGATGCTTATAATCCCTTTGGGAAGTCAAAGCAGGAGAACTGCTTGAGCCCAGGTGTTTAAGACCAGCCTGGACAACACAGCAAGACCTCATCTCTACAAAACAATTTTTTCTTTTAAATTAGCCAGATGTGGTGTCACATGCTGTAATCCCAGCTACTTAGGAGGTTGAGGTGGGAGGATTACCTGAGCCCAGGAGGTCCTGGCTACACAGTGAGACCCTGTCTCTAAATAAATGTAAATAACCAAAATTAGCTGAAAAAGTAAAATCTGGGGCCGGATGCGGTGGCTCACACCTGTAATCCCACCACTTTGGGCGGCCAAGGAGTGCGGATCACGAGGTCAGGAGTTCGAGACCAGCCTGACCAACATGGTGAAACCCTGTCTCTACTAAAAATACAATAATTAGCTGGGCATGGTGGTGTGCACCTGTAATCCCAGCTACTCAGGGAAGCTGAGGCAGGAGAATCGCTTGAGCCTGAGAGGCAAGGGTTGCAGTGAGCCGAGATCACGCCACTGCACTCCAACCTGGGCCACACAGCAAGACTCCATCTCAAAAAAAAAAAAAAAAAAAAAAAAAAGTAAAATCTGAACAATTAAAAAAAATCAGAAACTGAAATAGTGAAGGACCAATTCCAAATATATTACCTTTCATTTTAACAAAATTTCTGTTAACTGTCCTAAAACAGAGGTTCACAAATATTTTGGTCTCTTTTATACTCTTTAAAATTATTGAGTACCCAAACAGCTTTTGTTTACATGCATGGGTTTAGCTGTCAATATTTACCACAGTGGAAATTACAAGAGAAAATTTTAAGTTATTAATTCACTATAAAATAACCCATTTCATGCTAACGACATTCTTATCAAAGGTTACAAAACTTGTGAAAAATAACTAGTTTCAAAAAAATTAGAAAAGTGGAAGTATTTTGTATTTTTGCAAATCTGTTAACAAATGATTGCTGGATTCTCGTATGTGCTCTATGTTCAATTATAATATTACATGTAAGCAGCCTCTGGAAAACACCAAATACTTGTGAGACTATGAGAGTAAAAAGCAAATAATGTCTTTTTTTTTGAGACGGAGTCTCACTCTGTCACCCAGGCTGGAGTGCAGTGGTGCGATCTCGGTTCACTGCAAGCTCCGCCTCCCGGGTTCACCCCATTCTCCTGCCTTAGCCTCCCCAGTAGCTGGGACTACAGGTGGCTGCCACCACGCCCAGCTAATTTTTTGTATTTTTAGTAGAGACAGGGTTTCACTGTGTTAGCCAGGATGGTCTCGATCTCCTGACCTCATGATCCGCCCGCCTCAGCCTCCCAAAGTGCTGGGATTACAGGCGTGAGCCACCATGCCCGGCCTCAAATAGTGTCTCAGTATTCCTGTGAAAAAGTTTTGTTTTTGCAGATCCTAAGTAACTCCCAAGGACTACCCCCATTTCACACCTGTAGAGCCATTGTTTTAGAGGAAAAAAAAAAGAGGGAGAGCAAAATCAACACCAGATTAGAACAGCACAAGAAAACTACAGGCCAATGCGACTTAATAGCAAACACACTGTACACAAAAATTTTGTGTCAAAATGGATTAAAGACCTAAACATAAGGGCTAAAACTATAAAACTCTTGAAAGAAAACAGAAAACTTAATGAAACTGGATCTGGTAATGATTTCTTAGATATGACACCAAAAGCAGAGGCAACAAAAAAATTGATAAACTGGATCAGCATAATTAAAAACTTGTACAGGAAAGGACCCTTTCAGCAGAGTGAAAAGGCAACCCACCAAAAGGAGAAAATATATGCATATCATATATCTGGATAACGGACTGAAAAAAGAACTCCTACAACTCAACAAAAACAAAAACCCGGATTAAAAAATGGGCAAAGATAGCTGGGTGCGGTGGCTCACGCCTGTAATCCCAGCACTTTGGGAGGCTGAGGCGGTTGGATCAGGAGGTCAGGAGATTGAGACCATCCTGGCTAACACAGTGAAACCCCGTCTCTACTAAAAATACAAAATATTAGCTAGGCATGGTAGCAGGCGCCTATAGTCCCAGCTACTCGGGAGGCTGAGGCAGGAGAATGGTGTGAACCCGGGAGGCGGAGCTTGCAGTGAGCCAAGATCGGGCCACTGCACTCCAGCCTGGGCGACAAAGCGAGACTCCATCTCAAAAAAAAAAAAAAAAAAAAAAAAAACGCTAAGACTTGAGATACCACTTCATACCCCTTAGGATAGCTATTATCAAATAAAACAGTCAATACCCAGTGCTGTGACTTAGGGATGTAGAGAAATTGGAACTTTTGTGTATTGCTGGTAGGAATGTAAAATGATACAGCCACTGTGGTGGTTCCTCAAGACTGAAACAGTCCTCAAAAACTTAAACACAGAATTACTATATGATCCAACAATTCCCCCTCCACCCCCCAAAGTATACAGTTGGCCCTCTGTATCTGTGGGTTCCATCTATGTGGATCCAACCAACCATGGTTTGAAAATATTTGGAAAAAAAAACTGCCTGTACTGAAGATGTATAGGCTTTTTTCCTTGTTATTATTCCCTAAACAATAGAGTATAACTATTTACATAGTATTTACATTGTATTAGGTATTACAAGTAATCCAGAAATGATTGAAAGTATATGGGAGAACGTGCATAGGTTATGTGCAAATACTATGCCATTTTATATCAGGGACTTGGGCATTCACAGATTTTCATATCTGTGGGAGGAAGGACCTCAAACCAGTCCCCCAAGGACACCAAGGGACAATTGTACACTCAAAAGAACTGAAGGCAGGAAATGAAATGGTTACTTATACAGCCATGTTCATAGCAGCATTATTCACAACAGCCAAAAGGTCCAGGCATGGATGAACAGATTAAACAAAATGTGATACACATATACAATGGAGAAGAAAATTCTGACACATGCTATACCATGGATGAACCCTGAGGACATTATGCTAAGTGAAATAACCCCGTCACAAAAAGACAAATACTATATGATTCCACGTATATGAGGTATCTGGAATGGTCAAATTTATAGACACAAAGTAGAATGGTGGTTGCTAAGGGCTGGGCAGGGCACTGGGGGAAGGGGAGTTATTATATAATGAGTATACACTTTCAGTTTGGGAAGATAAAAAAGTTCTCAAAATAGACCATGGTAATAGTTGAACAACAGTGTAAATGCATTTAATGCTACTGAACTACACACTTAATGCTTAAATGGTAAATTTTATGTTATGCATATTTTACAATTTAAAAAACAGCAAATAAAATTCAGTTGCACATTTAAAGAATAATACACCAAGACTAAGTACAGTTTATCCTAGTATTTTAAAGAGTGGTTTCACTTTTGAAAAAAATCTATCAATGTAATTCACAATAGTAACAGATGCTGAAAAAAGAGCTGACAAAATTCAATCCCTAATTAAAATGTTTAGCAACTAAAGTTATTGGTTAATTTTGAGAATTGATCCTGTGTTAACAAACATCACCAAAGTCTCAAGGCTTACAATACAAAGGTTTATTTCTCGCTCATGCTACATGTCCATTGTGGACGGCTGTGGCTCCTCACTGTCTTCATTCTAGGACTGAAGCTGAAGGCACAGTACCTATATGCAACATATTGTTCATATGGCAGAGGGGAGAAAAGCAATGACTTAATCAAGCAATGACTCCTGAAGTTTTGCTCAGATACAGCATACATCACTTCCACTGGCTAAAGCAAGCCTCATGGCTAAGCCTGATATCAAGAAGGTAGGAAGTATACTCTCTCACAGGGAGGTGCACCTGGTAGAAGGACTCTATTATAGAGATAAACTCAGTAGAGAGGATTGCCGAATAGTTGTAAATAAGATGATTTGTGAATGACAAATCTACAATACGGAGAAACTCCCTTAATTTGAAAAAGGATATTTACCATGAACCTAGCATGAATAGCATACTTAATGATGAAACATTAGAAATATCTTCATAAGGTCAGAAACAAGAAAAGGATGCCTGCTATTACCACTATATTTCAACAATACTCTTGAGGTTCTACTCAATGCAATTAGACCAGAAAAAAAATTAGTATTAAAATCATTTTCAGGTACTATGATTACCTACTCAGAAAATCCAGAGAATTTTAACCTATTATTACAAGTAATAGAAGAGTTTAGCAAGGTGCTCAGATACTATATCCACATACAAAAAAAATCCTTAGATATATACATAAAATATGATGTATGTACAAATGTGTGTGTGTATAATTACTACTGCTGTGTATCAGCAATAAATGCTTAGAAAATGTAATAACTTTAAAAGATCCCAATCAATCATATGGGATATTAAGTCAATTAGCTGTGTAATCTCAGGCAAGTTATTTAAACTTTCTGCCTGTTTCCTCAACTATAAAATGAGAATAATGACATCTTATTTCTCTGATTCTAAAACACAGATTCTTCATATTTTAATCTCTCAGAAATCAATGACTTATTAAAAAAATGCTGTCACCCAGGAAGCAATAATGATGTTCTGTATGAAAAGTTTTCATTGACACTTTCTGGTAACACCAAGAAAGCATCAATATCAAAGCAGCTTAGATTTGATAAAATATGGTAAACCAATTAACATGATTACATGAGATAATTCATATCAAACACGTAAAGCCATATCTAACATAAACAAAGTACTCAATAAACTTTAGCTTTTCTTATTCTTTGTCCTATCATATATTAAAAGAGATTATAATGCTAGAGTAATTGAAATAATATGGTATTGAACCAGGATTAAAGAAAAAAAATCAATGAAACAGAATAGTCCAAAAAAACAAATCTACATATTTATGGAAATTTAATATATAATAAATGAGCCATTTTATGTCAGTGGGGAAAGCCCAGACTGGTAGTTCTCAATTGTATCATACCCAATACTCTTTTTGTTTTTTGTTTTTAATTTTGAGACAGGGTCTTGCTCTGCCTCCCAGTTTCAAGCAATTCTCCTGCCTCAGCCTCCCGAGTAGCTGGGACTACAGATGTGCACCACCACACCCAGCTAATTTTTGTATTTTTAGTAGAGACGTGGTTTCACCATGTTGGCCAGGATGGTCTCAAACTCCTGACCTCAGGTGATCCACCCGCCTTGGCCTACCAAAGTGCTGGGATTACAGGCATGAGCCACCACTTGAGCCTGGGACATCAAGGCTACAGTGGGCCATGATCAAAAAAATGAAATAAAATAAAATAAGCAGTTTTTCATCTATATGCATGTTTAGAGGGATTTCACCTATATGAATGGGGGCATGAGATGCACAGTATCTACCACCCCGGTCCTCATCAAAAACTGGTGCCAACACCGGGCATGGTGGCTCACGCCTGTAATCCCAGCACTTTGGGAGGCCGAGGCGGGTCACTAGGTCAGGAGATCGAGACCATCCTGGCTAACATGGTGAAACCCCGTCTCTACTAAAAATACAAAAAAATTAGCTGGGCGTGGTGGCGGGCGCCTGTAGTCCCAGCTACTCCGGAGGCTGAGGCAGGAGAATGGCGTGAACCCGGGAGGTGAAGCTTGCAGTGAGCCGAGATCGCGCCACTGCACTCCAGCCTGGGTGACAGAGTAAGACTCCGTCTGAAAAACAAAACAAAACAAAACAAAAAACTGGTGCCAACAACACCCTACCTAAGTTAACTCTGATAAGCGCCAGGCATGGTGGCTCACACCTACAGTTCCAGCACTTTGGGAGGCCGAAGTGGGCAGATCACTTGAGCCCCAGGAGTTCAAGACCAGCCTGGGCCAACATGGTGAAATCCTGTCTCTACAAAAAAAAAATACAAAAATTAGCTGGGCATGGTGGCACGTGCCTGTAGTCCCAGCTAATCAGCAGGCTGAAACGGGAGGATCGCTTGAGTCCTGGACGCAGAGGTTGCAGTGAGCTGTCACTGCACCACTTCACTCCAGCCTGGGAGAGAGAGTAAGACCCTGTCTCAAATAAAGAAAGAAAGAAAGAAATAAAACAATTATGATAAGTAAAAGCCACTCCACAAATTTCTGAATTTCCTCTTGAAGTAGCAGCATACCCATTGAAAACCCTTGGGATAGACTGTTCAAAAAATATATATATATATCCGGACAATGGGATGTCAATTTTGTTGAAAATTAAATATAGCCTAATCTCCTCAAAATATTCCTAGGTCACTGGAAGGCAAAGTTGTGTAATTTCACATGATAAAAAGCACATTTGAACACAACTTCTATTTGTGTTCCCTTTCCAAATAATAAACAAGATTGACCCTTTGAAGTCAACCTGATCTTTGCCAGTCCCCTACTAACCCTTTTTCTATTGTTTCTGAAATCCATTCTCTGAAACTCTGGAAATTCCATTATGAACAAACTAACTCTCAGAGGGAGTACATTACATTGTTTAAAAGCATGGACTTGAATCAGGCAGACCTGAATTCAAAATTTAGCTCTATTATCTAAGTACCCTGTGTGTGCTATTGACCAGTTAACTTCTTGACACCCTAGTTTCCTTAGCTGTAAAATCTCTCATTTTTCCTTAGCTGCTTCTCTTTCAGCTGAAACCTGCACAGATTATCTCTATCCTAAGACAACAACAAAAAGGAAAATTACAATGACCGTACCATTATAGGTATTCCTTGTTTTATTGTGCTTCACGGATGTTTTACTACAAATTGAAGATGTGTGGCAACCCAGCATTGAGTAAGTCTATCAGTGCCATTTTTCCAACAGCATGTGTTCACTTCATGTCAGTGTGTCACATTTTGGTAATTCTCACAATATTTCAAACTTTTTCATTATTACATGTTACAATGATCTGTAATCAACAATCTTTGGTGTTATTAACGTATCTGTTTGGGGAAGCCATGTACCATGCCCAGATAAAATGGGTAACTTAACTGATACATGTTGTGTGTTTTCTGACTGACTGCTCCACCAACCGGTGTTTTCCTCTCTCCTCTCTCCCTCTCCTCAGGCCTTCCTATTCCTTGAGACGCAACAATACTGAAATTAGGTCAACTAATAACCCTACAATGGCCTTTAAGTGTTCAAGTGAAAGAAAGAGTAGCAGGTTTCTTACTTTAAATCAAAAGCTGGAAATGATTAAGCTGATTGAGGAAGGCATGCTGAAAGGCGAGACAGGCTGAAAGCTAGGCTTCTTGCAGTCAAACAGTCAAGTTCTGAATGCAAAGGAAAAGTTATGGAAGGAAATTAAAAGTTGCTACTCCAGTGAACACATGAATGATAAGAAGGCAAACAGCCTTATTGCTGATATGGAGAGAATTTTAGTAGTCTGAAGAGAAGATCAAACTAGCCACAATGTTCCCTTAAGCCAATTTAGAAGCTGCAGTAAGTTATCCAGAAAACCTAACAGGGACCATCAATGAAAGTGGCTACAATAAACAACAGATTCTCAATGTAGACAAAACAGCCTTCTATTGGAAGAAGATGCCATCTAGGACTTTCAAAGCCCAAGAGAAGTCAACGCTTGGCTTCAAAGCTTCAAAGGCTGACTCTCATTGACAATTTGAAAAATGCTAGGGCCCTTAAAAATTATGCTAAATCTACTTGCCTGTGCTCTATAAATGAAACAACAAAGCCTACATGACAGCACATCTGTTTACAGCTTGGTTTACTGAATATTTTAATCCCGTCATGGAGACCCACTGCTTGAAAAAAAAGATTCCTTTCAAAATACTGCTGACAATGCATCGGGTTATCACGAGCTCTGACAGAGATGTACAAGGAGATGAATGTTGTTTTCAGGCCTATCAACACACTATCCATTCTGGAGCAAATGGTTCAAGGAGTAATTCTGACCTTCAAGGCTTATTTAAGAAATACATTTCAAGGCCAGGTGTGGTGGCTCATACCTGTAACCCCAGCACTTTGGGAAGCCAAGGCAGGTAGATTGCTTGAGCTCAGGAGTTTGAGACCATACTGGGCAACATGGTGAGACCCCTGTCTCTACCAAAAAAAAAAAAAAAAAAAAAATAGCTGGGTGTGGTGGTGAGTGCCTGTGGCCCATGCTACTCAGGAGGCTGACTGAGGTGGGAGGATCGTTTGAGCCCAGGCGACAGAGGTTGCAGTGAACCAAGATCGCACCACTGCACTCCAGCCAGAGTGACAAAGCGAGACCTTGTCTCGAAAAAACAAAAATACATTTCATAAACTCTACAGCTTCCACAGACAGTGATTCCTCTGACAGATGTGGGCAAGTAAACTGAAAACCTTCTGGAAGAAATTCAACAGTCTAGAAGCCATTAAGAACACTTGTGATTCATGGGTGGAGGCCAAACATCATTAACATGAGTTTGGAAGAAGCTGATTCCAACTCTCATGAATGACTTTGAGGGCTTCAAGACTTCAGTAGATGAAGTGGCTACAGATGGGGTAGAAATGGCAAGAGAACTAGAATTACAAATGGAGTCTGAAGATGTGACTGAACTGCTCATGATAAAACTTGAATTGATGACAATCTCATGATAAAACTTGAATTGATGACAAATTTCTTCTACTGGATGAGCAAAGAAAATGGTTTCTTTTCTTTTTGAGACAGTCTCGCTCTGTCGCCCAAGCTGGAGTGCAGTGGCATGATCTTGGCTCACTGCAACCTCCACCTCCTGGGCTCATATGATTCTCCTGCCTCAGTCTTCTGAGTAGCTGGGATTACAGGCGCACGCCACCACAACTGGCTAACTTTTTTATTTTTTAGTAGAGACGGGGTTTCACCATGTTGGCCAGGCTGGTCTTGAACTCCTGACCTCAGGTGATTCGCCTACTTCAGTCTCCCAAAGTGCTGGGATTATAGGCATGAGCCACTGCACTGGTTTCTTTTCTTTTCTTTTTTTTTTTTTTGAGACAGTCTCGCTCTGTCGCCCAGGCTGGAGTGCAGTGGTATGATCTCAGCTCACTGCAAGCTCTGCCTCCCTGGTTCATGCCATTCTCCTGCCTCAGCCTCCGGAGTAGCTGGGACTACAGGCGCCCGCCACCATGCCCGGCTAATTTTTTGTATTTTTAGTAGAGACGGGGTTTCACCATGTTAGCCAGGATGGTCTTGATCTCCTGACCTTGTGATCCGCCCGCCTCGGCCTCCCAAAGTGCTGGGATTACAAGCGTGAGCCACCGCGCCTGGCCTTGCACTGGTTTCTTTATATAGAATCTACTCATGGTGACGACGTGAGCATTGTTGAAATGACAACAAAGAATTTAGATTATTACATAAACTTAGTTGATAAAACAGCAGCAGGATTTGAGAGGACTGACTCCAATTTTTAAAGTTCTACTGTGGGTAAATGCTATCAAACAGCATCACATGTTACCGAGAAATAATTCATTAAAGGAAGAGTCGATCAATGCAGCAAACTTCATTTTTGTCTTAAGAAATTGCTACGGCCACCCAGCCTTCAGCAAACATCACCTGATCAGTCAGCAGCCATTAACATTGAGACAAAACCCTCCACCAGCAAAAAGATTATTGCTGGCTAAAGGCTCACATGATCATTAGCATTTTTTAGCATAAAGTATTTTAAAATTATGGTATAGGCATTTTTTTAGCTATAATGCTATTACACACTTTAAAAACTACAGCATAGCATAAACATAACTTTTATATACACTAGGAAACAAAAAACTTACATGACTTGCTTTACTGAGATATTTACTTTATTGCAGTGGTCTGGAACCATACCCACAATATCAGTGAGGTATACCTGTGTATCTTTGAACTATCATTTCCATCTCTTCCTCTCTCTCTTCCCTGTCAAACTCTTCAAAATAAGATTACTAATTAAATTTTAAAAGTTACTATTCAGATGAGAGGACAATAAAAGACAGAGAAACTGTAGAGCTAAAGAAAATATATTGAAGACTAAAATAACACCAATAGAGCTAATAAATTAGAAACAGTAAGAAACAGAAAAGCTATAACTGAAACACTGACAAAAGTTTAATCTTAGTAGAGAGAAAAAGACATAGACTGAGTAATTTCCCTAAATACCTGTTTAATTTTCCTTATCCTGCTCTACTTTTTCACAGCTCTGTAATCTTCTAAATTCACATGTAACTTACTTATCTGTTATGTTAATTACTTATCACCCCCCACCACCACCACCTTGAGAATATAAGTGCCATAAAGGCAGTGGCTTTTGTTATGTTTCACTGGCACAGGGCAAGTGATCAATAAATATCTGTTGAATGCATTAATAAATGCATGACGATGATATGAAAGACAAAGATGATCCTCCAAAATGATAACCCAGCACATGGATGACAGTAAATTTCAATGAAATGAAGAAAAAGCTAAATATTTAGAGAAAAAGAAACAGTGTATTCCTGGAAAAAACAATTCAACATTATTTGCAGCAAGACACATTGAGTTAAAAAGGCTATATACTCTCCAGTAGTCCAAGCCAATTAAAAAAAGTCTAGAAGTAGGGATAAAAGAAACTATAGTGTTGTACTTCCTCATAAGAACATTAAGTACCAGAAAAAATCACTAATGTCTGTAAGATTTTGAAATAAATTGTTATTGTAGAAATATTACACCCAATCAAGTAGATATTTAAGTGACAAAAGCAATGGGCAAGCATTATTTAACAATCAAAAACTTAAGAAATAATGCCCCAATGAGCACATGTTGAAAAACTATGAAATTAAGTCAAAGACCTCAGAAATGGAAAACAATGGTTAAAAAGACTAGTGGACGCTGGGCATAGTGGCTCACACTTCTAATCCCAGTACTTTGAGAGGCTGAGGCAGGAGGATCATTTGAAGCCAGGGGCTCCAGAACAGCCTGGGCAACATAGTGAGACTCTGTCTCAACAAAAAAATAAAAAAAAATTAGGCAGGCATGGTAGTGCATGACTGTAGTCTCAGCTACTTGGGAGGCTGAGGTGGGAGAATTGCTTGAGCCCAGGAGGTTGAGGCTACAGTGAGCTGTGACAGAGCCACTGCACTCTAGCCTGGACAACAGTGAGTCCCTGTCTCAAAATGAAATATTTTAAAAAAGAAAAAGAAAAATAAGGAGGACAGAATTTTCTTGCCATCTCCCCACTTCTAATAGAATTGTCTTAGTTCCATCCTTTTCCTTTTCTCTCTTCTTGCTTTTTCACTCTTAGCCAGTATGTTAAGGATGAAATTTTAGCAAATTGCAAAATTACTTTAAATCCCTCACTGTTTGATATACTCGGTACCATAAATTTACTAGTAATTCAGTTTAATAGCATATGAGAAAAGTTCACAAATTCTCAGCCATCATTAAAATAACCTAAATTTCCCAACATTTTCACAATATGCTTTGTCTTATCTATGTACAACTGTCTTTTTATTTGAACTATACTAGACTATATCTACAGAAGTAAGGCATTATCTGATTAAAACTGATGAAAAACCACAACTAAAACATTTTATTGATTTGGATGTACTATAATGTTCAGACAGATTAAAATTTTAACTTTTTCTTACCAATAGTAAGCCAAACAGGCTTCCAGCTAAAATAAGATTAATTTTTCATTAGGAAAACCAAACCTTCAACTTACTTTTTCAAGAAAATTTTTAAAAAGATTAAAGAGGAGAAATATCAAGAAATAGTGAAAGGAATGGAAGTGTATACACTTATGTAATCCTGTAACTTGCTAATGCTTCTTACTTTGGGAATACACAATTATGGTTATCTTTTTTTTTTTAAGCACTCACTTCCTTGTATTCGTCAAAATTATAACAAAATAATAATATGATTTTGAAAAAAAACTCACACTACCATGCTAAAAAGTAATCATTTTCATTTATTATTTTTTACTTATCTGTGCACCTATAGCATTGTACAACCCTAAGTATTCAATTTTGTATCCTTATTTCATCTACCTCATGCTTTTAAAATGTCCCAATATTTTCTCTCCTAGTCTTCTATCAGATAAAATGTGTTATATCTTTTTACATTTTAATATGATTTGGAAACTAAATACACTATGGGAAATCCTTAAAATTCACCATAATTTTTCTTAAAAAATAGTTGAAAATACAGAAAAGTATAAAAAAAAAAATCATGCCAGGCGTGGTGGCTCACACCTGTAATCCCAGCACTTGGGGACACCAAAGCAGGAGGATCACTTGAGGCCTGGAGTTCAAAATGAGCCTGGGCAATATAGCGAGACCCCCATCTCTACAAATTAAAAAAAAAAAAACAAAAAAACCACTCATTGTCTGCCATACAAAGATAACTACCATTAATATGAAATGCTTTATTGTCTTTTTTCCTTTTATCTATAACAAATTTGTATATATTTTTTCACTAAATGTTATTTCATGATGAATGTGATAGCCGTAGTATTGCACACACTTTACTTACTCATGCTTTCACTGTTGAAAGCTGGACTGGTCTTAAATTTTTACGATCATAAAGAGACCCAAGATAAATGCTTTTGAATACCTAAAAATATATTATATCAATTTCTGACAATTCCAAGACAAAATTTTAGAAAAGAAAATATTGGCAAGGTTTCTGTCTCCTGACTGATAATATTGGGTAAACAATAGTCAACTTTTAAAAGATTTATACTAATTTTTGGAATTGCTTTCCAGAAAAGGTCCATCTGCTTCCAAAAATGTGCATTAATTTATAACAAAAATTCGAGTGCAATTTCACAAAGATCTTGCCATTTCATTTTTAAAAAGTATTTGGCTAATATGATGGCAAAAAATGGTAGCTCACTATTGTCCTAAGTTTACATTTCTTATAGTAAAATTGAGTATTTTTAATGTTCATTAGATATTTCTATTTTTTCTATATTTGTCTCTAAATGTGTTTTCCTCTTTTTTTTCTGCTAGGGTTTTAATGTTTCCCTTATAATTTCTATAAATGCTTAACCTATAAAAGGAATATACTATGGCTTCTGAGTAATTTTATATATATAATTTTATATATATATATAACTACATATACATATATACACATACTAAGTTCACAGCCAGGTGCAGTGGCTCACACCTATAAGCCCAACACTTTGGGAGGCCAAAGCAGGTGGATCACTTGAGCCCAGGAGTTCAAGAGCAGCCTAGGCAACGCAGTGAGACTCTGTCTCTACAAAAAATAAATTAAAAAATTAGCCAGGCATGGTGGTGTGTGCCTGTGGTCCCAGCTACTTGGGAGGCTGAGGTGAGAGGCGTGCTTCGGCCTGGGAGGTTGAGGCTGCCATGAGTTGTGACTGCACAAATTGCACTCCATCCTGGGTGAAAGAGCAAGATCCTGTCTCAAAAAATGAAAAAAAATAATAAGTAATGTAAATTAAATAAAATGTAAAACTAAGTTAATAAATTTTAGCTATCTAAACTTAATACTCTCTTTTAAAGTGGTTAAAAAGTTTTGTCTCTTTATCCAAAAGCAACAACTAGGCCAGTTACAGTAGTTCACACCTATAATCCCGACACTTTGGGAGGCTGAGGCACAAGGATCACTAGAGGCCAGGAGTCTGAGACCAGCCTGGGAAACAGAGGGAGACCCTGTCTCTACAAAAAATAAACAAATTAGCCAGATGTGGTGGCACATCCCTGTGGTGCCAGCTACTGGAGTGTTTAAGTGAGAGGATCACTTGAGCCCAGAAGGTAGAGGTTGCAGTGAGCCGTGATCATACCACTGCACTCCAGCCTGGGCAGCAGAGCAAAACCTTGTCTCCAAAAAAAGTGCAACAATTTTCAGATTCTATACATCGTATCTCTTAATGGCATATAAATTATGTTACAAAACTAGATTTCACAAGTATACCATTGTTTAGAAATAAACATTTCAATTGCCGACATTAAAAGGAAAATTCATTATGCTCTGCAAAATGGGCAGGCATTTATCATAGATAAACATCTAAAAAACAGTTCTAGGTTTAATCTGTCATGCAACATCTAACCATCTTGGTCACTTAACACTCATTAAATATCTGTTATCAAAAATACTTTTGAGAACAATCATACAGACCAGTGGTCAGCAAGTTGTAGGCTATGGGTCAAATACAGCCCATCTCCATTTTTGTAAATAAAATTTTATTAAAACACATTTATTACTCATGCTCATAATTTACATATTGCCTAATGGCTGCTTTCACACTGAGAATGAAGTTGTACAGTTGCCCTGCAAGGCCTAAAACATTTACTATCTGGATCTTTACAATACAGACAGCTAAAACACCTGAATAAATAATCTTACTAATTTTTAGAAGCTAGCCTAGGCCAGGCATGGTGGCTCACACTTGTAATCCTAGCACTTTGGGAGGCCAAGGTGGGCGTTTTACTTTGAGCTCAAGAGCTTGAGACCCGCCTGGGCAACATGGCGAAACCCTGTCTCTACAAAAAAATACAAAAATGAGCCGAGAGTGGTGTCTCGCACCGGTGGTCCCAGCTACTCAGGAGGCGGAGGCTAAAAGATTGCTCAGGCTGGGAAGCGGAGGTTGCAGTGACCCAAAATCGCACCACTGCACTCCAGCCTGGGCAATAGAACAAGACTCTGTTTCAAAAAATAAATACGAAGCTAGGCTAGATGGCCAGATCCTAACTCATAGAGCTCATACTTTATCTAGTACAGTGACAAGACATGTATGTAAACAACTTATAATGCAAGCTTTTAAAAGCTAAGTGCAATAAGAAAGGTAAAGAGTGTAAGAAAAAGGAAGAGATTCTTTCCAGTGAGGAAAATCAAAGAAGGTATCTTGAAAGAAGTAGCTTTTGCGCTGGGTTTTGAAGGATGGCTATAATTTGGACATTAAAAAAATGGGGAGAAGACTTCCAGTGTAAAGAAAAGCAGAGCTGTGAAAAACTGCAAGCACGACAGTGTACTTTTTATGGAGGAACAGTTAGGAGAAAATGCTAGTAAGCATTCTAGGGGCAAAGCATAGAGAAGGTTTTCAAAGTCAAGATTAGCACTTTAGATTTTAAATATAATTACGTTCAGGACTGAGGATCAGTGATTATAACTGTGCTTTAGGAAGATCAATCTGACAATATCATAAATAATTTGAGAAGACAGATAATAAGGAAACTAGTTATGAAACAATTAAAATAATCCAACAGAAAAGAATGAACATGGTGACAGTGAGACCGGAAAATTATGACAGCAAAACCACTCACTTATGAATTGATAGCAGCATCAGAATATGCTTTCTTACTCATATGGTGTAAAAACTTTCACCACCCCCCCAACCATCTCTCCCACCTTGAACAAAATGATAATTATTTCTAACTTATTCTGACAATTTGAAAAAGAGGATCTACTAGGCCACGCATGGTGGCTCACGCCTGCAATCACAGCACTTTGGGAGGCTGAGGCAGGCAGATCCCTTGAGGCCAGGAGTTCAAGACCAGCCTGGCCAACATGGCAAAACCCCATCTCTACAAAAAATACAAAAATTAGCTGGGCCTGGTGGCGAACGCCTGTGATCCCAGCTACTTGGGAGGCTGAGGCACAAGAACTGCTTTAACTTGGGAGGTGGAGGCTGCAGTGACCCGAGATGCCGCCACTGCACTCCAGCCTGGATGACAGAGCTAGACTCTGTCTCAAAAAAGAAAGGAGGAACTGCTTAAATTATAATTAAAAGGGATAGACTACCACTTTCCCACTAAACTAACCCTGGATGCAAGCACAAAATGAAAACAATTCATGTGCTAGGGCTCCCTCTGCTGGACCACTAGAGAAAAAATCTGATCTTAAATGCTGCTGAATTGATAAAAAGAACAGATAAATTGGCTTCATAGCAGCTCCTTTCCAGGTGTATCAAATGCTTTCCTCAGGAGGGGAATAAGAAATTATCTTTCTTCTATATTTTCCACAGCACTAATAATTTAATTGTTGCTTAAATTGTTGACTAATTATGAAAGAGATTTTAATATATAGTCAAATCACACAAATTTTTTTTTAATCTTTTTTTTTGAGACGGAGTCTCGTTCTGTCACCCAGGCTGGAGTGCAGTGGCTTGATATCAGCTCACTCAACCTCTGCCTCCAGGGTTCAAGTGATTTTCCTGCCTCAGCCTGAGTAGCTGGGATTACAGGTGCCCACCACCATGTCCAGCTAATTTTTGTATTTTTAGTAGAGATGGTGTTTCACCATATTGGCCAGGCTGGTCTTGAACTACTGACCTCAAGTGATCTGCCCACCTCAGCCTCCCAAAGTGCTGGGATTATAGGCCTGAGCCACCATGACTGGCCAAATCTCACAAATATTTAAATATACTCAATAAATTTACTTCTCAGTAAAAAGACAAGCTGGAATTAACCAGACTGATTTTTTTATAGGTAAGGAAATTATTCTAAGGAATGGTTTTATATTCCGTTCACTAAGAAATAAGCTGCAGCTCCCTTGTCCATTGGCTTTGACCGGAAGGTAGGAGAACCTTTCTCTCTAAGACTGAATCTCCCAAATGTTTCTGCTCCTTCTGGACAAGCCCAGTTCCCACCAGGTAACTCTGGTCCCCAGCCTCCAAGAACCATCTCCTACTTGTATCCCTCTATATATCACTACTTGCTTCTTACTGCTGCTAATCTCTCGACTGCCTCATCATGCCCTTTTTGGCATCTCAAGTCTTCCATCACCTATGTTAACAATTCTCTGTATTAAAGTCCCACTACAGGAAGGAGGAAAAGAGGAAGAGCAGGAGGGAAGGAGAAAGCTAGCACAAAATGGCCCAGGCCTATCTTTGCTGACTCTAGTGTACCCACTGGCTAGCTAACACCAGCCTCATTTCACAATGGAAAAGAAACAGCAGTAACATCAAAAAACTCTCTAGATTACTTGTGTAAACCCATCCTTCTCAAACTGTGGTATGTTGTGGTCATTTCATATCGCTTTTTCTTTTTATTTTAGAGACAGGATCTCCCTCTGTTGCCCAGGCTGGAGTGCAGTAGCACAATCCTAGCTCACTGCAACCTCAAACCTGGGCTCAAGCAATTCTCCCCACCTGAGCCTTCCAAGTACCTAACATTACCAGTGCGTGCCACCACACTTTTTTTTTTTTTATAGAGACGGGGTCTCGCTGTTGCCCAGGCTGGACTTGAACTCCTAGCCTCAAGCGATTCTCCCACCTCAGCCTCCGAAAGTGCATGAGGGTACAGGCATGAGTTATCATGCCTGGCCATGATGCTTTGTGTTACACAGTATACCAGGGTGCTTTAATGTGAAATGCAAGATAAGCATGTCCAATCCTTCTGTTGTATCCATAGTAAGTGATTTTTATAATTATTTGTATATTAAACCACAAGGGTGCTAGAAAATTTAATGGTAAATAGACGATGGACGATTTAATGGTAAACAGTCTTCAACAAAAGGTGCTGGGACAACTGGATATCCATATGCAAATGAATGAAGTTGAACCCCCTCTCTCTTATTATTAAAAAAAAAAAATTTCAAAATGTATGAAAGACCTAAACTCAAGGACTAAAACAACAAAATTCTTAGAAGAAAACATAGTGGAAATCTTTGTGACCTCGGATTAGGCAATGGTTTCTTAGGTAGGACACTAAAGCACCAGCAACAGCAGCAAAAAATGTATTTCCTCAAAACAACTTTTGTGCTTCGAAGGATATTTTCAAGAAAAGTGAACAGACAACCCACAGAACAGGAGAATATACTTACAAACCATATATCTAATAAGATACTAAAGGAACTCTTACAATCCATAATAAAATGACAACCCAATTTAAAAAGAGGTAAAGCCGGGCACGGTGGCTCATGCCTGTAATCCCAGCACTTTGGAAGGCTGAGGCAGGCAGATCACAAGGTCAGGAGTTCGAGACCAGCCTGGCCAACATAGTGAAACCCCGTCTCTACTAAAAATACAAAAATTAGCTGGGCGTAGTGGCACATGCCTGTAATCCCAGCTGCACCTGTAGTCCTAGCTACTCGGGAGGCTGAAGCAGGGAAACTGGTTGAACCCAGGAGGTGGAGGTTGTAGTGAGCCAAGTTCGTGCCACTGCACTCCAGCCTGGGCTACAGAGCGAGACTCTGTCTCAAAAAATAAAATAAAATAAAAAGAGATAAATGTGGCTGGGAACAGTGGCTTGCACCTGTAGTCCCAGCACTTTGGGAAGCTGAGGCAGGAGGATTGCTTGAGGCCAGGTGTTCAAGACCAACCTGGCCAATATAGTGAGACCCCATCTCAATTTTAAATTTTTTTTAAAAAAAGGTAAATGACATGAATATACATTTCTCCAAAAACAAAAAAGTGTCCAACATTATTGGCCACCAGGGAAGTGCAAATCAAAGCCACAATGAGATACCACTGTACACCTTCTATATGGCTACAATAAAAAAGAAATGTTAGACAGGATGTGGAAGTGTCAAAACCCTCATACACTGCTGACAGGAATGCAAAATGGTGCAGCCATTTTGAAAAAGTCTGGCAGTTCCTCAAAAAATAAAACCAGGCCAGGTGTGGTGGCTCACACCTGTAATCCCAGCACTTTGGGAGGCCGAGGCAGGCAGATCACCTGAGGTCAGGAGTTCAAGAACAGGCTGGCCACCATGGTGAAAACCTGTCTCTACTAAAAGTACAAAATTAGCCAGGCATGGTGGCACACGCCTGTAATCCCAGCTACTCAGGAGGCTGAGGCGGGAGAATTGCTTGAAACAGGGAGGCAGAGATTGCAATAAGCCGAGATCACGCCACTGCACTCCAGCCTGGGTGAAGAGTAAAACTCCGTCTCAAAAAAAAAAAAAAAAAAAAAAAAAAAAAAAAAAAAAATATATATATATATATATATATATATATATATATGAAACCAGAGTTATCATATGAACCAGAAATTTCCATCCTAGGTACATATCCAATAGAATATCCAATGGAAATGAAAACATATCCACACAAAAAACCTATACACAAGTATTTATAGCAGCATTATTGCCAGAAATTGGGAAAAACCCAAATGCCTACCACTGATAGATAAAATATGGTACATTCATACAATGGAATATTATTCAGTAATAAAAAAAGAAATAAAGAGTACTGACACGTTACAATCTTGAGAACATCATGCTAAGTGAAAGAAGTCAGACACAAAAGAAAGCCTATTGCATGATTCTATTTATATGAAATGTGCAGAATAGGGAAACCCATAGAAACAGAAAGTAAATTAGTGGTTGCCAGGGTTTAGGGGTGGGGAGAATGGGGAGTGATGGTAATGGGTACACAGTTTCTTTCTGGGTGAGGAAAATGTTCTAAACAGTGGTGATGCCGGCACAACTCTTAAAAACCAGTGAATTGGCCGGGCGCGGCGGCTCACGCCTGTAATCCCAGCACTTTGGGAGGCCGGGCGAGGTGGATCACAAGGTCAGGGGTTCGAGACCAGCCTGATCAACATGGTGAAACTCCGTCTCTACTAAAAATACAAAAATTAGCTGGGTATGGTGGCAGGTGCCTGTAATCCCAGCTACTCAGGAGGCTGAGGCAGGAGAATTGCTTGAACCCGGGAGGTGGAGGTTGCAGTTGCAGTGAGCCGAGATCACGCCACCGCACTCCAGCCTGAGTGACAGAGACTCCGTCTCAAAAAAAAAAAAAAACACACACACACACGCACACACACAGTGAATTGTACACTTTAAAAGGGTAAAGTATACAGTGTGTGAATTATATATTTTTTTAATGAGGGAAAATGATGACCAAAAAAAAAAAAAAAAGATCTTGCATCAGGACTCCATCTCTTTCCCATATATTCAATGTGGCTGCCAGGTCCTACTTATTTCTGTGGTATCGCTCACATTTTTCCCCATTAATTCCCAATGACCTCAACCTAGGTTGAGATCTCTCACCTGAACTACTAAAAAAGCCTTCTAACAAGCATTTTTAAACTCATCTCTCATTTCTCCCTTTCTTTGTTTTACAATTCAAGAGTTATCTTCCCAAAAGTGTGATGATATCACCGAATTACTCAAAAACTACTTGAAAATATAAAGTTGAAATTTTATACGAAAAATTTAAGGTACTCCACAATCTGGCCCAATCCTGTTACAACCGTATCTGCAACATTTTTTCCTATATACCCTCTTCTCCAGCCACATTATTCCACAAAAATGCCTTGTACTTGTATGCCATTCTGTATTTCTTGCTGTTCTCTCCCAAATGAAATTATTTCACCTCTATTTTTGCCTATTTAAATCTAAACCAGCCTTGAATGTTATTTAAATGCTTATTCCTGCCTTGATTTTCCTGCAACAAAGTGAATCATTTCATTCTCTACATTTCATTCACATTCTGTAACGCTACTGTTAAAACAAGGCAAGACAGAAGAATAGTATAGGTTTGAAGGTCAGATAGGCCTGTGTTCAAATCCCAATCTTGACACTTATTTATCAGCCACATGGCCTTGAACAAATTACTTAACCTGAGCTTCAATTTTCTGACCTGTAAAATGGGAATAATAATACATCAGAGTGATCCTGAAGATCAAATAAAGTATAATGAGCACACAGGAATCCTCAGTATATTAGTTTCCTTTTCATATTTCAGTTTGCTTTATATTCATGTTCACATGTCTGTCTTCCCCACTAGACTAGACACTGGTTGAAAGCAACACTATATAAGGTCCCAAAAAAAACTGTTAAAGCGTACCACATAATAAAAAGTATATAGGCTATATAGATGCAAAACTGATCAACTCTTAACCTATTGTAGGTATTAAATATCTACTAATGCAACGACATAATTAAAAATTCAAAAGTTGTAATTAGTAACTTCCTCAATATTCCATTTGAAAATATTCTAGTTGGCTACGCAGAAATGGAGATTTAACTAGTAACCTTGATTCATTTCTTATGGTCAATTATTCTAATATTTTATGAAGAAATAAAAACAGAAAAATGGAAGAAAAACTTAAGTCACTGTTAAGGGGGAAAAAATCCATTTTAAGAAAAATGTGATTCTACAACTACATGGATAAATCTGGCATTATACTGAGTGGAGTAAGTCAGACATAAAAGAGTACATACTGTATGATTTTTTTTATATGAAATTCTGTAACAGGCAAAACTAATCTAGTGATAGAAATATGAGCATTTGTCTGGGGTAGCAAGTGGGGAGGTAGACTGACTGCAGGAGGGTATGGAAAGCCTTTTGGGAGAGAGGGAAATGTTCTAAATCTTGATTGGGGCATATACATTTGTCAAAAATCATCAAGCTGTACACTTAAAATCTGAGCATTTTATATGTAAATTATACCTCAATTTTTAAAAACTGTGAGCCATAAAGAGCCAATGTCTTCAAAAGTAGCAAAGAAATATCAAATATGTTAAATTATCCACCCATGCTATTATATAATAAAAACTGAAAACCGGTCAGGCACAGTGGGTCATGCCTGTAATTCCAGCACTTTGGGAGGCCAAGGTGGGTGGATCATCTGAGGTCAGGAGTTCGAGACCAGCCTGATCAACATGGTGAAATCCCACCTCTACTAAAAACACAAGAATTAGCCAGGCGTGGTGGTGTGTTCCTGTAATCCCTGCTACTCAGCAGGCTGAGGCAGGAGAAACGCTTGAACCCAGGAGGCGGAGGTTGCAATGAGCTGAGATCGCACCACTGCACTCCAGCCTGGGCGAAAGAGGGAGACTCCATCTCAAAAAAAAGAGGCTGGGCATGGTGACTCATGCCTGTAATCCCAACACTTTGGGAGGCCAAGGCAAGTGGATCACCTGAGGTTAGGTTCAAGACCAGCCTGGCCAACATGGTGAAACCCCGTCTCTCCTAAAAATATAAAAATTAGCTGGGCGTGGTGGTGGGGCACCTGTAATCCCAGCTACTCAGGAGGCTGAGGCAGGAAAATCTACTAAATACAAAAAATATTAAAAATACTAAAAATACAAAAAAATAAAAAAATAAAAATTAGCCAGGCATGGTGGCAGGCACCTGTAACCCCAGCTACTCAGGAGATTGAAGCAGGAGAATCACTTGAACCTGGGAGGCAGGGGTTGCAGTGAGCCAAGACTGCACCATCCCACTCTAGCCTAGGTAACAAGAGCGAAACTCTGTCTCAAAAAAAAAAAGAAAAAAAAATATTAAAACATGATGGGAGTATTGGAAAAGCACATATTTACTGGGTGCGGTGGCTTACGCCTGTAATCCCAGCACTTTGGGAAGCTGAGGCAGGCAGATCACCTGAGGTCAGGAGTTCAAGACTAGCCCGGCCAACATGGTGAGACCCTGTCTCTACAAAAATACAAAAATTAGCTGGTCATGATGGCAGGTGCCTGTAATCCCAGCTACTCAGGAAGATTAGGCAAGAGAATCGCTTGAACCCAGGAGGCGGAGGTTGCAGTGAGCCGAGATCGCGGCATTGCACTCCAGCCTGGGCAACTGAGCAAGACACTGTTTCAAAAAAAAAAAAAAAAAGAGAAAAGAAAAGCACACATTTGGGATTGTTTCTGATATATAACTGTGGGTTTCACAGAAGTAGTTTTGGCTGCTAAAATAGAAAATGTTGATATTAGATGTTACTGTAGTACTATCAAGAGTAACTATTCACTACCACGATTATAACTGAGCAATTACATTTGGCAGACACTGAATTTAAAAAAAAAGTAGCGTTGTTAAGAACTGTTATATAGTGATCTTAGCTCATGGTTAACAAATTAAAAACTGCTTTGCTAATAAAAATTTGTAGAAAATTGGTGACATCTTAATAACTCATACCTAGGGATCTTTACACCAACAATTTTGTTATGACAATTTCAGTAGTCTGAAAAGACCGTGTATTTGTTTAAAGGTAAAGTTTGCAGCTTTTAGAGGGAAAAAAATCTTTAAAAAATCGGTGGAGCTGCTTTCTTTACACCTTCCTTTTTGACAATTCTGTAAATTATACTCCACTGTACTGACAAATAACAAAGGCAAAGGTATCAGAGTCACAAGTTCAATTTTTAAAAAATTTACATTTCCAACCATGCACGAGTAAAACATAGGTTTCCTTACCTCATCATCATCATCAGAATCATTCCCAAACACTGATGGTTTTTGCAAAACAGGGTGCAACTGCTGTGTTTTCTTTGGCAAAATAAGCCCATACCTGCATATATTTTTTTTGAAATAGAAATTAAACCTTTATGTTTAAATGTTAACAAATACATCTACTACCTCTTCCACATGAAGCTACCAAATCAAAACATGTCATAAGCTTTATGAACACGTAACAGACTGTTTTTGCTTCTCAGTGATCTCAAAATTCTAACATGCCGTAAGATTCTATAATTACTACTCTAAGTGATCATTTGTGGACACGGGCCAAACTCGAATACCATTTTTATCAAAGAAGAGAAGTAAATGAAAAGTTCAGAAATGTTTTAAGATGGCGAAGTGACAGTAACATTTAAAAAAAAAAAAAAAAAACATGTGTAGTGGAAAGTTTAGTTCATGTCCACTAAAGATTTTAAAATGCTTTCAACTATCCTTGTGGTCTAAACAGTCAAGAAAATGGCTAGATTTTTTTTCCTACTGTGTACTTACACAGTTTCTAAGAACTGACTGGATAGTGTAACTCACGAAAATTTTTAAAAGATAACTGAGAAACCCAAGTAGCCATGGGGCAAGTTCGCATTACACTTTATTAAGATCATGTGCTTTGCCTCGGAGCATCTGAGAGAACCATCCCATCAGATCCAACTCCTTTAGTTTCTCACGTTTTGGCCTTTAAGATGCGGAGATCACGGGAGGCCGCATCAAAAGTAAGGATTACACATCAAAGGTAAAACTTTCAAGTACGTACAGTATTTGTCTCTTTTGCGGCAACGTATACCCCAATTTCCTATATGCCTACCCTTTTTCTGTGGCTTCTCAGAACAATATTCCTAAAACGAGAAGGAAGGGCGGGAATCAGGACTTGAGCTTCTGCCAAGGAGAACAAGGCCCTCTAAGGAAGCCAGGAACTGTCTCTCTTCACACTGCCCCTGAGAGCATCCAAGCGGGGAGAAACTCAAGCGCGGGTTAGGAAGCAAGACTGAGGGGCCTCAGACCGAGCTTTTGGAAAATAGAAAAGTCTCGCTCTCTGCCCCTCAGCCTAACTTCCTTTATTTCCTCACAAGTTTCTCCCTCAAACTTCGGGCTTCCATCCGGGAAAATGTACGGGGGAGGGGAATCTATGTTCCTCAGGACTTCTCGTTTTTTCCCGTCTCTACCCTTGACGACACAGTCCCTTCACTTCCAGCGCATTTAAAACTCCTCGGCCAAAGATACAGTCGCCGTAGTTTCTCATCCCCCAGCCTGACCCTAACTCCCGGATCACTCACTGCCTGCCCGGAATCGCCATCTTGCTCCCGTGTCCGCTGAACGTGGCCGACGCCTCCGTGACGCTGACGCCGATGTCGTCACGTAAACTCTCGCGCGGCTTTGGGTGGCCCGGATCCTGCTTGTCGGTTGAATCGCTGGTTTGAGTCACTTCTATGGTACTGGGAATCGGATCCAGTGACCTCTGTTTTGTTTCGGAGCCCACCGGCTGCCTCAAAATCTGTAGGAGAAAGGAATGACAACGTTCTAGGCCAGTTGTTCGCAGTGTGTGGTTCTGGGACCAGCGGCATCAGCAACACCGGAGATACTGTTAAAATGACAAATTCTCGGGCCCTACCCCAAACCTGCAGAATCAGAAACTTTGGAGTGAAGCGAGTTATCTGAATTTTAACCAGCGGGTAATTCTGATAAAGTTTGAAAACCACTGCCATGGCTATCGATATTCCCCCTACCCCCTTCCAAGTGTTCACTTTAACTGGTTCAGGATAATTAGGCGAAAAATGAAAATCTGTGTATTAATAATACCTTACATAGGACCAAAATTATTATTAAAAAAAAAATTTTTTTTTTGAGACGGAGTTTCGCTCTTGTTGCCCAGGCTAGAGTGCAAAGGCGCGAACTCGGTTACCTCAACCTCCGCCTCCCGGGTTCAAGCGATTCTCCTGCCTCAGCCTCCCGAGTAGCTGGGATTACAGGCATGTGCCACCACGCCCGGCTAAGTTTGTATTTTTAGTAGAGACGGGGTTTCTCCATGTTGGTCAGGCTGGTCTCGAACTCCCGACCTCGGGTGATCCGCCCGACTCGGCCTCCCAAATTGCTGGGATTACAGGCATGAGCCACCGCGCCCGGCCCAAGGACCAAAATTATTAATAATACTGTTCACGGGCCATTGGGTATAGGAATCAGGATCATATATGATACTTTTTTTTTTTTTTTTTTTTTTTTGAGACGTAGTCTCGCTCTTGTCGCCCAGGCTGGAGTGCAGTGGCATAATCTTGGCTCACTGCAACCTCCGCCTCCCAGGTTCAGGCGATTCTCCTGCCTCAGCCTCCTGAGTAGCTGAGATTACAGGCGTCCGCCACCATGCCTGGCTAATTTTTGTATTTTTTTAGTAGAGGCGGGGTTTCACCATGTTGGCCAGGCTGGTCTCAAACTCCTGACCTCATGTGACCCACCCGCCTCAGCCTCCCAAAGTGCTGGGATTACAGGCGTGAGCCACCGTGCCTGGCCCATATATGATACCTTTTTGAAAACTCTGCCCACATCTGTGCACTCATTCACTCTTGGTTCATTCCCAGCTAGTCTCAGAGCAGCCAAAGAGATCAATTACTGAGATAAGGATGTTGAAATCTCCAACTATAATTGCGAATTTGCTTCTCCTTTCAATTCTATCAGTTTGTGTCGTGTATTTTGAAATTAGGTATGTAAACATTTAGGATTGTTACGTTCTCTTGCATTAACCTCTACTAACCTCTATAGCATTAAGAAGTGGCCCTCTTTATTCCTTTATTCTTCTTTGTCTGCTTGGTCTGCTATCAATATAACTAGCTTTCTTTTGATTAATGCTAGCATAGTGTATCTTTTTCAACCCATTTTAATCTATTTGTGTATTTACATTCAAATTGGATCACTTGTTGACAGAAAATAGTTGGGTCTTGCTTTTTTATCCAGTCTGACAGTCTCTTCCATTTAATTTGGATGCTTAAAACATTTTCATTAAAGTGACTATGATTGCAGGCTGGGTGGGGTGGCTCAGGCCTGTAGTCCCAACACTTTGGGAGGTTGAGGCCAGCATGCACAACATAGCCAGACCCCATCTCAAAAAAAAAAAAAAAAAGTATGATTGCTATTTGTTTTCTATTTTTCCCAACTGTGATTCAGCTTATGATTTTCATGCTTCAGCCTCCTTTGTTGGTTTATTGACCATACTTCTTTGCTTGTTATATAAGCTGTTGCTTTAGGGTTTCTAATATATGTCTTAAACTTATCACAATCTGCCTTAAAGTAAGAATCTACCACTTTGTGTATAGTATAAGAAGCTTAGAAAAGTATACTTCCATTTTATCTCCTAGTTTTGTGCTATTGTCACTATGTCATAAATGCACAATAAATTATTTTTGCTATAAAAAGTAACTTGGTTTTTAAAAAGATTTTTTTGAATAGGAAAAATACGTTTACCCACATATTTATCATTTCTGGTGTTTCCATGTCTTTGTATAGATTCAGATTTCTATCTAGTATAATATTTTTAAAAATATTTTTAAAAAGTTTTATTGAGCGATAATTCACATATCATACAATTCATTCATTTAAAGTGTGCAATTCAGTGGGGTTTAGTATAGTCAAGTTGTATGTTTAGTATAGTCATAGTTGTACTACCCTCACCACAATCAATTTTAGTTTTGTTTTTGTTTTTTGAGACAGAGCCTTGCTCTGTTTCCCAGGCTGGAGAGCTATGGTGCATCTCAGCTCACTGCAAGCTCCTGGGTTCAAGCCTCCTGGGTTCAAGCGATTCTCCTGCCTCAGCCTCCTAAATAGCTGGGATTACAGGCGCCCGCCACAACACCCAGCTAATTTTTGTATTTTTAGTAGAGACAGGGTTTCTCCATGTTGGCCAGGGTGGTCTCAAACGCCTGACCTCAGGTGATCCACCCGCCTCAGCCTCCCAAAGTGCTGGGATCACAGGTGTGAGCCACTGCACCTGGCCAATTTTAGATTATTTTTAATACCCAACAAAGAAACCATATACCTATTAGTCACTCCTATTTTCCTCCAAATCCCCCAGTCCTAGGTAAATATTTTATGTCTATAGACTTGAAGTTCTATCAGTTTTAGCTTCATGTATTTTGAAGCTCTGTTATTAGGTTTAAGATTGTAATGTCTTCTTAATTGACTTTTCATTATCAAATAACCTTTATCATTATAATATTCTTTGCTCTGAAATCTACTTGTGTGATATTATAGCACTCCAGTTTTCTTTTGACATTAACTCTAGGGAAAGCAAAAGGATGTACAGGAATGGAAAATAATTGTAATTTACAACATGGCTAAGCTGTAAATAGCATACATAATCATGATAATATAAACACTGAATATTGATCTATTCTGATTACATTACCATGTAATAATATTGGGAAGAATGGATGGGAAGCGTGTGTGTATATATGCTGAGGAAGGAGCTAAATCTTTGTATTGTATACTGGGAGATTAATAGATATTGCCTAAATCGGAAAAACAAAAGTAGCCACACAAGCATGTAATTTAACAATATAGAGGTAAATGTCAAAACCACAGCTAAAATAGGGGTTGGCAAACTTTTTCTGCAGTCAGATAGCAAATAGTTTAGTCCATGTGACCCATATGGTTTTTGTGGCCACTACTCAACTCTGCCCTGGTAATGTGAAAGCAGCCACAGACATGGGCATAGCTATTCCAATAAAACTTTATTTACCATACCAGGCAGCTGGCCAGATTTGGCCAATGGGCTGTTTACCAACTCCTGAGCAAAAAGAATTGAAAGTAGCTGACTCAGAAGCAAGGAAAATAAAGGTAAGGTGGGGCTGGGAAATGCTGTGGTCTCAACAGACCTTGTATAACAGAATGACTTTTTATGAGTATGTGTTACTTTGCTTAAAATAAAGAGTAAAAAATAAAGCCCCCTGCCAGGGCTGCCTGCCTCTTGCTTGAATAGACTGAATGGGGAATTAGTTACCCATAATTACCCAGGGGAGAACTCAATATCCTACATAATTTGAGTTTTTCAATTGTTATATTCTGTATTCTTCCATTGCCTTTGGGACATTTTAATGAAGCAGTCATGGGATTTTCCCTAGGCTAGAAGGGACAGTTTCTCAGATGCAGTGTTGTAGAGTCTGCAGCAGTGGTGGTAACTGCAGCAGTGAGTAAGGGCACAGAGAAGCCTCTTAACATTTTAGAACCCAACTTTTGAAACTTTAACAAGAAATGCTGTAAGGACAAGCTGGGTAAACCAGTAAAAGATAGTATCATCACTACCATCCTCATGGATGTTATACAACAGAAATTTCCAATCATCTTAAACTTCCAGAACAGAACAGTTGACTAAATTGGATCCATTACCGAAACCCTTGGATCTTCCACTTAATCTTTTGACACTAGTGTTACTAATGTTAACTTCACTACTTTCAGTTTCTTCTCTTTGCACCCAATCTTTTCCCCAACCAACTACTCACACCTTTTCTCTACCTATAGTTTCTGCTAACTTGTAGCATCTTGAAGGCAGTATGCACCAACTTCCTTCAAGGCCTGTCATGACACCTTTGGCCTCTCTAAGCACTTAATTTCCTTTTATTTTTTAAATTTTTATTATTTTTTATTTATTTATTTACTTATTTATTTTTGGAGATGGAGTATCATTCTGTTGCCCAGACCGGAGTGCAGTGGTGTGATCTCAGCTCACTGCAACCTCTACCTCCCAGGTTCAAGCAATTCTTCTGCCTCAGCCTCCCGAGTAGCTGGGATTACAGGCATGCACCACCACGCCCGGCTACTTTTGTATATTTAGTAGAGACAGGGTTTCACCATATTGGCCAGGCTGGTCTCAAACTCCTGACCTGGTGATCCACCCGCCTCGGCCTCCCAAATTGCTGGCATTACAGGTGTGAGCCACCGCACCCGGCCTTAATTTCCTTTTAGACACTGCTCCCATTGCTGTTTCCCAGTTTGGCTTGTCCATGGTTTGGGTGCTTTTTATATTAGGCCATTTCACAAATTGGTCTCACTTTGGTAAGGGGTCACCCCTAATTCAAACAACTGTAGCTACAGAGTCAGTCACGTAATGGCCACCCAGGGTTGCCTCATCACTTGAAGTCCCTGGGCAGGACAGTCTAAGCTCAGACAGTAGATGGAGGAGAGGTTAAATACGGTTAATGACTAGGAAATGGTACACCTACTGAGGGTAGTAACCAAGTTTAAGGGCAGAGAAATTAGGCAATATTTATTTATTTATAAATTTAACAAATTTGACCAAGAAAAAGATTATGGAACTGGACAGCATTCTAGACCAAAGATGGTTCACAATGGCCCTTCTTGCAAAGTGGTGAGCTATATTTATAACCAGAAAACAGGTGAAATAGGTAATATTTAATTCACTGATCTTGTCAGTTGAGAGAGGTTTTTTAATTAAAATTTTTATTTTTGCTTTAAAAAATTTGTTTAACTTTTAGGTTCGGGGTACATGTGCAAGTTTGTTATATAGGTAAACTTGTGTCATGGGGGTTCACTGTACAGATTATTTCATCACCCAGGTATGAAGTCTAGTATCCAATAGTTACTTTTTCTGATCCTGAGAGAGGTCTTTGTAACAAGATTCTGTGGAAGGAGAGTAAGAATATGGCATTGATGATGTGGGGTGAGGTTTTTGGGACTGGCATTGCATAAAACCTCATATATGAGAGGAATGCACAATTCTTTTTTTTTTTTTTTTTTTTCAAGACGGAGTTTCGCTCTTGTTGCCCAGGCTGGAGTGCAATGGCGCGATCTCAGCTCACCGCAACCTCCACCTCCCGGGTTCAAGTGATTCTCCTGCCTCAGCCTCCCGAGTAGCTGGTATTACAGGCATGTGCCACCATGCCCGGCTAATTTTGTATTTTTAGCAGAGACGGGTTTTCTCCATGTTGGTCAGGCTGGTCTCCAACTCCTGACCTCGGTTGATCCGCCCGCCTCAGCCTCCCAAAGTGCTGGGATTACAGGCATGAGCCACTGTGCCTGGCCTGCACAATTCTTAAATTACCTTCAAATGGTCTTCTGAGTTAGAAGATTGAGAATGTCTAGAAGTTCAGGGCATCTGGTCGCTTAAGCATATTTAGATTAAGAGGGAATTGGCTGGGTGCACTGGCTCACGCCTGTAATCTCAGCACTTTGGGAGGCTGAGGGGGCCAATCACTTGAGGCCAGGAGTTCAAGACCAGCCTGGCCAACATGGTGAAACTTGTCTCTACTAAAAATACAAAAATTAGCCAGGTGTGATGGTGTGTGCCTGTCATCCCAGCTACTTGGGAGGCTGAGGTACAAGAATCACTTGAACCCGGGAGGTAGAGGTTGCAGTGAGCCAACATTGCACCACTGCACTCCAGCCTGGGTGACAGAGTGAGGCTCTGTCTCAAAAAAAAAAAAAAAAAAAAAAAGAGGGAATAGGAGGCCAATTACAAAAGACCACATGTTGTATACAAAATGTCCAGATGGGCAAATCGGTAGAGAAAAAAAATTAGCGGTTGCCTAGGGCTGGGGGTAGGGGAAAGTGGGGAGTGACTGCTAATGGGTATGTGGTTTCTTATTGGGATGATCAAAATTTTCAGCGGGCGCGATGGCTCACGCCTGTAATCCCAGCACTTTGGTAGGCCAAGGTGGGCGGATCACGAGGTCAGGAGCTCGAGATCAGCCTGGCAAACATAGCGAAAACCCGTCTTTACTAAAAATACAAAAGATTAGCCGAGCTTGGTGGCCGGCGCCTGTAATCCCAGCTACTTAGGAGGCTGAGGCAGGAGAATCGCTTGAACCCAGGAGGCTTGAACCCAGGAGGTTGCAGTGACCCAAGATGCACCACAGCACTCCAGCCTGGGCAACAGAGCAAGGCTCTGTCTCAAAAAAAAAAAAAAAAAAAAAAAAAATCTAAAGTTGATTGTGGTAAGGGTAGTACAACTCTGTGAATATACAAAAAAAAAAAAAGTAATTCTACGCTATAATGGGTAACTTTTATGGTATGTGGATATGTTAGTAAAGCTGTTTAAAAAGGCAATTGGAGCTTTTTTGAGACTCCATTGTCATTATCTTGATACTTCATGTTGTTCCTGAGCCATGACAAGCCAAAAGTATAAAAGAAAGTGAAGCTGGGCGCAGTGGCTCATGCCTGTAATTTCAACACTTTGGGAGGCCGAGGCGGGAGGATCACTTGAGTCCAGCAGTTTAAGGCTGCAGTGAGCTATGATCAAGCCACTGCACTCCAGCCTAGGGGACAGAGCGAGACCCTGTCACTTAAAAAAATAAAAAAGAAAGCAAAGGAGAGAAAGTGGTCTGGATGGTCTACACTGTACAGTGTCATTGTTACCTATGAGCTATCAGGAAAGAGCCAATAACAAATTCAGTTAATCAAGTCCAAGCTTCTGAAGCATATGTAAGTATAAGTAAATAAATAAATCTATTAACAGCGAAATAAATGGATTTAGATATAAATCTGTATCTAACCTTCATCAGGTATAAATAACATCCTCCTCACTCAAAATATAAGCTCCTAAGGTTAAGGGACAGTATTTTACTTGAATGATTATTTAATAAATTTAACCGATCTGGCTTGTTTGGCTGCAAATTTTAAAGTAGTTTTCAAAAGACTGACAGCATGGTCATTAGCCTAGTAAGAAAGTTGGAAAGTGTGAGATTTCTAGGGTGCTGGCAAGGGCAATAAACCAGAAATTATGTGCTAGGTCCGCTCTGCCTCTTATGCCTGTTGTGAACTGGGCAACTCATTTATAAAATAAAATAGAGATAATATCAGGACTACCCACTTTATAGATTATTGGAAGAATCAAATAAGCTAGTATGCGAAAACACTTCAAGTTAAAGTGCCATGCAAATGTATGATATTTTTCATCAAGCTAGAAGTCATTTAGTTAATTTAATTTCCAGGATAACGGTTACAAACATGGCATTCTGCAAAATCTTTCCTTCCTTGCCACCTAAAATGCCATTTGTATTCACAGTGAACTCTGTAAACTTGCTCTGAAGCCATCAGGATATGTGGTTATGAGTTTAATATCTTCAAGAACACTGTTCCTTGGAATGTTGCTCTGAAGGCCCTAAAAAGCCCCCTTCCAAATATGAAACAGGCATATAGGTTAAAACTGGCATGTGATCATCCGAGAGAGGAGGACTGGTAATAACACTGCCCTCTTATCAGAAAAGGTTAAAAAGGGACGGCCAATCTCAAATTATAAGATATTTGGACACATCACATTTTGTCAATCTAATAAAGAAAATAAAGTTTAATTTCCCAAAATTTTATTAAAACTGGACTCTGTCATCAGATATCTATTGCAAAGATGAAATCTCACCACAGAGCAGTAAAGTTTGTCATAAAAACAAGCTTTAAACAAATATAAATTCTTTTTGTACTTTTGAACTGAAGAGGTTTTTATCATTAAAAAAGTGTCTTCTTTTTTCCATGAGTCATGGACATTTTCCCACAAGAATTTCTGTTCATTAAAATGACTTTTGAGTACCCCATAAATATGTACAACTACTATGTACCCACAAAAATTAAAAATTAAAAAGTTAAAAACCAAAAGCAACTTTTGAGTTGTTAAGGCAAGAGTATGGAGGCAGAGAGAGGGAAGAGGCGATGTTTAGATAAGTCTTTGAAAAATTAGAAAAACAATTCTCAGTCCATTTCTTAAAAATCTTTATTATTTGGTATTCTTTTGGTTTATCTTTATTATTTCGTATTCTATTTGGTATTCTTGTTTTCTAAATCCTCAGCTGTTACTTTGAACCTTATAAGAATGAAAAATAACTACCCAATCAACCATAACAGTTCCACAGCAGATACAAAGCTCAAACTGAAAGGAAGCTTTCAAATATATTCTATAACATACTTAAATACACTTGGCTATGGCTACCTTAGCTGGGTATTTTTTGGCTAAATTTCTTCTTAGGTAGCACTTTTGGGTTTAGAAAGTGCTGAGATAAATATTAGCAGCAGAAGACATTTATAGGTACCCCTTTCCAATGGAAAATATTTTATAGTTAACAAACAAAACTGATAACAAACAAAGGATCCTAAATACAGTATCAATTCCATTATCATCCATTATCACTTCTCTTGCAAACCTTCCCCTGGCATTTTTGCATACATATAATTGTCAGTCTTGGAGGGCAACGGAGGTGTAATACCACTATTTAGTTGTTTGGTTATCTTCATGAGAGCTGAACAGATGTGTATCCAGTGGTATAGATGTTCAATGACAACATTACCAAATTTCCATACTTCAGTTCGGGAATGATCTGCATCAGGAAAAAAAAAGAAAAGTAAGAGTGGAGAGTTTTGCACTTTACTATTAAAATTATAAGTTCTAATATTATGATTAAAGTTCATTAGATATGTTTTGAGTCAAAACCAAGCAGAATCTTGTGTAAATATGTAATTACAGGAATATGGATAAATTTTGGTATAGTCATACAATGGAATACTTAACAGCAGTTAACAAAGAATTAGAGTTATTTGTATTCATGAATAAATCTCAAAATATTCAATACAAAAAGTAAGTTATAGAATAATGTGTACTTTTGGGCACAATTAAACGGCTTTAAAACCTGCAAGATAGTATTATATTATTTATGGATTCATTAGCATATAGTAAAAATAAGAAATCATGCATGAAACCAATACCAAATTCATGATAGTATTATCTCTAGGGAAAGACGAGAAGACAGTGGGATCGAGGAAAGATAGAAATCCTCAACTGTTCCTATAATGTTTTCTTTAAAAAGTCTAACTCAAATATAGTGTTAAGGTTGGATATAGAATATAGCTTCATAATGACTATGCAGGTATTATTCTCTATACTTGCATGTTTGAAATATTTCCTAATTAAAAATTATTTAAAGCTATATAGTAACTGCACACCATTATATGTTTTAAGTTTTTTAAATTGAAAACTGTTAAACTGTCATTCATAAAAGTTGCTTTTTCCCAGGAGTCAATGACTAATATTCAAACAGAATGGTCCAATGGAAAGACTATATAGAGTTGAACAGATGAGGGTTCTGTCCAATGGAAAGACTATATAGAGTTGAACAGATCTTGGCTCTACACCAATGAGTTTTGTCACTTAACTGCTCTGAGCCTCAGTTTCTTCTTCCATAAAACAAAATTGTAAGAATTGTTTTTTTCTTTTGAGACAGGGTCTTGCCCTGTTGCCCAGGCTGGAGTGCAGTGGCACGATCATGGCTCACTGCAGCCTCAATCTCCCATGCTCAGGTGATCCTCCCACTTCAGCCTCCCAAGTAGCTGGGACCAGAGGCTGAGAAAATATATGTGAAGATCTGTCACAGAGTAGTTGCTCAAAAATATTAACTACCGGCTGGGCACAGTGACTCACACCTGTAATCCCAGCACATTGGGAGGCAGAGGCAAGTGGATCACTTGAGGTCAGGAGTTTGAGATCAGCCTGGCCAACATGGTGAAACCCCATCTCTACTAAAAATACAAAAATTAGCCAGGCGTGGTGGTGGGCACCTGTGATCCCAGCTACTTGGGAAGCTGAGGCAGGAGAATCGCTTGGACCTGGGAGGTGGAGGTTGCAGTGAACTGAGATTGTGCCACTGCACTCCAGCCTGGGTGGCAGAGTGAGACTCCATTTCAAAAAATAATAATAATAATAATTACCCCCTTTCTTTCAGATGCCTCTCATCCACAAGTCTATTTTATTCATTTCTGTTATTCCTAGTAACTAACTCAGTGCCTAACCCAATACATGTTTGCTGATTTGAGTAAACCATTTGGTTATAATTGAGTTCAAGCTTTATTATTTATTTATTTATAATTATAAATAAATAATTTATTCATTATCTTTAATAATAGAGACAGGGTCTTATGTTGCCCAGGCTAGTCTTGAACTTCTGGCCTCAAGCAATCCTCCCACCTCGGCCTCCTAAAGTGCTGGGATTACAGCCATGAGCCACTGCACCTGGCTTTTTTTTTAATTGAGTAAAAGCTTTTAAATATCAAGTCTTCTATCCAATAGCTTATTAACAGTAATGACAATGATCTATTAGAATTGCTAAGCAGAACATATTTTATTTTCTTGTCTTTTATCAACACAAAGGAACAAGATTCTCTGAATTAGGTTTAGCTGTCCTATGGTTTGGAAGGAACTATACAACAAAAGGTATAATATGGGATAGGAATGGCACGTAAAATGTGGAAAACATTCACAAGTCTCAATTTTTATTTGAAGCTGACTTTAAAGCGTGGATCCAATTAATTTTCTAAAATTCTCTGTTTTAACACACACGCACACACACACACCACCCTGGCATTGTCTTTTCTCATTCAATTATAAGTGTTCAATAAATGTTAAATTGAAACATTAAATTAAGGAATAATGAATTAGGTTTCTCAAATACTAAAATTCTTTCCAGATTATAGCTCAGTAACATTAGAGAGAATTATGAATAAAAACAAAACAGATGCTGGTCATGAGATCACATTCAAAATACCTGATTCATCTCATTTTATGAGCAATACTAGACCAATCGACATACATACTTAAAATATTGAAGGTGCATTTGTTATAATTCATCTCTCTTTCTGTTTTTTGTTTTGTTTTGTTTGTTTGTTTCGTTTTTTGAGATGGAGTCTCACTCTGTCGCCCAGGCTGGAGTGCAGTGGCACCTTGTGGGCTCACTGCAACCTCCGTCTCCTGGGTTCAAGCGATTTTCCTGCCTCAGCCTCCCAAGTAGCTGGGATTACAGACGCCCATCACCAGGCCTGGCTAATTTTTATATTTTTGGTAGAGACGGGGTTTCATCATGTTGGCCAGGCTGGTCTCGAACTCGTGACCTCAGATGATCCGGCCTCCCAAGGTGCTGGGATTACAGGCGTGAGCAACCGCGCTCGGCCAATTCATCTCTCTTTCTGTTAATTAGTTTCCTGGAAACCCTGCAAGGTAAATGATACAGGTTTCCAAAGATAATGTTTCAATGCTATGAAGCTAAATAAAATTCACCCTAGGACACTCCTAAAAGTCCTTATTTTCGGAGACAAAACAGCTCTGCTGCTCCCCTCAGCTTTTCTTCCGCCCTTCCCTAATGCCCATGAAGAGCTCTGTTCCTTTGACCCCTGCCACAGTGTTCTTATCTGAACATCCACGTGAGCAGACGCCCATCTGCAAGCCATTATTAAGCTAGTCGCCATCTCCATGGTGATTCAACGACACGGGGATGGTGAGCGAGGTCGCTGTCTTTCACAAGACCCTGTTGCTTATTTCCTGTGTTATTGTTACCGAGACAGAAGCTCCGAAAGTGTCTGGACGGTGGTTCCTGTTTCCCTGTCCTTTCCAGAGGTTGATGCGTTAACGACCGGCTCTAACGATTCCTCTAATGAGCCTCCAGCGCTCTGCTGGGTTCCCTATTAACGGTTGAGTGCTACTGCCCTCTTGTGGTAGATGCAGGCCGGATCTTTGCAGCTTGACCCACGACAGACCCCACTCACACAGACTTTGCAATTTTTTCAAGCAGATAAACGCTTCTTTTATAACCATAGAAATAACGCTTTTTTTTTTTGCTTTGCTTTGGAAAAGTGTATAGTAAATTATTTGAATATATCTAAGCTATAGAGAGTACTGGGTGACCTTTGAGTCTATCTATGGACATTAGTTCAGAAACATGATATTTTTGTAGGTTCTAGTTTAATCAAACTTTTAATTACATAGTGAATTCATTATGCTGGAAACACTGGGCTATAGTAGGATATTTCTGAATTAAAACTCCATTTATGGATCCCTGCTTTTAACACTGGATTAATAAAGTTAAATCTTTTGGGGATGATGGATAATTAGTATAGATGGGCAAAGCAAAAAGAAAGAAGTACTTAAGCTTCAAGTACAAAAGCTAAAATGTAACTGCTCCTTTCAACTAACAATCCAAGATCAGCCACATTTGTTGATGTTCCTCTCCTTCATTAGTTCTCTTAGTTTTAGTTCTCATTTCTATTGCTTCACATACCCCAAGTCACTCCTTAACATGACAGCCACACACAATAAACTGAAGGTCCTTGCAGCAATAGAAGGGTATGTGTATGCAAATTTCTTTTCTTTTCTTTTTTAGATGGAGTTTTGCTCTTGTTGTCCAGCCTGGAGTGCAATGGCGTGATCTTGGCTCACTGCAACCTCCACCTCATGGGTTCAAGCCATTCTCCTGCCTCAGCCTCCTGAGTAGTTGGGACTACAGGCATGCACGCCTGGCTAATTCTTCTGTATTATTAGTAGAGATGGGGTTTCACCACGTTGGCCAGGCTGGTCTTGAACTCCTGACCTCAGGTGATCCACGTGCCTTGGCCTCCCAAAGTGCTGGGATTACAGGTGTGAGCCACTGCGCCCGGTCATATATGCAAATTTCAATCAATCTTTTTGTAGGCAGGAGAATTTACATTTGCCATGGCAATCAGGAATTTAATATGTCATTGTTAATTTAATATGGTCCCAAAGGCACTGTAGTGTACTGCCTCCCAGATTTATCAGGAAAAATATCAATGTTACACGGGGAGTTAAAAACACATTTTTCTCTAGTAATCGAAGTTTGAGGGGGAAGTTTGTTCTAGGATGAATGCTGAGTTCTTGCACGTATATCAGTTTCATTCCCATGGCAAGCATATTTCTGTACAGTGTCACAAGCATAATTTCTGTACAATATCACATAATTTCTATACAATATCACATGTAGTGGCTTTTTAAATGATGTAGCTATAAATCAAGTCATGTGTAAATTGAAATCAATGCAAATTATATTTACAAAATTCATAGTTTAATGTAGTGGCCTCCAAACTCTTTTGCTCATGTACCTCTATCAGTAACAAACATTGAGCATGTGCCCATATATATATATATTTATAATATATATATTTATAAATTATTTATTTTAAAACATTTTAAACAAAAAATAGAAATTAACAATGAGTTAAAACCATTATAAAGAAAAGTCCTTTGGCCGGATGCAGTGGCTCACGCATGTAATCTCAACACTTGGGAGGACAAGGCAGGTGGATTGCTTGAGTCCTGGAGTTCAAAACCAGCCTGGGCAACATGGTCTGTCTCTACAAAAAATACAAAAATTAGCTGGGCATGGTGGTGTGGGCCTCTAGTGTCAGCTACTAGGGAGGCTCAGGTGGGAGGAGGGAGAATCACCTGAGCCTGAGAGGGAGAGGTTGCAGTAAGCCAAGATTGTGCCACTGTACTTCGGCCTGGGTGACAGAGTGAGACCTTGTCTCCAAAAAAAGAAACAAAGAAAAAAAGAAAAGTCCTTAGTCCTTTGGTATTTTTCTTTCTTTCTTTCTGTCTTTCAATGTCTCAACAGAATCATCTTTGATATTTTTCTTGCGCCCCAGAGACAGTTTTTTAAAAAATCTTCTGGGGTGCTTCCACTTAACTTTGGAGACCACCAAGTTAAAATATGAAAGAAATTGAATGGATAATGCTTTTCTAGATGATTAACATGCATTCAATTTTGCTACGTCTGAAATTCCTACTAAGACTAATGTAAAGGAAAAGAAAGAAGAAAAGAAAAAGAAAAAGAAGACATAAGGGCCGGGTATGGTGGCTCATGCCTGTAATCCCAGCTACTCAGGAGGCTGAGGCAGGAGAATCACCTAAGCCCAGGAGTTCGAGGTTACAGTGAGCCATGATCACACCACTGCACTCCAGCCTGGGTGACAGAGACAGACCCTGCCTCTATAATTAATTAATTAATTAATAAAAGAAGACATAAAACCAATGATAGAAAGATCAGGAGAAAAGAAACACCAATATTTAATTCCTACTCCCATTGCCTCAAAGTCCCAACAACTTCTTCTCCCATCTTCACTCTGGCTGATGACTCTGCTTTCAGCTTCTCTGTAAGATTGACACAATCAGAAGGCAACTTCCATAGACTCCCACCAGCACACCTACCCACTCACTCTCATCTGCACCCATATTCTCCTTCCGTAGACTTCTACCAGCACACCTACCCACTCACTCTCATCTGCACCCATGTTCTCTGTCCTCTTGCTGTCTTAAGCCAATTCCTCCCTTGGTGTGGTAGATCCAGGGTAGTCAAATAATTCATTGTTCAAATTGGTACACTTGAGAGAGAAAGAGGATGCTAACTGGACAAGTCACCAGAACAACAAGCAAAAACTTGGGCTGTTCCAAGGTAAACATAGAACGTATGGTTACTCTAACAACAGCCCATCCTCTCTGACGTGCTTGAGGACATTGTTTCAGGAATTCTCTGTCTTCAACATTGTCAACTTCTTGCTTTCTACAGGATTTCCCATCAGAATGAAACCTGCTGTTATCTCTCCCATCTGAGAAACAAAACAAAACCTTGACCCCATTTCCTCCTCCGGTTACCACACCATTCTTTGCTCCCCTTTGTGGCAAAACATTCAGAATCGTCTCTACTCAGTCTTCCCACCTAGGAGACTTTCCTCTCTTTGCCAATCATCTATTCACCAACCAATCTCGATTTTATATCTCCAGCTTAGACCTTTCTCGAAAACTCCAGATTTATTTAACCATCTACATAGTCACATCTCTACTTCCATATCTAATAGATATCTCAAACTCAGCATGTCAAAATCTGAACACTTCATCTCCCCCGACCAAAGCCTGCTCCACCTACGTGTTCTCCATCTCAGCTGATGGTAACTCCATCCTTCCAAACCATGGAGTCAACCTTGGCTCCTCTGTTTCTTTCTCATTCCACACTCAAACTGTCAAGATATATTTTGGCTCTGCCTCTCAAATATATATAATATGACCACTTTTCACCATTTCCACCAGATTCCTGCAACAACTCCTCTAGTTGGTCTCTCTGCTTCTCTTCTTGACCTCCAAAGTGTCTTCTCATTACAGCAGCAGGGTGATCCTTTTAAAACATAGGTCATATCGTTCCTCTGCTTAAAACCTTGCAATGGCTCTAATTCACTGGGTGTTGTGGCTCATGCTTGTAATCCCACACTTTGGAGGACAAGGCAGGAGGATCACCATAAGCCATAAAATCAAGACATTATGATAGTCTTCAAGACCCTAATTGATTCAGTCCTCCATTACCTCCTGAACTCATCTCCTTACTTACCTCCCGTTCTCTGACCCTGCTGCTGACACAGTGGCCTCCTTGTTGCTATTTGAAAACACTGGTTGTTTCTGCCTTAGGGCCTTTGCTTTGGCTGTTTTCTCTGCCTGGAATACTCTTTTTCTTTTCTTAGGATAAAATAACATCAAGCAACACCTGGAATATTCCTTGTACATTCATATGGCTGATTCCCTCACTTCCTTCACATCTTTGCTTAAATCTCACCTTTTTTTTTTTGAACGGAGTCTCACTCTGTCGCCTAGGTTGGAGCACAGTGGTGCGATCTTGGCTCACTGCAACCTCCGCCTCCTGGGTTGCAACAATTCACCTGCCTCAGCCTCCTGAGTAGCTGGGATTACAGGTGCCTGCCACCATGCCCAGCTAATTTTTGTATTTTTAGTAGAGATGGGGTTTCACATGTTAGCCAGGCTGGTCTTGAACTCCTGACCTCAGGTGATCCACCCACCTCAGCCTCTCAGAGTGCTGGGATTACAGGCGTGAGCCACCACGCCCGGCCTAAATCTCACCTTCTTGATAAGGCCTACCTGACTATTTAAATTTGCAGCCCGTGCCTCCTCCCTGCTTCCCACCTTTGCATCCACTGCCTTACTCGACTTTGCTTTTTCCCCCATAGCACTTATTTTCTACCATAGTGTATAATTTATTATGTTTATTGCTTATCCTCTGCTCTCCCCTTTAGAATGTAGGCTTCTTGAGGGCGGGGATCTTGTTCTATGTCATTCACTACTGTACCCTAGGAACCTAGAATAGGGCCTGCCACATGGATAGCACTGAGATAATTTTAGTTGAGTGAAAGACAGAACAACAAAATTTGAAAAATATAAAGCAGATGAAGAAGTGGTAGCAGACAGGAGAAAAGTGGAATCCTAAATCAGCAGTGGAGAAAGCCTAGAACCAACCTTCTGTATATCCCAGAATCCTCAAAGGGTTCAGAAGGGTTTGTTGAAGCTGTTTAGGAAAGAGGAGAGAAAATATAGGGATTTTGAAGACTGAATCTAGGAGATCCAATGTCTGAATAATAGGAATTCCAAAGAGTGAATACAGAAAAAAGAGGGCAGGGCCACCACCAGCCTTATAGGTCACCTTTGTGTAAAGGTGAGAAAAACACACCTACTGTGAGGGAACGCGCTCTGTGGGCACACAGCTTGGTGAATGAAAAAGATGCTCCTCCTCCAAGCAGATGTAGCTTCAGGTTAAGGCACACAGTCTAGTGAATGGAATCCGGGATACATTTTGGCCCCCACCCACCTCCTCAGCAGAGCACCTTTGTGCAGTGTACAAACTGCACAGCTGTAAGTAGCAATCTTGATGCCATGGAGGAAGTCATCCAGCACTTAACAACCTAGATTTCACAATTGAAAAAGCCCAGCCAGTATCCAGATCGATGGATGAAAACAGACCCATAAAAAGGCATATCATTATGAAATTTTTGCAACTTTGGGGATGAAGGGATGATTCTACAGCTTCTGGAGAGATATAAAACAAAGAAAGGTCACACTGATTTAGAAAGGCTTCAGACTTCTTAACAGCAATCTTTGCCTATTTTTTTTTTTAAGAGATTAAGTCTTACTTTGTTGCCCAGGCTGGAGTGCAGTGGCACGATCATGGCCCACTGCAGCCTTAACTGGGCTCAGCTTCTTGAGTAGCTGGAACTACAGGCATATGCCACCAGACCTGGCAAAGTTTTTCATTTTTTTTGTGGGGACAGGATCTCACTATGTTGCCCAGGCTGTCAACAGCAATCTTTAAAGTTGGATGACAATGGAGTCTTTTCCAAAAAAAGTTAAACATAGAGTTACCATATGTTTGCACTCCAAAGGTATGTATACAAGAGAGCTGAAAATACATGTTTACACAAAAACTTGTAAACAAATGTTAATGGAGGCATAATTCAGTAGCCAAAAAGTGGAAACAACCTACATGTGCATCAACTGATAGATGAATAAACAGAATGTTGTCTATCATAGAATATTATTCAGCCACACACGCAAAAATGAAGTACTGATACAAGCTAGAACATAGATGGACCTTGAAAACATGCTGAGTGAAAGAAGCCAGATACAAACGGCTACCTATTGTGTGATTCCATGTATATGAAATGTCCAGAATAGGTAAATCCATAGAGACATAAAGTAGATTAGTGGCTCCCAGGAGCTAGAGGGAGAGGAAAGAAGTGACTGCTAATGGGTACAGGGTTTCTATTTGGGGTGATGAAAATGTTCTAAAATTAGATAGTGGTGATAACTGCACAATCTGGGATATATATTCAAAACCACTAAATTCTACACTTTAAAATGTACAAAGAGTGAAATTTATGGCATGTGAATTATGTCTCAGTTTTTAAAAAAGACAATGGAAAGCCAGGTGTGGTGGCAGCAGTCCTGTAGCTACTTGGGAGGCTGAGGTGGAAGGACAGCTTAAGCCCAGGAGTTTTTTTTTTTTTTTCTCTGTAGACAGGGTCTCGTTCTGTGGCCCAGGCTGGAGTGTAGTGGTGCAAACATGGCTCACTGCAGCCTCAACCTCTTGGGTTCAAGCGATCCTCCCACCTCAGCTCTCCTGACTAGCTGGAACTACAGGCACATGCCACTACTCCCAGCTTTTTTTTTTTTCCAAGTTTTTTGCAGAGACAGGGTCTCAGTATGTTGCCCAGGCTGCTCTTGAACTCCTGGGCTCAAGCGATCAGCCCACCTCAGCCTCCCAAAGTGCTGGGATTACAGGCATGAGCCACTGATAGAGAAAGAATTGAAGCCTGGGTATGGTGGCTCACGTCTGTAATCCCAGCACTTTGGGAGGCTGAGGTGGGAGAATCCCTTGAGGTCAGGAGTTCAAGACTAGCCTGGTAATATAGTGAGACCCCCACCTCTACAAAAAATAAAAAAATTAGTTGGGTGTGGTGGCACGTGCCTATAGTCCCAGCTACTTGGAAACCTGAGCCCAGAGGATTGCTTGAGCCAGGGAGGTCGAGGCTGCAGTGAGCTGTGATTGTGGCACTGCACTCCAGCCTGAGTGATAGAGGGGGGCCCTGTCTCAAAACACAAAACAAAACAAAAACAGAGGAACTGAGATCTCTAGAAGAGATGGCTTTGGGAAAAGAAAATAAATTAGAACTAATAAATTACCTGATAGAACTGTCTTATGGGAGAGACAAATGGAAGGGGTGGGAATTATCAAGAAGTACAAATAAAACTAAGAAAGTTTAAAAATAAAAGACAATTATTTACTTCAGGAAAAACAAAAAAAATGAGGAATCAAAATATGCTACAATCCTCAGCTGTGTATAATATTTGCATAGGCAAAATCATGTAAACATTGCATCTTTAACCCCAAATTATAAATATAACTACATTGGGAGGATGGGGTAAGAGAATGGTGGTATAACAGAACAAAATCTTCATTTATAATCAGAGGAAATTGACTGATAAGGTTTAAAATTGATGAATCAAAAGACAGCAATATGTGCATAACAGAAATAGATGTGCAAATGCCAAGAAGAAACAGTGAAAGAACAAAACATGGTTGCCCCTGGCGAGGGGGACTGAAGAGTATGAAAGAGAAGATATGGGCTAGTGACTCTTTTTAGGCTTTTAGTTCTATGTGACCTTTTCAATTACTTTAATAAAAAATTTAAAGCCAGCTCAGTGGCTCACGCCTGTAATCCCAGCACTTTGGGAGGCCGAGGGGGCGGATCATCTGAGCTCAGGAGTTTGAGACCAGTCTGACCAAGACGGAGAAAGCCTGCCTCTACTAAAAATACAAAATTAGCTGGGCAGGGTGGCACATGCCTGTAATCCCAGCTACTCGGGAGGCTGAGGCAGGAGAATCGCTTGAACCTGGGAGGCAGAGGTTGCGGTGAGCCGAGATCGCGCCACTGCACTTCAGCCTGGGCAACAAGAGCGAAACTCCATCTCAAAAAAAAAAAAATATATATATATGTATATGTATATGTATATGTATATGTATATGTATATGTATATGTATATGTATATGTATATGTATATAATTGTGACCGGGGTGGTGGCTCATGCCTGTAACCCCAGCACTTTGGGAGCCATGGCAGGTGGATCACCTGAGGTCAGGAGTTCGAGACCAGCCTGGTCAACATGGTGCAACCCCGTCTCTACTAAAAATACAAAAATTAGCCAAGCGTGGTGGCACGTGCCTGTAATCCCAGCTACTGGGGAGGCTGAGGCAGGAGAATCTCTTGAACCCGGGAGTCAGAGGTTGCAGTGAGCTGAGATTGGGCCACTGCATTCCAACCTGGGTGACAGAGCAAGACTCCATCTCAAAAAAAAAAAAAAAAAAAATATATATATATATATATATATATATGCTTTCAGGATAAAAGACAGTTTTAACAGCCACTAAAATTTTAAACAATGAGTGTCAAATTAAATAGAAAAATGTTCTTATTAAACCAAGTTTTTTTTCTAGAGACGGTATCCACTATGTTGCCCAGGCTGGAGTGCAGTGCTATTCACAGGCACCATCATTGTGCACCATAGTCTTGAACTTCTGGCCCCAAGCAATCCTTGTGCCTCAGCTTCCCAAGTAGCTGGGACCACAGGTGCATGCCACCATGCTCCACGTCTCATCAAGCTCATTTTTAAAAGTCTTTAATCAGATATCAAAGTAGCAGTAATGTTATCTATACATGTAAAACTGTATTTAGTTGTTCCTCTTAATAACTACTGTTAGAAAATTTCAAAATTTAAATCACAAGAAGTGATAAGAAACATAAAGAGAATGGCTGGTTTGATTGTCTTTTTTCCTCTGAATAACTTGGAACTGAAAAGCAGGGGGTTTGCATGCATGGGAAATAGGTCAAACATCCAGGCCTGAGATCTTTACCCAGAACAGAGTGTTATACCCTTCTCTTGTGCATTGTATGAGTACTTGTCTAATATCATAACTCGTAACTAAAAGGCATTTTTAAGGGGCTCTTGCCAGGACAAAGGAAATCTGTTCTCAAGCTGAACTGATATCTCCTCCTCCATGGCCTAAAATCTGTGAGCAACTTGTAAATAAATGGTGCACTCTTAGCTCTCTATTAAACCCAAGTCTAGCTGCGATGGCAAGTTTTTTCCTTAAGAGGGAGCCAACAATTCCCATTCAAGATGACTAAGTCCAAAAAGACTGCAGAGAACTGTAATTGAATCCAAACCAATGTTAGCATACAGAAGGTTTAAATGAATAGGACAGAACAATGTTCTTGGTGTCTGGTTGTCCATTTTGGCTTGACCCATTTCAAAGAAAAAGGCATGTCCTCAGAGTTGCAGATTCAGTGCTGTTTCCTACTTGTTATTTCTGGATTGTCGGTAGAATCATTCTACCAAGGTTCCTGTCAGGTCCTTAGCTGTGCAGTGGGGAGTTAAGGAATGAGTCATGTTCCATTTTTGTAATGGAGTTGCAGGGAGCGTGGCACCTATGAGAGCCACCATGATGGCAGCAGTAGCAATTAGGGAAGGATCTCCCAGGGAAGGCGAATCTTGAAGATAAAAGTTAATTAGGACTGTGAGTCCAGCAGTCCTCCCCTGAAGGCACCTTCCTTCATTGTCACCCTTAGAGGATCATGGTGTCATTTTATTGAGGAAGCTGGTGGGTTTCTTTATAAATGGTGACAGCACTGAGCCTCTGGCTGCTTTGACAGAGTTGGAGCTCTGGGACCCCTGTAGGAGAAGTGGAGGGCCGGGGGCACTCCTGCCAAGACCAATGTCTGTGGACTTGTAAACACTTGGATTTAGGGGAGGAGGTATGGTCACTTGGCAGAGACCCAGGTTCTACACAGAAAAGTGATTCTGGTTATACTTGCAATAGGGGACAGCTCTTCTTGCCTCTGGGTCTAAGAACATTTCCAAACAGGCAACATCTGTCTAAAATTCCTGGGAGGGAGACATGCAGCAGTTATGGGGCATCCTGAACGACCAGGTGAGGCTGGCAGCAGAGGTCCCAAGTGGAGTGGGGAGAATAGGTCCTTGAGAGGGTGGTCACGTCATGAATCTCCAGGTAGAAAAGACCAACTACTAGGAGTATCTTAGGCAAAGTGACAGAGAATAGTAGGCTATTGATGTACTACTGCAAACACAGCTGTCTGGGAGTGCTCACTGGAGTCAGAGGGTCCCCCACAGGGAAGTATGTCAGCAGCACTCACCTGCAATGGCACAGTCTTGGGAGGCCAGGCCTGCCCAACAAAGCTACCCAATGTTACTTCACAGATGACTGGCTCAATCTAAAGGCAAGACACAGCTGCCTAGAGTTTCATCAGAATAAAAAAAGTATCTCCTTTTTGTTGTTGTTGTTTTTGAGACAGGATCTCATTCTGTTGCCCAGGCTGGAGTGCAGTGGCATGATCACATTTCACAGCAGCCTCAACCTCCTGGGCTCAAGTGATCTCCCACCTCAGCCTCCTGAGTAGCTGGGATTACAGGCGTGCACCACCACACCCAGTTATTTTTTTTTTTTTTTTTTTTTTTTTTTGGAGAGACAAGATTTTGCCATGTTGTCCACGCTAGTCTCCAACTTCTGGGCTCAAGCAATCTGCCCACGTTGGCCTCCCAAAGTGTCGGGATTACAGGTGTGAGTCACTGTGCCTGGCCAAAAATACCCTTTTCTTTCTTTTTAAAAAAATTATTATTATACTGTAAGTTTTAGGGCACATGTGCACAACATGCAGGTTTGTTACATAGGTATACATGTGCCATGTTTGTTTGCTGCACCCATCAACTCGTCATTTACATTAGGAAATACTCTTTTCCTGAACTAGGATGAAGTGGGGGTGAGAGTTGGCAGCGGAAGCCCTAAGAAAGTATGGACACATTACCAGTCCTAATTCTGCCCTTTTGGTAAAATAATAGTTTGGAAGGCGTGGTGGGTTAGGAGCTATGCTATATAGTCCAGCAGTCTCTGCCTGTCACAGGCTGAACCTACAGGTATTATTGGTGACATTTCATTCTGGGTAGATTCGTGGAGTAGGGCCCTTACTTAAAGCTGCTAGGCCAGGTAAACTTCCAGCAGCAGATTGCCCTGCCTGAAGACTCCTCTCCTTCTGGCACAAACAGAAAGGCACCCCGAAGAATTCCTCTCCCTTCCCCTAAGCTGGAAGCTTAGAATTTCCTGATATAACTGCATCTGAAGGAGAGAGGGTTGGTATCTGGGTGACCTACGAACTTTCTTGATTGCTGCGGAGACTGTGGTTAACACTAAAGGCTTGGCGGTGGTGATTGGGGAGCCTATGGGCTATTTTCTGGCTGAGTCGGGCTCCGTTAACTGCAATTAATATTTCTTCCACCAGAGGGCACTATTGGAAAGCAGAAAGTGGTGGGTAGCGTTGGTGGTCAAGGCTTCTCAGGAATAAGCTAGGATAGTTCCCCGTTAATCCAGAAACTCTTCTGCGTTGGTCTAGAGCCTCCACAGATAGTAGGAGAGCGGGAAGAGGAGGAAAGGGATAGATTTAGTGAGCAATTTCTACAGAGCCATTTTCCCAATTATGATTACTTTTCATAACAAAGAAAAAAACAAACTATAAATGAATTCCTCATCACAGCCTGAGGCCTCTGGTGGGAGAATACAGGTCAGTGGAGGACCTTGGGCCTCTGTTTGTATATTTACTCTCATATGTGGCCTATTCCCTGTGGCCAAACAGCTAATCGTCTTCTCCAACCTGAGAGCCTCGCTGCTCTCCATTCTTGGTGATTCTCCTCCTTGAAAAAGTCTATTATTTTCTTTGGTTATTTATTAAGCTAAAGATAGCCTTTTTGCTTAAAATTTCCATTCTCATTGCAGCCCCATTTGCATTTTTAAAAATAAATAATGCACATGTAGTCAATAAGTGGGAGATAGATGTGCTTTTGAATTCTCAAAATGTGGCATAGACAATGACTTTGGGGAATGATGCAATAGATTACATAGTGTCCCTCCTCTTAGAAGACTTATAACTATTTTCTCCTAAAAACTGAATTTATGACCCACTTGCTTTATCCTAATAAAAATCACAACTGTGTTTTATTGCTGTTGGCATAGATTTAGGCTGTAATTAAGTGGAAATTTACCTCTGATATATTCATCAATAAGCTGTACATTAACTTCCACATGCTTGGCAGTTGGATCAAAGGCACAAATATTGTTGACTAAATATTTGTTAACATACTGTGAACAAACAACAAGAGAAAATTTATGGGATCACCAGGAAGCAGAAATACAGTGCCCAGTTCAACAGCTTACATAATTCCATTTATATAGATTTTAAAATAGGCAAAACCAATCAATGGTGTTAGAAGTGAAGATGATGGTTACCCATGGCCGGGTGTGGTGGCTCACGCCTGTAATCCCAGCACTTTGAGAAGCCCAGGTGGGAGGACCACCTGAGGTCAGGAGTTCGAGACCAGCCTGGCTAACATGGTGAAACCCAGTTTCAACTAAAAATACAGAAAATTAGCTGGGCGTGGTGGCGGGCACCTGTAATCCCAGCTACTCGAGAGGCTGAGGCAGGAGAATTGCTTGAACCCAGGAGGTGGAGGTTGCAGTGAGCCGAGATAGCGCCATCGCACTCCAGCCTGGGCAACAAGAGTGAAACTCCGTCTCAAAAAAAAGATGATGGTTACCCTTGGGGTGGGTGGGGTGAAGGGATGATGAGGAAGGGTACAAAGGAGAGCTTTTGGGATTCCATAAATGCTCTATTTCTTGATCTAGGTCTGGTTACGTGAACGTGTTCCACTCAGTAAAAATTCTTGCATTTGTACCCTTATGATTTATGCAATTATGATTTGTACAGTTAAATTTGTTTAGGCGATTCTTCAATTTAAAAGGTGCTTTTTAAAAAAAAACTTACAAATTTACACTTATCCCAACTTCCAAAGTCACTTGAAAATTCCAACTCTGGATGAAAGAACAAGATAACCGCCTTCAGGATGTCACGCACTAGTTTCACGTTGGCTTCCAACTCCATAGATTTGCTGTCTTGAGGAGAATTTGGCTCTGTTACAAGAGTATGGTCATAGAGCAACAGTGACACAAATTCCATGGAATTGAGTAGTTGGATGCTTTCCTGTAGCTCGAGCAGCATGATTCGGAAGAAGAGAATTCCTGCCCGCTGGACTTCCCTGACATTTTCAATCTCTGGAATAACAAAATGATAGCTCACATTGCTGTTCAGTCTAATGTACATTGCTGTACATTACTTTTTCATAGGATTCTGAACATATTATAGTAAATGTTTTTGTCAAGAAAAAGCAGACCATAGCCTTTGGTTTTAAACAATCTCAGTTTCTTTAGCCATGAAATCAAAAGAAAGCAATGAAATTACTCCCGGTGAAGCTCATAGGAAGAGGCTTTGAGAAAAGGCAAAAACTTGGGTTTTAGAGTTAGACCCTGGTTTGAACACACGCTGTCACCCTTATTAGTCTATTGTCTCTCTGAATATCCTTTTCCTCTTCTGTGAAAATGGGCTTAATCCCTACTTCCTTGGTTAGCTGTGAGAATTAGAGAAGATGATATATGTAAAAGTGCTTAGTTACAGGCGTTACACATAGTGAACACTTAGGAGACATGAAATTTCTCCTTTCTTCTTATCCCACTCTATGACATAGTTACAAATCTTTTGGCTCAATCCCACATAGTGTTACTCTGCTAATTCTATTCACTTCATTCTAGGAAGCCAAAGGTTTCCAGGCCTTCTTCCTCCCTCCCTCTCTCCAGCTGGCATTGCGCTGAGAGTAGCCTAGTGGATGTGGAATCACAAAAACTAAAGTCTAATCCTGGCTCTCCCACCAGCTTGCTATTGGACCTTAGATAATCCACTTTACTTTTGCAGTCTTTAGCATCTTTATCTGTAAAACGAGATGTTCTGATTACTTAATGCTGTATAACATAGTGGGAAGAGCACCCAAATCTAGGTTCAAATCCAGCCCTCACCATTTCTTAACTGTGTGACTGGGGGCAATTTGCTTACTTTCCTCACCTGTAAGTGGGGTATCACTATTCATCTCATAGGGTTATGGCAAGGATTGAATGAAATAATATCTGAAGCACATAATGGGGGTATTTAATACATGCTAGTTCTAGCTTGCCTTTATGAGCCCTTCCAGCTCTAAAACTGTAGGAATCTAACCATGAGAATGTGATTCCAGGCTGTTTCCTTTAATTTGTAGACATTACTCGTCAGCGCAAGACTGCATAAGGGAATTCCTTTTATATGAAAAGATGTGTATGTTGTAACAATTCATTTTAGAAAGTGCATATTTCATTGCACTCCCTGTGATTTCCCCAAAACCTATTAAACCTGTGAATTTAGACTGATGCCACATGAACGATACCTAAGATATATTTTTTCTTTATCTCTCCAGAGAACTCGCCAAGTATTTCATAGCAGGCCACTTGGACCACTTTCATCATTTTCTGTAGATCTTTATATTCTTGACACAACAACATCCTATTTTGGCCGATGTTAAAATCGAGGACTCCCAGAGCCTCTCCTGTTCTCTCACGAAGTGGAACTACTATATGCGTTTCTCCACAGGCAGAAGCCAGAACAACTTCTGAACTGTCAGTACATTTAAAGAGGAAATCTCTGAAATCAAAACCAAATAAGCACAAGGATATTAAACATCTGTCTGTTCACATCATTCCACCAAAACATATTGAATTACTCTCTTGTGCCTACCTCACTTCCACCATGCCAGCCCTTCTTGCTGTTTCATCTGCCTGGAGCATTCTAGCCCTTGATTTCACATGGCTGTCTGTTTGCTCACTCATGTCTCTGCTCAAACATCCCCTCGGCAGAGAAGGCGTCCCTGACCACCCAATCTCAAGCAGCGCCCAAGCCACTCTCCATCATGATACTTTGCTTCGTTGTCTTGGCTTATCTGAAGGTGTTCATTTTTTGTTTACCTATTGTCCATTATGCTTTGGTGGAGTGCCAGCAGAAATGATGAGTGTGTTAGGTCGGGTTCCCTAGAAGCAGAGCCTGAGACAGGGATGCTTATGCAAGTGATTTACTGAGCGAGTGTTCGCTGGAGAAACCTGTGAGGGACTGAATGAAGCAGGACAGGCAAGGGGAAGAAGCTAAGTAAGAATGTAATTTCACATGAAGTCTAGCCTCGGCCTGATCCCAAGGGGAGCTCTGAAAGGTCAATTGTACCAAAGAATCTGTCCCACCTTGAGGCAAAGGGAGGGGTTTTTTGCATCCTAGCACTAGTCAGTCATTGGCTCTAAGCTGCCCTGGGTGTGTGTGGGCAGTTTGGGCTGGGGGAGTGTTTACCCATCTCTTAGGTAACTCCTGGTGAAGAGCTCCAATCGCTCAAGGGCGCTCCTCCAGAGAAAGTTACGGTGTGAGCCAGGCCGTGCCTACAGCAGCTGGTAAAAGGCATTTTGGGGATCTGGGTAGAGCATCTATAGCATCTGCCTCAGTGAGAGACTTGAGATTTTCATGGAAATGTGGTGGCTGCTTCTTTCTCTTGGTGAGGCACAGACACACCTCTTTTTCTTTCTTTTCCCTTTCCCCATCTACATTAATTCTGATATGCCATTTCTTTAAGGTATTTGTAAAAAATTGGTACTTTGCATCCTCGAAAAGCGCATTTATAGTTTCTATATCAATCCTACAGTGACAGGTAAGATGATGTCCTTCTGCTATTCCCACCCCTTTTGCTGCTGCTGAGCCACCACTTTGTGTTGTGTCTCGATGAGTGCCATAGTAATAATGCATCATACTAGGCTTTCCAGGAATAACAATAGAGCCCATTGGTCAACTGACTTCCTCCAAAGACATCTGTTCTAAGTTACACACAAGAATCCAGGGCTATGCATGTTCCCACTCATAGGTGGGAATTGAACAATGAGAACACTTGGACACAGGGTGGGGAACATCACACACCGGGGCCTGTCGTGGGGTGGAGGGAAGGGGGAGGGATAGCATTAGTAGATATACCTAATGTAAATGACAAGTTAACGGGCGCAGCACACCAACATGGCACATGTATACATATGTAACAAACCTGCACGTTATGCACATGTACCCTAGAACTTAAAGTATAATTTAAAAAATACATAAAAAAAAAGAATCCAGGGCTATGAGTCTGGGTATTACAAGGACTTCTGTAAAACTTTTGACCAGCACAAGGAATAACTATGTGGAAAAGAGCTTGAGATTGAACCAACATTCTGGCATGAGGCCAAACTAAAATTTAATTGACATATGTAATTAAATGTTGAGTTAGCCTACTGGTCTGGGATTACTGAGTTACCGCCTACTCAACGACAGTGACCCCCTAAGAAGCAGTCATTCCCTTTTGCAATAGGTGTGTTCTCAGTTAAGATCTGTTTACATTTGTACACATTTTAGTAGTATTCCTTGCATTTGACAAGTGAGAGTCATTCTAAGTAATTTAGAACCGAGTACTTATTAAATACAACATGCTTTGCCTTCTCTCCAACTCTGCATGTCTTCTTTAAATAAAAAAGACATTCACAGTCTTGCTAATATTCACACATGAGCTCTGATGAGTGATGTGAATGTATTATTCATAATCATGGTGGGCTTTTGTTGAATTCCATATTTACAAGGAAATTCATGGAAAATAAAACACTTTCATGCTTTAAAACATGCAATTTTAAAATAAAATGCCAATGAAATCTGTTTTAAAAAGGACTTGGGAAGGCTGGGCACCATAAAGAGACCCTGTCTCTTAAAAAAAAAAATTAAATGAGCTGGGCTTAGCAAATACGTGTAGTCCCAGCTATTTGGGAAGCAGAGGCAGGAGGTTAGCTTGAGTCCAGGAGTTTGAGACTGCCATGAGCTAAGATCATAGCACTGCACTCCCACCTGGGTGACACAGTGAGAACTCATCTCTCAAGAAAAAAGGATTTGGGAAAAAAAGAGTAAATATGTCCCAGGCAGACAACATTCTGCAGAAATTTTTCTTTAAAAGCCAATCAGAATAAAATTCAGTGTGATCATTAGAGAAATGCAAATCAAAACCCCAATGAGACATCATCTCATACCAGTCAGAATGGTGATCTTAAGTCAAAAAACAAGAGATGCTGGCAAGACTGTGGAAAAGTAGGAACGCTTTTACACTGCTGGCGGGAATGCAAATTAGTTTAACCATTGTGGAAGACAGTGTGGTGATTCCTCAAAGGCCTAGAACCTGAAATACCATTTGACCCAGCAATCCCATTAGCGGGTATATACCCAAAGGAATATAAATCATTATATTATAAAGATACATGCACACATATGTTCATTGCAGCACTATTCACAGTAGCAAAGACATGGAATCAACCCAAATGCCCATCAATGATAGAATGGATAAAGAAAATGTGGTATACACACACATCATGGAATACTATGCAGCCATAAAGAGGAATGAGATCATGTCCTTTGCAGGGACATGGATGGAACCGGAAGTCATTATCTTCAGCAAACTAACACAGGAACAGAAAACCAAACACCACATGTTCTCACTTATAAGTGGGAGCTGAACAATGAGAACACATGGACACAGGGAAGGGCACACACTGGGGCCTGTCAAGGGGGCGAGGGTAGGGAGAACATTAGGAAAAAATAGCTAATGCATGCGGGGCTTAATACCTAGGTGATGGGTTGATAGGTGCAGCAAACCACCATGGCACAAGTTTACCTGTGTAACAAACCTGCACGTCCTGCACATGTATCACAGAACTTAAAATAAAATAAAATTAAATTAAAAAGAAAGAATAAAAGTCAGCGTGTATGAGCAAGAGTCAGAAGCTGTGTCTTTCAGGTCTACTATTGTACCAGAAGGATGTGTTCTAGCAGTCAAACAAAACAGACATGTCTCTAACCTGAAGATGCATGACTTCCTGTGGATGGTAGGAGGATTTTTGTGGATTTCTGTTAGACCCAGCTGCCCTGTAACCATCATGTTGCGTAAAACATAGTCTGAATCCTTGAAAAGAGGAAGGCATTTCATTAGGAGTAATTAGACCTCATATTCTCATTAAAGCTTTTGGGGACAGATAAATAGAAAAAAAATAGGAAAGCTTAGATGACCTCTGGCTTTAAGGACAGTGACATTTTACTTAGTACCATTAGAGAACAGGATAATTTTTTTTTTTCGAGATGGAGTTTCACTCTTGTTGCCCAGGTTGGAGTGCAATAGCACGATCTTGGCTCACCACAATCTCTGCCTCCTGGGTTCAAGCAATTCTCCTGCCTCAGCCTCCCAAGTAGCTGGGATTATAGGCATGCACCACCATACCCAGCTAATTTTGTATTTTTGGTAGAGACAGAGTTTCACCATGTTGACCAGGCTGGTCTTGAACTCCTCACCTCATGTGATCCACCTGCCTTGGCCTCCCAAAGTGCTGAGATTACAGGCGTGAGCCACCACACCCGGCCCCGGCTAATTTTTTTTTTTGTATCTTTAGTAGAGACAGGGTTTAACCATGTTGGCCAGGCTGGTCTCGAACTCCTGACCTCAGGTGATCCACCCACCTCGACCTCCCAAAGTGCTGGGATTACAGGTGTGAGCCACCACCTGGCCAATTTACTTTCTTCACTTCGCTATTGGGACGACACTCTCTCCTGGTTCTCCTTCTACCTCACTAAACAATCTTCATTCTCCCTGCTTCTTTATCTCCCTTACTTCTAAGAAGTTTTCAAACTGTAGGTCAACCCACAACTTACATGTGGGTTGTGAAAATATTTTAATGAGTCTTGATCAATATTTTTTCGTAGAAACTAGTTTATAAGAACGTATATTAACATATTCTGTAAATACAGTAACTGTAGGAAACACAAATTCAATTAAGAGATGTAAAGAGGGGTTTTTATGAATCATTCCTTTAAAAAAAAAATTCTTGGGGCATGCCTGTAGTCTTAGCTACCCCGGAGGTTGAGGCAGGAGGATCGCTTGAGTCTCGGAGTTCAAGGTTACTGTGAGCTCTGATCATGTCACTGCACTTCAGCCTGGGCAACAGAGTGAGACCTTGTCTCTAAAAAAATAAAAATAAAGATAACTAATTATTGGAACAAATTAAAAATATGATAAGAGGATCCATAGGGGCTGCATGTTGAATGGTGCTTGGAAGAGGAACAGCTGTTTTGTAATGTGAAATTTCCTCTTGCCTCTATACTCCATGACATCAAGGGTTCTTCCAAACTCTTTAGAAGGGAAATGTTGTCAACGTTATCCTTGGAAAACTGTTAAGATTATCGCACATTGACGATTGGACTTCTAGCTTCTTTCCAAATTTATTTCTTTTCTTTTCTTTTTTTTTTTTTTTTTTTGAGACGGAGTCTCGCTGTGTCGCCCAGGCTGCAATGCAGTGGCGTGATCTCGGCTCAGTGCAAGCTCTGCCTCTTCCGGGTTCACGCCATTCTCCTGCCTCAGCCTCCCAAGAAGCTGGGACAGGCGCCCGCCACCGCGCCCGGCTAATTTTTTTGTATTTTTAGTAGAGACGGGGTTTCACCATGTTAGCCAGGATGGTCTCGATCTCCTGACCTCGTGATCTGCCCGCCTCAGCCTCCCAAAGTGCTGGGATTACAGGCGTGAGCCATGTAAACTGACATACTCACAGATTCCAGGAATTTGGACATGGACATCTTATGGGAAGGCATTATTGTGCCTGATGCAGTTACCTATTTAATAAGTTCGGTACTCCAAAGAAATAGACAGAGGTGCTTTGGGGTGATAAGCTAAAATACCCTGAATTTCATACCTAAGAGAATTTGAATCTGTTTTTACTCATCTATGGTTACTGTTAACAGAGCAGTAATTTTTTTCCTCTATGACTCTGTACCTTACAGGAACATGGGCTTGAGGTGAGGGGGAGTATCACAGGATTTACTTTATAATTCGTATCAGTCAGGGTATCACAAGGAAGCAGATTGCCACAGCTGGGTAATTTAAGGGGCGTTTAATAAAGGGACTATTTATGAAGGCAGTGTTTAGAATTCCAACCTGGTAATAAGGAAGAGCTGTTACCACTCTTAGCCTGAAGAGGCGGGGAGAGGGGGCGGGGACGGGGGAAGCAATGACCAGAACCGACAAAGGACAGCTGTGTGGAGAGGACTGCCTGATGAAAGGTGAAGTGGCCTTTAGGAGAGAAACACAGCTAACCCACAGCAACCTGACAGAGAGGGAAACAGAAGCATCAATGCCCCAGTTGCACTCTACTTCTGCCCTCCAGTGTCCTGTTGGCAGCTGTCATTGGACAAATGCAAGCAGAAGCCAAAGGGCCAAAGAGCCCATGGATACTGGTTTATCTTTGAGACACAGAGCAGCCTGGAGAAGAGAGAGAAATGTGAATCTGGAGGGGCTGCAGAAGGGGAAGAGGGAGGCTTAGGAAGTTATGATCGTTGAGTGCTTGAAAAGAGCTTAGACAGGCTGTTCTGGTCTCTGCCCCACCATGATCTCACTCACAACCCGACTGCTGGGTGGTCCTTCTCTCCCCCGACTTTTGGCAGGATCTTCTTCACCACTATGAGATGGTCCAGGTCAGATGGGGTGTGACCCTGGTGGCTTTGTCTGTGGACTCTTGGTTCTGAACTTACAGCCGCTGAAGTCATGCTTCTTGCTGCTGCTTTGGGCTATTTTGGCTTTTCCATGGTGCCCTATGTGTTGTTTCTCTTAAGGCCCTGACGATGTTCTTCTGAATCTTCCCTGGGGCCCCATGTGCTTTGAAGGGCCATTGTAGCTGGGGCCCTTCAAACAGGGTGCTCTGCCCCAGGCCTAAGTGCCCTTGGAGGCTCCCATGGCCTGGCCACCCCACAAGAGAGCTCCATGATTCTGCCCTCATTGACCAAGGCCTCATCAGATTGACCTAGCTACTGAGGGAGGGAAGTAGGGACCTGGTGGGAAAAAGGAAAGAAGCAGCCCGGAGGGAAGTGTGGACATGCCTGTGTGGGCCAGCCAAGGGACTGGGAGACAACCAGGTGACACTACCACCCAACCAAGCACCTCCCAGAGTCATTCAGCCTTTCTGAAAGGAAAAACCTTTCCACCCACTCTCATCATATGCAAAATCCTAACACAAAGTATAAAGAAGCAAAGCAAACAGTCAGCAAGAATTCATGACATTATGGATAGGAGGGCTTAAAAAAATCGGTGTCATATAACTGAGTCCTTCCAAAACAGCAGCTCCTAGTCCCTTCCCACTCCACCCATATGATTCTGGTGAGTGTTGCCCATTACTGTGAACTCCACACTCTGGCCAGGGGTATGTATCTCAGGATAAGTCAAAAAGAGTTTTCTGGCCGGGCACTGTGGCTCACGCCTGTAATTCTAGCATTTTGGGAGGCTGAGGTGGCTGGATCATCTGAGGTCGGGAGTTCAAGACTAGCCTGACCAATATGGAGAAACCCCGCCTCTACTAAAAATACAAAATTAGCTTGGCGTGGTGGCGCATGCCTGTAATCCCAGCTACTCGGGAGGCTGAGGCAGGGGACTTGCTTGAGCCCGGGTGGCGGAGGTTGAGGTAAGCTGAGATTGCGCTATTGCACTCCAGCCTGGGCAACAAGAGCGAGACTCCGTCTTCTTTCTTGGGTTTTCCAAACTGGAACTTTTTACAGGATGCTTTTAGTAAGCATCTGACTTGCTCTGCAGAAAAAGCCCATCTTTAGCTGGAAGAACAAAACCAATGTACAGAGGGAAACAAACATGAGAAGTGGAGAGATGAACACAAGAGAGCCCTGATGGCTTCAAGTCCCTGGATCTGGCCATCCTGAAAGATAGCTTGACTCCTGCCCTGTCTTCATTTTGGTCACGTGAGTCAGTTAATTCTCCCTTTTGCCTAAGGCAATTTGAGATGGATTCCTGTCACTCACAACCAAGGGTCTTGTATTGGGAAATCTGTCTTCCTTTAGACTAATAGCTAATTAATATGGTTTTCAAATATTAGCAAGAAATAACATCTAGACACTCGGCTACCTTGGAGAGATCTACCACTACTGAGCCTTGCCTACCTGGGCTGGGCTAGGCTCTACAAAGTACGTAGTGATGGAGGTGATGCTGGATGTGACGTCATAAAGCCAGCCTATGCCAGTGATCACAATATGCAGAATGTGCTCCCGGCTGTGGACGTAGTGATAGGCAGTGCTAAAGACATTAGCAACACCCTGTAGAGACAGAAAATTCAAATAGCCTATTCTTTTTAAAATAGAAAAATAATTAGTAATATAGTAATTGGATTACCTTTACCAGTAATTTAATTACTTCATGATAATCTACTTCCTACAAATTATTCAGCAGTCCTCAAAGGGCAGTGTTCCAGATTCTACTATTAAAAAAAAGGATCATCAAGAAATCAAAGTTATAGGCCAGGTGCCATGGCTCATGCCTGTAATCCCAGCACTTTGGGAGGCCAAGGCAGGGCGGATCACTTGAGGTCAGGAGTCTGAGACCAGCCTGGCCAACATGGTGAAACCCTGTCTCTACTAAAAATACAAATATTAGCTGGGCATGGTGGTGCACACCTGTAATCCCAGCTACTCAGGAGGCTGAGGCAGGACAATTGCTTGAACTCAGGAGGTGGAGGTTGCAGTGAGCTGAGATCGCAACACTGCACTCCAATCTGGGCAACAGAGCAAGTCTCACAAAAAAAAAAAAAAAAAAAAAAGAGGTATAAAGAGAGAGACCCACATACCTTTTTATGCTTTTGATAGTCATCCAGTGAAATTTGTGGTATGTGCTATTAGAGAATAGCATCAAAGGAACAAGATAAACTTTGAAATGAGAAAAAAATGTTAAAAAGCCAAGAACGAATGCCAATCTTAGGCAGGTGGGTAGGAGCTGCCTTGATCGGATGCCAATGTTAATGCCTGCATCTGTGCAGACATGGCCACTATCATCAGATCGACAGTATAGGACATGTTTGGTTCCAAGACCCACAGTGTGCTAGATTACGTAGTCCTCTTACAGGCATAAGGAGACCCTGTTCCACAGAGAAGGGATGGGAAATCTTTAGAACCCATATGTGGGCCTGTTGTCAGGAAACTCTAGGAATCACAAACTCTTCAAAATTATATGCCTTTTATATTAGGACTCAAGGCATCTAAGGGTAACCCAGAAGCCTTTACCTCTAAGGGCTAGAGTGCCAATGTATAATTCATTTTGAAAAGCTCTCTAGCAAGACTATATATACTTCACCTACTGATAACTCCATACTCCTCCATTTTAATATCTTCACATAATTCTTGTGTCAGATGAGAATGAATTTTATTATTGAAAATGTGTCCAGAGAAAGAGGTACTACCACTTTCCTCAACTATCCACCCAATAAATGGGAAGAGAAAGTGAAAAATAATGGTAAATAAACATAAAGAGCCAAAGGCTTACAGGGCAACAAATGATAAGGGCATAGCAAGTTCAAGTTCCTAACTTGCTGCTAGACTCCACAGTTCATTGTCTCCATAAAGGCTTTTGATCTTCCTTTATTGCAAGTTCTATCCATAAATTAAATAAAAATGCTTGTAGAAATGGTCTAGCTATTTCATGATCTTAAAAGTGCCTATCATTTTGTGATCTAATTTAAAAACATGAATACCCAAGAAACATTTAGGCCTTTTTCTTTATTTTTCATCCTCAAAAATTATAACACTGAAATCAAGACCTATGGGGATGCATATCAGAATTAGTACCATTTGTAGAAAGTACAAAAGATTTCTAGATAGATACCACTGTTAGTAAAACACAAATACGTCCCTTCTAAAAGTTCATTCCCGCTTTGTGGGTCTTAATGGTCAATGGTTGGATTTCTGTTCTGTAGCATAAAATTCTATTCCTGTGATTAATGCTATGGGACACATGAGGCTGAGGCATGGATATGTAACTGAGGCTGAAAGTCCTTCCATAAGTAATGGGGAACTTCTCAAAAGACTGAAACATACATTCAGGGAACAGGAGCAAGTATGATGATGTTATCTGTATACACAGCTTTACTCTCATCGGATTTCAGGTTTCACTCTTTAAAAAGTATTAGAAAGAGAGGCCATCCTACCATCGCTCTTGAAGACTTCTATGACTTACCTGATAGAATCTGATCTCATGAGGTAGAAAGATGTTTATTTCGTGGGGATCTCTAAGGGTATCAACAGCCAAGACCCCAAAGATCCTCATATATGCATCTTGAAGAGGCAGAGCCAGGAATGAACCATTATAATCATGCTTATTACGGGACTGGTTCCAGAAGAAGATGTTCCCATGGTACTGAACTTGGGGAACATGGATTGGCTTCCCTTCATCCACTACTGTAAAGCTGAGGAAAAAGAGTATGAGGATGGAAGAAAGGCACAGGGAGAGATTTAGATTAAACCATGGAGGAAACTAGAGCGATTCTCTATTCACAATCTGTGGCATTATATGACCGAGCAGTGGACTCAGATAAGATGACCAGTTTGGAGGTCTGACTTGAGAAAGACTAAAACAAAAACAAAACAAACAAACAAAAAAAAAAAAAACAAGCTTGGATGTGGACATAGAAAACAAATATAAACAGAACTCCAGAGACATAACTTATGGAGCAGGCAGAAATAATTGAGATGATATTGTGACGCAGAGTCCCCATGTGGCGAATCATTACCAAAGAGCGAGCTCTAGAAATAAGTGAAATCATCCAGGACTGGAAGCCATCAGCTTCTACTCCAGAAGCACTGGTGACTTGAGGCACCTCTCTTTTGAGCAGCTAGCTGGGATCTTGATGCCAGTTTACTCAGAAAGGGAATTATTTTTTTAGGAGGGTGAAACCAATCTCTTCAAGAAGTTCTTACCTGATTCCTTTCATGTCCCTGTAGAGCACTCTGTTCAGTACAAATTGAGCATCATCTAAGGTACAAGCCACATTCCTCAATAGAACATTCCCTTTCTCAGGCAGTAGTAGGTTTTCTTCTAAGAGGGAAATGTGAGCACTGATCTTTTTATTTCCATGGGCTTCAGCATCCTACAGCAAAACGTTTCCGACCATGTGTTTGCCAACAGCCAAAGAACTCCCCTAATCATGTCCCCCTTACTAGTTAATTCATGCATCTTGCCCCAGTAGTTTCATTTTCCTGAATAAAGAATGCATATATTACTATTCATGGGCAGTGGGGAAAAGGTTGACAGCATAGCTATCCTGTAAGTCTGAGTTTCAGTGGGTATAACGGGTTTCTTCTATGCCAACTGGACTGGTTTACCAGAAAAGAAAAACAAAACCAAAAAACTCTCAAGTCTACTCAAATTTAGAGGTTTAAAACTTGGATTCCTTTGACCTATGGTCAACTGTCTGTGTTTCTATTGAAAGTGTTGATTTGAGAGAGAGAGAGCTGGGCCAAGAAGTTGCCTTCACTTCACTCATATTTCTTGACCGTCGACTGTGATGTGAAAGTGAAAAAAAATGCTCTCGAGGAACTCTTAACACACTTTGTATATTTGATCTATGTAATTTCAGGAAGGATTTTTTTGTGGCCCAAGATTGCAGACTTTCTGCAACTACTATTTCTGCAACTATAAATTCTCTGTACCTTAAATATTATTATTATGTTATTAACAATATTATGTGTCAATATATACATTAAACATATCCATAAATTGGGGACATGTGAGACACTTTCCTTGATATTTTTCTCCTCTTTCTATATATTTGGGTTTGCTTTCCATGCCCTTTTCTTTTGCCTTTATTCCTTCTTTCCACATACAAGATCTATGGAGTCATTAACAAATATGTAGCGAGATTTCTCTTAGGATACCACAGACCTCTGAAGCAAGTTAGAACAATGCCTCTTCTTCTTGAGTGGTCTTTTGGTCCCGGTGCCCCATTTCCAACTACACTGGAAAATTCGGCCATTCAGGAGATGATTCAATTGAGCAAGTATCGCTATTTAGCTGAGATGACTGGCATAGGTTCCCTGGATTAGTGGAATCTATGATACATGTAGAAGGCGGCTGTGCTGTTTCTGCCTGTGAATAGCAGCAACCTGGGAGTCTCTGAGGAGGTGGCAAGGCTGTAGGCAGTAGCCCCTCAGGGCCATGCGTTCTAAGTGACAGGATTCTGCAGTAGTCTCAGCTTGCTTCTAGGCAATGCTGTGAAATATTGTGTGGTGTCAGACTCGATAATGAGTTTATGATTTAAATAGTTCCTTTTAAAACTGACTCCCAAAATACCATGCAAGGGAAATGTAGCTTGAACTGCTTGTACATCTCCTTACTGATATTGTTCATAATCTGTCTATTGTCCATTCTAGGCTTATTTGACTCTTAGCAGAAATGAAATTAGAAATCCCAAGACATCTTTTCTACATCTGTCTTTTCTACCTTTCTCCTCTGCTTCTATCTTGTCAACCAGCAGTCACTCCAGTTGTATCTCTCCTAGGCTTTGGGCCATTTGTAATGGACTGGAATGAATAAAATATCTACAGCAGCACCCAGTGATTTTTCAAGAGAATTCAAGATGCTCCTCTTTTGCAAACATTGAACATCGCCTACTTTGAGGAAATGTTTCCTCTTACATACTGCTTTAGGAAACGTACCTGCATGAGGGCCTTAAAGGTCTCACTATACACCGGCTCTAGGGACACCCCACTTGTCTCTGCAGCACATTGGATTTGGTGCAGCCATTTCCGCCTGGCAGAATTCCTCAGACTCTCAATGTGGCTCCTCTCTAAAGCATTCATCAGAAATTCCACAACACTTTCCAGAACTTGGTCTTCATTGCCCCTGAGTTCAGACACAACCAATTCTATGTAATTCTGAAATTGTTTTGAAGACAATCTCACTTCGTGACCAGGGTGTGGCTTTGGAAATTGGATGTGTAGTTTAGCTAAAAGACACAAACACGAAACCAAGAACTAACCAAAAGTTCACTCATTGGTGGGGGGGATTTTCATTCTCCTCTTACGATGAACTGAAGCCCTGGGCAACTGCTCTCCTGGAAAACCAAGTATACCAAAGGCATCTCTGAGCCCAGTGGAATATGTTACAATGAATTTCTATGTTGAACTCAATATGACTCCTGTGTCAGCTTCTGTTTTTGTTTTGTTTTAATTTTACCACCTAGCCTGGTGAAACCTCAAGGTTTGCTTTGACTCCTTCCCTACCTTTTGCCTTCCATATCCAATAAACCACTTAATTCTATCCTGTTACTCTTTGGCAGTGTGGCCACTCCTCTCCTTTCATACTTTCATAACCCCAGAGCCAGCGTTTATCACTTTGTAATTGACTTAACAATAGTAAATGCTCAATACGTGTTTGTAAAATTAAATTAAAACACAACTTGCATTATGCAATTCCCTGGTTCAAAGTCCTACCATATTTGGATCCAGTCTATTTCTAATCACATCTGCCCGTAAGGCCATATAGGAATTATCTACTGCAGTATCTCCATTCTACTCATGGTCCCTGTCCATGTCTTGCACACTTCTGTATTCACATGTCTTCTCTATTTTTGTAATTGTATAATCATGAACCTACTACCAAACCTGAACATTACCAGTAACATATATTCTTCTATGATCTGCCCTATTCCATTCCCTGCCTCCCCACACTTCCCACTGATATCCTGAATTTGGCTTTATCTTTACCTTTCTTGTAATTTTCCCAATGTTATTATAGTTACATAGCAATATATGTGTTCTACACATACACACACACACATGCACACACGCATATGCACACACACTTCTAAACAACACGTGGTTTCGTTTTGCATTTTTTATTTATTTATTTATCTTTTTGAGACTGAGTCTAGCTCTGTAGCCCAAGCTGGAGTGTAGTGGCACAATCTTGGCTTACTGCAACCTCCATCTCCCAGATTCAAATGATTCTCCTGCCTCAGCCTCCCAAGTAGCTGGGATTACAGATGTGCACCACTATGCCTGGCTAATTTTTATATTTTCAGTAGAGGTGGGGTTTCACTATACTGGCCAGGCTGGTCTCTAACTCCTGACCTCAGATGATCTGCCCACCTCAGCGTCCCAAAGTGCTGGGATTACAGGTGTAGCCACTGTGCCCAGCCAGTTTTGCATGTTTATAAACTTTAGAAAAAGGTTAGCAAACTATGTGTAGTTTTCTGGACATGCTTTTTTATTCAACACTATGCTACATATCTTCCATGTTGTTTATCTTTTCAACATATCTTTCTATGTTGTTACTGTAGCTATGATTCATTCATTTTCACCAATGTGTGTTACTATGTGAGTATATCATTACTGATTTATTCTACAGTCAGTGGGTGTTTCGGTTATTCTCAATATTTTACTCATATGAACAGTGTTATGAGCATTTTGTAAATGTCTCCTGGTGCATATGTGCAAGATTCTTTGACAGTTATAAATTAGTAAGTCACAGGGTATGTACCCTTCCCCTTTAAAGTATAGTTCAAAGTTCCTCCTCCCTCAAGAAGACTTCCGTTGTGATTTCTCCTTCTCTTGAAAGACGATAGCATCTATTCTACACCATTTATTTGACAATTAACAAATACTACCTGGCACTCGCAGACATCACATCATGTGTGAGTTTCTCATTTCTGTAGTTGAACATTTATTGATTTTTTGCTCCTTAGCACCCACTCACCTTTCTCTTAGTAATTTTATCTCTAATTTTGCTTTGGGGAAACAACTTCATTCCCATCTCTGATCATGTGTTTGAATGGGGTTCCACTCATAGTTCTAGAGGTGGAGCATGTGCCTTAGGCTTAAGCCAGTCATGACATTCTATTCCTTTAGCCAGAGTGGTTGGTTTAGTACAGACTAATGCCAGACTTTTTGATTGAATGATTAGGAAGAAGACACTTTCTTTTTTATTTCCATTGGACTTGAATGAAACTGTGAGCATGTGAAACTGGACCTGGTTACCACAAAGGTAGAGGTTCTATGATAGTGCAGCTAAAACAGAAGAGAGCAAGACAAAGAGAAAGAACCAGACAGCTGTCCTAATGTCATTATTTGGACTCCCAAATCTAGTTGTGTCCTAAACTAGTACCGGACTTTTTCATTGTATGAACCAATAAGTTCCTCTTATGTGTAACCACTTTGGGTTGTGTTCTCTCTTACTTGAGCCAAAAGGATCTTAACTAGTACAATCCTCAATTAGATTAAAAGTGCCTTGTGGATTCTTCATCTTCCATTTCTTCTTCTTTTTCCCCTTTCATTCTTTTGCCTCCTTGAACAATTTGATCCTAAAGCCATTAGGTGGGGCAGAGCAAGGTAAGCATCTGTTTCTGGACAGGTGAAGCCAATGTGGCACCTAGCAGGGTATCAGGGCCCAAATCTGTGCAGGGTTAGCTGGGCATGGGTTGTCAGAGCCTGAGCAGAGCGAGGAGGGTATCCATGTGGAAGGGCAACCTTCAGTCCATGTGGGTAAAGACGCTGGCCTTACAGAGAGGTGGTTTAACTTGGGTGTCAGATTCCAAGCAGTACAAACAGGGTATCCGTATGAGATGGATGCCCAACATGGGGTGTTTAATCTTGAGCAGGGTGAGGAGGGCATCCAAATCGAGGGATGGCCTGGCCTGGGAAGTCAGAACCTAAACAGGGTGAGGAGGGTGTCTACATGGAAGGGCCATCCACATAGGCTGGGGGTCAGCTCAGCATAAGGAGTCAGAGCCTGAGTGAATTGACAAGGGAATCCACATGAAAATGTGCCTTGGCATGGAGTGTCAGAGCCTAAGGACTATGTAAAGGGCATCCACTTGGAGGGGGTGATCTGTTGAGGGGTGTCAGAACCTAAGCAGAGTAAGGAGGATAGCCATGTGGGAAGGGCCGATTAGTGCAAGATGTTAAAACTTAAATGTAGTAAGAAGGAAATCAGTGTGGAAGAGAGGACAGCGACAGTGATGGGAGATTAGTTCCATATAGAACTAATGGATTCATTGGGGGATTGATCAAATAAATAAATATATTTAGGTTAACACAAACCAGAGAAAAGGGAACTACAAAAGGGAATGAGAAGAAACTAGAATGAACCCTGTTGTGTTGGATTAGACTTGGAATTACCAGTGTGAACTCATGGTTTTTAATATTAGTAGACAGAAAGGTATGTACAGATATAAATGTGTACATACATTTACATACACAGGCATGCACGCACACACACACACAGTTTCTACATCTGTCCACTGAGAAATCTGAGAGAGGAGACTCATGAGTAATGAGCACATGTAGAACCCAGATGCTGGCTTGGGGAGATGAATAATTCCAGGGTGAAAGCAGGGAAAATATAAGATCAACCTGGAAGATCTCTTTGTGCCAGAAAGCAAGGACGTGCTCAAAGAATGAGGGATGCATGTTAAAAGGATGCAGAAAATTGGCAGTTTTTTATAAAGCTAAACATATATAGACCCTGTGGCCTAGAAATTCCACTCCTAAGTATTTATTAATAAGAAATGAAAACATATTCACCAGAAGATTTACTTAAGATTGTGCAGAGTAGCTTTATTTATAATAGCTAAGAACTGGAAACAGCCCAGGTGTCCATACATAGGAAAACGGATAAACAAACCATGGTGTATTCATACAATGGAATACTACTCAGCAATAAAAAGAAGCAAATTGCTGATACATGTAGCAACATATTAAGACTCTCAAGAAAAATTATGCTGAGTCAACCAGGCCCAGTGGCTTATGAATATAATTCAGAGCTTTGGGAGGCTAAGGAGGGAGGATCACTTGAGGCCAGGAGTTAGTGGCCAGCCTGGGCAACATGGTGAGACCTTGTCTCTACAAAAAGTTTATAAACTAGCCAGGCATGGTGGTGTGCACCTGTAGTCTCCCAGCTACTCGGGATGCTGAGGCGGGAGGATTGCTTGAGCCCAAGAGTTCAAGGCTGCAGTGAGTTATGATCACATGCCACTACACTCCAGCTTGGGCAACAGAGTGAGACTCTGTCTCCCCCAAAAAATTTTTAAAAAAGTAAAAATTATGCTGAGTGAAAGAAGCCTTACAAAAAGAGTACATAGAGTTTAAACTCTGTAAAAAAAGATGCATACTGTATAATTTCATTTTTATGAAATTCCAGAAGAGATAAAACTAATTTATGGTAGAAAATAGAAAAGTGGTTGCTTTGGGGATTGGAGGGTGGACGACTGAATGGGAAAGAGGTGTGGGGACTTTTTTTGTTCTATATCTTTTATTTATTTTTTTTAAGAGATGGTTTTTGCAATGTTACCCAGGCTGATCTTGAACTCCTGGGCTCAAGCAATCTTCCTGCCTCTGCCTCTTGAGTAGCTGGGATTACAGGTGAGTGTCACAGTGCTCTTTGTTCTGTATCTTGATAGGAGTATGGGATGCATAGGGCATGTATTTGTCAAAACTCAGCAAATATACACTTAAAATTTTTGCATCTCATTTTATGGAAATTTGGTCTCAAGAGGAAAAAACTTCCTTCTTTCCCTACGGGCAAAAAGAAAGAAAAAAGCTGTTAACAAATATCGAACTCTAATGAATGATATGCATGCTGAGGTATTTAGGGAGAAATGTATTGATTTCTATAATTTACTTAAAATGGACCACATGCATCAAAAATAAGAGAGATGGAAGGAGAGAGGGACAGAGAGATGAATAGACAGATTAAAAAGTGAGGTAAAATATTAATGATAGAATTTATGTTGTGGGTATATAGGTACTTGCTGTAAAATTCTTTCAGCTTTGCCATCTTTGACAGTTTTCATACTGAAATGCTGGGGTCGGGCATGGTGGCTCATGCCTGTAATCCCAGCACTTCGGGAGACTGAGGTGAGAGGATTGCTTAAGGCCAGGAGTTTGTGACCAGCATGGGCAACACAGAGAGACCCCATCCATACCAAAAATTAGAAAAATTAGCCAGGCCTGATGATGCACACCTGTAGTCCCAGTTGCTCAGGAGTCTGTGATGGGATGATCGCTTGAGTCCGGGAGTTGGAGGCTGCAGTGAGCTACAGTTGCGCCACTGCACTCCAGCCTGGCGACAGAGTGAGACCTGGTCTCAAAAAAAAAAAAATAAAGGTTGGGCATGGGGAGGGGAGGACACAGGAGCCAGAGTGCAGAGTGAAAGAACTCCCATTGTCTAAAACTGGGACAATATGAGTATCAAAACAAATAGTGATAATATTGGAATATAACCCATTGAATAAAAAAGGAAACCATGAATACATACTGCTATAAATGAATAAATGAAAAGTTGACAAAAAGGAAGAATGGTTTATATGGTTTCAATGGACACCCATTAAATACTTATTAATTACAAAGAGGAAAAATGTAGCTTTAAAGTGGAGGGGCCTGACAGATATAATCTTAATCAACTGGTCAACGTTATTACTATAGGACTTTTGATAAGATACAATAAGAAGAACACAGCATTGCTTCTGTGATATATTTCTGACAAAGATGAATAACCTGAATTTAACCATGGGGAAACAGTAGATAAATCTAAATGAAGGACATACTGCAACCAACTTATAATCTTCAAAAGTGTCAAGGTTATGGAAATCAAAGAAAGATGGAAGAGTTTCTTAGAGATTCTTTATTCCAGAGTTCCAGAGCAAAGGAATAGCATCAGGAATTTTATGCTAGCTACTTATCCAGTTTTCAGTTTCTTTAAAAAACTCTTGTGTACTTTTCAATGAGACTTTTAAATAACTATGGTTCTTAATTTTCATGGTTTCTGTAACTTTGTGACAAAAAGTATCACCAAAATGTTTTTTGTTGTTGTTGTTTTGTTTCAAAATAAATGTTTTATTACTTCCAACTGTATTTTTTGCCTTTATTATTTTTAATTGATGCATACTTGTCCATATTTATGGGGTACAGAGTGTTATTTCAACACATGTAGACAATATGTAATACTCAAATCAGCATAATGAGCATATTCATCACCTCAAACATTTATCACTTCTTTGTGTTGGGAACATTCAAAATCTGCTCTTTTAGCTATTTGAAAATATACAACCAATTGCTGTTAATTATAGTCACTCTACAGTGCTATAGAACACTATAACTTACGCCTCATATCTAGATGTACTTTTGTATCCATTAACCAACCTTTGGATATCCCCTCTACCCTTAACCTTCCCTGTCTCTAGTAATCACTATTCTACTTTCTCTTTAAATAAGCTCAACTTTTTTAGCTTCAACATATGAGTAAGAACATGTAATATTTATCTTTTTTGTGCCTGGCTTATTTCATTTAACACAATGCCCTCCAAGCTCATCTACGTTGTGGCAAATGACAGATTTTTTTCTTTTTGGTGGCTAAATACTATTCCATTGTATATATAGACCAAATTTTCTTTATCCATTCATCTGTTGATAGACACTTAAGCTGATCTCATATCTCAGCTATTGTGAGTAATGCAGCAATAAACATGGGAATGTAGAAATCTCTTTAACATACTTATTTCCTTTCTTTTGGATATATACTTTGAGTGAGATTAGATCATATGGTAGTTCTGTTTTTAGTGTTTTGAGGGACCTCTATACTGTTTTCAATAGTGGCTCTACTAATTTACATCCCACCAACAAGGTATAAGAGTTTCCCTTTGTCTGCATCCTCGCCAGCATTTGTTATTTTTTGTCTTTTTAGTAATAGCCATTCTAGCCAGGGTGAGATAATACTTCATTGTGGTTTTGATTTGTATTTCCCTGATTAGTGATGTTAAGCATTTTTTCAAATACCTGTTGGCCATTTTTATTTTCTTTTGAGAGATGTCTATTCAGCTCATTTACCCATTTTAAATTTGAATTATTTGATTTTTCTTTTTCTTTTTTTGGCTATTGCTTTGTTTGAGTTCCTTATATATTTTGAATATTAATCCCTTGTCAGATGAATAGTTTGAAAATATTTTCTCCCCTTCTGCAAGTTGTCTCTTCACCCCATTGATTGTTTCCTTTGCACTGCAGAAGCTTTTTAAAAGTTTGATAGAATCCCGCTTGTCTAATTTTGCTTTTGTTGCCTGTGCTTTTGAGGTCTTCCCCATAAAATATTTGCCTAAACCAATGTCCTGAAGTGTTTCCCTCATGTTTTCTTCAGTAGTTTCATAGTCTAGGGGTCTTACATTTAAGTCTTTGATCCATTTTAAATTGAATTTTTTTTTTTTTTTTTTTTTTTTTTTTTGAGATGGAATCTCGCTCTGTCACCCAGGCTGGAGTGCAGTGGCGCAATCTCGGCTCATTGCAACCTCTGCCTCCTGGGTTTAAGCAATTTTCCTGCCTCAGCCTCCCGAGTAGCTAGGACTACAGGCACGTGCCACCATGCCTGGCTAATTTTTGTATTTTTAGTAGAGACAGGGTATTGCCATGTTGGCCAGGCTGGTCTGGAACTCCTGATCTCAGGTAATCCACCTGCCTCAGCCTCCCAAAGTGCTGGGATTACAGGTGTAAGCCACAGTGCCTGGCCCGAGAGATAGGGGTCTAGTTTTATTTTCCTTCATATGAACATCCAATTTCCCCAGCATTATTTGTTGAAGTAACTCTCCCTTCCCCAATGAATGTTCTTGGTACCTTTGTTGAAAATCAGTTGGCTGTAAATATATGGATTTCTTTCTGGGTTCTCTATTCTGTTCCATTGGTCTATGTGTTTTTATGCCAGTACCATGCTGTTTTGGTAACTAGACATTTGTAGTATATTTTAAAGTCTGATAGTGTGATGCCTCTTTGTTCTTTTTGTTCAGGATTATTTTGGCTATCCATGGCATTTTGTGATACCATATGAATTTTAGAATTTTTTTTTATTTCTATGAAAAATGCTATTGGTATTTGATCAGGATTGTATGGAAACTGTAGATTGCTTTTGGTAGTATGGTCATTTTTCATTTTCTTTTTCTTCTTTTTTTTTAAGGGGCTGTAATTGTATTTATTAGATTAATAAGGCAAATGTGAATTTTCTTTTCTATAATCCAGTGAGTCTGTTTATTGGTTGACTCAGACAGACAAGAAGCCACAAGGAAACAAAGAAGTAATCATTTGTTGAGAGACGTTATTAAACTATGTTCTTCCCTGAAGCTACTGGGATGGGAAAGGTCAGTGACTTCCTTTGAACCCTGAGACAACTGGGGGCTCTGGAGGCCTGCTGTGCCCCTGCTACTGGAGCAGCCCCCCCTGCCAAGGCGGCCTCAAGTTCAGGAGCAGCTAATCACCAGCTCCAGCATTCAGTTTGTCTAGCCTTATGATAGCTACATAGGCCACTTCCCATTGGTGTGCAGTGTTTTCTTTTTCAGCTGCGAAATGGGCTGAACACTATCGGCCTGGGTATCCCTTTTTGGGGAATATGTCCGTCTGTCTGAACCCCTTTCTCTTAAAATGGCTCTGTGATAAAATGTGGTCATACCATGCTCCAGCACCGGGGGTACATGAGACTACGGCGGGTACATGAGAGTACACAGCCTGTGAGCGCCCATGCAGACTCTCGTGCTGGGCCCCCGTGGCCCAGGCTAGCTGTGGTACCAGTCGAGGAAGAGCAAGGAGAAGGAGCACATCACGAGGAAGAAGAGGATCCATACGCGGAAGCCAGCGTTGTTTTTAATGGCCTCTCTTATGTCTTCGTTGCCTTCCTTGATATTTTCAGTTGCCCCCACAACTAACTGGTGAACGCCATCAATCTCAGCTTCCTGTTGCAAAACCTTTTCCGTGAATATCTCTTGAAGTCTGGAAATCTCAACCACTCTCCCTTTGATCTGCCTCACTTCATCAAACAAGCTGTTCATTTCACCAATTAGTCGCTGATTTTCCTGTTCAAACATTTGTATTTCTTCTGGGGATAACTCATCTTCACCTTTGCCATCTCCCCATGTTCCCAATTCAGGTTGTCTTTCAGTCAAAATCTTTTCTGGATGTTCTTCAGTGGCAGGGTTTTCTTCAGTCTTTTGAAGGACACTGTGAAACTTTCTCAGAAGATGTGGATTCTCTTGTCTTTGCATTTGGTTCTGGTTCCAGCTTAGATATTCTTTTCTTATCCACCACTCTTTTAACTCGGATGGCTCTTTGTTCTGAGTAAAGTTTACACACTTTTTTTAAGTAATCTTCAATGAAATCCAGAACAGCAGTCCTGTGCTCCTTCACTTGCTGGGAATGTATCTCCTTGTGAGCTTCTGTTCGTAGTTGTTGAATTGCTTCTGAACAGGTCCTCATGAATATCTGGACATCCTGGTCTATTTGGTCTCGTTCTGTGTCTGTCATCCTCCCATATTCAGACATGGTATGGCTATAAGCATTAATATAATCTTTCCTGTGTTCCAGAAGAAAATCTCTCAGTTTGCCACTGTGAGAAATCATTTCGCGGGCCCGGCTGGAGAAGTTGCCCTTGGGCCAGGGACTCCTGCGGAACAGCTCATCCCGGCTGCCATCGACTCTGCCACCCACTGCCACTCCCAGTGCCTTGTTCTGCGTCTTCACGGTCTTGACGCTGGCCCGGAATAGCAGCGTGATGTCCACCGCCCTAGCGACCCGCACAGGCAGCCCCACAAGGGACCTGCCCATGTCAGCAGCTGGTGACAGCGGTAGTATGGTCATTTTCACAATATTAATTCTTCCAATCCATGAACATGAGATGTCTTTCCATTTTTTGGTGTCCTCTTCATTTTCTTTCATCAACGTTTTATAGTTTTCCTTGTAGACGTCTTTCACCTCCCTGGTTATATTTATTCCTATGTATTTTATTTTTTATTTTTGTAGCTACTGTAAATGGGGTTACTTTTTAAATTTCTTTTTCCTCTAGTTAATTGCTAGTGTATAGAAATGCTACTGATTTTTTTTTTTTCTTTTTTTGAGATGGAGTCTCACTCTGTTGCCCAGGCCGGAGTGCAGTGGCGCCATCTCAGCTCACTGCAAGCTCCGCCTCCTGGGTTCACACCATTCTCCTGCCTCAGCCTCCCGAGTAGCTGGGGCTACAAGCGTGCCACCACGCCCTGCTAATTTTTGTATTTTTAGTAGAGACGGGGTTTCACCGTGTTAGCCAGGATGGTCTTGATCTCCTGAACTGGTGATCCACCCGCCTCCGCCTCCCAAAGTCCTGGGATTACAGGCGTGAGCCACCGCGCCCGGCCTACTGATTTTTATATGTTGATTTTGTATCCTGCAACTTTACTGAATTCGTTTATCCGTTTTAATAATTTTTTGGTGGAGCTTTTAGGGTTTTTTAATATATAAGATCATGTCATCTGCAAACAGGGACAATTTGACTTTCTCTTTTCCAATTTGGATGCCCTTTATTTCTGTCTCTTTCCTAACTGCTCTGGCTAAGACATCTAGAATAGACAGATGTTGAGTAAAAGTGGTGAAAGTGGTTATCTTTGTCTCATTCCAGATCTTAGAAAAAAAGATTTCAACTTTTGCCCATTTAGTATGATGTTGCCTTTGTTATGTATGGCCTTTCTTGTGTTGAGGTATTTTCCTTCTAAACCTAACTTGTTGAGAGTTTTTATCATGAAGGAATATTGAATATTTATCAAATGCTTTTCCTGCATCTATTGAGATAGTCATGTAATTTTTTGTCTATTCTGTTGATGGGATGTATCATGGTTATTTTATGTTAAATCATCTTTGCATTATTGGGATAAATCTCAGTTGATCAGGGTGAATGATCTTTTATTTCCTTATTATTATTATTATTTTTTAAATAGAGACAGGGTCTTGTTATGTTGCCCAGACTAGTCTCAAACTATTGGGCTCAAGTGAGCCTCCTGCCCTGGCCCCCCAAAGTGCTGGGATTAGAGGTAAAGGCCGCCACACCCAGCCTTTCTTTTATTCTCTGTGTGAATGATCTTTTTAATGTGTTGCTGGATTCAGTTTGCTAGAATTTTGTTGAGAATTCTTACATTTGTGTTCATTAGGGATACCGGCTTATAATTTCTGTTTCTGTTGTTGTTGTGTTCTTGTCTGGTGTTAGTATTAGCATAATGCTGGCCTCATAGAATGAGTTTGGAAGAATTCCCTCCTCTTCAATTTTCTAAAAGAGTTTGAGAAGAACTGATATCAGATAATCTTTAAATATTTGGTAGAAAGCCACAGTGGAGCCATCAGATCCTGGGCTTTTCTTTGATGAGAGACATTTTATTACAGATTAAATCGTGTTAATTGTGATTGGTCTGTTCAGGTTTTCTATTTCTTTTTGCTTCAATCTTGGTAGGCTGTATGTGTCCAGGAATTTATCCATTTCTGCTAGGTTTTCTATTATGTTGGCATATAGTTTGTAATAGTCACTAATGATTCTGTGTATTGCTGTGGTATCAGTTGTAATGTCTCCTTTTTCATTTCTAATTTTATTCATTTGGGTCTTTTTTTTTCTTGGTTAGTCTAGCTAATGGTTTGGCAATATGGTTTATCTTTTACAAAACCAACTTTTTGTTTTGTTGATTTTTTGGTTATTTTTTGGTCTCAATTGTATTTATTTGTGCTTTGATCTTTATTATTTCTTTTTTTCTACCAGTTTTGGGTCTGGTTTATTCTTGATTTCCAAATTCCTTGAGATGCATTGTTAGATCGTTTATTTGAAAGCTTTCTACAATTTTGATGTGAGCATTTATTTCTATAAACTTCTCTTTCAATACTGCTTTTTCTGTATTCCATAGGTTTTAGTATGTTCTGTTTCTATTTTCATTTGTTCCAAGAAATTTTATGATGGCATAGGACCTCAGTAGAAGAAAATTTAAAAAATAAATAAATTAAAAAGTAAAAAGTAAAAATTCAAAAAAAATTTTAAATTCCCTTCTTAATTTCTTCATTGACCCACTGCTCATTCGGGAGCATGTTGTTTAACTTCTAAAGTTCCTCTTGTTACTGATTTCTATTTTTATTTCATTGAGGTCAGAAAAGATATTTGATATGATTTCAATTCCTTTAAATTTGATAAGATTTGTTTTGTGACTTAGCATGTGGTCTATCCTGGAGAATGTTCCATGGGCTGAAAAAAAAGAGGTGTATTCTGCAGCTAGCTGTTGGATAAAATGTTCTATAAATATCTGTTAGGTCCATTTGGTCTAATGTTTAGTTTAAATCCAATGTTTCTTTATTGATTTTCTGTCTAAATGATCTGTCCCATGCTGAGAGTAAGGTGTTGAAGTCCCCAACTACTATTGTATTAGAGTCTATCTCTCCCTTTAGATCTAACAATATTTGCTTTATAATATCAGAGTGCTCTGACGTTGGGTGCATATATGTTTAGAATTGTTCACTTGCTGAATTGATCTCTTTATCATTATATAATGACCTTTTTCTCTTTTTACAGTTTTGACTTAAAGTCTGTTTTGTCTAAGTATAGCTACTCCTGCTTGCTTTCAATTTCCATTCACGTGAAATATCTTTTTCCATCCCTTCACTTTCAGTCTATATATGTCTTTACTGGTGAACCGAGTTTCTTCTAGGCAGCATATAGTTAGGTCATGTTTTTTTCTTTCTTTCTTTCTTTTTTGAGACAGAATCTGGCTCTGTCGCCCAGGCTGGAGTGCAATGGTGCAATCTCGGCTGACTGCAACCTCCACCTCCAGGGTTCAAGCAATTCTCCCACGTCAGCCTCCTGAGTAGCTGGGACTACAGGCGCATGCCACCACACCCAGCTAATTTTTGTATTTTTAGTAGAGATGGGGTTTCACCATTTTGGCCAGGATGGTTTCAATCTCTTGACTTTGTGATCCGCCTGCCTCAGCTCCCGAAATGCTGGGATTACAGGCATGAGCCACCGCGCCTGGCCAGTTAGGTCATGTTTTTAATTTATTGAGCTAATCTATATCTTTTAAATGGGGGATTTAATCCATTTATATTCAAAGCTATTATTGATAGGTGAGTACTTACTCCTGTCATTTTGTTAATTGTTTTCTGGTTGCTTTCTATATCCTTTGTTCCTTTCTTCCCCTCTTATTATTATTGCAGTGTGTTGGTTTTCTTTGGTGATAAGATTTGATTCTTTTCTTTCTCCTTTGTGTATCTGCTCTACCAGTGAGTTTCATATTTTTGCATGTTTTCATGATAGGGATTATCATATTTTCACTTCCAGATATAGGGCTCCCTTGAGCATTTCTTGTAAGGCCGGTTTAGTGGTGATAATTTCCCTCAAGTTTTTGCTTATCTGTGAAAGACTTTATTGTTCTCTCATTTCTGAAGGATAGTTTTTCTGGGTATACTATTCTTGGTTGGTAATTTTTTTTTCTTTCAGCACTTTGAATATATCACCCCATTCTGTTCTGGCCTTTAAGATTTCTGCAACAAAATCTGTTGCTATTCTAATGGGGACTCCACTGTTAGTCTAATGGTGATTCCCTTCTATGTGACTTTTCTCTGGCTTTCCCTTATATGATACTTTTCTCTAGCTGTTTTTAGAGTTCTCTCTTTGTCTTTGACTTTTGACAGTTTGACTTTAATTTGCCTTGGAGAGGAATTTTAGGCTGTATCTATTTGGGAAATTTTGAGCTTCCTGGATCTGGACGTCCATATATCTCCCCAGACTTGGGAAATTTCCAGCTATTATTTTGTTAAATAGGTTTTCAACATCTTTTCCCTTCTCTTCTCCTTCTGGAAGTCCCATAATACAAATATTTGTTCACTTAATAGTGATAATTGTAGGCTTTCTTCACTCTTTTTCATTCTTATTTCTTTTTTCTTTCTCTGACTGGGTAATTTTAAATGGCCTATCTTCAAGTTCAGAGATTAGTTTTTCTGCTTGATTAATAAGTCTGCTGGTGAAGCTCTCTATTGTATTTTTATTTCATTCATTGAATTCTTCAGCTGCAGGGTTTCTGTCTGCTTCTTTTTTATGATTTCTATCCCTTTGTTGAATTTCTCATTCATATGAGGACTTGTTTTCCTGATTTTGTTGAACTGTCAATCTGAATTTTCTTGTCTTGTTGAGTTTCCTTAAGATCATTATTTTAAATTCCTTTCCTGGCAATTAATTAATTTCCTTTTCTTCAGTGTCTGTTACTAGAGAGTTATATTCCTTTGGTAGTGCCATATTTCCTTGCTTTATCATGTTTCTTGTGTCCCTGCATTGATGTCTGTTTATTTGGTGGAACAATTGTCTCTTCCAATCTTTCTAGAGTGGCTTTTATAGAGGAAGATTTTCACCTGTAGTTGAAATTTTGTGTGCTAGTTGGGATGGACATGGCGACATTGTTTCCAGATAGGTGAAATGGTATAGTCTCTGTGCAGTTTCTTCAGCTGTGTTCAACATCAGCAATACCTGTCAGCACCTCAGTGGCCTAGGCAGTAGAAAGTTTGTGGCAGCAGCAGCAGCGGCATATGTTATTAATGTCCTTGATGTTGAGGGCTTTTGGAGTCCTCTTACTCTTGTTTTCCCCACAATGGGGAAACTTAGCTGAGGGGGATCCCTCTTGGTGTCAGGTCTGACATGGCCTATAAGCAGCTGCAGTGGCACTGGGTTCCAGTTGCAGGTGCTCAGGGCAGGTGTCGGGTTAGGGTCCTAAGCACAGGATCTCCCAAACTTACTGTGGCTCCTGATTCTTGGGGTGCAGGTTTGCTTTCTGTGGCAGGGTTGGGTGTAGGTTGCCCATAGAGACAGGATCTGTGACTCTGAGGCACCCCCTAGCAGCTTGAGCCCAGGAGGCTGGGCTGTAGCTGTGATTCTACCCCTGGGGGGCAGGGCACAGCACTGGCCTGACTCCAGAGAGAAAACTTGCTCTGGAAGTTTGGGCCCAGGAGGACGATATGGTTGCAATATGGGAACCTAAGCAAATAAAACTCAAAGGCAACTCAGGTCTCAGGGCATGAGGCACTGTGTAGTAGTGACACAAGACCATGGAATGGTGGGGCTCAGCATTATCCAAGACACTATAAGACCAGGTACGGTGGCAGCAAGTAACCCAGAAAGGCAGAGCACAGCTGTTGTTTGGGCCTTAGGGAGTACAAGGAAAAGAATAGCAGTGACTCCACTTCCCAGGGAGATGGGTATTTCAGCCACTCAGACTCTAAGAGTCCAGTAAAGCTCCAGAGAAGCCAGGTACTAGAGTTGTTTGGACTGTAGGGCAGAGTTCCTTAGCTCAGCCAATGCTCTGTTTCCTTGGGACACAGGTTACTACGTCAACTCAGCACTGGGATGTGTAGCAGCTCAGTTTGGCCAGGGTACCAATTCCCAGAGGGCAATGTGCTGCTTCAGCTCAGGGCTGGGGGTGTGACTGTTCTGAGTGGCCAAGGCACCATTTCTTGGGATGCAGGGAGTTTCTTCAACTTAGGCACTGAGGAGGAATGACTGCTTTGAGTGGCCAAGGAATTGTTTTTCTAGGAGGCAGAGTACTGCCTCAGCTTTGGCCCAAGGGAATGAAGGGAGCGGTAGATGGAGTGACTCCACCTCCACTTGGCCTCATGTGGAAGAGTGCTTGCAGCTCCACTTGAGGATGCTGGGCCACTGGCCTGAGGTGATTTGGTGGTGGCTTAGCCCCAGGGATGAAGGGGTGTCGTGACTACTCACCCCTGAGCAAGACACACTCCAGCCGTAGTTCCAATCCCAAGCTGGTGTAGTGCAGTAGCCACACGGGCCACAAGGGTCAGGGCACTATGTCAGCGTCTTTTCTGGGGAGAGCACAGGTATGTGGTCTAGAGGCAGCTCCCTCAGCTGGGCTTAATGCCTGTGAGGACTGCAGGGGACCCCAGTAGTGAGCTGTGTAGGTGTCCAAGGTGTCAATGGGGGTTGCTGGGATCCTCTTGCTTACTTCCACTTCATAGGTAGAAGTTCTTCCCAGTTCCCACCTGATCCTGGTTGGGGGATGGGGTAGTGGAGACCTGGCATCGCCTTCTGTTCTCTATGTGGCCATCTTGAGTTTCTGGGCTCACCAGGATTTCTGCTACTCCTCTGATGCAAGATGGCACTCTCCCTCAGTTATTTTTCTTAATGTAATTGTTTATTTGTTGTTCTGGCTTGTCTTTGTGAGGGAAACAGGCCCTAAGAGCTTCTAGTTGGCCATCTTGCTGATGTCACCAAAATAAATGTTTCCAAAATGTTTTAATTATAAAAGAGTTAAATGTCCTACTGGAATATAAATGAACATATTAAAGCAAATTTCGTCATTTAAATAGAAAATTAAAAGGCATAGCCAAGAATGTTAATAGCTATCCTATGAAAAGTAATGGGGAAAAAATGGCTTATTCCATTAAATTCAACAATGCAGACAGGCCACATGTTCTATAGCTTTTTATTTGTGATGTTTCTGCCCAAAAGATTAGGCTGTATTAGACAGGAATAAAAGGGGAAATGAGGCTGGGTACAGTGGCTCACACCTGTAATCCCAGAACTTTGGGAGACTGAGGCAGGAGGATCTCTTGAGCCCAGGACTTCAAGACTAGCCTGGGCAACATAGTGAGACCCTGTCTTAAAAATAATTAGCCAGGCATGGTGGCACAGCCTATATAGTCTTAGCTACTTGGGAGGCTGAGATGGGAGGATCATTTGAGCCTGGAAGATAGAGGCTGGAGTGAGCCATGATTATGCCACTGCGTTCCAGCCTTGGCAACAGAGTGAGACCTTGTCTCTAAAAAAAAGGTGGGGAGGGGGAAGACAGACTAAAAGTTTCAACCTTCCTCTTCCATATAGAAATCTTCCATTTTGAGGACACCAGCAGAAACCTTTCTAAAAACTTCTAATCCTATGATTTTAAGCTATTTAAATCCCAATTTTAAATCTTGGACAAAGAAGCAATAGGAGTAGACCAAAACAAGCAAACAAACAAAAGAGCTGTTTGAAGATTTGCCAATCGGTTATTGGCAATGCTTGAAATTTAGAATCTTCTTCCTTTTTAAAGAGCATAAATCTGCTTTTTTTCTTCCATACTGCCATCAGCTCAGCAATCATCTCCTCAGACCAAATGGCTACCAATATGTGTTTATTGAGAGTCGTTTTGTATAAGCCTGCCCTTGGAGAGAATAATTGTTCTTGTTTGCAGACATTTTTATCTGGCAGCAGATTCTGCCTCCTCATTGCTGTCCTGGTTCTCATTTGCTGGGCTTAATCCTTCACATTTTATGCTATCTATCTGTCCCTATTGCTATACCTTACTCATATATATGATCCCATATAATTCCACATAATTGGATTCCATATCATCTAATATATGGGACTTCCTTATAACATTACCCTTAGGTTCCTTAAATTCTAGGATTCTTCATATCTAAAGCCTTCGTTTTGAAAACAAGGAGACCTGGGTCTATGGAAGTTAAGGAACTTGCCAAAGATCACAAGATCATTTAGTGAAGATCCAGTATTGGAACCCAGCTGCTATAACTACTGTCTAGTGTTCTCTGTAGGATGTGGTTTTGTGTTACGAAATTTGCCCATTTGATAAGTGAAAATCACATCATTATGCCTTTTGGAATTTCATTAAGTAAATTCTCATTGGATGTATCCTAAGACATGCCAGGTAGTATAATGTAAAGTTTGTAGAAGACATAGTTACTGAAGAGAACATGACAATCAATAAACTTAGGAACATTTGACGCTCAACCAATACAATGATTTTTGAAAGGGCTGAAGAACTTAACTAACCTTGACAATTCTTTCCCTTGTGCACTATATACTTTAAAAACTGAAAATCTGGTACACCAAAGTTAACCAGATAAATCTTTAAACCCAGTGAAGAGAAAAATAATTTAAACTAAGATCTAATAAAATGAAGAAAGGAATTTATCATACTGGAATGAGAATTTTAGTGGCTTTTGACTGGTAAATACTGGTCATAAGAGAAAAATATAATACACAAAAAGTCACTAAGGAGAATAAGAAGTTAGTAAATTGAAGAAGAAATTTGCAAGCCAGTGAAGACAAAGAGATAAAACAAGAAGAGAGAACAAGCAGAACTGTGGAATGGCTTGAATCCTTTTAACCTTTTTTTTAAATTTTTTTTTATTTTTTTTGTTATTATTATACTTTAAGTTTTAGGGTACATGTGCACATTGTGCAGGTTAGTTACATAGTGAGAGTAGCCAGGTATACTGAAGGAATCTAACTATATAGATTTAAGATTTTGGACAAAGCATTCTGCAACATATTCCACTTCTGACTGTGTTGACAAATGCACAAGGCTTCTAATATTTTCACATCCTTGCCAACACTTGTTATTTTCTACTTAAAAGATTATAGCCAGAGTTGGGCACAGTGGCAGGTACTGCAGTCACAGCTGCTCAGGAGGCTGAGGTAGGAGGATCACTGGATCCCAGGAATTAGAGCCCAGCCTGGGCAGCACAGTGAGACTCCTATCTCTATTTTTAGAAATTAAAAATAAATAAGATAAATGTATATCTATACTGGTAGACATGAAGGGTTATCTAGTGGTTTTAGCATAACCAGTATTTTAACTGTATATGTGTACTGAGAAACTTGAAGCCAAGTTAATTACCACAGTTTAAATAAGAACATTCTTATATTTTACCTTTCTTCATAGATTCTTTTTCCATTCCCTCCTTGTATGTGTACAAGAGTTCATCAACTTCCTTCAGATCCAGGAAGCCTGAGCCATCACTGTCCCACTTCTGAAAGATGGCTTCTAGGAGAAGCCTCTGTCGGACTTGGAAAGCATTTTGGCTAAACTAGGATACAAACAGGATAATAAAGCACGGAAGATATATGTTCATTGTGCTAGCTAGCATTCTGTGTTTATTCCAAAAAAAGTCCAGCGTCTTCTATTAAAACAGGTTTACTTTGAGGCTAAGCATGATATTAAGGGAAAATGCAGTGATTCAGCAGTGGTGCATCCCTGTAAAGCCAGCCACTCAAGAGGCTGAGGCAGGAGTATCGCTTGAGGCCGGGAGTTGGAGACCAGCCTGAGCAACACAGTGAGACCTCAGTCTTAAAAAAAATTTTTTTTAAAAATTTTTAGAAAAGAAAATGCAGTGATTAATTTTAATCCCTTAAATACCATTTCTCTGTTTTACTTCTAGGCCAGAACAAAAACAAAAACAAAAACAAAACAAAACAGACATTCTTGGTTGGTCCCATGGTAGGGGGTTATCAGAACTTATTAACATTAGTGTCACTAAAGTTGGTATACAACCTCCCACTGCTAACCTTGACTGGCTTTGAAGAAAAAAAATAACAGCAGGCATTCTCTGCATTAGTATTCCTTAAGAATCCTTTTTTTTTTTTTTCAAATTTATTCTACAAACCTTAAGAATCTTTGACCATTCTTTTCCACTCCTTCTCTAGTTGTTCAGGAATGTGATAAATACACAGACTGTATTTTAAAATTATTATTATTTTTATTTAGAGACAGAGTCTTGCTATGTCACCCAGGATGGAATAGAGTGGCATAATTACAGTTCACTGTAACTTCAAATTCCTGAGCCCAAGAGATTTTCCCTCCTCAGCCTCCCAAAGCACTGGAATTACAAGCATAAGCCACTGCAGCTGGCCCTAAGGGATATGTTTTGAGTGAAGGGGAATGAATGGCAGTGTTTAAATAATGAAAAATGGCTGTGTTTTAAAAATTCTTTTTTTATATTTAAGATTGACTATATTTGACATTAATTTTATTTATCTTTTAGAGTTTTCACTAGGTTAATTATATTAGTGAGATAGTAATTGAATTAATATCTAGATAGATATAATTGCAAAAATAAAATGAATATACACCTTTTGATTTAGTAGGAAGAACTGGAATTGAGAAGGTAAAGGGAATTGTCTAGAATTAGGTTGAAAAGACTCATAAGGCTGATGATTACTGAATAAGCTTAGTGAAAGTAATTTACATATTTCATATGAGAGAATAAATTGTTTATATAAGCTAATGTGTATGCACTTACCTGTCACCCAAGTAAGTAGTAAGTTCTTAGGAAATATGTACTACCTGGGTGCTCATGAGTAAAAATATATACTCAGGCCATAATCATACCCCAGGTGTGTGTACTTGTAAAGACACTCACACACAGGCAAATAATGCACATACACATCTTTGCATATATCCATATCTGCTTCTCAAAAAGCTTCAGAGAAAGAATAAAGCTGTACAATAAACCATCTCCTGCTAGGAGCAATCATGTTATTATTAGGGGAATGAGTTCTCTGGAGTGTGATCTTAGAATATTTGATGATAAAATAGAATCTTTAATGGCTATGCTTGTTGAAAGAAAGTGATCAGTTTGGTTGTACATTTTTTAACACGAGCCACATCGGGAGCAACTGAGGTTGAGAGATTTACTTATAATAGTGACCTCACTTGTATCATTAATAAATAATATTACCCACCTGTTCTAAGGCATTCATTTTCTCTTGTTCTGTTTCAACATAGCCCTCCTTAAAAAAGGAGGTGAGAGTCTCGCTGACACTCAAGGGAGCGTCTTCACCAACAAATGTCTCCAGGAGTTGCACAAACTGGAGCAGATTGAATGAAACTCCATTGAAGGCAGTTCTGCCTTTTACCTCCTTGCAAGACTGAATATTTCTGATAATTGAGTGTAAATCTGTCAAGCAAGAAACATTACCAAGCAGTAAAGTGAACAATTTTTTCAGTTAGGGAAAATAAATGAGTGCCTATTGTAATGAATATCTGCCATTTTTGACTGTCAGGAATCCATGCTTCCTTCATGAGGACAGCATCCTCCTTTTTTCTTTGGAAAAACATCTCTCCATTGTCAGTTCAGATGAGTCAGGTCATACTGTGCCTCCCACTTTTGTGCCATGGATGGTCATGTGATATACATCTGGCTAACAATTCATATATGATAGCAATGTAACCTACTATAGGCCAATGAGAGTTAGCCTCAGAACTTTTGGAAGAACTATTAGGGACGAATCACTCTTTTTGTACTCTGATTGCTGAACTAGTAGAGTATAAGCTTAGAGATGCTTTCATGGCCATTTTTGTCACAACATGGAGAAAACTGTCTCAATTGAAAGTGACACAGAAAAACAGGGCTTAGAGGAAGACAGACAGTATCCTGCTGCTATTGTTGAGCCTTTGAATCTAGTTGTGCCTGAAAACAGCTGCACGCTGAACTTTCTAGTTAAACAAATTACTAAATACCACCACCACAACTCCTTCTTCCAAAAGCCTTGGCTAATATATTTACCTTTTAGCTCAATAGTACAGTATGAAGTATATTTCATAAAATGTCAGCAAAGTGACTTCCGTTTGATTTATTCATTGATTCAATCATTCATGCCCTTATACCTTCTATATGAGATTTGATGTGATTAAAAAAAATGATTACTCACAATTTTTACATATATTGGTAAAGCAAAATTGATATAAAGATGACTAAGAAGAAGAACATGAACTAGCAGGCTGCAAGAGGTTGACCAATGCCATGCATTTTCACCAGAAAATTTGAGGATAGAAAGTTTGTTATTTGAGGCTTAAATGAGAGAAAAATTTGCAGGTAGGAAGAAGATAATCTTGATCTAATTTAGTTCTACAACTTGTTGATGTGAAAGGCAAAACAATATAGTAGCATTTTAGTGAAATATGAGTGCTTTTGGAACAATCATTTTAAAGACATGCTTTGTCTGAAAGCCAGAAACTACTCTGCTCTGTTGAGTAGATCTTTCTTTGCAAGTCTTCAAAAACAAGATAGATTCTCACTTGTCTCATATGTTTAGATGTGGCCCTACCAGGTAAAGGAATAGCTGAAATGATTTCTATTGAGTTTTAGTATCTAATGTCTGATTTTCTCTGTATGCTTAGATCATAGCTTTAAAGCAGTGGTAGGGCCATATCATGGTTAAAAAATGGGTACTAATGCCATAAGTTTTAAAGCAGAAGAGCATTCATCAATAGCACATGCCACCATCAATAGTACATCACCACCAAATATATCTATCTGGTATATATTTAGATTCACCAGCTCAAGGACAAAATAATGCAAGGAACACCTTCCCATTCTGCCTTAGCTAAATTCAGTCTTTATCATCGAGTACCACAGTAAATTAAATCCATCTATTGGACTGCCATCTATTCCTACTTTCATTGTTAACATGTACCTGTGAACCTGGAGTTACCATAGATTAAGTTTGCCTGTTCCTCATCTTCAAATGTGACATACTTCATTTTCCAGTTACAAGTAAAAAATTCACCTGTAAAAACACATTCCATAACATAGCCAATCAAACTTCGCTTTCACAATATTTTTGTTCTAGGGTATAAATGAAAGGAGGATTAAATGAGGAGTTACCTGACCATGACTTTCCTTCTATTTTTTGGGACTTGGGTTCACAGGGCTTGTCTTTCTGAACTTCCTTTTTTGTAGTTTCTAAAAGGTGCAAATGAAAATGCTTATGAATTAGACATTACATATTCCATTAGCTATTTTAAGGTTAATAAGTGATAGAAATGCATTGCATATAGAACACCAAAAACTCTAAGTACTTTCCCATATATGCAGTGTTGCAATCGACCACAGTGAAGTCACTGAATAACTTGAATTGTTGAAAGCAGCTCTATAGCAAAAGCTGTTATTGTATCCAATTTGGCCATGCAAAATGAGGCTACATTTCTCAGCCACCCTCACAGCTAGGTATTACTATACAATAGCCCCCTTTTTAACCTTGGCAGGATATGTTCCAAGATCCCTAGTGGATGCCTGAAACTGCAGATAGTACATATACTTCTGCAGTTTGAGGTGTGACAGAAAAAGTAGCATGAATTTCTTTTTCCTTCTTCACAATTTAATAAGTAAAAGATTTGTTCTTACTGTAAATTTTAACAACCTCAGAATACAATTTTCTTTCTTTCCTTACTAAGTTGAGAACGAACCTTCCTTCCTTCCTTCCTTCCTTCCTTCCTTCCTTCCTTCCTTCCTTCCTTCCTTCCTTCCTCTCTCTCTCTCTTCTTTCTTTCTTTCTTGATAGGGTCTCACTTTGTTGCTTAGGCTAGATGGAGTGCAGTGGTGCAATCATGGCTTATTGCAGGCTCAACCTCCTGAGGTTCAGGTGATCCTCCCACCTCAGCCTCCTGCGTAGCCGAGACTACAATTGCATGCCACCATGGCCAGCTAATTTTTTTTTTTGAGATGGCGTTTCGCCATGTTGCTCAGGCTGGTTTTGAACTCCTGGGCTCAAGCGATCCACCCGTCTCAGCCTCTCAAAGTGCTGGGATTACAGGCATGAGCCACCATGCCCAGCTGAGAATTTTCACCTTTTCACTTCAAAGGTAGCATTTTATGGCTTCTCTTTGGCATATCCAAATTGCCAGCACCATTACTATTGCGACTGAAGCCATTATTAGGTAAAATAAAGGTTACTTGAACAAGAGTACTGCAACATAATGACAATCTGATAATCCAGCAGCTATTAAGTGACTAATGAGAAGGTAACATAGACAACATGGACATACTGAACAAAAGGTGCAAGATTTCATTACACTACTCAGAATGGTGCACAGTTAAAAATGTATGAATTGTTTATTTCTAGAATTTTCCATGTAATACTTTCTGACTGTGGTTGATTGTGGTTAACTGAAACTGTGGAAAGCAAAACCATGGATAAGGGGGAACTACTGTATGCCTAAATTCTGACCAAAGACATGAGAATAAATATTTGAAATGCAGGGTGCGTTCTGTCTTGAATATGACTTTCAGAAACTCTTCTAGAACATATATTTTATATTTAACTGAAAAAAGCGAGACCCATTTACAGTTGAAATAAAAGAAAATTTTTAAAGTGGTTTCTAATATCAGACATTACATTTAAAACAAAAGGGCTTCTACTACCTTTTCAGAAACCCAATTAAAACACTTCTATAATCTAGTGCAATGGAAATTATATGTAAATTGACAATACAGACATTCTGGCTTGCATTTCATTAGTGAATGTAATTAATTGATTATTGTTCAAGGTCTAGACTAATGTGGAGCAGCAAAATATGCCTGAGGTTTGCATGATCTGATATGCCAGAAAAAAAATTCTAACTTAAATGAGTGTTTTCTGAAAAGACTTTAAAAACCATTCCACAAAACAGGGAACTGATGTTGTAGAAGAACTGCATTACTACCTGGAAAGTGATCTTTTCTGCTTAAGGTTGGAACTTCCTCTTGCAGTTCAGAACTCAGGAATATTTCCTCTTCATATGTTTGTTCCCAAGACCTCTTTTCCTGTAGAGGGACTTCAATGTACTCAGAGGTTATAGGTTCCCCATATTTTGTACTTTTTAAGATACTATCTTTTCTTGATTGTGAAGTTGAGCCTATGTCTTCTTGCTCTTCTGAAATTATCTCTCCATAAGGTCCTTGTTCTGATTTTTGGTATGGTTCTTCTATTACTGACTCTCTGAGTGATCCCTGTTCTGCAGCTGACATTCTGCGTGATCCTTGTTCTGCTACTGACCCTTTGTGTCGATCTTGTTCTGCAATAGACTCTCTGCGTGACCCTTGTTCTGCAACTGACTCTCTGCTTGATCCTTGTTCTGAAACTGACACTCTGCGTGGTCCTTGTCCTTCTATTGACCCTTTGTGCTGTCCTTGTTCTGTAGTTGACTCTCTGTGTGTTTCTTGTTCTGTCAGTAACCTTCTACTTGACCCTTGTTCTAGAGTTGACTCTGTGTGTGTTCCTGGTTCTATTACTGATTCTATGTACAGTTCTTGCTCTGCAGTTGGCTTTTTGCCTTGTTGTTGTTCTTCAATTGAAATTCTTTGTGGTCCTTGTTCTGCAGTTACTCCTCTCTGCTGTTCTGGCGGGTTTGGTGATGGTGTTGATGTTCTCTGTTCGTTAAGTTTAGGTTGATCTGGACTTTCTAATAATTTACTTTGGGTTTTGCTAGCATGATTTGCAGAAAGTAATGTATTCATCTCCAAGAGCACTTTGTCAAAACCTTCATAAATGTGTTTCTGATTATCCATGTCTCCCCACAACTCAGTCAAGTTTATCTCTTCAAATTCAATGAATGGCCCTAATGCAGAAAACAAAATATTCACTTAAACCATTGATCTTATAATGCAGAATTAGAGCTATTAAATTAATGCAAAGAAAAGCATTGAGCACAGAAATTGTAATATAGGCCTATTGCTCTAAATAAATATCAGTTATCTTTGGCTGCAACACAATAAAAAGTAAAAAGGTACCCAAAAGAACTTATACTACTGTAAGTTAGAAATCATCCCTTCCTAAAAGGTGTGATTTTGGAAATAAATAGGATTCTCCTTTTGCTACTTGGAGTGTTGCTTAGACTGCCAAGGCAAATAGAATTTGTCCTCTACCTTTGTGGTCTCCTACAATAAGCATCACATAGGGATGGGAAAAGGGACACATCTTTCATGTCAAATATATTTTCAATATTTGCAATATAAAAAGCAAGTCTTTATCCATGACAATCTTTCAATGGGGCTATGTTTTTCCAACATTCATTTCTTCCCCCTATCTCTTTCCCTCTTCTTTGTTCTTCATTCCTCAATTATTTTCCTCTACAGTTATGTGGATACCTAGAACAGAATACTAGGGAAAGACTGGATAGTATTCACAGAATCCCACTGTTAAACAACAACAATAAAACCCTGGTGTCTGTACTATAAAGAGTGGAAATCATGCCACAAGACTGTCCCCATTTCTCCCAAAACAGTAGTGGTAAGCCATAAAATTGCAATTCTCACAATTTTCAGAAATACTCCAAGTATATCACCCACAGATTTGTAAGTATCCAATTAATAAATCTTCACACAGAAATAAAATATTGACATTCTTGGCCAGGTGTGGTGGCTCAATGCCTGTAATCCCAGCACTTTGGGAAGCCAAGGCAGGTGGATGCCTGAGGTCAGGAGTTTGAGACCTGCCTGCCCAACATGGCAAAACCCCGTCTCTACTAAAAATACAAAAAAATAGCTGGGTGTGGTGGCAGGCGCCTGTAATCCCAGACACTTGGGAGGATGAGGCAGGGGGAATCGCTTGAACCTGGGAGGCAGAAGTTGCAGTGAGCTGAGATCGCGCCATTGTACTCCAGCCTCGGCAACAGAGCGAGACTCTGTCTCAAAAAAAAGACATTCTTTGGGAAACTCAGCCAGTACAATACCTTCTCTTTAAAAAAAATGAAAATAAACTGACCACAGTGGCACATCCCTGTAGTCCTGGCTACTCTGGAGGCTGAGGCAGGAGGATTGCTGGAGCCCAGGAGTTTGAAGCCAGTCTGGGCAACATAGCAAGACCCCATCTCTGAAAACGTAAAATAACATAAAATAAAAAAAAATAAAAATAAACCCCATAATTGTACTTGTTTTGGAAATAACATAAAAAGGATATTTTACTGTATAAGTAAATGCTTGGGAAAAGGAAATACTGTTCTTATACATCTTATAATTTTAAGTTGGGCATTAAAAATGGAATTACCAGGCTGGGTACGGTGGCTTACACCTACAATCCCAGCACCCAGGCATTTGAGACTATCCTTGGCAACAGGGTGAAACCTTCTCTCTATTAAAAATACAAAAAATTAGCTGGGCATGGTGGTGCACACCTGTAGTCCCAGCTACTCAGGTGGCTGAGGTGGGAGAATCATCTCCCACCTGGGAGGTTGAGGCTGCAGTGAGTCATGATCATGCCACTGCACTCCAGCCTGGGTGAGAAGAGTAAGACTCAAAAAAATTTTTTTGTTAATAAAATGGAATTACCATTACTAACTTAATTTCCAAAACATTCAGACTGTCACTAAAGCATTTCTTCATTTGAATGAATTTAGAATTGAGTTCTAGCTGAGTTCTGATATAAAATTTTTGAGTATTGCACTGTGGTGAAAAATACATCTAGTTGTGATGAAGAGTGAATTTCGTGGAGGGAATAAACAACTAGATACAGTTATCATGATCTAAGAGAGCTATTATGTGAAGGGATTCCATGGTGGTAGAATAATCTTGTGTTAACATATCAGTGTATCATATCAGTACATATCAGTGCACTGCGACACTCCAGCTTGAACATACTCCCTCTGAGCGGCACTTACATTGTCGTGGGTTTCGAAGTAAACTCCTAAGCATTTGTGAACTATGGTCATAGAACAATTCCAGCAGGGCCAATGTCCTCTGCCGATCCAAAAACCCTACCTAAGCAAAGAAGAAAGTTTGTGATTAGTTGTTACAGGAGATTTAAGATTTTTATGCAGTTGGAACGTGGCTTATTGAAGCTTTTATCATCACTATCACCACAACAATCATTATCATGTAAATAAAAGCTGCAGCATCAAAATCAAGAAAGTTATATCTTGCCTTTAGGCTTATACTCTACTTTCCCATTCTGTGACGTGTCAAAATGACCTCTACTTAGTAAATGTTTAAGAAATATTTGTGACTGACTTATTGATGGCTAAATCCAATGTATAATGTTCAGTACTTATCTTACCTGACCTGAGTATGTCACTTGAAACAATTTACCGCTCCCTACTTGTCCTTTTTCCATTGTTATTTTTAAAAAATTTTTTTGATTATAGAAAAATATAGAAAATGATAGAATTAACATATGTGTTCCCAACACCCAGAAATAATGATTGTTAACATTTTGTGTATGTGCTTTAAAAAGCCTGATATAGCAACACAGTGAGACCTCCATTGCTTCAAAAAATAAAAAATTAGCCAGGCATGGTGGTGTACACCTGTAGTCCTAGCCACTCCAGAGGCTGAGGCCAGAGGATATGTTGATTTGCAGTGAGCTATGATCATGTCACTGCAGTCCAGCCTGGCTGACAGAGCAAGACCTTGTCTCAAAAACAAAAACAAAAAAACCTGATATAGGCCAGGCGCGGTGGCTCACGCCTGTAATCCCAGCACTTTGGGAGGCCGAGGTGGGTGGATCACCTAAGGTCGGGAGTTCGAGACCAGCCTGACCAACGCAGAGAAACCCTGTCTCTACTAAAAAGACAAAAATTAGCTGGGCATGTTGGTGGGCACCTGTAATCCCAGCTACTCGGGAGGCTGAGGCAGGAGAATCACTTGAACCCAGGAGGCGGAGGTTGCGGTGAACAGAGATCATGCCATTGCACTCCAGCCTAGGCAACAAGAGCAAAATTCCATCTAAAAAAAAAAAAGAAAAAAAAGTACCTGATACAGTACGTATGTCTTTCTTCAAATTGCTTTTATTTACTCAACATTGAGATCTAATTCATATCTGTAAAGAAATATATTTTATACTTTTTAACTGCAATAAGGCATTCTGTAATATGGAAACACCATAATTAAAAAAAAACTCCTCTATTGATGGTGTTTTGATTATTTTCAGTATTTTGATATCAACGTAATGCTGCAATGGATATCCTTATACACGTCTCCTGTGTACATATGCAAACGTTTCTCTAGGATAAATAACTAGAAGTGGAATTACTGGATTGCATAATGTATGCATTTCAACTTTATTAGTTATAGCCAAATTGCTTCACAAAATGTTCATACCAATTTACATTCTTGCCAGCATTGAATGACAGTGTTATTTCTTCATATCCACATCAATACTTGATATTGTTAGAGTTTATTATTTTTTGTAATCTGATAGATAAAAATGGTATCATTATTTTAATTTGCATTTCCCTGATTACTAGTGAGATTTAATATATTTTCATGTGCTTATTATATGTATGGGTTTTTCCTCTTCTGTGAATGGATTTTTCAGATCTTTTTCCCATTTTTCAGTTGGGACCAGTTGCCTATTTCTTTTGTTTTTTTTTTGTTTGTTTTTGTTTTTGTTTTTGTTTTGAGACACAGTCTCGCTCTGTCGCCCAGGCTGGAGTGCAGTGGCATGATCTCGGCTCACTGCAACCTCCGCCTCCCGGGTTCAAGCAATTCTCCTGCCTCAGCCTCCGGAGTAGCTGGGACTACAGGCGCATGCCACCACGCCTGGCTAATTTTTGTATTTTTAGTAGAGACAGGGTTTCACCATGTTGGCCAGGGTAGTCTCAGTCTCTTGACCTCGTGATCCGCCCACCTCAGCCTCCCAAAGCAAAAATTTTAACAAGGTCATAAACCCTGTATTTTTATGGGGCTTATCTCCCATCCTCTGACACACATTAGCTGTCTTACCAAGGTATCTAATGCTACTTTACCAAGGTATCTAATGCTGCTTTCAGCTCATCAAGTCCAATCATCATGATGGATATCATGGACCTGTTCTGTGATGTCAATACAATCAAGGTCTATGTATACTAGATTACGATAGAGAAAAGAAGAACTGCCTTAGCCCTAAGAGAATGCAGTGAAAAGTATTGCTATTCTTGACAGGTGAAATCAAATTTCTTTTGGTCCTTGTAAACTTCTCTAGAGAAAACAGCATTTGCCAGACCAATAGTTGTTGTGAATGAGAGAGCTACGTCAATTTGATTCAATAAAGATTCCACACCTGGAATAGCCATGTAAATAGAGCCACAGTAATCTACATTCTTCAAGATGTAGGCTGGGCGCAGCAGCTCATGCCTGTAATCCCAGCACTTTGGGATGCTGGGGTAGGCGGATCACCTGAGGTCAGGAGTTTAAGAGCAGCCTGGCCAACACAGTGAAACCCCATCTCTACTAAAAATATAAAAATTAGCCAGGCATGGTGGCACGTGTCCTAACTACTTGGGAGGCTGAGGTAGGAGAATCGCTCGAACCCAGGAGGTGGATGTTGCAGTGAGCTGAGATCATGACACTGTACTCCAGCCTGGGTGACAGGGTGAGACTCTGTCTCACAAAAGAAAAAAAAAAAAAAGAAGTATCCTCCACCTTCTACATAGACAAAACAGGAAAATTAGATAAGAATATGATAGGATTACTTCCCCTGAATCGTTTATATATTTTCATATCTATCTCTGTGGAGTTTTTTGTTTTTGTTATATGATTATGTATTTTTTTTTTTAACATTCTGGCAGACAGGGAAAGTTCAGGAGTTTCTGTTACCATAATACCAGGTCCTTCCTACCATAATAGTCCTCAGTTCCCAAAATGGAGAACAAATGTGAAGATTCTGCTGGTTGCTGTGTGTCTATTCCAATTAAACATCCAAGAACCAGAAATAACCATAGCTAAGTCCACAGAGTAATTGGACCTATGACATAAACTTTGACCAAAATAGCATTTATTATCTGACATCTATACATCCTAACTTTACCCAGTGGTCCACGGGAGTGTTTTGGGATCCTAGGAATTGATGTTAACTTGGAATCAATATCTGGTAATCCCTGAGTCTGTGATATTTCCTTTGCCAATGCATATTTACCCTAATAAATGGCTACAGGCCCTTTGAGTAAAGCCTAGAGTAAAATCTACAATATGTACTTGAGGAAGTCTTGTCGAATTCTTCCCCAAGAGACCCAGCCTTCCCTTCAACCAAAGAGTTCTGGGTATACCAACTGACTTAAGTCTGGCATCTGGGTGAGAGGCTGAGATTCTCCATTGTGGTATCTCAACTCATGTTTCTGGACCTATAGTTAGTGCTTTTCTGTAAGTAGATCCAGTAATAATTTAGTAGGCATTATATCCATTTAATTCCTAAGGAAACTGTAATCACCAAGAAAACATTTAGATGGCCACTTTAACTCCCACTGTTCATTATGGTAATTCCAAGTATATATTCAGGAACTAACCACAGTGTGAGTCCTAGACAAACTGGATCCGTTAAAATATGGCCTTGGATCTTTGAGATTGGATCAAAATACTATTATTAATTATACTTATGAGCACTAACTTTGACTAGTGGGACTTGTCTCTGGTAGTTAAATGTCATATATCTTTTGTCACTCTAGAAGCCAATCATTTCCCTTGAAATTAGAGAGTTTACTTCAATGACAGTATCTCTCACCATCATCCCCAGGACAGCAACCATAGAACTTTTTAGTGATATTGGTGCTCCCCTCGTTAATTTCTTTAGTTATTTCTCAAGGGAATGTCATTTGGGCTGTCCTGGGCGATATGGTAGAAGTGCACATATAGAGGCTACATATGAAAAATCAATTTCAGAAATCTTGAAAGCCTTTAGATTTCTTACTGTATAGTAAGCCAAGAAGATTCCGGCATCTCAACCTCATTGAATGCAGGCTATCTTTGAGTCAAGGTTTTATTTAATCTACCAAGAAAATTGTTAAAACTATTCCCAGATATCAAAAATGTTACTGCTAAGTATATACTGCAAAGTATAGCAATACTGATAAATTTGAGGCAATCCAAAGTTATATCTATCCTTCTTAGTCTGAAAGTACTATAATCAATTCCCACACATATTCCCCAGCTTTCTGCTGCTAGAAATTAGCAAAAACTTACTGATCTCTTGGAGTACCAACACTCATCTCTCAAGACAGACTTTGAACTAGTATTCCTGGAGCAATACCAAGATCAGACTCCAATTTTGGATTTAAAGGCAATGAATGTTGTACAGGTGGATCTTGAAGAAAATAGACACCTCCTTGCAAGCTAAATGCCCCAAGAGAAGTTATTAAAGGATCTCTAAGGAAAGAAAAGCTAATATTCTCAGACAGGAGAGAAGGGGTTGCTTCTCCTGCCAAGGAAAGCTTGGGAAGATTTGTGGCTCAAGTCTCAGATTCCTCTGAGTCCACCCAAATGTAACTATTCCAAATTTCAGGGTCTCATCTATTTTCCAATGTGCTAACTTTAATGTAAAAGACTTGGCAAGTCTGTGAATTCAACTTACATCTTGATTCTGTCACATTATATTTGGGGGCTGATTTTTCATCCGTATCTGCCCTGAAGCTACAAGAAATAGAGATTTCTATATAATGATCAGGTTTTCTGACTGCAATTTGAGCTGAGAGTTTAAAGTCCTGAGCTTGTCTTTTACTTTCTATAACCTCTCTAATACTGTGAGATGAAGCCCACCCACTGATAACCCCAGGGGTCATCACTATTGTAATTATGGCCAAATGCAGCAAAAGCTTTTTTCTTTAATAGGCACTTCAACCCAAGCAACCATAAGTGATTATTTTTAAGAAAATTTTCATTAAGGAGCAACAAATATGCAATGAGGTATGCAAATCTTAAGTGTTTAGCTCACTGAATGTTTGCCACTCAGATAAAGACATAGCACATTTTCATCACTGCCAGAAGGCTCCCTTACTATTTCTTAGTCAATAATTCCTCCAAAGGTGGTGATTATTCTGATATTTATCATTATAGATTAGTTTGTTCATTTTTGTTTTTGTTTTCTTTGAGACAAGGTTTCACACTGTTGCCCAGGCTAGAATGTAGTGGCATGATCATAGCTCACTGTAACCTCTAACTTCTGGGCTCAAGCTATCCTCCTGCCTCAGCCTCCTGAATAGCTGGGACTACAGGTACCATGCCACTACACTCAGCTAACTTTTATTTATTTATTTATTTATTTTTAATTTTATTTATTTATTTATTTATTTTTGTAGAGACCAGGTCTCACTATGTTGCCCAGGCAGGTCTTGAACTCCTAGCTTCAAGTGATGCTCTTGCCTCTGACTCCTGAGTAGATAGGACTACAGGCATGCACCACGATACCCAGGTAATTTTTGTTTATTTTTTGTAGAGAGGGGGTCTCACTACATTGCCCTCACAAGTGTGAGCCACTGTGCCCAGTCCATTCTTGTCTTTTTAAATCAACTTTAGTGAAGTATAGATTCAATAAAATGTACCAATTTTAAGTGTATAGTTCAACGAGTTTTGACAATGTATACACTCATGTAACTACCACCACAGTGAAGCTGTAGAACATTTTCATTATCCCCAGAAGCTCCCTTATGTCTCTTTTTTTTTTTTTTTTTTTGGAGACAGAGCCTAGCTCTGTCGCCCAGGCTGGAGTTTAGTGGCACGATCTTGGCTCACTGCAACCTCTGCCTCCCGGGTTCAATCGATTTTCCTGCCTCAGCTTCCTGAGTAACTGGGACTACAGGCACGTGCCACCATACCTGGCTAATTTTTTGTATTTTTAGTAGAGAAGGGTGTTTGCCATGTTGCCCAGACTGGTCTTGAACTCCTAAGCTCAGGCAATCCACCTGCCTTGGCCTCCAAAGTGCTAGGATTACAGGCGTGAACCACCGTGCCCGGCCACTTATGTCCCTTCTTAATCAGTCCCCTCACTCATGGTCCCAGGAAACCACTGATCTGCTTTCTATTGTTGTAAATTACTTTTCCTTTTTCTATAATTTCATATAAATAAAATAATGGCGCATCCTTTGGTTCTGCCTTCTTTCACTTAGCATAGTATTTTTGAGATTCATCAGTGGTATTGTATCAGTGGTTCATTGTCTTTTATCACTGAGTAGTATTCCATTGTGTGAATATACTACAATTTGCTTATCATCCACAAGTCGATGGACATTTGGGTTGTCTCCAACTTAAAGCTATTATGAATGAGGCTGCTAAGAACAGTCATGTATAAGTCTTTTAGTTTTAATTATATGTTGTAATTTCTTTCATTTCATTTCTCTTAGGTATATAATCTAGGAGAGAAATTGCTGATTGATAGGTCATATAGTAAGTGTATATTTAACTCTTTAAGAAATTGTCAAACTGTTTTTGAAGTGGTTGTATCATTCCTACCAGCAATCTAAGAGAATTTAAGTTTTTCCACATCTTTCCCAACACTTGGTATTGTCAGTGTTTTTTTCTTTTTAATTATAATGAATATCAGATTTTTTTTTTCTTGTGAGATCGAGTCTTGCTTTGTTGCCCAGGCTGGAGTGCAGTGGTGTGATCTTGGCTCATTGCAAACTCCACCTCCCGGGTTCAAGCGATTCTCGTGCCTCAGCCACCCAGTAGCTGAGATTACAGGTATGGCCACAACGCCCAGCTAATTTTTGTATTTTTAGTAGAGACAGGGTTTTGCCATGTTGGCCAAACTGGTCTTGAACTCCCAGCCTGAACTGATCTGCCCACCTTGGCCTCCCAAAGTGCTGAGATTACAGGCTTGAGCCACTGTACTCTCCCAGTCTTTTTAATTTTATTCATTCCAGTAGGTTTAATTTTTATCTCACTGTGGCTTCAGTTTGCATGAAAAATTGATGATTATTTATCTGATAAATAATTGATCAGATTAATTATAATCTGATGAATAATTGAACCTATTTCGATGTGCTTATTGGATATACCTATATCTTCTTTTCTGGCATGCCCATTATTTTTTTAATTGGGTTGTTTTATAAAGTTGTAGGAGTCTTTATATGGTCCGAATGCAAGTCTTTTGTCATTAAATATATCATAAATATTTTCTCCCAGTCTATAGCTGTCATTTCATTTCTTTTACTAGTATCTTTCAAAGAGCAGAATTTTATATTTTGGTGATGTCTATTTTTTGTCAACATGGTTTTGGCTGTTGTGAGTCCTTTGAAATGCCACACAAATTTCAGAATAGTTTGTCAATTTCTGTAAATAAGTTCACTGGGATTTGGATTGGAATTGTGTTGGATTTGTAGGTCAATTTGGGGACTAACAATACTGAATTTTTTGATTCATTCATATAGTCTTTGACAGAAACAATAAAGGATCTTTCTTATTATTTAGGTCTTTCATTTCTTAGCAAATTTCATAGTTTTCAGCCTGTAGATATTTGCAAATACTTTGTTAAATGTGTTGCTAAGTATTTCACGTGTGTGATGTTATTGTAAATGGCATTTACAAATTTCATCTTCCAATATTTCTTTGCTAGTATGTAGAAATACAATTGACTTCCATGTATTGATTTTTGTATCCTGAAGCCTTGCTAAATTTATGTATTTGTTTTAGTGAATTCAACTTTTTTCTTGAGATTCCTTAGGATTTTCTACACAGAAGATCATGTAGTCTGTGAATACAGAGTTTTCTTTTTTTTTTCCTTGCTTTATTTAATTGGCTAGTACCTCCAGTACAATGTAAAATAAAAGTGGTGAGAGTGGATATCCTTGCCTTGTCCTTGTTATAAGGAGGGAATCATTAAATTTTTTACCATTGTAAGTATAGCTGTAAGTTGTTCATAGATGTGCTTTATTGGGTTGAAGAAATTTTAGTGTGTTGAGAGGTTTTTTAAAAAATTTTTGTATCAGAAATGAGTGTTGAATTTTGTCACAGCTATATGATTTTGTTTTTTGGTCTCTTAATGTGATGAATTGTTTTGATAGCTTTTTTTCTAAGAGATGGGGGTGGTCTTGCTATGTTTCCCAGGCTGGATTCGAACTCCTGGGCTCAAGCACTCCTCTTACCTCAATCTCCTCCTTAGCTTGGATTATAGGCACGTGCCACCATGCTCAGCTCTGATTTTTGAATGTTAAACCACCCTTGTATCCCTGGATTAAGCTCTATTTGATCCTTATATATCATCTTTTTAATGTACTGCTTAACCAATTTGTTAAAATTAACTTAAAGATTTTTGGGTCTATGTTCATGAGGATTGTTAGTGTATGGTTTTCTTTTATTGAAATATCTTTGTCTGGATTTAATATCAAAATAATGCTGGCCCCATAAAATGAGTTGGGAAGTGTTCCTTCCTCTTCTCTTTCTCAAAGAGTTTATGTAGATTTGAAATTATCCCTTCCTTAAATGTTCGGTAGAATTTATTAGTAATGCTATCTGGGCCAGGGGTTTTGTTTGTGGAACTTTTTTTTAGTGGTATTAATTATACTTCTTTATACATATAAGGATATCTAGTTTTCCTATTTTCTTTTGAGTTAGACTTGGTAATTTGTGTCTTTTAAGGAATTTATCCATTTAATGTAATTTGCAAATTCATTGGCATAAAGTTGTTCATAATGTTTCCTATCATCCTTTTAATGTTTGCTGGGTCTGTAATGATGTTCCCACTTTCTTTCCTGATATCAGGACAGGCATTCCTTAGAGATACCAGAGGTCCAGTTCCAGACAATGGCAATAAAATGAATATTGCAATAAAGTGAGTCACACAAATTCGCTTTGGTTTGTTAGTGCATATAAAAGCTATGTTTATGGCTGGGTGTGGTGGCTCACACCTGTAATCCCAGCACTTTGGGAGGCTGAGGCACTTGGGTCACCTGAGGTCAGGAGTTCGAGACCAGCCTGGCCAACATGGCAAAACCCCGTCTCTATTAAAAATACAAAAATTAGCTGGGCATGGTGGTGCGCGCCTGTAATCCCAGCTACTCCAGAGGCAAAGGCAGGAGAATCACTTGAACTTAGGCAGCAGAGGTTGCAGTGAGCCAAGACTGCGCCACTGCACTCCAGCCTGGGAGACAGAGCGATACTCCATCTCAAAAAAAAAAAAAGTTATGTTTATACTATACTGTAGTCTATTAAGTGCTCAATAGCTTAAACTGTAGTCTCTTAAGTGTACCATAGATTAATTGCCTAAAAAAAGTACACACCTGAATTTAAAAACACTTTATTGCTAAAAAATGCTAATGATCATCTGTGCCTTCAGCAAGCCATAGTTGTTTTGCTGGTGGAGGGTTGTACCTTAATGTTGTTGGCTACTGACTGATTAGGGTTGTGGTTGCTGAAGGTGGGTGTGTGCTGTGGCAATTTCTTAAAATAAGACAACAATGAAGTTTGCTGCATCTGTTGACTCTTCCTTTAATGAAGGATTTCTCTGTAGCATGTGATGCTGTTTGATAGCATTTTATCTACAGTAGAACTTCTTTCAAAATTGGAGTCAATTCTTTCAAACCCTACTTGCTGCTTTATCAACTAAGTTTATGTAATAATCTAAATCCTTTGTTGTCATTTCAACAATGCTAATGTCTTCACCGGGGGTAAATTCCATATCAAGAAACTATTTTCTTTGCTTATCCATTAGAAAAAATTTGTCATGCATTCAAGTTTTATCATGAGATTACAGCAATTCAGTCACATCTGCAGGCTCCATTTATAATTCTAGTTTTCTTGCTATTTCCACTATATCTGCAGCTATTTTGTCTACTGAAGTCTTAAAGCTCTCAAAGTCATCCATGAGAGTTGAAATCTCTCAAACTCCTGTTAATGTTGATATTTTGACCTCCTCCCATGAATCACAAATGTTCTTAATGGCATCTAGAATGGTGAATTATTTCCTTCCTTCCTTCCTTCCTTCTTTCCTTTCTTCCTTCCTTCCTTCCTTTCTTTCGATCTGTCAGTAAGGCAATCTTTACTTTCTGCAGAAAGGGTGCTCAATCACAGATGGAACAATGGCAAGAGAACACCTAAACAAAGGAAAAGCCGACATATTTATCCCTTACACATTTGGGTCGTCCTTACTGTTGGGTCCTGCATCCATTGGCTGGAGCTGGACTTCACACTCTTAAACTGATACCCGATTTGCTAATAGCCTAAAACTTCCCTAAATAGGTAAGTGCAGGGAAGAACAGAGAATGAGAGGAAGTTGCTTACGAAAGGTTTAAGGAAGCAAAAACATTTCCAAATAAGGAAGGGGCATAAGCTATGAGCTAAGACCTGCCTGGACCTGTCCAGACATGCCTGAGTAAGCCAAAGCAACTAACTGGGCTAAACTGTAAGAACTAATAGTTGATAGGAGGCTTTAGAGTAAGGAGCTATTATTCCTAGTGTCTATTATTTTATTTTTAAACCAAGATAAGCTTTGAAGAGGAACTTTTCTACTTTCTACAATTTCTTCCTCTTTCACTTTATAGTTTCCTCTTCAAACTCACTTAATATGTGTTGGCTTAGTTGTTTTGATTAACTTCTGGATGTATGGTACAACATAGCACCTAAGGAGTATACTTACTATAGCTGTTAAAGAGGTAAGAATTGAGGCTACTTTTTCTTCTTTTTCTGGTTGATGAAATGCCAGGGTAAAAAGGGTAGCCATCTGAACTAGAGCATAAGTACCACTCTAATTATTTGGCAGAGTGTCCAGTAAAGGTTCTCCATAATACCACCATACAACTGCTTGGGGATGGATAAGGGTGGACTGATAGGTCAGATCATGGAGGTGCCTGACTGCACTGCATCCTGTTAAGTCTCCAAGGAACGCCAAATTTTTCCCCTTGTCATTGGAGAAACGAGGTAAAATTGGTTTTGGAAGATGGAGGCTGGATGGCCCTTGGGGGCTGACCTGCAGGATGTTGAACTTCAGGAAATAGCAGAGAAAGAGCTTGGCACAATTCATTATTCCAGGCGGTGGAATCTTGAGAAAGAGCTACCATGCACTCCATGTCTACTTGATTTGAGGACCATCCTAGTGGAAAGGGGACAACCTGGGCCTCTGGCCTACTGTGCACACAAGCATAACAGTCACTTTTGCTTAAAGTGCAAATGGAATATTTAATACATTCTAACCAAGCATTTACATCTTTATACCCTGTTTCAGTGGCACTGGTTTGCCTTAGGTCTCCTATTTCTACTACTGAGACTTTGCTTTTGTCATTTGGCATGAGGTGAGGTGTGGCTTGATTTCATAGATTTGGGAAAAGGGCAGTTGTAGGAGGTGGAGAAGGGAGAACAAAGCACATCTTAAAGAAGGATCCTTTCCAGTGACCTCTGATCCTAAACCATAGAAACGCTCTAAAGTGGGGTTAGAGTTGCTAGTGGTAGGAATAGTAATGGATATAAGCACTGGGTTACACTGGTGGGATTGACAATTGGGGCAGGGGCAATCCCTTTAGTAAGGTGGAGGTATGGCTTTAAGTCGGCACATCCCTCCTCGGAGGTCCAGCCTTGATCCAGATGACATCTACCCACTGAGCATATAAATTCCAACTTGGGGTATCTTGGTACCTCCACCACAAGCAAGATGCAGGGGTGGCAGTGGTCTCCCTGGAGTGGCAGAGGTATTTTTCTGAAGTAGAGAGTTGTCTCTGGCTTTGCAAACCTCCACAAGGTATAACAAGGCAAGCATCAAATGTTATAACCTGTGGTGAATCTGATTTGGTTACACTGATGACAAGATGAGGGATAGTTAGAGGGAAGGAAAGGAAAGGAAAAGATGGAAAGATGAAGCTTTTCTTAGCTTTAATTTGGTAGGGCTTGATCCAGGAACAATGGCCCATGATTCTGATGATAACGGCACTTGCTTGACTCGGGTGTGATGTGTCCATCCCCTTTCCACCGTACTTGGTGGTTAGCAGCACGAGGTAGGGTCCTTCCCAGGCTAGCTTGAGTTTCCCTTCTTTCCACCCTTTGGTGAGGATGTGGTTCTCAGGATGGTGTTGGTTTACCGGAAATTCTAAGGGTGGTAGCTGTGCTAAAAGACGGCTCCTGCGGCTTCTCCTTGTATGGTCTGTGCACAGACTCGGCACCGCAGTATGTGAGGATCCTTTACCCCAGGTTGCTGGCTGGTTTCTTTCTGCATTGCTGAGAGTTTGGGTTTATTCGTCACACCAGGTGGGTCTCGGTCCCTTACCCCTGAGGCCACCACAAGAGGCGGTGGGGCGCCTCCTCATGAGAAAGGACCAGAGACCAACACCAGAGGAGAATGTATCCCCATATGGGCCACCAAAATTGTTAGAAATACCAAAATTGTTAGAAATAGATAATTGGTGCCAAGAAGAAAAATCAGCATGGATACAAAAGATCTCTCAGCAAGGCTATCTTTACTTTCTGCAGAAAGGATGCTCAATCACAGATGGAACAGTGGCAAGAGCACCTAGAATGGTGAATTATTTATAAAAGATTTTCAATTTGCTTTGCCCAGATCCATCAAAGGAATCACTATCTATGGAAGCTATAGCCTTATGAAATGTATTTCTTAAGTAACAAGACTTGAACGTCAAAATGACTGACTCCTTGACCATGGGCTGCAGAACGGATATTGTGTTATTAGGAATGAAAACAACATTCATCTCCTTGTACATCTCCATCAGAGCTCTTGGTTAACCAGGCGCATCTCAATGAACAGTAATATTTTGAAAGGAATCTTTTTTTCTGAGCAGTAGGTCTCCACAGTGTGATTAAAATATTCAGTAAACCATGCCACAAACATATCTACTGTTATCTAGGCTTTGCTGTTTCCTTTATAGAGCACAGGCAGAGTAGATTTGGCATAATTCTTAAGGGCTAGGATTTTTGGAATGGTCAATGAGCACTGGTTTCAACTGAAAGTCACCAGCTGCACTAGCCTCTAAGAAGAGAGTCTGCTAGGCCTTTGAAGCTTTGAAGCCAGGCATTGACTTCTCTCAGAAATAAGGCTGTTTGCTTTCTTATGACTTGTGTCTTTGTGGGAGTAGTGCTCTTAATTTCCTTCAAGAACTTTTCCTTGCATTCACAACTTGGCTAACTGGAGCAAGGGGCCCAGCTTTCAGCCACCTCTTGGCTTTCAACATGCCTTCCTTACTAAGATTAATCATTTCTAGCTTTTGATTTAAAGTGAGAGATATGTGACTCTTCCTTTCACTTGCACACAATTAATAACCCTTTCTAGGGTTATTAATTGGCCTAATTTTAATATTGTTGTATCTCAGGAAATAGGGATGCTTAAAGCATTCCCCTATATAGTAAATATTTCATTAACTTCTCTCTTTTTCTTCATTTATAAACAATGCATCAAGAATTTTCTTTGCATGTGTATTTTTTAATTTACTAATACTTTTATTTCTATGGAATAAAAATTTCAGGAATGGCTTGCCTGGCTGAAGCACGTATGCATTTTTCATTTAAGTAGATATATCCAGAATGCTTTGCAAAGATACAACTATTAAATTTTCACCAGGAATGTTTGAGAAATGTTTTTCTTCTATTCATATCAGTGATAGGTATTATCATTAAAAACTATTTTTGGTCACCTATTGAGTATATAGTGATTCCATGAATTGTGTGTTCATATCTTTCGCCCATATTTTGGGGGGTGGGGGTGCTTATATAGAGTCCTGCCATCAGAGAAAGGAGAGTCTAGCTCAATGCCAGCCACAGTACTTGTTGACTGTGACTGTGGTGTATGTACTTCATCTCATTGAGTCATTTGGAAGTTTTATTTTGGTATTTGCTATTTATGTCCATAGTTATCCTTGTCCTAACCCAGGTGTCTTCTTGGGGGTACTCCCAGAACTTTCACAGTCATCATCTCTGCACACCGACTGTCCTTTACACACAGGTATTTAGGAATACTCATCATCTTTCCTCTGGCCACAGGAGTGAAAGGGAGTATCTTCAGGCCCATCTACCTACACCCTACCTTCTATAGCTGCTACTCTTTCTCTTTAGTGCCATGTTGGATTTAGCACTTCTCTATGAAGCTTGTAGTCTCTGAGCTACACCTAGAAAATGAAGTGTAAGTGCCTGCTGTTCTTAAATTTCCTCTCAACCTACCTGGAATTTCCAGGGGTATCAATAATGTTGCCCTCAATCTCCAACCATGATTGGAGCTCAGGAATGGGAGATCAGGTGCTAACTCTGACTTAGGGACCCAGACAACCTTTAAATTCTAGTCACACACACTCCAACCTCCTTCTCTCTTCAGCTGGTCACAATTTCCCATTGATAGAATAACTGCTTTGATGCCATATTTTGCATTCTTCTTTACTTTATGATTCTCCATTATTTCTTAAGAGCCCAGCATTTTCCATTTAAAGTCTGGGCTTTTAGAACTTTTGTCTCAGCTGCTGGTTAAAAAGATACATTCGAGGCTGGATGTGGTGGCTCACGCCTGTAATCCCAGGGCTTTGGGAGGCCAAGGTGGGAAGATCTCTAGAGCTGGGAGATCAAGAACAGCCTGGGCAACATAGTGGGACTCTGTTTCTAAAAAATTTAAAAATTAGCCAGGCATGGTGGTACATGCCTGTAGTCTTAGCTATTTGGGAGGCTGAGGTTGGGGGATTACTTGAACCCAGAAGGTAGAGGCTGTAGTGAGGTATGATGATGCCGCTGCATTCTAGCCTGGGTGATAGAGTGAGGCTCTGTCTCTCACAGGTGCAATCTCCCTCTCTCTCTCTCTCTCTCTAATATTATATATATAATTATATATTATATATGTGTATTATATATAATTATATATTATATATGTGTATTATATATAATTATATATTATATATGTGTATTATATATAATTATATATTATATATGTGTATTATATATAATTATATATTATATATGTATATTCTATATTTATATATACATACATTATATATGCATATATAATATACATATATATTATAAGATATATTTATACATACATATATTATATTATATATAATAATATATTATATATTATATATAGAGTGCCTCATATATATTTATATATTAAATATGTATAAATATATGGTTATATATAAAATATATATAAATATATGGTTATATATAAAATATATACAAATATATAGTTATATATATGCATGTGTGTGTATAAGACATATACATAGTCATTATGTTATGCATTTTGGGGCTTTGTTCCCAGATATATATTCCATTCAGAAACTCATCTAACTTCTTTTTTTGAGACTCTATCTTTCCTCTGAAGGGGTTAAAATATGCTATTCTGGCATATTGACTAAGTTAAAGATACTTGAAAAGCAACAGATATGAGAAGATCACTTGACCTTCGTGCTGTTTCTTCAAAGCAGAAGATGAAATTCCCCTGTGAAAGTAACTCTCCCTATACTATAAGGAAAGGCATAATTGTTATCTTCAAGGATGAGAAGTTGAGACCAACAGAATACTGTACAGACCTTGTTAGAATAACTCTTATAAGACTCCCCACATAATTTAATCACATTTTCACGGTTTACTGTTCTTTGTCCAATCCAGTACATAAGTAACTGGCTCTAACTGCTTCTTTGGGTCTTCATTTCCTTAAGAGGACTCCTGTGCCATATAAAACTTGTAACTAAATTTGTATGGTTTTCTCCTGTTATTCTATCTTCTGTCAGTTTAATGCTCAGACCCAGCAGGAATCCTACGAGGATGGAAGTGTAGTTTTTCTGCCCCTGCACTTTCAATATCAGCATATAACTACTGCTTGAATGATGGGAAGAAAAGCAAAGAATGAAAGCAAACCTCAATTAATTGCTCTAAATATTATCCCACTATGTTTGTTACAGCACACGAATTGGTGTTAAATTGGCCAACAGAGAATAGTTGTCCTTCAGGCATTTTACCAGGGAGTAAAACTTTGACACTTGTCACTCAATATTTATTACAAGCTCTGTTAAAAGAAGCAATATTCAATAAGGATTAACTGAAAGACACATAGACATTTCAGATTTTATAAAATATATTCCTGACTTCATTTAAATTAGCAGGAATCTAAGAACCTAGATTGCAATATATCGGTTCTTTTAAGAATTGCTTTTTCTGAATTGCAGTCCAGTGTGGCATCGTTTGCCTACATTTGAAGTAACTATAAGAAACTGCCCTAAAAAAGTCATTGTTTAATTTATTACAAGCCCATCATGAAAGATTTTGACTTCAGCACATAAGGGCCCCTTTATAAAGAGAAGCTCCTAACTATAATTTGAACCCCAAATTTCTGTGCTTCTTAGCACTTGTTTGTAATTATCTTATAAACATTGTTAATAGTGTGTTTGGTCATGTTTCCCTTTTCACATTCACTGCTAGGAAGCTCAGATCCAAGCTTGTAAACAACCCACAATGACTATTTAGGTCATTATGTTATGCATTTTGGGGCTTTGTTCCCAGCTTCATTTACTATCCCCTCTCTTATTTTTTTCTTCTTTCATCCTACTTTTAGTTTACATTTTGTTTTTGCATCTTATCTATTCTTGCAGGCTTACTTAAATTCTTTCTGGACATGGAGATACAAACAAATAAATATAAGGTTCATAAACAAATATATTTCAGTAAAGTTTGTATCTATTTTGTAGATATGGGGTTTCACCATGTTGTCCAGGCTGGTCTCAAACTCCTGGGCTCAAGTAATCCACCAGCCTCAGCCTCCTAAAGTGCTGGGATTACAGGCGTGAGCCACAGTGTCTGGCCAAGAAGCAATTATTTAAATGTCTTAACCCACCTTCCCGTGGTCACAATGTAGGAAGAGTTCAGCGAACATCTGCCTCCGCATGTCAGCTTTTATGACCTCCCGAAATTCATCTGCAGAGTGGCAAAGGTGCTTAAGAAGTTCCTCAAACATTTCACTCTTCAAGTCTTTAATATGTGAAGAGATGTACTACAGGGGAAAAAAAAGAGGATAAACGATTGACTTAAAACCATGCTCTACTTGGATTTTCCCCAGGATTCAACCAATGTGCATGAAATACATTGGCTGTAAAATGTTTCCATATGATTTGCTTATCACTTAGATGAAGCATTTTCATGCTAGCTGCTGTAAAAGCTGTGATGCAGAGAGAGGTAACTAATGCAGTCCCCAATACCACACATCAGTGGGACTAGATATTTTTGGAGCAATTTCCCTCTATATCACATCAACATTATATAGGGCAGACTTTCCTCACAGTATGAAATAGCAGTAGTTGCCTGTAAAATGCTACCTGCAAATTAAAAGTCCTAAAAATTGAATGCAGTTTTTCTATGGTATATGGTATATAAAAGCATGTGTATTGCAAGACTGGCTGCATTTAATTACTGGAGTGTAAGCGACAAGGATCATGGGTGGCTTTTTGTTTTTTGATATTGCAATAAGATATCCTTTGTCTATGATCTTCTTTTAAAGTATAGGGACTGAAAACGTCTATACTCTTCGGCCATTTCTCTTGATCCCTGTTGAGTAGATTCCCAGAAGTGGAATTTCTAGCTTAGAGGATTAATGCACCTGAATATTTTGTAGGTTTGACATGGGGCTTGCCCACTTTTGCACTCCTATGACTAATGCATGAGTGATTATTTCTTCTCAGCCTCACCATCAGTGTATATTGGCATCTGGGTTTTTGCCAATTTGATAGGTCAGGAACGAATTACATTCTTGGTCTACACTTTAAGAGATAGAAGGTATCCTGTGATAGAGAGAAGTGATCAAGCACTGCAAGAGTTTCTGAGTGCACTCCTTTTAAAGTGTGAGCTCGGCCGGGCACGGTGGCTCACGCCTGTAATCCCAGCACTTTGGGAGGCCGAGGCGGGCGGATCACAAGGTCAGGAGATCGAGACCATCCTGGCTAACACGGTGAAACCCCATCTCTACTAAAAATACAAAAAATTAGCCGGGCGTGGTGGCGGGCGCCTGCAGTCCCAGCTACTCGGGAAGCTGAGGCAGGAGAATGGCGTGAACCCGAGAGGCGGAGCTTGCAGTGAGCCGAGATGGCGCCACTGCACTCCAGCCTGGGCGAGAGTGCGAGACTCCGTCTCAAAAAAAAAAAAAAGTGTGAGCTCAGCTCACAGCCGATGATTTCCTCCCCTGCCTCACGCACAGAGGTAGCCAAAGTTACACTGCATGATCCCACTTCCATAGCCATAAATGATTGAACCAGGGGGAACACTTAAGGCCATTCAGATTCTCTCCACTAGGAATTGGGGATTAGAACTGAGTAACAGCCAGTTAATCTGAGTGGGCCTGAATTTGTGAATGTGTAGTCGAGGCAAAATTTTACCTCTACTCTCTTAGGGTCTTTGGCTGGGCCTGAGAATTAAATTGACATAAGATAGGTTAGCAGGAGAAAGGAATAAAGATTTAATATAAATTTTATGTGACATAGGAGCTGTCATAAAGAAATGAAGATCCAAAGAAATGGCAAAAACTACATGCTTTTATTAATATATTGAGTTGAACAAAGAGAGGCAATTGTGGAAAAGTAACTAAATTATGTTGGGAAACTAAAAGGAAGATAATAATTATTTTAACAAGGTCTGTTTGTACAGAATTCTCTCAGCTAAGACTCCCAGTTGAATAATGTTTCCTTTCTCCTGATACAGGGAGGACATCTTTTACATGGGAGATTTTAACTTCCTATTCTCCAGAAGAAAAAGAGATTAGAATGCCCTTCTTGTATCTATTTTTCAAGTGCCTTTAGCTGAAAGTAATCCTTATGCCAAAGTGGAATGTTTCGGGGTAGCATATTTTGCCACCCTTCAAATGTAAATTTAAGAGTTTTGGGGTGGCCAGATTCCTCCATGTGAACTGAGACTGCCGGGAAAGTCTGTTATGGAGAGAAACAGATGAAATGCAAAGCAGAGAGAAACAGTCTTAACACTTTCCAAGTCCTTGTTCTAGTCTCTTCCTGAAGCCCTTGGATTGTGCACATTTCATATTCAGTTGTACATATTCAGCTCAGGTTGGTTTCTGGTTCTTGTAATTAGCATGTATTTAACATGGTTTGTAAAAATCATGTTCCACTTTAGTAATTTGTTTAAAATGGAACATGTTTTTGGCATATTTCATTGACATATAATTTTTATTTTTATTTTTTTAGAGACAGGGTCTCACTCTGTTGCCCAAGCTGGAGTGCAATGGTGCAGTGGCACAATCATGGCTCACTGCAGCCTTGGTCACAAGACTCAAGTGATCCTCCTACCTCAGCCTCCTGAGTTGCTGGGACTACAGGTACGAGCCACCACACCTGGCTAATTAAAAAAAAAAATGTGTGTGTGTAGAGATAGGGTCTCACTATGTTGCCCAAACTGGTCTCAAACTCCTGGGCTCAGGTCATCTTCCTGCTTCAGCCTCTCAAAGTACTGAAATTACAGGCATGAGCCACTGTACCCAGCATCATTATCATTATTCTTGATGGATCAATGCACACAGTTAAGTTCTTAGCTGTTACCATGGGAACAAGCAGAGTAGTGGAAGTGGTTAAGAACTCACTCTGAAGCCTGTCTGGGCTCAACTCCCTGTTCTCATATCCGTTCATTTGTGAAATGGGTATCACAGTAGTAGTTACCTCACTGAGTTATGGTATGTACGATCTGGGTGTTTCACGTAGTAAGTTCTCTTCAGCCATTGTGTTTGTCTACTCTTGAGGTAGGTAACAAATTGGCCAAGAACATCTTCTTCATTAAATAAACAGTCCTCTTAGCTGATAAACAACTTTAGAAGGAGAAAACCCAACAAGATCAGCGGTTCTCAAAGTGTGATCCCTAGACCAACAGCATCAGCATCATCTGAGAACTTGTCAGAACTGCAAATTTTTAGGCCCCACCCCATATTTACTGAATCAGAAATTCTGGGAGTAGGGCCCAATAATCTATAGTTTAACAAGCCTCCCTGGTGATTCTGATGCTTGTTAAAGTTTGAGAACCACTGAACTACATGATCTGGGGTATCTGGTCCTGATTAGTCCCGTATCCTAAGATCCTGTTGTTTGATCCTTAATGACTTTTTACTTGACTAGTAGGTATTTTTCTATATTACTCATAAGTCAGAATTATTGAATAATTGACCTTTTCTGGCAACAATGTAGCTCAATCCTCTAATGCTGAAAAAAAAATTGGTATTTGGAAGAACACCAATTTTAAATTAAGTGTTTGGGAATTGACTTCAAAGCCATATGAGCTTTCTGGCTGTGGGAATGCTATTGAATCAATAATTAGTTTTAAAAGGTTTAGGCAGGAGGATCACTTGAGGCCAAGAGCTTGAGGCCAGCCTGAGCAACATAGGAAGACCTCATCTCTACAAAAGATTTAAAAATTTAGCCAAGAGTGGTGGTGCACGCTTGTAGTCCCACTCAGGAGGCTGAGGTGGGAGGATCACTTGAACCCAGTAGTTCAAGGTTTCAGTGAGCTATGATCACATCACTCCAGCCCAGGCAACAGAGCGGGACCCTGTTTCAAAAAAAAAAAAAAGAATTAGTTAAAAAACCTTTCTCTGGGCTGGGCGCAGTGGCTTACGCCTGTAATCCCAGCACTTGGGAGGCCGAGGTGGGCGGATCACCTGAAGTCAGGAGTTCAAGACCATCCTGGCCAACATGGTGAAACCTCATCTCTACTAAAAATAAAAAATTAGCCAGGCATAATGGTGGGTGCCTGTAATCCCAGCTACTTAGGAGGCTGAGGCAGGAGAATTGCTTGAACCCGGGAGGCAGAGGTTGCAATGAGCCGAGATTGCACCATCTCACTCCAGCCTGGGCAACAGAGCGAGCGAGACTCCGTCTCAAAACAAACAAACAAACAAACAAACCTTTTTCTGAGAGACACTTCTGGATTTTTCATCCCTGAAAGTTCTGATGGAAAAAAAAAATATTCTGGAGCTATAGTCTGTCGGTTTTCTGAGTTAGCATATTCTGATTGTTCTGTAAGTTTAGGCTAGCTGGCATAAAGACTAACAGTTGGCGATATCAACTACAAATCAAATTCCAGATAATTACAGAAGTTTGCCAATGTCTCTTGTAAAAACAGAAAAAGGTGAAAATCGATGGGAGCCTTTGTGTTTTCATACCTTTCCAAGGAAAGATTGCTTAATTTAAGAATATAATTACCAATACCTTTCAGTTAATATCTCTGTGAGATGTTAAACATTTGAACTGTACTTAGTCAAGTTATCTCTATGTGCTAAGTCCCAATGTAATGAATTCTGGGATTTTCCTTTCTGACTTAATGCTGAGAATGTGGTAAATATCACATTTAATAGCTATTATAAGATTCTATAGCTCTGGGCCAGTGGGATTCATACTTATTTAATTGTAGACATACTGAAGAGTTGATGAAGTGGGTGATATAAGAGCAATAGAAAGAAAACTATGTTTGGAAACTATCTATCTTAGGTATTAACTTCCAAACGGTATTTGTAAGCCCTGGTAGTATACGAGGAGTGCAAACAAGGAGTACAGAATATTGAAGTACTCAGGTTATATTTGTTATCTATCACTGAAGAAATGGTGTGTTCCTATAGCCTGTGGGCAGAAAATTAGCTTTCCAGTTTTAGGGAGGAAACTTTAAAAAAAAAAAAAAAGATTAGTGCTAATTATATACAGACAGCCCCTGACTTATGATGGTTCAATTTAACAATTTTTCCACTTTATGATGACACAAAAGTGATATGCATTCAGTACTTTGAAGTACCTATACAACAATTCTGTTTTTCACTTTCAGTATAATATTTAATAAATTACATGAGCTACTCAACACCTCATTATAAAATAAGCTTTTTGTTAGATGATTTTGCGACTGTAGGCTAATATAAGTGTTCTGAGCACATTTAAGATGGGCTAGGCTAAACTGTGATGTTCAGTAGGTTAGATGAATTAAATGCATTTTTTACTTAGATATTTTCAACGTACAATGAATTTACCAGGATGTAATCCCATCATAAGTCAAAGAGCATCTGTACTTAACAAAGTAGTAACATACTTTTAACTCTTCTGATTTTTCAAAACTTTGCTTAACAAATGAATTGAACAAAGGCCACATTTATTATCTAGTAATAATAAAAATGACAAATTAAAAATGTGCCTCTGATGGTGAACGATAGCTTAGGTAATGTTATAAGCTAAGTTTTACTCCCTAAAATTAATATGTTGACAGCCTAACCCTCGGTATCTCAAAATATAACTGTATTTGGAGATAGGGTCTTTAAAGAGGTAATTAAATTAAAATGAGGTCAATAGGGTGGGCTCTAATCTGACTAGTGTTCTTAAAGAAGAGGAAATTTGGACTTAAAGACATGTACAGAGTGTACAGACTATGAAGACAAGGGCAAAAATCAGCCATCTACAAGCCAATGAGAGAGGCCCTCAGAAGAAACCAACCCTGCCAACACCTTGTCTCAGCCTTCTAACTTCCACAGTTGTGAGGAATTAAATTTCGGTTGTTTAAACCTCTCAATCTGTGGTACTTTGGTATGGCAGCACTAGCAAACTAATACAGCCAATAAGGATTTGTTGATCAGGCAGGTCCTTGATTTATGTTTCCCATAGTTGAAGACTGCCTAGGAAGAGACACATCCAATTGGAGGGTAGTTCACCTATTTTCCCGGCTTAAAATTCTCTCATTTCTCCCCAAGTTTTTCTCATATATTTTCACAACATACTTGCCTCAACCTCGCCAAAAGCTGTGATTATTTTTTCTGTCTTTCCATGCTACAGCTCAAAGCACATAAAAAACAAAATGAGCAAAACAAGCAAAAAATACAAGATACAGATGAACTAGAGACAGAATAGAAAGCCATTCAGATAAATATCATTGTAAGAAAAATGCACAGCCTGGATTTATTAGAGTATATTAAAGGAAAGACAGAATCTTTGGGTACAGTTGACGAAGCCTTTCTCTTTAAAATTTAAACTTGGAGCCACATCAGTTTGAAGGCCTCAGATTGTATGACTGATATTAAACAATCCCATAAGGAAGTGACCATCTCAGAGTGGACCACCACTGAGCAAGAACAGAATGGGTCCCAAAAAAGAGAATCCAGGCAGAGGCATGGCCCTTATTCCTCCTGGCTAAGGGATACAACAGTTCCTCCGTGTAGCAGAATCAAAAGTCAATATCTGAATCCCATACTTTCTAGTATTTGTAGTTTTGCATATAATTATTCTTAAACCCATTATATGATTCAGGAGTGGACCTCAGACTGCTTGAGGCCCAGGTCTACTGAAGAATGCACCTGGGAAACTGACCTTTGCTTTATATAGTCTCATAGTAAAGAAGAATGTATTGGGTGTTTTCACTTGCCCCTGGTAAGCAGGAAGACGTGGGGCTAGAGTCGCCACAATAATCAGGTGGGCAGTAAGGTCTGGACAGCATGTAAGTATAGCCAAGTAAACTCCTCAAATCGAGTGACCAAGTGCCTCACTTTGCCTGGAACCAAAAACCTGGTTTTAACACAGAAAGTTTCATGTTCCAGAAAACTCCTCAGTCCCAGGCAAGCCAGGATGGCTTGACACCCTATACCTCGATGCATGCCGATGGTATAATCCCTGTGGAGACCTTTGGGAGACTTCTGTTTGGACGTATGCTGTATCATATCCTGCTTTACATAACAAACTGTCTATATCTGTATCCTTTGCCATAAAAGAAACGTCACAGCCTTTAGCTGTGTCTGCAGCATCTTTCTGTCATCATTCCATTGGGACAACCACACCTAATAAAGTATAAAGAGAGTTCATATTCTGTGGTATACATGTGAAGAAGTTCAGAATATGCCACCCCCAAATATGCTACTTTGCCATAAGAATTATTCTGAGCTAAAAGTGCCTAAAAAAAAAAAAAAAAAAAAAAAAAAGACTGGTGTGGCTGGGCATGGTGGCTCACGCCTGTAATGCCAGCACTTTGGGAGTCCGAGGTGGGCAAATCACGAGGTCAGGAGATTGAGACCATCCTGGCTAACACGGTGAAACCCTGTCTCTACTAAAAATACAAAAATTAGCCAGGCCTGGTGGCAAGCGCCTGTAGTCCCAACTACTTGGGAGGCTGAGGCAGGAGAAAGGCATGAACCTGGGAGGCAGAGCTTGCAGTGAGCTGAGATTGCGCCACTGCACTCCAGCCTGGGCGACAGAGCGAGACTCCATCTCAAAAAAAAAAAAAAAAAAAAAAAAAAAAAAAAAAAAAAAAAAAGGTACAAGGAGGTACAAGGAAATCATTCTGACCTCCTTTTGTCTTTTAAAAGCAGAAGATGAAATTTTCTTGTGAAAGATGCCCCCTGCTGGGCATAGCGGTTCACACCTGAAATCCCAGAACTCTGGGAGACTGAAGTAGGAGGATCACTTGAGGTCAGGAGTTTGAGACCAGCCTGGGCAACATAGCAAGATCCCATTTCTACAAAAAAATTAAAACACAAAAGAAATATGCCCTCTCTATACTAGAAGGAAAGCAATATTCTTATCATCAAGGATGGGAAGGTGAAACCAAGAGAATTCTGTATGGACCTTGTTAGAACAATAAAATGAGAGGAACATGTACAACTAAAAAAGTCCTGGAAATAAAAGAGAACTCTCCTACCTAAAAAGTTAATTAAATTTTTAATAACTACATTAATGACGTTTGAATAAAACAAATATACTTTTATAGTGGTTTTCTTTTGCTGGTAAACAAATTAACCAACTAGATAATGAAATGAAAGAGTAGATCCTCTGTCAGATTAAATGATGGGAATTTCAGAAAGGATCTGCCTAACAACACCTGCATACTCTTGGCCTGAACACAAGACAATGCAGCTTGTTTTTCTAATGGAAGTCCACTGAAGTCTAAGGGATAAGACTTCTATGTCTTTTCAAACTTGTATAGGGAACTCGGCACCAGTGTTAAAAGTGATACAAATTGTTAAGTTTTGTCTCTTGGAATGAGTTGTCTTTTGGGGATCAAAGTGTTCTGATTATTTATTTATTTATTTATTTATTTTTTATTATTATTATACTTTAAGTTTTAGGGTACATGTGCACAATGTGCAGGTTAGTTACATATGTATACATGTGCCATGCTGGTGTGCTGCACCCATTAACTCGTCATTTAGCATTAGGTATATCTCCTAATGCTATCCCTCCCCCCTCCGCCCACCCCACAACAATCCCCAGAGTGTGATGTTCCCCTTCCTGTGTCCATGTGTTCTCATTGTTCAGTTCCCATCTATGAGTGAGAACATGTGGTGTTTGGTTTTTTGTCCTTGCGATAGTTTACTGAGAATGATGATTTCCAATTTCATCCATGTCCCTACAAAGGACGTGAACTCATCATTTTTTATGGCTGCATAGTATTCCATGGTGTATATGTGCCACATTTTCTTAATCCAGTCTATCATTGTTGGACATTTGGGTTGGTTCCAAGTCTTTGGTATTGTGAATAGTGCCACAATAAACACACATGTGCATGTGTCTTTATAGCAGCATGATTTATAGTCCTTTGGGTATATACCCAGTAATGGGATGGCTGGGTCAAGTGGTATTTCTAGTTCTAGATCCCTGAGGAATCGCCACACTGACTTTCACAATGGTTGAACTAGTTTACAGTCCCACCAACAGTGTAAAAGTGTTCCTATTTCTCCACGTCCTCTCCAGCACCTGTTGTTTCTTGACTTTTTAATGATTGCCATTCTAACTGGTGTGAGATGGTATCTCATTGTGGTTTTGATTTGCATTTCTCTGATGGCCAGTGATGATGAGCATTTTTTCATGTGTCTTTTGGCTGCATAAATGTCTTCTTTTGAGAAGTGTCTGTTCATACCCTTTGCCCACTTTTTGATGGGTTTGTTTGTTTTTTTCTTGTAAATTTGTTTGAGTTCATTGTAGATTCTGGATATTAGCCCTTTGTCAGATGAGTAGGTTGCGAAAATTTTCTCCCATTTTGTAGGTTGCCTGTTCACTCTGATGGTAGTTTCTTTTGCTGTGCAGAAGCTCTTTAGTTTAATTAGATCCCATTTGTCAATTTTGGCTTTTGTTGCCATTGCTTTTGGTCCTTGCCCATGCCTATGTCCTGAATGGTCATGCCTAGGTTTTCTTCTAGGGTTTTTATGGTTTTAGGTCTAACGTTTAAGTCTTTAATCCGTCTTGAATTAATTTTTGTATAAGGTGTAAGGAAGGGATCCAGTTTCAGCTTTCTACATATGGCTAGCCAGTTTTCCCAGCACCATTGATTAAATAGGGAATCCTTTCCCCATTGCTTGTTTTTCTCAGGTTTGTCAAAGATCAGATAGTTGTAGATATGCGGCGTTATTTCTGAGGGCTCTGTTCTGTTCCATTGATCTATATCTCTGTTTTGGTACCAGTACCACGCTGTTTTGCTTACTGTAGCCTTGTAGTATAGTTTGAAGTCAGGTAGCATGATGCCTCCAGCTTTGTTCTTTTGGCTTAGGATTGACTTGGCGATGCGGGCTCTTTTTTGGTTCCATATGAACTTTAAAGTAGTTTTTTCCAATTCTGTGAAGAAAGTCATTGGTAGCTTGATGGGGATGGCATTGAATCTATAAATTACCTTGGGCAGTATGGCCATTTTCATGATATTGATTCTTCCTACCCATGAGCATGGAATGTTCTTCCATTTGTTTATATCCTCTTTTATTTCATTGAGCAGTGGTTTGTAGTTCTCCTTGAAGAGGTCCTTCACATCCCTTGTAAGCTGGATTCCTAAGTACTTTTATTCTCTTTGAAGCAATTGTGAATGGGAGTTCACTCATGATTTGGCTCTCTTTTTGTCTGTTATTGGTGTATAAGAATGCTTGTTATTTTTGTACATTGATTTTGTATCCTGAGACTTCGCTGAAGTTGCTTATCAGCTTAAGGAGATTTTGGGCTGAGACAATGGGGTTTTCTAGATATACAATCATGTCATCTGCAAACAGGGACAATTTGACTTCCTCTTTTCCTAATTGAATACCCTTTATTTCCTTCTCCTGCCTAATTGCCCTGGCCAGAACTTCCAACACTATGTTGAATAGGAGTGGTGAGAGAGGGCATCCCTGTCTTATGCCAGTTTTCAGAGGGAATGCTTCCAGTTTTTGCCCATTCAGTATGATATTGGCTGTGGGTTTGTCATAGATAGCTCTTATTATTTTCAGATACGTCCCATCAGTACCTAATTTATTGAGAGTTTTTAGCATGAAGGGTTGTTGAATTTTGTCAAAGGCCTTTTCTGCATCTATTGAGATAATCATGTGGCTTTTGTCTTCAGTTCTGTTTATATGCTGGATTACATTTATTGATTTGCATATATTGAACCAGCCTTGCATCCCAGAGATAAAGCTCACTTGATCATGGTGGATAAGCTTTTTGATGTGTTGCTGGATTCGGTTTGCCAGTATTTTATTCAGGATTTTTGCATCAATGTTCATCAAGGATATTAGTCTAAAATTCTCTTTTTTTGTTGTGTCTCTGCCCGGCTTTGGTATCAGGATGATGCTGGCCTCATAAAATGAGTTAGGGAGGATTCCCTCTTTTTCTATTGATTGGAATAGTTTCAGAAGGAATGGTACCAGTTCCTCCTTGTACCTCTGGTAGAATTCGGCAGCGAATCCATCTGGTCCTGGACTCTTTTTGGTTGGTAAGCTATTGATTATTGCCACAATTTCAGAGCCTGTTATTGGTCTATTCAGTGATTCAACTTCTTCCTGGTTTAGTCTTGGGAGAGTGTATGTGTCGAGGAATTTATCCATTTCTTCTAGATTTTCTAGTTTATTTGAGTAGAGGTGTTTGTAGTATTCTCTGATGGTAGTTTGTATTTCTGTGGGATCGGTGGTGATATCCCCTTTATCATTTTTTATTGCGTCTATTTGATTCTTCTCTCGTTTTTTCTTTATTAGTCTTGCTAGTGCTCTATCAATTTTGTTGATCCTTTCAAAAAACCAGCTCCTGGATTCATTAATTTTTTGAAGGGTTTTTTTTGTCTCTATTTCCTTCAGTTCTGCTCTGATTTTAGTTATTTCTTGCCTTCTGCTAGCTTTTGAATGTGTTTGCTCTTTCTTTTCTAGTTCTTTTAATTGTGATGTTAGGGTGTCAATTTTGGATCTTTCCTGCTTTCTCTTGTGGGCATTTAGTGCTATAAATTTCCCTCTACACACTGCTTTGAATGTGTCCCAGAGATTCTGGTATGTTGTGTCTTTGTTCTCGTTGGTTTCAAAGAACATCTTTATTTCTGCCTTCATTTCGTTATGTACCCAGTAGTCATTCAGGAGCAAGTTGTTCAGTTTCCATTTAGTTGAGTGGTTTTGAGTGAGTTTCTTAATCCTGAGTTCTAGTTTGATTGCACTGTGGTCCGAGAGATAGTTTGTTATAATTTCTGTTCTTTTACATTTGCTAGTGTTCTGATAATTTAAAACAAACCTGATATAGTCCTAAAACATATTTCTAAACACTTGACTTATAAAACAAAACAAAATAAACCAGTATATTCTACCTTTTAAATTGTTTCCGTCAGTATATGAATTTTGAAAACATTGTTCTTAAGGTTCTTTCTGAAGTAAGGAAACAAAGTGGAAGGTGGAAGAAAATTAAAACTCACGACCACCAGACGAGTTTCCTACACTTAACCCACCCTGCTGAAGTCTCACTTTTCTTCTGCTATGCATCCCTCAGCAGCAATGAATATACTAGTTTATAATGTTTGCATCTGTTCATTGCCGTCTGTTCATTGCTTTGTAATTATATGTGTGTGTTTGTGTGCACGTGCTTGTGTGCGTGCCTGCATGTGTCCTTAATTTACTAATATTTTGATCCTCTCCTTCTCTGGTTCTACCCTAGTCCAATCCAGTATGTCTGTGCACATGTGTGTCTCCAACCCTCAGACGGGGAAATAAATTCCTGCATATACCTACAGACACACTCCCATACAACAATGCATTATTGTATTGAGTAAATATTTTTTATTTTCTTAATAACTAAGAGACCAGAAGTAAACATTCTAAAGTAGTTACTTTGGGTCTTCATTTACTATGATAAAACAGATGAAAAGTGAGAGAGGTCACAGTCAACAAACAGATTATCACCTGTTCATTTATCCATCAGAAAACAGATACGCTAGGAAAATGGTAGGAATATGAAGGCATCTGTGACATTCATTCTCTCCATTTCTCTTTTTCTCTATATTAATTATTACTCAGTGACTCAGTTTTCTCCATACTCCATCCTGAGTACTAATTACATTGCTCTTTACAAATGATCTGAGGGGCAATTGTATGACATAGTATCTCCACTAGGCGGCACCTGTGTGTAACATCTCTACTTCAAGCCCAACATTTATTATTACATTATCTTCCAGTTTCGTTAAATGAGTACTGATAAGATAGCTTTAAAGCAATCTCTTTGAAAGCAAGTGCTCCAAACACTACTTCTATGTCATATGGGATGGCCCAATGATTTGTTGGTGAGATAACTAAAAACTTTCAATAAATATTTCTATGTAAGAAATACTTTCTTGTTTCTGTTCAGGTAACAGCTCTTCTTTATAATGAAAGTGTCTGATTGTGTGCTGTTTGCACTTCAAGAAGAGAAAGTGGGAAATTTCAGGAAAACTAATATTAATTAGATCAAGCCATCCATTAAAACAAAATTATATTTGTTTATATATATAAAATAAATAATGTATATCACTCCATTTTCTCATTTGTGTGTTGTTTTATATACATGTATTATATATATTTATATATAAATATTTAATAAACATTATATTATATATAACAACACACAAATACATGCTCATATTTTATATAAATGTAAAAATATTTATATATTTACATATAATATATACCATATTTATTAAATATTTATATGTTATATATATAAAAAATGACACAAAGGAGAAAATGGGGTAAAGGTGATATATACCTAATAGTACTTATATAAACTCATTAGCATTCTATATAATATCTTTGTAGATGGAGTTCTAACCTAACTTTCCTCTCTTATTTCTCATCCTTCCCCAGTCATATTCCTCACATCCTAGTAAAAAAAAAAAAATTATTTCCTATCATGTAGACAAACCATACTCTTTCAGACCTTTATGTCTTTTTACATGTTGTTCCTTCCTGGAAAGCCTTTCTGCTTTTCCTACATCTGTCCAGCTACATACATATTAAGACCCAGCTATATATATTATCTGAGACATCTTGGCTCACCTACTCTGTTAATGTTCCTCCTCTGACATGCTGATACAATAATTTGTAATTATTTGCCTGTTTGTCTCCTCACTTACCTCTGTAACCCCAACAGCTGGCATACACATTAAAAAGTGACCACAGTGGGGTCCAAAAAATTTAATTGCACTGGTTCAGAGTCACCTTATTGGAAGGTCAGGCTTGAGCCTGCTGTGGAGGATGAGAGTCAACTGCCATCACATGAAAGATGAATTCATATTATCTTGGGATGTCTCTTTATAGGGTCTCAGAGTATAATTATAAACAAGACTACATACTACAGATTTTAAGAATAGTGCATATGTGGGCCAGGCACAGTGGCTCACACCTGTAATCCCATCACTTAGGGAGGCCGAGGCGGGTGGGTCACCTGAGGTCAGGAGTTTGAGACCAGCCTGGCCAACTTGGCCTCTACTAAAAATACAAAAATTAGCTGTGCATGGTGGCACACGCCTGTAATCCCAGCTACTCGGGAGGCTGAGGCAGGAGAATTGCTTGAACCTGGAAGGCGGAGGTTGCAGTGAATCGAGATCATGCCATTGCATTCAAGCCTGGGCAACAGAGAGAGACTCTGTCTCAAAAAAAAAAAAGAAAAAAAAAAAAAGAATAGTGCATAGGTAAAATCCAACTTAAACTAAGCCGAAAGAAGGAAAATATTCATAGAAATAACAATTATAACACAATTTTTAACTAAATAGAGACTATGCCAAAAAGAAATCTGTACTCTAATATTCTTTGCAGTATTATTCACAATAGCCAATATATGGAACCATCTAAGTATTCATTAACAATGAGTAGATTAAATGTGGTGTATATACACAATGGAATATAATTTGGCCTTAAAAAAGAAGGAAATGTTGTCATTTGTGACAACATGGATAAACTTGGAAGACATTATGCTAAGTGAAATAAGCCAAGTACAGAAAGACAAATACAACACGATCTCACATATGTAAAATCTTGAAAAATGATGTGAGATGATGAATATGTTAATTAGCTTGATTTAATCATTCTACATTTTATATATATAAACATCCCGTTGTACATAAATACACGTATTATAATTTGTCAATTAAAAATGTTGATAAAAATAAACTAAATAGAGGCGCTGAATAATAGATGAAGAACAAAAGCACAACTGAGAATTAAAAGACTGATTTTAGGAATTCTTCTAAAATATGCATGACTGAGGCTTATTCTAGAAACAGAGGGATGGGCTGGGCACGGTGGCTCACGCCTGTAATCCTAGCACTTTGGGAGGCCGAGGTGTGTGGATCACCTGAGGTCAGGAGTTCAAGACCGGCCTGGCCAATATGGGAAAACCCCGTCTCTACTAAAAATACAAAAATTAGCCAGGTGTGATGGCAGGCACTTGTAATCCCAGCTACTCAGGATGCTGAGGCTGGAGAATTGCTTGAACCAGGAAGGCGGAGGTTGCAGTGAGCTGAGATCACACCACTGCACTCCAGCCTGGGCGACAAGAGTGAAACTCCATCTCAAAAAAAAAAAAAAAGAGAGAGGGAGAGAGGGATGGTTCAATATTTGGGAATTTGTTGATCTAATTCATTATATTAATAGAATAAATCAATATAATCATATGATTACTCAATAAATAAAATAAGCCTTTTGATAATACTCAAAATCAATTTTTGCTTTAAAAACACTCAATTAAATTAAGCATAGAGGGAAACTCTTCAGCTTGGTATTTATCAGAATGTTCATTATAAATAAGAGCAAACATATTTATTGAATAAATAAATGAATAAATGGATGGAATAAAACAGAATACAAAGCCCAGGCATGCTTACAAAGACTGCATTTGTTCCAGAGGCACTTTCCTCTTCTCTTCCTCTCTTACTCTAACAGGAGGAATCAGAAGAGTCACCAGAAAAGAAAATGTCAAGCCTCTAAACTGAAGATTCAAAGTGAAAACAAACTGGTGTCAGGCTAGGAAGAAAGTCAAGAAAGCATCCATACCATATCAGAATAAATAGAAATTAGGGCAGGATCATGCAAGCACAAGGACTACAAAAAGAAGTAACATAGGATTGTGGCAACTGTGCAAACAACACAGGGAGAATAAAAGCAAATAGATAAACTCAATCTAGCAAAAAATAGCTAAAAAACAAAAAAAGTTCCTCGCCATTGCTTTAAGCTATAGAACAACTTAATAGGAACACAGATTCAATATGACAAGAACTCAAAGACAAGCTGATGAAACAGCAGAATGAGATAAAAGGGTAGAGTTTAGGTGTAAGCAGCCAAATTGAGCATCAAAATTTAAAAGCGCAAGCATCATAAAATGGAATTATTGACAGAGAGAAAGGTTTAGATTATCACAGTGAATTCAGGTGAAAAGACAAGAAAATTAATAAAATTAGAAAGAACAAATCTAATCCTACATAAGGATATTTAGTTTCCCTAATGTAGGCAGTCCAAAAATAGAATATAAGATGTATTCAAAGACATGAGAAAATGTTCCTGAAATGAAAAAAAAACAATAAAAATCAAAAGATCACACCATATTCAATACATTTTTAAAACAAAATGCTCTATACCAAGACAATTCTACTTAAACTCTTTAACTTTGAGGATGAACTTCAAGCTAACAACCAAGTCACCTACAAAATAAGCAACAGGAAGACACTGACTTTTCTGTTTTCTGTTTTCTTTTTTTCCAGTGTTTTAATAACAGAACATAGAACAATGCCTGGCAATCAATAAAATATTTTTTGAACTAATTAAAATGAATGAAGAAAAAAAAAAACACTGACATCAGACTTCTCCACAACATTCAATACCAGGAAACAATTAAGCAATGTTTATGTTGTTTTAGGTGAAAAAAAAAGTGACCCAATTACAGTATACCATTCAAGGTATGGTTTAGGTATAAAGGCACTGTGTAGGCAGACATTCTCAATATATAAGAACTCAGAAAATATAGCACCCATGTGATCTTCTTTAAAAAACTACAATAAATTCAGCCAAGTAAGAGATGAATCAAAATAAATAATTTGGGAATAGCAAAACACATTGTAAAAGGACAGGAAATGAGCCTTGGATCCATTTAAATATTGAATTAAGATTAATCAACTATGGCAATTGTAATTACAGAAAAGAAGGTGAATAGTGTAAATCTGGATAAAATAAAAATTATAAAATAACTAAAACTGGGAAATAGACAAAAAGAAAGATATGAGAAAATATTAAATACTCTCATCTTTTATGGTAGGATATCAATTGTTATTTCCAAAATTAAAATATGTAGTTTTAAAAAATGACTGCACTCTTTTGTGATATATATTGCTATAGAGATATACAGATATGTATAGTTATTTCTTAGAATGTCTTTAGAATAAATTTTGTGAAGGTATGTTTAATTTCGGTAATTCCCTTATTTTCACTTTAGTGTCTTTTTCCTCTGTTGGAGTCAAGTACAATTATATTTTTATTTTCTAAGTAATCAAATGCTTGTAACTATTTATGATCATCTACTTGCTATGTACCCATCTATCTGTAGTGGCGTAGTATATAAACCTGTTTTGATGTTCACCTAAGAAATTAATGATGATTTAAAAATTCTCATCTTTGCACTTTTATGTGTTGTTTGGATTCTTTTTAATGGTCCTGTATCACTTTTACAACATTGAATAATTTTCCTTAGAAAAATATGCCAAAGTAACAAGATTTAATTCTGGGTGACGGTAATATGCATATTGTTATTCTATTTTTTGTGTGGTTTTTTGTTTGGTTGGTTTTTGGATTGATTTTTTTTTCTTTTTTTGAGACACGTTCTCGCTCTGTCACCCAGGCTGGAGTGCAGTGGCATGATCACGGCTCACTATAGCTGCAACCTCCCGAGCTCAAGCGGTACTCCCACCTCAACCTCTTGAGTAGCTGGGACTAAAGGTGCGTGCCATTGTGCCAAGCTAATTTTTAAATTTTTTGTAGAGACAGGTCTTCCTATGTTGCCCAGGCTGGTCTCAAACTCCTGGGGCTCAAGAGATCCTCCCACCTAAGCCTCCCAAAGTGCTGGGATTATAGGTATGAGCCACTGTGGCTGGCTGTTATTCTATTGTTTTGTATTTATCTGTGTTTCAAAAATTCCTCATCCTATCTCATTTAAAAGTTTTAAGATTATAATTTCTCATCTGAGTACACATTTAGTAGCATTCCATAAAATTAGATATAAGATTTTGATCCAAAAGTTATTGAGGAGAGTTTTTTAAATATTTTCAAATGGTTGGACTTAATTTTTAAGTTTATTGTTTTCCAATTGTATTACATAATAAGAAAAGAATATACCATGTCATATTTCTACCTTTTGGAACTTATAAGGCAATCTTTGTGGCCTATTGTCAATGAATTTTGACCAAAATTTTATGAAAATTGGAAGAGGGTCACTGTAAGGATTAAAGTTCAATATACACATATAATGAGTTATTGATATTAATAGGTTCTTTATATTCTTATTTGTTTCTTACCTCTTCAGTTTATCAAAGACTTTTAAAAAGTTTTACTACCTCACACCATAGACAAAAATTAACTCAAAGTGGATCAAAGACTTAAACAGACATAAATGTAAAAGCTAAAACTATAAAACTCTCAGAAGAAAACACAGGAATATATGACCTTGAATTAGGCAATGGTTTTTTGATATGACATCAAAAGCAAAATCAACAAAAGAAAAAAAATAGACAAATTGGGCTTCATAAAAATTTAAAACTTTTGTGCTTCATAAAAATTTAAAACTTTTGTGCTTCAGATAACACCATCAAGAAAGTTAAAAAACAACCCACAGAATGGGAGAAAATACTTGCAAATCACATATTTGATAAAGGATTGAATATATAAAGAACAGTTATGATCCAATAATAAAAAGACAACCCAATTTTAAAATGAGATCTGAATAAACATTTTTTTCCAAAGCAGATATAGTAATGACCAATAAGTTGGGAGTTTGAGACCAGCCTGGCCAGCATGGAAAAACCCTGTCTCTACTAAAAATACAAAAATTAGCTGGGCGTGGTGGCAAGCACCTGTAATCCCAGCTACTTGGAAAGCTGAGGCAGGAGAATCGTTTGGACCTGGGAGGCAGAGGTTGCAGTGAGGCAGAGGTTGCAGTGAGCCAGTTGCACCATTGCACTCCAACCTGGGCAACAGAGCGAGACTCCACCTCAAAAGAAAAAAAAAAAAAAAAAGAAATAACCAATAAGAACAATAAGAACATGAAAAGGTGCTCAAAATCATTTTTAGCCATCAGGGAAATGCATTTCAAAAGCACAATGTGCTACCACTTCATGCCCATAAAGATGGCTATAATAAAAAACAAAACAGAGAATAAGTGTTGGCAAGGATGTGAAACAATTGCAACCCTTGTAAACCGCTGGTGGGAATGTAAAATGGTGCAACTACAGTAGAAAACAGTCTGGCATTGTTCTAAACTTCTCTTCTCGCTTCATTTCATTAATTTGATCTTCAAATAAATATGGGACTATGTGAAAAGACCAAATCTACATTTGATTGGTGTACCTGAAAGTGACGGGGAGAATGGAACCAAGCTGGAAAACACTCTTCAGGGTATTATCCAGGAAAACTTCCCCAGCCTAGCAAGGCAGGCCAACATTCAAATTCAGGAAATACAGAGAACACCACAAAGATACTCCTCGAGAAGAGCAAAGCCAAGACACATAATTGTCAGATTTACCAAGGTTGAAATGACGGAAAAATGCTAAGGGCAGCCAGAGAGAAAAGTCGGGTTACCCACAAAGGGAAGCCCATCATACTAACAGCAGATCTCTCAGCAGAAACCCTACAAGCCAGAAGAGTGTGGGGGCCAATATTCAACATTCTTAAAGAAAAGAATTTTCAAGCCAGAATTTCATATCCAGCCAAACTAAGCTTCATAAGTGCAGGAGAAATAAAATCCTTTACAGACAAGCAAATGCTGAGAGATTTTGTCACCACCAGGCCTGCCTTACAAGAGCTCCTGAAGGAAGCACTAAACACGGAAAGGAACAACCAGTACCAGCCACTGCAAAAACATGCCAAATTGTAAAGACCATCGAGGCTAGGAAGAAACTGCATCAACTAACAGGCAACATAACCAGCTAACATCATAATGACAGGATCAAATTCACACATAACAATATTAACCTTAAATGTAAATGGGCTAAATGCTCCAATTAAAAGACACAGACTGGCAAATTGGATAGAGTCAAGGCCCATCAGTGTGCTGTACTCAGGAGACCCATCTCACGTGCAGAGACACACATGGACTCAAAATAAAGGGATGGAGGAAGATCTACCAAGCAAATGGAAAGCAAAAAAAAGCAGGGGTTGCAATCCTACTTTCTGATAAAACAGACTTTAAATCAACAAAGATCAAAAGGGACAAAGAAGGTCATTATATAATGGTAAAGGGTTCAATTCAACAAGAAGAGCTAACTATCCTAAATACATATGCACTCAATACAGGAACACCCAGATTCATAAAGCAAGTCCTTAGAGACCTAAAAAGACACTTAGACTCCCACACAATAATAATGGGAGACTTTAACACCCCACTGTCAATATTAGACAGATCAACGAGACAGGTTAACAAGGATATCCAGGACTTGAACTCAGCTCTGCACTAAGCAGACCTAATAGACATCTACAGAACTCTCCACCCCAAATCAACAGAATGTACATTCTTTTCAGCACCACATTGCACTTATTCCAAAATTGACCACACAGTTGGAAGTAAAGCACTCCTCAGCAAATGTTAAAGAACAGAAATCACAACAGTCTGTCTCTCAGGCCACAGTGCAATCAAATGAGAACTCAGGATTAAGAAACTCACTCAAAACCACACAACTACGTGGAAACTGAACAACCTGCTCCTGAATGACGACTGGGTACATAACGAAATGAAGGCAGAAATAAAGATGTTCTTTGAAACCAATGAGAACAAAGACACAACATGCCAGAATCTCTGGGACACACTTAAAGCAGTGTGTAGAGGGAAATTTATAGCACTAAATGCCCACAAGAGAAAGCAGGAAAGATCTAAAATCGACACCCTAACATCACAATTAAAAGAACTAGAGAAGCAAGAGCAAACAAATTCAAAAGCTAGCAGAAGGCAAGAAATAGCTAAGATCAGAGCAGAATTGAAGGAGCTAGAGACACAAAAACTCTTCAAAGAAATCAACGAATCCAGGAGCTGGTTTTTTGAAAAGATCAACAAAATTGATAGACCGCTAGCAAGACTAATAAAGAAGAAAAGAGAGAAGAATCAAATAGACGCAATAAAAAATGATAAAGGGGATATCACCACTGATCCCACAGAAATACAGACTACCATCAGAGAATACTATAAACACCTCTATGCAAATAAACTAGGGAATCTAGAAGAAATGGATAAATTCCTGGACACATACACCCTCCCAAGACTAAACCAGGAAGAAGTTGAATCTCTGAATAGACCAATAACAGGCTCTGAAATTGAGGCAACAATTAATAGCTTACCAACCAAAAAAAGTCCAGGACCAGATGGATTCACAGCCGAATTCTACCAGAGGTACAAAGAGGAGCTGGTACCATTCCTTCTGAAACTATTCCAATCAATAGAAAAAGAGGGAATCCTCCCTAACTCATTTTATGAGGCCAGCATCATCCTGATACCAAAGCCTGGCAGAGACACAACAAAAAAAGAGAATTTTAGACCAATATCCCTGATGAACATCAATGCGAAAATCCTGAATAAAATACTGGCAAACCGAATCCAGCAGCACATCAAAAAGCTTATCCACCAAGATCAAGTTGGCTTCATCCCTGGGATGCAAGACTGGTTCAACATACACAAATCAATAAACGTAATCCATCAGCTAAACAGAACCGAAGACAAAACCACATGATTATGTCAATAGATGCAGAGAAGGCCTTCGACAAAATTCAACAGCCTTTGTGCTAAAAACTCTCAATAAACTAGGTATTGATGGGATGTATCTCAAAATAATAAGAGCTATTTATGACAAACCCACAGCCAATATCATACTGAATGGGCAAAAACTGGAAGCATTCCCTTTGAAAACTGGCATAAGACAGGGATGCCCTCTCTCACCACTCCTATTCAACATAGTGTTGGAAGTTCTGGCCAGGGCAATCAGGCAAGAGAAAGAAATAAAAGGTATTCTGTAGGGACCAGTCCCACAGGGTCGGCGGGTCTCTCCCCATGTGCAGAGACGAGAGAGTGTAGAAATAAAGACACAAGACAAAGAGATAAAAGAAAAGACAACTGGGCCCGGGGGACCACTACCACCAAGTCGCGGAGACCAGTAGTGGCCCCAAATACCAGGCTGCACTGATATTTATTGGATATAAGACAAAGGGGCAGGATAAGGAGAGTGAGCCATCTCCAGTGATAGGTAAGGCCATGTGGGTCATGTGTCCACTGGACAGGGGGCCCTTCCCTGCCTGGCAGCCGAGGCAGAGAGAGAGAGGAGACAAAGAGAGAAACAACTTACACCATTATTAGAGACTTTTAGTACTTTCACTAATTTGCTACTGCTATCTAGAAGGCAGAGCCAGGTGTACAGGATGGAACATGAAGGCGGACTAGGAGCGTGACCACTGAAGCACAGCATCACAGGGAGACAGTTAGGCCTCCAGACAACTGCGGGCGAGCCTGACTAATGTCAGCCCCTTCACAAGAGGTGGAGGAGTAGAGTCTTCTCCAAACTCCCCCTGGGAAAGGGAGACTCCCTTTCCCGATCTGCTAAGTAGCAGGTGTTTTTCCTTGACACTTACGCTACTGCTAGACCACGGTCTGCCTGGCAATGGGCGTCTTCCCAGACGCTGGCGTTACCACTAGACCAAGGAGCCCTCTGGTGGCCCTGTCTGGGCATAACAGAAGGCTCGCACTCTTGTCTTCTGGTCACTCCTCACTATGTCCCCTCAGCTCCTATCTCTGTATGGCCTGGTTTTTCCTAGGTTATGATTATAGAGCGAGGATTATTACAATATTGGAATAAAGAATAAGTACTACTAATGATTAATTATATTCATATATAATCATATCTAAGATCTATATATGGTATAACTATTCTTGTTTTATATTTTATTATACTGGAACAGCTCGCGTCCTCGGTCTCTTGCCTTGGCACCTGGGTGGCTTGCCACCCACAGTATTCAATTAGGAAAAGAGGAAGTCAAATAGTCCCTGTTTGCAGATGACACGATTGTATATTTAGAAAACCCCATCGTCTCAGCCCAAAATCTCCTTAAGCTGATAACCAACTTCAGCATAGTCTCAGGATACAAAAATCAATCTGCAAAAATCACAAGCATTCTGATACACCAATAACAGACAAACAGAGAGCCAAATCATGAGTGAACTCCCATTCACAATTGCTACAAAGAGAATAAAATACCTAGGAATCCAACTTACAAGGGATGTGAAGGACCTCTTCAAGGAGAACCACAAACCACTGCTCAATGAAATAAAAGAGGGCACAAACAAATGGAAGAACATTCCATGCTCATGGATAGGAAGAATCAATATCGTGAAAATGGCCATACTGCCCAAGGTAATTTATAGATTCAGTGCCATCCCCATCAAGCTACCAATAACTTTCTTCACAGAATTGGAAAAAACTACTTTAAAGTTCATATGGAATCAAAACAGAGCCTGCATCGCCAAGACAATCCTAAGCCAAAAGAACAAAGCTGGAGGCATCATGCTACCTGACTTCAAACTATACTACAAGGCTACAGTAAGCAAAACAGCATGGTACTGGTACCAAAACAGATATATAGACCAATGGAACAGAACAGAGGCCTCAGAAATAACACCACACATCCACATATCTACAGCCATCTGATCTTTGACAAACCTGACAAAAACAAGAAATGGGGAAAGGATTCCCTATTTAATAAATGGTGCTGGGAAAACTGGCTAGCCACATGTAGAAAGCTTAAACTGAATCCCTTCCTTACAAAAATTAATTCAAGATGGATTAAATACTTAAATGTTAGACCTAAAACCATAAAAACCCTAGAAGAAAACCTAGGCATTACCATTCAGGACATAGGCATGGGCAAGGACTTCATGAATAAAACACCAAAAGCAATGGCAACAAAAGCCAAAATAGACAAATGGGATCTAATTAAACTAAAGAGCTTCTGCACAGCCAGAGAAACTACCATCAAAGTGAACAGGTAACCTACAGAACGGGACAAAATTTTTGCAATCTACCCATCTGACAAAGGGCTAACATCCAGAATCTACAAAAAACTTAAACAAATTTACAAGAAAAAATCAAACAACTGCATCAAAAAGTGGGCAAAGGATATGAACAGACACTTTTCAAAAGAAGACATTTATGCAGCCAACAGACATGAAAAAATGCTCATCATCACTGGTCATCAGAGAAATGCAAATCAAAACCACAATGAGATACCATCTCACACCAGTTAGAATGGTGATCATTAAAACGTCAGGAAACAACAGGTGCTGGAGAGGATGTGGAGAAATAGGAACACTTTTACACTGTTGGTAGGAGTGTAAACTAGTTCAACCATTGTGGAAGACAGTGTGGCAATTCTTCAAGGATCTAGAACTAGAAATATCATTTGACCCAGTGATCCCATTACTGGGTATATACCCAAAGGATTATAAATCATGCTACTATAAAGACACATGCACACGTATGTTTATTGCGGCACTATTCACAATACCAAGGACTTGGAACCAACCCAAATATCCATCAATGATAGACTGGATTAAGAAAATGTGGCACATATATACCATGGAATACTATGCAGCCATAAAAAAAGATGAGCTCATGTCCTTTGTAGGGACATGGATGAAGCTGGAAACCATCATTCTGAGCAAACTATCACAAGGACAGAAAACCAAACACCGCATGTTCTCACTCATAGGTGGGAATTGAACAATGAGAACACTTGGACATAGGACACATTACACACCGGGGCCTGTCATGGGGTCGGGGGATGGAGGAGGGATAGCATTAGGAGAAATACCTAATGCAAATGACGAGTTAATGGGTGCAGCAAACCAACACGGCACATGTATACATATGTAACAAACCTGCATGTTGTGCACATGTACCCTAGAACTTAAAGTATAACAAAAAAAAAAGAAAAGAAAACAATCTGGCAGTTCCTCAAAAGGTTAAACACAAAGTTATCACATGACCCAACAATTCCACTCCCAAGAGAACAGAAAACACATATTCATGTAAAAACTTAGGCACAAATGTTCATAGTGGTATTATTTACAGTAGCCAAAAAATGAAAACAACCGAAATGTCCACCAACTGATGAGTGGATAAATAAAAGGTAGTATGTTCATAAAAAGGAATATCATTTGGCAATAAAAAGAAATGAAGTACTGATACATGCTACAACATGGAGTAACCTTGAAGACATTATGACAAGTACAAGAAGCCAAAAACAAAAGACCACATATTGTATATTCCATATATATGAAATGTTCAGAATAGACAAAGCTATGGAGACAGAAAGAGATTTGTGGCTGCCTAGGGCTGGAGGTTTGGAAGGAAATGGGGAGTGACTGCTAATGGGTATGAAGTTTCTTTTGTGGGTGAAAATGTTCTAAAATGGATTGTTTTAATGGTTGTACTCCTCTGCAAATATACTAAAGCCCATTCAATTGTACACTTTAAATGGGTATAAGGTAGGTATAGTAGGTTGGATAATGGCTCTCGAAGATGTAAAGTCCTAATCCCTGGATCTGTAAATGCTTCCTTATATGGGAAAAGAGTCTTTGCAGATGTGATTAAGGATTTTGAGATGGGGAGATTATCCTAAATTATCTAGGTAGACCCTAAAATGCAATCACATATATCCTTTTAAGAAGGAGATTTCTCAGACAGGAGAAGAAAAGGCAATGTGACCACAAAGACAGGGACTGGTGATGCAGCCACAAGTAAAGGAATGCCAACAGCCACCAGAAGTTGGAAGAGCCAAGGAACAAATTCTTCCACAGACCCTCCTGAGAGAAGTGCAGCCCTGCCAGCACCTTCATTTTGGCCCAGTGATACTGATCTTGGACTTCTGGCCTCCAGAGCTGTGAGAAAATAAATGTCTGCTGTTTTCAGCAACCAAGTTTGCAGTAATTTGCTACAGCAGCCACAGGAAATAAATGCAGTTTGTAAATTATATCTGAATAAAGCTGCTACCAAAAAAAGTTTAAAAATCTGCACAATTATTGTAAATTTTTTACCTTTTATTTATATTTTTATATATTCTATTACAATGTGCTATAAACTCATAAAGCTTAAGAGAGTCCTATTAACTTCATTAATTTTAAATTTTAAAATATAAAAAAATTTTTTTTTTTTGAGATGGAGTCTTGCTCTGTCACCCAGGCTGGAGTGCAGTGGCATGATCTCAGCTCGCTGCAACCTGTCTCCTGGGTTCAAGTGATTCTCCTGCCTCAGCCTCCCAAGTAGCTGGGACTACAGGCACATGCCACTATGCCCAGCTAATTTTTGTATTTTTGGTAGAGACAGGATTCACCATGTTGGCCAGGCTGGTCTTGAACTCTTGACCTCCAACGGTCTGCCTGCCTCGGCCTCCCAAAGTGCTGGGATTACAGGCGTGAGCCACCTCACCCAGCCTTAAAATATAAAATTTTCACATTTACAAATATAAAAAATAGTCTTGATCTCATTAAATGATTTTTAACCTTGAAATCTGCTTTTTGTTTATTTACTTGTTTATTTAATGTATCTGCTATTCCTTTAACAATTTTCTTATTTTCATCTTTTTTCATCCTTTTATATTAGATGTTTAGCTTATAAAATGCATATAGTACAGCTTTTATTTTTTTAATCAGCAAAACCCATCAATCATTAGATTGCTATTGACTTAATAGATTGGGGGATTGGGGAAGAGAGGAAAACATACTGCTTTATCAAATGACGCAGCTTTTCGTTTTTTTGTTTTGAGACAGGGTCTCACTCTGTTGCCCAGAGTGCAGTGGTGCAATCATGGTTCACTGCAGCCTGACTTCCCAGGCTCAAGCAATCCTCCTAGGTCTCAGCCTCCTGAGTAGCTGGGATTACAGGCGTGAGCCACCATGCCTGGCTATGTTTTTAATTTTTTGTACAGACAGGGTCCCACTATGTTGCCCGGGCTGGTCTTGAACTCCTAGGCTCAAGCGATCCTCCAGCCTTGGCCTTCCAAAATGGTGGTATAACAGGTGTGGGTCACCACTCTGGGCTAAATGATGCACCCTGATTTCAGAGATGCAAAAGGAAAACCACTCATCTTGGAATTATGGAAATATGATTGTTTGGACTTCCTGTTTAGAAGTCTCTAACCACACAGAAGAATAGGAAAAGTTACATTTTAAACTGACATGGTCAGAGAAGACCTCTGTCTCTACAAATTGGGAAGAACGAGGGGTTCATTTTTACAATATTCTCTTAATAATAGTTTGTGTAATTTTTAAAAATTTACTCCAGTGATGTTACTTGGGCAGTTTATGAGTAAAATAAGACTCTGGAATAAATTTATTCCCAACTGAACAAGAATAAGAAGTCATACTCGATTTATCTTTTCATTTCAGTCTGGCAGATTAAATTGTATTTCCCAATAAATATGAAAAGATAATGGAGGGATGACAGCTTCATCAACAGCAGACAAAGTAACAAGAAGCCACATGGAACTAGGGTTTTCTTACCACTTCTAATTTATCCACTGCTTGTCTACCCATTTCTTCCCCTAATAAATCTTGGGATGACTGAAAAAATTTTACCTAATACTGTGTATGCTATTTGCAGCCGAGTTTGCTAAAAGCAAAAACAACAACAAAAAAGACTGTTTTCCATTCTTCTGGTTTTGATTTATCTTCTATCAACAGGACAATAGGTAGTGTATTAAAATATATACATTCTTGAAAAAATTCATGCTATACTCTTCTTTCTGTAAAAATCAAAATTTACATGGACACTAAAAAATCTCTCATTCAGCTGGGCGCAGTGGCTCACACCTATAATCCCAGCACTTTGGGAGGCAGAGGTGGAAGGATCGCTTGAATCCAGGAATTTGAGACCAGCCCGGGCAACATAGGGAGATTAATGTCCACAAAAATAAACAAAATTAGCCAGGCAAAGTGGCATGTGCCAGGCAAAGTGGCATCCCCCCTACTTGGGAGGCTGATGTGGGAGAATAACCTGAGCCCAGGAGGTTGAGGCTGCAGTGAGCCGAAATTGTGCCAATGCACCCCAGCCTGGGTGATAGAGTGAGACTCTGTCTCAAAAAAATAAGATAAAATCTCAGTAATTCAAATTTTGTAAAATGTTCTACTTTTATTTTCCATTGGAAAGGAAGAAAATAGTAATGTAGAAAAACTTTTATTTGGAAAATTAGCTACCTATAAAAAGAAGGTTTGTTTAATAAACATAGTGATATGCTTTGCTAGCCATTTTAGGGGGAAAAAATTAAGTTAGATTCTCACCTTCTATTACTTATCAAAACAATTTTCAAGTTAATTTTAAAAAGTAAAAAGAGCTAGAAAAAACTAGGTGAATATTTAACTGATTTGGGAAGAAGAGAATCTTCTAAGCATGGGAGCAATAAAAAAGATCTCCAAAAAAAATCTACAAATTTGTTTGCATAAAATTTTAAAATTTTTTTGTAAATTAGAAACCACCAAAATTTTAAAACAATTGAGAAACGTTGAAAAATATGTTAACAGAAAAACCAAACGCTATAAAATATTTTAAAGAAGTTTATTCTGAGATAATATAAGTGACCACAGCCTGAGGAAAACACAAACCCAAGAAGCCTTGAGTAAGTGGTCCTAAGGCAGTCGGATTACAGTTTGGTTTTATACATTTTAGGGAGGCAGAATTTACACGCAAAGACATAAGTCAATACACGGAAGGTATACGTTGGTTAGGCCCCAAAAGATGGGATATCGTGAAGCAGGGGTTTGCAGGTTATAGGTGGATTCAGAGATTATTTAATTTGCAATTGTTTAAAGGAGTAAGGCTCTGTCTAAAACTTGGAGTCAGCAGAAAGGAATGTTTTAAGTTAAGATAAGGCTGCTATGTGGCAAGACTGATGGCCTACAGGCTTGACTTAACCCTTACCTGACATGGCCTTAGGTCTTGTTTGTAACTTAGTATCTTATTGCCAAAAAGAGTCTGTTTTGTCAGTTTTAGGATCTGTATTTTAACATTAACAATCGTCACTTACTGTGCCTAAACTCCAAAGGGGAGGAGATATAATGAGGCAGGCCTGACCTCCCTTCTTGTCATGGCAGGGAATTCAGTTTTTAAGGTTTTTCTGGGGTTCCCTTGGATAAGAGGGGGTCTGTTCAGTCAGCAGAAGGCTTAGGATTATATTTTTAGTTTACAAACATATGCAATTTGTGATCATAAATAATGTCTTTAATATATAATGAACATTTACAATTCCATAAGAAAAAATAAAAATCAGGTAAGATGGCCAAAGGATCTGAATGCATAATTTACGTAAGAAGAAATTTTTAAATTACATAGAATAATCTTTAATCTCACCAGAAATCTCAAAGATAAGAGTTAAAAAACAAAATGCCATCAAATTACTTTTATTTGTTTGAGACAAGGTCTTGCTCTGTCATCCAGGCTGGAGTGCAGTGGCTTGATTATAGCTCACTGCAGCCTTGAACTCCTGGGCTCATGCAATCCTGACTTGGCCTCACCAAGAGATTTCTTATACTCAATAATACCTACTGTTGGTGATAAGACGGTGCCTTGAGAGCCATCATGCATTGCTGAGGAGAATAAATCAGTATAACCAAGAACACAATTTGACAAATATATACTAAAACCTCAAATATTTATTCTTTAACATATTTGTTCCATTTCTGGGACTCTAACACTGAAACTGTGTCTTAGCTCAGGCTGCAATAACAAAATACCATAGACTGGGTGACTTAAACAACAGAGATTTATTTTCTTACAGCTCTAGAGGCTGGAAAGTCCAAATCAAGGTGCCCACAGAGGCCAGGCACAGTGGCTCACACCTGTAATCCCACAACTTTGGGAGGCCGAGGTAGGCAGATCATGAGGTCAGGAGTTCGAGACCAGCCTGGCCAACGTGGTGAAACCTTGTCTCTACTAAAAATACAAAAAAAAAAAAAAAAAAAAATTAGCCAGGAGTGGTGGCACTCTCTTGTAATCCCAGCTACTCAGGAGGCTGAGGCAGGAGAATCGCTTGAACCTGGGAGGTGGAGGTTGCAGTGAGCCAAGATTGCACCACTGCACTCCAGACTGGGCGACAGAGCAAGACTCCATCTCAAAAAAAAAAAAAAAAGTGCCCACAGAGTTAGTATCTGGTGAGGGTTATTGAATAAAAATTATAGAAGGCAGTTGTCTTGGACTAAGCTCCTGAACCAGGCCCAACAGACCAGACTAAAAATCAAAATGGAGTAACTCAGACTGAGGTTCCACAACACTAAACTAAAACTAAATTGTTATCTAACCTTTAAAGAAATCAGAAAATTTCGCCTCCACTGAGCAATAACAAGGCACCTTGCCCCTGCCTCCAAAATGTCAATGGAGATTGAATGGGGAAATTGGATCTTTATGCCCACCTGGCAGTAGAGAGGTGGCACTCCCCTTCTTCCACCAGCATGGTATCAGAGGAAGCTTTTTAAAAGAAGATGCAAATAAGATCCCAAGTCTCATAGTGATAGATGCAGGAGAAGCTAAGGAAACCTTGCACAGGGTCTTGCCTGGGCATGCCTGCAAATGATTGGGGGACCACATGTGCATTGGGAGAATGGGGCAGAGCCACCAATAATTCACGCCTTATGAGAGGGGAGAAGCCAGGCCTCTTCGGCTCCCATGTGGTGACCTGGTATTCAGTCTGTGAAGTGAGAACCTGTTGGATGGACCCTCTTTTTCTTTGTGGAGAGTTTTCTTTTTGCCTAATAAATCCATCTTCACCCTTCAATGTGTCTGCATGCCTCATTTCCCTAGTTGTGAGACAAGAACTTGGATTTTAGCTGAACTAAGGAGCAAAAAATCCTGCATCAATAGCATTATAACCAAAATGTCCAAGACAAAACAGAAGATCACATATTGTATGAGGAACTAGGAAAATCTCAACTTGAATGAGAAAATTTAATCAGCAGATGCCAACACTGAGATGACACAGCTGTTGGAATTATCTGAGAAGGATTTTAAAGCAGCCACTATAAAAATAATTCAACAAGCAATTATGAACATGCTTAAAATAAATTAAAAACTTAAAAGTCTCAGCAAAGAAATAAAAGACATGAAGAAAAACGAAAATTTTGAAAAATACAACTCAGGAGGCTGAGGTGGGAGGATCACATCTCTTTTTTTTTTTTTTTCTTTTTCTCCCCTCCCCAAAACCACATTTCTTAAAAAAACAACAAGGCTGGGCACAGTGGCTCACGCCTATAATCCCAGCACTTCGGGAGGCTGAAATGAGAGGATCTCTTGAGCTCAGGAGTTTCAGACTAGCCTGGGCAACATAGGGAGACCCTGTTTCTACAAAAATAAAATTTAGCCTTATATGGTGGTGCATGACTGTGGTCCCAGCTACTTGAGAGGCTAAAGTGGGAGGATGGCTTGGGCCTGGGAGGTTGAAGCTGCAGTGAGCCGCGATCATGCCACTGCACTCCAGCCTGGGTAACAGAGCAAGAACCTGTCTGAAAAAGAACAACAACAACAAAAACTACTGAAATAAAAAGCTCAAGGTATGGGCTTAGCATCAGTGTGGAAAAGACAGAGGAAGGAATCAATGGACTTGAACACAGAACAGTAGAATTTACCCGAACAACAGAGGAAATATCAGACCCCCCCCCCGCTACAAAAAAAAAAGAGGAAAAAAGAAATAACAGAATCTCAGAGTCTCAGCAACATGTGGGATTATAATAAAAGATCTAACATTCATGTCTTCAGAGTTCAGAACACTAAATACAAACCAACAAGAGAAAAACAATACTTTACCTACTGAGGAAAATTAATTGGAATGAAGTGGATTTTTCATCACCAACCATGGAGATCAGAAGGAAATGAGAGAACATTTTCAAGGGCTAAAATAGAAGAATTTTCAATCAAGAATTCTATATCCAGTGAAATTATCATTCAGGAATAAAGGGAAAATAAAGACATTCTCAGACAATGTAAAACTAATAGAAGTTGTCTCATCTGTAGATCTGCTGTAAAAGAATGGCTATAGAAGAAATTCTCTAAATAGAGTGCATAAAAGAAGGAATCTTGAAACATCGGGAAGGAAGAACAATGAAAAAAGCAAAAAACACAGGTAAATACAACAGACTTTTCTTCTCATCTTGAGTTTTCTAAATGATGTTTAACAGTGGAAGCAAAGTGTAACAGTGCCTGATGTGATGGATGTATGGGAAATATTTCAGACAATGATGTTTTAATTGGCAAAGTGGAAAATGACTTAAAGGAAGGTAAGATTTCTACATTTCCCCTGAACTGGCAAAATGTCATTACCAGTAGACCCAGTAGACCTTTGTGGTACTGAAATAGTTTTGTATCTTAATTTTGGTGGTGGTAACAGAAATCTACATGTGCTAAAATAACATAATACTATACACACACATTATATCAATGTTAATTTCCTGGTTTTGATATTATACTAAAGTCATGCAAAATATAACCTTTGGGGAAACTGGATGAAGGGCATATGGGACCTCTCTGTACTATCTTTGCAACTTCTTGTAAATATATAATTATTTCAAAATAAAAAAATTTTAAAACATGTTTTAAAGAATATTTATTGACATAGAGAAATGATCAAGAGATGATATTAAGTGAAAAAAGTAGGATATTAGGCATAACCAAAAATCTATATGGAAAAACCACAAAATTAAAACTAAAAACTTACATGTCTCACTATGAATATAATAGACACTATAAAGCACAAGGGTCAAGACTATGATGAGCTTTGAAGTCAGGCTGACCTGGGTCTAGTCTAGCTCTGTCACTTATGTGCTGTGTGATCTCAAGGCAAGTGTTCAACCTTTTTAGGTCTCATTTGCAAAATGAACATAATAATAACTGAGTTGTGTGACGATTACACAAGAAAGTGCATGTAATAACCTCAGTACACAATATGGCACATAAAAAGGAGTCAAAAGTGTTAGCTATTATTATTACACAAAAAAATATAGTGTTAACTGTGGCTTTTATTGGTGGTAAATTGTGGATTTAAAATTGTTTACTTCTTTACATTTTTATGCCTTTAAATTTTTATAATGAACTTATATTATCTTTTATGGAGACATAATTCACATATCATAAAATTAATATATTTTATAATGGTTTTTAGACATGAGGGTCTCACTATGTTGCCCAGGTTGGTCCCAAACTCCTGGTCTTAAGCAATCCTCTTGCCTCAGCCTCCCTAGTCATTGGCATAAGCCACCACATCAGGCCTACTTTTATAATGAAAAAAATAGGAAAATGTTCTAACTTGCGTACTTTTAGGGAAACTAATATAAGACAAATAGGCAAGTACCACTGAACATCAGTCCCTTGCAAAGAAATGTAAGTTATGTTTATTACTGTATTAAAGAGATAAAGCTTTGACTTTTCATGAACAATTTTAATACTATCATTTGTTCCTCTGTGTATTTTTCTTCCAGTAGCTTGTCTCATTTGTATCTGTGGAATTTTAATTTATGGAGGTGACTGAGTGATGACATGGAGAGGCTAATGCCACTGAAAGAAAATTTTTATTACTTAAGACTTCCGAGTGAAGAAAGCATGCCACACCATGCAGGGCCACAGGGGAAGCACCAGGTTTGGGTCAGGAGGCAGAACAGAAAGGAGCAAAGGGACAGCCTAAGCCAGAATCCTTACTGGAGTTTCCAGAAATGCAAGCCACGAGAGGTTAAACAGTTGAGGATTGGCTGGTTTGAATAATTCTGGCAGACTCTGAGGCAGAAGGGCTATCTCTGGTTGTCTGGTACCTGGTTCTGGGTTGATTTAGAGCAGGAGAAATATTAGCTCAGTGTGTGAGAATTAGTAAGGAGATGGTTCATAGTATGGATTCTGGATCACAGGGGAGATATAAACAACTGTGGCCATTAGTTTGGCCTTGTGAGTAATGCATGACAAATAGACAAACACAGAATCTAAGAAAACACAGTTAGAACATAACTGAGGTAGAATTTGCCAAATTCTTATCTATACAATAATTTTTAAAAGAATTCCAGAAATCCCTCATACAGAGCTTTGAAAATGTATATAGTGCATAATCTTCACCTTCAATCGTGCAAAGGTGTATGAAAAGAGAAACAGAAAGTTACCTTGACTCTGGAACTCATCAGAGAAAAACAAGGGGAAATGGAGAAACATGAAAAAATATATAAGTAGGCTGTGGAAGACTTAGGACTCTAGTACCATTAAATTGCTTATTTCACTTATTCCATTACAATAGAATCATACTTTTTCATATGCAATATTATGTAGACTTTGAAACCAAACTGACTGAATACAAATTTTCCCAGTTTTACTAATTGTGAAACAGTGTGCAAGTTATTTAACCTTTCTGCATCTTGGTGTCTTCATCTGTAAAAGCAGAGGAAAGGGTTGCTGAGAGGGTTAACCAAGTTCATGTATGATACCTGGCCCATAGGAAAGTTTTTGTAAGTTTTAGATCTCATTATTGTTTGAATAACCAGATTTCACTGAATATAAGATGCTGGTTTTTCTTGATCTTACCAGAAGGTGTCAGTGGACGATTTTTATACTCTCACATCATGCGTGATACTGATTGAAAGAAATTGTAAAATTTCAGAGGAGTTGAAATATTTTAAAGTACATATTTTAGAATGTATAAAATAAGTTTTGTGCTTTCATTTAATACTAATTTAATGATGTGTGACAGCCACCAACAGACAATTGAAACTGACAAAATAATTCAATTCAAACATTAAATAATGTAACTCTTACTTCTGTAAATTCCATTTTGTTCAATCTTGGTTCTGTTGAGTCAGTAATATCCAGTTGTTTGCAGTGTGATCCTATTTATGGAATGAAGATTATTTGCTAGTTAGTTAGGTTGTAATATATATTTGATATTTATACTATAGTGCTTTAAAAGAACATAAAATTATTTATTAGCTAATGTCTAACCATAATTACAATAAAGTGAATTACATATAGTTGGGTAACATACCAAATACTACAAAATTATTACTTTTCCTGGCTGAGCAAGCAAACCAAATACTAAAAAAAAAGAGCCTATATTTTTAATGTCTGGATTGGGATAAAGCAGAAATAAATATGCACATCAATAGTATAAAAGGCTACAAAAACATCTGTGTTGGTTTATGCTAGCAGGTCCTTAAACAAAACACTTCTGCAAGCTTTCTTTTTAAAAACTTTATTTTGTCTTTAATGTTTCTTAAATTAAATAATGCATAAAAATGTTCTTTTAGTTAACAAATTCAAATAATACAAAAATATAAGCAACAAAACATGAATATCTTCCTTTTTCTCTACCTCCCATCAGCACTCTCACTCCTTTCTGCCCCAGATGTAACCACTGTCAACAGTTTATCATCCTTCCAGCAACCTTTCTATGCATTTCTGTATGTATACAAATGTATATATATATACACATGTACCTTTTTTCTACTTATAAATATGATCATTTTGATGTGCAACTTGCTTTTTCATTTACCACTCATAGTAGCTTTTTTTCAAATAGGACCTGGGGCTCAGGGAAAGTTCGTAATGTGTATATAGATTGGGAGTCATCAGCTGCAGTCATGGACTTGAATAAGAAAACCCACAGAATGTGTATAGTGTGTATAGTGACAAGAAAGCCTAAAAGGAAACTCTGGAAAACAAAATTTAAGGTGCAAGCAAAAGAAGAGTCAAGAAACAAAAACACTAAAAGGTGACCAAAAATAGAAGAAAAAAATCAAGAGAATGATATCACAAAAACCAAGAAAAAAGAGTTTCATAAATTAGAGTGATCAGTAATGATGAATGTGACCGTTAGTTCAAATACAGATTTTTAAACCTTCATTTGATATGACAATTTATGTAATCCTTATTGACCTTACAAGAGAAAAATACATAAATTGTATGAAAGCTCATGATGAAAGAACTATACACTGGCTTCCTCTCCTACTTCTAATAGTAACTCTTCCTGCCTGTCATGGGTTGGCACAAGGGCATAGAAAAGATTTTTCAATCACTCTTGAATTTGGTAAGTGCTAATTATGAGATATCTGTTATTGTGGCCATAGGAAGGCTATATAAATTTTCATATAAACTTATGCATTAGATGCAGACATTTCCATCCCAGACCTTCCCCCAAGCTCCAGATGATTATGCAAACCAGACGTTTCTAGCAGTAACAGTTGCTATTAAGTATACCTGTCTGTCTGTCTCTGACTGGAGTTTGAGCAACTTAAGGGTAGGAAACATGTCTTGTCAGTCCTCTTTGCATTCTCTTACTCATTACAGTATCTGGAACTAAGTGAGGGCTCAATGAATATTGACCGAATGAATAGTACAGAAATAAATACTGTAGTATAGGAGGTGAGAGGAGAAACAATCACTGTCAGTTGGAATGCTCTGGAATTTCTGTAATTTTATCAGGATCCCAAATTGAGTTCTCTTAACTCACTCCTTCTGTACCCTCATTCAAAAATAAAGGAAGCTATTTCAATGATTTTTTGAAACAAGAGTAAAAGATGAGCTGACTGAAGAATTACGGTTTTTGGAAAATGTGAGAACAGGTAGAAGGACAAAAGGTTATCAGTAAGGCCCAAATCATGCTTGGAGATCAGTGATCAGGAAGACGGGAAGCATATTTTATTTTTAAAAGTGACAACAGACTTCAGACAATGTATTGTTGTCAATGTAACAAAAGTAGTCAAATAATCAATTGGAAAAAAATCTACTGGATATTAATTATGTAAATCTCAGGACCCAAACTCTAGTTCCTATGGGACAAGTGAGGTTTTTTTTTTTTTTCCACCTAATTTCATATAGGGAAATCTTTCTGAAAACAAAAGCACCAAAATCTGTGACTCTCCATAGGGGTGGTGCTGTCCTCCTTTCCTCCCAGGGAGCATGGTGGAAATTTTTGGGTGAATTTTTATTGCCACAGTGATGAGGAATAGGAGCAGAGGCAGAACACATGGAATTCTTGCACATAGACTTTCCCCCTTCTGCAGGACATTCAAGTAGATGAAAAACCTGATTATAATAATTTTGAACTTAGAACCCAACTCTATTTTACATATAAATGCAGAATATAATTTTGCTGTGGAATTTTCCAAGAATATAACTTATATGAAAATTTGAGGGAGAATTATACTTTGTTTAATTCTGGAACTTTACCAAGAGTTGTTCACCATTTCAGGACTTATGTAATAGGGAGTAATATAAATTGTATCTGAATTCTAATACAACACACCTGTGTCAGTCTGCATTTCTGGGAATTCTATATATATATATATATTCATTTTGCCCTATTCCAAAATGTCAAAAACAAATAAAATGGTCAACTGTATATAATTTTACTTCTCTTATATCTAAAGGTACATTATAAGTAGGTAGAAATGTCTGACTACTCTATTACGTCTTCTAGCGAAGTCGTAACAAAGCATTTATATATTGAAATACAGTGCATATAATTTTCTTTCTTTCTTTTTTTTTTTTTTTAGAAGGAGTCTCACTCTGTCACCCAGGCTGGAGTGCAGTGGCGTCACCTCGGCTCACTGCAACCTCCGCCTCCTGGGTTCAAGTGATTCTCCTGCCTCAGCCTCCCAAGTAACTGAGATTACGGACGCCCGCCACCATGCCCGGCTAATTTTTGTATTTTAGTAGAGACAGTCTTTCACTATGTTGGCCAGGCTGGTCTCAAACTCCTGACCTCAAATGATCCGCCCATCTCGGGCTCCCAAAGTGCTGGGATTACAGGCGTGAGCCACTGTGCCCGGCCTCTGAAGAAGTCTTAATCCTAGTATATATAGTAACAGAACTGGATGAGATTATCCAGGGAAATTTATGTAACATGAAAAGGGAACTCAAGAAACAACATTTGAGAAACAGAGAATGACCCCAGGAGGGTTATAGTGAAGGTGTAGGATATAAGACTGGGTAGAGTCAAGGAAATTCAAACTAAGGAATTTACGGAGGCAGTGTTCAACTCTGGTAAATATTAGCGTGAGCCACCATGCCTAGCCAGTGCATATAGTTTTCTTATGCCTTTACTTTTATTTCTCGTTTACATCACAGTTATGACATCATATCTTTCTTTTAAAATTCTATGTATGTAAGAAATATTTTCTAGGAATGTCATAGGATAATAAAAGAGTATTGCAGAGTACTGGTAATAAAATGGACACCAGACTAAAAGGATTGAGAATCACAGATTGCTTTTCTGCTTGTATACATTCTGTATCTGGACAGCATGGAAGAGCCTAATTGCCCCTGCAAGAGTTTTGAATAACATCTGTCTCATGTTGACTCTTCATCTGAATTCAGTGTCCCCCACCCAAAAAAGAAATAAAAATAAAAATATCAGAGTAATAGGCAGACTTACCAAGCTTGAAATCTGGATTTTGAAAGAATTCTTGAAGAACATTCTGAATCTGCAACTCAAAAGAGGAAAAAAAGAAAGAAACCATATGCCACTCCTCAGTTACCACATATTTGTTATTTTAGACTAAAAGCCATCTATAGTCTTTCTGTTTTAGTATTGGGTGATCTTTCCAACCCAAGGACAGAAATAGTAATAAGTCACATATACTTTCTACAAGGGGGTCTTCAAAAAGTTCATGGAAAATGTGTATTATGAAAAAAAATGCATGGATTTCAATTTTTTTTGCACCAAAATAAACTTGTCGTTAACTTGTTATGTCTGAACAAGATCTAGCTTGAAGAACTAAAAAGGATAAGACATCAGTTTGAAAAGAGCCCCTATTAGAGCAACATGAATTCTGCTAAAATTGAAGCAAAAACATTAAATTTATGGTGAAGCTTGGCGGGAAGAATGGTGAAATCACTGGTGTTTTATGAAGTGTTTATGGGGACAATGCTCCAAAGAAATCAGCAGTTTACAAATGGATAATTCATTTTAAGAAAGGATGAAATGATGTTGAAGATAAAGCCCATGGTGCAGACTATCCACACCAATTTGCAAGAAAAAAATCATCTTGCTCATGCCCTTATTGAACAGGACTAAAAATTAACAGCAGAAGCAATAGCCAACACATAGACATCTCAGTTGGCTCTGCTTACACAATTCTGACTGAAAAATTAAAGTTGAAAAAATTTCCAGTCAATGGGTGCCAAAACCATTGCACCCAGATCAGACGCAGACAAGAACAGAGCTTCAAATGGAAATTTTAAACAGTGGGATGAAGATCCCGAAGCATTTCTTCCAAGAATTGTACCAGGAGAGGAAACATGGCTTTACCAGTATGATCCTGAAGACAAAGCACAATCAAAGCAATGGTTGGTTACCAAGATGTGGAATTGGTCCTGTCAAAGCAAAAGCAGACTGATCAAGAGCAAAGGTCATGGCAACAGTTTTTGGGATGCTCAAGGCATTTTGCTTGTTAACTTTCTGGAAGACCAAAGAACAATAACATCTGTTTACTATAAGAGTGTTCTGAGAAACACTAGCTAAAGCTTTAGCAAAAAAACATCTGGGAAAGCTTCACCAGAGAGTCCTTCTCCACCATAACAATGCTCTTGCTCATTCTTCTCATCAAACAAGGGCAAGCTGGGCACAGTGGCACACACCTGTAGTCCCAGCTACTCAGGAGGCTAAGGTAGAAGAACTATGAGTTTGTGCCAGCCTGGACAAAATAGCAACACCCATCTCCACTAACAAAACAAGAACAATTTTGTGAGAGTTTCAATGAGAAATCATCAGGCATCCACCTTACAGTACTGATTTAACTCCTTCTGACTTTTTATTTTCTAATCTTAAAAAAATCATTAAAGGACACCTGTTTTTCGTCAGTTAATAATGCAAAAAATACTGCATTGAAATGGTTAAATTCCCAGGACCCTCAGTTCTTTAGGGATGGACTAAATGGCTGGTATCATCACTTACAAGTGTCTTAAACTTGATGGAGCCTCTTTTTATTTATTTGCCATTTAAAAAGTAATGGCAAAAACCACAATTACTTCTGCACCAAGATAGTATTTGAGACAGGGTTCCACCATGTTGGCCAGGCTGGTCTTGCACTCGTGGGCACAAGCGATCCTTCTGCCTCAGCCTCCCAAAGTGCTGGGATTACAGGCCTGAGCCATGGCGCCCAGCCTGATAGAGCTTATGTTGAGATATAAAGTTTATATTTTTATTATCTTTTAATTCAATTTTTCCACACACTTTTTGAAGTCTCCTCTTAGAATACTTAAGGGTATATAAAGTTATTTTACACATATATTCTCAATGATTCCCAACCTTTTTGTGTGATTAGGATTGGGATGCTGACAGTGACCCCATTTTGCCCTCTCCAGGGGACACTTCTAGCAACTCTCAGACACGGCATGATGGAGCTAAGGCACTTTTGGCAAGCACTTTGGCCATCCAAAGAATCCTCTATACTTTCTCATTCTTCAATTACTAAAAATGAAATATCCAAGTTCTTCTTAGTCCATTTTTAAAAACATTTTATTTTTTAGAGAAGTTTTAAGTGCACAGGAAAATTGAGCGGAAAGTACAAAGAGCTCCCCCACCGCGTGTGTGTGCACGTGTGATATATATATCACATATATATATATATATATATATATATATATATATATATATATATTTGTTGTTGTTGTTGTTGTTTTGTTTTTAAGAGACGTAGTCCCTCTCTGTTCCCCAGGCTGGAGTGCAGTGGCATGATCATGGCTCAGTGCAGCTTCGACCTCCTGGACTCAAGCAATCCTCCCACCTCAGCCACCCAAGAAGCTGGAACCACAGCCTGGATAATTTCTAAATTCTTCATAAAAGTAGGGTCTCCCTATATTGCCTAGGCTGGTCTCGAATTCCTGGCCTCAAGCAATCCTCCCACCTCGGCCTCCAAAAGTGCTGGGATTATAGGTGTGAGCCACCACACCCAACCAGATATGTCTTCTGCTAATATTTTCTCCCAGTCTGTGGCTTGTCTTCCTTGATCTATTTTTAATCATTCACTTTAAACTGAAAATATGCTTAGCATTGTATCTAATGAAAAAGTATTTCCAAATCCACATACACTTAAGAGAAAGCATTTAACTCTCAGAGTACAGTTGTTCTCTAGAGCTAAGAGATAGTCTTGCAGGTCTCACAGAAGTAGTCACACATACAAACACACACACAACAAACAAACAAATGAAATATATGTTGGTTTATAGTGATGAGTTTGGGAACCTCAGCCAGAGTCAAGATTTTAGAAATCTAGCTAGAATTTTTTTTTTTTTTTGGTAATGCTCAAAAGAAATTGAAGGAATCAACACTCACGGACCAGACAGGTCAAGACTTACCTCAGCAATACTGAAAATTTCAAGGGAGGCTTCTAGTATGCTACTCAGTATTCTAGCAATTGCCCTTTTACCACTTACCCCACCTACCTTTCACATATACCCCCAATTTTCTTACCACTGACTTAGGAATCATTCCTTTAGGGTCTAGAATCCATTCATCGAATTGCTCCTGCAGAGCCTGTTTCCGTGTGTTGGCCACCTTGACTATGATTTTGTCTATGCTTTCTCTTTGTTTTCTATTCTGTTTAACATTCTCCTTCATCTTGGATACTCTGCAGGATGTAGATATAGAAAACATGTTGAGTTAATACCCTTGGATTTGGTCCAGATTGGAACACAGGAATTCAGACTCTCTTTGAAAATGTTTGCCTGTCTTTTCTCCATAAAATCTTTGATTCAGGCCTGTAGTGAGCCCTTCTTCCACAAGCACTTATTGAATTTGGCATTAATCACAGAGTGCTTTCTACTATTTGACTTTTTATAGAGGTAGGCCTTATTTTACCCAACTAAATACTAGACTTAAGAAGTATTGGTAGGAATGTGAATTAGTACAACCATTGTGGAAAATGGTAGGGAGGTTCCTCAAAAAACTAAAAACAGAATTACTACATGATCCAGCAGTCTCACTTCTGGATATTTACCCAAAAGATCTGAAATCAGTTTGTCAAAGAGATGGCTGCACTTCCATGTTCACTGTGACACTATTCATAATAGCCAAGTGATAGAACCAACCTAAGTGTCCTCCAACAGACAAATGGATAGAAGAAATGTGGTTTATAATACAATGGAGGGGCCAGGCACAGTGGCTCATGCCTGTAATCCCAGCACTTTGGGAGGCCAAGGCAGGCGGATCACGAGGTCAGAAGATCAAGACCATCTTGGCTAACACGGCAAAACCCTGTCTCTACTAAAAATACAAAAATTAGCCGGGTGTGGTGGCATGCGCCTGTAGTCCCAGCTACTCGTAAGGCTGAGGCAGGAGAATGGTGTGAACCCAGGAGGTGGAGCTTGCAGTGAGCCAAGATCACGCCACTGCACTCCAGCCTGGGTGACAGAGTGAAACTCTGTCTCAAAAAATAAGTAATAAATAAATACAATGGAATACTATACAGCCTTTAAAAAGAAAGAAATTCTGTCATTTCTGACAGCGTGAATGGAATTGGAGAACATTATGCTAAGTGAAAAAAGCCAGGCACAGAAAGACAAATACCACAAGTTTTCACTTATTTGTGCAATATAAAACAAACAAGCACATAGAAGCAGAGAGTAGAATGGTGGTTACAGAGGCTGGGAATGGGGGAAATGGAGATATGATTGTCAAAGGGTATAAAATCTCATTTAGACAAGATGAATAAGTTTTAGTGTACATTTCAAAATTGCTGAGAGTAAATTTCAAATGTTCTCACCACAAAAAAATGATATGTATTTGAGGTGATAGATATGCTAATTTGTTTGATTTCATTATTTCACATTGTATTCACAAATTATAACATCACTTTGACCCTGCAAATGTATATAATTATAAGATATTGATTTACAACTTAAAAAACAGGTAGTAAAAATAGCTCTAGAAGCTGCTATATATACTGAAAAGGCAAGGTTGAATGCAATAAGGCCTTAGGGTAGTGAGCTTCTCTCTTCCCTGGACAGAGAAATCATCTGAAGGGATTGATTTCAGGTGTTGGGAACAGGCCCCCCAAATCTGGCCATAAACTGACCCCAAAACTGGCCATAAACAAAATCTCTGCAGCACTGTGACATGTTCGTGATGGCCATGATGCTCATGCTGAAGGTTGTGGGTTTACTGGACTGAGGGCAAGGAAACCTGGCCCACCCTGGGCAGAAAACCGCTTAAGGCATTCCTAAGCCACAAACAATAGCATGAGCGATCTGTGCCTTAAGGACATGTTCCTGCTGCAGATAACTAGCCAGGGAGCCCATCCCTTTGTTTCAGCCCATCCCTTTGTTTCCCATTTTAGTTAATCTATAATCTATAGAAACAATGTTTATCACTGGCTTGCTGTCAATAAATATGTGGGTAAAACTCTGTTCGAGGCTCTCAGCTCTGAAGGCTGTCAGCCCCCTGATTTCCCACTCCACACTCTATATTTCTGTGTGTGTGTCTTTAATTCCTCTAGTGCCACTGGGTTAGGGTCTCCATGACCGAGCTGGTCTCAGCAAATGGCGCCCATACATGGGGCTGGAACCTGGGTCGAAGGGTCACTGGAGTGACAGTCGGAGAATGTGGAACTAAGCTGGAGGACACCCGAGTACTCTTAAGCAGTCCCCGTGGTGAGTAAGAAGGGGAGCTCGGAAGCATCAGGGTAACAATGGGACAAGTTTGGGCCCTGGTTCATTCCACCTTGGAACCTTTTCACACTGATAATGAGGAGGAAGGAAAGTATGATGAAGTAACCGAAGAGGTGACAGAGCAGGTTTGTTTGCCAGCTAAATCTAAAGTGGCAAAGGAGGGAGAGGTTTGTCCCTACCCTTCTGCACCCCCTCATTATTTTGAAGAAAAAGAGTGGCCTGACCCTCCAGATCTTTCTTTTCTGGAGGACACTGGGCGAAAAGTAGTTGCCCCAGTGACTGTTCGAGCAGCACCTCGAGCGACTGCTCTCAGTTCTATTCAGGCAGGAATTCAGCAAGCTACAAGAGAGGGTGATTTAGAGGCCTGGCAGTTCTCTGTTAGGATACACCCACCAGATCAACAGGGAAATATTATAGCTACATTTGAGCCTTTTCCTTTTAAATTACTCAAAGAATTTAAACAAGCTATTAATCAATATGGACCAGGTTCTCTTTTTGTAATGAGACTGTTAAAGAATGTTGCTGTCTCCAGTCATTTGTTGCCAGTGGGGATGACAGGATTACTTCTAGGTAGATCTAGTTTAAATTTAAAAGGAGTGCAAGTACATACAGGAGTCATTGATTCAGATTACAATGGGGAAATTCAAATTGTTATATCTACTTTTGTTCCCTGGAAAGCAGAGCCAGGAGAGCATATAGCACAGCTCCTGATTGTGCCATATGTGGAAATGGGGAAAAATGAAATTAAATGAACAGGAGGATTTGGAAGCACAAATAAACAAGGCAAAGCAGCTTATAGGGTCAATCAAATTACTGATAAACATCCTATAACTATTCAGAGAAAGAAATTTAAAGGTTTGTTAGATACAGGAGCAGACATTTCAATCATTTATCTACAGCACTGGCCATCTGCATGGCCAATTCAACCCGCTCAATTTAACATAGTTGGAGTTGGTAAAGCCCCTGAAGTATATCAAAGTAGTTATATTTTGCATTGCGAAGGGCCCAATGGACAACTTGAGACTCTTCAACCAATTATAACTTCTGTACCTATAAATTGTGGGGGGAGAGATTTATTACCACAATGGGGAGCACAAGTTCTAATTCCAGAGCAATGATATAGTCCTCAAAGTCAACATATGATGCATGAAATCGGGTGTGTCCCTGGTGTAGGACTAGGAAAAAATTCGCAAGGTTTGTAGGAACTGCTTCAAGCAGAAAGACAAAGTTCCCGCCAAGGTTTAGGATATCATTTTTTATGGCAGCCATTGTTAAGCCTCCAGAACCTATACCTTTAAAATGGTTAACAGATAAGCCAATTTGGATAGAACAATGGCCACTAAGTAAAGAGAAACTGGAGGCTTTGGAGGACTTAGTTACTGAACAATTAGAAAAAGGACACATAGCTCCAAGATTTTCCCCTTGGAATTCTCCAGTTTTCATAATTAAGAAAAAATCAGGTAAATAGAGAATGTTAACTGACTTAAGAGCCATTAATTCAGTTATACAACCTATGGGGACATGGCAGCCAGGACTGTCTTCTCCTGCTATGATTCCAAAAAATTGGCCTTTAATAGTCATAGACTTAAAAGACTGTGTCTTTACTATTCCCTTAGCTGAGCTAGACTGTGAACAGTTTCCATTTACAATTCCTGTGGTAAACAACCTGCGGCCTGCTAAGTGTTTTCATTGGAAAGTGTTGCCACAAGGCATGTTAAACAGTCCAACAATTTGCCAGACGTATGTAGGTCAAGCAATTGAACCTACTCGTAAAAAATTTTCACAGTGTTACATTATTCATTATATGGATGATATACTTTGTGCTTGCCCCCACTCAAGAAATATTATTCCAATGTTATGATCACTTGCAAAACTCGATTTCTCACGCCAGTTTAATTATAGCTCCTGACAAAATTCAGACTTATTCCTACTTGGGGACCTTAGTAAATGACCCTACAATAGTGCCACAGAAAGTAACCATATGTAGGGATCAATTGAAAACATTAAATGACTTTCAAAAATTACTAGGGGACATTAATTGGATACGACCTGCTCTAGGCATTCCTACCTATGCCATACGTAATCTATTTTCTATCCTTAGAGGAGATTCTAGTCTCACTAACCCTCGGCAATTAACAAAGGAGGCTGAGGCAGAGTTGCAGCTGATTGAAAAGCAAGTGCATAAGACTCAAATAAATAGAATAGATCCAGAGAAGACTCTAGATTTGCTAATTTTTTTCAACTCAGCATTCACCTACTGGTGTTATTGTTCAAGAGCAAGATCTTGTAGAGTGACTTTTTCTTCCACATACTAATTCATGGACTCTAACTCCTTTTTTGGATCAAATTGCTACTATGATAGGAAATGGGAGAACTCAGATAGTTAAATTACATGGATATGATCCTGGAAAAATTATTGTCACTCTCACAAAGGCACAAATACAGCAAGCTTTTATAAATAGTCTTACTTGGAAAACCCATTTAACTGACTTTGTGAGTATTCTCGATAATCATTTTCCTAAAAACAAAACTGTTTCAATTTTTGAAATTAACTAATTGGATTCTCCCTAAAATAACTAAATTTAAACCAATTGAAGGTGCTGAGAATGTTTTTACAGATGGGTCTACTAATGGTAAAGCTTCTTATTCTGGCTCGAAGGGTAAAGTTTTCCAGACACCCTATACTTCAGCTCAAAAAGTGGAGCTTGTAGCTGTAACTGAGGTATTGACTGCTTTTAATATGCCTATTCATTTGACTTCTGATTCTTCATACATGGTTCATTCCACACAATTAATTGAAAATGCTCAGTTATGATTTCATACAGATGAACAACTGATGATTTTATTTACCCAATTGCAAACAGCAGTTAGGAGTAGAATGCACCCTTTTTACATCACTCACATTAGGGCTCATACACCTCTTCCAGGACCTTTAACTGAAGGGAATCAAATGGCTGATCACCTAGTTGCTACTGCAATACCTAATGCTAGACACTTTCACAATTTAACCCATGTTAAATTGAGCCTTTGGTCTCAAACACAGATACTTGCATTACCTGGAAAGAAGCTAAAGCCATTATCCAGCGATGCCCAACTTGCCAAATGGTGCATTCCTCATCTTTCACAGGAGGAGTTAATCCTCGAGGATTGGAACCTAATTCTCTTTGGCAAATGGATGTCACACATGTTCCCTCGTTTGGGAGACTAGCTTATGTACATGTATGTGTGGACACCTTTTCTCACTTCATCTGGGCTACATGCCAACAGGAGAGTCTTCTGCCCGTGTTAAACATCACCTTTTGCAGTGCTTTGTGGTATGGGCATTCCAGTTTCTATTAAAACAGACAATGCCCCAGTATATACTAGACAAGCTCTAGTTACATTTTTCTCTATATGGAATATTAAACACATTACTGATACCCCATATAATTCTCAAGGACAAGCCATAGTGGAAAGAATGAATCTCTCCCTGAAACACCAATTGCAAAAGCAGAGGGGGGAAAACAGGGATTATGGGACACCACATATGCAACTGAATCTAGCATTATTGACTGTAAATTTTTTTAGCCTGCCTAAAGACCAAATACTATCAGCAGCTGAACAGCATCTACAGAAACCAGCTGCAAAGACAGAAGCAGAACAACTGGTTTGGTGGAGAGATCTGATAATAAAAAGTTGGGAAATAGGTAAAATAATAACTTGGGGTAGAGGTTATGCTTGTATTTCTCCAGGATTGAATCAACAGCCAATTTGGGTGCGATCGAGACATCTAAAGCCTTACTAAGATCCAGATACCCAGGAAGAGGTTTTGGGAAGATCCCAAAGACCCACCGGTTGCAGACATATCAAGACTGACGCTGAGGAAGACTCCAACTGTCACAAGCAACACCTGTCGAACACAGCCACCTACCTGGGGACAGATCAAGAAGGTGTCACAGATGGTGGAAGAAAACCTGAGGAAAGTGGGATAATCAGTCACAATGAGTAATTTAATGATAGCTATGATAGTGGTGATCACCACTGCCATGAGTATTCCTTCAACAAGGGCTGACACAGAGAACAATTATACTTATTGGGCATATTTATCAATCTTGGCTGGCAATAATGCCTGGACGTAATCACTCTATGGCACAGTTACACATGCTTTCTGGTCTCAGTATTTATCAAAATGAATATACTCGGCCGGGCGCGGTGGCTCACGCCTGTAATCCCAGCACTTTGGGAGGCCGAGGCGGGCGGATCACGAGGTCAGGAGATCGAGACCATCCTGGCTAACACGGTGAAACCCTGTCTCTACTAAAAATACAAAAAATTAGCCGGGCGAGGTGGCGGGTGCCTATAGTCCCAGCTGCTCGGGAGGCTGAGGCAGGAGAATGGCGTGAACCCCAGGGGGCGGAGCCTGCAGTGAGCCGAGATTGCGCCACTGCACTCCAGCCTGGGCGACAGCGAGACTCCGTCTCAAAAAAAAAAAAAAAAAAAAAAAAAAAAATGAATATACTCCTATAATTGAGGCATACCACCCTCAAAAACCTATTTGTAAGCAGAATTGGACCTGGCCAGAAATAATGAATGTACTTGTTTGGGAAGATTGCACTGCAGAACAGGCAGAGAGGTGCTGCACAACGATTCCTATGGAATCATTATTGATTGGTCCCCTAAGGGGATGTTTACCTTGAATTTCACCTCTCAGTCTGCGTGCCATGGCCACACTATGTTCAGCTGGTCTAAACAAAATGGTCAGATGGTAGAAATGGTAAGAAGTATGGCAAGAGTTCCTATTATCTGGAAACATGGCCATATAGTGGCACCTCAACCTCAAATGATATGGCCCGCTGTAGGAGCTAAACATAAGGACTTGTGGAAACTATTCATGGCTCTTAATAAGATCAAAATTTGGGAAAGAATAAAAAACGTCTAGAAGGACACTCTACAAACTTGTCTTTGGATATTGCAAAATTAAAAGAACAAATATTTAAAGTATCCCAGACACACCTGACCTTAATGCCAGGAACTGGAGCGCTTGAAGGAGCTACAGATGGATTAGCAGCTATTAACCCATTAGACTGGATAAAAACACTTGGAAGCTCTGTGATTTCAATGATGATTGTGCTTTTAATCTGTATTGTTTGTCTTTGTATAGTCTGTAGATGCAGATCCTGACTACTGAAAGAAGTAGCTCACTGTGATAAAGCCGCCTTTGCTTTTATCGTCTTGCAAAAACAAAAATGGGGAACATGTTGGGAACAGGACCCCAAATCTGGCCATAAACTGACCCCAAAACTGGCCATAAACAAAATCTCTGCAGCACTGTGACATGTTCCTGATGGCCATGATCCCCATGCTGAAGGTTGTGAGTTTACCGGAAAGAGGGCAAGGAACACCTGGCTCACTCAGGGTGGAAAACCACCTAAGGCGTTCCTAAGCCACAAACAATAGCATAAGCGATCTGTGCCTTAAGGACATGTTCCTGCTGCAGATAACTAGCCAGAGTCCATCCCTTTGTTTCAGCCCATCCCTTTGTTTCCCATTTTAGTTAACCTACAATCCATAGAAACAATGCTTATCACTGGCTTGCTGTCAGTAAATATGTGGGTAAAACTCTGTTCCAGGCTCTCGGCTCTGAAGGCTGTCAGCCCTTATTTCCCACTCCACACTTTATTTCTGTGTGTGTGTCTTTAATTCCTCTAGTGCCACTGGGTTAGGGTCTCCATGACTGAGCTGGTCTCAGCATTCATGTCTAGGGTGGAAGCCTAGAAGATGCATTTATAACAAGCATCTCAGGTCATTCTGATGCCTTGGATCAAACTTCTGAGAAATCTGTCTAGGGGTATATCTCAGCTAATTGCCTTTATCTAGCCAAAGTCTCATGCTTTGCCAGCCACTGCTGAAGTGCTGAGCATAAGAGTTACCCTTGCAGCCAGAACTGCATCACCCAGGTTGAGAATGGGGGAAAAACTGTGCTTTTAATTGTACCTATGTGCATCACTCCTATTAGGACTCCAAAAACCCCAAACTGGTTTTGATTGAAATCAAATAGAATGGCTCAGAATAATAAAAATAGTCGCTGGTTTCAAGTACAATTTTTTCCCAACAATGTTGGAGGCAAGTCTTCATCTTTCAAAGAAGAAAGACTAAGACAATCTGACATATTTTAAAATGCAAAAAGATTTTCAGTGGGAACTGGTAAATTGGATACATCTGATGAACCAAAGAAACTACTAAAATCTAAGTCATTACCTTATGCCTATATAAGGCCTTCAAAATTCTCTAGAAAAACAAGTGTTCAAAAATGAACTTTGAAGTTTGAAAATAAAAGCAGACAAGCAGTTTAATAGTACAGAAGGGGCTGGGTCTGAACTGCTGGAAGATTAATAAGTATTTTATTTTTATTTATTTATTTATTGTTTTGAGATGGAGTTTCGCTCTTGTTGCCCAGGCTGGAGTGCAGTGGCACAATCTTGGCTCACTGCAACCTCTGCCTTCCAGTTTCAAGCAATTCTCCTGCCTCAGCCTCCCAAGTAGCTGGGATTACAGGTGCCCACTACCAGTCTGGCTAATTTTTTATATTTTTAGTAGAGACAGAGTTTCACCAAGTTGGCCAGGCTGGTCTCAATCTCCTGACCTCGTGATCCGCTCACCTCGGCCTCCCAAAGTGCTGGGATTACAGGTGTAAGCCACCACGCCTGGCCTTAATGAGTATTTTAAAGGAGTGCTAAGTTTCTCTGATGCAATTGCTAACCAACCAAATCTCTACCAGTCAGCTCTACCGGTCAGCTACCAAAGTTCTGAGAGCTTGTCTGCTTGTCTTCTTCTGCTTCTTCTGCTTGTCTCCCCTTCTGCTATTTATCTGTTTCATCCTCTGCTGCTTTTTCCTTTCCCCCTCATCTCTAGCTAGGATTCTTCTCAATTTCTGTTTTCATTCCTCTGTGGCTCTGTCTTCTGTATCTGTGTTTTTCACCCAGCTCTTTTGCATTATTCATTCATACACTCACTCACTAAACCACTCACTCACTCATTCATTATATAAATATTTATTCGGCACCTACTATGGATTCTGCCATTATAAAGCTTAGGGTCCAATGGCAGAACAGATAAGTAAACGAATTTTAGGGTAAGTACTAAGTGTCTCCAGATTCTCATGTGACACAAAAATGAATACACAAAATTGGTTTTCTGTCATTTTCCCATCTGCTTGAAATATTTTTCTCCCTCTCTTTGCCTGACTAGATCCTCCACATGCTTTAGGTCTCACCTCAGACATCATTTCCTCCCATTTATTGATGTCCATATCTAGAAACAAAATCTACTTTTGTGCTTCTGGGCCACTGTACATGAGACTCAAAATATAATCCAAATGGATTTTAAATTGATTGTGTCACCCATTCAGGGAATTAATAAAATTTGTCTTCTGTAGCCTGCATTATCTCATGAAGATGTTTACTTTACATTAATCCAGAGAATTCTAAAGCATCCAAAACTCTTAATTTGGGCAGTACAGGGTAGACATAACCTATAAGCAGATTCATTCTAAGTGTAAGGGGACTGGAAGGGAAGAAAAACTACATTATGGAAAAATTGCAAAAATAGTCATAAATTCTTCCCATTCCTATATGCATGTCTCTATGAATGCAACATAACTTTGCAGCTCCTCCCATGAAGAAGTGGAGTCTGTTCCTGTACTCCTTGTCTGCTTCTGGCCATGTGACATGCTTTGGCCAATGGGCCATTAGAAAACAGAATGTAAGCAGAAAGTTGAAAAGTACTTGAACACTGGGGCTTGCCCTCTTTTATTGAACTTGGGAGCCCTTCCACTACAATACCATCATGGAAATGAGCATGGGCTCGCCTGCTGGATGATGATCCAGTTACTTCCATTGCTTTTGCAAAGAGACTGCCAACCACTACAAAAGTGATTGAGGTCATCACTTTTGGTTGTTATTCTGAAAGTAAAGGGATATCATTGAAAGGTTTCATCTTACTGCATCTCATGAGTGAGTCTAATTGATACCATGTGGAACAGAGATGGGCCATGAGCCCAGCTCAAAGTTACCAATCTACAAAATCATGAGCAAATAAATTCTATTGCTTTAAGCCATGAAGTTTTGGAGTATTTTGTTATGCAGCAAAAGCTAACTAAGAAAAGAGTTTTCCTATATGAATGAGTGTTTCGAGACCTTTTAAAGAAAAGCATAATATAAATCTGATTAAAGAGTAGAAGTAAAAATGCTTCCCCACCTAGTTGTGACAATCCAAATTCTATCCATCAATTCAAGCTGTATAAGGAAAATCTTCTATTTACAGAAACATTTGCCTAGATTATATCAAAAGTGAAAGTTGTATTACATCAAAATTGGTTCTAATCAGCTTAAGTGGATAATTGACCATGAACTTTGAGTGACCTCAGTATACCAGATCATTGCTATACGTAACTGAAGACCCTTTCTTGACCACTAAAAACTGGGACTTGTTTTAATCAATCATGTACAGATCTATGGACTCACTCTGTCCTATACAATGTGATAAGTTTTTAGTTCTTATAAGTATAGCTATTATAAAACAATTAAAAGCCCCTGAATTTCCCCCTTCCACATACCATTCAGTGAAGTCTTCACTGGTGTATATTCCTTTGCCTGGCAAGTTAATAAACTCAGTGTTTGTTTGTTTGAAGGTGTTTTTAAGCTCTGGTGGTCTTAGTTTCACAAAGCTAAACTGAATTTCTTTCTTTCTTTTTTTTTTGAGACAGTCTTGCTCTGTCACCTAGGCTGGAATGCAGTGGTGCTTGGCTCACTGCAACCTCCACCTCCCAGGTTCAAGCGATTCTTCTGCCTCAGCCTCCCGGCTAATTTTTTGTATTTTTAGTAGAGATGGGGTTTCACTATGTTAGCCAGGATGGCGTCGATCTCCTGACCTTGTGATCCATCCGCCTCGGCCTCCCAGAGTGCTGGGATTACAGGCATGAGCCACCGTGCCCAGCCGCTAAACTGAATTTCTTGCCATTCCTGGAGTATGTCCATATTAGTCCCATGATGAGTATTCCTATTAAAAATCCATATATGAAATATATGCCTACTTACTTCTTATACTTACTTATTTTCTCTTTGCTTATTCAATTTATATCTTACTACATAAATGAGGATGCTGATATAATTTAATGATTTAAGAAAAATCTAAGTAATTAATCAATAATATTTAAGCAGATGAATAATTAGGCCTCTTCAGAATTTTATAAAATGATAAAGAACATTTATCATAGCATCCTCATTAAATAGTGATGATTAATTCCAGATATTTCAAAGTTAAAAATTCAATTACTCTAAATTAAGGGATGTGTGAAAATGAGGTGACTCTCCCATAGTTATTGAGCTTTAAGACATATCTCATAATAATCTTATGTATCTAAAAACCAAAAAGCAAAAATAAAATAAAAACAGAAGAAAACTTTCATCATTAAGGCAGACTGGAATAGGTTAATTAACAAACATTTATTGAGCATTACTCATAAGACACAGTGTTAGATGCTGAGGATTCAGTGGTGACTATGACAGACATAGTTCCTGCTTATATTGTAGCAGAGGAAACCACCATCACAACTGTGATAAGTGCAATGAAGGAGAAACACAGGATGCTATGAGAGCACATAAGGGAAGATCCCAACCCAATTTCATGATGAAATGGTGTCTGAGCCTGAACTCTAAAGGATGGGTAGGATTAAGTAAAGAGGAAGAAAGTAGTATAGGCAGAGGGAATGGCATATGTGAAGACCCTGAGGTAGGGAGAAGCACAGTATGTTTAAGAACGAAAGAAATCCTCTGTGCCTGGAGTATAGTGTGGGGAGAGAGGCAGGAGCCAAGCTTGGAAAAGCAGGCAAGGACAAGGTCATCCAAAGAAGGTCTCATAGGCTTAGTTAAGAATTTTGTTCTTTATTCTGAGGGTAAAAGGGTACCACTGAAAGGGTTCACATTGGGGAACAACATGGTAATATTAGCCTTTAAAAAAATCACTTTAGTTATGGATGAAGAATAGATTGGAAGAAGGCAACTGGATGTAAACATACCAATTAGGAAACTATTGCAATAGTGGAGGCAAGAGATAATGGTAGCTCAGACTAGGATGAAAGCAGTGGGGGATGGTCAGAAATGAACAAATTTAAGAAAAGAAGGTGAAATCACCAGGACTTAATGACTGACTAGAAATGAACAGTGAGAGATCATCAGAAGGTGTCCAGGTTGATTTGCTAGTTTTTGGCTTGAGGACAATGACTTCTTGAAACTGAGGTGCTTATGAAACATACAAGTACAGATATTGAATAAATAGTTGGATGTACTGGGATAGAGCTCAAAGAAGGTGTTTGAACCAAAGATATAAATCTAAAAGTCATGAATGTATAGATGGTAACTTAAGTCATGTTGGAATGTGAGCACTCAGGGATGGAATATAGAGTGACAGGTTAAAGAACTTTAATATTTGAAGATCAAGTAGCAGAGAATGAGCCAGAAAAGGACACTGAGAAGGACTAAATAGAGAAACAGAAGGAAAGTTAGACAAGTATGATATCATGGAAGAGGAGGGAAAAAGTATTTCAAGATGGAAATAATGCTAAGAGGTCAAGTAAGATAAAAATGGCAAACTTTCTACTGGGCCTAGAAGCATGGAAAACATTGTGGTTTTGGCAAGTGCCATTTATTAGAGAAAGCCTGGCACAAAAGCCAGAAGTAACAGGTTAAAAAATGTGTGGGAAGTGGGGAGAGTGTATACGGACAACTGCTTTTGATAAAACTGGCTGTTTTAGTTATATTTCCTCAAATAGACTGTATAAGTTCTTCATGACAAAAATCAAATTTTGTATTTTTTCCCTATAAGGTATAGCTCACCACTGAGAACTCAGTAGTTATGCAATAAATACTAATTGACTGAGTAAAGGTTCCTCAGTAAGTTTAAGTTTTGTTTGTTTGTTTTTGAGACGGAGTTTCACTGTTGTTGCCCAGGCTGGAGTGCAATGGCCTGATCTCAGCTCACTGCAACCTCCGCCTCCCGGGGTCAAGCAATTCTCCTGCCTCAGCCTCCTGAGTAGTTGGGATTACAGGCATGCACCACCATGCCCAGCTAATTTTGTATTTTTAGTAGAGATGGGGGTTTCACCATGTTGGTCAGGCTGCTCTCGAACTCCTGACCTCGGGTGATCCACCTGCCTCAGCCTCCTAAAGTGGTGGGATTACAGGCATGAGCCACCGTGGCCGGCTAGTAAGTTTAAGTTATTAATTAATTCATCTAACATTTATTGAGCCCCAGCTCATGCCAGGCATTGTGCTCAGTTTCAAATATAGGTATAATAGAAGATAGCCCTTGTCTTCAAAGGGATTATGGGAAGGTAAATAACAATTACATTACAGTGTGCTAAGGGGGCTGACATGAGCCTACAGGTGTTTCAGAAATGTAAGAAATATATAGAAAAAGTACTTAATCCAGACCAACTGTGACAAAAGTGGTGCTATAGCTGACTACTGAAGGACAAGGAGAACTTAGCCAGCTAAAGAAACAAAGGGAGGGATGTTTTAGACAGAGAAAGCTGGCACTCTGGATTCCCAAAGAGGACACTTGGCTGGTGGTTTTGATTAGTTAATATGTATGGTAGTAAAACTGTTATGCATAAATAATGCAGCCTATCTGGCCAGGATGGACTAAATCAGGGCTTAGTGGTCATTGTGACTATATGCTGGGTAGCTCAGATAGAATGCCTCCAAGCTTTACAGCTGGCCTCAATGGTGAGGATTTCCTTTTTTTTTTGAAATGGAATCTCACTCTCTCACTCAGGCTGGAGTGCAATGGTGTGGTCTCAGCTCACTGCAACCTCCGCCTCCCATGTTCAAGCAATTCTCCCACTCTCGAGTAGCTGGGACTACAGGTGTGTGCCACCACACCTGGCTAAATTTTGTATTTTTAGTAGAGACAGGGTTTCACGATGTTGGCCAGGCTGGTCTTGAACTCCTGACCTCGTGATCCACCCACCTCGGCCTCCCAAAGTGCTGAGATTACAGGCGTGAGCCACCGTGCCCAGCCAGGATTTCCTATTTCTAAATGAGGTGAGTTGAGTTCCAATTGAGCCACCTTTTTGGAAAAGCAAGAGCAGGGCAGAGGCCAACAGAGTAAGCATACTCCCCACTCCCCCCATCCCCCCTGCCCCAGGGAAGCTGGGAAGCATGTTTCGATGGTGAAAGACTGAGTTAGCACAGAGGATGTAAAAACCAAAGCAATTGCATATAAGGTCTTCAGCCATTAGAAGGCCACAACCTACTCTATGAACAGACAAATTATCTTCTTTTGAGGCTGTCACTGGATACTTTTAAATGAATCAATGGAATTATACGGAAAATCCTAAAAATTTCTGGACATTCTCAATAGTCTTAGGAGTTTCTACTTCAGGACAACCACACCTTGTCAGGCATTTTACCAGATACCCAGCCCTAGCTGGAGAGAAGTTGACTCAGGGACTCTACCTCAGTCTCTAACATTAGGAACATTCTATATCATTGAAGCAAACCAGAGACTCATTTAATATCAAGTTGCAGGGTAGGGTGTAGAATACAAGGATGTCATCCAGGGAGACCATGATCTTGCAGTCCATAAGTGGTTGAATTTCTTAAGTATTTAATAATGGGATATATACATACTCAACAGAGTAAGGTTTAGAGATGGACATGAAACTAGTCAGTGTACATAAATTATCATTATGCTTCAGGTTGAACAAGAGTAGAACCTGTTTGGATAAAGTCCTACCACAATTCCATTGGATGTAACAGTCATTTGAATACTACAAAAATATTTTCCTTGTCCATTCACTCACATCACTCATAATCTGTTTTACTGGCTTGACAAAATTTGATATTCAGTATAAATCAACAAGATGATTAATATTACTAATATCACCTGTGCAGAAGCACCTGTGGGTTTTCCTAGCATAATATAAGCACATGGCTCAGTAAATGGGTGGCAGCTGGTGTAGAATATGAGCAGACAGCTGTCTAGGAAGCCACTGTCTCCTGGCAACTCAGGAAGACCCATATCAAGGATGAAACATTCCCTCTGTCTTGCCAAATCCTACTGCTGGCATCTTGTAAGGATGAGTAAGATATTTTGAAGCTTTTTTTAAAAAAAATACAAAAAGTACTTTGAAGCAGATTTCAGAACTCTGCAAATAACACATTCCAATAGAAACACACACAATAGATTTTTGTCACATAGTTTACATAAATTCTTTGAACACTACACGACTTAATATGCAAGAAATTAATAAAATAAAGGCCTGTGTCCCTCGCTTCTTGAAATTTTACTTGGTTTGTGTATCCTTAAGGCTTGAATATTTATACTAACTTGGTCTTCTCTTGTATGTAGCTGTGGTAGAGAAAGTAATTCTTTGAAATACCTCTTTGTGTTTCTCTCTCTTTATGGATTAAATGTTCCATCATTAATGCATAAAGCTAATAAAGAGGAGTCACAGGAAAAATGCCCAAAAGATATCTCAAACTGCAACACAGACCCCATAGTGAATATGCAATTATCAGAGATCACTACCAAGGCAGAACTGGGTATGCATTATACAGGAAAAGATACAAGCTTCTGTTTGGGGTCTCTTAGATCTACTTTCCGGTTCATTTGAACTCATTCTAGGTTATTATGGTTCAAGACTAGTTGAGAAAAGAGAGGAAATTTGTAGTAAAGTAGAATAGTCTGAAATTCTAACATTAACAGTTTTCTTTTTTTACTGCTTAAAAGTTTTATATTTTAAAAAATATCATACAGTAAAATTTACCTTCTTTGGCACATAGTTTTATGAATTTTAACATATATGAGTATGTGTAACCACCATCATAATTAGGCTATTGAAAGTTTGTAATCCTATTTTAGGAGCAAATATTTTTCATTATCAATTCATAATAAGGTGGTAATGACCTTCAAATATGCAATCCCAAACACTGGAGAAATCAAGAGTCAGAGGGAAAAGATACTTTTTACAAAGCATACTAAAAGAAAAGAAAATATGAAGAAAAGTGAATGATACAAACTTAACCTACTTTACAGTTGTCCAAAATTGCACGTAAGAATTAAAGTCCACTTTAATTCTATATCTATGTCTTTCAAGAGCCCCAATGAAAAGTAGTAAATTACATTGCACATATAAAACCTACAAACAGCAGTGATACTGTATTTTTCAGATATAGTGGCTACCACTATAAAAATTGTTCCAAATAAGTAAGCAGTGTCTTCTCTATCTGTTGTTTTTAGAGACCTAACAGAGATGAATCCCTTTTGTCGTAGAAAGTAGGCAGACAAAAGCTTTTTGGATCAAGCTGAAGCAAATGAACACTTAAACATTACCACAAGAAGATAGAGTCTCATTAAAACAAATACATTTTCTTTTGACTTTTTTTCTTGGCTATAATTCAGGAAAATTTCATTCCTAAAGTGAATGGACTTTTCTAAGGCTTTGCAATGGATTGAAGGTAACACAAACAATGGTATAGTTCTGAGAATTTCAAAGCAGGACTGTTTTTACTAATATTGCTGGGTATATAAGCTTTAAGTCGATAGGGATTAGGAGCAGAACACACTGTTGTAAAACATCCTTAGGATTTCTGAATATTCTACAAATGCCTGACACTGTCATCTGTTGACATACAGATCTTGGATTTCTGCCAGAAAAAGATGAAGCCCCAATTCTAACAATCCAGGTAAACAAAGCAACTTTGATTATTTCATGAAATTCCTGCTCCAATAGAGCAACCTTTAACTAAAACTTTTACCAAGCCTCAAATGACCCTAAGAAGTCAAACTCCCAGTTCAAGAAATATCAGTGAAACAACCTAATTCTCCTGTGTCATGGAACCCAATGTCCTAGTGTGCTTATTACTATCTTATTATAGACATTAATAAATGTCTAGAGTTTTACATACCCATTGAGATTTACATATCTGTAACAAGAGGAAGTGTTTGTCAATATATTTGTTTACAGACAAAATCAGTTCACAGATTGTAAGTATTTTTAGTGGAAATAGATCTAAATACAGTCTAATTTATTGCACTGCAAGAACAGATGGTGAGCAGAAATGTTCCTTAAGGTATTTATTAAATTTAATGAAACTGCTTCCTGCATACTACTGGAAGTTTTCACTAGTACTAAACCTCTCTTAATTTGTTTTCTTTTTAATTTGGTCTTGAAACTTTAGTGTGCAATAATAACCTCTTATGGAACTTGTTTTAAATGCATTCCTAGAGGTTCTGATTCAGAAGATCTGAGGAAGGATCTAGGAATCTGCACTTTTAACCAAGCACCCCAGGTGATTCTGGTGTCACTGATAGACAACCATGATCTTAGAAAGCCTGTTTCAACTGAAAATAAAAATTTCATAACCACACATAAAACAAGAGTTCTGCACATATCTCTTACTTTATCCCAGAGGGATATCTGTGCCTAATTCCAAAAGAATTACTATTCTAAAGCTTCTAATTAGTTGTTTACCCTATAGGAAAGACACTAAAACAAGTCAAAAGAAATTATAAATTTGAGTGTAGGTGGGCCAGGTGTGGTGGCTCACGCCTGTAATTCCAGCACTTTGGGAGGCCGAGGTGGGTAGATCACCTGAGGTCAGGAGTTCGAGACCAGCCTGGCCAACATGGTGAAACCCCATCTCTACTTAAAATACAAAAAATTAGCTGGGCATGGTGGTACGCACCTGTAATCCCAGCTACTCGGGAGGCTGAGGCAGGAGAATCGCTGCCGGGAGGCGGAGGTTGCAGTGAGCTGAGATTGTGCCATTGCACTCCTGACTGGGGAACCAGAGTGAGATTTCGTCTCAAAAAAAAAAAAAATTAGTGTAGGTCTGTATGTCAGAAGATATTAAAAGGAAAAGTGTATCACTTTTGTTTTAGACCTGGAAGAGACCTAATAGATACCATTTAGACAAAAGGTCAGCAAATTACAACCTGGGGGCTAAATCTGGCCCACTGACTGGTTTTGTATGGCTCAAAAGCTGAGGGGTTGTTATATTTTTAGTTTTGTATTTTAAAATTTTATTATTTTATTTATTTATTTATTTATTTATTTTAGAGATAGGGTCTCATTGTGTTGCCCAAGCTGGTCTTGAACTCGTGGCCTCAAGTAATCCTCCTGCCCTCACCTTCTCAAAGTGCTGGGATTACAGGTGTGAGCCATTGTGTTCAGCCTAAATCATTTTTTAAAATCAAAAGATGAATAATATTTTGTGCCATGTGAAGATTATATGAAATTCAAATTTCAGTATCCACTAATAAAGTTTCATTGGAACACAGCCATGCTCTCTCATTTACATATATGCTATGACTGCTTTTGCACTACAGCAGCAGAACTGAGAAGTTGTGACTCAATTTACCTGGCAAAACGCTTTCATTTTTTATGTAATGAAATTTTCCAAAATTTTCATGATCTTGAGTCATGGTTAAAAAGGATTATCTCCAGCATAAAGGGATTTAATCCCTGTTTTTTTCTAGTTTTTTGCATGGCTCTATTTTTTACATATATATACCTAGTGAGACATATTCTTTTTTTTTTTTTGAGACAGGGTCTTGCTCTGTCACCCAAGATAGAGTGCAGTGGCATGACCCAGCTCACTGCAGTCTTGATCTCCCAGGCTCAAGTGATCCTCCCACCTCAGCCTCTGGAGTAACTGGCAGTAGTAGGCATGTGCCACCAAGCCAAGATAATTTTTTTATTATTATTTGTAGAGACGGGGTCTTGCTATGTTGCCCAGGCTGGTCTCGAACTCCTGGGCTCAAGAGATCCCTCCCAAAGTGCTGGAATTACAGGTGTGAGTCACTGCACCTGGCAAGGATATATTCTAAGGACAAAAAAGCTGCAAATAAATGTAAAGCCTTGTTTAATATTTTTATTATTAGTAAGCTTGTTGGTATTATTATTTTGAAGCTTTTTTTTTTTTTTTAGATAGAGTTTCACTCTGTCACACAGGCTGGAGTGCAGGTGGCACAATCTCAGCTCACTGCAACCTCTGCCTTCCAGGTTCAAGCAATTCTCCTGCCTCAGCCTCCCGAGCAGCTGGGATTACAGGCACACACCACCACACTCAGTTAATTTTTGTATTTTTAGTAAGACAGGGTTTCACCATGTTGGCCAGGGAGGTCTCGAACTCCTGACCTCAGGTGATTCACCCATCTTGACCTCCCAAAGTCCTGGGATTACAGGCTTGAGCCACCGCGCTGGGCCATTTTGAAGCTTTTATGTAAACTGTAGGATAAAACAAATCAGTAATTATGTCAATGTCATTAGGAACCAAGATTTTCTATGTAAGATAAAAGGAAATACAGGCCAGGCGCGGTGGCTCACGCCTGTAATCCCAGCACTTTGGGAGGCCGAGGCGGGTGGATCACGAGGTCAGGGGTTCAAGATCAGCCTGGCCAATATGGTGAAACCCTGTCTCTACGAAAAATACAAAAATTAGCAGGGTGTAGTGGCGGGTGCCTGTAATCCCAGCTACTCAGGAGGCTGAGGCAGAGAATTTCTTGAACCCAGAGGCAGAGGTTGCAGTGAGCCAAGATCCCGCCACTGCACTCCGGCCTGGGTGACAGAGCAAGTCTCTGTCTCAAAAAAAAAAAAAAAAAGGAAAAAGGAAATATAAATGTCAAAGAAATTAGATAAAGACCTGAAACATTAATATGCAACTGTCAATATTAACTCATTTTTTAAATTACATATTTCTTTTCTCAGCACAGCGAATTTTAATGTCTCCCTTTTGCGGGAGGAGAGGTTGCCTTACCCACTTTTGAAGACACCCCAAAGGTTGTCTGGCAGTTTGGTGCAGAAAGGATTTGGCCCAATCTTGTGCTGGCTAAGATACAGAAAGGCACATAAAGTTTGTGGCTCAAAGTCCTCCAGGGTGGGGTAGGGCAGAATGTACACAGGGAAGTGGTTTGGGAGAGACTTGTAGGAGTGTGGGCTTGGGTTCCTGTGACAGAAGTAGTTGGTCCTGGTGGACCAAGGCTGGGGTGGCCAAGGGGAGCCTGAGCCCTCTGGCTGGGAAGACGCTCCTGCAGTGGCCCCTGTCTAGGGGAGCTAGTTCACCAGCTCACTGCTTTCAAACCACAGCTGGATCTCTTTCTGACCCCCTACCCTGAATAGCTGGTGTGAATGATGTTCCTGCTGATGTGGACGTCGCTGAAGTCTCCCCATATGGTCACAGAGTCAGCCTCAACCCTGTCAGGGTATCTATCATGGCCCTCGAGGCATGGATCACATTGTACCCTTCCCAGACCATGGCCATCAACAGGCCTGGAGCTCACATAGCTAAGGAGGGCTGGGTAGAGGGGCTTCCTTCGCAGGTCCTGGTAGTGTTCAGCAAGGACGCTTTCTGGCCGGCCACAGGATCTTCATCCCTACCAGCTTGAAGCCCTGCCTCCAAAGCGCTGGATCACATCCCTAACAGGCCGCCACAAGACCCCAACTGGCTCCAATGAGACCAGGGTCCACTCCTGGATCAAGAAGGGTCCTCCTGAGCCGGGCGCAAGAGCAGGCATGGCCCAGAGCCCGCGGGTCGTACAGCAGGCCCGGCAGCGGTGGCACGCCTGAAGAGGCTGCAGGTGATGTCTGGTCACGGGTCATTGACTCTAAAAATTATATGTTTTAGTCCTGAAGGGCCTAGAAACAATGACTACACAATATTTATGAGCACTCCTAGCTCACAAGTGAGTGATCCCCATTTTAAAAGGAGCCAGGAATCCATTTAAAAAATGCCTGGGCCGGGCGCGGTGACTCACGCCTGTAATACCAGCACTTTGGGAAGCCGAGGCGGGCGGATCACGAGGTCAGGAGATCGAGACCACCCTGGCTAAGGCGGTGAAACCCCATGTCTACTAAAAATACAAAAAAAAAAAAAAAAAATTAGCCGGGCGTGGTGGCGGGTGCCTGTAGTCCCAGCTACTCGGGAGGCTGAGGTAGGAGAATGGCGTGAACCCGGGAGGCAGAGCTTGCAGTGAGCCGAGATCACGCCACTGCACTCCAGCCTGGGCGACAGAGCGAGACTCCATTTAAAAAAAAAAATGCATGACGTTTTCAAAGACTAAAGGGGTAATGTCAGAAAACAGAAGCCAAAGTTGGTGCAATTTGAGCATCTAACAGAAAAAAAGACTATAACTGATTAAAATATATTGAATATATATTAAAATCCATGCATCCATGATGATACTGAAAAAGGAACCCTTTCCCAAAAGGGGAAAACATTTTTCATTTGCTGCCACTAGTGGTGACTATTGATAGGTAGATAGATATATACCGTATTCTGAAAAATCTGTAATTAAAAGGAAAGAAATATTCTGTCTTACAAGTAGAAAGCATATTTCAGTGTACCCAAATACATAGCAACCAAGCAGGATTTATTTCAGGAATTCTAAGGTAATTGAATAGTAGGAAATCTATTAGTAAAATTCATCATTAAGGAATCTAAGGTGAAAATCATATTATCACTTTCATAGGTGTTGAAAAAGCATTTGATAAAATCAAGTCTTAATTTTTAAAAATCACTCTGAAAGGTAGAAATTAGGTACATTTTCCCATTGAGATAAAATGTTTTTCATATCCAAATGGAACAGAACTAGTAATATAAAAACTGCCCATAATGAAGCAGTAACAGAAGCAGCATTTCTACTAAAGTTGTAAAAAGACAAGGATGCCCATATCACCATTATTATTTAATATTGTATTGGAGGTAGTAGGATATTAGTATAAAAATTGAAAAGGAAGAAGGGAAACTACTATTATTTGCAGACAATGGTTACCTCCCTAGAAAACCCAAGAAACCAACTAAAATGTTACTGTAAGAGAACTCAGTAAGGTAGCAGGGTACAAAAATATATAGAAATTAGTAGCTTTCATGTCTTCAGACTACATCCAGATAGAAAATATAGTAACAGAAGAAAGCCCTGCTTAAAATAGCAACAAAGAATGATAAAAATAACTAGTAATGAATCTAATAAAAGAGATACAAAACCTACATTAAAATCTTTTTTTTTTTTTGAGATGGGGTCTCACTCTGTTGCCCAGGCTGGAGTGTAGTGGTGCATCTCGGCTCACTGCAGCCTCCGCCTCCCAGGTTCAAGTGATTCTCCCACCTCAGCGTCCCAAGTAGCGGGGATTACAGGCATGCATCACCACGCTGGGCTAATTTTTGCATTTTTAGTAGAGACAGGGTTTTGCCATGTTGGCCAGGCTGGTCTTGAACTCCTGACCTCAGGTGATCAGCCTGTCTTGGCCTCCCAAAGTGCTGGGATTACAGGCGTGAGCTACCATGCCCAGCTGCAAAAAACTTTAGGGCAACAATAATTCACACAAAATAAGATGAGCAAATGGAAAGACACCCCGAAACACTCATCATTATTACAGATGTTGGTTTTCTGGTGTGTGTGTGTGTGTGTGTGTGTATGTGTGTGTGTGTGTGTGTGTGTGTGTGTGTCTGTTTTTGAGACTGGATCTCGCTCTGGTACCCAGGCTGGAGTGCAGTGGTGTAATTTTGGCTAATTGCAGCCTTGAAGATGTTGGTTTTCTAAGAGTATTAATAGATGTAATCAGATTTCAATAAAAATTCCTGTAAGGTTTGTCTTTTCGTTTTCCCTCCCCATTTTTTTTCAAGTAGACAAGTTACTCCCATAATTCATATAAAAAAAGTAAACAAACAAAAATAGCCAGGAAACATCAGAAAAGAAGAAGAGCAAATAGTGGGGACCAGCACTGTCAGATCTATGGAATATATTTAAAAGTCTCAATTGTTAAAGCAGTGTGGTACGAATGCATGAAAGGGAGACTGACCAATGGAATAGGATGGAAAAATGCAGAAATACACCCCAAAATATATATGAATTTATTAATAAAGGCTCAATCCCAAACCAGTGGGGCAAAGATAGACTACTCAACTCTTATTGGGACCACTAAGTAGACATTTGAAAAAGGATAAAGTTGAATCCTTACATGTTACAGTAGGTTAAATTCCAAATGAGTCAGTATTTAAAATGAAAATTAAAATAATAATTCTGGAAGAGAACATGGAAGAATTCTTTTAATATTTTGAAATGTAACAGTGCCTCAAAATCCTGATGCCATAAAAGAAAAGTTAAATTTGACTATATAGAAATAAAAAATCTTCTACATGAAAAAAGATAAATGGCAGGTAAAAATGGGTATTTGTAACATGTATCACATGCTTTTGTGTAAAAGAAAAAATTAATAATCCATGTTTGCATTTCCTTATGTATGTATAAAGAAATTCTATAAGGATCTATAGAAAATTAAGAATAGTAGTTATTTATGGTGGAGGTGGAATATTGGGTAGATGGAAGATAAGAATGGGAGGGAAACTTTTCACTATATAACTTTTTTTACATATTGACCTTTAAACCAGATTGCCTATATGGAAAATTAAATTTTTAAAAAGTTCCAACTTTCATATAGCTTACTTTCCAGTGCAGGCAGATAAATAAAAATACAAATCATTATACACTTGCAGTCATAGTGAGATAATTAAATCTATGAATACAAGGAACTTATTTATTTTGTTAGTCTTCACAGTGCCTCAAAAAGAGTGAAGCACATACTAGTAGCTCAATAAATACTTTCTGAATAACTGTAGAATCACTTGTTTTAAGTCCTGTCCATGATTATGTTATTTTTTCTACTAGTTTTTCAATGTAAGGAGACAGATCATGAACTGAAACTATAACAGATTGTACCTGTTGCAGATAGTGTCAGGAACATATATCTTCAGGTCTTCTGTGACTTCTTTCATCAACCTCTGGTAACCAGACATTCCTGGGTCTTTGATATAATTAGGATTGTTTCTTATTAAATATTCCCCCAAATAATTAATTGGGTCAAACTTGCTTGGAGTATCAGCTTCTGTCAAAACCTTCTTCTTTTCTACTTGAGTTAACATGTTTTCTACTCCAGGAACTAAGGTGGGTAGAAGTTTGTCAAGCAAATATGCAGTATTATTCAGTGTCATGCTGTCAGTATTAAACCACTCTTTGGCCAAATTATCCCTAGGGAGTTTTTTTTCAGCCTTTTTTTCTAGTTCCTTCTTCAGATTTTCCTTATCTATTATTTTCTGCTGCATTGCTTGGGCTCTTGCCTCCATTCTTTCAAAAAGGTTTTTCTTCCATGTGTGCTCTGGCTTTGATTTCAGTTCAGTTTCATCTAAAGCAAAAATCACTTTTGCAGATTTTCTAATTGCAATATTACCTGAGGCTTCAGTTTTAGAGTCCTTTATTGAACCAGGTGAAATTTTTCGCTGCCCCTCCAGGTTTAATTCTGAGGGGAAAAAAAAGTGAAATGTAAGAAATGTTAGAAGTAAATTTTAATCTATGTGACTTTAGAATAATATTTGAAAAAATTTTTATATCCATTTACACAGTGGATTGGAAGAATGTCAGCTGAAAATAACAGAAAATCAGACAAAGTGACTTTAACCATAAAGACATTTATTGTTGACTTAATCAGAAGCCATTTAGCAGTTCAGTGATTTCATTAAATACGTAGGCTGTTTCTGTTTATTTTCGTTCATTTTTTTGCTTGTACCTCATGATCACATGACGACTATTAGAGCTCCAGCCATCACTTCCTCACAGCAAAAAAGCATAGAGGACAAAGGGTTTTTCTCCTCTTGAGGCTCTGTTTTATTATCCAAGAGGAGAAGATCCCAGACTCCCCACTCTAAGACTTCCCTTTACATTTCATCTGCCCTAACTAGGATACATGCCCACGCCCAGACCAATCGCTGGTAAAGGGAAATGGGATTACTATGAATAGTATAGACAAATTATAACTTATTTCTTGGTGCCAGGGTTTGGTTCAAATTCTCTGATAACAAGTGATTTTCATCTGCTACAACACTGAGGTTCAGTTGGCAGGCAAAAAGGTAGGGAAGGCTGGGCGCAGTGGCTCACATTTGTAATCCCAACATTTTGGGAGGCCAAGGCGGGAGGACTGCTTGAGCCCTGGAGTTCAAGACCAGCCTACGCAACATTAGGAAGATGCTGTTTCTACAAACAATAAAAAAATTAGCCAGGCATGGTGGCGTACACCTGTGGTCCCAACTACTCAGGAGGCTGAGGTGGGAGGATCACTTAAGCCCTGGAGGTCGAGGCTGCAGTGAGCCACGATCATGCCACTGCACTCCAGTGAGACTTTGTCTCAAAAAAAAAAAAAAAAAAGGTGAGGAAATGTGTGGTGAGTAAGCAAAGAGTCTACCACACATGTATATTTAAATACATTTCTCTTCATTTTATTCCCAGCTTCCTTTATGTCTTCATTTTTTAAATGCAGGACGGAGATATTAGACCAAGATGGTAGACTGAGAACAGGCACCTATATCCCCTCCCCTACCAAAATCTCTAGCAATGACAGGAAAAGTTGTGTGTATGTTTTTAAAATTTAAAAAATGCGCAAGAATACTACAATCATGAAGGGGGCCTTCAGGAGTCAGGAATTTTGAAGATCTCTGAAAAATGTAAAGCAGGGGAATTCAACTGATTGAAGAAACTATAGGACTAAAAAGATACGGTGGAGACCACTATAAAATTTGGGAGCAGATTTGAGGCACCCCAAGTTTAGAGGATGTAGATATGGGTCATAGGAGAAAGACTGACCTTTTTGTGTATCTTAATTCCCATTTGAGCTAATCATCAGGCACCAGAAGGGTTTTCCCCTGCACTGAGTTAAGGTATATAGATGTTTAGGCTAGAGAAGCAAGATTTCCACACGCAGAGAAAATGACCTATTGACAGCTTCACTGTCTGCACATCTTGTCCTTCCCCCACTGGCATCAGACTATAGAAAACAGTAACTCTATAGGAAAGCAAATAGAGAATCTCAAATTCAAATGTAAGCACACATTCACAGAATGTTTAAGAAAAATCATCCCCATGACTAAATTCAACAAACAGAATAACTAATGCCACCCAAGGAAATACCATTAAATAGAACAAATGTAAGGAGTCTTTAAAAGAATATCCTCAGAGCAGAGAAATTAGAAGAAATTAAAAGTTATTAAAAAGAACACTTAAGAGAACGTAGACCATCTAGTGCTCACATCTTGGTTTCTAATATCACTCTCCAATTAAAAAAATCAGAACTCCTTGGAGATACAGCTGATTATAGGATTGGGCTCATGTTGTATATAGGAAATATATACAAGAATATCTTGTAGTGCCTGGAATATCTTGTAGTGCCAGAAAGTAAGGAAGTGCTGAAAAAAAAAACTATAGTAAATAAGTAAAAAGACAAATTTCCTGTGCAGAAATAGTCCAAATAATTTATGTAGATACTCCACACTCAAGGATGTTGAGCATGACTCCCCTCTCTTTAAGTGCGGACTGCATATAGTGACTTCCTCTCAAAGAGTACAATATGGAAATGGGAGAGGGAAAATAACTTTACAGTAGAGAAACCTGACAAATACTATCACAGCCTAACAATCATTATTAACATCAACAGTAACACATCATGTTGACACCATATACCCATATGTATACGTATATGAGTATATGACAGCATATACTCAGCCTCCCAAGTAGCTGGGACTACAGGTGCATGCCACCATGCCCAGCGAATTTTTGTATTTTTTTCTTTTTTGATAAAGACAAAGTCTTACTATGTTGCTTAGGCTGGTCTTGAACTCCTGGCTTCAAGTGATTCACCCACCTTGGCCTCCCAAAGTGCTAGGATTACAGGCATGAACCACCATGCCCAGCCAATCCAGAACATTTAATATTAATCTTATAAAAGTGTCAGAAGGTGTAAGCCAAGTGTTAGACATAATGAAATATTCAAATAAATAATGTAAGAAATCTCTCAGAACTGAAGAAAGACACAAATCTTCAGCTTTGAAAGGCTTACTAAATGGAGTTTCCATTTGTAATGATAAAAACTTTCTGGAACTAGACAGTGGTAATGGTTGCATAACACTGTGAATTTACTTAATGGCTCTGAATTGTACACTTTAACACAGTTTAAATGGTAAATATTATGATATATGTATTTACCACGATTTTTTTAAAAGCCTACCAAATAAACACAGGATACGAGATTAAAATACAAAAGTAAATTTATTTCCTTGGAACTACCAATTAATAACCAATTTAAAATGTTTTATATTTTTAGTTATCAATGAAAATATAATTTTATAAAGCTTCATGTCATTATAGCAACAAAAATTTAAAATATCTAGAAATAAACTAAACAGAAATGTGTCAGACTAATATGAAGAAAGCTATAAAACTTTACTGAAGTAGTACTGGCATAAGGATAGACACATAGATCAATGGAATAAAATTGAGAGTCCAGAAATAAACCCATACATCTATGACCAATTGATTACATTTTTTAAAGTTCCTCTTGTACTCTGAAACCAATTGATTTTTGACAACGGTACCAAAACAATTTCATGGAAAAAACAGTCTCTTCAACAAACGGTGCCATGACAACTGATATCTACATGCAAAGGGATGAATCTGGATGCCTACCTTACACCATATATGAAAATTAAAATTAGTCCTAACAGTCATATATACAATAGTCTACCCAATATAACAGCAGAATACATATTTTTCTCAAGTGCACATGGCACATTCTCCAGGATAGACCATATGTTAGGCCACAAAACTAGTCTCAATGGATTTAAAAAAATAGATACCATATAAAATATCTGCTCTTTAATGAAGAGCACAAAGCTTGATGAAGTTAGAAATCAATAAAGGAAAACTAGAAAACGCACAAAGCTACAGAAAATAAACAACTCATTCTTACATGACTAATGGGTCAAAAAAATCACAAGGGATATTAGAAAATAATAAGAGACAAATGAAAATAAATACACAACATATCAAAATTTATAGGATGCAGTGAAAAAAGGGCTCAGATGGAAACATAGCTGTAAGTGATTACATTTAAAAAAGTCAAATCCAAGGTCAGGAGACCGAGACCATACTGGATAACACGATGAAACCCCATCTCTGTAAATTAAAAAAAAAAAATTAGCCGGATGTGGTGGCAGGCGCCTGTAGTCCGAACTACTCGGCAGGCTGAGGCAGGAGAATGGTGTGAACCCGGAAGGCAGAGCTTGCAGTGAGCCGAGATCAGGCCACTGCACTCTAGCCTGGACGACAGAGTGAGACTCTGTCTCAAAAAAGAAAAAAAAAAAGTCAAATAAGTAACCTATACACCTTAAGAAACTCGAAAAAGTAGTGCAAACTAAACACAAAACTAGCAAAAGAAAGAAAATAATAAAGGTTAAAGTAGAGATAAACAAAAGAGAGAATAGAAAAATAGTAGAGAAAAACAATTTAACCAAAAATTGGTTCTTTGAAAAAATCAACAGAATGAATAAACCTTGAGCTAGACTGAAAAAAACATTAGCAAAGATACATAAATAACCAAAATCAGAAATGAAAGTGGGGACATTATCACCAACCTTACAGAGATTAAAAAACAAAAACAAAAAACAATTATAAGCTGGGCGCGGTGGCTCACACCTGTAATCCCAGCACTTTGGGAGGCCAAGGCAGGCAGATCATGAGGTCAGGAGTTCGAGACCAGCTTGGCCAACATGGTGAAAACCCGTCTCTACTAAAATTACAAAAATTAGCCAGGTGTGGTGGCATGCACCTGTAAACCCAGCTACTTGGGAGGCTGAGGCAGGAGAATTGCTTGAACCCAGAAGGTGGAGGTTACAGTGAGCCGAGATCACACCATTGCACTCCAGCTCTGGGCAACAGAGCAAGACTCTGTCTTGGAAAACAAAAACGATTATAAGAGAATACTATGAGCAATTTTATGCTAACATATTGGATAACCTAGAAGAAATGAACCAATTCCTTGAAATTACCTAAACTGACTCAAGAAGAAGTAGAAAGTCTCAACAGATCTTGTGTTAGTTAGTTTATTTTGTGTCGCTATAAAGAAATACCTGAAAAAAAAAGGAATACCTGAGACTGAGTAATTTACAAAGAAAAGAGGTTTATTTGGCTCATGGTTCTGCAGGCTGTGTGTGAAACAGTGCCAGCATCTGTTCCCAGTGAGGCCTCAAGAAGCTTATAATCATGGTGGAAGGTGGGGGCGGGGCTGGCATATCACATGGTGAGAGAGGGAGCAAGAGAGAGAGAGGGAAGGGGTACCAGGCTCTTTTAAACAACCAGATCTCACATGAACTCATAGAGTGAGAACTCACTCATTACTGCAAGAACAGCACCAAACCATTCATGAGGGATCCACCCCATAACCCAAAAACCTCCCACTAGGCCCACTTCCAACATCACAGGTCACATTTCAACATGAGATTTGGAAGGGACACACATTCAAACCATATCAGACCTCTAACAAGTAAAGAGATTGAATCAGTGATCAGAAACTTCCCAACAAAGAAAAGTCTTGGATCAGATGGCTTCACTAGTGACTTCTATCAAATATTTAAAGAAGAATTGAAATGAACTCTTACCAAATGCTTGTAAAAAATTGAAGAGGTGGGAACACTTCCTAATTCTTTCTATGAGGATAGAATTACTCTGATACTAAAGCTAGATAGATATCACAGTAAAATTATAGGCCAATATTCCTTATGAATATAGATGCAAAAATCCTCAACAAAATATTAACAAATCAAATCCAAGACCATAGTAAAAGCCTTTTCAACATGAAATCTTTCCAGATTTATCTCAGGAATGCAAAGGTGGCTCAACATAAGAAAATCAAGCAATGTAATCCATTACATTCATAAAATGAAGGGGAAAAAAGCCACATAATCAATGCATATGGAGAGAACATTCCTAAAAATAATAAAGGTAGTTATTTAAAAATCCACAGTTGGCCAGGTGTGGTGGCTCATGCCTCTAATCCCAGCACTTTAGGAGGCTGAGGTGGGAGAATTGCTTGAGTCCAGGAGTTCAAGACCAGCCTGGGTAACATAGTGAGATCCTGTCTCTACAAAAAATTTAAGAATTAGCTGGGTGTGGTAGCACATGCCTATAGTCCCAGCTACTTGGGGGGCTAAGGTGGGAGGATCACTTGAACCCTGGAGTTTGAGGCTTCAGTGAGCCATAATCATGCCACTCACTCTGGTCTGGGAGACAGAAAGTGACCCTATCTCAAAACAAAAATAAAAATAAAAAGTTCACAGTTAACACGACACTCAGTAATGGAACACTGAAAGCTTTCTCCCTAAAATGAGTAACAAGAAAAGAATGCCTACTTTCACCACTGCTGTTCAACATCATACCAGAGTTCTAGCCAGAGCTATAAGACAAGAAGAACAAACAAAAGGCATCCAAATTGGAAAGAAACAGGTAAAACTGTCTCCTTTCACAGATGACATGATCCTATATATAGAAAGAATCCATAAGAAAGCTACTAGAGCTATTGAACAAATTCAATAGGGCAACATACCGAGACCCTGTCTAAAAAAAAAAAAAAAAAAAGCCAGGCATGGTGGCACGTACCCGTAGTCCCAGCTGTTGGTAGCTGAGGTGGGAGAATTGCTTGAGCCCAGGAGTTCAAGGGTGCAGTGAGCTATGATTACATCACTGCAGTCCAATCTGGGCAACAGAGTGAGACCCTATCTCTAAAAAAATAAAAACAGGGGGAAAAAGGAAAGCAATTCCATTTATAAAAGCAGCTAAAAGAATAGAATACTTAGGAATAAATTTAACCAAGGAAGTGAAAGATATATGCTAAAAACTATAAAACATTGCTGAAAGAAATTAAAGAAAACATAAATAAATAGAAAGATGTCCCTATTCATAGATAGGAATACTTTACATTGTTAAGATATCAATTCTACCCAAAGTGATCTACAGATTCAATGCAATCAAAATTCCAATAGTCTTTTTCACAGAAATAGAAAAAGTGATCCTCAGATTAATATGAAACTGCAGAGGCCCTTGAATAGCCAAAATAAATCTTGAAAAAACAAAAGGAACAAACTTGAAGGATTCACACTACCCAACTCTGAGACTTACTACAAAGCTACAACAAATAAAACAGTACTGGAGTAAGGACAGACATATAGACTAATAAAATAGGATAGAGAGACCAGAAATAAACTCTCATATATAGTCAATTGATTTGTGACAAGGGTGTCAAGACCATTCAATAGGGAAAGAATAATCTTTTCAAGAAGTGGTACTGAGACTACCTGATACATCGTGTAAAAGAATGAAGTTGGTCCTTTACCTTATATACAAAAATGAACTGAAAACAAATCAAAGATCTAAACTGAAGAGAGTAAACGATATGACTTTCCCAGCTTGGGCAACATAGTGAGACTGTGTCTCTACAAAAAATTAAAAAAACAAATTAGCCAGGCTTGGTGATGCACACCTATAGTCCCAGCTACTTGGGAAGCTGAGGTAGGAGGGGATCACTTCAGCCCAGGAGGTCAAGGTTGCAGTGGGCCATGATCATGCCACTGCACTCTACCCTGGGCAACAGAGTGAGACTGTGTCTCTAAAAACAAACAAACAAAACCATACAACTCTTAGATGAAAAATGAAAACCTGTGGAAAATCTTCATGCCACTGGCTTTAACAATGACTTCATGGATATAACACCAAGAGCACAGAAAACAAACAAAAAAAGATAAAATATACTTTAAAATTAAAAAACTTTTGTACATCAAAGAATTATGTCAAAAAGTGAAAAGATGATGTGGTAAATGAGAGAAAATATTTGTAAAGCATATAACTGATAAGGAATTAATATTCAGAATATATAAAGAACTTCTAAAACTCAATAACAATAAAACAACCTAATTCAAAAATGGGCAAAGGATTTGAACAGACATTTCTCCTAAGAAAATATACAAATGGTCAATAAGTACATGAAAAGATGTTCAACATTATGAGTTATTAGGGAATGCAAATCATAACTACAATGAGATACCACTTCACATTTACTAAGATGGTTATAAGAAAACAAAAACAAACAGAAACTCAGAAAATAACGAGTGTTGGTAAGAATGTACAGAAATTGGAACTCTCATGCTTTGCTGGTGGGAATGCAAAGTGATGCAGCTATTGTGGAAAACTCTTGTGGCTTCTCAAAACATTAAACGTAGAGCTGGGTACAGTGGCATGTGCCTGTAGTCCCAGATACTTGGCAGGCTGAGGTGGGAGGATTGCTTAAGCCCAGGAGTTCAATTCCAGCCTAGGTAGCATACCAAGACCCTGTCTCTTAAAAAAATAATAATAATAATCAATAATAGTAATATAGTTTAATTTTTTAAGGTAAACCTAGAACTACATATGACCCAGAAATCCCACTTCTATGTATATATCCAAAAAAATTGAAAGCAGGGGCCCAGATACTTGCACATCAGTGTTCATGGCAGCAGTATACATAATCAGTAAAAGTGGAAACAACTCAAGCATCCATTCACAGATGAATGGGTAAACAAAATGAGGTATAGATGTACAATGAAATATCATTCACCCATTGAAAAAATGAAATTTTGGGGGTAGGGGAAGGAGAGCATCAGGATAAATAGCTAATGCATGTGGGGCTTAATACCTAGGTGACGGGTTGATAGGTGCACCAAACAACCATGGCACATGTTTACCTATGTAACAAACCTGCACATCCTGCACATGTATCCCAGAACTTAAAATAAAATATTTCAAAAAATGAAATTTTGAGAGAGGCAGAGCAAGATGGCCTAACAGAACCCTCCAGTGATCATCCCCCTCACAGGAACACCACATTGAACCACTATCCACACAAGAAAGCACCTTCATAAGAACCAAAAATCAGGTGACTGATCACAATACCTGGTTTTAATATCATATCAAGGAAAGAGGCACTGAGAATAGGAAAGACAGTCTTGAAATGCGTATACCACCCCTCCTCCATCCCCCAGCAGTGGCCTCACAGTACAGAGACAGAATATGATGCTTGGGGCAGGGAGAGCACAGTGACTGTGGGATTTTGCATTGTCACGCAGTGTTGCCCTGTCACAGTGGAAAGCAACATGGGGTAGAATTCAGCTGGTGCCCACAGAGGGAGCATTTAGACCAGCCCTGGCCAGAGGGGAATTTTCCATCCCAGCAGTCAGTACCTGAGTTCCAGCTAGCCCACCACTGAGGGCTAAAGTGCTCTGGGGTTCTAAATAAACTTGAAAGGAAATCTAGGCTATAAGGACTGTAGTTCCTGGGCAAGTCTTGGTGCTGTACTGGGCTCAAAGCCAGTGGACTTGGGGTGTACATGACCTAGTGAGACACCAGCTAGGGCAGCCAAGGGAGTGGTTGTGTCACCCCTCCCCCAACTCCAGACAGTGCAGCTCGTAGCTTCGGCAGAGACTCCTTCCAATTAAGGAAAGGAGAAAGGACAGTAAAGAGGGCTTTGTCTTGCAACTTGGATACCAGCTCTGCTACAGTAAAATAAAGTACCAAGCAGAGTCCTGGAGTCCCCATGCTAGGCCCTGCCTCCCAGATGACAATTTTAGACACATCCTGGGCCAGAAGGGAATCTACTCTCTTGAAGGAAAGGACCCAGTAGGATTCATCACCTGATGACTAAAGTGCCCATGGGCCTTGAATAAACATCAGTGGTAGCCAGGCAGTACTCACTGCCTTGGGTGAGACCCAGTGCCGTGCAGGCTTCAGGTATGACCCAGTACATTCCCAGCTGTGGTGGTCATGGAAAAGACTCCTTCTGCTTGAAGAAAAAAGAGGGAAGAGTAAAAAGCATATTGTCTTGCAACTTGGGTGCCTGCTAAGCTACAGTAAAATGAAACACCAAGTAGATTTCTAAATGTATCAACTCTAGGCTCTAGTTCCTGGACAGCATTTCTAGACTCACTCTGGGCCAGAAAGGAACTCGTTGCCCTGAAGGGAAAGACACAGGCTGAATTTACTAGCTGCTGACTAAAGAGCCCTTGGGCCTTGAATAAACATCAGCAGTAGCCAGACAATAGTTACCAAAGGCCTTGGGTGAGACTCAGTACTGTGCCGGCTTCAGGTTGGACCTGGCACAGTCCCAGTGATGGTGGCCACAGCGGGGCTTGTGTCACTCTTCCCATAAGTCCAGGCAGCTCAGCACAGAGAGAGAGACAGACTCCATTTTGGCAGGGGGTTGGGGAGATGTAAGGGAAGAGAACAAGAGTCTCTGCCTGGTAATCCCGGGAATTCTCCTGGATCTTACCCAAGACAACCAAGGCAGTACCTCTACAAGGCTTCAAGATTCACAGTGTTAGTGGGTTTGGGGTGCCCTCTAATGCAGATATGGCTGCAGTGACTGAAGGCTTAGATCACAACACTCAATTCCCTTTGAATACTTAGAAAGCATTCCCAAGAAGGATGGGTACAAACAAGCCCAGACTGTGAAGACCACAGTAAGTACCTAACTCTTCAATGCCCAGACATCAATGAACATCCACAAACATCATGACCTTATCAAACAAAGTAAGAGAACACAGTGACCAATCCCAGAGTCACAGAGATATCTGACCTTTCAGACAGAGAATTCAAAATAGCTGTTTTGAGGAAGCTCAATGAAATTCAAGATAGCACAGAGAAGGAATTCAGAATTGTATCAGATAAATTTAACAAACAGATTGAAATATCTTTTAAAAATCAAGCAGAAATTCTGGAGCTGAAAAATTCAATTAATGTACTGAAGAATGTATGATGTTCCCTCAGTTGCAGTATTGATCAAGCAGAAGAATTAGTGAGCTTGAAGACAGGCTATTTGAAAATACACAGTCAGAGGAGACAAAACTATAAAAAAGAACTAAGCATGACTGCAGTATCTAGAAAATAGACTCAAAAGGACCAAGTTAAGAGTTATTGACCTTAAAGAGAAGGTAGAGAGAGAGATTTGGGTAGAAAGTTTATTTAAAAGGATAAAAACAGAAGATTTTCCAGAAAAAGATAACAATATTCAGCTACAATATTTTTTTCTTAATAAAATAAAATTACAGGCCAATATTTCTGTAGTCAGATATTTCTTTAGTCTTATGAACATTGAAGCAAAATCCTCCACAAAATACTAGCAAACCAAATTCAACAACACATTAAAAAGATAATTCATTGGCAATTATTAAAAAGTAAAGCCACAACAGATGCTGGCAAGGCTGTGGAGAAATAGGAACACTTTTACACTGTTGGTGGGAATGTAAATTAGTTCAACTATTGTGGAAGACAGTGTGGTGATTCCTCAAAGATCTAGAACCAGAAATACCATTTGACCCAGCAATCCCATTGCTGGGTATATAGTATATACCCAAAGGAATATAAATCATTCTGTTATAAAGATACATTAACACATATGTTCATTACAGCTCTATTCTCAATAGCAAAGACATGGAATCAACCCAAATACTCATCAATGATAGAATGGATAAAGAAAATGTGGTACATATATACTATGGAATACTATGCAGCCATAAAAAGGAATGAGATCATGTCCTTTGCAGGGACATGGATGGAGCTGGAAGTCATTATCCTCAACAAACTAACACAGGAGCAAAAAACCAAACACCGCATGTTCTCACTTATAAGTGGGAACTGAATAGTGAGAACACATGGACACAGGGAGGGGAACAACATACACTGGGGCCTGTTGGAGGGGTGTAGGATGAGGAAGAGCATCAGGATAAACAGCTAATACATGTGGGGCTTAATACCTAGGTGATGGTTTGATAGGTGCAGCAAACAACCATAGCACATGTTTACCTATGTAACAAACCTGCATGTACTGCACATGTATCCTGGAACTTAAAATAAAATAAAAATTAAAAAAAAATCCCTCATCATGCCAGGGATGCAAGGGATGCAAAGATGGTTCAATATATGTAAGTTAATCACTGTGACACATCATATCAACAGAATGAAAGACAAAAACCATATGATCATTTCAAATGATGCCAAAAAAGCATTTGATGAAATTCAACAGCTCTTCATAATAAAATCCCTCAAAACACTGGGTATAGAAGGAATATACCTCAACAGAATAAAAGCCATATATGACAGACCCACAGCTAGTATCACACTGAATGGAAAAAAAATGACAGCTTTTCCTCTAAAATCTGGAGCAAAATAAGGATGCCCATTTTTACCATTGTTATTCAACATAGTACTGGAGTCCTAGCTAGAGTAATCAGATAAGATAAAGAAATAAAATGCATCCAAAATGGAAAGAAAGAAGTCAAATTATCCTTATTTGCAGGATTTCTCTTTTTCTCTCTCCCCAGCCCACCTCTCTCTTTCTTTCTCTCTCTCCCTCCCTCCCCGCTTTCCTTCTTTCAATCACTCCCGTGACTTCTAACACTACAGGTTAATTTTGCTTGCTTTTGAACCTCATATTAACGGAATCACAGAGTATGTGCTCTTTTATATCTGTTGTTACTCAACAACATAACCACTTAGGGTCATGTTGTGTGGCATTAGTTGTGTTAAATCAAGTTTGGTCTAAAGCTGCATCCATACAAATTTTCAGTTTGGCCTAAAGGTTTCTCCATACATAGTGAACTGTAACCAAACTTGATGTGTAAAAAGACCATAACCTACTGTTGTAACAAGTAGCTGAGTGTGAGCCAATCACAGCAGCCAAACTTCTGTCAACCACAGACAGTCAGCTGTTCAAACCAGCTTCAAATAAGGCAAGTGCCCAGTTGTAACCAATCTAGCTGTTTCTGCACTTCACTTCTGTTTTCTGTACATCACTTTCCTTTTTGTGTCCATAAATGTCATGTGACCTTGTGATAGCCCTGGAGTTGCTCTGATCCTTTTCTGGTTCTGGAAGCTGCCTGATTCCTGAATTGTTCTTTGTTCAATTACACTCTGTTCAATTTGTCTAAAGCTTTTCTTTTAACAGTTGTTATTCATTGCTACGTAGTATATTATTGTATAACTATATTACAATTTATTTATTCTACTGTTGATAGACAATTTAATAGATTCCAGATTTGGCTATTCCCTAAAAAACTGTTTCAATATTCTGCATATGGCTAGCCAGTTATCCCAACACCATTTATTGAATAGGAAGCTCTGTCCCCATTGTTTGTTTTTGTCAGCTTTGTCAAAGATCAGATAGTTGTAGGTGTGTGGCCTTATTTCTGGGTTCTCTATTCTGTTCCATTGGTCTATTTGTCTGCTTTTGTACCAGTACCATACTGCTTGGATTACTGTAGCCCTGTATATAGTTTGAACTCAGGTAGCATGATACCTCCAGGTTTGTTCTTTTTGCTTAAGATTGCTTGGCTACTCGAGCTGTTTTTTGGTTCCACATAAATTTTAGAATAGTTTTTTTTTTTTAGTTCTGTGAAGAATGTCATTGGTAGTTTAACAGGAATTTTATTGAATCTATAAATTTCTTTGGGAAGTATGGCCATTTTAACAACATTGATTCTTCCAATACATGAGCATGAAATGTTTTTCCATTTGTGTCATCTCTGATTTCTTTGAGCAGTGTTTTGTAGTTCTCCTTGTAGAGATCTTTCACTTCCTTGGTGTATTAGTCTGCTCTCATGCAGCTAATAAAGGCATATCCCAGACTGGGTAATTTATAAAGAAAAAAAAAATTAAGGGACTCACAGTTCCACGTGGCTGGGGAGGCCTCACAATCATGGTGGAAAGCAAAGAAGGAGCAAAGTCATGTCTTACATGGCAGCAGGCAAGAGACAGAGCATGCGCAGGGGAACTCCCCTTTATAAAACCATCAGATCTTGTGAGATTTATTCACTATCATGAGAACAGCATGGAAAAGACCCACCCCTATGATTCAATTAACTCCCACCAGGTCCCTCCCATGACACGTGGGAATTATGGGAGCTATAGTTCAAGATTTGGGTAGGGACACAGCCAAACCATATCATTCTGCCCCGGCCCCTCCCAAATCTCATGTTCCCTCATTCCAAAACCAATCATCCCTTTCCAACAGTCCCCTAAAGTCTTAACTCATTTCAGCATTAACTCAAAAGTCCACAGTCCAAAGTCTCATCTGAGACAAGGCAAGTCCCTTCTGCCTATGAGCCTGTAAAATCAAAAGCAAGTTAGTTACTTCCTAGATACAATGGGGGTACAGGCATTGGGTATACATCCATTCCAAATGGGAGAAATTGGGCAAAACAAAGGGGCTACAGGCTCCATGCAAGTCCAAAATACAACAGGGCAGTAAAATCTTAAATCTCTGAAATGATCTCGTTTGACTCTGTGTCTCACATCCAGGTCACACTGATGTAAGAGGTGGGCTCCCACAGCCTTGGGCAGCTCTGCCCCTGTGGCTTTGCAGGGTACAGCTCCCCTTCTGGCTGCTTTCACAGGCTAGCATTGAACGTCTCTGGCTTTTCCAGGTGCACGATGCAAGCTGTCGGTGAATCTATCATTCTGGGGTTTGGAAGATGGTGGCCATATTCTCATAGCTCCACTAGGTGGTGCCCCAGCAGGGACTCTGCGTGGGGGCTCCAACTCCACATTTCCCTGCCACACTGCCCTAGTAGAGGTACTCCATGAGGGCTCCATCCCTGCAGCAAACTTCTCCCTGGACATCCAGGAGTTTCATACATCCTTGAAATCTAGGCAGAGGTTCCCAAACCTCAGTTCTTGATTTCTGCACACCCACAGGCCCAGCACCATGTGGAAGCTGCCAAGGTTTAGGGCTTGCACCTGCTGAAGCAATGGCCTGAGCTGTACATTGGTCCCTTTTAGCCACAGCTGGAGTGGATGGGATGCAGGGCACCAAGTCCCAAGGCTGCACACAGCAAGGGGGTCCCTGGGCCCGACCTATGAAACCATTTTCCCTCCTAGGCCTCTGGACCTGTGATGGGAGAGGCTGCCATGAAGGTCTCTGACATGCCCCAGAGACATTTTCTACACATGTCTTGGTGATTAAAATGTGGCTCCTTGTTACTTATGCAAATTTCTGCAGCTGGCTTGAATTTCTCCCCAGAAAATGGGGTTTTCTTTTTTATTGCATAGTACTACACATAGTACTATTGCATAGTAGTCAGGCTGCAAAATTTTCAAACTTTTATGCTCTGCTTCCTCTTGAACCCTTCACTGCTTAGAAATTTCTTCCCCCAGATACCCTAAATTATCTCTCAAGTTCAAAGTTCCACAGATCTCTAGGGCAGGGGCAAAATGCTGCCAGTCTCTGCTAAAACATAGCAAGTCACCTTTGCTCCAGTTCCCAACAAGTTCCTCATCTCCATCTGAGACCACATCAGTCTGAACTTTATTGTCCATATCACTATAAGCACTTTGGCCAAAGCCGTTCAACAAGTCTCTAGGAAGTTCCAACTTTCCCACAACTTTCTGACTTCTTCTGAGCTCTACAAACTGTTCCAACCTCTTCTTGTTACCCAGTTCCAAAGTCGCTTCCACATTTCTGGGTATATTTACAGTAGCATGCCAGTTCTGGCACCAATTTACTGTATTAGTCTGTTCTCATGCTACTAATAAAGACATACCTGAGACTGGGTAATTTATAAAGAAAAAAGTTTAATGGACTCACAGTTCCATGTGGCTGGGGAGGCCTCACAATGACGGTGGAAGGCAAAGAAGGAGCAAAGTCAGGTCTTACATGGTGGCAAGTAAGAGAGAGAGAGCATGTGCAGGGGAACTCCCCTTTATAAGACCATCAGATCTTGTAAGACTTACTCACTATCATGAGAACAGCATGGAAAAGACCTGCTCCCCACGATTCAATTACCTGCAACTGGGTCCTCCCATGACACATGGGAATTATGGGAGCTACAATTCAATATTTGGGTGGGGACACAGTCAAATCATATCACTTGGTTAGCTGTATTTTATTTTATTTTTTTTGTGGCAATTGTGAATGGGACTGTGTTCCTGATTTGGTTCTTGGCTTTACTGTTGTTGGTGTATAGGAATGCTAATGATTTTTGTACGTTGATTTTGTATCCTGAGACTTTGCTGAGGTTATCACCTTAAGGAGCTTTTGGGCTGAATATGGCATTTTCTAGATATAGGATCATGTAGTGTGCAAACAGGGATAGTTTGACTTCCTTTCTTCCTATTTGGGTGCCCCTTATTTATTTCTCTTGCCTGATTGTTCTGGCCAGGTAAACTCGCTATTTTTAACCTTAACTGGAAAGTAGTTATTAAGATGTGCTTCAATCATTAATAACTCTCAATAAATAATATCATATAATAATAGCAAGAGATAAGAATTTTTATAACTCTAGAGCAGTTTTTTTAACCTTACTTATTACAAAATATTAAAGACCTGCAAGTATAATGATGATATAATAAGTAGCATGTATCTACTCTTAGCTTAAGAAAAAAATTACCTATATATTAAAGCCTCCCATAGACTGCTACTTTGAGAGATAGACTATTCTGAATTTCATGTTTATCATTTCCATGCACTTATTTTTATTCTATCTAAGGAATACAACATTGTTCTTGTTTTTTAATTTCATAAAAAATTTCATACTATATATATTCTACAGTCTTTTTTATACTTAGTATTTGGAAGATTCATCTATATTGAAAGGTATAGGTCTAGTTCATTCATTTTCACTGCTGCATAATACCTTATGATATAACTGTATTGTAATGTGCTTATTCATTCTCTTTTAGATAGACTGGGTTATTTCCAGTTTTTCTTTTTTTACTATAAAGACAATCCTATTATGAAAAGTATTGCATATGTCTCTTTGTGTCCACATGTGAGGGTTTCTCTGGTATATAATTACTAGGATTTCAATTGTAGGTGGTATGTTTTGAATGTATGTGTTCCTCCAAAATTCATATGTTGGAACCTAAGACCCAATGTGATAGTATTAAAAGGTGGTACCTTTAGGGAAGTGATTAAGTCATGAGGGCTTTGCCTTCAAGAATGGATTAACAGTACCTTTCTAAAAGGGCTGGAGGGAACTAGCTAGGAACCTCCCTTTTTTTTGCCCTTCCATCTATTCTGCCATGTGAGGACAGTGTTCATCTCCTCTGGAGGACACAATGTTCAAGGTGCCATCTAGGAAGCAGAGACAAGGCCCTTACCAGACATGAAACTTGCTGGTGCCTTGATCTTGGACTTCCCAGCCTCCATAACTGTGAGCACTAAATTTACACTGTTTATAAATTACCCAGTCTATGCTATTTTGTTATAGCAGCAGGAACAGACTGGCACAGGGTCATAAGTATGTGCATTTCACCTTAAGGAGATATTATTAAATTATTTCCCAGAGTGATTGGTTCCAATTTATGTCACCACCTGCAAGAATAAGAGTTCCTACTGTAGAGCAGTGGTTTTTGAACTATGCTTCTCAGGGTCCCAAGAGGGAGTTTCAAAGGCCATAGGACTCTAAGCCCCTTGTACTGTTTGTGACTGGAACAGCTATGCTTCAATTTGTTTTACATAATTGTAGAGCATAGGAAATTTTCATTTGAAAAAAAAGGTTTTCCTGCCTTAGAAAAGTTTAAAAACCAATATCCTGGCTGGGTGCGGTGGCTCACACCTGTAATCCCAGCACTTTGGGAGGCCAAGGCGGGCAGATCACAAGGTCAGGAGATTGAGACCATCCTGGCTAACATGGTGAAACCCCGTCTCTACTAAAAAAAAAAATAAAAAAAAAAATACAAAAAATTAGCCAGGTGTGGTGGCGGGCACCTGTGGTCCCAGCTACTTGGGAGGCTGAGGCAGGAGAATGGCATGATCCCAGGAGGTGGAGGTTGCAGTGAGCGGAGATCGCCCCACTGCACTCCAGCCTGGGAGACAGAGAAAGACTCCGTCTCAAAACCAAACCAAACAAAACAAAACAAAAACAAAAAAACAATATCCTGAAGAATACTTTTAAATCTTATTTAGATAGTATCCATCTTTCTGTCCAGGAGAAAAATTGGTCTGTGAAGAAACCCTTGAAAAGCCAACATTTCATCTACAGAATGTCTTAAATCTAACAGTGGATAGTATTTATCAATCTCTCTCCCAAGTTTTGATTTCTTCCTTGGCCTCTTCTCTTATTCCAATATGGGAAAAGTAAAGAGGGTAGTATAATGCTTCCCTTCAACTCTAAGTTGGATTTGCAAACTTATTAACTGCTTTGGGTGGGGGAAGAGGGAAAGGTGTGTTTCCCTTCTGTTTTGTCACAATGCTCATAAATATATAATGCTTTTATTTTTATTTTTAAATAAGTGTAAAAAGAAAGGAATTCATTCAAGTCTATAGGTTCTAATGTACAGTTGACCCTTGAACAATGTAGGAGTTAGAGGAAGCAATATCTGCACAGTCAAAAACCTATGTATAACTTTCAACTCCCCCAAAATTTGACTGCTAGTAGCCTACTGTTGACCAGAAACCTTACTGAAAACATAAGCAGTTGATTAACACATATTTTGTATGCTATGTGTATTATATACTGTATTCTTATAATAAAGTAAGCTAGAGAAAGAAAATGTTATGAAGAAAATCATAAGAGGCTAGGTGCAGTGGCTCACATCTGTAATCCCAGCGCTTCGGGAGGCTGAGGCAGGATGATCACTTGAGGCCAGGAGCTCAAGACCACTCTGGGCAACATAGCAAGACCCAGTCTCTGCAAAAAAAAATTAAAAACTTAGGTGGGTGTGGTGTACATGCCTGTAGTCCCAGCTGCTCAGGAGGCTGAGGCAGGAGGATCCCTTGAGCCCAGGAGGGAGAGACTGCAGTGAGCTATGATTGCACCACTATACTCCAGCTTAGGCCACAGAGTGAGACCATGTATCTGTATTTTTTTAAAAAAGAAAGAAAGAGAGAGGTGGTGGGGAGGAGGAAGGAAGGAGGGAGAGAGAGAGGGAAGGAGGGAAGGAAGGAAGAGAGGAAGGAAGGAAGGAAGGAAAGGAAGAAAGGAAGGATATCATAAGGAAGATAAAATATATTTACTATTCATTAAGTAGAAGCAGATCATCATAAATGTTTTCATTCTCATTGTCCTCATGTTCGATAGACTGAGGAGAGGAGGAAGAGGAAGGGTTGATCTTGCTGTTTTGGAGTGGCAGAGGTGGAAGAAAATCTGTGTATAAGTGGACCCATGCAATTCAAACTGTGTTGTCCAAGAGTCAACTGTACTCTTTCCTTTTAACCTGTCTCCCATAACCCAAGGCAGACAATTCCTCCTCCTGCATTAAGGATATATGGCAACTTAATATCTACCCATCTGTCATGGCTCATTAGTAAACTCACATGTGAACTAAGGCATTCTCCATCTTCATTGCAGCCTGTTAGTGCTCTTCTAGTGTACTTGGCTATCATTGGTTGCTAAGCAATAATCCTAGTGCTTGCATTGTCCCCACTGATGTACAGAATGGAAGTAGACATGTGTTTGGTTACCACTGTAGTCAAACACTTCTCTCTTAGAACCACAAAAACAAGAAAAAGAAGCACAGCAACAGCAGGGTCAACAAATCAGGATTCTGAACAAGCCTATATGAAGCTGTCTTTTGACTGAGTGACCTCTGAATTCATGGATCACAAATTACAGCACTGCCCCAAGGGCAATTTAATTCAGAGGTTTAACTGAATAGTTTCAAAGATGTACTGGATTTTTTAGCAGGTCTCTGGTTGGACATCCTAAACCTTTTAAGATTGATTGATTAATTCATTTATATACTGACTCAATAAATAACTATTAATTTCTCACTGCGTGCCAGGCACTGGAATTCTTTTTCAGGATCATCTTCCTAAACTTTTCCAAGAATCAAGAGCCTTTCAAGCTCTGCCCCCAATATGTACATCTTCGCCACTCTAGTGGTCTACCTTCTAATATAAAAAGAACTATCCAGGCACTATGAGTATAAGTGCTTTCAACTAAATAAGTAGGGACACAAAAGAATTCCTTGTACATATTTTGAAAAGTCTAGCCTTATAATGACTTTTATCATTTTCAGCTCTCAGTGTATGGTCCACTGCTGGGCAGAGCCTCAGTACAAAGCCTATTTAAGGACATAAATAGGAATGAATTATAATTCATATTGTAATAAGTCTTAGCAGGCTCTTTCTTCACAAGGAGGCATATAACATTAGTGGGTCTGGCTGCTGATTAAACTGGTGAAAATTGACCCAGCAGGGCTACTTAAGCTGTATGATGTTTTCTTTAAACACAGGCCCTGTTTGAAACTCAGCGGCTTTGTCCTTATTATCAGGATTTCTTAACATTGGCACATGATGTAGAATGACTGCTGCAAAGGAAGGAGGTAAAGAAGTACTACTAAACACCACTGGAATTAAAATTCAATAGATAAAGGAAAAGGCAGTTTCCTACAAAACACTCTTAATCTTAGGGCTGTGTAATAAGAATATAACTGAGCAAACTGATAGTTAAAAAAAATTCTCAAAATGCAAGTTAAGCTCAGCCTGAAAAGTAGAAAAACAAGGGTAAAGAAATGAGGAACTGACATGATATATTTAACCACAGTATTTTCTATGCAACGATATGTATTTGAGTGCATGTTGGGAGCTGCTTATCAAGATAACATGACTTTAATTTTGACAAGTATGTAACAAGGATGAAGACACTTCCTTTGACCTGTTGAAATTGCAGTAACAGTTCCTCTTCCTACTTTGTATATACCCACACACACACACACATTCACAAATGAGGGATTTAGAGTAAAAAGTTTTAATAATCATAAATAATGATTATTTAATAAATAAGTACACCGCATTGTGTTTGATATCAGAATAAGCAACTGCAATGTTTTCAGTACATATCATATACTGGGATAAATCGATTTAAACAAAACACATTTCTCTCTACCATACATTGAAAAGCAATAAGAGAAATTGAAAGTAGAAGAAGAGGAAAGACCACAAACTCTTGCTTGATATGTTTTCTGGGGAGGTGAAAAATTACCTGATGGAATACATATGTACAGTTTTGTAGGTGCAAATATGGCCACAAACTAATTAAAGTGAACATCTAATTAAATTTATAACAAATTACCTATATCAAAATTCTGTTTGGCATTTTTAAAATGAATGAGTTAATTTAGGCCAGGCGCGGTGGCTCAAGCCTGTAATCCCAGCACTTTGGGAGGCCGAGGTGGGCGGATCACCTGAGGTCAGGAGTTTGAGACCAGCCTGGCCAACATGGTGAAACCCCGTCTCTACTAAAAATACAAAAATTAGATGGGCAGAGTGGCAGATGGCTGCAATCCCAGCTATTTGGGAGGCTGAGGCATGAGAATCGTTTGAACTCGGGAGGCGGAGGTTGCAGTGAGCTGAGATTGCGCCACTGCACTCCAGCCTGGACGACAGAGCAAGACTCCATCTCAAAAAATAAAATAAAATAAAATGAATGAGTTAATTTATAAACCTGGCCCAAGCGATTAAGGTAAAGGCAAAGTATATGTATGTGGTGTTGGTGGTAGATGTTTGGCATAAGGAAGTAAAATCAGAAAAACAGGAGGTGGGGACAGGTAGAAGAGGATAAGTAAAGACTTGCCAGGAAGAAAATTTTTAGAAGTTAGTGAAGCTGTGAAAACAGTACTAAGTTTATAAGAAAGACAGAATAAGTGTTGGAAAGTTTGGTTCTTTTAAAAAAAAATTTTAAATTTTCAGGGGTACAAGTGATTTTTGGTTACATGGATGAATTGTATAGTGGTGAAGTCTGAGATTTTAGTGCACCCATCACCTGAGTAGTATACATTGTACCCAATATGCAGTTTTTTTAAATCCCTTGCCCCTCCTTCCACCCTCCCACTTCTGAGTCTCCATAGCCCATTATATCGCTCGGCATGTCTTTGCATACCCATAGCTTAGCTCCCACTTCTAAGTGAGAACAGATGGTATTTGACTTTCCATTCTTGAGTTACTTCACTTAGAATAATGGCCTTCAGCTCCATCCAAGTCGTTGGAAAAGATATCATTTCATTCTTTTTTATGGCTGAGTAATATTCCATGGTGTATATATACCACATTTTCTTTTTCTTTTTTTTTTTTTTTGAGATGGAGTCTCGCTCTGTTGTCAGGCTGGAGTGCAGTGGCGTGATCTCAGCTCACTGCAACCTCTGCCTCCTGGGTTCAAGCAATTCTCCTGCCTCAGCCTCCCAAGTAACTGGGACTACAGGCACCTGCCACCACACCCAGCTAATTTTTGTATTTTTAGTACAGACGGGGTTTCACCAGGATGGTCTCGATCTCTTGACCTTGTGATCTGCCCACCTTGGCCTTCCGAAGTGCTGTTTATCCACTCATTGGTTGGTGGGCACTTAGGTTGGTTCCATATCTTTGCAAGTGTGAATTGTGCTGCAATAAACATACATATGCAGGTGTCTTTTTAATATAATGACTTATTTTCTTTTGGGTAGATACCCAGTAGTGGGGCTGCTAGATTGAATGGTAGATCTACTTTTAGGTCTTTAAGAAATTTCCATACTCAGCCGGGCGTGGTGGCTCACGCCTGTAATCCCAGCACTATGGGAGGCCAAGGCGGGTGGATCACGAGGTCAGGAGATCGAGACCATCCTGCCCAACATGGTGAAACCCAGTCTCTACTAAAAAAATAGAAAAAATTAGCCAGGCTTGGTGGCAGGTGCCTGAAGTCCCAATTACTTGGGAGGCTGAGGCAGGAGAATGGCGTGAACCTGGGAGGCGGAGCTTGCAGTCAGCCAAGATCATGCCACTGCACTCCAGCCTGGGTGACAGAGCGAGACTCTGTCTCAAAAAAAAAAAAAAAAAAAAAAAAAGAAATTTCCATACTCTTTTCCATAAAGGTTATACTAATTTACATTCCCACCAGCAGTGTACAAGCATTAGCTTTTCACCATATCCATGCCAACATCTATTGTTTTTTGACATTTTAATAATGATCCTTCTTGCAGGAGTAAGGTAGTATTTCATCGTGGTTTTAATTTGCATTTTCCTGATGATTAGTGATGTTCAGCACTTTTTCACATGTTCATTGGCCATTTGTATATATTCTTTTGAGAAATGTCTGTTCATGTCATTTGCCCACTTTTTGATGGGATAATTATTTTTTTCTTCTTGCTGATTTGTTTCTTTGTAGATTCTGGATATTAGTTCTTTGTTGGACACATGGCAAATATTTTCTTCCATTCTGTGGGTTGTCAGTTTAGTCTGATGGTTATTTCTTTTGCTGTACAGAAGCTTTTCAGTTGAATTAGGTCCCATTTATTTATTTTTTGTTTTATTGCATTTGCTTTTGGAGTCTTCATTATAAATTCTTTGCCTAAGCCAATGTCCAAAAGAGTTTTTCCTAGGTTATTTTATAGAATTTTAAGGTTTCAGGTCTTAGATTTAAGTTTTTGATGCATACTGAGTTGATTTTTGTATAAGGTGAGAGATAGGGATGCAGTTTCATTCTTCTACATGTAGCTAGCCAATTTCCCCAGCAACATTTATTAAATAGAGTATCCTTTCCCCAGTTTATGTTTCTGTGTGCTTTGTCAAGTTTGGTTGTAGGTATTTGGTTTTATTTCTGGGTTCTCTATTATGTCTGTGTGTCTACTTTTATACCAGTACCATGCTATTTCAGGAACTATAGCCTTGTAGTATAATTTGAAGGAAAGTTTGGTTCCTTTTTTTTTCTCTTAAAAAAAATTGTTTTTTAGAGATTGGGTCTTGCTGTGTTGCCCAGGCTGGTCTCGAACTCCTGACCTCAAATGATCCTCCCATCTCAGCCTCCCAAAGTCCTGGGATTACAGGCATAAGCCACCACAACAAGTGCAAGTTCGGGTTTTAATGAATATGTATTGTAATGTGTATTACTAGGAAGAAATAGTAAATAATTACTCTTAGTTGGTTTAAAAAGAGAGAAGAACACTTTGGGGAAAAAAAAAAACCCAGCACCTAAAAATTACAACTAACATCTATATATCAATTTATAGTTTAGAAAACACTTTGATATTGCTATACTTCAGTCCTAGCTCAGCCTAGCGTATACTAAACATTCAATACTGGTAAATTGAAGAAAAATTATAGTAAAATTATTAAATTTTAAATATTGTAAAGAATTTCTGGTGGTATGGATTTCACTAAGTATTTGGAGTTAAAAGAGCTGTAATGAAAGAGATGAATGTCTTCTCTACTTTTTTGAAGACTTTTTAATCCTATAAATTTTCAATCTGCATAATTATGTGGAATTTGGGTTAAGGATGGGGCTAGGAGTCAAGCTTTGGATCAAACGGAATAAATATGTGGTCAAGTACAGGAGTAAAAACAGTAAACAGTGTTGGCCGGGCACAGTGGCTCATACTTGTAATCCCAACACTTTGGTAGGCCAAGGCAGGCAGATCACCTGAGGTTGGGAGTTTGAGACCAGCCTGGCCAACATTGGGAAACCCCATCTCTATTAAAAATACAAACTTAGCCGGGTGTGATGGCACGTGCTTGTAATCCCAGCTACTCGGGAGGCTGAGGCTGGAGAATCGCTTGAACCCGGGAGGCTGAGGTTGCAGTGAGCCGAGATTGCACCATTGCACTCTGCCCTGGGCAACAAGCGCAAAACTTCGTCTCAAAAAAAAAAAAACAAAACAAAACAGAAAACAACAAAAAAACAACAACAAAACCCAAAAACAATAAACAGGGCCAAGGACAATAAGCAGCCCAAATCACTGGAGTTCTTCATTTTATTATTGTATTAGTGGGTTGCCTGCTAGATGTCAGTCAGCTTTCTTAGATAAATTTTCTCTTTAAGTGCAAGATGAATAATCATAAATTGCCTCAAAAGCATTAATAGAAGGTGAATGAAATACATTTTAAATTGTTTCCCAAACTGCATTTAAAATACCCTCTGGCCTATAATCTCAGTGACTCTGGAGGCTGAGACAGGAGGATCGCCTGAGTCCAGGAGATCGAGACCAGCCCAGGAAACATAGCAAGAAATTCTCTCTACAAAAATAAAAAATAAAAAACTAGCTAGGTGAGGTAATGTGTGCCCATAGTCCCAGCAACTCTGGAGGCTGAGATAGGAGGATCACTTGAACCCAGGACTTTGAATCTGCAGTGAACTATGACCGTGTCACTGAACTTCAGTCTAGGTACAGGGCAAGATCCATCTCTAAAAATAAAAATAAAATAAAATATCCCCTGAAATTATATCTTTAAAATGCAAAATCTTGAAGAACGCATCCCCAGTAAAATGTTAATGATAGTTTTAGATTCTTTTATTTATTTATTTTTTTGAGATGGAGTTTCGCTCTGTCACCCAGGCTGGAGTGCAATCCACGAGCTTGGCTCACTGCAACCCCCACCTCCCTGTTCACGCAATTCTCCTGCCTCAGCCTCCAGAGTAGCTGGGATTACAGGCACCCGCCACTATGCCCAGCTAATTTTTTGTATTTTTAGAAGAGATGGTGTTTCACCATGTTGGCCAGGCTGGTTTCGAACTCCTGACCTCTGATGATCCACCCGCCTCGGCCTCCCAAAGTGCTGGAATTACAGGCATGAGCCACCACGCCCAGCCAGTTTTAGATTCTATTGTATAAGAGAAAGGCTAGTTCTCTACCTTGGGATTTGATTTCATCCATTGCTTTCTCCACCACACTGTTGGTGTCCTCTTTTACAGGAACGTCTGGCACACTCTGTAAGGTCTTTGAAAAGAGGAAAAAAATCACCAATTTCAATGTGACTTGATTTTCAACAAAGTTGTATAAATTATTCCAATTAAAGGAAAGTTAATTGCTTTGTAAGAGTTAACCAAACATTCCTAGTTAATTTTTCTGGGATCTAATGCTGTATATTAGAAGCAAAGAGGTAATCACAGTGTATTTTCTGCATTTACAAGATAAAATGTGTTGGTTCAAAATGTCATCACATCTTCCTGTTACTAACAAAGTAATATGCTAGGAATATCATTTTAGATGTACATTAATTCTTGAATTATACAATAGTTTATAGAAACATGATTTGAGACCATAGCATAAGGAAATCAGACCTTTGGAAATGCTACTGTTTTACTACTAGAATCACTTTCTGTATTTGTGGCAAAAAGAAAAAGCATTTAATCTTAATTGAGGAAATTAAAGATTAATTTTATGAATAGCAACAAAATAGTTTTTGTATACATGCTAATGTACTTTAAAAATCTGACTATATATATATATATATATATATTTTGGAGATGCAGTTTCACTCTGTTGCCCAGGCTGGAGTGCAGTGGCATGATCTCGGCTCACTGCAACCTCCGCCTCCTGGGTTAAAGTGATTATCTTGCCTTGGCCTTTCAAGTTGCTAGGATTACACGCATGCACCACCAAGCCCAGATAATTTTTGTATTATTAGTAGAGATGGAGTTTCGCTATGTTGGCCAGTCCGGTCTTGAACTCCTGACCTCAAGTGATCCACCTCGGTCTCCCAGAGTGCTGGGATTACAAGTGTGAGCCATCGACAATCAATAGGATATTTTAAAAACTCATATTAGTCAACTCACTTGTGAATCTATAGGACTATTTTTAATTGCCTCCCCTTTTCTATGAAACGTTCTTCTTTATTGTAGCCTTGTATTTATTTAAACACAAAGTTACTTAAATGATTAACCTGGAAATTACATTTTCAGCATGATAGTAAAGTGACCCTAAAAGCTGGTGGTTACAGTTTTTAGGGTAACTTTAGAAAGCAGTCTTTATTTATCTGTAATTTATAACAGTTCTTCACAAATAATTTACCTGTCCATGGAAGTTTCCTGCAACTTACTCAAATGAATCAGCTTAATAATCAACATGAGTTTGTCCTTTTCCTTTTGCAATTTTAGTTATCTTTTTGAATACCCACATCTTTTCTTTTATCATAAGAAAATTGATTTATCTAGCTTATTCTCCAGCATTAATATCTGATTTATTCATGCCAACTCTACCTCATGAAGCTCTTTCACTTCAGTTAAGTTCCATTTCCTCTCTTTGTCTTCTTTTCTGTTTTCCTGAAATGCAAACAGTGTTAGTAAATGGCATCCAAAAAGAGCTGTGGATTAAACTACTGTCTCATACTTTAATACAGTAAGCTTTTAATTTTTAAAAATTTCACATAATGAGTAAATATCATGTGAAATAAAATTACACAAAGTAGTTGTATCAACAAATTCAAACAATAACAGACTTTTATATATAGTCAAGGAATGCCAACCAACTAGAAGCAGGTCGCCATGACTCAACTGTTATTTTGACCCCTTTTACAGCATTTCTGTCAAAACCTGATGCAGAATACTTCAACCAAAAAGAGAAATAATTAAATGATAGACTGTGATATTGCATCTCAATTTTCCCAAGAATGTTGAATCTCAAATCTTCCCATAAATGTGATAAACCTATGTAGGACAAGAACCTGAGCAGGTCTGAGTTCCTCTTGAGATGCTGACTCATTCATTTGGACTCCAAAAGTTATCACCAAATGGTATAGAAGAATATTACTAGACCAGTATTAATAACAAAAAGAAAGAAAATATTAATAAACATCACAAAGTACTCCAGAAGTTAAAAAAGCTCCCTCACTCCTGCCCTCACCTCACCCCACAATTCTATTGAATGATAAATTCTCAACTGCTGAACTTTTCCAACTGTATTACTGTTATGACTGTTGCTACTGACCAAAGCTAGATCATTGCTCAGGGAGACAAGAAAACTCACCATAGTAATCATTACTACTATCATTAAAAAAAAAATACAGCAGCAGTAATGCAATTGCATTTTTAACGTGATTGTCATCCTCATTAATTTTTGAGATAACAAGGTGAGGTAAAGTGAAACTTTTATGGCTACCTAATTCATGCAAGAAAGGTAGATAGAGAATAGAATAATAATATCTCAAAAGGCATTTTTTTGGGAAGGGAGAATTCCAGAGGAATGTGACTTATCTGGTTTATTCATTTATATTGAGGTATTAAAATAAATAATTACCAGATCCCCACTTTACTGCAAATGACTGTAGATTCACAGATTATCAAATCACTGCCATGCCAAAAATCATTTAAGAGTTTGTATATATATGAGCTAGGTGTTGTGTAAAGAGTAAATTATATTCACACAGTCTGCCTCCAGGACAGTTACAGTCTAGAGACTCTAATTTGAAATAGTATGTATCTAATGCTCTAGCGTATTCACTTTTCTTTCTTTTCTTTTTTTTTTTTACAGAGTCTCATTCTGTCGCCCGGGCTGGAGTACAGTGGTGCAATCTCGGCTCACTGCAACCTCCGCCTCCTGGGTTCAAGTGATTCTCCTGCCTCAGCCTCCCGAGTAGCTGGGACTACAGGTGCTCACCACCATGCCTGGCTAATTTTTGTACATTTAGTAGAGACAGGGTTTCACCATGTTGGCCAGGCTGGTCTTGAACTCCTGACCTCAAGTGATCCACCCTCCTCAGCCTCCGAAAGTGCTGGGATTACAGGTGTGAGGCACCGCACCCGGCCATTCCCTTTTCTTTTTATCAACATAACACATGTTCTAGCTAAATAAACCAAAAGTACTGCCTTTGGAGAGAAGAGTTTCCAACATTTAAAAATAGCTGCCTCAAAGTCTTTTTGACTCACTTAATAAATAATAAATAATAGAAAATAAATTTATGTGATAGCTCCCAACTGTATATTCTCAACAGCCTCATTTCTTTGCTTATGGTGTCCATCTCCTGAAATTGCTGAGAAGCTTCCTTCCATTTCTTTTAAAATCTATTTGGTTTGGATGCACTCAGATAAATTCAACTCAATAAGACTTTATTAGGTGCTTTCTATATGCAGGCAAAGGTTAGGTCTTAAAAGGATGAATAAGACCTGCCTTAAAGAGTTCCCAGTTTAGTCCGGGCGCAGGGGCTCACGCTTGTAATCCCAGCACTTTGGGAGGCCAAGGCGGGTGGATCACCTGAGGTCAGGAGTTCGAGACGAGCCTAGCCAACATAGTGAAACCCTGTCTCTACTAAAAATACAAAAAAGTAGCTGGGTGTGTTGGCAGGTGCCTGTGATCCCAGCTACGCAGGAGGCTGAGGCAGGAAAATGGCTTGAACCCGGGAGGCGGAGGTTGCAGCGAGCCAAGATCATGCCATTGCACTCCAGCCTCGGCAATGAGCGAAACTCCATCTCAAAAAAAAAAAAAAGAGTTCCCAGTTCAGTGAGGGAAAGAGATGCAATTCAATCTGCAAAGTGCAAGAGTAGAGGTACACACAAAATGTTAAGGAACAGAGAAATAAGCAGTTAATTTTCCCAGGGTAGTTAGGGACATTTTCACAAAGGAAGCTGGATAGTAAAAGACTAGTAAGAAATTTGAAGCAGAAGGAACAAACACTCAAGGTTCAAAAAGTGTTTGAAGAATTCATATAGCAGATATGCTGATATGGACAAAGTGTTAGTGGTCTGGATAGAAGATCAAATCAGCTACAACATTCCCTTAAGCCAAAGCCCAATCCAGAGCAAGGCCCTAACTTCTCTTCAATTCTGTGAAGGCTGAGAGAGGTGAGAAAGCTGCAGAGGAAAAGCTGAAAATTATCAGAAGTTGATTCATGGGGTTTAAGGAAAGAAGACATCTCCATAACTTAAAAGTGCAAGGTGAAGCTGCAAGTGCTGATGTAGAAGTTGCAGCAAGTTACCCAAAAGATATAACTAAGATCGTCAATGAAGGTGGCTACACTAAACAATGGATTTTCCATGCAGACTAAACAGCCTTCTATTGGAAGAAGATGCTATCTAGGATTTCATAGCTGGAGAGAAGTCAACGTCTGGCTTCAAAGCTTCAAAGGATAGGCTCACTCTCTTGTTTGGGGCTAATGCAGCTGGTGACTTTAAGTTGAAACCAATGCTCATTTATCATTTCAAAAATCTTAACCCTTAAGAATTATGCTAAATCTATTCTGCCTGTACTCTATAAATGGAACAACAAAGTCTGGATGACAGCACATTTGTTTACAGTATGGCTTAAGGAATATTTTAAATACACCCTTGAGATCTACTGCTCAGGAAAATTGATTCCTTTCAAAATATTACTGTTCATTGACAGTGTACTTGGTCACCTAAGAGCTCTGATGGAAATGTACAAGGTAATTAATGTTGTTCCCACGCCTGTCAACACAGAATCCATTCTGCAGCCCATGGATCAAAGACCAATTTAAACTTTCAAGTCTTGCTTAAGAAATACATTTCATAAGGCTATAGCTTCCATAGACAGTGATGATTCTGATGGATTTGGGCAAAGTAAATTGAAAACCTTCTTGAAAGGATTCACCATTCTAGATGTCATTAAGAACATTTGTGATTCATGGAAGGAAGTCAAAATATCAGCATTAACAGAGTTTGGAAGAAGTTGATTCCAACCCTCATGGATGACTTTGAGGGCCCCAGGACTTCAGTGGAGGAAGTAACTGCAGATGTAATGGAAATAGCAAAAGAACTAGAATTAGAAGTGAGGCCTGAAGATGTGACTAAATTGCTGCAATCTCATGATAAAACTTGAATGAATGAGGAGTGTCTTCTTATAGATGGGCAAAGAAAGCAGTTTCTTGAGGTGGAATCACTCCTGGTGAAGACACTGTGAACATCATTGAAATGACAACAAAGGATTTAGAATACTACATAAACTTAGTTGTTGAAGCAGTGGTAGGATATGACAGGACTGACTAATTTTGAAAGAAGTTCCACTGTGGGTAAAAAGTTATCAAACAGCATCAAATGTTACAGAGAAATTATCCAAGACAGGAAGAGTCAATCAATGTGGCAAACTCAATTGTCTTAATTTAAGATATTTTCACAGCCATGCTAGCCTTCAGCAACCACTACTCTGATCAGTTATCATCTATCAACATCGAGGCAAGATCCTGCATCAGCAAAAAGATTTTGAGTGGATAAAGGCTCATACGATTGTTAGCATTTTTTAGCAAAAAAGTATTTTTAAATTAAGATATGCACATTTTTTAGACATAATCCTACTGCACACTTAATAGACTATAGTATAAATATAACTTTTATATATGCATTGGGAAACCAAAACTTCATGTGACCACTTTATTGTGATGTTCTCTTTATTGTAGTGGTCTGGAACCAAACCCAAAATATCTCCCAGGTCTGCCTGTATGAGGGCCAAAAATATAATTTTAGTCACCACAATGGAGAATTCCAACCTCTCACCCAGTTCCTTAATTGAAAGGTGGGTCCCTTTGAGAAAGAGCTCTGTAGCATTGCCACTAGTATATACTGAAAAATCTTCCTCTAAGTCTTTTCCACAGAGATTGATGGCCATTTCCTAAAATGGCTTTGTGCTAGGGAAAAGGAATATCCAGGTTTTTCAGAGATATCTAAACACTGATTCTAAACTGATGTTAATCCTGGGGATCCAAAATACCACTTCAGTCCATAAGGTTAAGTGGGGGTTTGCGGTGGCCAGATGGAGTCTTAACTCAAGTTTGAATCACAGTGGTTTAGTAGGGCTATAGAACCACCCTGTGGTGATTTCATCAGTCCCTGAATATATAATTAGAACAGAGATACTGGTAACTGGCAGGATCTCTATATCCTTTCTCTGACTCTGGAATAAGGACTATTATAGTAGGAAGGGCCAAGTGGAAGCCTTTGAAAACCTCCCCTCAAACTCCCTTCAAACACACCAGGACAGTAAACAAAAATATTGCTTCCTTGGGGTTGGGAGGATGGGGGATTACAAAGATTAATGAAACCGGTAAAGATCTGAAAGAAGCAGGAGTGAGGCTGGGCACAGTGTCTCATGCCTGTAATCCTAGCACTTTGGGAGGCTGAGGCGGGTGGATCACCTGAGGTCAGGAGTTTGAGACCAGCCTGGTCAACATGGTGAAACCCCGTCTCTACTAAAAATATGAAAATTAGCCGGGCGTGGTGGCACATGCCTGTAATCCCAGCTACTTGGGAGGCTGAGGTAGGAGAATCACTTGAACCTGGGAGGCGGAGGTTGCAGTGAGCCGAGATTGCACCACTGCACTCCAGCCTGGGCGACAGGAGTCTCAAAAAAAAAATAAATAAATAAAGAAGCAGGAGTGATGAAAGCTACCTCACACCAATTTAACTTGCCTGTTTGGCCTGTGAAGAAGGTGGATGGATCTTGGAGAATGACTGTGGATTACTGTAAATTTTATCAGATTATGCCTCCACTTGCACCTCCTCTTCCATACGTAGTATCTTTATTGGAGCAAATCAACACAGTCCTTGACACCTGGTATGTAGCTATTGTCCCAGAAAAATGCTTATTTCTCCATATAAATTGGCAAGAAACACCTGAAGCAGTTTGGTTTTACTTGGCAGGGCCAACAATATCCCTTCACAGTCTTGCTCAGGGCTACATCATTTCTCTAGCTCTCTGCCATAATATAGTCTACAGAGATATTGAGCATCTTGACTTCCCAGTCAGCATCACATTGATGAAAGTATGCTGATTGTATCCGAGGAGCAGGAAGTAGCAAGGTCTTTAACTGTCTTTAAGAGATATATGCAAACCAGAGGATGGGAAATAAATTCCATTCTGGCATCAATTTCCCTATCAATCAAGTGCCAGTTATTAAATTATTGTCTCATCTCCAAATTCACCCATTTTTACTCTTCTTTGTTGCTAAAGCTGAGACCCTGAAAATCACATTTCTTTTGCCTTGCCAGCTGGCTTTGTTATACTGTGCTAACTGGGGGCACCAGAGGGACATCCCATACCTGAAGGGAAGACAAGAGACTTGCTCCTTCTTGTCTATCCCGATTGCTTCTTTTTTTATTATTATTATACTTTAAGTTCTAGGGTACATGTGCACAACGTGCAGGTTTGTTATGTATGTATACATGTGCCATGTTGGTGTGCTGCACCCATTAACTCATCATTTACATTAGGTATATCTCCTAATGCTATCCCTCCCCTCTCCCCCGACCCCACGACAGGCCCCAGTGTGTGATATTCCCCTTCCTGTGTCCAAGTGTTCTCATTGTTCAATTCCCACCTATGAGTGAGAACATGAGGTGTTTGGTTTTTTGTCCTTGCGATCGTTTGCTCAGAATGATGGTTTCCAGCTTCATCCATGTCCCTACAAAGGACATGAACTCATCCTTTTTTATGGCTGCATAGTATTCCATGGTGTATATGTGCCACTTTTTCCCTGACTGCTTCTTGTGGCCTTTTGGTTCCTGTGTGGTTCACCTAGTAATGCTTCTTCATCCTGGTAGCAGCATTTCCTTTTTGTAGCAACAGCTGAATCCAGTTTGTAGTAGTTTTTCTATAGTTCTATAATTTTCATTACTCTAAGGCACCACCACCAGCCAGCCAGTGCTCCTGCTTCAGAAGTCTGTGTCTCAGAACCATGGGTGCCATGAAGCCCCTCCTCTAATCTCAGAGGCACTAACACCAGCTGAGCAGCACTTTCTCTTCAGAGACCTTAGTTTTAGCTCTGTGGGGCCAATCCTCTAAATTTCTAAATTTTTCCCTTTGCTTCCTCTGTTTTTTCTTGTTTTTTGTTTGTTTGTTTTTTTTTTTCTAGCCCTTAAGGTGGGATGAATTACTCACCATTGTGATACCTCAGATTTCTCTTTTTACTTTTTTAGGTATCTACTTAACAACTTTATATCTAGTTATTAATTCTTTGTTAAAATTTCTTGGCAAATAACTGGTAGAGTTTCTGTTTTTTTGAGACAAGGTCTTGCTCTGTCACCCAGGCTGGAGTATAATGGCACAGTCATAGCTCACTGCAACCTCAACCTCCTGGGCTCAAGCAATTCTCCCACCTCAGCCCCCTAAGTAGCTAGGACTGCAGGTGTGTACCACCACACCTGGCTAATTGTGGTATTTTTTGGAGAGATGAGGTCTTACTATGCTGCCCAGGCTGCTCTCAAATTCCTAGCCTTATGCAATCCTCCTGCCTCAGCCTCCCAAAGTACTGGACTTACAGGCATGAGGCACCACACCCCACCCAAGCTGGTGTTCTTTCTGTCTCCTGTCAGGACACAGTTAAATGAAGTTAGTAAAAGTTAAAGTTTTTATAAAACTTAAGAAAAAATACAACCAAGTGAAGGCAACACATGACTCAATAATACTGCAGTTGCTCTCAGCTCTTATATATCTGTGCTATATTAATTTATACTTATAATTATGCCCAAATTGTTTCAAATATAAGGGATTGGATTATCAAGGATAGGACCATGATTTCTTGTGTCTTTTTTTTTGACTCACTTTTTTTTTGCTCTGTCTTAAGCTTAGCTATATAAGTCATAATCTTTTAAGTGAAATACTTCATTTGGTATGCAATGAATGAGTTATAGATATATTGCAAGATAGGGATCTATTCAGCCTGAGGAGTTACTTAAAATAACTGGAGTGGTTGATAAATCTAGGTAATTCACTCCTGGCAAGAAGCAGTGTGATCTAGAGATTCTCAGCAGCCCCCCAAAATCAGGGTGTGAATACCCACCCTAGTATGCCCATGGTCCCACTGGTGGACAGCACAATGAAGTTCTTGCCAAGCAAAGCCAAGGAGTATTCTACCACCAGGTCATCACTTTCACAAGACAATTGTAGTACACACTGCTGCCTATTGTAAACACTGAGCTTTGGAGGATGTTCCAGGTACCAAAAGAGCAGGACTTACAGCCTCAGATAAGGCCAGGAAATGCAGGGAGGCCTGCTAGGTACTCCTGATGAACTCAGCTTATGATCTCTCTTTTTATATATATAGCATTCTTCCTTTTGTTTATATCTGATGCGCCCTTTTAATTATGTTCAAGTTAGATGAAGAATTATTGATCTAATAACACAATCTAACTCTGCAAATTAGACCTTTATCAATATTTTGCAATAGATACTTGACACAAAAAGTGTTTGGGTAGATGGGGAAATTCCCATTGGCAAATGTAACGAGGAAATACCCTGTGATAATGTGGATATATTATCAATTATAATTTATACTTTTAAATTTTGAATTGTTGTGAAAATTGTTTAAAAGTTTTTTTATCACCTACTTGTATGAACTAAATTCTCATCAATAATGACTACCAAGAATTTGAAGACATCACTGTTAAACTGTCTCATTCAAGAACTGCAAGCCGTCATTTCAATCATAAAATCCTGTATAAAAAATGTTATGTTTACAGAAGCAATCTCAGGTTTTTCATTAAATTTTTAGACATCTTTGTTTGGAAATGTATACAAATTCAATATTTAGTGTCATCCTTAATATGTTTATTTTTGTCATTAAAAGTAAGTAATATAAAGAAACAATTTTTTTCACCAAGCCCCATGTAATTAGCTGCCTCCAAATCCCCTTTAATTTATCCCAGTGTGCTGTACAAATACTATTTCTATGGATGTCATGATGTGGAAAAAAAAGGTAGAGAACCACCCCTTTAACATTTAGATCAGGATTCTTCACCTTGGTTCCTTGATAGGTTTTAGTAGGTATGAGAAATATGCAAGTACATTTTTCTGGAGAGAAGGTCAATAGTTTTCATCAGGTTCTCAAAGCTTGAGAACCAGCTAACCTCAGAGATTTCAAGCTCCCCTATAATTTCACCCCGGAAGAAGTATTGATACAAGTTAAGGGTTAAATGGACTCCAGTGGTACAACCAGGCCTCCAGCATCGCAGGTGGGAAGAGTGAAAGTGCTCTAAGTAGAACTAGGAGGACTTTTGTCTCTTTGGCTCCCTCTTTTGGGAATCCTGCTCTTGGCCTCTCTCTCCTCAAATTCAGCTAGAATAGTAAGAGGATCCTAGGCTCTTCACTCTATTAGAAGATATCTCCTCTCTCAGTTCACCAGAAGACCTAGGAGGAACCAGGGTGGAGCCTAGGGAAATTAGGTATAAATGGGGCACAAAGCATAGATTTCATCAAATGCTTAGTGTGGTCCAGCTCCGTTCGCAAAGCGACTGTACTGGGATCTGCAGACAAAGCCTGAAAGCCAATATCATAAAGAGCACATTTGCCCAGACCTTCTCTCCTTTGTTTCTATAGAACTTTGTACGTATATAGACTTCTTCTATATTTCTACATACCTCCTTTCGCGCCTAGCCGAGGTGACAGAAGCCATGGTACCACTAAGCTACGCTCTAATTATTTGTTGATGTGTTTTCCCCTACTAATTGGCTTTGAGCCCCTAAGAGGTAGATAAACATTTGTCTTGTTCTTAAAGCAGTGTCTAGTATATGATACACATTCAATAAATATTTTCTCAATTATTAGTAAATAAATTAATGAACATGCACCAATAATTTCCAAATCTTAGTTTCCTTAAAAGGTATATACCAGGAAGAGATATTTCCCCTGAAAATTAATAAATTAACTTCCTGATACAAACAATGTGAATTTTGTCATCCCATAATTCAATTTTGATCAGGATTTTATCACCTTAGATATGTGGAACAAAAATGTTCCACACTTACCTACAGATGAAACATGTCTTGACCACTAATCTACTTCTACTATTAAGAAAAAGAATGATGGCCGGGTGCGGGGGCTCACACCTGTAATCCCAGCACTTTGTGAGGCCAAGGCAGGTGGATCATCTGGGGTCAGGAGTTCGAGACCAGCCTGACCAACATGGTGAAACCCCCATATCTACTAAAAAGACATAAAATTAGCCGGGCGTGGTGGCACATGCCTGTAATCCCAGCTACTCAGGAGGCTGAGACAGGAGAATAGCTTGAACCCGGGAGGTGGAGGTTGCAGTGAGCTGAGATGGTGCCATTGCACTCCAGCCTGGGCAACAAGAGCAAAAATCCGTGTCAAAAAAAAAAAAAAAAAAAAAAAGCCGGGCACAGTGGCTCACATCTGTAATCCTAGCACTTTGGGAGGCCGAGGTGGGCAGATCACTTGAGGACAGGAGTTCGAGACCAGCCTGGCCAATACGGTGAAACCCCGTCCCTACTAAAAATATAAAAACTAGCCGGGTGTGGTGGCGGGCCCCTGTAATCCCAGCTACTCGGGAGGCTGAGGCAGGAGAATTGCTTGAACCCGGGAGGCGGAGGTTGCAGTGAGCCGAGATTGCACCACTGCACTCCAGCCTGGGTGGCAAAGGGAGACTCCGTCTCAAAAAAAAAAAAAAAAAAAGTTATCTTAATTGCATAGAGGGCTTTATTTACAGTTTATTCTGAACTTTACCATACATTATCTCAAGAATCTTGTCAGTTAGGGTTCCATTGTAGAGATAAAGGAATTAAAGCTCAAAAAGTTCAAGCCATTTGCATAAGGTTTTAGAGCTGGAACTAGAAACCAGGTCTTCTGATTCCTATGGTAGTGCTCTTTCTCACTGCAAGGTTAATGGACTTAAGCCTTTCATCTTCCAAAAGAATTTCTGAAGAGTATGTTACCATGAAAAAGTAGAACATCATTGTTGCCCTCCCTGAGTCAGAGAATCAACATACAAGTACTAAGACCTACAGATTTGAATATTACTTTTTCTAGAATGATACTTTGGTTCATAAAGCACATATATTTCATTTATTTGAGTTCATTCAGCTTCTAGCTATGTGTATTTTTTGGCTATGTATCTAGTTTCCTCTTTGGTCTCCCATGCATTGGTTCAAAGTTCTTACTTCTGAAACTTGCCTTCTCTTTTCCTGTTTACTACGGAGCTCTGGGGAAAACACAGTCAGATTGTTTAATCTGTGAACCATACATCTTTGTTTAATTTTGTCTCACAGGCACTCCTGATCACCACCAGGGGGCAAAAGCCTACCAGCTGGCTTCTCTGCACTACACTCTACATAGGACTGTACAGTACAGGGACCCTCAGTGTCTGATTCTTGATGGAACCTCCCTGCTAATTATTTCAACCACAGGGCCCCAGGGAGAGAACAAAGGCTCAGCACAGAGGACTCTTGTGGCGTTTAACCGTACAGCAGCCAGAAAGAGCTCATGACAGCCCTGTCAGTTTAAAAGAAGCAATGAGATCCAAGAGTGTTTGAGTGACAAACAGGAGGGGGTGGGTTTTAATAACTGCAAACTCCCAAGTGTGTGTGTTTTCTACAGCTTTGATATGTACGGTGGTATTTACCAGCTCATCCACTCAAGCTGAGAAATAGCCTTGTCAACTCTCTTTCTTTGTGTAAATAATCAGTGATATTTGCATTGTGCAATTTTTTTCCTTTTTAATCTTGATTTTCCATTACATTCTTTGCTTATGTTCTGCAGACAATTTACCCCTGAGAAAACCATTCCCTTAAAATATCTTTTAATCTACATTTTTACATAGGTCTATGAAAGAATGACATTTAGAGACGAAGGAGAAGAAAGCTTAACGAGCAAATCCTGTTTAATTAAAAGACTGTCTTCACAGCAGGAGGCAAGTGAGAGGTCAATAGCAGGCTGGACCCTCACAACCGGCTTCCTCGGACTCCCAGGCGCGCTCAGCTTCTCTTCTCCTCAGGAATAATGAATAAGTCTTTAGACAGGCAATAGAGGAAGCATGAGGGTACCACAAACCTTTCCAGGGTATCAAACGGAAAATGGTTTTCTTTCCAGAAGTCTCATCATAAAACATAGACGGAAGGGGGGGAAAAGTTAAGAAAAAGCCCCCGAGAGCCGGGGTGAAGGGAGTAAACTGGTCTAGCCCAGTTCTGTCTGCGCCCAGTGAGAGGGTTTGAAACTCCGCGGAGCCCTTTCCCAATAGAAAACGTGTTTGCTTCAGGATTTTCATCTCAGCTGCTTTTTTTTAAGGTTGGTTAAGCTGTGCGCCGCCCCACCTCATAAAATGGTTGTCTCTCAGGAGTGAAGACTCCAGCGGCCCCCCGCCCTGGGACCCCTCACCGGGCTGGCTCCCTTCGGCCCCTTCCCCCACCCCACTCCACAGCACCCAGTGCTGGCAAACCGCGCGATTCCAGCACGAAGGAGGAAACCCAGGAGGGTGCGGCGGCCCGAGGCGCACGCACTCGGCCAGCTTCCGGCAACTCAAGGGTTACGACCAGGCGGCGGCGCGCGCCGAGGGGAGAGGCGGTAGCTGACAGGTGGCGCCTGCGCACTGGGAGCGCTCATTGTGCCCCGCAGCTGCGGAACCGCCCGCCCGCCGCCCGTTCGGAGCGTCAGTCGGCGACAGTCTGGTGGTGGGTGCGGAGTCTGCGGCCGTTCCCGCGGCCTCCTCCTCCTCCCCGTTCCCTTCACCCCCACCCCGCACCCCTTTCCCCATCCCGGCTCCGTCACCCTCCCGTCCCCCACACTCAGGACAAGAATGCCCTGCCCGGAACAACCCAGCAGCGCCTAGATGGCTTTGGTCACGGTCCAGCGGTCACCTACCCCCAGCACCACCTCCAGCCCCTGCGCCTCGGTGAGTCCTTCCTGGCGGCCGCTCCGCTTGCTTCTGTCACTGCGGCTCCGCTTTGCCTCAGCGGGTCCCGCCGAACGCCACTGCGCACGCGCCGCGCCGCTTCCCAGGCCTTGGCACTCGGCTGCCGCGAACCCCCCCACACCCCCATGTTAAAGACTAGCAGCAGGAACTACAAGACGTTGATTTTTGCCCCCATCACCCTGAGCACCTAGCTCCTCACAATCCTCGCCCTGAAATCCCCTGTGGCATGCCTCCCTATGGCTTGAGCACTTCCTTTTGGTAATGAGTCATTCTTGCTTTTCACCCTCCCCCTTCTTTTACCCTCTGTTGCTCTGCTGCAGGGAGGGGACCGTGAGCCTCCTGCGTTGCCCCTTACCCACACCCACATCTCTTACCCACACCATTTCATAGACCTGTTCAGTATTTGCACACTGCACACCCTTCTTCGTACTCGCCAGGGTGTGTGCCTTCCCCTAGTCACTTGCTGGCTTTCTTTTGCTCTGTACTGTTCAGGCTTTGAACTGCCCAACCGTAGTTATTCCTTGGTTTCTCCCGCCTGCCCCCCACCCCAGAGGGTAGCAATGATCTCTGTTTCCTGGACCTCTTACCTTTCCTTTATGAGGTCCCGAAGCATCTGGTGCTGCTTAGTGATCAGTGTCAAATTATTTCCGTCTTACAGATATTTATGCCTTACACTCATTGCTCGTGATCATTCTTGTTCTAAGGTCGTGTTTGTATGGCTCGTTACCTCAGATGCCTATGCCAATAAAGCATGCTCTCAGAAGGAAAATACCCAGTAACCAGCCTTTCCCCGCTGGGCCCGTCTTTGCCTTCTCTCCTCGCCCCACCCCCATTCGTTTACACTCCATTCTCTTAGGCTCCATTTTTGAAAATATTTATTTTTAAAAACAATATATTGCACCAGTGGGGCAAATGGGCTTTAAAAAACCAACATCCAGATGTTTTAGAGAGAAATAAACTGAGTGAAAATGCGAGCAACTGGGAAAACCACCTTGAACTTCCTACAGAACTGTAATTTTAAAAACGGTGTTGGTGGATTTGGTAGTATCAGGTTGCAAAAAAAGGTATTTAATAAACACTGTACCACTTTCCACTGTAAAAAAATCATCAGGTTACCCTTAATATTTGTATGTTAACTGAGGTGTGAGCTTTGATATCCTGAAATTTGCTGGCTTGTCATTTCAGTATAATTTCCTGAATTTCAAAGTTTTGTTGTGTATGGTTGTGGTTTCTTCTTTTCTGAGCTTTAATTGCATTTTGTGTGATGAAATTGACAACTATATCTTAATAAGTGATTTTATTTCAAAGGTTATATATCTTGTGTTGTTTCAGAGAGCAGAACTGGGATTCTTGGTTCAGGGAGGCAGATTTCCAGTGATTGTAAGGAAGAATTTGTAACAGTGGAGTGCACTGCCTTGCAAAATAGTGAGTGCACATTGCTGGAAATATTCAAGCAAAGGCTGGAGAACATTTTGCCTGGGAGGTGGTATAAAGAATTCCTGCAGTGGGGGACTTCTAAGACTATTTCTAATCTAAGATTTTGTGATTTGAGAATACTTGTACTTCAAAGCTGGTAAAACATTTTAGGGTCATCTGAAGACAAGTATCATAGGAATAAATCTTTAATATAATTTATTCTTATGTGTAGTACTTTATGCTAGTTTTTGGAAAGTCATTAACATACCATCAAACCTTCTTAATTCACTCCACTAGTAAACTCTTTGGTTTGTGGTTACTAGGCCTGATTTTGAAGAAATCGATTGAAAGTTAGTAGAGTCATGCAAATAAACTAGAAATCAGTACTATAGTAACATTTATTTTCCTTGGGCACTGTTGAAAATAGCTTATGCTATGATAATATATGTATATCAAGTTGTCATCATACTAATTTACTTGAAGTGAATGATTAGTATACAGTAAGACCGTGTACACTTGATATGACTTCATTAGCCAAAACTTGAGTTACTTTAGAATCTTGAGGTATGTTAATAGTCACTTTTGACATAGGTAATTAAATTGATCATGTAATAAGCTCAGTTGTTGAGCAAAATCACTAATATTTCTATATCTACTAGCCTGGTTATTTCAGTTGTTTATACTTGGCCCTGAATGCAAAGGAATCCTAAGGCTGGTGTAACAATCAGCATCATTAGTATAACTGATAAGCCAGCTTCCTTTCTCTTTAAATTGTCTTCCTATTGGACTTCATCCAGAATTGTGTTCAGCTGAGTTGTTTCGAGGTCCTTGTACTCTAGCATTTGGCTGCTGTCTGACCTCCATATATTTTGCTGTTCTATCTCTTGCTGTATGAATAGGTTGGGTTGTTTGTTTTAAAATAGAGAGCAAAAAGAACCTAGAGGACCATGAAAGAAGAGATTTAATTTTGTGAGACTGGAAATTTACATTTTTTTATTAATCACTTTAAGTACGCTGTTAATACTTTTACACTATAGGATGCAGGGCATTTTAATACTGCCAGCTCTTTAGTGTTGTTTCATTAGGCATTAAACAATATGCTAGGTGTGAGTGACCATTGTAGATACTAAGATGTATAGGAAATTGACCTGTTCATCAGGATCTTGCAATCTGGGGGGCTGGGGCATTGGAGGAAGAACAAACATAAGGTAAGAGGGAAAAGAAGAAGAAGGGGAATGATACTGTAGGTACCTGAAGAGTTTGTGATGGTCATAAGTATTGTCTGAATTCAGATTAAGATAAGTTCACTAATGGCAATGTTAATAATAAGAGTATAACAATATCTAACATTTCTTGGGTCCTCATCTATGCCAGGCATCATGTTAAGCGCTTTACATGAATTAATTCATTTACTTTACACAGTATGCCTTAGGGAAGTTGCTCTTATCCCCATCTTAAAGATGAAGCTGAGGCAGAGTTATTAAGGAATATGCGCAGTGTCATTCAGCCAGTAAGTGACTGGAGTTATAATTCAAACCCAGATGTGTCTAACTTTAGAATCTGCCATCTTTTCCTCCTTGGTGATCAAAAAGTATGCCTAATAGGTGGCTCTCGAACTAGTTCTTGAAGGATGGATTGAATTTCTATAGGCCAAGAGACAAGCTGTGAAGAAGAGAGTATTGCAAGTGAAGAGAAATTGTGTACACCAAAACTTAGAGGCAGAAAAGTACAGGGCATATCTGAAGGAATTAAATAGACCAGTTTGAGGAAGGATTTGTATGGGACAGTAGTAAGAGATAAAGGCGAGGAGGCAGCTAGGGCTGCACAGGGACTACTGAGCTTGGGAGTTTGGAGTTTGAACTTGATGGAGAAGGTAGTGGAGAGTCTGCTGAGGTTTTGAGTAGAAATGATCACAGTGGTATTTTAAGATTTTTTTTTTTTTTTTTTGAGACAAGGTCTCACTCAGCCATTCAGGCTGGAGTGCAGCAGCACAATCTCGGCTCACTGCAACCTCCACCTCTTGGGCTCAAGTGATCCTCGCACCTCAGCTTCCCCAGTAGCTGGGACTACGGGCACGCACCATCACACCTGGCTAATTTTTGTATTTTGTATTTTTTTTTTTTTTGTAGAGATGGGGTTTCGCCATGTTGCCCTGGCTGGTCTCAAACTCCTGGGCTCAAGCCGTCTGCCCACCTTGGCCTCCCAAAGTGCTGGGATTACAGGCATGAGCCACCACACCTGGCCTATTTTAAGAAAATTGATCTAGTAGATATGAGCCAGAGGGCTTTGAGAAAGAGAGAGAGGCCATGAGTGGAGCCAGTGAGAGGCTGTTCTAGAAGCCCAGGTGTGAGGTAATAAATGCCCAAACTGGGATTTTGAAGTGGTAAAGGAAAGAAAGAGACAGATGTGAGGGGTTGTGGAAAATACTTGGGAACTGATTAGATTTGCAGGGAGGGATCAGAGATGCCAACTCTTAGGATAGATATTGTTCTTCCTAGATAATAGATGTTTCCTGATTATTAGAGGGCAATATAAGAATTATCTCTGTCTCTTTTGATTCTTTCTGGTATAAATTTTCTTTTTTTAAACTTTTTTATTTTAAAAAATGTATTAACTTTTAATGGACAAAACATTTATAATATACAACATGATGCTTTGATATATGTGTACATTATGGAATAATTAAGTCAGGCTAATTAACATCTATCACTTCACCTAGTTAGCTTTTTTTGTGGTGAAAACATTTAAAATGTACTCACAGCAATTTTCTTTCTTTCCTTTATTTTTTTTTTTTTAGATGGGGTCTCACTGTAGCACAGGCTGGAGTGCAGTGGCACAGTCATAGCTCACTGCAGCCTCAAGTTCGTGGGCTCAAGTGATCCTCCTGCCTCAGCCCCCTGAGTATCTGGGACTGCCCAGCTAATTTTAATTTTTTTTCTTTGTAGAGATGGGGACTTGCTTGGGGTCTTGCTGCCCAGGCTGGTCTTGAACTCGTGGCGTCAAGGGATCCTCCTGTCTCAGCCTCCTAAAGAATTGGGATTATAGTCATGAGCCACTGTGACCGGCTACAATTTTCAAGTCTACAATATATTATTATTGACTGTAGAAACCATATTGTACAATAGCTCTTCATAACTTACTCCTCCTGTCTAATGGAAACTTTGTACCCTTTGACCATCATCTCCTCCCCATTCTCCCACCAATCCCCAATCTGGTGTGAATTTTCTGAATTGATACCTATATTGATCCAGGGTTAAATAAACAAAGTATAATACTATAATAATATTTTAGTTTTCTGTAGTGCCCTATACTTTTCAGAGTGGTTTTTGGGGTGTGTGTGTTTGTGATCTAATTTAATTCTCAAGTAGCCCCAAAAATTATGCAGGACAGGTACCACAGTTTAAAGACTTGGCTGAAAGTGACAAAACTTGTGGGTGTAATAACTGCATAGAAGTAAGTTCCTTGGCTCCTGGTTTATATCTCTTTCCATGATGTGATAAGAGAAACAGCATATGCGGTTTCTGTTCCAGAGACTTGACTGCCAGTTGAGTAAAGGTGCAAGATATGAGGCACAATCAAGAACTCACACTCTCTTTGGAGATCATTTATATTGCAACCTTGACTACCTAGAACAGAATCATCTAAGTTTGTGCAAACCATTTTAGGTGACAGCTTTGTTTGAAGCCTATTAACTCTTACTTTATACATAAATCTTATAAATGTGGATATTAAGTTTCCTTATTCTTAGATTACCAAAAGCAACATAATAATGGAAAATTACAGGTGCTGCTAAAGGCAGGTTCCCTATAGTGCTGGGAAAGGATAGCTGTTGGTTTCACCACAAGGGAAAAGGAAAAAAAAAACCCACAAGTACCTGGCATAATAAAAAAATTGAGCAATTCTTGCCTAATTAATATAGGGACAGATAGCCCTCTAGGACCCAGTAGTTCCTGAGAGCTACTATTATACGTTCCTAATGATGATTCTGAATCATCATAAGAAGGCTTACTCTTGTTTTAAATCTTGATTTAAGCGATCAGGATTGAGTGTGGTATATTTTTAGATAGATGTCCATCTAAGTTTCACCAAAGTTTTGACATTTAAGATGCACGTTCTAATTAATGGGTAAATCAATTTACATATACATTTTATTTCTTGATGCTGAATGAATATTATTGAGTTATATGTACATATGGATTAAATATAGCACACTTCTCTGCCTAGCTTGAGAAAATAAAGCCAAGGCAAATACAAAATTGATTTCTATTAAGTATAAACACAAGTGATGCTTTTCCTTATTTAGGCACCAGTGACAGAGAAAAAAAAAGTGATGCCTTTGAATTTTTTGAAGACAGCTTTAGAAATTTTCATAAACTCTAGAAATGACTATTGTAGGAAATCCAGAAATACAGAGAAGTACAGAAAAGATAAAAAAAGACATGTGCCATTTATTTTATAAAGCTGAAGTGCTGCTGTATATATAATTTCATATCTTTGTTTTTTTAGAAGTTTGGTGTCTATCACAGATGTATTGCCATATCATTTAAATCACTGCATTCAGTAGTCTTTGTTTGTTTGTTTTGGTTTGGTTTTTTGAGACAGAGTCTCAGTCTGTTGCCCAGACTGGAGTGTAGTGGCATGATCTCAGCTCACTGCAACCTCCGCCTCCTGGGTTCAAGCGATTCTGCCTTCTCAGCCTCCCAAGTAGCTGGGACTACAGACGTGCACCACCACGCCTGGCTGAAGTTACAGGCTTACAGGTGTGAGCCACCGCACCCGGCTCCATTCAGTAGTTTTAACTCATTCTAACCTTTCCATTCCATTATCGGTTGGCATTCAGTTTTTTTCCAACCCCCCTGCCCCCGGATTTTTTTTTTTTTTGAGGCAGGATCTCACTCTGTTGCCCAGGCTGGAGTGTAGTGGTGCAATCACAGCTCACTGAAGCCTTGACCTCCTGGGCTCAAGTGATCCTTCCATCTCAGCCCCACCAAAAAGCTGGGACCATAGATATGCACCACCATGCCCAGCTAAATATTTTATATTTTGGAGAAATGGGGTCTCATCCTGTTGCCCAGACTGGTCTTGAACTCCTGGGCTCAAGCAATCCTCTCACGACAGCCTCCCAAAATGCTGGGATTACAGATGTGAGTCACCACACCCAGCCCTTTTTTTTCTATTATAAATTACATTACAATGAACATCATTGGCTATAAATATTTGACTCAGTTTGGAACATTTATTAAGATTTCAAGAAATTCAATTACTAGATTATAGGGTATAAACAATTTTAAGGCCAGCCACGGTGGCTCACACCTGTAATCCCAGCACTTTGGGAGGCCAAGGTGGGCGGATCACAAGGTCAGGAGTTTGAGACCAGCCTGGCCAACATGGTGAAACCCTGTCGCTACTAAAAATACAAAAAATTAGCTGGGTGTGGCGGTACATGCCTGTCGTTCCAGCTACTTGGGAGGCTGAGGCAGGAGAATTGCTTGAACCCAGGAGGCAGAGGTTGCAGTGAGCCAAGATTGTGCCACTGCACTCCAGCCTGGGTAACAGAGCATGACTCCGTCAAAAAAACCCAATTTTTTTAAAGACTTCTGTTATATATATTTTCTAGAAAAGTTACTCCAATTAATGTTTATTCCAGCTAGCATAGTATAAGAATGCTCATTTTTCCTAACTGTATTTACACTGGATATTCTCATTTCATTTTCATTTTTGAATTGGTGTCTTGTTATTTCCCAGGCTAGCCTTGAACTCCTTGGCTCAAGCAATCCTCCCACTTCAGCCTTCTGATTAGCTGGGATTATAAGCACACACCAATGTGTCCAGCCTCATTTCATTTTTATTTTAATCACTACTAATTTTTTAGGATAAAGGGTAGTACCTAGTTGGTTTGATTTGTATTTTATTGTTAGGTCACGTATTTTTCAAATGCTTATTAGGCATTTACATTAAAGTTTTTGAAAAGATATATTTTTTGAGGTATAATCTACAAACTCTGAAATGTACCTGTTTTAATAAGTATACAATCCAATTATTTTTAATTAATTTACAGAGTTGTGCAACACTCACTTCAATCGTATTTCCTTTTTATGAGCTATTCTTTTCAGTTTGTGTACCCTCGATGTATTACAAATATTAACTATTATATTTGTTACAAACTATTTGCTTTTTAATTCAGTTTGTATTATTCTTAGAATAAAGTCTATAATTTGAATTGCTAGTGAGACCTTAAATGATCCAGCCTTGCTTACCTCTTCAGCCCTGTCTCTTCCCAAGTCCCTGCCTTGCACACTGCTCACAGTTAAGCTGACATGCCCATGCTCCCTTTGGTCTTTAGGCTTTTGCACATGCTGTTTCCTTTACCTGGAACACTTTTCCCTCATCTCTCTACCTAACTATTTCCTACTCATCCTTCAGGTCTCAGCTTAAATGTCACTTCTTCTGGGAAGCTTCCCTGACTCCACCCCCTCAGATCATGGTAGGTGCTCCTTCTACGCACAGCATAGCACCCTATACTTACCCATGGTGGCTCTTATCTTTCTACTGTACTTGTTTTATTACTTATCTCCCCCACTAACCTATAAGTCAGGGACTGGGTCATTTACATATTTTTGTATTATCAGAGCTCAAAAGTATTTGACGCATGGGGCTGGGCGCGGTGGCTCACTACTGTAATCCCAGCACTTTGGGAGGTTGAGGCAGGCAGATCACCTGAGGTCGGGAGTTTGAGACCAGCCTACTAAATATACAAAAATTAGCCAGATGCGGTGGTGGATGCCTGTAATCCCAGCTACTCCTACTGAGGCAGGAGAATCGCTTGAACCCGGGAGGCAGAGGTTGCAGTGAGCCAAGACCTCGCCATAGCACTCCAGCCTGGGCAATAAGAATGAAACTCCCTCTTAAAAAAAAAAAGTATTTGACACATGGATCAATGGATGATCAACAGATATAGTCATATTTAGCAATCTTCTATTTTGAGTTCTTCTACTGTTTTTAAGCATAGACAGATATCTTGAGAAGCCCAAAGGATATGATCACTTTTAAGACTTTTGATACATGTTGCCAAATTATCCAGCAGAAAGGTTGAATCAATCTTTGTTTACAAGCATTGTATAAAAATGTTTAAGTGTAGTCTCACAGCCTTAAGTAGCATCATCATCATAGGGATATTTATTGAACACTTACTGTATACTAGACACTGTGTTGAGTACCTTTTGTGCCTCATGTTGCTTAATTTTCACATCACTCCTGTGGCGTAAGCATTGTTATTCTCTTGATTTTACCAAGAAAATACAGACTCAGATAAGTGAAGTGAATTGTCCAGGATTATAGGCCTGGTGTCTGACCTCACAACCCCTTCTCTTAATCACTAGTATTTTATTGTTGTTTTAATTTACATTTTTAAAAATTAGAGGCTAAACATTTTTTCAAATATTTACTATTATATGTTTTATTATATATTCCTTGTTTTGTAAATCGTTCATGTTCTTTGCCCAGCTTTCTTCATGGCTATTTACTTTTTCATATTGATGTGTAAGTATTCTTTATATACTAAGAATATTAACCTTTTTCTGTTATGTTGCAAATTTTCCTCTGGTTTTTCATTTGCCATTTTGTTTTGTTTATTTCATTCATTTGTATATACAGACATTTACAAAATTTTAATGCCATCAATCCAGTCTTGTGTGTGGGTTTTTAAAATTATTTTTCTTAGTTCACTTTTCCGTCAATAAGGATAGAAATATTCTACTTATTGAAAAAATTTAGACCTATATGTTTTAAAGCTATTTATAGTATTATTTTTATATCTTTTAATTGTCTGAAATTAATTTTACTACATGATGTGAAGTAAGGATTATGTTTATTTTATTCCAAATAGCAGCTTTTCTTAGTTCATTATATGAAACAGTCACTCCTTTTTTCCAATGGTGTGGAACTCCTCCTTGGGAAGTACTAAATTCCCAAATACTTAATTCAGGTATAAGGTGTTCCATAGAAGTTCCATTGCAAGTCTCATAGGAATTTAGTTAGTTTAGCATATATTACTTAGTATTTATTAAATTGCATGCATAGAAAATAAACTTTAAACTAGCTTACATTTTGAATTTTCACTCAAGTACCTGGGAAGCCCAGAAAAAGAGAAGGCCTTTGGTCCTCAAAAAGTATCTTCAGGTTTCTCATCTTTCCTATCCGGCTTTAAGTGAGAGGGAGCAGTTTCTAGATTATGCTCACGCTGAAAAAGACACTGTGCAGCACTGCCTTCCTAGGTTTCACCATTAAATATCACTCCTGATAGCTGGGCGCGGTGGCTCATGCCTGTAATCCCAGCACTTTGGGAGGCTGAGGTGGGCAGATAAGGTCGGCAGTTCGAGACCAGCCTGACCAACATGGAGAAACCCTGTCTCTACTAACAATACAAAATTAGCTGAGTGTGGTGGCGCATGCCTGTAATCCCAGCTACTCGGGAGGCTGAGGCAGAATGGTTTGAACCTGGGAGGCGGAGGTTGTGGTGAGCTGAGATCACGCCATTGCACTCCAGCCTGGGCAACAAGAGGGAAACTCCGTCTCAGAAAATAAATAAATAAATAAATCACTCCTGGTTTCAGCAGCTTAAGATTTACTGTTTTTCCATTAAATGCCTGCTGTAGTGTTGTCTGCAGCAGTGCCTAGCCTTTTGAAGCTATTCACATGTCCATGTTTTATGTTTATTTGTTAATCCATTAAAAAAAAAAAACACCTAGCTGTAGTTTTTCCATTCAGTAAACCTAGTAGTAGGGAAAGTATTTCCAATTAAAAAAAAAAAAAGTGTAATTCTTGATGAGCCCCTTTGCCCAACCTGAAATATGCCAGAGGCTGGATGTACATGAGTAAAACCTTAAGAATCTTGTTAATCAGAAGTATTTAGTGAGTGCTATTTTGTGCAGGTGATCTCATACATTCCCTTCCTTTGTTTCTCAGCACTGAGTTCTCTTCAGATACCTTTATAAACTACCCTGCATTTTCTTGCCCATCTGAGCAGCAAAGCTACTGATCACAGTGCCCCTCATTTTCCTCTCAAGGTAAAGTCTGGTGAGGTACTCGTGGCTCTGAAATGTAATGAAAGGTCCCATGGTTCCCTAGACTTCCTGAAAGATAGAGGGAAGTACTTCATTTATTGAGTGGGAAAGGATGTGCTTAGAAACAGATGGGGAGAGATAATACTCTGTTCCAGCTTAGTTTTTATGGAACTGTTTGATTTAATTTTCTGAAAAACTTATTTAGTACCTTTTTTGTGTCTGAGACATATTTATTTACTTACTCATTTATACCACTGCTGGGAATCCAGCAGCCAGTTAGTCTCTAACCTCAGGAAGCTTACAGTAGAAGTAGAAAGATTGATATTAAATAGGTCAGTAGATTACAGTGTAGTTGTCACAAATACATAAGCCTTGAGAAAGAGGAAGAAGGCCAGCAAGGACTTATAACTTGAGCCTTGAAGAGTGAGTGGGAATTGGTCAGCAAACAGAGGGTTAGGGGTGAGTGGCAGGAGGGAAAGCAGCATTCTTTTTTTTTTTTTATTTGAGACGGTCTCGTTCTGTCGCTCAGGCTGGAGTGCAGTGGCACGATCTTGGCTCACTGCAACCTCCGCCTCCCGGGTTCAAGTGATTCTTCTGCCTCAGCCTCCCGAGTAGCTGGGACTACAGGCACAGGCCACCACACCTGGCTAATTTTTGTATTTTTAGTAGAGATAGGGTTTCGCCATGTTGGCCAAGCTGGTCTTGAACTCCTGACCTCAAGTGATCTGCCCACCTCAGCCTCCCAAAGTGTTGGGATTACAGGCGTGAGCCACAGTGCCCAGTCAAAAGAAACATTATTAAGCAAGAACTTAAGGCACAGGGCTACAAATAGCATGATATATGCTGGGAACCACAGGCAGTACAGTGCTGATGCCATGTAAAGTGCAGAAAATAAGGCTGGAGAAGTAAAGATAATTTCTTCTGAATTTTAACATCTGCACCCTTATTTTTACCTTGAATACAGTTGGCTTTTCTTTAAAGTGACTGTGCAAATTTGTGATTGTAGACACTGGGTTCAGCACTAAATAGGCATCACAATAACCATTGGAAGTAGTACTATTATTGTTCTCAATTTACAGATGAAGAAACTGAGTCTCAGGGAGGTGTCTAGACTCCCCCAGCTAGAAATGGCAGAGCTGGGATTTGAACTTTGTCAGAGTCAGAAAGCAACTACTAAATTCCACCCCCCTGCCCTTAGGTGTTACCTTCTCAGTGTCAATCAAAGTACTGTTTGATTGATTGATTGATTATTTGAGACAGGATCTCCATCTGTCACCCAGCCTGGAATGCAGTGGTACAAACACAGCTCACTCCAGCCTCAACCTCCTGGGCTCAAGTGGGATTCTTCTGCCTCAGCCTCCTATGTACCTGGGATCACAGATGCTCACGCCACCATGCCCAGCTAATTTTTTTTATTTTTTGTAGAGATGGGGATCTCACTTTGTTGCCTAGGCTGGTCTCAAACTCATGGGCTCAAGCAGTCCTCCCACCTCAGCCTCCCAAAGTGCCGGGATTACAGGCATGAGCCATATGCACCTGGCCTGATTTAGTCTATTTTTAAAATTTATTTATTTATTTATTTTTGAGATGGAATCTTGCTCTGTCGCCCAGGCTGGAGTGCAGTGGCGCAATCTCGGCTCACTGCAACCTCCGCTTCCTGAGTTCAAGTGATTCTTCTGCCTCAGCCTCCCGAGTAGCTGGTATTACAGGCATCCGCCACCATGCCTTGCTAATTTTTTGTATTTTTCAGTAGAGATGGGGTTTCACCATGTTAGCCAGGATGGGATTTATTCTATTTTTTAATCATTTAGTTTTAGATTTGCCCTGCCATAGTTTGAATCATTGCAATTTGTGTCATTTTGCTGCTCCTGCCTTAGTACTTGATATGAAGGCAGTTCAGCAGAAGTTTGTTGAGAGCCTTCTCAAACACTGAGGGATGATATAAGGCATTACCTTTGCCTTCAAATTTACAAGACTGGTGGGGAAGGCAGCTATAAACTAAGCATGTTTAATTGCCTCGTATGGTGAGCAGTGGGAAAGGCACAAACCAAATGTGTACATGTGAAGAAAACATCAGTTCCAAAGGGGATAATGGTCAGGGAATTTGGAAAAAACTAAATTGGAAAAGATGGAAGAGCAAAATATCTTTGCAGTTAGCAAAATGAGATAAATTTTTTCCTTCTAGATATTAATTCCTTTCAGTTTCATTTATAATTAGAAGCCAGTTTTTTTTTCTACTGAATGATTATTATAAGATACTGTTATCTAAGACATGGCAGCCAGATTTGAAACTTCTATGTTTGGAAAGTGTGTGTTTGTGGGTATTTGCCCCTCACCTATTCTTTGCTCTCCCACCTCTGTACTTTTCCTCACTTAAAGAAAAAGGGAAAAACCTGACAAACCCTTTTTTTTTTTTTTTACTGCTACAGACAGATCAGGAAATGTAAGAAATTATATTTATTGAAGTTAAAGAAGACACCTCCATGCAGCTTGCTGATTGGAGCAGTGATTCTCCTATTGTTCCATCAGACACAAATAGAAACAGTAGGAATTTGAGATAGCCTTTTCTTCATAATTACAATATTTAGCACATCTCAGGCAAGTATTAGGATAAACCACGTGTTAGCATCTTGTAGTACATTATCTTAATCTATTAAGGAAGCTCATTGATTCTTTGGAGTTTGATAAAGTGATTGTGATTTAGAATAAAAATGTTACCTGCCAGTTATCCTAACATAAACCTTATGAGGGTGGAGAAGCCCTAAAAGTATTTTTATTTCTCTCCTTAGGACTTCAAAAATACCTATAACATTAGCTGGGCATGGTGGTGCACGCCTGTTATCCCAGCTACTCTGGAGGCTGAGGCACGAGTATCACTTGAGCCTGGGAGGCCAAGGTTGCAGTGAGTCACGCCACTGCACTCCAGCCTGGGTGACAGAGCAAGACTCTGTCTCAAAAAAAAAAAAAAAGAAAGAAAAAAAAAATCTTTAACAACATGATGCAGTGGCAGTACAGGGTCTGGAAAACTGTCTGCTTAAATTTGAATCCTGAGTTTATAATTTGCTAGACTTAGACAAGTCACTTAACTGCTCTATGCTTTGGTTTGCCCACCTGTAAAATAGGGGCAATATGGTACTTCTTTCACAAAAATATTGTTAGTGTTAAGCCAGGGAGTGCATTAGCACCATGCCTGGCACCAAATAAACATGTATTCACAAAGTATTAGTCATTTTTATAATGATGGTGATTTAGGGTTGCTATTTGGTTATTAAGCAATTTTTTCATTATAACAAATTTGGTGGGGAAGTTATTTTTTTTATGACAATGTAATTCACATGGAAAGCCTATTTCAGAGTTTAATTTCTCTTTATCGCTTTTTAAATTTTTGTTATTTCATGAGAACACTTGGACACAGAAAGGGGAACATCACACACTGGGGCATGTTGTGGGGTGGGGGGAGGGGGGAGGGATAGCATTAGGAGATATACCTAATGTAAATGACGAGTTAATGGGTGCAGCACACCAACATGGCACATGTATACATATGTAACAAACCTGCACATTGTGCACATGTACCCTAGAACTTAAAGTATAATAAAAATATATATATAAAAAATTTAAAAAAATAAATTTTTGTTATTTCATAATGGCTTCATTTTTTTTTAATTAGAGAATCTTTGTTTTAGTTGCCAATTTCCACAGCAAAGTCTTTTGTGTTTGATTTTGTGATGACCCTGGAGCACCATACAGAATGATTAATCCAACTGTAATCTTTAAAATTCTTCTTCCCTTGAAAGTTTATCAATTTAATAGGCTATGCTTAGCAGCATATTAATCCATTGACTGTTTTTCAATATAGTGGGACAGATCGTTGCAAGTGGTCACTTTAGTTTGTATAGTCAAATCATAGAATGAATGTGTTGGTATTTTTAGTGATTGAGACTATAAATCATGTGGCAAAATAGAAATTGCCAGATTTTTTTTAAAATATGGAGATCCAAAGACACTGAGTGTATTCATGGGTTTAAATATATCTTTGTAAAGGGAAACAATAGGTGAGAAGAATGATCTGTCTAATCCAGCTATTACGAGCAGTTGGCAGTTGAAATTGAATGCTGCTCTTAGATGCATTTCCAAAGCAACTGAATGTGCTTTTTCTATAAGTGTCTGAAGCAACAATAGGAGAACATGTGAATGAACTCACATATAATATAACAAGAGATCTTTGGTTCAAGCTTTGGTTGCTTTAAGATTACAGTTTTTATTGAATCCTATCAAAAAATAGAAACAACCTATTTCTTCTTTGAGTACTGAAAAAAATGACACTGAGTTTTCTGTGAACATAATATGCTAATTTGTCTTCTTGACCTGTCTATACAAACTGAAACTTTCACAACTCTGAGCATTTTTATGCTGATTCCATGGTTTTCTATTAAATTTTAAAGGAAACTGTATTGACTGTAAAGGAAGTTTGGTTAGGTAAAACAGATCATTTGTAACTGTTTATGGTTGCAAATATATATTTGTCAAATATATATTTCTCTCGTGTTATTTTATGAGAAGTTGTATACAGTACACCTTAGATTGAAAGTGGCATGACCATCTTGGTAATGGTAATGAAGTCATGTGTAATGAAGTATATTTGAAGATAGAACTGTTGTTTGTTGTTATCTACAGCTACCATTAAAGCTATTAAAATTCTTTTTAGATAGAGATGCAATGAACTTTTACATTGGACATTTGCATCCTCATTTAATGCTCATTGGGCACAGTTGAATGATTTTAAAATAATTGGCTCTTCATTTAAATTATTAATGTTTGTTTGAAGAACTGACAAGAAATACTCTTTGGGGTTTTTTGTTTGTTTTTTTTTTTTTTTTCAGACAGGGTCTCTCTCTGTCACCCAGGCTGGAGTGCAGTGGTATGATCATAGCTCACCTCAACCCCCTGGGCTCAAGCCATCCTACCACCTCAGCCTGCCAAATAGCTGGGACTACAGGTGCGTACCACCACACCTGCCTACTTTTTTTATTATTATTTTTTTAGAGACATGGTCTCGCTGTGTTGCCCAGGTTGGTCTCAAACTCCTGGCTTAAGCAATTCTCCTGCCTTGTACTCCCAAAGTGTTGGGATTACAGGTGTGAGCCACCACACCTGGCCAGAAATAGTCTTTTGGCAGTCGAGATAGGTGTGTCATTTCTTGAAACTGCTTGTAGTGAAAGTCAAGCAGTTTATCCTAAATGACAGTCTCCTTGAAATGTCTCAGAACATCACCTCAACTGTGACTTGTAAGGTCTGCTTTGTATATAAGATATAAGATATACACTTGTAAGATAGCTTTGGATACAGGAATCCTAAACCCTTCACTAGGACTGTGCAGTGGTGGTACAAGCTTACTTTGCTACTGAGACTACCAAATGACAACCTTATTTTCTTGCTTGGGGGATTTTAGATGCTGTGGTTTTATATTGCCTTGCCACTTCTATGTAAGAAATATAGGAAGCTGGCCGGGAGCGGTGGCTCATGCCTGTAATTCCAGCACTTTGGGAGGCTGAGGCGGGCGGATCACCTGAGGTCGGGAGTTCAAGACCAGCCTGACCAACGTGGAGAAATCCCGTCTCTACTAAAAATACAAAATTAGGCCGGCGTGGTGGTGCTTGCCTGTAATCCCAGCTACTCAGGAGGCTGAGGCAGGAGAATCACTTGAACCCAGGAGGCAGAGGTTGCGGTGAGCCGAGATTGCGCCATTGTACTCCAGCCTGGGCAATAGGAATGAAACTCCGTCTCAAAAAAAAAAGAAAAAAGAAAGAAATATAGGAAGCTTCTTGGACTCTTTATTATTGGAATCTTGGGATTTATTCATAAATATTGCTTCCTAGGGGTTCACAGAATTTCATAACTGGAAAATTGACTACTTTAATTGCCCATTTTACTGTTAAATAATTGCCAGAGTTTGGCTCCAAGAATAAAGGTCAGAACAGCTTACCTCTTGGGCAGTTTCAGGAGAGCTTTTGCTAGTGTAAAAGCCCTTTACTACATCTTTAGTAGAAATTGGATATATATATATATATATATATATATATATATATATTTTTTTTTTTTTTTTTTTTTTTTTTTTTTTGAGATGGCGTCTCGCTCTGTCGCCCAGGCTGGAGTGCAGTGCCGTGATCTTGGCTCACTGCAACCTCCACCTCCCAGGTTCAAGCGATTGTCGTGCCTCAGCCTCCCAAGTGGCTGGGATTACAGATGTGTGCCACCACACCCGGCTAATTTTTGTATTTTTAGTAGAGATGGATTTTCATCATGTTGGCCAGGCTGGTCTCAAACTCCCGACCTTAGGTGATCCGTCTGCCTCAGCCTCCCAAAGTGCTGGGATTACAGGCCTGAGCCACTGTGCCTGGCTGGAGATTTTTTTTTAATGCTAGGTGTTCAGGTGGCCACTTGGGTTCTAGACCAGACTTAGATTGAGATATAGGAAGTTGTACATTTAAGTGTGGCTATAAGATTTGGCAGATGACATACATTAGTGAAGCTGGCCAAATAGGATCTGTGGTAAGTAGGAGACTATGAGCTCTGTCTTCAGAGGCTGCCAGTGTGACTCTGTGTAGACCCAGTATTGCCAGAAAAGTCTTATATCTCGAGAAACATTAGTAATTAGCAGATTATATGAAATCTTTTGATATTTTTTGGTGGGAGGGGTGGACTTTAGAGACAGGATCTCACTCTGTCTCCCAGGCTGGGGTGTAGTGGCAAGATCGTAGCTCACTACAGCCTTCAACTCCTGGGCTCAAGCAATCTGCCCACCTTAGCCTCCTGAGTAGTAGTTAGGACTATAGTTGCATACCATCATACCCAGCTATTTTTTCTTAGTTTTTGTAGAGATGAGGTCTCACTATATTGTCCAGGGTGGTCTCAAACTCCTGGCTTCAAGCCATTCTCCCACCTCAGGCTCTCGAAGTGCTGAAATTACAGGTGTGAGCCACTCTGCCTGTCTGAAATCCTCTGATTTTTAAATGTTGGCAACTGAATTGGCTGGAAATTATTTTGATTGTAAGTAACAGAAGACCAAATTTAAACAGTAGGAATATGGTTTATCTAACAATAAATTTGAAGATACATATAGTCTAGGACTAACTTAGCTCAGCAATACCATAAAGATCTAAGTTGTTTATATCTTCCTGTTTTGCCATTAATAGTGTATTTGATTCCCATCTTTCTGCTTTTTTCCACATAAAAGATGGCTATTGTAGCTCTGGCAGTACATCCATATTTGTTGCAGAAAGGGGTAAAAGGTACAGTGCCAGCAGTGGCTGTACCATTCATTAGGAAGCAAAAATTTTCCCAGAAACCAACTGCTCATTCCCAGTAGCTTTCTCTTTAAGTCTCCTACCAGAACTAGGTTACATGGCCTACTCTAGTTGCAATAGAGCCTGGGAAAGTAAGTATATGGCTTTCCATTTTAATCATTGAGTGACAGCAAGGGATAAGAATGTTTGGAATAGCTATTGTCACACTTTGTATAACAACTAATACAGATTTAAAGAACTATATCTTGAAGGCTAAACAGAACATATCTGAGGCCCAGATTTAACTAGTGAGTCACCAATGTGTAGACACTATAAACAATATATTTTCCTTCCATTTCATTACTCTACTACTGATTCTTAGCTTCTATCAGTCATTTTATTATATGGCCAAGGAAGTTGAAATTAGAAAGCTTGAGTTTAAGTCCTGGTATAGAGACTTGTTAGCAGTGTTTTTTGGGGGTAAGTTTGCTTGATCTTTCTGAGCCTCCCATTTCTTATCTGGAAAATTGATATATAACATTGCAATATAGCATAGTAATTAAGTGCAGAGGTTTTGGAATCAGAACAACCTAAGTTGGAATCCTGTCTCTGCCAAGCAAGTTGCATAACCTCTCTTGGTGTTTCCGTCTCTGTAGAATGGGGCTTATAGTTGTATACTACCTCACGTAGTCATTTATGAGGGCCAAGTGTGATACAGTGAAGTCCCACCTTAGGATTCTAAAGTGAGCATATAGGGCAAAAATCAAATACAGTAAAAATTATCCTTAAAAAATCTCTTAAATCCCTCACAAAGAACAAAGTAAATGGTTTTGGGCATACAACTCTGTAACTGAGACTGTCTGAGGGGCACAGTTTCTTCCATCTCATGCTTACTTTGTTACCTACACTTGTTGAGTGGAATGGCAGGTAAGATCATGTGCACTAAAATATAACTTACATTTTTATTCATGTTTATTTTCTACCCAGCGCATATTCAGCTTAGCATAGCACCTAGCCCTTTTAAGCCTTCAATAAATGGTAACTGTTACTGTTACCATAGGTGTAGCATGTGATATTTGAGGATGAAGAAATGGAGGTTGTCCAGGGCTTCAACAGCATGGATCAATGATGATTTTTTTTCTGCCACATCAGCCAAGATTTTTAAGACATGAATATGGCCAAGGGAATAATGTCACCATTTCAGAGATAAGGATATAGAATTATCAATTATATTTCAAGGGAAAATGCTAACATAACTGCTTCCAAGTTTATGGGCCAAAATTAACACAATCCCATACAAATAATAAGCAAATTTTATTTTTTTTCAGTTTGAATTGTGAAGTATATCATTCACACAAATGAATATTTTGATTTCAAAAGCAAAAAATAATGCTTTGTTTTAAGTTGATGATGTAAAGATTTCAAAAGACAAAGTGGTATTAAGTAGAATGCAAGATGTCAGGAAACCTTAATGATAAAATTCATCTGGGAGTCATTCATCAAGGATGTTAACCATTTTCATCCAAAGCTTATGCAACCATAAACAGTTACAAATGATCTGTTTTACAGTGTTGACACATATGTCTAAGAAGATCTTATACTATTGACAAAAAGTATTATGTATATAATGATATAATCTTTGTACACTTACTCTCTGAATAAATGTGTATTTGTTATTTTGGGAATTCAGTTGCTTGGGTCAGATTGTGGTGCTCAAATTAATGAATCATATGTAGAGTAAGGCATAAATATTGCCTAGGTATCTGCAGCATTGCCATACAGGAAGACAAATAGGGCCTTCCTTTTCTTAAAGGAAATTTTTTTTTATAGGTTACAATGGGCAGGGGTGTACCCTCTGAACATTTTTCTTGAGGATCCAACATTTAAAAGTAAGAATAACAGTGAGCTGGGCATGGTGGCTCAAGCCTGTAATCCCAGCACTTTAGGAGGCCAAGGTGAGAGGAGGATTGCTTCAGGCCAGGAATTTGAAACCAGCCTGGGCAACATAGCAAGACTTCGTCTCTACAAAAAATAAAAAAATTAACCAATTGTGGTGGCACACACCTGTAGTCCCAGCTACTTGGGAGGCTGAAGCAGGAGGACTACTTGAGTCCAAGAGGTTGAGGCTGCAGTTAGCTGTGATCATGCCAGTGCACTCCACCCTAGGTGACAGAGTGAGACCCCGTTTCTAAAAACAACAACAATAACAACAACAATGATAGAATAAAACTCTAAGAATAGTAATATGCTTTTGTTCAAGTGCTGTCAGGTGCTGACTTTACTGAAAATAAAGTCGTACTTGTACCTTATCACTTGTTGCTAGGTATAAGACTGTCTTGTTTCTAACAAAGGAGGAAAATCTTGTTTTAAGGTGACTCATACAGTGATGTGGTAGGTTGGTAATGGGGTGGTTTTTTTGCTCAGTGTAAGCACTGGAAATAACAAATACTGGTAACTTTTTCATATAATTTAACTCTTATATTTGGGAATTCCTAAGAATCTGTGTGTACAACCTGGTTCCATGATAGTCTTAATAGTAAGAAAACAGCTAAATTTCACTACTATGTGATCATGGAAATTTAAGGTATGGCATTTATAACGTCTGAGTTATAATTAGCTTATGCTTTTTCAAGTCTTTAAATATTGAGCAGTCTCCCTTACCTGTGATAATTTTTCTTTTACTGCCCCTTGAGACTCATTCATCTGTGATTGGATGATTTATTCATTTAAAGTTAATTAAGTTCAGCTACTGAGCCTTATTTTTTTTTTAATCTTACCGTGGTTATAGAACTAGGTCTCGTGGAAACTTGATTTTGGCATTTTTATAGCTATACAAGCATTGCCATGATACCCGGAAATATTGTTTGTTAGTAAAAAGGGGGACAGGTCTAGTTAATTGGAAAGATACATAGAAATTTATTCTCCTAGTTATATATCTTTAGAGATTTTTCTAATTTCCTATAAGAGAAGTCATGTTAAAACTTAAACCCAAGCTATTTTTACAGTAGGATAGAGTATAGTTTTTAATAATAAATCCTTTAAAGCTAAGGTTTGGAGAAATTTTTTTTTTTCCTTTGAGACGGAGTCTTGCTCTGTCACCCAGGCTGGAGTGCAGTGGCACGATCTCGGCTCACTGCAAGCTCCACCTCCCGGCTTCACACCATTCTCCTGCCTCAGCCTCCCAAGTAGCTGGGACTACAGGCACCCGCCACCACGCCTGGGTAATTTTTTTATTTTTAGTAGAGATGGGGTTTCACCGTGTTAGCCAGGATGGTCTCGATCTCCTGACCTCATGACCCACCCGCCTTGGCCTCTCAAATTGCTGGGATTACAGGCGTGAGCCACCACTCCCGGCCAATTTTTTTTTTTTTTTTTTTTTTTTTTTTTTTCAGATGGAGTCTTGCTCTGTTGCCCAAACTGGAGTGCAGTGGCGTGATTTCAGCTCACTGCAACCTCCGCCTCCCAGGTTCAAGCAGTTCTCCTGCTTCAGCCTCCCGAGTAACTGGGATTACAGGTGCACATCACCATGCCCAGCTAATTTTTGTATTTTTAGTAGAGACGGGGTTCACCATGTTGGCCAGGCTGGTCTGGAACTCCTGACCTCAAGTGATCTGCCCACCTTGGCCTCCCAGTGTTCTGGGATTACAGGCATGAGCCACTGCGCCCAGCCAGAGAAACTTTTCTTTAAGAGACAGGGTCTTCCTCTGTTGCACAGGCTAGAGTGCAATGGCACAATCATGGCTCACTGTATACCGCAGCCTTGATCTCCTGGGCCCAAGTGATCCTCCTACGTCAGCCTCCTGAGTAGCAGGACTAAGACAGGTGTGTACCACCATACCTGACTAATTTATTTTTTATTTTTTTGGAGAGATGGGTTATCATTATGTTGCCCAGGCTGGTCTTGAACTCTTGGACTCAAGCAATCCTTCCACCTCAGCCTCCCAAAGTGCTATCATTACAGATGGATTACCTGGCCTTGGGGAAATGTTTAGTGAAAAATTTAGGGAAAGGATTATAAAGTAATTAAGGTTTTGTCAGGGTTGGGCACAGTGGCTCACGCCAAAATCCCAGCACTTTGGGAGGCCGAGGTGGGAAGATCACTTGAGGCCAGGAGTTCAAGACGAGCCTGGGCAACATAGTGAGACCTCATTTCTACAAAAAATAAAACAGCCAGGGTTGTGGCACATGCCCGTAGTCCCAGCTACTCATGAGGCTGAGGTGGGAGAATTGCTTGAGCCCAGGAGGTCAAGGCTGCAGTGAGCCATGATCACACCACTGAAACCCAGATCCTGGGTGACAGAGTGAGATCCTGTCTCAAAAAAAAAAAAAAAAAAGGTTTTGTCAGGGTTGATGCATTTTGACACTGACTGATTGGCAGTTTTATCTGGGAGAGAAGAATTAGAGTCTTTAAAAGTAAGAACACTTTTAAGGCCAGATATTGATGAAGAATAGCCAGTTTGGCTCTGGACTGAGTTTTTTCTTTCTTTATTTGGAAGATTTCAGTTAGTTAAGGAGCTCTAGGCCATGGGGCAATAAGACTCATTCTTTTAACAAACATAACAGAGCTTGTATATTCGAAAGACTGCTCTCTAGTGCCTAAGGAAAATAGACAATGTATTTTTTTTCTTTTTTTCCTTCAGCTTTTAAGTTCAGGGATACATGTGCAGGAATGTGCAGGTTTGTTACATAAGTAAACATGTACCATGATGGTTTGCCACACAGATCATCCCATTACCTAGGTATTAAGCCCAGCATACGTTAGCTATTCTTCCTGATGTTCTCCCTCCCCCCACTCCACCCCCAACAGGCCCCAGTGTGTGTACTTCCCCACCATGTGTCCCACATGTTCTCTCCCACTTATAAGAGAGAACGTGCAGTATTTTGTTTTCTGTTCCTGTGTGACTTTGCTGAAGATAATGGCTTCCAACTCCATCCATTTCCCTGCAAAAGATATGATCTCATTCCTTTTTATGACTGCATAGTATTCCATGGTATGTATGTACCACATTTTCTTTATCCAGTCTATCAATGATGGGCATTTAGATGGATTCCATGTCTTTGCTACTGTGGATAGTGCTGCAGTCAACATACGTGTGCATGTATCTTTATAACAGAATGACTTATATTCCTCTGGGTATATACCAGTAATGGGATTGCTGGGTTAAATTTTATTTCTGCCTCTAAGTCTTTGAGGAATTGCCACACTGTCTTCCACAATGGTTGAACTAATTTACACTCCCACCAGCAGTGTAAAAATGTTCCTTTTTCTCCACAACTTCACCAGCATCTGTTTTTTGACTTTTTAACAATAGCTATTCTGACTGGCATGAGATAGTTTCTCATTGTGGTTTTGATTTGCGTTTCTTTAATGATCAGTGATGTTGAGCTTTTTTTCATATGTTTATTGGCCGCATGTATGTCATCTTTTGAGAATTGTCTGTTTATGTCCTTTGCCCACTTTTTAAATGGGGTTGTTTGTTTGTTTTCTTTTAAATTTGTTTAAGTTTCTTGTAGACTCTGGATATTAACCTTTATCAGATGGATAGATTGCAAAAATGTTCTCCCATTTTATAGGTTGTCTGTTTGCTCTGATTATAGTTTATTTTGGAGTGCAGAAGCACTTTAATTTAGTTAGATCCCATTTGTCAGTTTTTGCTTGTGTTGCACTTGCTTTTGGCGTTTTTGTCATGAAATCTTTGTCCATGCCTATATCCTGAATGGTATTGCCTAGATTTTCTTCTAGGGTTTTTATAGTTTTGGGTTTTACATTTAAGTCTTTAATCCATCTTGAGTTAATTTTTGCATGTGGTGTAAGGAAGGGGTCCAATTTCAATTTCCTGCATATGGCTAGCCAGTTCTTCCAGCACCATTTATTAACTAGGAAGTCCTTTCCTCATTGCTTGTTTTTGTCAGGTTAAGTTCAGATGGTTGTGTTACGGGATCTTTGGGTGTCAATTTTTGGAAACCTCTGTGGCCAGTTATGCCTTTGCCTGAGTTCTTGTCCATCCAGGAAGAATGAGGTAGAATGAGGTATGCAGACAAATGAAGGGTGAAGAAGACGAAGAAGAGCTTTATTTAGGTTTACAACTGCTCAGAGGAGACCCGCAGTGGGTAGCTCCCCTCTGTAGGCAGGCAGGTCATCCATCGAGTGTTCAGCTCTCATCAGAGAGGAGGCCCTGGAGAGGGTAGTTCTTCTCTGCAGGCAGGTCATTTGGTGATCTCTGCAGGTCTCTGAAACTCTCAGCAGAGAGGGTAGCTCCTTTCTGCAGTTAGTCATCCAGTTCAGTTGTCTGCTCAGCTCTGGCTGAGCCCAGGGTTTTATGGGCCTCAGAGGTGAGGAAGTGCATGCAGATTGGCCCATGGGCAGTCCTGAGAAAGGCACCAGTTTCCACTCTGGTCCATGGGACTGGCAGCCCAGCCCCCAGCCCACAGGCCCTCCCTGGCCTGAGGGAGGGACCTTACCAGGGACCCGCCCCCTTCCACCTGGCACTCTGTCTGCCTCCCACTGCTGTTCAATGACACTCAGGCTCGCCTGACTTTGCTCCAAGATCTGAGCAGTTGTGGACAGCAGGGAGAAGCCAGGCAGCAGGGGCAGGCACATCTGGGTTGAGGAGTGGTGGCTCCTGCCTGCTCCCAGCTCCCCAAAAGCACAAGGAGGCTCAGACCTGCAGCTACAACTTGGGTGGCTGCAGCCTCACCCAGGAGAGCAGGGCTCCTGCTTGCGTCTTGGAGCATGCAGCCCCAGCCACACCTCCCTGCTGGGCAAGTGATGGCAGGCTGACTGGAGCAGTTGCCACCATCAGTCATGGGTGTGTGGTCTTATATCTGAGTTCTCTATTCTGTTCCATTGATCTATGTGTCTGTTCTTGTACAAGTGTTGTGCTGTTTTGGTTACTGTAGCCTTGTAGTATAGTTTGAAGTTGGGTAGTGTAATGCCTCAGCTTTGTTCTTTTTGCTTGGGATTGTCTTGGCTATTCAGGCTCTTTTTTGGTTCCATATAAATTTTAAAATAGATTTTCTAATTCTGTGAAGAATGTCAATGATAGTTTAGTGGGTGTAGCATTGAATCTATTAATTACTTTAAGTAATATGGCCATTTTAACGATATTGATTCTTCCTATCAGCATGGAATGCTTTTCCATTTGTTTCTGTCCTCTCTGATTTCTTTGAGCAGTGGTTTGTAGTTCTCCTTGAAGAGGTCCTTCACTTCCCTTGTTAGCTGTATTTCTAGGTATTTTATTCTTTTTTAGCAATTGTGAATGGGAGTTCATTCATGATTTGTCCCTGCTTGCCTGTTGTTGGTGTATAGAAATGCTAGCAATTTTTGCACATTAATTTTGTATCCTGAGACATTGCTGAAGTTGCTTATCAGCTTAAGATGCTTTGGGGCTGAGACAATGGGGTTTTCTAGACATATGATCATGTCATCTGTAAACAAAAGTAATTTGACTTCCTGTCTTCCTATTTGAATACCTGTTATTTCTTTCTCTTGCCTGATTGCCTTGGCCAGAACTTCCAATACTGTGTTGATAGGAGTGGTGAGAGAAGGCATTCTTGTCTTGTGCCGGTTTTCAAGGGGAATGCTTCCAGCTTTTACCCATTCAGTATGATATTGGCTGTGGATTTGTCATATATGGCTCTTATTATTTTGAGGTATGTTCCTTCAATACCTAGTTTATTGAGAGTTTTTAACCTGAAGGGATTTTGAATTTTATCAAAGGCCTTTTCTTCATCCATTGAGAAAATCATGTGGTTTTTGTCTTTAGTTCTGTTTATGTGATGAGTCGCATTTATTGATTCACATATGTTGAACCAACCTTGCATCCCAGGGATGAGGCCAGCTTGATCGTGGTGGATAAGCTTTTTGATGTGCTGCTGGATTCAGTTTGCCAGTATTTTATTAAGGATTTCTCCATCGATGTTCACCAAGGATATTGGCCCGAATTTTTCTTTTTTTGTTGTATGTCTGCCAGGTTTAGGTATCAGAATGGTGCTGGCCTCATAGAATGAATTAAGGAGGAGTCTTTCCTTTTCAATTTTTTGGAATAGTTTCAGTAGGAATGGTATTAGCTCTTCTTTGTACCTCTGGTAAATTCAGCTGTGAATCCATCTGGTCCTGGGCTTTTTTTTTGGTTGGTAGGCTATTTATTACTGCCTTAATTTCAGAACTCATTATTGGTCTATTCAGGGATTCATTTTCTTCCTGGTTCAGTCTCAGGAGGGTGTATGTTGGATAATGTATTTATGCAAATGATGCAACATTTGTTTAGCATCTTTGGAGCTCCTTTTTCTGGCATCGCCTTCAATTCTTTTAAATATTTCCAAGGGTAGCAAATCTTCCTTTGAAGGTAAATTTGATTTTTGGAAATAGCCAAAAATAACTTGTATCCATATTTGGTGAATATTAATTAATTAATCCCAAACATCTTAATTGAGTGTCTTGTACTTCAGCCCCTAGGGGAAAAAGAGCGAAATAATCAGTTCCTGCTTTCAGAGCTGTAGAGGAATGGTTGATACATAGCACTGGGGCAGATGGCACATCAAAAGACTAAGGGATTTATCAGGGAGATGCAGAACAGAGAAGGGGCTCTTGGCCATGGAGAATTATTCACAAAATTAATAATTTTAGTAAAGGAAAGGCAGTAAAAATAGGCTTGTCTATAAGTTAGTGAAATGATTTTTTTTTTTTTTGGTAAATCTTGAACTGGCTTAAACACAGTTTCCAAGCAGATATTCTGAAAATGCTTCAAGTTGTGGTATATCATAGAACTTCTCAAAATGACTATTTGAAGGGAACACTTTTAAAAATATATATTCTGTTGTGTTGGTTAAAAAGTATTCATTATTTTTAATTTATATATATATATTTTAAATATATTTTGAAATTATATTTTAAATATATAAATATATTTTTAATATATAAATATATATACACATATATGTGTGTGTATATATATATTTTTAAGTTGAGACAGAGTCTTGCTCTTTGCCCAGGCTGGAATGCAGTGGCACCATCTCGGCTCACTGCAGCCTCTACTTCTCGTGCTCAGGCAATTCTCCTGCTTCAGCCTTCTGGGTAGCTGGGACTACAGGCGCCCGGCACCATGCCCAGCTAATTTTTGTATTTTTAGTAGAGACGGGGTTTCACCATGTTGGCCAAGCTGGTCTTGAATTCCTGACCTCAAGTGATCTTCCCGCCTCGGCTTCCCAAAGTGTTCATATTACAGGTGTGAGCCACTGTGCCTGGACAGTTTATTATTTTATAGACTTAAATTGAATTCTATGTTTTTACCTTGAGATAGTCTCAAAAAGTATTCACCATGGAAAATTAATACAGAATTGGTCCATTTTTCCTACCTCTCCTAGATGCCTCTACGATGTCCTTTTTAAAAAATTTCTGAGCTAAAGAAGGCAAGGGTGTTCTTTCACAGCAAATATGGGGGTGAGGGAGGGGGGAAGAGGTACATTAATAGTAAAATTGAAGAATATTTTTAGCCAATTACTCTCAGAGACTGAGTAGTTAAAACTGGATACCTTTTTTTCCTAAAGATATTAAAGATGTTAAATGATAGAAACTGACCTCCAGAATGAAAAGACAAATTATTGGGGTTTTTTTTTTTAAGGGCAACAGAAAGTAGATGATAGGTAGGGTGAACTTATAATTTGCTATTCAAAAATTTTATTCCAGGATAATAATGGAATAAAAGGAATGCTAGTGATCATTTCACTGTGCAACAAGTGTTAACTAGAACGGGCAAACTGGGGTATATGGCTACCATAGTGATGGGGATTCTAGAAAACAATCTAAGGTGAACATTCATGGGGTTGCTATTTTAAAGTAGTTATGACACACTCATAACAAAGCTGCTTTTATGCATCTATATGAGTTGGTATTTTACTTTGCAATTGAGTAAAGAAGAGACCTTACAGCATATTAAATGTGAATTTTGGAAACTAATTTTTAAGTTTCATGTATCATATCTTTCAGAAAGTAGTGTACATTCATTGCCATTTCTGCCTTATTAGTTAAGGAATAGGCCAAGCTGCTATAAAAAAGAGAGCCCATGGCCAGACAGGGTGGTTTATGCCTGTAATCCCAACACTTTGGAAGGCCAAGGTAGGAGGATCCCTTGAGGCCAGGAGTTCAAGACCAGCCTGAGCAAGAGATAGGAGCCTCTGTCTCTACAAAAAAAAAATTAAAAATTAGCCAGGCATGGTGGCATGTGCCTATAGTCTTACTACTTGAGAGGCTGAGGTGAGAGGATCATTTGAGCCCAGGAGTTCAAAGCTGCATTGAGGTATGATCACATGCCATTGCGTTCCAGCCTAGGCGACACAGAAAGACACTGTCTCTTAACAAGGAAGGAAGGAAGGGAGGGAGGGAGAAAGAAAGGGAGGAAGGAAGGGAGAAAGGAAGGGAGAAAGAAAGAAAAGGAAGGAGGGAGGGAGGAAGGGAGTGGGGAAGGAAGGAAGGAGCCTCAGCACACTGAGACATATTAGTAAGATTAAAGTTCATTTCTCTCTCTTGTAGCAGTTTAGAGGAAGAACCATTTCTTGTTAATCAGAGGTCAAAGAACGTCTGTGAAATGGGATGGTTAGACTCAACAAACCTATATTGTATTCATGAGCATATATTGCTGGATTTTCCTGAATATTCTAATGTTTGCCTTTTTGACTACTTAGAATTTTTACTTAAAATTTAAGTATGCCCACATCCTGTTATACTGTGAGGCTTTGCAACAGAGGAATACAAAAACTTGTCACTTGTTTAGAAACAGGAATTTATCTTGATAGTGATTGAATTTTATCCTAATCTAACTCTTAAGTAAAAAATTTCATCTTACTGAGAGAGAAAACATTGTTTTTTTTTTATTATTATACTTTAAGTTTTAGGGTACAGGTGCACAACGTGCAGGTTTGTTACATATGTATACATATGCCATGTTGGTGTGCTGCACCCATTAACTCGTCATTTACATTAGGTATATCTCCTAATGCTATCCCTCTCCCCTCCCCCCAACCCACAACAGGCCCAGGTGTGTGATGTTTCCCTTCCTGTGTCCATGTGTTCTCATTGTTCAATTCCCACCTATGAGTGAGAACATGCGGTGTTTGGTTTTTTGTTCTTGCGATAGTTTGCTGAGAATGATGGTTTCCAGCTTCATCCATGTCCCTACAAAGGACATGAACTCATCATTTTTTATGGCTGCATAGTATTCCATGGTGTATATATGCCACATTTTCTTAATCTAGTCTCTCATTGTTGGACATTTGGGTTGGTTCCAAGTCTTTGCTTTTGTGAATAGTGCCGCAATGAACATACGTGTGCATGTGTCTTTATAGCAGCATGATTTATAGTCCTTTGGGTATACACCCAGTAATGGGATGGCTGGGTCAAATGGTATTTCTAGTTCTAGATCCCTGAGGAATCGCCACACTGACTTCCACAATGGTTGAACTAGTTTACAGTCCAACCAATAGCATAAAAGTGTTCCTATTTCTCCACATCCTCTCCAGCACCTGTTGTTTCCTGACTTTTTAATGATCATCATTCTAACTGGTGTGAGATGGTATCTCATTGTGGTTTTGATTTGCATTTCTCTGATGGCCAGTGATGATGAGCATTTTTTCATGTGTCTTTTGGCTGCATAAATGTCTTCTTTTGAGAAGTATCTGTTCATATCCTTCGCCCACTTGTTGATGGGGTTGTTTTTTTCTTGTAAATTTGTTTGAGTTCTTTGTAGATTCTGGATATTAGCCCTTTGTCAGATGAGTAGATTGCAAAAATTTTCTCCCATTCTGTAGGTTGCCTGTTCACTCTGATGGTAGTTTCTTTTGCTGTGCAGAAGCTCTTTAGTTTAATTAGATCCCATTTGTCTATTTTGGCTTTTGTTGCCATTGCTTTTGGTGTTTTAGACATAAATTCCTTGCCCATGCCTATGTCCTGAATGGTATTGCCTAGGTTTTCTTTGACGGTTTTTATGGTTTTAGGTCTAACATATAAGTATTTAATCCATCTTGAACTAATTTTTGTATAAGGTGTAAGGAAGGGATCCAGTTTCATCTTTCTACATATGGCTAGCCAGTTTTCCCAGCACCATTTATTAAATAGGGAATCCTTTCCCCATTGCTTGTTTTTCTCAGGTTTGTCAAAGATCAGATAGTTGTAGATATGTGGCATTATTTCTGAGGGCTCTGTTCTGTTCCATTGGTCTATATCTCTGTTTTGGTACCAGTACCATGCTGTTTTGGTTACTGTAGCCTTGTAGCATAGTTTGAAGTCAGGTAGCATGATGCCTCCAGCTTTGTTCTTTTGGCTTAGGATTGACTTGGCAATGTGGGCTCTTTTTTGGTTCCACATGAACTTTAAAGTAGATTTTTCCAATTCTGTGAAGAAAGTCATTGATAGCTTGATCAGGATGGCATTGAAAATCTATAAATTACCTTGGGCAGTATGGCCATTTTCACGATATTGATTCTTCCTACCCATGAGCATGGAATGTTCTTCCATTTGTTTGTATCCTCTTTTATTTCCTTAAGCAGTGGTTTGTGGTTCTCCTTGAAGAGGTCCTTCACATCCCTTGTAAGTTGGATTCCTAGGTATTTTATTCTCTTTGAAGCAATTGTGAATGGGAGTTCACTCATGATTTGGCTCTCTGTTTGTCTGTTATTGGTGTATAAGAATGCTTCTGATTTTTGCACATTGATTTTGTATCCTGAGACTTTGCTGAAGTTGCCTATCAGCTTAAGGAGATTTTGGGCTGAGACGATGGGGTTTTCTAGACATACAATCATGTCATCTGCAAACAGGGACAATTTGACTTCCTCTTTTCCTAATTGAATACCCTTTATTTCCTTCTTCTGCCTGATTGCCCTGGCCAGAACTTCCAACACTATGTTGAATAGGAGTGGTGAGAGAGGGCATCCCTGTCTTGTGCCAGTTTTCAAAGGGAATGCTTCCAGTTTTTGCCCATTCAGTATGATATTGGCTGTGGGTTTGTCATAGATAGCTCTTATTATTTTGAGATACGTCCCATCAATACCTAATTTATTGAGAGTTTTTAGCATGAAGGTTGTTGAATTTTGTCAAAGGCCTTTTCTGCATCTATTGAGATAATCGTGTGGTTTTTGTCGTTGGTTCTGTTTATATGCTGGATTATGTTTATTGATTTGCGTATGTTGAACCAGTCTTGCATCCCAGGGATGAAGCCCACTTGATCATGGTGGATAAGCTTTTTGATGTGCTGCTGGATTCAGTTTGCCAGTATTTTATTCAGGATTTTTGCATCAATGTTCATCAGGGATATTGGTTAAAATTCTCTTTTTTTGTTGTGTCTCTGCCCGGCTTTGGTATCAGGATGATGCTGGCCTCATAAAATGAGTTAGGGAGAATTCCCTCTTTTTCTATTGATTGGAATAGTTTCAGAAGGAATGGTACCAGCTCCTCCTTGTACCTCTGGTAGAATTTGGCTGTGAATCCATCTGGTCCTGGACTTTTTTTGGTTGGTAAGCTATTAATTATTGCCTCAATTTCAGAGCCTGTTATTGATCTATTCAGAGATTCAGCTTCTTCCTGGTGTAGTCTTGGGAGGGTGTATGTGTCGAGGAATTTATCCATTTCTTCTAGATTTTCAAGTTTATTTGCGTAGAGGTGTTTATAGTATTCTCTGATGGTAGTTTGTATTTCTGTGGGATCGGTGGTGATATCCCCTTTATCATTTTTTATTGTGTCTATTTGATTCTTCTCTCTTTTCTTCTTTATTAGTCTTGCTAGCGGTCTATCAATTTTGTTGATCTTTTCAAAAAACCAGCTCCTGGATTCATTGATTTTTTGAAGGGTTTTTTTGTGTCTCTATATCCTTCAGTTCTTCTCTGATCTTAGTTATTTCTTGCCTTCTGCTAGCTTTTGAATGTGATTGCTCTTGCTTCTCTAGTTCTTTTAATTGTGATGTTAGGGTGTCAATTTTAGATCTTTCCTGCTTTCTCTTGTGGGCATTTAGTGCTGTAAATTTCCCTCTACACACTGCTTTAAATATGTCCCAGAGATTCTGGTATGTTGTGTCTTTGTTCTCGTTGGTTTCAAAGAACATCTTTATTTCTGCCTTCATTTCATTATGTACCCAGTAGTCATACAGGAGCAGGTTGTTCAGTTTCCATGTAGTTGAGCGGTTTTGAGTGAGTTTCTTGATCCCGAGTTCCAGGTTGATTGCACTGTGGTCTGAGAGATAGTTTGTTATAATTTCTATTCTTTTACATTTGCTGAGGAGTGCTTTACTTCCAACTGTGTGGTCAATTTTGGAATAAGTGCAGTGTGGTGCTGAGAAGAGTGTATATTCTGATGATTTGGGGTGGAGAGTTCTGTAGATGTCTATTAGGTCCACTTGGTGCAGAGCTGAGTTCAATTCCTGGATATCCTTGTTAACCTTCTGTCTCATTGATCTGTCTAATGTTGACAGTGGGGTGTTAAAGTCTCCCATTATTATTGTGTGGAAGTCTAAGTCTCTTTGTAGGTCTCTAAGGACTTGCTTTATGAATCTGGGTGCTCCTGTATTGGGTGCATATATATTTAGGATAGTTAGCTCTTCTTGTTGAACTGATCCCTTTACCATTATGTAATGGCCTTGTCTCTTTTGATCTTTGTTGGTTTAAAGTCTGTTTTATCAGAGACTAGGATTGCAACCCCTGCCTTTTTTTGTTTTCCATTTGCTTGGTAGATCTTCCTCCATCCCTTTATTTTGAGTCCATGTGTGTCTCTGCATATGAGTTGGGTTTCCTGAATACAGCACACTGATGGGTCTTGACTCTTTATCCAATTTGCCAGTCTGTGTCTTTTAATTGGAGCATTTAGGCCATTTACGTTTAAGGTTAATGTTGTTATGTGTAAATTTGATCCTGTCATTATGATGTTAGCTGGTTATTTTGCTCGTTAGTTGATGAAGTTTCTTCCTAGCCTCGATGGTCTTTACAATTTGGCATGTTTTTGCAGTGGCTGGTACCGGTTGTTCCTTTCCATGTTTAGTGCTTCCTTCAGGAGCTCGTTTTATTTAGAGCTTGTTCTAATTCTTTTGTAACTACTTAAGTGAGTTATTTATTCCTCTTTGTTCTCATAGAAATTATATAAATATATATATACACACCCATATATGTATGTCTTTATAGCATTACAGTAGTATTTTTGTCACCCTATCACATTAGATTGAGGTCAGGAACCTTTCTTGTTCATTTTCGTACCCCCCTTAGTGTCTGGAATATGATAAATAGGTAATAAATAGATGTCAGTGAAGAACTGTTAATCTCATTTAATTACAGACTTACTCATTACTAAAATAAGACAGTTCTGGAGTTGATAATTTTACCTAAGCATAGTGGATGAATTGCTTGTATTTTGTAATATTAAATAGGTTGAGAATGAATATTTAAATGTGTAGGCTGCATTTTACATATGATACATAGAAAATTTAAAGGATAGGATTAGAATATCATGTAATTAAAATGAAATGAAAAAGACCAGCAATAAAGTGGGAATGGGATTGAATGGACCATATAGATAAAAGAATGTATAAAATACATTTTATAATGTATTTTATAAAATGCCAAAATATATTTAAAATAAAATATATTTTATAAAATACCAAAATCTACAGATGCCCAAGTGCCTGTTATAACATGGCATAGTATTTGCATATAAGCTATGCAATATTTTTATAAAATATATTTTATATATTTTATACATGAAATGTATATATAAAATACATTTTATACATGAAATGTGTATATAAAATACATTTTATACATGAAATGTGTATATAAAATACATTTTATACATGAAATGTGTATATAAAATACATTTTATACATGAAATGTGTATATAAAATACATTTTATACATGAAATGTGTATATAAAATACATTTTATACATGAAATGTGTATATAAAATACATTTTATACATGAAATGTGTATATAAAATACATTTTATACATGAAATGTGTATATAAAATACATTTTATACATGAAATGTGTATATAAAATACATTTTATACATGAAATGTGTATATAAAATACATTTTATACATGAAATGTGTATATAAAATACATTTTATACATGAAATGTGTATATAAAATACATTTTATACATGAAATGTGTATATAAAATACATTTTATACATGAAATGTGTATATAAAATACATTTTATACATGAAATGTGTATATAAAATACATTTTATACATGAAATGTGTATATAAAATACATTTTATACATGAAATGTGTATATAAAATACATTTTATACATGAAATGTGTATATAAAATACATTTTATACATGAAATGTGTATATAAAATACATTTTATACATGAAATGTGTATATAAAATACATTTTATACATGAAATGTGTATATAAAATACATTTTATATATGAAATGTGTATATAAAATATATTTTATATATTTCATATATAAAATGTGTATATAAAATATATTTTATATATTTCATATATAAAATGTGTATATAAAATATATTTTATATATTTCATATATAAAATGTATATATAAAATATATTTTATATATTTCATATATAAAATGTATATATAAAATATATTTTATATATTTCATATATAAAATGTATATATAAAATATATTTTATATATTTCATATATAAAATGTATATATAAAATATATTTTATATATTTCATATATAAAATGTATATATAAAATATATTTTATATATTTCATATATAAAATGTATATATAAAATATATTTTATATATTTCATATATAAAATGTATATATAAAATATATTTTATATATTTCATATATAAAATGTATATATAAAATATATTTTATATATTTCATATATAAAATGTATATATAAAATATATTTTATATATTTCATATATAAAATGTATATATAATGTATATATAAAATGTATTTATAAAATATATATAATATATAATATAATGTATATAAAATATATGTATAATGTATTTTATACATTCTGCGATCTATAAATAAAATAGAATGTATAAAATACATCTATCTATAAATAGAATATATGAAAACATGACAGCATAGCCATTTGTAGAAATACATGTGATTTTATGTGGTTGGAGTGGAGAGTCTATGTCAGAGAAGGGGCATGATGGGAGATGAGACTCAAGAGGCTAGATCATGAAGAGCCTTATGTGATAGCAGTTTGAATTTTGTCTTGAAAACCATGAGGAATATGGAAGAATTTAAGTATGATCAGATTTGCACATCTGAAGCTGTATTGGGGGGGCGGGGGTGGAGCTAGATGTACTTAGTTACTTAATTGGGGGAAGGTGGAAGGATGGTAATTGAGAAGGAAGGGTCTAGAATATGGCTTCAGTGTTCCAGATTTAGGCATCTAGGTAGATTGTGGTTCCATACCCTGAGGTAAAGAATACTGGGGCCAGTTTAAGTGGTGGGAGTGGGTGGTGAACATCTTGAGTTGGAGGTAAATAGTTAGTCCTTTGTAGCTGGAAGTTCTGCATCTGCAGATTCAACCAACTGTGGATTGAAACTATTTGGGAAAACCCCAATAAAAATAACAATACCATAATAAAAATAATACAAATTAAAAAATAGTATAACAGCTATTTACATAGTATTTACATCGAAGTAGGTATCGTAAGTAATCTAGAGATGATTTAAAGTGTACAGGAGCATGTGCATAGCTTATATGCAAATACTATGCCATGTTATAACAGGGACTTGGGCATCTGTGGATTTTGATATCTGTAGGGGTCCTGGAATCAATCCTCTGTGGATACCAAGAGATGACTATATACAAAACAAGCAAAGGAAAGTCCCAAGCTGAAGAGATACATGTGTTACTCAGCAAGGAGATCTAGGCTGGAGAAAGAAAAAATGATAGTGACCATTTATTGAGCCTTTGCATAAATATGTCAGGTACTGTGGCAGAAACTTTATATATGTCATTTAGTACTTAGGAATTATTATTATTCTCATTTTATAAATTAAGAAACCAAGATCCAAGCTTACACAGTAAGTGGCAGAGAAACTTATAGGCTCTAAAGCTGTACTGAAGCCATGAGGATATGAATGAGATCACTTATGGAGAACGTAACATGAGACAAGTGGAGAACTAAAAGGTGACTAAGGTGTGAGATGAGAGAAGCCTAAAGATAGACTTTTGGGGAATGGGACATTTGGGAGACTAATGAAGGAAAATCCTGCAAATAAGACTGAAAAAGAACATCAAGAGCAATGTTAACCCAAAATGTGTTTCCCAACTCAATTTGTTATTTAAGATAGTTCTTTAAAAGGGATGGAAGAATTTAATAGTCAAGAAATTTGGGAAAACATTGGAGAAACTCATCTTGTAGAGTCACAATACACCTCAGTATATTGAAGATCTGAGAAAATCTGTAGTAAAGAAAAATACTTAACTTTAATACCACATTTCCCAAAAGTATTTGATCATGTACCCTTGTCATAGTCTCATTCCTGCTACTATAACAAAATACCACAGAATGGGTAATTTATAAATAATAGAAATTTATTTCTCACAGTTCTGGAGGATGGGAAGTCCAAGACAAGGTGCCAGCAGATTCGGTGTCTGGGAAAAGCCTTCTTGCTGCATCCTCATGTAGAAGGAACAAATGTGGTGTCCTCATATAGCAAAAGGGGAAAACGGGTGAACAGTTATATGGCACTTCTTGTATAAGGTCATTAATTCCATTCACGAGAGCTCTATCCTCATGACTTACTTCCTGAAGGCCTGACCTCTTAATACTATCATGTTGGTGATTAAGTTTCAGCATATCAATTTTGGGGGGATGCATTCAGACTATAGCAATTCTCCCCCACCCCCCCTTTTTTTTTGCCTAAATTCCATTGACATTCCAGGACTAGGTACTCTAGTTAGGATGAAATTCTGGTGAGTGTGGCATCACAGACTCTAAGCAAAGAGGGAGTTTCAGGAAGGAAGTGTGCACTGTTGGGTCAGATGTATTGAGGAGGTGAAGAGAAGGAAGAGTAGAAAGTCCATTGACTTTGGCAGTTAGGATACTAGTGACTTTCGTAAGATCAACTTTGGTGGAGTGGGTGATCAGAAGACCAGTTGCAGCAGGTTAGAAGGTAAATTAGTGGTGAGGAAAGGAAAGTAGCAAGTAGAGACTGTTCTTTTAAAACCTAGTATCAAGGAAAGGAAGAGTAGCTAGAGGGAAATTTAGGGTGAGAGAAGGGCTCTTTTTGGTTATTTGGAAGAGATCTGAGAATATTTTTCTGCTGAGGGGAAGTGATCATTAGGAAAGAAAAGGGTACGGGAAGAGGGTAGGGAAGAGGGAATGATTCATGGAGCAAGTTTCTGGAGGAAATGGGAGGAGAGAGGTTCCAGAGGACAGAGAGAGAGAGATTTGGAAGGTTGGATAATATTACAGTGAGCTCTAGTACAGAAATGCCCTTAGGAACTTCTTTTCCTAGTAAGATTGTTATGTTTATTGTTTTTGTCTACTTTTTATTTTATTTTAATTTACAAAAAAAAAATTTAAGCTAGTCAGTCATGGTCGAGACAATGTTAATGAGCTTAACAGTGACCCACAACCTTCAGACCAACTTGGGTCTACTTTGTATAGCTTTACTGAATCTTCCTCTTCATTGTCACAGTGGTGGCTGTTGACATTCCCTACTGTCATTGTGCCTTCCTCTAGCAGCTTTTACTTTTACTTTGCTGTTTCCTATCTGCTTCCAACTAGAAAACCAGACTTTTCAGGAATTAAGAGTAAATAACCTGAAGGTCTAAAGAGCAACACCCTCATCCACACCAGGGAAGCAGTTTATAAACTTTGGGGCATCTTTTCTGCACTTAGAATTCCTTTTATAGGTGAGGTGGGGGTGGGGGCTGCTTTGGAAACTTTCAGATGTTTTTAATTTATATGTATTTACTATTTAAAATGTTTGCTATTAGCCAAATGCTGTGGCACATGTCTGTAGTCCCCAGCTACTTGGGAGACTATAAGGCAGGAGGATTGCTTGAGCCCAAGGAGGTCAAGGCCAACCTGGGCAACAGAACAAGACCTTGTCTCTTTTTAATAAAAAAAGAAAGAAAGAAAAGAAAGAAAAAAAAAAGAAAGTCGGCTATTACTTCATTTGTGCATTTTAGAATTTCTTTTGTAAATTCTAAAAGCCATTTTCCTAATTTTATAAAGCTTCTTTCTTAGTGGTAGATATCTTCAGCTATATATTGTTTATACAAAATCTCTTCAGTTTGAAGATGGGTTTTAACTAGAATCTGGAAAGCTAATGGGCTAGTCAGAACATAAGGTTCTGACTTATAACCATAAAATTGTGCAAGATTAAATATTCTTAGTGGTGTGGTCTGTACTGAGACCTTTTGATTTATAGTGGGTCACTATATAATGATGCGGTTCTGCTCTGTACTTTTTTAGCTAATTATGTTTCTTTTGTCTATAATTGAATAGCCCTTTTGGTCAAATGAGAAGTCTGGAAATTCTGCAATTACCTTTGGTCTGCTCTTCACCTGTCAGAAGTTTGAAGGCTATTTTGTTTTTTTTTTTCTATTACTATGACATAATATTCAACATTTTAGAATTTAGAATTTATTTAGGGCTCTTGAGCTGCTTGCTTGAGCCTGCTTTCACTCTATGGAGTGTACTTTCGTTTCAATAAATCTGTGCTTTTGTTGCTTCTTTCTTTCATTGCTTTGAAAAAAAAATTTATTTAGAAGTGAAGGCTAAATCTGATGGGTTTTGTCTAGATAACAGTGCAGAGAACTATTTGTAGCAAATGTGGTTGCTAACCACTTGCACTAGATTCATGTGGGAACTTAAGCATAGTAGATTTGTGGGTTTCATCTCTGTCCTACTCAGTCTCTCTTGAGATAGTCAGGACTGTGTGTTTTTTAACAGGCTCTTGGGTGATTCTGTTAAGTACTAACATATGAAAAGTACTGGTGCAGGGAATCCAGCCTGTGATTAGGCCTGATCCAGGCTGGTCCTTACACTGACTGTAGCAAAAGTGTCCATGGTTAGAACCCAAATCAGAGGAGTGTATGTTCAGGTGCTTCTCACAGGATGATCTTTTAAAGATTTTTTTCAGACCGGGCGTGGTGGCTCACACCTGTAATCCCAGCACTTTGGGAGGCTGAGGCAGGCAGATCACGAGGTCAAGAGATCAAGACCATCCTGGCCAACATGATGAAACCCCGTCTCTACTAAAAATACAAAAATTAGCTGGGTCTGGTGGCGTGTGCCTGTAGTCCCAGCTACTCGGGAGGCTGAGGCAGGAAAATCACTTGAACACAGGAGGCAGAGGTTGCAGTGAGCCGAGATCGCACCACAGCGCTCCAGCCTGGTGACAGAGCGAACAGCTTTAGTGAAATATAATTCAAATGCTATACAGTTAATACATTGGTTTTGGTATATTCACAGATATATGCACCCAACACCACAGTCAGTTTTTGAAAATTTTCATCACCTCAGAAAGAAACCCCTTTATCTATGACCACTCTATCCCACCCAACACCTCACCTCATCCTAAGCAAACACTAATCTCTGTCTCTATAACTTCCCTATTCTGGACTGGCCTATGAGTGGGATCATATGTTGTCTTTGTGATTGGCTTCTTTCAGTTAGCATAATGTTTTCAAGGCTTATCCATGTCATAGCCTGTGTTAGCACTTCATTCCTTTTTATGGCCAAATAATAATAGTGTTTTATCCTTTCATCCACCTAAATGATGACATTTAGGTTGTTTCTGTCTTTTGGCTATTATGAATGGTGCTGTACACATCTGTGTACAAGTTTCTGTATGGACATATGTTTTCATTTCTCTTGGGCATATACCTAGGAGTGGGATTGCTAGAGCATATGATAACTCTTTTTAACTGATGAACTGCCAGATTGTTTTCCACAGCAGCTGCACCATTTTACATTCCCACCAGCAGTGTATGAGGGCTCTGATTACTCCACATCCTCATCAACACTTGTTGTAACCTAACTTCAGATTCTAGCCATTCTTGTGAATATGAAGTATTATCTCATTGCAGTTTGGGTTTGCATTTCCCTAGTGGCTAATGATGTTGAACATCTTTTCATGTGCTCACTGGCCATTTGTGTATCTTCCTCACATGAGAAATATCTATTCAGATCTTTTGCCCATTTTTTATTTTTTTAATTAAAAAAATTTTTTAGAGACTGGGGTCTTGCTCTGTTTCCCAGGCTGGAGTGTAGTGAAACAATCACAGCTCACTGCAGCCTCACACTCCTGGGCTCAAGCCATCCTCCTGCCCCAGTCTTGGTGTCTGATCTCATACCTGGCTGGTTTTTTTTTTTTTTTTTTTTTTTTTTGGTAGAGATGGGGCCTCACTGTGTTGCCCAGGCTGGCCTTTGCTCATTTTTAAATTGGACTTTTTGTCTTTTTATTATTGAGTTGTAAGAGTTCTTTATGTATTCCAGATACAAGTCCCATGTCGGATATGTGATTTGCAAATATTTTATCCCATTCTCTGGGTTGTCTTTTTTCTTTCTTTATGGTGTACTCTGAAGCACAAAATTTTTAAATTTGGTGAAGTTCAGTGTACCTATTTTGTTGTTGTTGTTCATGCTTTTGGTGTCATAGCTAAGAATTCTTTGGCAAATCCTACATCATGAAGATTTACCCCTATGTTTTCTTCTGAGAGTTTTTTGGTTTTTTGTTTGTTTGTTTTGAGACAGTCTGTCTCTGTCACCCAGGCCGGAGTGCAGTGGCGCAATATCAGCTCACTGCAACCTCTGCCTCCCAGGTTCAAGCAATTCTTCTGCCTCAGCCTCCCAAGTAGCTAGGATTACAGGTGTGTGCCACCATGCCCAGCTAATTTTTGTATTTTAGTAGAGACGGGGTTTTACCATGTTGGCCAGGCTGGTTTCAAATTCCTGACCTCAAGTGATCCACCTGCCTTGGCCCCCCAAAGTGCTGGGATTACAAGTGTGAGCCCCCATGCCCAGACTCTTCTGACAGTTTTATGATTTTTCTCTTACATTTAGGCCTTTGATCCATTTTGAGTAAATTTTTGTATATGGTATTTGTTTGCATGTGGCTTTGCAGGTGTCTTAGCACCATTTTTTTTTAAGAAAACTAAACTCAAATTTTATATACAATGCCTTTAATTTTATTTTAAATTAGAAACATAGTAGTCTTTTTTTCTTTTCTTTCCTTTTTTTTTTTTTTTTTTTTTTTTTTGAGATAGTGTCTCACTCTTTCACCTAGGCTGGAGTGAAGTGGTGCACTATCATGGCTTCAACCCTCCGAGCTCAAGTGATCCTCCCACCTCAGCCTCCTGAGTAGCTGGTCTACAGGAGTGTGCCACCACGCCTGGCTTTTTTTTTTTTTTTAAGTTTTTTGTAGGGATGTGATTTTGCCATGTTACCCAGGCTGGTCTCACACTCCTGGCCTAAAGTGATCCTCCCACCTCAGCCTCTCAAAGGGCTGGGATTACAGGCATAGCCATTGCAGCTGGCTGTCACTTTCTTTATACTGACTTTTTCTACTGTTTGTATGGTTAAGGTTGCTGTTAATACTGTAGAAATATAAACCATCAAAATATTTGGTCTATAAAAATTACTAGGTTTTTGCTTTACACTTATACGGATTCCATCCCAGAGAGTTGTCCAGTTTCCAAGCTGTCCATGCTATGGCACTAAGTCTCATACATAAAACTCCAACTCTGCTTTCTTGGGATTTCAGTGGGAAAGAAATACACTGAATGCCTGATTCTCTCCAAATCTCTTTCCAACCATCCAATGGAACCATAAAGATTCCTCAGTCTTAGACTTCGTGATTTTAGGCTTTTTCTCACCACTATCTGTTAGTTTCCATGGTAGAGTCAAGTGCAGTCTCTGTCTCAGCATAGTTTCTTTCTGGGGGTAGGGTGGATGGGACAGGGTCTTACTCTTTCGGTCAGGCTGGAATGCAGTGGCATGATCATGGCTCACTGCAGCCTCAACCTTCTGGGCTCAAGTAATTCTCCTGCCTCAGCCTCCTGAGTAGCTGGGACTACAGGCATGTACCACTATGCCTGGCTAACTTTTAAATTTTTTTGTAGAAATGAGATCTCACTACATTGCCCAGGCTGGTCTCAAACTCCTGGGCTTAAGTGATCCTCCAGTATTGGCCTCCCAAAGTGCTGGGATTGCAGTCATGAGTTACCACGCCTGGCCTCAGCATAGTTTCTTTCATAATCTTCACATATACTAATCTGCAAAAACTATATTGTGTTCTGTAAGGTCATCTTAGTTTTTATAAAAGATAAGGAAATGTTTTCTTCACATTAAATTACATTAAAATAAGCTGAAAGCACTTATTTATTTTCTAAAATTAGTATTTAGTAATAGCATTCCCTAACCTGAACTGCAGAAGACCATTTAAAAGTAGCTCTGTTCCCTCTACTATGATGACCAGGTTTCTGCTCTTCAAAGAGAAAGAAATAAGAACAACCAACATTGGCTTACTCTGTGCTAGGCACTATTCTGAACTCTTTATCAATATGATCTGATTCAGTCCTGACAACCACCCTCTGAAGATGTGTACTATTACCATCCTCATTTTACAGATGAGGAAATAGAGGCACAGATAAGGGGTAGGACAGGATTAGAATCCAGGCAATCCGACTTCAGAGACCCTTGTCTTGAAAGCACGTACCAAAGATTGGCCTGCCTTACCCTTCTTGTCTTAAACTCCAGTCTTGAATTCCATGTCATTTTTGATGGGTCTAGGAAATAGGACCTAGGAAATACACCTAAAGTACTCTGTTTTGTTTTTGTTTATTCTTACTAAAGCTCAAGTTTATCCTCTATTGATCCTCACTAAATAATTTCGTAGTTATAATATCTAAGATGTACAAAAATTTCTATGCCTGCTCCAAGATTTTTTTTTATTGTGTTCTATGCTAATAGCTTGCTTTTATAACACTACTACTGATCTCAAGTATTAAGTTGTTAACAAAATATCCTCTATAGGCATATAATTAAATAAGATAGGTGGCCCCAAAGTAGTATAAGCTGCATGATGTTGAAGAAATTACATTGGCTCGATAGGAGAGCCATTCATCTGGCTTTGCTACCACTTAACTCTGGCTCTGGTCAATCTTTTCATCTTTCTAGTCCTGGTTTTCTTATCCGAGAAAAAAATCTTTAATCTCTAAGGTCCTGTCCAGCTTTAGCACTTAAGGATACCACATACTCTTGGTAAAGTGTCTTCAGAACTGTGTAATAGAAGTTGAAGGAGCGCTATAATTGGTGATTAACATTCAGCCCCTTGTTACTTATGCAACTTCTTCAGCAGGCTTGAATTTCTCCCCAGAAAATGGGTTATTTTCTATCACATCATCAGTCTGCAAATTTTTCAAACTTTTTTTTTTTTTTTTTTTGAGATGGAGTCTTTCTCTGTCGCCCAGGCTGGAGTGCAGTGGCATGATCTTGGCTCACTGCAACCTCCACCGCCTGGGTTCAAGCAATTCTCCTGTCTCAGCCTCCCGAGTAGTTGGGACTACAGGTGCACGCTACCATGCCTGACTAATTTTTGTATTTTTAGTAGAGACAGAGTTTCACCATATTGGTCAGGCTGGTCCCAAACTCCTGACCTCAGGTGGTCCATCCACCTCAGCCTCCCAAAGTGCTGGGATTACAGGTGTGAGCCACGACACCCGGCCATTTTCCAAACTTTTATGCGCTGCTTCTTCTTGAACACTTTGCCACTTAGAAATTTCTTCCACCAGATACCTAAATCATCTCTCTCAAGTTCAAAGTTCCACAGAACTCTATGGCAGGGGCAAAATGCCACCAGTCTCTTTGCTAAAACATAGCAAGAGTCACCTTTGCTCCAGTTCCCAAGTTCCTTATCTCCATCTGAGACCACCTCAGCCTGGACCTTATTGTCCATATCGCTATGAGCATTTTGGTCAAAGCCATTCAACAAGTCTCTAGGAAGTTACAAACTTTCCCATATCTTCCTGTCTTCTGAGCCCTCCAAGTTTCTAGGAAGTTCCAAACTTTCCCACATTTTTCTGTCTTCTTCCGGGTCCTCGAAACTGTTCCAACCTCTGCCTGCTACTCAGTTCCAAAGTTGCTTCCACATTTTCGGGTATCTTTATAGCAGTGCCCCACTACCTGGTACCTATTTACTGTATTAGTCTGTTCTCACGCTGCTAATAAAGACATACCTGAGACTGGGTAATTTATAAAGGAAAGAGTTTTAATGGACTCACAGTTCCACATGGCTGGGGAGGCCTCACAATCATGGTGGAAGAATAAGGAAGAGCAAAAGGACATCTTACATGGCGGCAGGCAAGAGAGCCATGTGCAGGGGAAATCCACTTTATAAAACCATCAGATCTCGTGAGACTTGCTATCACCAGAACAGCACAGGAAAAACCAGCCTCCATGATTCAATTACCTCCCACTGGCTCCCTCCCATCACATGTGGGAATTATGGGAGCTACAATTCAAGATGAGATTTAGGTGGGTACATACCCAAACCATATCAGTAAGCATTATTGATTAAATCATTGGTCATTGGTAACTGACTCAATCTCCACTCCTTCCCTGGTTATGTGATGGAGCTGAAAATTACAAGCTTCTAATCAAGGATTGGTGTTTCTGGTGACTAGCTCCCATCCTAAAGCTATCTAGGGGCCAGCCAAGAGACACTTCCTTAAAACTAAAGATGCTTCTATCACTCGTGTCACTCAGGAAATTCCAAGGGTTTTAGGAGCTCTGTGTCAGGAACTGGGGAAAAAGACCTGATTTTTTTTTTTTTTTTTTTTTTTATGATACAATAGCAAGAAACCCCAGTCTTTGGTTAATAAGAGTTAAAAGTTAGTACCTGCTTGATAGAAAAAAAGCATAATATGCAATAGGTTGCATAAGACTTGGTGAGAAGAAAGAGGAACAGCAAAAGCATGGAAGCCAGAGACACTTGGATAAGTGTAAATGAATTCAGTACTCTAGATAATAAAGCACGTGATGGGAGAAAAAGGGAGGTGCTAGATTAGAGAACTAAGTAGGCAAGAGCCAAGACCTTGGAGGCTTTTTATGCCTTGGTAAGAAATTTAAACTTAAACTTTAGCCCGTACTCAGGCTTTACATTGCATCAGAATAAGTTGAAAAATATGTAAAAATGCAGATTGACCCAGGAATATGCATCTTTACAAGCATCCACAGGTAACCCTGACACAAAAAATACTGCTTTTGGCAGTGAGGAACATAAAAGTTTTATGTAGAGATGTAAGGTCAGAGTTACAATTTAGAGTGGATTGTTGCAGTTGCCAAGTCCTGGAACTAACATAGACTCAAACTAAGGCAGTTGTGGTTGGGATAGACAGGATGAGATAGATTACAGAAATATATAAAAAGTGAAGTGGTAGAGGCCTGATGATGGATTATGAGGTGAAATAAAGATAGAAGACTGGTTAACTCTTGAAGACTTTGAGCTTGGTTGGGCTGAGTAGATGGCAGATGATATTAACAAAAGTACAAGAAGTAAAGCTTTAGTGGGAAGATGAGTTCAGTTGCGGACCAGCTGAGGTATGTAATCCTGTGGAATATGTTAGCAAACATGTTCCAATTAGGCAGTAAGATATCCAAGAAGACCAGTGATGAAAATATCCTAAAGTAATGTTTGTAGTCTCTTGAAGCTGTGAGAGAGATGACATCACTCAAGGAATGCCCATGGAGATAGATGCCAAGGACAGAACCCTGAAAGCCCCCATATGTAAGGGGTAAAAGTAGAAAAGGAGAATTTGACAGACTGAAAGGAGCAATCAGAAAGCAATTTGTGGAAGACCAGTAGAAAATAGTGTGCCAAAAGTTTTAGGAAGAAATCAATGGTCCAATTCTGTCAAATGCAACTGAGAAATTCGATAATACAAAGAAAAGTGTTATGAGTTGGTAGTGTGGAAGCCACCTGTGACTTTGGCTACAGTAGTTTCAGTGGAGAGGTGGGACAGAGAAGCCTGATTGAGGTAAGTTGAAGAGAAAATTGATCAAACAAATTGTGAATATAGGCCAGGTGTAGTGGCTCACACCTGTAATCCCAGCACTTGTGGAAGCCAAGGTGGGAGGATTGCTTGAGCCCAGGAGTTCGAGACCAGCCTGGGCAACATAGTAACCTCTCTCACTCATCATATATATATGTATGTAAAGAAACAGTAAAAATAGAGTATTCATTTTCACAAGAGTTCTCATGAATAGAAGGAGAAAAAGGATTATATCTAGATGGAGGAATGCAAGGTCAAATATTTTTCTTGTTTTTAAAGTATGCAGTAGACTTGAAAATGTTTCTGTGCTAAAGGAAATGAACCAAAGTAATGGCAGTGGGGAAAGAGATAGAAGATAAAAGTGAGACAGGAGATAATTGATAGGAACAGGTCTCAGGGGACTGGTCTAAGACACTAAATAAGGAGTTAGTCTGGAACAGGAGAAGTTAGGCTGTCCAGGAAGAGAATTAACTCATCCTCTGTGACTTAAATATCTATTTCCTGTTATGATTTAACCTTACTATACAGGATGACATTACCATTCTTTACTCCAGGAGAACTTATAAAGTGTATCCAATGTGCAGTTTTATCAATTCATCATGCATAGATAAAAATTTCTATTTATATACAGTATAACTTATATTTAGATATTATAGTATGTCATGTATAGTTAAGACTAATCTGTTGCCCTGACTACTATAGAGATTAGCAGAAACCTTTCTGAAACACGATAGGATAATGTGTCTTCTGATTCTTTTAAAATTCTTTCTTCTTTTTACAGCTGTTAAGCACATAGTGGGCACTCAATAAAATGACACCTAACATAGGATTTGGAAAATGTGTGAATTACAAAGATATAACCCAAAATATAAAAGGTACTCATTATTCAGAGTTTAAATTCTTTGAACTTACTAACTCTAAAAATTAATACCAGTTTTTAATAGAAGCCTTTTACCATACCAGAATTCAACTTGTCACTAAGCATAAGAGTTTTTTTTTTCTTTTTTCTTTTCTATTTTATTTCTTTTCACATCAGACAGGTAATGTGCTGATATTGTAACAAGGTTTAAGGGAGGCACATCTCACACAAAAGCATGAAAACCCAGTCACCATGCTTATGAATCACAAAAGGATTCTAGGCATAAGATTATGATTTGGCCATTAAGAAAAAAATTGGGCTGGGCATGGTGGCTCATGCCTTTAATAAAAACACTTTGAGAGGCTGAGGCGAGAGGATCGCTTGAGCCCAGGAGTTCAAGACCAGCCTGAGTAACATAGTGATACCCCGTCTCTACAGAAAAATTTTTAAAAAGAAAAAAATTGTCTTTGATGATAACTTGGTAGACTTCCAGCTGGGAGCATCTTTATTTTATTTATTTGTTATTTTTGAGATGGAGTTTTGCTCTGTTGCCCAGGCTAGAGTGCAGTGGTGCGATCTCAGCTCACTGCAACCTCCACCCCCCGGGTTCAAGCGATTCTCCTGCCTCAGTCTCCTGAGTAGCTGGGATTAGAGGTGCCCGCCACTGCGCCCAGCTAATTTTTGCAGTTTTAATAGAGACGAGGTTTCACCATTTTGGCCAGGCTGGTCTCGAACTCCTGACCTTGTGATCCACCTGCCTAGGCCTCCCCCAAAGTGCTGGGATTACAGGTGTGAGCCACTGCGCCCGGCCAGAGCATCTTTATTTAAAAGCATGTATTGTAAAGCTCCATGTGAGAATAGAATGCTACCTTGAGTATATAATGAGGTGCAGGGAAAAGTCCAGGCTACTATCTTAAGGCCAGTTATAAATCCTTGATGATTTCAAATTTGTTGGATTCTTTTGATGGTGATGATAGTGGGAGAAAGAAATATGCACATCAAAAGGGATTTACTAGAGAAAAGGCTGTGAGTTTTTGAAAGGTTTTGGTAAGTGTGCCAAATTGCTTTCTAGAAAAGTTGTATTAGTTTACACTTCCATCAGTAATATGCTCCAGACATCAGTGAGTATGCTCCAGACATCATTTTCCAAATATTAAAAATTACATTCTCATTTTAGAAGACTGGCATTGTATAATAGGACAGCTATGTATCAATCTTTGTATCTCCCTGAAGCTTTCAGCCATTGAGTTCTGTAACCAAATGACTTCCTGTACATCTTAAGAAGCAAATAATGCAGTTTTTTCCTCAATTGAAATGTTTGGAGATGTTTGTTTGTTTGTTTGTTTTTCTCCTTGAAGCCTGTAAAAGTTTGAGTTCATTTTAAAGTTTTGGGGAAATTTTCAAGTTCTGATTTCATCTCCCACGTGTACTTTTCATAATTATTTCATTTTATTAACAAAGTAGGGCCAGGCGCAGTGGTGGGCTGGGTGTGGTGGCTCATACCTGTAATCCCAGCACTTTGGGAGGCCGAGGTGGGCAGATCACGAGGTCAGGAGTTTGAGACCAGCCTGGTCAACATGGTGAAACCCCATCTCTACTAAAAATACAAAAATTACCTGGGTGCGGTGGCAGGTGCCTATAATCCCAGCTACTCGGGAGGCTCAGGCAGGAGAATTGCTTGAACGTGGGAGGCAGAGGTTGCAGTGAGCCAAGATTGTGCCACTGCACTCCAGCCTGAGTGACAGAGCAAGACTCTGTCTCGGAAAAAAAGAAAGAAAGAGAAAGAGAGAGAGAAAAGAAAGGAAGAAAAGGAAGAAAGAATGAAAGAACAAACAAAAGAAAGACAGGAGGGAAAATAGGCACTACAGATTGTTCACAATTCCCTAACTCCATTTAATATAAGGATTTTGATTTCTCCTTTTCACTGAAAAACTATCCTACTGTTCTTTGGTGGCCAATGATAACAAACTTAGTTTATAGCTACTATAACTGAGGTTTGGGAAATCTTCAATACTTCACATATGTATAGATGCTGGCAGTGTATCAAATTCTAGTTTCTAGTCTTTAGTTCTTTAAAAACTCTTTAGTCACTTTGTTATTCTTACATTTCATTTGTGATAATTGATTAACATGTTTGTATTTGAAGACATTAATCACAATTTAGAATATATAAGGAGCACACAGATACTACTCTGTATCTTTTAGATTTCCTTATACCTATGAAAGATGTTATTCAGAATTCAATATGTTCATTTAAGTTTGATATAAATATTTTTCTGAAAAGAAAGAATTGAGCCATAAATGAATTGTTGTGGGATATGCTGTTTGGTCCTTTGGGCTCAAGGCTTAATATTAATAAGACTCCTGAACTGAGCCAGGAATCCCCAGGTCTAGCCCTAATTGGCTTTGTAACCATGAGCAAATTCATTTATCTTTGCATCCTTATAAAATGTCCTACACAAAAAATGTTATTTTTATGAAAGTATTACTCAAATATGAGGTAGTGTTCTCAGGGAGAAGAAAAAACCTTTGCCTTTGAGAATTGGGATGGAAGGGAAGTAACTTTCTTAATTAAATTCAGCCTGTACTATTAGAGAAGGCAGCACAGTGCAAAGCAAGAGTCAGAACTCATTTGCTTACCAAAGCCAGGAGGGAAGCATGAATATATGAATTGGGCCTATATAAGACTTAGGGAATTGTTGGAGTCTCTGTGTATCTCTCTTGTCTAAAAATCAGATTAATTAAAAATAAATACCATGAAAGTTATACAGAACAGTTCTACAGGGAGGATTCTTCCTGTGAGCTTCCAGTTTTCAACCTCTGGTTTAAAGAAAAAAATGGGCCTGGTGTGGTGGCTTGTGCCTGTAATCCCAGCACTTTGGGAGGCCAAGGCAGTTGGATTGCTGGAGTGTAGGAGTTCGAGACCAGCCTAGGCAACATAGTTTGAGACCAGCCTAGGCAACATATTTTGTCTCTACAAAAAATAGAAAAAATTAGCTGGTCATGGGTGGTACGTGCCTGTAGTCCTAGCTACACGGCAGACTGAGGTGAATCATTTGAGCCCGGTGGGGCTCGAGCCTGCAGTGAGCTGTGATTGTGTCACTGCACTTTATCCTGTATACTGTTCAGCAGAGTGCCAAACATGTAGTAGGCACTCAATGATGTTTGATGGCCAGCTAGCTAGATGGATAATGGATGGATGGATGGATAATCGAATGAATGACTAGAAGGCTGTTCATCCTAGCAGCATGTGTATACAGTATATTGAGTTGTCTTTGCAATTGGTTTGCTCTTTTTTTTATTTGAGTCTCATGAGCAAAATATAACAATAGATTTTTGAAAACATCTTTTATGTTTTTAACATTCTAGTCTCTTACATCTTTAGGTGTCAAAATTTAGTATGCCCAACATTAAATTTGTGGCATTGCTTTCACCAGCTTAATTTCATGAGCTTTGGCTGGGATTTGGAAACATTGCATCTTGTTTTGATGATTTTCTGATTGGCTGGAAGCCTCAAATGGATGTCACATGCTGTTAGAGCAGACTTTGCAAAGAAAAAGACAGTTGATCTTCTTTGTTTCAGGTGGTCTGTTCCCTCAGTTTAGGTTTTGTTTGATTTGGGGAGTATTTATTAACTTTAGGGATGAGTTGCATTTTCTTTCTAATATCCATTTGTTCACAAAAACACCTAGTAGGTATTCAGTTCATATTGGAATGAATGAGAAAATGAGCAGCACATCAATTGTAACAAATGTACCACTTTGGTCGGAGATGTTGATAATGGGGGAGGCTATATGCATGTGTGGAGGCAGGGGATATATAGGAAATCTGTCTACCTTCTGTTCAATTTTGCTGTGAACCTAAAAGCGCTCTAAAAAATAAAGTTTATTAAAAAAAAAAAAAAAAACAGCAGAAAGCACTGTTCCTGAGAAGTGGAAACAGCATGAGCCTCTGAATAAGAAAAACCTATTTGAATACTGATTCTACCTCTCACAATTATCACTCACCTTGGATAGATAACATGGCTGAGTCCGTGTATATCCATAATATGGAAATGATAATACTTAAACTATATTACAGATTTTCAATATTCTTAGTTTAAATTAGGTCAACATTCTGATTTTTTTGTTGGGAAAATATGGTCATCATATTTCAGCTCTTGGACTTTTTACCATGGAATTTTAAAACCATATACTTCTGGACACATTTTAAAAAGTAAAATGTACAGACATGAGATGTGAGGGGAAATCATGTAATTTAGCCACCAATTTGTGCAGTTTGTATAATTATGACAAATAACACAATGCTGTCTGTATTTGTTAAGTTTTCCTGTGATTGACTTCAGAATATCAATGAATCTTAAACCAGACTTTTTCTGTTATTCATTTGCTGCTTTGAGCTTGTTTCTCTGCCTATCCATTTTTTATATAGCTCAGAAAATTAAACAATTGAGATCTTGAGTTTCATATTATACCATTAATTTGCTTATTACAATCATAACATAGTATATTTAGTAGGGCACAGCTGGATTTTCTTTTATTTGCATATGCCTTATGGTAATACTATGACTAGTAACTCATTATTTAATATGGAATATCTACTGTAGTGGAAATCTAGAAGAAATATGAGTGCTGAATAAGGTAGTAAGGGAGATTTGTAGTCTATACTTATTTGATCTTTGTTTCCATCTATTTCTCCAATTGTTTTTTTTAAAATCTCATCCATTGATTTATTTATTCTAAACATATATTTTGAGCATCAACTATGTGTCACACACTATGCTAGGCAATAAGTATGCATTGATGAATAAACCATGCATAATTCCCTCATGAAGCTTGCTTTATCTGTAGCAGTAGACGCAATTTTGCTCCTGTTACCCAGGCTGGAGTGCAATGGCACAATCTCGGCTTACTGCAACTTCTGCCTCCCAGGTTCAAGCGATTCTCCTGCCTCAGCCTCCCGAGTAGCTAGGATTACAGACATGCACCACCACGCCTGGCTAATTTTGTATTTTTAATAGAGATGGGGTTTCTCCATGTTGGTCAGGCTAGTCTCGAACTCCTGAACTCAGGTGATCCGCCCTCCTTGGCCTCTGAAAGTGCTGGAATTACAGGCATGAGCCACCATGCCCGGCCTCTTTGTTCTTTTAAAAGGTACAGTTATTATTGACTGTAGTCACCCTGTTGTGCTATCTTCGAGACAGGGTCTTGCTGTGTCACCTAGGCTGGAGTGCAGTGGCATGATCTTGGCTCACTGCAGCCTTGACCTCCTGGACTCAGGCAATCCTCCCACCTCAGCCTCCCAAGTAGCTGGGACTACAGGCACAAGCCACCATGCCTGGCTAATTTTTTAATTTTTTTTGTAGAGACAGGGTCTTAATATGTTGCCCAGGCTGGTCTTAAACTCCTGGGCTCAAGCAGTCTGCCAAATTCCCAAAGTGCTGGGATTACAGATGTGAACCATCCTGCTCAGCCAAATACTAGGTCTTATTCATTCTATTTTTTTTTTTTTTGGTACCCATTAACCATCCCTACCTCCCCTTCACCCCTCTACTACTCTTCTCAGCCTCTGTTAACCATCCTTCTCTATCTCCATGAGTTCAATTGTTTTGATTTTTAGATCCATAAATAAATGAGAATACAAGATGTTTGTCTTTCTGTGCCTGGCTTATTTCACTTAAAGTAATGACCTCCAGTTTCATTCATGTTGTTGCAAATGACAGGATCTCATTTTTTAAATGACTGAATAGTACTCCATTGTATATAAGGGCCACATTTTCTTTATCCATTCATCTGTTGGTAGACACTTAGGTTGCTTCCAGATCTTGGCTATTGTAGACAGTGCCACAACTAACATAGGAGTACAGATACCTCTGTGATATACTGATTTCTTTTCTTTGGGGTATATACTGAGCAGTGGGATTGCTGGATCATATGGTAGCTCTATTTTTAGTTTTTTGAGAAACCTCCAAACTGTTCTCCATAGTGGTTGTATTAATTTACATTCCGATCAACAGTTTACAAGGGTTCCCTTTTTTCCACATCCTCACCAGCATTCATTATTGTCTGTCTTTTGGATAAAAGCCATTTTATCTGGGATGAGATGATATCTCATTGTAGTTTTGATTTGCATTTCTCTGATAATCAGTGACGTTGAGTACCTTTTCATATGCCTGTTTGCCATTTGTATGTCTTCTTTTGAGAAATGTCTATTCAAGTCTTTTGCCCATTTTTTAATTGGATTATTAGATTTTTTTTCCTATAGAGTTGTTTGGAGCTCCTCATGTGTTCTGGTTATTAATCCCTCGTCAGATGGGTAGTTTGCATATATTTTCTTCCATTTTGTGGGTTGTCTCTTCACTTTGTTGATTGTTTTCTTTGCTGTGCAAAAGCTTTTTGCCTTGATGTGATCCCATTTGTCCATTTTTGCTTAGGTTGCCTGTGCATGTGGGGTATTACTCAAGAAATCTTTGCCCAGTCCAATGTCCTGGAGAGTTCTCCCAATGTTTTCTTGTAGTGGTTTCATAGTTTGAGGTCTTAGATTCAATTCTTTAATCCATTTATGTTTGATTTTTTATGTGGTGAGAGATAGAGGTCTAGTTTTATTCTTCTGCATATGGATATTCAGTTTTTCAGCACACTTTTTGAAGAGACTGTCTTTTCCCCAATGTATGTTCTTGAGGTTTAACTCGCAGGCAACCTAAGCAAAAATGGACAAATGGGATCACATCAAGGTAAAAAGCTTTTGCACAGCAAAGAAAGCAATCAACAAAGTGAAGAGACAACCCACAAAATGGAAGAAAATATATGCAAACTACCCATCTGACGAGGGATTAATAACCAGAACACATGAGGAGCTCCAAACAACTCTATAGGAAAAAAAATCTAATAATCCAATTTTGTTCTTGACACCTTTCCCAAAAATGAGTTCACTATAGATGTGTGGATTTCTTTCTGGATTCTCTATTCTGTTCCATTGGTCTATGTGTCTATTTTCATGGCAGTAGCATGCTGTTTTGGTTACTATTCCTTTGTAGTATAATTTGAAGTCAGGTAATATGATTCCTCCTTTTTTTTTTTTTTTCTTTTTACCTTAGGATAGCTTTGGCTATTCTGGGTCTTTTATCGTTCTGTATAAATTTTAGGGTTTTTCCTATTTCTGTGAATGTCACTGGTATTTTGATAGAAATTACATTGAATGTGTAGATTGCTTTGTGTATGTACTGTGAACATTTTCACAGTATTGATTCTTCCAATCCATGAACATGGAATATCTTTCCTTTTTTTTTTTTTTTTTTGGTGTCCTCTTCAATTTTTTTCATCAGTGGTTTATAGTTTTCATTATAAGCATGTGTACAAATTCGTAGTTACAAATTATAATTCTATGACTGAAATAACTAGGGAGCAGTACATAGATTAAATGTTAGGCAAGGCCTTCATGATGGAGTTATACCGAGTGAGGTTTGAAGAATAAGTAGGAGCCAGGCATGGGGTAAAAGAAAAAGAGTCATTTAAACAAAAGGCATATTCAAAGCCCCAAGGTGGGAGAGAGTTTGGCATGTTTGAGGAGGTTGAAGGGAGGGCAATGTGGCCGGATCATAATGTAGTGGGGCTGAATGAGGAAACTATGGAGAAGTAGATAAGGATGAAATCATGTGAGGCTTTACAGACTGTAGTAAGAAGTTTTGATTTTTTTCCCCAAGAACTATGGGAATACAACTGAAAGGTTTTCAACATGGGAGTGACCATGTTTGTGCTTTCAAAAGATGGCTTTGGATGCTGTGTGGAGAAGAGACTATAGGAGATAAGGATGGAAAGAAGGAGGCCAGTAGGGAGGCAATTGCAGATAAGAGGTGATACTCAAGAGGAGATGACAAGAGTTAGATAAACTTAAGACATATTTTGGATATAGAACCTACAGGGCTTACTGATAAGCTGAACAGGAGGCTTGAGGCAAAGGGTCAGGGATCACTCTAGATTTCTGATTAGAGAAACTGAGGTGTATGTTTGCATTGTTTTCTGAGATAAGGAATACTAGTCCTGGGCAGGCTTATGGGGAGAGAATGGAAGTTGAAGTGGGGAGTATAGTTCTAACATGATAAGTTTCAGATGACTGTGAGACTGTCATTGGAGATGACACATAGTTGAATATATGAGTTCAGAGTTTAGAGAGAGTGATATACAGACAGTCTCCAGCTTACCATGGTTTGACTCAATGATTTTATGACTTTATGATTTTTTTGACTTTATCAGAACTGAGCCTTGTAAGTTGAGGAGCATCTGTACATTTGGGATTCACCGGCAAATAGTTGATATTTAAAGTCCTGGTACTAATGGGATCACTTGGGGGAAAGTTATAGAGAGAGAAAAGAGAGCTCAGGACCAGCCCAATCTTTTGAAAATCTGCAGCATTATAATTAACTTAATTTTCTGACTGATTTAGATGTTATCTGACAATCACAGAGAATTCTGCATCTCCATGTTCTTTTCACAGCTCATAAAGGCAATTTAATTATTTATTTGTAAATAATTAAAGTATTAGTCTGTTCTCATGCTGCTATAAGGTCATACCCAAGACTAGGTAATTTATAAAGAGGTTTAATCAACTCACAATTCAGCATGGCTGGGGAGGCCTCAGGAAATTTACAATCATGGTGGAAGGCAAAGGGGAAGCAAGGCACCTTCTTTACAAGATGACAGGAAGGAGAAGTACCAAGCAAAATGGGGAAGAGCCCCCTATAAAACCATCAGATCTCATGAGAACTCACTCACTATCATGAGAACAGCATGCAGGAAACTGCCCCCATGATTCAATTAAGTCCACCTGGTCTCTCCCTTATCGGGGTTATAGGGAGTACAATTCAAGATGAGATCTGGGTGGGGACCCATATCAAAGCCTAACCATATCAAAATATTTATTTATAAAACCAAATTTATTTTGTAAGTTAAATGTGTTAACCTGAAACCCACCCACCCCCTCCCCATTTTTTTGAGACAGAGTGTTGCTCTGTCACCCAGGCTGGAGTGCAGTGGCACAATTGGCTTACTGCAACCTCCACCTCCCAGGCTCAAGCGATCCTCCCACCTTGGCCTCCTGAGTAGCTGGGACTGCAGGCACGCACCACCATACTCAGCTAATTTTTGTATTTTCTGTAGAGATGGGGTTTTGCCATGTTGCCCAGGCTAGTCTCAAACTCCTGAGCTTATCCGATCCACCCACCTCAGCCTCCCGAAGTGCTGGGATTACAGGCATGAGCTGCTGCGCCCAGCCTGAAAACCCCCTTTAATAAAATATCTTTCTTTAGCCTATTAATAAACTTTTCTGGAAACCAAACATTATTTTGAACACTTCCCTCTCAAGGGAAAATAAATGTAGAAGGTGGAGGAAACTCAACCAAATATCTAATTTGCCAAGAACTTTCCCTAGAAGCTTGTTTAAGTAAGTCAGTCAGTCACTGATAGCAATTTCTGTTCTTGTCTATAACCTCTTCTAAAAACAGAATGGAAAATGGAAGGAAACTTTCCCTTGGATGGGGATTTCCAATTTAAATTTGCTCTATTCAGGCCCTATGTCCTATATCAATAGTAAAAGTTGATTGATGTTTGCCTTGGTAGGTGATAATGCTACAGCTCAACCTTTCTTCTGGATTTATGGCTTTGTTTTTTATATTTCTTGTCTCCATATGTTTGTTCCATGTGTTTCTTTGGAATTTTTTTTTTTTTTAAACATAGTCTGGCTCTGTCTCCCAAGCTGGAGTGCAGCAGGGCGAGCTCAGGTCATTGCAGCCTCCACCTCCCGGGTTCAAGTGATTCTCCCGCCTCAGCCTCCCGAGCAGCTGGGATTACAGGCGTGCACCACCATGCCCGGCTAGTTTTTGTATTTTTAGTAGAGATGGGGTTTCGCCATGTTGGCTAGACTGGTCTCGAACTCCTGACCTCAGGTGATCTACTGCCTCAGCCTCCCAAAGTGCTGGGATTACAGGTGTGAGCCACTGCGCCCGGCCTCTTTGGAGATTTTTGAGCTAGATGTACATCTTAAAGATTTTTTGTTTTAAAAGTCATATTAAAACCAATCCTACCCAATTCCATTTCTCTTGGCTTTTTAGGTAACCCGTAAGTAACTGTGGATATTTTGTTTTGCTTGCAGGTTGGCTTGCTTGCCTTGTTAACTCCGTAGCTCTAAAACTCACCAAAGTTAATTTTAAAAATTATTCTTTCTAACATGAAGCACTTCAGAGTTCTATTACTTTCACCTTACTGTACCAAAAAATACTTTTTTTTTTTTTGAGACCAAGTTTCACTCTGTTGCCCAGGCTGGAGTGCAGTGGTGTGATCTCGGCTCACTGCAGTCTTTGCCTCCCCGGTTCAAGTGATTCTTATGCCTCAGCCTCCTGAGTAGCTGGGATTATAGGCACGCGGCACCACGCCCAGCTAATGTTTGTGTTTTTAGTAGAGATGGGGTTTCACCATGCTGTCCAGGCTGGTCTCGAACTCTTGGACTCAAGCTATCCACCTGCCTCGCCTCCCAAAGTGCTGGAATTACAGGCGTGAGCCACCCCACCCGGCCCCCAGAATACTTTTTACACTACCAGGAATATCCACCTATAAGCCCTCCTCTTGTACTCCATAGCACCTTGTTACGAGACCGCTAGCTCCTCTGCCTTTTTTTTATTTTTATTTTTTATTTTTGTAGAGATGGGGGTCTTGCTGTGTTGCTAAGGCAGGTCTAAAACTCCTGGCCTGAAGCTGTCTTCCCGCCTTAGCCTCCCAAAGTGCTGGGATTATAGGCGTAAGCCACCATGCCAGGACTTCTCTGCCTTCTTTAGTTATTGTTCCTGTACCCACTTAACCTTTTGTAAATATCATTATTCTCTTTTGGGAGGGAGGGAGATTTCTTTCTTTGTTAATGTAGTCTCTAGGAATAGGGATATACACTCTTTTTAATATTACTATTTTGATTCTTGAATGGGAGCCAAGAGTTCATGTTGATGTTATACTGTGCTGTTATGGCCACTGAGTAATATTAATAATAGTCACCAATTCCATGGGATTGTAAAACAAATTGAAAGCTGTAAACTCTCCATTTTCAAGAATTAGAGCTGGAGTTAGTTTAAAAACAAACATGTGCATAATACAAAAGAAACAATTTAACCCTTTAATAACTTTGAAAACAAAGAGCAATCATAATGTCTAATAGACAACTGCTTTCCACCAGTGTTTTTCCATTTAACAAAATCAATCAGGCTTATTAAAGGATTTGGCTGAAATAAGAGTTCCCTATGTTGTATTAAGGACAGTAACTCATTTCAGTGTTCTACAATGTAATTATTCATCTGTTGTTGAACATTTGAGCTGATATATGTAATATAAGAAAAAATAGGGAATATTTTTGTATAAATATTTATACACCTCTCTATTTCTTTAAATTCTGTAATCGACTAATAGGTCATGAACATCTTTAAGATTTTTGACACAATGTCATATTACTTTCAGAAAAATTTTACTATTTTACACTCCCAGCCATTAGTATGTGAGAGTTCCTCTTTCACTTTTCCCAGGTTTGGAAACATTTATAATCTCTTATCTTTGCCAGTCTGAAAGATGAAAGTGGAGCTTGTTTTATTTTGCATTTTTTATTAATTAAGTAGGGCATGTTTATTTTTATGATTTATTTTCTTATTTATTTTAAAAAATCAAATGAATCAGAAAGCACTAATATAAATAGAACAGTGTATCTTTATTCCACACTGACATGAAAAAGAATTGCCTACAAATGGCTGCAAGAGAGTATATTTTCAAATCTTGTTGTCTTGAGAGATTAGATGTAAACTTACAATTCTGCTATGAATATCTCAAGCTCTAAACAGTATTCAGTAGGATGTTAACATTCTGAGTCCAATGTTCCAGAACATAAATTTGCCAGTTCTCTGAAAACACTGGAACAGAAATGGAAAATTCAATAGCCCTACTTCAGTGACTTCCTTACAATCCACCAATGGGCAAAATGCAGGCAAGACTGCCAGCTGCTCTGTATCTGCAAACATTTGTGCAGAACTAATTTTAAGAGCAGATGTTGGAAATAAAGAGAAAAAAAAAAACAATTGCAGCCTCCCCTCTGAGAAAGTTAGACCTATCCCGTGACTTCTCAGATGCCCCATAACCCTGTTAGCCAGAGTTTCATTCCAAAAATACCATATTTTGCTTCCTTACTTTCTCATGTGAAAAGTTTTAGAAATGCTTAAGGGAATATAACAACTTCAAAAAGTCTTAGTACTGCTTCAGTTGGCCCTGTATGATGTTGTCATATATAGAAGAGTCTTTGTCTGCAATTAGAGTTTACTCATGAAAGATTCCATTCTGACCTTTGGGGTGTGCAGACTTCAATTGTATCATATCCATCTAAAAGAAAGCCTGTTTGTTTTGTATTGAGGTAGAAATTACAGATTATGAAGAGAAAAACTCTAAGAGAAAACTCTTATTTTTATCAAATAGACAATGAAGGCATGGTAGTTCAGTAGAAATTTGCTAAATCAGTGTCTGAATGATTTCATGTACAGATTTTAGATTTATGGTATCAGTATTCCAGATCTCCAAACAAGTTCACACAGACCCCAGTAGATGCCTGTGTGACACTTGTCAGTATCCTCACTCACATGTCAGAGTTTAATCAAATCTGGTTTTTCCTGGGACTTGCTTACTGCTAAAAGGCTAAAGACGTTCTTTTGTTATTATTCGATTTTAAAATTTATTTTTGTTTAATTTTTTAAACTAGGTAAGACATTTACAAAGTTCAAAAGTCAAAACCTCATAAAGGGTATATAATGAAGTCATCCTCTACTTTCGTACCCTGGCCATCCAGTTCTCCTCTTCACAAACAATATTAATAGTTTTCTTTGTCTCTTTGCATGCATAGACATGCAAGCATACACACACACATTCTTCTCTTTTACACTAATGGTGACATACTATATACAATATTGCATATTTTGCTTTTTTTTTTTTTACCTATTCTGCTTTAGAAATATTTCCATATTAGTACATCAAAAACTTCCTTGTTTTTATTTATTTCAGATAATATTCCATTATATAGATACACCATAATGTATTTAACCAGTCTCCAGGATATCGTTATTATAATAAATGCTGCAATGAGTAACATTGGGAAAATGTCATTTAACATAATTATAATCAATTCCTAGAAATAGAATTGCGGGCCCAAAGGGAATAGTTTTATTTTTAATAGACATAAAGCTAGGATGGGACCCAAGGTCCTATCCTAAAACCAAACCTGAAAAAAAAAATAGTACCGACCAATATCCCATGCAAGAAGTCCATGCCTAAACTCCAGGTTTTTTTCTAGGATCAGGCCAATGACTATCATAAACACCTATGATTTAGTATCTATTCCTACTGCCTATGAGGAGAGTTCTGATTTCAACTGGGCCTGCACTCTGTGCAGAGATCAACACAGACTGATTTCTGCAGGCGACCTTCCTGCACTTCATATGGTTTATGAGAAAAAGCCGTTGTCAAAAGCAGCTTATTCTTTCCTGCAATTTTCTTTTCAGAGGAACTCTTTTCTTTGGCAATAATCAGGGGGTCTTATTCACAAGGGTCTCTGCTAATCTCTTGCCCTGGGCAGGGTAATTCTTCCCTATGACTTGGCAGTTCCCCGATCTTTCATTTCTTCCTTGATGCTCTCCTATTTTGGGTCTCTAGTCTCTTGCTTTTGTTAGTTAGGGCTAAATTCTTGTCCTGAATCTTCCCTTTGGCCTAAAGCTTAGAGACCCAAGGTGTTTCTCTTTGGCCTCCATAAAGACACAAAGCATCCTAGGCAAGGGACACTACAAGGGGACAGCCTTGTGGCTATCTCTGAAGCCCTACCTCAAAGTTGAGCTTCCGCTCACCAGCAAGCTGCTCTTTAAGTTATGGTTGGCTTGGATTTCGGGCAACCAACACTCTTGATTGTAGGAGGCATTCCTTGATTACTGAAGTCCCTAGATTACTAAGATCCTCCTTTAGCTTTTGGGAGTTTCTCACCCCAGTGGTTCTCATGACACCTCCCAATTATGGTTTAGTAGGTAAGACCCCTTGTATTGACCATCTCTCTAGAATCTCTGTCCGTTGAAGCAATTTCTGAATTCATCTCCAAAATCCTTTTCCTAAGATGGAAACTAGTTTAGAGAAATGTTCATTTCTTTGAGAAACATCTCTTTTTAGACACTCTCACTCCTCTGTTCTCTGGCTCTGGGGCATTGCTATTTTATGGCTAGAATCTTTTGAAACACTTCTACTCTTATCCCTTTACTTATTTCCTGACATTGCTCAACCTGTAATCAGCTCTGAGCTACCTCTATTAGCATTCTATAAAGTCCCACTTTTCTAGGTTATTTTCCATGATGCTGGATGAGAGGGACTGAAAAGTCTGCCAATTTTTCTCCCCATCCAAGGGAACGGGGAGGATTCTGCAGGCCCATGACCAATATTCGACAGGGCTTCTTCCAAGAATTTCCTGGTGGGAACTGAGTTTTTTTTTTTTTTTTTGAGGTGGAGTCTTGCTCTGTCGACCAGCCTGGAGTGCAGTGGCACGATCTCAGCTCACTGCAACCTCTGCCTCCTGGGTTCAAGCAATTCTCCTGCCTCAGCCTCCCAAGTGGCTGGGACTACAGGCACAAGCTGCCACGCCCAGCTAATTTTTTGTATTTTAGTAGAGATGGGGTTTCACCTTGTTGCCCAGGCTCATCTCGAACTCCTGAGTTCAGGCAATCTGCCCGCCTCGGCCTCCCAAACTGCTAGGATTACAGGCATGAGACACCGCACCCAGCCGGGAACTGAATTTTATGTGAGCACCTTGTCTTCTGCCTCCATGAGGGTTCCCCCAAGGCGCTTGGCAACCTCCCTATGGTGTTGGCTACTGAACTGTGGGTGACCGAGAAGAAAGGCAGACTAGGACAAAATGTGTAATTGGGCTTCTCTCATCTTTAACAATTTTATGGATTCAAGGATCTTGAGGGGTAGGTACTACCTCTGCTGTACCCAAAATTAACTGAGTTTTTAGTACATGTCAAGGGTTTAGATCAGGGAAGAAGAGCCCTAGAGAGTTATTCAGGTGATATTCTTCTCAGAGAGTTTTAATCATTGGTATAACTGTTTCTCCAAAGAATAGGGAATGAATCTCTTTGAAAGATTATACCTGAGGTTTACAAGCTTTCACTTAGCTCCTTCTAGGCAGCTTCTCTCATCATAGTGCACTTAATCAATTAGAATACAAAATGACCTTGTTACAGTGTGAGGACATCTTGTGGTCAGAATGCTATATAGGAAATTAATTGCAAATATAAGACCATCACTCACTTTACCCCCAGTTCAGCCTGGTAGTTCTTAATTTTAGGTATCTCTAGCCTTCCTTGATATCAATCTAGGTTCCTCTTCTAATACTAGAGCTAAATCTTTCAGTTCTCTTATTTATTAAAGAAGGAATAGAGCTCTTTACTTGCGAGGAAATAGGCTCTTTTCACAATCATCTGACACCTAACTTTGTAGTCTCAGCATTCTAAGTAACAGCGATCTTTCTGCACTTGTCTTTCTTTCCTGGCATACATCCCCAGACAAATGTTCAAGGGATGCTTTTCCCTCCTTTCTTACTCAGTGTCTTCTTTTCTTCAGATGCCTTTCTGAAGTTGCTTAGTTTCTCTAAAATATCTGCCTTTTGCTGTTCAAACCTTCATTCTGTAAGGAAATAACAGAACTCCACCTCTTTGCACACATACAGTGATCATACTACCTGATACACACGTTAGCATCTCTAAAACCTAATTTACTTTCATAGTCCAGGTCCCAAATCAAGCTACACAGATTTTTTTTGTTAAGTGTTTTTGTGGCAGGGGCTGGGGGAAGTTGATGGTTGTATTTAAACCACAGATAGCTCTCATATATTGGTCTGAGGAGAGAAATAAATAACTAGAATGCTACAGTTTTAAAGACTGTAAAACTAATATGTAAGGTGATTTACAAGTGAATGGAGGTCAAAAGAATTGCATGCTTTCAGCACACACAGAGTTAACCTTGCAGTATCTCCTTGTTTTGCCAGCCTGCTGTTACCTCATGAAGTTAACAGGACTGATCTTTTAAAAACTCCTACACAGGGCTGGATATGTTGGCTTATGCCTGTAATCCCAGCACTTTGGGAGGGAGCAGGAAGATCACTTGAGCCGAGGAGTTTGAAATCAGCCTGGGCAACAGGGAGACCCCATTTCTACCAAAAAAAAAAAAATCAAAAAATTAGCTGGGCGTGGTGGCACATGGCCTGTAGTTTCAGCTACTCAGGAGACTGAGATGGAAGGATCGTGTGAGCCCTGGTGATGGAGTTTGAAGTGAGCCGATATGGCACTACTGCACTCCAGCCTGGGCAACAGAGCGAGACCTTGTCTCTAAAAATAAAAATAAAATAAATAAAACTACACAGAACAGGAGGGAAATCAGCAGCTAACTTAATAGCAGAAGCCTAACCCAAAATGGAAAATAATAGAATATTTGGTTTGCCTAAGGAGAGAGAAACCAGCCTCTCTATGAATTTCCATTTCAGTTCTCCTCAGCCATTTAATTAGCAACTAGACACATAACTCCAAGAGCTTCTCTTTTGTGCCCTGATATTCTAGGTCTAGAAGTTCTGAGATGCTGTTGCCATTTTTTTCTCATTGTTCTTTTCATGGGTTTTCAGACAGGAGTGAACATCTACCTCTGGCTCCTTGGCTTTTCCCTGTCTGTATAAACTTGTTTATTAACTTGTTGTTTTTTGTGGATGATTACTTCTCAGAATCTGTCATAGTACCTAACTTGGTGTGCATTTTGCACTATATAGGTGTTGATCAAATACAAGTAGCAGCCCTCTATGTAAACCGAATAACTTGTACATATGAATGACTGCTTTTGCATCTCACTGGAGATAACCCCACTTTGCTTTTGGTAGTTTTGCTATCAGTTGCTAGTTTAGGAATCCAAGCATTAGTTAGGAATGTTTCTGTGAGAAAACATAATTCAATATCTACACATAAATTTCTAAATGATCTTTGTACTGCTTGTTTTCAGTTAATTGATTTTTCTAAACTGGTTTCAAATTCTTCCAGCATATAGTCTCCTTTGCTCCCTTATTTCTTTTCTTTCTTTTTTTTTTTTTTTTGAGATGGAGTTTCACTCTGCCACCCAGGCTGGAATACAGTGGCACGATCTAGGCTTACTGAAGCCTCCGCCTCCTGGGTTCAAGCGATTCTCCTGCCTCAGCCTCCTGAGTAGCTGGGACTGCAAGGCACCCACCACCATGCCTGGCTAATTTTTTGTATTTTTAGTGGAGACAGGGTTTCACCATGTTGACCAGGCTGGTCTCGAACTCCTGACCTCAGGTAATCCGCCCGCCTCAGCCTCCCAAAGTGCTGAGATAACAGGCGTGAGCCTCCATGCCCAGCCTGCTCCCTCATTTCTGATATTTGTAAATTTATTGTTCTTCATCTTCTGGTAGTCTTTAGAAGACACTAATTTTTAATTAATCACAATTAGACTTTGTTTCAGGTTCCATTGCTATTTTCTCTGCAGCTTCAACTATTTCTGTCTTTTATAGGTTAAATTAATGAAACCAAACCCCATTTGGGTTCAGTGAAATCTGTGATAGGAATTAAGGTCAGCAAAGTCTTCTTCCCCTTCAAGGAATGATTTTTTAGAGTATTTGTGATTTATTCTTGGTATCCATGATTCTTCCTTAAACTAGGGTTAGAAGTTCCTTAGAGCCCTGACAAATGATACAGTGCATTTTTACTCTCAGCAAATTATCTGCCAGGAAGAGGTTGAATCCCAAGTCCTCCCTCTTTATTTTATAGACTGGATAGGAAACTGGGTTGTAAAGCTTTCCTGCTGGGGATCTCTAATTTCCAAATTGAGTTTAAACTGCTGATTCTCTTTCTTCCCTCCAAGCTCTGATGTTAAAATAAATGTTATCTCTCCACACAGCTGCAGTGATTTAATTGTTGTGCTGTATCAATCTTAAGTTGCAGAAATTACTTTACACTTCTTTTAATTGTAGACTTACCATTTTAGAATATTAAGTCTGTTTTTGTATCTGAGTCAAATATGTATAATAGAGAAGACATTTATCTCTTATTTCAATTTGGTTGTAGAGAAACTGTTTCTTCAGTGCCTGGAGAAGTCATTGGAATTTGGAAACCCACTGCTTAACTGTTTTCATAGGAGTGATATGATTCCACCATTCTAGTTTTAATGCAGTGATTTAAGTGCTATATACAGAAGCAAATACTTTGGACCAGTGGCTCTGAAACTTTAATTTATATCTGAATTACCTGGAGGGCTTGTGAAAAACACATTTCTGGGCACTACACTAGATTTTTATTTGGTAGATCAGGGGTGGGGCCCAAGAATTTGCATTTCTAGCAAGTTGTCAGGTGATTCTGCTGGTCTGGAGACCACACTGAGAATCACTGCTTAGAGGATTTTTTTCTCTCATTTCAGAAACATGCCCTTTTAGGGAAGCTGATTATATTAGAAAAAGAGAAGGGAAAAAATTCAAAAACAAAAAACAAACAAAACTACCTCAAGGAGATGACAGCGTTGTTTCTTTTTTTTTTTTTTTAGTAAGTATTCAGATTATCTCTGTGTGAGGGTGTGAATTTGCAACTACAAGTAATGTGGCATTTGTATGGGATCTGAGATGTGATCAAGTGAACATTCAAAGAATGATAAGCAAAATCTTTAAATCTTATCACCGTTAGTTGCAATAGAAGACTTAGAAAGACAAGGAGAGATATTGTGAAAAAGTATGAGTATATCTATAAGAGACCTGAATTAAAATCTCTACTCTACCACTTAGACTTCATTTATATGAATTTGGAGTGTGTAACCTTACTGGGTTCTTTTAGTATTTTTTTAATCTATCTATCTATTTATTTATTTATTTATTTATTTATTTATTTAGATGGAGTTTTGCTGTTGTTGCCCAGGCTGGAGTGCAATGGCGCAATCTTGGCTCACTGCAACCTCTGCCTCCTGGGTTCAAGCAATTCTCCTACCTCAGCCTCCTGAGTAGCTGAGATTACAGGCGCCTGCCATCACGCCCAGCTAATTTTTTGTATTTTTAATAGAGATGGGGTTTCATCATGGTGGCCAGGCTGGTCTTAAACTCCTGACCTCAGGTGATCCACCCACCTCGGCCTCCCAAAGTGCAGGGGTACAGGCGTGAGCCACCGCGCCCAGCCTAGTATTGAATGAGATAAGAAATCTGAAATGCTTTACCTATGGTAGCTGTCCATCAAAGTTACTTTCATAGAAGCTGGCATCCTCAGTTGCTTTTGTACACTCAGGAATCTTTTCAAAGTTTAAGGGTGATAAATTTTATCCAAAGTAATTACTCGTAAAATAATTGGATCCCAACAATTACACCCCTGTGCATCTGTAGAAGTGCAGACATAGAAGATGTGGGACTTACTCTCCAAGCACACAAAATCTACTTATAGATTTAGGATTCTTTCTTTTGAAGTACCAGAATACCATATTAAAAGTGAGATAATGTTTAAGATGAGAAGGCCAGGAGCAAGGCAATTATAGACTTGATACAGTGATTAATGCAGTTGTCAAGGTTCTGAGTTCTGTCTGTCTGCTCTACCATCTTTAACTTGCTTCCTTTTGTCCTTGGGCCTCTCTTTTTGAGGTCACAAAATGGCTGTCACAGCTCTAGATATCAAATCTGCATAACTGCATCCAAAGGCATAGAAAGGGCAGTTTGTTTTCTCAAATCTCCTTTGTCATGGTGGAAAACTTTTCCCACAAGCCACAGCAGACTTGTCCTCAAGCCTTGAAGACCAGTATTAAGATGTATGACTGTTCTGGGCTTCAGGGAGGCTAAGCTGAAAAGGCAGGTACTTGGCATTGTTAGCCTGAGTACTGGACTGGTAGGTAAAAGAGGTTAGAGATGACTGTTGGGTAGACAACAGAAACAGAAGCCACAGGGAGACAAGACTGCACAGATTAGAGAACAGTTCTGGGCAATTTATCATTAGGCTGAATTGTGTGCTCTAGGCCAGGAGTTGGCAATCTTTTTTTGTTGTTGTTGTTAAGGACCAGTTAGTAAATATTTCAGGCCTCCCCTAAAGATGCCAAAAGCCACATATGGTCTCTGTTGCACATTCTTTGTCCTTTTTTTTAAAAAAAAAACAATCCTTTTTAAAATGCAAAAGCCATTCTTAGCTTGCTGGCTGTATAAAAACAGACCATGGGCCACATTTGGCCCACAGGCTATAGTTTGCCAACCCCTGCCTACATAAGGAAGGTTCAGAAGGGATCTCCTACTTCAGTGGGGCTGAAGTAATCATTTTGAAGCCTCCTGAAATTCTGGGATTTGACTGGTGCTTTGAAGGATGGGTGAGATTTGGACTGAGAGATGTGTTCCTTCTAAAGGGCACAGTGAGAGGAGAAACAAGCCTATGATACTTACCATAACACAGTTGTGTGTTACGTGCAATGAGTGAAGAGCAGCAATACCTTTGCAAATGAAATAGGCTAATTGCAGGCCAGAGTTAGGGAGTAATGTGGCATGAGTATCTTGACTCTCTTAGCCACTGACAGGCCAAGCTGCTAAGAGGCTCTGAGAAATGAAGATGCTCTTTTGGCTTAAAGCTTCCATGTTGATCTGGAGCCCAAGGGAGGCAGTGTTTCATGTAACGGCTCTTCCAGTAGGAGCTGTTGCTACTATTACTATTAAGGAACAAATATCATGTGTTCAGGGGAGTGAAGACTGTTGGTCTCTTAATTATACCTACATACAAAGATTATAACTTATCTTCAAGTTGTGTTATTTTTATAGCAACAAGGAAGAATTGCAACAACTAATACTAAGTCACTGATTCATTGAACATTTATTGAATGTTTACTGTGTGCCAGGCCCTGGCAGTACAAGTTGAGAAGCTCATAGTCCAGAGGGGGATAAAGAACCTGTATAGCAATAATTACAGTAGTGAGTTAAGAGTTAGAAAATGTGTGCACAAGGAACTGTGGATGCCTGGAAGAAGGAACCAGTCAATTTATCCTGATTTAAATTTTCAAATTGACTCAGTTAAATTCAGTAACCACAGATTGTATCCCTAATACTAGACAATTTGCAAATCTGTACCATTTATCACGAAAAAAGCCTATGTAAAATACTATGAGTGGATTAAATCCAAATCATCACCTCTCCAGAAAAAGCTATTTCAAACATTCTGTGGCTGATATTAAGTTTTTGCGATCCTCTTTATGTGCAAAGTATATAACTATAGTGTTGTATTTCCCATTGTACTTAATTAATTTTTTGCTTCCCAGTTTATTGGTGTAAACACTGGATTCTAGAAAACAATTGTTTCCCCCCAGTAAAGCCTTCAAAGACGAAGATTATGGGCCAGGCACAGTGGCTCATGCCTGTAGCACTTTGGGAGGCCCAGGTGGGCGGATCATGAGGTCAGGAGTTCAAGACCAGCCTGGCTAACATAGTGAAACCTCATCTCTACTAAAAATACAAAGCCGAGCATGGTGGCGGGTGCCTGTAGTCCCAGCTACTTGGGAGGCTAAGGCAGGAGAATCTCTTGAACCCGGCAGTGGAAGGTTGCAGTGAGCCGAGATCGCACCACTGCACTCTAGCCTGGACAGCACAGCAAGACCGTCTCAAGAAAAAAAAAAGAAGAAGATTATGGTGGTGGGCAGAATAATGGCCTCCAGTAGAGTCCTCATTCTAATCAGCTGTGAACCTGTAAATATGTTATCTTAACATAGTAAACGAGAAATTAAGGTTGCTGATCATATATAACTTTAAAATAGGAAGATTACCCTGGATTATCGGGGCAGGATGCAACATAATCAGTCACAAAGGCTGTTAAAGTAGAAGAGGGACACCCAAAACTATAAAAACCCTAGAAGACAACCTAGGCAGTACCATTCTGGACATAGGAACAGGCAAAGATTTTATGACACAGATGCCAAAAGCAATTGCAAAGAAGTAAAAGTTGACTAGTTGACTCTAATTAAACTAAAGAGCTTCTGCACAGCAAAAGAAACTATCAACAGAGTGAACAGACAACCTGTAGAATGGGAGAAAATGTTTACAAACTATGCATCTGACAGAGGTCTGATATCCAGCATCTATAAGGAACTTAAACAGATATACAAGAAAAAAAAACAAAAAACTCCATTTAAAAGTGGGCCAAAGGGCTGGACACGGTGGCTCACACCTGTAATCCCAGTACTTTGGGAGGCTGAGATGGGAGGATCACTTGAGGTCAGGAGTTCAAGAGTGGCCTGGCCAACATGGTGAAACCTGTCTCTACTAAAAATACAAAAATTAGCCGGGCGTCATGGCACACGCTTGTAATCCCAGCTACTTGGGAGGCTGAAGCACGAGAATTGCTTGAACCTGGGAGGTGTATGTTGCAGTGAACTGAGATCATGCCACTGCACTCTAGCCTGGGGGACAGAGCGAGACTCTGTCTCAAAAAAAAAAAAGAAAAAAAGTGGGCAAAGGAGACTGAGCACAGTAGCTCATGCCTGTAATCCCAGCACTTTGGGAGGCCGAGGCAGGTGGATCACTTGAGGTCAGGAGTTCATGACTAGCCTGGCCAACATGGCGAAACCTTGTCCATACTAAAAATACAAAAATTAGCTGGGCATGGTGGGACCCTCCTGTAATCGCGGTGGCTGAAGCAAGAGAATTGCTTGAACCCAGGATGCAGAGGTTGCAATGAGCTGAGATTGCACCACTGTACTCCATCCTGGGTGATAGAGTGAGACTCTGTCTCAAAAAAAAAAAAAAAAAAAAGTGGGCAAAGGCCATGAAGAGACGCTTTTCAAAAGAAGAAGTACATGTTGCCAACAATCATATGAAAAAAAGCTCAACATCACTGATCATTAGAGAAATGCAAATCAAAACCATAGTGAGATACCATCTCACAGCAGTCAGAATGGCTATTATTAAAAGTCAAAAAATAACAAATGCTGAGGAGATTGTGGAGAAAATGGAATGCTTATACACTGTTAGTGGGAGTGTAAATTAGTTCAACCATTGTGGAAAGCAGTGTGGCAATTCCTCAAAGAGCTAAAAACAGAATTACCGCCGGCATGCTGACTCACGCCTATAATCCCAGCACTTTGAGAGGCCAAGGCTGGTGGATCACCTGAGGTCAGGAGTTCAAAACCAGCCTGGTCAACATGGTGAAACCCTATCTCTACTAAAAATACAAAAAATTAGCTGGGCTTGGTGGTGGGCACCTGTAATCCCAGCTACTCAGGAGGTTGAGGCAGGAGAATCGCTTGAACTCAGGAGGTGGAGGTTGCAGTGAGCCAAGGTCGTGCCATTGCACTCCAGCCTGGAAAACAAGAGCGAAACTCCATCTCAAAAAAACAAAAACAAAAAAACAGAGCTACCATTCGACCCAACAATCCCCTTACTGGATATATACCCAAAGGAATATAAATCATTCCATCATAATGACACATGCATGTGTATGTTCATTGCAGCCCTATTTACAACAGCAAAGACATGGAATCAGCCTAAATGCCCATCGATGATAGACTGGATAAAGAAAATGTGGTACATATACACTACGAAATACTATGCAGCCATAAAAAAGAACAAGATTATGTCCTTTGCAGGAACATGGATGGAGCTGGATGCTGTTACCCTTAGCAAACTAACATGGGAACAGAAAACCAAATACCGCATGTTCTTATAAGTGGGAGCTAAATGATGAGAACACATGGACACATAGAGGGGAACACAGACACCAGGGCCTACCAGAGAGTGGAGGGTGCAAAGAAGGAGGGGATCAGGAAAAATAACTAATGAGTCCTAGGTTTAATACCTGGATGATGAAATAATCTATAAAGCAAACCCCTGTGACATGAGTTTATTCATATAACAAACCTGCATATATACCCAGGAACTTAAAAGTTAAAAAAAGAGAAAGAAAAAAAAGTGTAAGAGGAACCCAGGAAAGGAGGTCAGATTGATGCGTTAAGAGAACTCAACCCACCTTTACCGATATTGAAGATAGAGGAAGGGAGCCATGAGCCAAAGAATGCAGATAGCCACTAGATGCTAGAAAAGGCAAAGAAATTGATTCTCCTAAAAATAGTTAGGGCTACCATAACAAGTATAAGCCATTTAAACAGACTGATCACTTAAATAACAAATATTTATTTTCTCATAGTTTTGGAGGCTGAAAGTCAAAGATCAATGTGTTGGCAATGTGTTGATTTCTTCTGAGGCTGACCTTCTTGGCCTGTAGAAGGCTGTCCTCTCCCTCTGTTTTCACATGGTCTTTCCTCTGGGTGTATCTGTGTCCTAATCTCTTCTCTTTTTCTATTTTATTTATTTATTTTTTTTTGAGACAGGGTCTTGCTCTGCCATCTAGGCTAAAATGCAGTGGTGTGATCATAGCTCACTGTAAACTTGAACTGCTGGGCTCAAGCAATCCTTCTGCCTCAGCCTCCCGAGTAGTTAGGGCGACAGGCATGCCCAGCTATTTTGTTTTTATTTTTTTGTAGAGATGGCATCTTGCTATGTTGCTCAGGCTGGTCTCGATCTCCTGGCCTCAAGTGATTCTCTTGCCTTGGCCTCTCAAAGTGCTGGGATTATAGGCATGAGCCACTACATGTGGCCCTAATCTCTTTTCATGAGAATATGAGTCATATTGGATTAGGGCCCACCTATATTGGATTAGGGCCTACCCATATTGGAACCACCCCTAGGTTACTAAACCTCATTTTAACTTGATTACTCTTTAAAGGCTCCGTTTCCAAATACAACCACATTCTGAGATACTGGGGATTGAAACTTAAACATGTGAATTTTAGGGGACACAATTTAGCCTGTAACATTCCCCTAGATCCTGCAGAAGGAACACAGGTCTGCCACCTGTTTGATTTTAGGACTCCTTGCCTCTAGACTGTAAAATAATAAATGTATGTTGTTTAAGCCATCGAGTTTGTGGTAATTTGTTATAGCATATTAGAAAATGAGTTTAATTGTAAGTAACTTGAATCTATTAGTAGGAGGCTGATTAACTGAATCATGGGATATCTCTGCAATGAAATATTTGCAGCAATCAGAAACAATGAAATGAATGTCTTAACAGATGAATGGATAAACAAAATGCCATATGTGTGCAATAGAATATTATTCAGACTTAGGAAGGAAATTCTGACACATGCTACAACATGCATGTATCTTGAGGACCTTATGCTAAGTAAGATAACTCAGTCAAAGACAAACAGTGTATGATTCCACTTACATGAATTATCTAGACAAGTCAAAACTCATAGAAACAAAGTGAGTGGTAGTTGCTAAGGGTTGGAATAGGGGGAAATGAAGAGTTGTTTGGTGGATATAGATTCAGTTTTTTGAGATGAAAAAGCTTTAGAGATTGACTATACAACAGTGTGAATATACTGAACTGTACAGTTAACAATAGTTAAGATGGGGCCGGGTGTGATGGCTTATGCCAACACTTTGGGAGGCCAAGGCAGGAGGATTGTTTGAGCCCAGGAGTTTGCAGCCTTTCTGGGAAACATAGTGAGACCCCATCTCTACAGAAAAATTTTAAAAATTACCTGGGTGTGGTAATTTTTAGTCCCAGCAACTAGGGAGGCTGAGATGGGAGGATCGCTTGAGCCTGAGAGGTCCAGGCTTCAGTGAGCCATGATCATGCCACTGTACTTCAGCCTGGGTGACAGCAAGACTCTGTCTCAAAAAAATCAGTTAAGATGGTTGATATGGTTTGACTGTGTCCCCACCCAAATCTCATCTTGAATTCCCACGTGTTGTAGAAGGGAAACTCTGGTGGGAGGTAACTGAATCATGAGGCAAGTCTTTCCCGTGCTGTTCTCATGATAGTGAATAAGTCTCCTGAGATCTGATGGTTTTAAAGAAAGGAGTTCCCCACACAAGCTCTCTCTTTACCTGCTGCCATCCATGTAAGATGTGACTTGCTCTTCCTTGCCTTCTGCCATGATTGTGAGGCTTCCCCAGCCATGTGGAACTGTAAGCCCAATTAAACCTCTTTCTATGTAAATTGCCCAGTTTCGGGTATGTCTTTGTCAGCAGCGTGAAAACAGACTAATACAGTAAATTGGTACCAGTAGAATGCTGAAATGAGTTAAGACTTTGGGGGACTCTTGGGAAGGCATGATTGGTTTTGAAATGTGAGGACATGAGATTTGGGAGGGGCCAGGGGTGGAATGATATGGTTTGGCTGCATCCCCACCCAAATCTTGAATTCCGACATGTTGTGGGAGGGACCCGGTAGGAGGTAATTGAATCATGGGTAAATTTTATGTTATGTTATTTTTTATGTTATGTAGTTTTTAAAAAATAGTGAAACAAAGATACTAAGTTTAAAAGGCAAGGGCAGAAAAATAGGTGCAGTGTGCTTTCATTTGTGTATTTTGGAGAAAGAACATCTACACACACAATGCTTGTATGTACACAGAATAATCCTGAAAGGATTCCTTGGGAACTGGCATAGTGATTACTTCTAGGAATGGGGTTGTGGTAGGTGGGAGGACGGGGATGGAGGAAGACTTAAAAATACTCTTTGACACCTTCTTAGTTGTTTACCACATATATGTGTTACATACTAAAATAATTGTTTTTGGGGATTTTGTTTGTTTGTTTTTGTTTTTTGAGACAGAGTCTCACTCTGTTGCCCAAGCTGGAGTGCAGTGGTGGGATCACGGCTCACTGCAGCCTCAACCTCCTGGGCTCAAATGGTCCTCTCGCCTCAGCCTCTTGCATAGCTGAGACTACAGGCATGCATCACCAAGCCCAGCTGTAATAGAGGTATTTTAATGCATCATTAAAATATCACAAACAGGTCTTATCAACCATACAGTATCTTGTTGCTGTAGCTGGACAACTCTTAGATCTTATTCATCAGCCTGCTAAACTGTTCCTTTTTCAGTGACATACAGATCATCTGAAAGTTTTCTGTTATCTTTGTTTTTAACTGTTGTGGATTGCTAAATCAAAGCAGTTGAATTTGAAACAAACTCAATGTCATTTCCTTCAAGGATTAATACATTTTTCTGGACTTAAGATAACTTAATAAGCAACACCCGGCCTTATCTAAACCATCCAGATGTATTTTTCACCCAAGAAATTTTGGATTTTATCAAGAGACCCATGCTCCTGGATAACTAAGTTGATGGGGAAAGGAGTATGCACAGACCTCATCTTGTAATGGAAGCCCAGTGTAACACCCTTGATAATGTTCTGTACATGATTACAAATAGTGCAAGCAGTAGCCACTTCCTTTCTATTTCCCAATCATTTGTCAACCTAGCGCCTCTTCTTTTCCAAGGAGAATGCATCCTACATTGATGTAATTGAAGTCCCTCCCTAACTTCCTCTGGGGCTCTTCAAAATAACTGTGCATCCTTTCAGAGTGATGTCTGCATTTTCTGGAATGTCAATAGTCTGATTGCCAAGAATGGTCTTCATTCTCTCAGTAGATACAGGAAAGAATTGAAATAATTGTTTTTAAATGTATAATTTGAGCAAAGACTTTAGAGAATTTCCTTAGTTGGATCAGACACAGACTATGAAATTGCTTTGTCAATGCAGTTACACCTAAGTGCCAGGGTATGTCTTGGCCTTTAAAGGATTAAAAGCTTACTCCCAAAGTTGCTGGGCTTTGGGGTATAAATATATTTTATTGTTTGATGTCTGATAGTATATTTTTCTTTTTATTTTTTGAGGCAGGATCTCACTTTATTGTGCAGGCGGGAGTGCAGTGGCGTGATCTCGGCTCACTGCAGCCTCAACTTCCTGAGCTCAGGCGATCCTCCGACCTCAGCCCCCTGAGTAGATGGGACTACAGGTGCATGCTACCACGCCCAGCTAATTTTTTGTATTTTTAGTAGAGAACAGAGTTTTGCCAATGTTGCCCAGGCTGGTCTGAAACTCCTGGGCTACAGTGATCTGCCTGCCTCAGCCTCCCAAATTGTTGGGATTACAGGCATGGGCCACCACGCCCAGCCTATGTCTAATAGTACATTTTCAGTCACTAGCTTTTTTAAGTACACCTGCAATGTATTCACTTAGAACCACAAAAAAAGATACAAAAAAAAAAGAGGAGAGGATGAAAGATGGAGGAAAAAAGGAAAGAGGAAAGAAATAGTAAATGTTCTCTGCCTCTTAAAACCATATAATCTATAACAAGAATAGGGTAAAAGAGACTTAACAGTAACAACAGGGCAACAGGTTTTGACTCTTGTGGGATTTATTCGTTGTTTGTTTGTTTGTTTGTTTTTTAGATGGAGTCTTGCTCTGTCTCCCAGGCTGGAGTGCAGTGGCGCAATCTCGGCTCACTGCAACCTCTGCCTCCTGGGTTCAAGTGATTCCCCTGCCTCAGCCTCCCGAGTAGCTGGGATTACAGGCATCTGCCACCACACCCAGCTAATTTTGTATTTTTAGTAGAGACGGGGTTTTGCCATGTTGGCCAGGCTGGTCTCGAACTCCTGACCTCAGGTGATCCACCCGCCTCGGCCTCCCAAAGTGCTGGGATTACAGGTGTGAGCCACCGTGCCCGGCCTCTTGTGGGATTATTTCTTAAGACTTCTGCTTGTAAATTGTTGGGTAACTGAACAAGTTAGATTTTACACTCTTGAAAACCTCCTTCTTAGTACATGAGTTCTTGCATCATACAGTCCATATAAAAATTGCAACATTTTATTACTATAATTGTTCCTTAGAAGCTGTTCTGGATTGAAACTTCTTGTTATGGTGCAGATGTTTTTCTTACCAACAATCTTAACCCCTGTTTTTCTCCACACAATACTTAGCTAAAGGGACATGTTTCCCCAAGTCATATCTTATCTTTGTAGTTTTTGCGTCCCCATAAAAAGCAAAAAACTGTTTTTGTAACCTGTTCAGTTACCTTTCCCTTTTTGTTTGGTGTTTTACCTTAGCTACTAATAATTCAGCACCCAGAAAAGTGCTTAATACGCAGTAGGGGTACAATAAATGGCAATGAATGACTCATTGTGAGCTCAGTTGCTTCCAGGTTATGTAGGGAATATGATTTTGTCTTTAAGAATGAAAAGCACTTAAGACTTGATATAAGCAAAATTTCCCTTGAAGACAAAAGTTTCTTTGAAAGAAAATTTTAACCCAAATGTATAAGCCTTTTACATCTAGGAAGGAGATTAATATTATTACAGTAATATTTATTATTATTATTAGAAGCAGCAGTAATAGTGGCAACATCAGAAGCTAAGTTATTCTAAGTGCTTTTTTTAATTACTTTTTTTTTTGGTAGAGACACCTATCTTGCTATGTTGTGCAGGCTGGACTTGAACTCCCAGGCTCAAGTCCTCCCTCATCAGCCTCTAGAGCGGCTGAGTATCTAGAACTACAGGCACATGTTACCACACCTGGCTCTAAGTCTCTAAATGCTTTTCTTATGTTATCTCTCATACAGTCTTTCCAACAACCCTAATAGATCGATGTTATTGTTGTGTCCATTTTTATGGATGAGGAAACTGAGCTCAAAGAAATTAAGGAATGTGCTCAAAATCACACTGCTAGTAGGTGGCAGAACCAGGATATGAACTCAGTTTAGTTAAGATTTGGGCTTGATACATCCAATGCAAGAATATGAGTTTGACTTTGCCCTCCTCAAAATTCCTGCCAAAGGGACATGCAAAAGAAGAAAATAAAGAAAAGAGAATTGGTATCTGCACTACAAACTGGGGAAGATCACCACCTTCATGCTAGAAGAAACATTGAGGGAATTTACAATATGAAATTCAGGCAACAAGGTTGAGGTAAAGGCCTACCACTGAGAGTTGCTATGTATAATTAAGCCCACCTAGGCCGCGCGCGGTGGCTCATGCCTGTAATCCCAGCACTTTGGGAGGCCGAGGTGGGCAGATCACAAGGTCAGGAGATGGAGACCATCCTTGTCAACATGGTGAAACCCTGTCTCTACTAAAAATAAAAAAATTAGCCGGTCGTTGTGGTGTGCACCTGTAGTCCCAGCTACTCGGGAGGCTGAGGCAGGAGAATCACTTGAACCCGGGAGGCATAGGCTGCAGTGAGCAGAGATCGCGCCACTGCACTCCCGCCTGGGCAACAGAGAGTGAGACTCTGGAAAAAAAAAAAAAAAAAAATCTCTGCAGTGAATTAAGGCTGCATTTTGTATTCCTAGCTTACTAAAAATGTTTGAAACCAGAAATGACTATTTTGTCAAACGCTTTTTAGCATCTATTTAAATAATTGTGTAGTTTAGTAGAGGTCCTAAATATTAATTCGTCCTTGCAATCTTGGAATAAGCCATATACTCATGAGAAAGACTGTTCACTCTGCAGAACCCGGAAACAATTCAGGAATTAGAATTACCAGGTCTTGGCTGGGCATGGTGGCTCACGCCTATAATCCCAGCACTTTGGGAGGCCGAGGTGGGTGGATCACGAGGTGAGGAGATAGAGACCATCCTGGCTAACACCATGAAACCCCATCTCTACTAAAAATACAAAAAATTAGCCGGCGTGGTGGCACGCGCCTGTAGTCCCAGCTACTCGGGAGGCTGAGGCAGGAGAATTGCTTGAACCCAGGAGGCGGAGGTTGCAGAGAGCAAAGATTGCGCCACTGTACTCCAGCCTGGATGACAGAACGGGACTCCGTCTCAAAAAAAAAAAAAAATTACCAGGTTTCAGAAGGCAGGGAAATGAACTTGACCTTTGTCCTTTGTCTTCCTTTAGGTTTCTCAGAATTTAATTTAGAACTAAATATGTTGGTTGCAAGTAAACAATTGTTCCATGAACCAATTATGTTGTAATGCCATCAGCCCACTTTAATGGATACCTTGTATCTTAATGAATTGTTTCAATTGATGAATATATATATAAAGTCTTAAAATAACTTTAGGAATGCAAGTGTGGTTACAGGACCTCTTTCTTGAAAGGTCATTTTTTTTTTCTTTGAGACAGAGTGTCACTCTGTCACCCATTCTGGTGGCGTGATCTTGGCTCACTGCAACCTTCATCTCCCGGGTTGAAGTGATTCTTCTGTCTCAGCCTCCCCAGTAGCTGGGATTACGATTGAGCACCACCACACCTGGCTAATTTTTGTATTTTTAGTAGAGACGGGTTTTCACCATGTTGGGCAGGCTGGTCTCGAACTCCTGACCTCAGGTGGTCCACCCACCTTGGCCTCCCAAAGTGCTGGGATTACAGGCATGAGCCACCGTGCCCAGCCGAAAGGTCATTTTGAAAGAGCTAGTGTGGACATCTGAAATATTTATAAGAATGAAAGCTGCAACATCTTAACTAGTGTAATTTGGTTTAATTTTTACTTTTCTCTCTTCAGGTCTGTTTTGTTTTGTTTTTGGACACAGGATCTAGCTCTGTTGCCCAGGCCAGATGGCAGTGGCACAATTATGGCTCACTTGAAGCCTCGAACTCCTAAACTCAAGTTATCCTCCCACCTCGGCCTCCCAACTAGCCAGGCCTACAGAGGTGTGCCACCATACTTGGCTGATTATTATTATTTTTTTTTTGTCATGAAGATGGGGTCTTACTATGTTGCCCAGGCAGGTTTCCAACTCCTGGGCTCAAGCTCTCTCCAGTTTTTATCATTATTATTATTATTATTAATTTTTTTTGAGATGGCGTTTCGCTCTTATTGCCCAGGCTGGAGTGCTATGGCCATGATCTTGGCTCACTGTAACCTCCACCACCTGGGTTCAAGCGATTCTCCTGCCTCAGCCTCCAGGGTAGCTGGGATTACAGGTGCCCGCCACCATGCCCAGCTAATTTTTTGTATTTTTAGTAGAGACGGGATTTGACCACATTGGCCAGGCCGGTCTTGAACTCCTGACCTCAGGTGATCCACCCGCCTCCCAAAGTGTTGGGATTACAGGTGTGAGCCACCGTGCCCAGCCTCTCTCTAGTTTTTATACTGTGACAATGACAAGCCACTTTTGATGTGCTTAGTATTATCTATATTATTATCTGTTGTAGTATGAGAGCTTGGGAAGATTGAAAACAGCTCTGATCTCTACCATTTTAATTCTTTCAAATATTTATTATTAAGCCTTTAGCTTTCCTAATACGAGTTCCAGAAGTCTTCAAATATTTTATATATTTTTTAAGCTAGATGGAGAGTAAATGTTCTTATTCTCCCCCCTCCAAAATATAAGAGAACAAGAATTAAAAAGACTTTACATTTGTAGGATTTTTAGCAATAATTTTTGTTTGTTTGTTTCTTTTTTGAGATGGAGTCTCGCTCTGTAGCCCAGGCTGGAGTGCAGTGGCGCGATCTCGGCTCACTGCAACCTCCACCTCCCAGGTTCACGCCATTCTCCTGCCTCAACCTCCCGAGTAGGTGGGACTGCAGGCGCCCGCCACCACACCCGGCTAATTTTTTGCATTTTTAGTAGAGACGGGGTTTCACCATGTTAGTCAGGATGGTCTTGATCTCCTGACCTCGTGATCCACCCGCCTCGGCCTCCCAAAGTGCTGGGATTATAGGCGTGAGCCACCACGCTCGGGCAACAATGATTTTAAATATTTGGTTATTTCTGATTATTTTCTAAAAGAGGAAGAGAGAGGGACAATGCCAGATGAGACTTGGTTTTAAGACAGAAAACTAAAAGTAGACAAAGGGTCAGAGTAGAAAAAAAATGAGAAGGAAGTAAACCAGGAGCAAGGCTGTTATCAGAAAGAGTAACTCTGAGCTTTACTTTCTTTAAGTTTATTTGCACTCTAAAACTCTTATCTCTGAGGGTATACTTTAGATGAAACACAGCCCTACCTGTGAAAAATTAAAGTAGGAATCAACTAGGATAGCCATGAAGTAGTTATAAGTTTCAGCCACTGGTAGTGAGAAGTTTTAATGACGTAAGCTTATGCATCAATGATCCATGTAGGGATAACTCAGTTTCCAGCTGCTGTTAGCTAAACAGCAAACATTTGAATAGAATCTAATGAGTCAGAGTTGGAGCCTTTTCTGTTCCCTTTTTTGAGTTGTTAGTCATAGGGAAAAATACTCCTATGTTACCAGCTAATTATTTCACTCCTTTGTCTTATTTTCCTTGTCTGTCTTCTAGACAGATTTTTAGAAAGAGATTAGAGAACAGAAGAAAAGGTTTTAAATTGTTTTCTGGTGCCTGTTGGGGGACTTGGGTAGGGCATGTCTCCTGGCTCTTTTTTTTTTTTTTTTTTTTTGAGATGGAGTCTTGCACTGTCACCCAGGCTGGAGTGCAATGGCGTGATCTCAGCTCACTGAAACCTCCGCCCCCTGGGTTCATGCGATTCTCCTGCCTCAGCCTCCCTAGTAGCTGGGATTACAGGCACACACTGCCATGCCCGGCTAATATATATATATATATATATATATACTTTTTTTTTTTTTTTTGTAGTACAGACAGGGTTTTACTATGTTGGCCAGGCTGGTCTCAAACTCCTAACCTCAGGTGATCTGCCTGCCTCAGCCTCCCAAAGTGCTAGGATTAGCAGGCATGAGCCACTGTGCCTGGCCTGTCTCTTGGCTCATATGAACACTTGGCAGCAGAGAGCTAATGAGGCTAGGCTAAGAGTTAGATCCCGTAATCAGGCCCTATGCTATATTCTATAGCCTATCTCTAAACAAATACATCAAATGTGTATCTTTGGATGTGAAGATAAATGAACACAAATCTATCCCCAGTCTGAGAAGAGTTCAGAGTACATACTACAAAGGATTAGCAGCACCATCTTTTTTTTTTTTTTTTTTTTTTGAGACGGAGTCTCGCTCTGTCGCCCAGGCTGGAGTACAGTGGCGCGATCTCGGCTCACTGCAAGCTCAGCCTTCCGGGTTCACGCCATTCTCCTGCCTCAGCCTCCCGAGTAGCTGGGACTACAGGCACCGGCCACCACACCCGGCTAATTTTTTCTATTTTTAGTAGAGACCAGGTTTCACTGTGTTAGCTGGGATAGTCTCGATCTCCTGACCTTGTGATCCTCCTGCCTCCGCCTCCCAAAGTGCTGGGATTACAGGCGTGAGCCACTGTGCCCGGCTAGCAGCACCATCTTTACAGAAAAAGATGTGCTGGCTCTTTCCCCAAATCGGGAAACCATAGGAAATGCTTCAGTTGATCAAGCATTCCTCAATCAACTAACCAGTCACCTTGTTGGCAGTGTTCTCTCAAAATAGCCATCACTAATCAGAATTGCAGCTTCTCACCTGTGAGCTAACACCACTGACTCAGTGATTTCAGCTTGCTTTTCCCCTCGTGCTTATGGGCCCATTCGTTTGGATCTCTGAAATGATCTTGTTTGTATTACAGAGCTCTCATTTGGAAGACAGTGAATCAGCAGCATTACTTTGCTGTGAATGTGAAGAATCAGAAATCTTTACTGATTCCAATGTACGTAGGTATATGTTTTTATACAGACTTTGGTGATTCAAGTAAAATCTTATTGGGTAAATTTGGCTATTAAATGCAACTGATATAGTGCCTATTATTTTATCTATTTGACCCCATTCAGCCAAATGTCTGGGAAGGCAAATAGGTGGCTTAGAATGAGTGTATATATAAACAGTATGGTACATTTATATGCATAATGCCATGGCAATGACCACTCAAAAGTTATTTATCAAAGTAGAAAAAATGTGGCATCTTGGAACCTTGAGTGAGTCTCCTTCAATAAAGAGTGTGACTCTTTTTGTGGGATTTTTTTCCCCTCATGCACACATTTTTTTAATGGTCAATAGTATTATTCTTTTCCCTGTGGCAACTGCTTGGTATTGGTGCTGCCACAGGGCCTTTATTCCTCACGTACATGGGCCTCACATGTCTTAGCTATTGATAATGTTAAGCCAAATAGTGTTATAATCACTGGACTGGAAACCCGACCTGATCATCTTAAATGTAGAACTTTATCTAACTACATTTCATGGGATGTTATAAATTTTACTTATCCCATCTGACCTCCTGCTTACTTACCCACAAGAGTCAGGCTGAAGTTAGAGAACAACTTAAATTGACTTATTTTTGTGTGTTGCAATGAGCAGTGGAAATTCTCAGTATATCCTGAGATATAAGTGAACTTCCCCCTGAGTATTGAATGGCCTAGTAGTGATGCAGGACAGATAATCCCCCAAACTGGGGCTTAGCCCAGGAGGGTTCTTAGTTTCACCAGGAAAGAAATCAAGGGCAAACCTGTGGTGTTAGACAGCAATCTTTTATTGAACAGTACTGCTCCTTGTGGAACAGCACTAACTCATAGATAGTGTACCCAGAGTCTGCAACGTGTGGGCTCTTGGCAACTGTATATATACTCGCTTATACCCACTTTCAATTACATGTAAATTAAGGGGCAGGTTAATGCAAATTGAGGGGTGGGTTATTTAGAACTTTCTAGGAAAGGGGCAGTAACTTCTGGGTCATTGCCATGGCATTTGTAAACTGTCATGATGCTGGTGGGAGTGTCCATGCTAATGAGCAATGAGGGCAGCCAGGGATTGCCCTTGTCACAGTCTGCTGGTTTTGGCCAGTTTCTTTGCTTTATCCCATCTGGAACAGATCCTACTTTGTTCAGCAGTGTTGTGACCAGAAAACAAGTCCTGCTGGACTCTTGCCTTATTAGTTCATACACATTGTTCTACCTTAAAGGGGTGTTGGAAGTATTCTGGAGGGAAGTGAAGGGAAGAGTTGTGGGTCAGGAAAACTAATGAGCTCTCCAACTGTCATTTAGATAACTGTCTCCTATTGAGCACCACCCTCCCTCAAAAAAACCTGAGGGGGTCGGCTACAAAAATGCAGACACCGTCCCAGTTGTATTAATGAAAATTAGAAATAGAGAGGACCAGCTCTTTGTGAGAGGCCCTGGTCTCTGCCCTCTGCTTCACCTTTCAGCCCAGATGCCTGACATTTTTATCTATTTGCTTCTCACTGGCTCTAAGTTGAAGACTTGGTGACAACCTGATTTTTTTTAAGGTGTACTGCCCTTTACTGTGAAGCTTGTGCAGATTAGGGATGGCACTGTGAGGAAAGACTTTATTCAAGCATATTTTTGGACTGTTATACCCATAGGAGACTGGGCCGCTCTTGGAATTTTTCCCCCCTATTTTATGAGAGGTTCAAGATGGCCTTGTATCAAACTGAAGTTTAGAAACATAGCAAACCTTTTTCCCACTTGGACATTTTTTTTCTGTGTCTTGGTATAGAATGAATCCTACTTCACAAATTTTAAAAAGTAGAGTTTATATAAACCGAATCATAACACATTTCAAAACTGTATTGTTTTTTACAGATTTGATTGTTTTCTATAATTTTACTTGACTTGATCTCTTCCAACAGGTAGCTGTCACCAAAACTAGGTTCTACAAACCTTGACCATAAAAAATGAATTGTCTGTATCAGGATATTTATTGCTCATAGTAGCACTCCATACATATTGTTGAAGTTTCACTAATGTAAACTATCTCTTGAAGTAAGATGTGTCTCAAGTATATCACCATATTACTACCTGCACTTAGGCTGGCTTCCTCATCTTCATGTCACAGTGAATGCAGTTACCATTTCAGGACCTCATTCACGTATTTATTTACACAACTGCATTTCATTCAGTGTTGATGAATCTGGAATGGCATGAGTTAAGTTATTGTGATTCATTAATAGCTGGAGTGGTGCTCATTTTCCTAGTGCTTGCAAACGTTAACTGATAAATCCATGTGAACACTTATTATCAGTATTTTGCAGATGACAAACTGAGGGTGAAAGGTTATAATCTTTGTCCAGTGTTGTGTGATAAGCAGGAGCAGTGCTGACATGAAATCTCAGCTGATAGCCATCATGAGCTCATCACCAGTGGGCAACCTCATTGATGGAATATGTACCAGTCTCCTTATATGGTATCCTATAAGATTTATTTTGTTCAGACTGGGCACAGTGGCTCATGCCTGTAATCCCAGCTCTTTGGGAGGCTGAGGTGTGCAGATCACTTGAGGTCAAGTGTTTGAGAAAGCCTGGCCAACATGGTGAAACCCCGTCTCTACTAAAAATACAAAAGTCTGGCGTGGTGGTGCATGCCTGTAGTCCCAGCTACTTGGGAGGCCAAGGCAGGAGAATTGCTTGAACCCAGAAGGTGGAGGTTGCAGTGAGCCAAGATTGCACCACTGCACTCCAGCCTGGGCAACAGAGCAAGACTCCATCTCAAAAAAAAAAAAAAAATTGTTCAGTTTGCAGTGGAGTCCTCTGGACTTATTATACTGGCATATTATTTCGACTGATTTTGTCTCAAAGAGACTAGTGCATGGGAATCTACATGAAGAATATTTTCATGAAGTTGGACGCGTGGGGAAAAGGTAACTTTAGTTTTAATGGTTTTTCTCCCTTAGAAACAATTAGTTGGGGCCAGGCACGGTGGGTCATGCCTGTAATCCCAACACTTTCGGAGGCCAAGGCAAAAGGATCACTTGAGCCCAGGAGTTCAAGAGCAGCCTGGGAAATACAGCGAGACCCTGTCTCTACAGAAAATAAAACAATTAGCCGGGCATGGTGGCACATACTTGTAGTCCTAGCTACTTGGGAGGCTAAGGCGGAAGGATATGCCATTGCACTCCAGCCTGGACAGCAGAGTCAGACTCTGTCTCCAAAAAAAATAAAGAGAAACAATTAGTTGGGTATATGTATTTATAGATTACTCTGGGTTGCTTTATTTTATTGCCAAGCCTTTCATTCATTTAAGTCAGATTTGTTGTCGTCTTTTCCTCAAGAGGCAAAAGTTGTTTCATGTACTTGGCTGGCTTTTTAAAGGTGTTAGATCCTCCTCCTGTTTTGTTTTTTCAGGGAGTATTTCCCACACCTTTTTTTCCCCCTTTTCTCACTTCCCTGTTCCCACCCCCATGTCAAATGGAATTGAAGAGCTTCTTTGTAATTTGAAGCCTTAACCTTGGGGGTGGGGTGGGGGGCAGTTATTTGCAGAGCAAAATGATTGAAATCTCCATTACTTAGTTTTCTGCAAAGGAAGTGGTATGGGATCTTGATAAGTATTTGAAGTAGAAATACTGATGTAAAGAAGAAGAGTAGAAGATAAAGTCAATCGTCGAAGAACTTTCTCTTCAATTTTGGGATAACAGAAGTATGAACTTTGGTTAGTTTTATTCATTCATTTGCTTCTGCATAATTCATTCATTCACCAAGTATTGATTGACTCATGTGCAAATCACTGGGCCCAGGGGAGTAGGGGCCCTTAGAGAAAGTATAATCTACACTTCACAAATTAGTTTTATGGCTATTCGTGGAAAGCCCTGAAAAGGAAAGGAGAAAATCATTACATGCAGTATGTGGGAAGAAGAGAAGAAATCTGGATAAGTGGAAATAAATTTGGCTGGAGGCCAATTTGGCTGGAGGGCTGGCTGCCTTAGATCTCTTGGGGCTTTCCTGGAAGAGAAGGCAGGAGTGCAGAGAGGCCCCTGCCCCTTTTCTGATCCCACTCAGTCTCCAGGAAACCAGATAATAGATAGAAGCAGCTACTTGCTCCCTCTACTGTGCACAGGTTTGTTAGAGGTCTCCATAATGGGGAGAGGATCTGTCTGCCCCCAGAGAAAGGTAACAGTGTGACTGGAAGAAGTCACAGAGAAAGAAGATACTGGCTTTAGCTGCAGGAGTTTCACCTTGGCTTCAGATAAGAAGGAATGTAGGCAGTGACTAGAGCAGGTTGGGATGCTAGTGACTGCAACAGGCACTGAGACTCCTGAGGCTTCTCTTCATTTCCCTCTCCTGTACCCACTGCTATCCTACCTAAAAGGAGGAAGAAGCTCTGGATGAGCTGGGATTCCAATTATTGTGCTTATGGGTGGTCTCCTAGGAACAACTGGATTCATTTACCATTGTAGGGCTATTTCTTCCCCAGCCTGGTGGTCAGGAAAATATTTGTTATATTAGTTTATTTCCTAAAAATAAAACTTATTTATCTCATTTCCCTGGTCTTCTCACCCCAACCCCTACCCAACCAAACAGGCAGAAGGTCATATATAGAATAGTCATACTATTTTTATGGTCTGTTTCATTCCTTTGCTTGGTTTGTTATATTCTTGAAGGATATAATATTATATTCTGTGCAATCAGAAAAAAGCTTTTATGTTTGAATAGCCCAGTGAAAGGAAGAGATGTTAGCCTTTTGTGTTATTAAAGAAAAGAAAAAGCCACCCCCTAGAATCAAATGTGGAAAAGGCAGATGCAAAGAAAGTCTAAAATGTAAGAATTATTTGGTTTAGAATATTTTTACATTTTTAGACTATAGATCTGCATTCTCTTCTAGGGAAGGACAGTGTCTCAGAATACAATATCCTTGTTGATAATCAGCTTCTATGGGATTTTTAACATGGAGTCATTTGGGGAGTGGAAAAATGGCTTGAGAGAGAGAGAAGATTTAGCCTAATAGTAAGTTCAAGATGAAGGATTTAAGAATTTTTAAAAGTTATCAACATTAGGGTAAACCCTAATTCAAGGCCTGATGTGGAGTAGCCAGTCCTTATAGATTGAAGATAGAAAGGACTTCAATTCTCAGGGTTCTTCTGAGATATCCTGTTCTTGTATGTTTTAAGTTTTGGAATGTAGTGTATTGGAACGATGAAAACAATGGTTAGCTCAGAAAGGAAAACTACACTTAGGAGGGGGAAACTGCTATAGTAATTTTTTTTTTTTTTTCTTGAGACTGAGTCTCCCTCTGTCACCCAGGCTGGAGTGCAGTGGCACGATCTCAGTTCACTGCAGCCTCTACCTCCTGGATTCAAGCGATTCTCATGCCTCAGTCTCTTGAGTAGCTGGGACTACAGGCATGCACCACCCATGCCTGGCTAATTTTTTTTATTTTTAACAATTATTTTTTATTTGTAGTGGAGATGGGGTTTCGCCATATTGGCCAGGCTGGTCTCGAACTCCTGACCTTAAGTGATCTGCCCACCTCAGCCTCCCAAAGTGTTGGAATTACAAGTGTGAGCCACCGCGCCCAGCCTGCTATAGTAATTAAATCTACTTTTGTAAATCTCTAGAGATTATAAGCAAAAACAAGATAGTAGTGGATGAACATCCAGATACAACAACAAACTGGTTAGCTGGAAGGTGGGGATGGTGTTTAAGCCTACAGCAAGCACGTCCTGTCATTCCTGATAATTTGTATTTACTCTCTTCGTTTCTGCTATCTGTACCATGTGTATTTTCTGTTTATTTTTTCAGACTCATTTGCAGAACACCTTTCAGTAGCCAACATACACAAATAGAAAAAGGGGGGAAAAAGGGAAATTTGGTGCTAAGAAGATGAGTTTTATTATGAGTTTCAAATGGCCAGTTGGCCAATAGCAAACAGCTGCCCCACAGGAGTTTAGGATTACTTGAATTGTTTCTGCATCACCTCTGCTGCATTGTAGAGAGATTGTTAGGGCCCATCGTCAGAAAAAAGATAAAAAAAGTGTTGCTAGTGGCAAACATAGTTTTACCATGAACAATATCCTTATTTTTTACTTTGGAAGGGGTCTGATGCAAATTTACACTAATAGGAATGTGATGTTAAACTTATTTTGTTCCAGGTTAAGATGTAAGAAAGCATAGCTCAATGATTTTATCCCAGAATAATTATTATGAGAAATAATTTTCTTTTAAAAATCTTACGCTCTTGAGTGACATTTGAGGAGAAATAAGATTTGTAGTAATCTTGGGTACAAAGGCTATTTTTGAAATTAGCCTTATTTAACTCAGTGGTTCTCATTGTGGCTGCCCATTAGAATCACCTGATGATCTTTTTTTTTTTTTTTTTTGACACTGAGTCTCACTCTGTCGCCCAGGCTGGAGTGCAGTGGCGTGATCTCGGCTCACTGCAACCTGCGCCTCCCAGGTTCAAGAGATGCTCCTGCCTCAGCCTCCCAAGTATCTGGGATTATAGGTGCCTGCCATGACACTCAGCTAATTTTTGTATTTTTAGTAGAGACAGGGTTTCGTCATGTTAGCCAGGCTGGTCTTGAACTCCTGACCTCAGGTGACCCACCTGCCTCGGCCTCCCAGAGTGCTGGGGTTATAGGCATGAGCCACTGCGCCTGGCTGTGATGATCTTTTAAATTAATAACAGGGTCTCCTCCAGTTAAATCAGGATCTCTGTGAGTAGGGCCCAGGTATTGGTATTTTTTTAAATGCTTCCAGGATTATTCTAATATGAATCAAGGGTTAAGAACACTGGTTTGGGCTGGGGACAGTGGTGCACACCTGTAATCCCAGCACTTTGGGAGGCTGAGGCGGGAGGATCGCTTAAGCTCAGGAATTCAAGACCAGCCTGGGCAACAAAGCAAAACTCTGTCTCTACAAAAAAAAAAAAAAAAAAAAAATTAGCCAAGGGGGTGGTGTACTCCTATAGTCCCAGCTACTCGGGAAGCAGAGATGGGACGATCACTTGAGCCCAGAAGGTTGAGGCTGTAGTGAGCCAGGACTATGCCACTGCACTCCAGCCTGGGTGACAGAATGAGACCCTGTCTCAAGAAAAGAAAAAACAGAAAAAGAACACTGGTTTAACTCTAGCTATGCTAATTTTTGCACCTCCATATTAGAAATCTAATCTGCAACATTTGTAACATTGTAACATCTATTCCTTGAGCAGCAGGATAAAATGTGAGATAGACTACAATTTTTTAAGAGTTGGCTGTATGCATTTGATTACTCAGGTACAACACAATTAACTTACATTCTTTCTATTCAGTGAAATTCCTTGGCTAGTCTTCTGTTAAAAGCAAGATACTGAAATGAGATAATCCAAATCTAGTATAAATTTAAGTCAGTGAAGGGTAAAGTTTTCCATGTCTTTTCCATAAGGTATAAAGGGTATAAAGACTTATTCTTCCTGTGTCAACATTGCTAGGGAGCTAGAGTAAAGAAAAAATAATTAAAGATCACTTTATACTTTGTGTTTTATACTTTTACTGAAGTAAAATATACATACAGAAAAGTGTACTTATCTTGTGCTTTTATGTATAACAATGAATTTTCACAAACTGATGTTTTCACAAACACAGGTCAATCATGAAGTAAGTAACCTGTACCTAGATCAGGAAATGGAATATTACAACTCCTCAGTACTATTTCCCCCTTTGCCAATCCCTCCTTGCTCCTTTCAGTCACTACTGACTCACCCTCCCAGCCATCATACACCAGGAATAACCACTTTCCTGACTTCTTGACCATGTGATTTTGATGTGGCTATCAGGCTATGCTTTTTAGAGGGCTCTCTCAGACTTTCAGAATCAGAGAGAGGGCTCAGCATCATGTAGTAGTTAAAGAGCTCAAGTTGAAGGTTCAGACAATCTGGGTCAGAGCCCAGCTTCACCACTTACTGACTGTGACTTCACTCTAAGCCTCATTTCCCCTATCTATAAAATGGGAATAATAATAGTACCTATCCCATGGAGTTGTTAGAATTAAATGAGATAACTTATGTAAAGTGCTTAGAGGGCCTGGCGCATTATCTGTGCCAAGTAGAGAGCAGGGCAGATGCAGGATTCCCTCATGTCACCAGCTCTTCAACAGAGTCAAGGCAGTGCCACTGTTGTCTGCAGACATAATGAAGTTCATACTTCAGCTCTGGAGAAAAAGAAGAAGAAAAAGTGGGCATCCTGACCATCTTCCATTTTCTTCACCATCCCTAATTTGGCTTGTGGCTTGGCTAACTTGTGACAACTTCTAAAATATATTATTTAAGTACATGAAATGGCTATTGAAAGGCCAAAAATATTCTCTTAGACATCTTTATATTATCAATAGCTCTTAGCACAGTGATTTAATTGTAAATTGCACATAGTTGATGCCTTGGCTAAAGGAATCTAAAATGATACTTCAGACACACCATGCTCTCCTGTGCTGGATTTGTATTGGTCTAGGCTCCTGATCCCTCTTTTTACCAGAGTTGTATTTTTGAAACATCTGGCATGTTTCAAAGAATGCAGAAAGTGGCAGTGAAACAATTTGTAGGCAGAAACAAGGAGCCTCGGCCAAATTTGCAAAATTAACCAAATAAAAGCTCCAACTAGTTGAGTTATCTTGCTTCCATAATCTGAGGCAGGTCCTGCTGAGGTATATTTTCCTCTTATTTTGGTTTGGGAGAGCAAGCAAAACAGGAGGAGTTGTAGGTTTTCTCAGATTTTTAAGATTATAGCTTGGGAAAAATTTACCCTTTGGAAAGGGTGGGGTGAGGGGAAGGACCCCTTACTATGAGTACTTACCATGTGACACCCATTGTACTAAATGCTTTTTATACAGTTTAGTGTTGAATCCAAGTCTTTGAGGCAAATACTTTTAGTAGTCCCTGTTTAAAGGTGAGGAACCAGGCTTGCTTAAGGTATGTGACCATGCTGGTAGTGACAGCTAAGTCTGCCTGACACTCCCAGCCGGTGCTCTTTAACTTATGCTGGATTGCCTTTGCCCTTGAATGTAATGTTGTTATTCTGGTGCTAGGAGGTCAGGGTCAAATGCAGTAGTGATTCTCAACTCTAGTTTTATACAAGAATAATCTATAGAGTTTATTTTAAAAATATAGAAACTTAAGTCTCACTTTAGGAAGTTTCTTGTTCAGTAGGTCTTAAATGAGACCTGACATATTTCTTCTTCACAAAGGTCCATAGGTGATTGTGTGCCAGAGTTGAAAATCACAATTCTCAGAAATTCACTAGTGGGGAATTATAAGATTACAGATTTGGGGGCATCTGAAGACTGAATTTGGAATATTGTAAAGATACACTGTTATTGGAAGTACAGGGAAGGAAGAGTTAGCTTAATAATCAAGTTTCCTATTTCAGGAGGTAATGTTACAGCATCCTTGGGGTGTTGCTTTGCCAGCCAGAAACCTCTGTGGCCAATGGCGCCTTTGCCCAACTTTTGCTCTGGCCTGCTGGGCTCATTCCACCCACTCGGCCTGGCAGGTTACACATTACCGGCCTGGATCCCATACCTGCCAAGGGCGAGCCAGGCATGGGGTGGCGAGGGGTGTGTAAGCAAGGGTCCAGCCACTGTGCACAGCCAGGCACACTGGCTGCAATGGGAGAGGCAGAGCCTGATCTTTTGGCTTGGTATGACATCAGCCCCTGTTGCCATGGTGATGGAAGCCTGGCATACCATAAGCAGCCAGCTTCCACGGCTGACACTGGGGAACGTGATGGCTCCTGGAAGCTTAGAGATGCCAGGAACCACAGATCCCTAAAGAGGGTGTCACAACCCTGGCTCATTGAGCTCCTAGGTCTGGGTTCCCCAAAGGGCCACAGCTCTTCTCTCCTTATTGTCTTCTTTCCCTATTGTCGCCTGCAACATGGTGAGCAAAGGGCACGTTTCAGCCCTGTTTGTGTTACAGCTCTTTTAGCCCCGCCATTCGGCAGGTCCCGAATTCTTGTCCTGTGTCCAGGAAGAGTGAGGTATGCAGACAAGTGGAGGGTGTGCAAGGTGAAGAGATGCTTTATTGAGCGATAGAACAGCTCAGAGGAGACCCACAGTGGGTAGCTCCTCTCCATAGCCAGGGTGTTGTTCAGCTCTCAGCAGAGAGGGTGGCCCCTCTCTGCTAGGCAGGTCATCCCGATGAGTGTTCAGCTCCAACAGAGAGGGTAACTCCTCTCTACAGGCAGATCATCCCGTCCTCTCTTCTGGTCTGGCTGAGTCCGGGGCTTTTCATGGGCCTCAGAGGGAAGGAAGTGCATGCCAGTTGGTTCATGAGTGGACGTGGGCAGCCCAGAAAAAGCACTACAAATTCCCACTGCAGTCTGCGGGACCAGCAGCCTGGCCTCCATGCTTCAGGTCCTTCGTGGCTTGCAGGTGGGACTTCACCAGGGACTGACCATTGTCTGCCTAGGAGTCTGCCTGCTTCCTGCTTCCATTCATGGTGCCCAGGCTGTTCATGCCAAGGGGCACCTGCAGGCCAACACCAAGCTGCCCTTGGCCTGCCCCCTCAGCCTCCATCTCATGCTTGTCAGTGACCAAACCCAGTGTGTGGAGGGGACCAGGGTGCCAGGGGGCTGGCATGTCAGTGCTGCCTTGAGCATGCATACACGTGGCTGGGTTGCACCAGTGCCCAGGCTCAGCTTCAGCTTTGCTCCATGATCAGAGTGGGCACCAACAGCCAGGAGAAGCCAGACAGTGAGAGTAGGCACTTCCAAGCCTGCTGGGGAAGGAGGGACCTTCCTGGGCCCTCAAAAGTATAGAGATGCCTGGGTCTGCAGCCGAGGTTTGGGCAGCTGCAGCTATGCCTGGGAGGGCAGGGCTCCCGCCTGCTCCAGGCTCCCAAGAGCACAGGGGTGCCCAGGTTGCAGCCAGAGCTTGTGCAGCTGCAGTTGTGCCTGGGGAGCTCCCACCCTGCCAGCTTGCAAGGGGCAGGGCTTCTGCTTTTCCCCAGCTCCCCCCAGCTCCATGGAGTGCGCAGCCCTGGCCATGCCTCCTCTTTGCGTTTCCCTCACAGTGGCAGCGGGCAAGATGCAGGTGGCACAGTGGCCCCAGCCAACCCTGTGCAAACAAACCTGATGCTCCTGGGACCAGCCCTGCAAGTCTTGGCTGTGTCTTTGGCTGGGTTCTCACAGGCTCCTGGGATGTGGCAGGGAGCAAGATTGAGGCCACAGCAGAGGCTCTGGGCCTGGGAGAGTGGGTCCTGACCAGCCGTGCGAGGGTGGGGGTGGTGCAGTTGGCTGCCTCGGGGACATGGGCCACAGGGGTCCCACCGCCACCACTGCTGCTCCCATAGCTGCTCCTGCTGCCACCACCCATGCCTCCCCACTACAGCTGGCAGCTACAATGGATAGCCCACTGCTGCCACCAGTAAGATGGTATCTATCACTGGAAATTGGATATTACTGGGGTGTTTTATAGCCAGATTAATTTTTTCCTTTCTTTCCGTGAATTTCTAGAGTGCTGCCACTATTGTACTCAAGCACAATCTTTCTCAACCCTAGTTTGCTATCTAAGATGTCTATTTTCTTACTTTTTTTTTTTTTTTGAGACAGAGTCTCACTCTGTTGCGTCACCTAGGCTGGAGTGCAGTGGCATGATCTTGGCTCACTGCAACCTCTGCCTCCCAGGTTCAAGTGATTCTCCTGCCTCAGCCTCCCAAGTAGCTGGGACTACAGGTGCTTGCCACCACACCTGGCTAATTTTTGTATTTTTAGTAGAGAATGGGTTTCACTATGTTGGCCAGGCTGGTCTTGAACTCCTGACCTCAAGTGATCCGCCCTCCTCGGCCTCCCAAAGTGCTGAGATTATAGGCATGAGCCACCACGCCCAGCCTAAGATGTCTATTTTCTTAGTGCTGAATGTAAAGTCCTGGTGAAGCTGTAATTTCAAAGCTATTAGGCAAGAAGTGTTAACCTTGTAGAGAGCAATGGATGACCCCGGTTAAGACAAATGTCATGAGAGTTGTAAATTTAACAAATTCTTAATCTCAGTGGATCCTGTCTGCTGAGTCACTCCTAATGCCTTTTGTATATTTTCTGTAATCTCAACAGTGTGCTTTGGCAGTAGAAAAGCGGTAGTAATTTTTCCTCTCACTTTATAATTAGAAAAGTAGAGTTACAAAGGCCATGACTTGCTGTTAAAACCACAAATAACTGAAAAGATGGCTAACATTTCTTGAGCACTACCATGTGCCTGGTTAGTAAAAACAAATGTTAGTACGTACGTTATTTCACATTACATTTCTGATGTCAGTAGTATTTATCCCTGTTCTAGAAGAGATATTCTTGTTTTCTGAGTTTTGAGAAAACTGAGCTTATTTATTCCACAATTATTTAAGTCTACTCTGTGGCAGGCACAGAGCACTAGGCAATGGGTATTCAGTGATGAACAAAGCAAACTCTGCCCTTATGGAATTTACAGTCCATCGGGGAAGACACAATAAAAAACATAAATATTCAATTACAGAATATGATAATGTTATGAAAAATTCAAATGGAAAAACGATGATAAGATTTATCATTTAGATAAAGGATGTTCAAGAAGGGCCTCTCTAACGTGGTGATATATTTAAGGGATTTGCTTAGGATCACACATCTATTAAGTGATAAAGTTCAAGTCTGATTTCCAAGGCTATGCTCACCATGCCATTTTGCCTGTCAGATATGTACTTGGAATCCACCCCAGGGTTGTGACTCACATCTCTGGTCATATAAGCATTCATACCATGACACTGTACCAAATTTTCAGAAGAGGCATTATAAAATTTATAAATAATAAAATTATTAATAATAATAATTCTTTCAAAAGAAACCTGTCTCCTAAAATGCTTCCTTTTTTTTTTTTTTTTTGAGACGAAGTCTTGCTCTATCGCCCAGGCTGGAGTGCAGTGGCGTGATCTCAGCTCACTGCAAGCCCCGCCTCCTGGGTTCACGCCATTCTCCTGTGACTACAGTCGCCCACCACCACGCCTAGCTAATTTTTTTGTATTTTTAGTAGAGATAGGGTAAAATGTTTCTTTAAGGAGAGCCCAGGAGGCAGCAGGGACAAGGGAAAGAGAAGAAAGGGCTATAAACAGTATATGAATTTCAATAAATTATAGAGAGAGACACAGCTCCAAAGAAGCTGAAAATCTGCTCTAGCTGCACTAGGTGCATTTGCATGAGGAAGTGCCCTCCTATCATGCATGAGCTGGGGCTGGAAATTCCACTTTGGATCAACATCTTACTTCCTGGTCTTACTTGAACTGAATTTGCAGGGCCTGGTCCAGGAGCTGAGCAGAAGACTGCTCATGGAGGAACCTGACTACGAAGTGTCAGATGATGGTTAGATCCTTAAGGTATCTGGAAAGAATGTGGGTGAAAGGGAAACTGTTCTTGGGAAGGGAAAGGACCAATGTGAACAATGAAATACAACCTTGAATTTGAATGCTATGGTCTTCTTCTGAGTCCAGTGCAATGCCGTTTTGGCTAAGTTTTTTTTGTTGTTGTTTTTGTTTTAGGGTTTTCCAACAGAGTTCTTCTGAAATGCCCTTTGCTCCAAAAGAATCTGTCCACTTATTCTTTTTGCCCCAAAGAAATAACAGCAGTTCTTAGGCTAGTCAGATTCTGTAGAAGTGTGATGCAGTTTTTCTGATTCTGGATTATAAACCTGCTTAGATTTGAATAATGCCTAGTGGGAATTTCTGTTTGGAAAGGTTTCATATACCATAGTCATATATGCATCTTACCTGATGATTGGTTGTAAAGATTATAGATTGACTTGATCCTGGCAATCTGACATTTTAGTCAAGAGTTATAATAATGATCAAATGCTTTGACCCAGAAATCTAACTCTTGAATATTTCCTCTGAGGAAATTATATTTTTTAAAAAGGATATGTACTAAAATTTTAATGAATATTTTAGTAATGAGAGGAGGGAATGGTTAAGTAAACTATGGTAATATAGTGAAGCCATTAAAGTGAAAAACTTAATTAAAACTATATAGTTCCATGAGAAATTGTATAATTAATATTAAATGAATGGAAAAAAATTAAGTTGCCTCTCTACCTCACTCTGTGACAAAATATAGATGGATCTGAGAATTAAGTGTAAAAAATTTGACACCACAAGGAAGATCATGTAGGAGAATTTTTTTATAATCTTAGAGTAGGGAGGATCTTTTTATGACACAAAACCCAGAAACAATAAAAGAAAACATTGCTAAATTCAAGTACATAAAGTCAAAAAATCTACATTAAAAGATCTTATAAACAAAGTCAAAACCACAGGTTGGGAAAAAGACTTTCAACACATGACAAAGAGCTATTTTCTATAATACATAATGTGTTCTATAATATTTTTAGATTTTTAATATTTATGTATACATAGTAGGTATATATATTTATGGGATAAATGAGGTATTTTGATACTGGCATACAATGTGTAATAATCACACCAGGGTAAATGGGGTTTCAATCACGTCAAGCATTCATCATTTCTTTGTTACCTGCCAATTCAATGTGATATCAGACTTATTTTTATCTTTGCCTGTTTGAGAGGTAAAAACAATGTATTAGATATGAGAACTATTGAATATTTTTTTCAAATGTTGAGGAGCCATTTGTATATCTTTTTCTTCTGTGAAAGTCATTTAACTTCTTTTGTGTATTTTTCTATTGTGTTTCTGATATTTAAAAAATATTATATCAAGTTAATTTGTCATCAGTTTAAAATAACGGGTTACAAGATATTATTTGCAACCTTCATGGGTAACCTCAAAGCAAAAAACCTACAATAGATACACAAAAAACATAAAGCAAGACATTAAAACATAACATCAAAGAAAATAACTTTCAAAAAAGGGAGGGTAGGAAGGGAAGGAGGCAGGGAGGGAGGGAGGGAAGGAGGCAGGGAGGGAGGGAAGGAAGGAAGGGAGGGAGAGAGGGAGGGAGGGAAGGAGAAAGGGAGGGAGGGAGGGAAGGAGAAAGGGAGGGAGGGAAGGAAGGAAGGGAGGGAGAGAGGGAGGGAGGGAAGGAGAAAGGGAGGGAGGGAGGGAAGGAGAAAGGGAGGGAGGAAAGAAGGAAGGGAGGGAAGTAGGGAGGGAGGGAAGGAGGGAAAGAGAGGGAGGGAAGGAAGGGAGGGAGGGAGGAAGGAAAGAAGGAAGGAAGGAAGGAAGGAAGGAAAAAAAAACAGAAAACAAATAACAAAATGACAACAGTAAGTCCTTACTTATCAATATTAACATTGAATGTAAATGGACTAAACTCTGCAATCAAAAGACATAGAATAACCAAATAGAGAAAAAACAAGATCTAATGATCTGTTGCCTATAAGAAACACACTTCACCTATAAAGACACATATAGACTAAAGATAAAGGAATGGAAAAAGATATTCCATGCCAATGGAAACCAAAAAAGAGCAAGGGTAGCTATACTTATATCAGATAAAATAGATTTCAAGACAAAAACTATAGAGACAAAGAGGACTATTATATAATGATAAAGGAATTAATTCAGCAAGAGGATATAACAATTGTAAATATATATGCACCCAACATTGGAGCACTCAGATATATAAAGCAAATATTATTAGAGTGAAAGAGAGAGATGAACCCCAATACAATAATAGTTGGATACTTCATCATTCCACTTTCAATATTGGAAAGATCATCCAGACAGAAAATCAAAGAAACAGCAGACCTAATCTGCACTATAGACCAAATGGAACTAATAGATATTTACAGAACATTTCTTCCAATGGCTACAGAATACACATTTTTTCTCAGCATATGGAGCATTCTCAAGAACAGACCATATGTTAGACCACAAAACCAGTCTTAACAAAGTAAAAGAAAAAAATGGCTGGGCTCTGTGGCTTACACCTGTAATCCCAGCACTTTGGGAGGCCGAGGCAGGTGGATCACCTGAGGCCAGGAGTTCAAGACCAGCCTGGCCAACATGGTAAAACTCTGTCTCTACTAAAAACACAAAAATTATCTGGGTGTGGTGGTGCACACCTGTGATCCCAGCTGCTCGGGAGGCTGAGGCACAAGGATCGCTTGAACCTGGGGGAAGTTGCAGTGAGCTGAGATCATGCCACTGTACTCCAGCCTGGGCAGTAGGGTAAGACTGTCTCAAAAAAAGAAAAGAAAAAACTGGAAAACCAAAAAAAATTGAAATCAAGTATCTTCTCTGACCACAATGGAATAAAACTAGAAATCAGTAACAAGAGGACCTGTGGAAACTATATAAATACATGGAAATTAAACAGTATGCTCCTGAATGACCAGCAGGTCAATGAAGCAGTTAAGAAAGAAATTTTAAAATTTCTTGAAACAAATGGGTAGAACAAAATTTTATAGCCATCATTCATTTATTCAAACATTACTTAAAGGAAAAACAGGGCCAGGCTCACGCCTATAATCCCAGCACTTTGGGAGGCCAAGGCAGGAGGATCACTTGGGTGCAGGACTTCAAGATCAGCCTAAGCAGCATAGGGAGACTCCATCTCTACCAGAAATTTAAAAAATTAGCTGGGTATGGTGATTCCAGCTACTCAGGAGGCTAAGGTGGGAGGATCCCTTGAGTCCAGGAATTCAAGGCTGCAATGAGCTGTGATAGCACCACTGCACCCTCACCTGGGCAACAGAGCGAGACCCCATGTCAAAAAAAACAGAAGATAGCTTTTATCCTCAAATGCTCAAAGCCTAGAAAGACAGATTTATAAGTAAAATGATTGAAATACAGTGTGGTAAGTACAGTAATAGAGAAAATGTGTATAATAGGTACAGTTGCGGCACAAGAAGAGAATAGTCCATTCCTTGCCAAATTTGAAAAATGAGCAAAACTTACATATACGCTCTGATTACAACTACATAAAAACTATATATAAATAAATAACAAAAGAAGAATGAAAACACACAAGAGGCCTTAAGTATAAACAGTTGCAGCTGAGCACAGTGGCTTACACCTGTAATCTCAGCACTTTGGGAGGCCGAGGCTGGTAGATCACCTGAGGCCAGGAGTTGGAGACAGCCTCGCCAACATGGCGAAACCCCGTCTCTACCACAAATACAAAAAAAAAAAACTTAGCTGGGCGTGGTGGCACATGCCTGTAATCCCAGCTATTCAGGAGGCTGAAGCAGAAGAATCACTTGAACCCAGGAGGCAGAGGTTGCAGTGAGCCGAAATCGCACCATTGCACTTGAGCAACAAGAGCAAGACTCCATCTTAAAAAAAAAAAAAAAAAAAGATAAACAGTTGCATTCTGGTAGTGAGATGGCAAGAAGTGTCAAAGTTGTTTTATTGGTATCTTACAGTGAAAATTTTTAAAATTCACTTTAGACTTAAAAATAAGCTGGGATTCTTTGGAGTCTTACATCTAGATTAGCGTCTCTTATTTGTAATCTTAAAGATGAAAATATAGGAAATACTGTATTTGCCCTAAGTTAATACAGGAGAGAAAGAGGTTTTTATCACACACATCCTTTTACCTTTCCCCTCCTCAATTTAAGTCTGAATCTCTGCAGGCTACTGTGAAGAGCCTTGGAACTGAGTAGCGTATAGGTTATGTCTGCAGACGTGTTCAATGTCCTTTGGGGGAGGTTTCTTTCTACATGTAACTGCTTTTTTCCTTCTCAAATTTCTTTAACAGTAGCAGACCCTCACCCGGGTCTGCTAGATGCCTTAAAGGTGAGCTGCAAAGCAGCCACGACTATATCAAACAATTCTGGCACCCAGAATTTATGGCTTATCCTGTTATGAGCTCCATATAACAAGTAAAAATTAAAATCCACTGGCACGTTAATCAAATGTAATGTTGCTGTGTAGTAATAATTTAAATTCTACTATGCAAAGTTATGCCCAGGACTTATGATCAGCCTCCATCTCTCATTGTCATGCATTAAAGCACTACTGCTTCATTTCCTTTCCCATTTGTGGTTTCCACTAGTCTGGTTCTACATCTCTATCTTGAACTAATTAAACTGGCTCAGACTGGAGCAGCTATACCAGGCATAATACCAAGAGGAGAGCAGAACTGGCCTGGGTACTCCTTCACTGACTGTATTTACTCTTTCTTGCCTGACCCCTATGTCTTAAGGGCATGTCCTTAGCTCCCATTTCTTATGTATATTATTACCTTTCACTCATTTATTCTTTTAACCAATATGTGCTGAGTACCTCCTATGTGCTAGACACTGCAGTGGTTGCTGAGGATATGGTGGTGCATGTGATAAACCATAAACATGATTCTTCCCTTTGAAACTTATACTCTAGTGGAGAAAGGTGGGATTAAACAGCTAATTATGCAGTGAAATTTTAAATTATGATCAATTCTGCAAATCGGAAAGTATACAATACTATGAGAATATAGCAATCAGGGACCTAACCTGGCTTGGGGGAAAAAGTGATGTTAAGGTTCATGGTCAAGGGAAAGCTTTCTTGGGGAAATGGTATTTTGAGTTGTACTCTAATGATGAGTTGAAGTCAACCAGGGAAAAGTTAGGTGGGGAAGACACGAATTAAAAACTTACAGATCAGGAAACTGGCACATTCAAGGAACTGACAGAAGGTCAGTAAGGCTGGAACAAAGAAAATAAGGGAGAAAATAACTCAAGCTGGTGCTGATAAAGTCAGCAAAAGGCCAGATGCTGCAGCCTTATAAACTAAGTCAAAAATCTTGATCTTGGCTAGGTGCGGTGGCTCACACCTCTAATCCCAGCACTTTGGGAGGCCGAGGCGGAAGGGTCACCAGGTCAGGAGATCAAGACCATCCTGGCTAACACAGTGAAACCCCATCTCTACTAAAAATACAAAAAATTAGCCAGGTGAGGTGGCGGGCACCTGTAGTCCCAGCTACTCGGGAGGCTGAGGCAGGAGAATGGCATGAACCTAGGAGGCGGAGCTTGCAGTGAACCGAGATTGCACCACTGCACTCCAGCCTGGGCGATAGAGCGAGACTCTGTCTCAAAAAAAAAAAAAAAAAAAATCTTGATCTTTATTTCTTGGACAACAAAAAGCCACTGAAGAGTTTTCAGCTGGGGAGTGACCAGGTTGAGATTTTTTAAAAATATTTGCCTGTCTTTGCTATGGAGAATGGGCTTCTATATGAGCACAACTATTTCCCCAGCAATCAGTACAATGTCTAGCACATAGGAGGTACTCTGTACATATTGGTTAAAAGAAGAATAAATGAGTGATAGGTAACGTATACACAATAAATGGAAGCTAAAGTCATACCCTGAAGAAAGAGGTCAGGCAAGGAAATGTGAATACAGCAGCGAAGGAAGAACCCAGGCTCCCTTCTTCCCTCTCTCCTCTCTCCATATATATATGTACAGACACACACACACACACACACAAGCCATCGACAGTTGGGGCTTCATATCCCTGTGATTTAGTTTGGTTAACTCACTTGTCAGGGAATGGAGCTCTTAATAAAAGGGAAGTTGGCAGAATAGTAGTATGGTGTTATGGTGTGGTGGTAAGGAATGTATATGACCCTAGTTAAGTTACTTTTCTTCTGTCTTAATTTCTTCATCCAAGGAATGGAAATGATAAATAGTATACCTACCTTGGAGGGAGGATTAGTGTGAAGATTAAATGAGATAATGGTTGCAGAGCACTTCGACTAAGGCCTGGCACATTGTTAGCCTTTAATAAACAGCCACTATTACAGTCTAACAATCTCATGAAAGGTTCAGATGTCCCTCTGAGATCCACCCACTTTTTGTGGCTCATGGAATAGCACTCCATTCATGGGTCACATGTGGACTTGTCTAGCCTACACTAATGGACTTTAGGACTCTAGTCTCAAATGGTACAGAAACATGTATATGGTTTAATTTTACAAATGTCATTTGGAGATGGAAATGGAAGCAGAAGGGTTGCTTACTTTAACGCCACTGGGGTTTTGCTTTGAAGCTGGCTTTTCACAAACACCAATGAAAAGGTTCTGTCACTTGCAGGAAATGACAGAATGTAGTTAGTTGCTTGGAAATGTCTGTGTGTCTTTGTTTCCCACAATACTAGGTAACGTCTGTAATTATACTGCTGAACAAAGCTTCAGGTTGATCAAGGTTAATTGTTGATAGTATTTGAAATGTTAATAATGTCTCCCCAAAAACTGCTTTACCAAAATAGATTGTTCTAGCTTCACAAAGGATTTAAATACCATTGATTTATTTCATTCAGCAATATGTAATTCTAGGCCTGGAAACTGGGATCTTCTGATTTAATATTTTCTAAGGAATTGGTACCCAGAAAATGTGTATTCTCTTCTGCTTTAAAGTTTGGCAAATCACTTGCTTCCAGGGATTCTCACTGTCTTTAGCCTTTTCTCTAAAACACACATTTCTGCTTTTGATCCATTTTTGTGGAACTAGGAAGAGGGGTTAAAGCATGCCATCTTTCTGTAGGAGTCCTAGGGAGTTTTGAGTGGTTGGGAATCTATTCTAAAAGTTCACAGTAGATTCAGACCCTGCTGAGAAAGTCTTTACTTTGTATTTAAATTTGTTGTGTAGCTTAAGAAGATAAAAGAGCAGGATTCTTAAGGGGGTTTTGCTGCCAAGTGCTACGAAAGGAAAAATTAAAAGTTTCTTGTGTAGTCAATGAGAGTTCATTGCAATCAAGATCACTTACTGAATTTGTTAAAGACTTCCTGTGATGGCAGGGTTCACAGATGATCAATAATTCTGTTTTTGTAAATACAGGTGAGTTTTGTATCTTATCCTTTATCTAGTCTAACATGATGGCTCTACCTCCATGGCTGCCTTTTCTGTTACTTAGTTCTCTAAGTGAAGAACCAAAAGCATCAGCTAAATTGTTCTAGTAATTAGGAGAGTGTTAGGAATTGGCTAGAAATACAGCTTAACCCAGCTATGGCAGGAAGGTAAGCAGAGGTTCTATCATATGTAATTATCCTCTTTAAAATGGTTAAGAAATGTATTAGATAGCATTACTACTAAAACCTAAGGCTTATATTGATTTAGAAAAACATTCACATTACAGATATTGTAGCTATGCTGGGGTTTTTTTTTTTTCTGTACTCATTCATTCTATTTATTTTTTCCCTAAATTATTTCTTCATTGTTTTGTGTTTGTCCTTTCCAGCTTCAAAAAGCTATACTGAGGGATATGCCAAGTCATAATGCATATTACCTGGAACTTCCTGGAAACCAAGCATTTTATTCCTGTGGAAATGTGTTTAGCCAAGTTTTAGAAGAATGACAAAGTGAGAAAACCAAATTTATTTTTATTGCTGTTGACTATTACTTAAAATAGGAAAAGGAGCTTAATTCTTGGGCTTCTTTATCACTAACTTAGTATGTTCCAAGCACTGTTCTAGTTGCTTGAGATACAAAAACAAAAATTGCTGTCCTTCTGAAGTTAGTAATCTGATGCCTGTTACCATTTCACCCTCTGCCCCTGCCAAGGAAACAATCAAACTGGGATTTAAATCCTAGCACTACTATATGCTGTCTGTGACTGGGAAGTCATTTATCTTCTTTGAGCCTTTTACTAGTAAGAAGCCTGGTAATCATGTTGCCATTTTATCATTTATATAAGCATCTCAAGAATAATTTGTTAGCAGTTCATTCTGCAAGAGGGAATTTCCTTGTAACTTGCTTGGATTTGTACTCAGAAGTGCCTTATGCAAAATAAGTTAAAGAAGTTTTGTCCCAGCATTTACCCATATGTGTTCCCTAGTGTGTATTTTTACAATTGACCTGGCTTAACATCAGCAACAATTTGTAGTATGACACCAAGACTACATAGGTTTATATTTATGGAATTTAGTCTCATACATGTCATCAGAGTTGAGGGGAATGATGAAGGAAATGAAAAAGTCGAGCTCTCTTGGTAGGTAGCTGCTACCTTTTGGTATAGTCTTCATCTTTTCCTTTTGGGAACTGTGTCTACTTTACTCCATCTGATTCTGGTAGGGCTGAGAATCACTCGGCCTTGCTTTTCTACCACTGGATGGTCATATGTCCATAGACCCATGTCAGGCTGGTCAATCAAAGCACTCCTCTTCCCTGGATATTATGGTGGCACATGACCCAAGCAGGGCCACTGTCATTTTGAGAGATGGATATAGGTCTCTCTGGAGGTAAAAAGGGTTAATTTTTTTCTGGACTCTGATTAAAAGGATGATATATGCTTAGTGTGGTAGGTGGTCATCTTACCACCACACAGAGACAGTCTACCTAAGAATAAGAAGAAAGCAAAGTCAAAGAGAAAGAGTGGAAAATAAAGACCTAATAACATCAATGCATTTCTGAATCCCTGTTGAATTTACCAGTTAAATAAACTACTATGTTTTTTGTTTCTCTTGAGTCAGATTGCTTGCAACTGAAAGCATCTTGTATAATACAATATCCTTATCTATGATTGTAGTCATCGTTTGCATTTGTCAATATTTTTGGTTCTCCTTCTCCATACTGGTAGGATTATGTTTCCTTGGGAACTGACATGGTCATGTGACTGTTTCGGCAAACAAAATATAAGTGGTTTTTGTCACTTCTAGGTGGAAGCTTTTAAGTCTTAAGAGCTGTTGCATAATTCATTATATTCCATTTTCCCTGTCACAGTGACCAGTCAAGATGAGAGAGAACAACATGGAACAGAATATCCACCAACCTAGGATGGACATGTAACATAAATGAGAAACTGTTGTTTTCAGTCACTAAGATTTTGATGCTTTGTGTTTTTGCAGCCCCTCTGACTAATACCTGTATGGAATACATTGTTCTATATTAAATTTTTCTAAACACTTCAGGTGAAAAAATATCTTAATATAACATCTAAAAACATGAATGTCTACAGAATTAGGTTATTAAAATATTTAATATATGTAGCTATTCTTGTTCAGAATTAAGAGTAGGCCAGAGGTAAGCAGCAGTATTTCCTGGTTTACCATACAGGAACTAAACCTGCTTTTAGGGCTGTGACCTCTGACCAAATTATAGTTTGCCTTGTTTCGTATCATGTGGCAGGACAAAGTCTATAATGACAGGTGTTTAAAACTCAGACACTATGTAAGCACTCTAGCCTTGCCCATAACAATTCCTCTTATGTGGGCAGGACAATGATGGCGTCTTCCGACCAGGCCTTGCTATCTGAAAATAGAGAAATGTTTCAAGGACAGATTAAACAAAAGCCTGATTTGCAGCCATGTAGTATCAGTATTGAGGCCTTGAAATTAACAGCCCTTGTCAGATAACCATCAAGGAAGGTCCCTCTAGTCTTCAAAGTAAGTATATACTACAGACAGCAGTGAGCTCTGTGGGCATGAACATCCTCTTTAAGCCATGTTAGAGTATTACGGGCAATGCCATTTGTTCATGCCACATAAAACATGTCATCTTTTCTCCCACTTCTGCAATCCTGGACTTCAAAGGCAATGTATTAAATTTTTTTACTGAAATTTTATGGAATATTTTGCTAAATATTTGTATAATTATTATAATCTTTGTATTGGATTCTCCAGCTTACATGAAGGATAGCATATTCTCATGGGCAGAACATACTAACCTGTCATTTAACCTTTGGGTACTTTAATTTCTCTGCCTCTAAAAGGAAATAAACATTTCTCTTCCTCTCCTACTTCTCCTTGATTGTGCACATAGGAAAATGTGGTATATAATGTATTTGTCAGGACTATTGATTGAGAGTAATAGAAACTGTCCGTAGGAAAATAAAGATTTGTTGGTTCATGTAACTGGGAAGTGTAAGGGATAAATTTAAGGTATGACTGGATTCAGGGCATCAAATTATTTCATCGAGGTAATCTCTCTTCACCACATACCTCTGCTTTTTTCTATGTTGGTTTCATTTTTGTACAGGCCCTCCCTATAAGGCAATGAAAAAAACAGCCATCTATAACTCTAGTTGTACATTTTATCAGCTAAGCCACCCTAATGGAAAGATATCTTTTTCTTCAGTAGTTCTAGCTGGAGAATACAAAAGGATGGTTCCCTGCAAGAAAATAAGTTATTATCAGAAGAGGAATTGATGGGGCAGGCAAAAACAACAAATGTTCATTACATATAAATTCAAAGTTGTAAAGTGTACAGCTATGCTACAGGCACAGTTGTCTGTAGCAGACACAGCAGGTTGAATACCCTATATCCATTCTCTACTGCCATTCCTAAAAACTCGGTTTTGTTCAGGTTGGTAGGTATCCATTTCCTCCAGGTAGCCGAATACCTCAAGGGAAACTGACCAAGCCCTATCCCATGAATCCTGATTAGACCCAGCCAGTCAGAGGGTGCCATCCCCTTGCCAGAGGTTGGCTTAGGCATGAGCATGTGATCCACTTCAGGGCAGTGAAATGAGAGGGGAAGCTTGGGAGTCTGGGAGGCTTCTGGGACAATTTTCCTTGCACTTAAAAAGACACAGGGGAGGGTCTGTTTTTCTCAGGGCCTGTTGGGGATGTATGTGATGAACCTTGACTGTGGCAGTCATCGTGATGCCATATTAGCCTGAGAGCAATGCTGACACAATCAGGATGGCATAGCACAAAGATAGGGAAACTGCATCTTTGATAAAGTTCAGCCACTGAAGTAACCAACTGTGGTCCTTTTGTTATGTAAGATGATAGTTTTCCTTATTTAAGGCATGTTCAGGTAGTTTTGTTTTTGTTTTTGTTTTTACCACTTGTGACTGAAAAATATCATGACTAGTAAGTAGAGATGTTGTGGGTTCCTCAGTCATGAAAGAAGCTCTTAGAGGGCTATATAGTTCCACTAGACCTAGAACAGTGCCTTGTACATAGTTGAAGCTCAGTTGTCTTTATTTGTATTTGTAATTTAAGCACTAAAAAATAAAACACCTTTCTTCTGTAGCAATTCAGTATAAAAGCCTTTAGATGGGATTAAACAAAATAGATGTCTTTGAGTGGGCAGCAAGGCCCAGTGTGGAATTTTTTTTTTTTTTTTTTTTTTGAGACAGAGTCTCACTCTGTTGTCCAGGCTGGAGTGCAATGGCATGATCTCGGTTCACTGCAACCTCTGGCTCCTGGGTTCAAGCAATTCTCCTACTTCAGCCTCCCGAGTAGCTGGGATTACAGGAACGCGTCACCACACTCAGCTAATTTTTGTATTTTTAGTAGCAATGGGGTTTCGCCATGTTGGCCAGGCTGGTCTGGAACCGCTAACCTCAAAGTGATCTGCCCACCTTGGCCTCCCAAAGTGCTGGGATTACAGGCATGAGACCGCACCCGACCCCAGTGTGGAATATTGGTGCCCAAGTGGGTTAGGAGGGCATCCGCATGGGGGAGGTACCCTGGAGTTCGATGTTAGAGCCTAAGCAGGGTGAGGGAGTTACTGCAGAGAGAAGGGATTAGAGGGTGGCCCAATGTGGGGTGTTAGAGCTGGAGGAATGTAAGGAAGGCATCATCCACACAGAGGAACATTAGCCCAGTGCAAGGGTCAAAGCCTGAGGTGGGTGAAGAAAATACCTGCTTTATACTGTTCTGGAAATTCTTCTATAAGTTTGTAATCATATGTACCCAAAATGTACCTGTATTTCATTTTGTAAACTGTCACAAAATTAATATTTCCAATGCCTCATATGTTTTTAAAAAATATGAAACTATTATTTATTTGAATATATTACATGAAACTCCTCAAAGACATCTCTGATTAAAGCAACTTTGCCATCACAGAAAGTCAGTTTATTTTCTATAATGTATATATTTTACTAATTATAATCTATACTGCCTTTCATCTATATAGATGTTTTTTATTTTAATTTTCAGTGGAATAGAACTAAAGAAGTTTATTTTTTCACAACTGTTCTCTGGTACTCTTTTTAGGTTTCAAATGCAATCTGATAAAAATTGTATTTTGAGGAAAAAATATCAGGCACACTGCTATCCCTCCCAAACTCTTTGAGTTTTGTAAACAAAATTTTCAGTTCACCACTAATACTGACACCACAGCACAGTACAGTGAATTCACTTTGCAGATGTGATTAGGTAGTGAAGATTATCCCTACCTTATTAGTGATAAATATGGTCAGTCTTAGCTCCCATCGTGATATTTGCGTAGAACTAGAGCCAGGAAAGCCAAGAGTACTGTCCGTTAAAGTTGCTTTTGTGGAAATAGGAATTGGAGGAAACTAGGACCAGAAGAAAGGAAAGTTTAAGAGTCCCTGGCTCAGCTGGATGAGGTGGCTCACATCTGTATTCCCAGCACTTTGGGAGGCTGAGGTGGGAGGATCACTTGAGCCCAGGAGTTCAAGACCAGCCTGGGAAACATGGCAAGATTCCGTCTCTACAAAAAATTTAAAAATGAGCCAGGCGTAGTGATACACGCCTGTAGTCCCAGCTACTTGGGAGGCTGAGGCAGGGGGATACCTTGAGTCCAGGAATTCGAGGCAGCAGAGAGCTATGATTGTGCCACTGTACCCCAGCCTAGGTGACGGAGTGCGACCTCATCTCAGAAAGAAAAAAAAAAGGGTCCCTGGCTCATACGAAGTTTTTTTCAATGATTATATGACATCATTTTAACAGTAGATTCTCATATCTAGAAATATCTTTTCATATCTTAAAATTTGCTTAACTTAATGAAGCCAAGGAAGTGCAGTACTCATTTACTAAATGCCAGTCTCAGGTGACCTGGTAAGTCACTTATCACTGGAGATGCTGAAGGGGATGGGCTTGTGTACACAGAGGTAGCAGCATCTTTGAATTCACAGGACAAATGCATTGAATGATAAGACACTGATGAATCTGGTTCCATCTGTGATCATATTAAGTGTGGCCTTTGCCCTTACTTAGCTACAAATTTGACCCAGGTTACTGTTTAGCTCATGTTTCCAGTTTCTTATGACCATGAATTCCAAGGTTTATAGATATTCTTTTGATTCTTAAAATAGACTTGGTTTGGCAGCTCGGGCCTGTAATCCCAGCACCTTGGGAGGCCGAGGCGGGCAGACTACGAGAGCAAGAGATCGAGACCAGCCTGGCCAACATAGTGAAACCCCGTCTCTACTAAAAATACAAAAAGATTAGCTGGGCGTGATGGCGTGTGCCTGTAGCCCCAGCTACTCAGGAGGCTGAGGCAGGAGAATCACTTGAACCCGGGGGCAGAGGTTGCAGTGAGCCGAGATCGCGCCGCTGCACTCCAGCCTGGCAACAGAGCGAGACTCCACCTCAAAAAAAAAAAAAAATAGACTTGGTTATCAGGTTAGTTGATTGGTTGGATTTTTATTCCTTAAAAGCTGTATACTGTATCAGAAGTTTTCCTACTCCATGGTTTTTCATCATTTTTAAGTCCTTACTGATTTTTCCCTTTCCTTACTTAGAATTTTTTTTTTTCATAATTTATTTGCTCCAATAACTCGCTTGTTCAATAAATATTTGTTGAGTACCCATTAAGTGCTTTACTCTTAGTAAATATGGAGCTGGGTGTGATGGCATATGCCTGGAGTCCCAGCTACTTGGGAGGCAGAGGCAGGAGGAGCCCAGGAGTTCAAAGCTCCAGTGAGCTATGATTGCACCACTGCACTCCAGCCTGGGCAACAGAGTGAGACCCCCCTCATAAACAAATAAATAGATAGATAAATAAATAAGATGTGAATGCATGTAATTTATAATACAAGGAAGAAGATAAAGGCGAGAAGAAAGAACAGGACTTTAGGAAAGGAGGGCTTATACCCAGTTGAAGATCAGAGACTTTGAATTTTGCATTATTTTTCTTCCTGAAAAGCAGGAGCCAAGTCTTTGATGAAAGGGGGTCAAAACAAAATATGTTTTTGACTGAGATATTTCCCTGGGATGCAGTGCTAAGAATAACTTGATATGGTTTGGAATTCATGGACTCTTCAGATGCTTTTAGAGGGCATATGAGAGAAATGAAAGTGTCTGGAGTTCTTACGGTTGATTCCCCCAAGTAGAAGAGGCAGAAATTTCTGCATAGTCCAAGTACCCCTGGGAAGAGAGAGGTGACAAGGGGCTGAATTTAATCGAATCTGCACTGCATATGTATTGGAATTTTTATTTCTAGCTAGTTTTCTAGTAGACTTCTTTAGAATTAAAAATCTAAAGTCTACATTCATGGCCTCTGGTTGAGGTGGTCTCCAGGGCAGCACTCTTTGTATCAGAAATTCAGTGTGCATGTTTTGTTTAAATTTGCTTTATTCTGTAAACAGATGATGAGGAATGAAAGGAAGCTGGGGAATACTTTCTAGAAGGGAGTTTTTACTGTAGATAGCATAAGAGTTTAGACATGGGGTATGCTGTCAGTGTGTATGCATTACCAACACCAGAAGTAGTATTGTATTTCCTATTTGTAGTTGTAATTTTACTTTTGCTTATGTGTTCATTTGATTGCTTCTTTCATCAGACTGAAGCAAGGACTCGATCTGTTTTATACCAGCAGCTAGCACAGTGCCTGGAGAAACTTAAGAGATAGCTCTTGAATGAATGGACATGTCCCATGTTCCTGTGGTGAATTAATTTTGCAGAATCTTAGAGTGTTAAGAGCCAATACAGAAACAGATCTTTCTTTGCTCACACAGGCTTTTTAAAGTGAAGTATGAAACAAAAATTAGGTGTTTACAATCTGTGTTCTGCCCTTTAGTTCACATTTACTTTGACTCTTTACATTATTCACATAGCTATTATTATCATTAGGTCTTTAACCAGTACAAGGACAAGAACCGTGCCTTTGGAATTATTTGCCCATCCTCCCTGGTATGAAAATGTGAGGGGACTGGTTCACGTAAAATAGAAAAAATGGCAAACAACAAAGAGCAAGATGAGTACACCTTTTTAAATTTAGAATTTAAAAAGTAGATTTGTTTGACTTCACTGGAAAAATGTTTTTAAATATTTCTTATATTTTACTTATATGAAAATATTTTAAACCTTTCCTTATTACAGGCCAAGAAAGAAGTATTTATGAACTCAACATTGATTAAGTATTATCTATTCATTGCAGTTGTTCTAAAGGCTGAGGATCAGATCTGAATATTTTTACATAGCTTTTATAATTGTCCCAGGTAATGGTCTATTAATGACTGCCTACTTCCCAGTGGATTGTGCATACCAAGTATTCAATTCTGTGACTCCTTAAACATAGGAAAATTGGAAATTATCACTTTATAAAAAGCAGAGTCTCTGTGGAAGCACTTTGGACTGATAATGAATGTGCACGTGTTCACATAATACACATAGATAGAACTGAAAGCTATTCCTGATTTTCTTCAAAGCTTAGTTTTTCTTATTGTTAGTGTCTTAGATCTTGCAGAAAATATAGAACGAAACCATTTTGTGTGCCATCTCAATTTACTCTGATAGTTTGAGAGTTTTTTTTAATCTGCAGCATACTTTATAACTACCATCTTATTCCATATTTTCAGTTGACTATTTATTTTATACAAAATAGTTTTGTGTAATGTTTCATTTTACCAATGCTTAGTAGCCTTGGTTATTCCTTTCATGGGCTGTTCAAGGCATTGTTTATCAGGAAAGTTATGCTTCTTAGGAAATTAGGCAAGTAATATTTCCTGCTAGTTGCTCAAGGAAAGTGTTTACTGACCCCAGGATATGCTTGGGGAATGCTTTTCTACATTTGTGTTTGCTTCCAGGAATTGCATTTTTATGAAATTGCTGGTGCTTTTTTTTTCAATGGCGCGATCTTGGCTCACCACAACCTCCACCTCCCCGGTTCAAGTGATTCTCCTGCCTCAGCCTCCCAAGTAGCTGGGATTACAGGCTTGCACCACCACACCCAGCTAATTTTGTATTTTTAGTAGAGACGGGGTGTCTCCATGTTGGTCAGGCTGGTCTCAAACTCCCGACCTCAGGTGATCCGCCCGCCTCGGCTTCCCAAAATGCTGGGATTACAGGTGTGAGCCACTGCACCTGGCCACTGGTGCCTTTTTTTAAACAAAGAATTAAATTTTTTTTTTTTGTAGAGATGTGGTCTCGAACTCCTGGTCTCAAGCAGTCCTTCCGTCTCAGCCTTCCAAAGTGTTGGGATGGCCAGCTGGTGCCTTTTATTGATTCTTTTAATTTATACATACAGCTAACTCTCTATTGGGACTGTACAAGTTTCTCATGAAAAAAAATATTTAACTAATGACAATAAGGATAGATGTTTTCAAAGTTACTCTCATTTATATTAGAATAAGACATAAAGGAGGGGGCTTCCTATCAGGTGTACTCATCTTGCTCTTTGTTGTTTGCCATTTTTTCTTCCTTTTTCTCCCCAGCTCTGTTCAGTTTTGGGGAGGGGGCAGATCTAGATTTAAGAATACCCTTGGCGGGCTGGGCGCAGTGGCTTATGCCTGTAATCCCAACACTTTGGGAGGCTGAGGCGGGCAGATCATGAGGTCAGGAGATCAAGACCATCCTGGTTAACATGGTGAAACCCCGTCTCTACTAAAAATACGAAAAATTAGCCGGGCTTGGTGGCAGGCACCTGTAGTCCCAGCTACTCGGGAGGCTGAGGCAGGAGAATGGCATGAACCCAGGAGGCGGAGCTTGCAGTGAGCCAAGATCACGCAACTGCACTTCAGCCTGGGCGACAAGGCAAGAATCCATCTCTTAAAAAAAAAAAAAAAGGAAGAATACCCATGGTAGATTCAACCAACCATGGATTAAAAATATTCAGAAAATTTAAAAAATAGCAATACAATAATAAAAAATAATACAAATAAAAATACTGCATAACAACTATTTATATAGCACTTACATTGTTTTATGTATTATAAGTAATCTTGAGATGATTTAAAGTATATGGGAGGCAGGCACAGTGGCTCATGCCTGTAATCTTAGCACTTTGGGAGGCTGTAGTAGGAAGATTGCTTGAATCCAGGAGTTTGAGCCCACCCTGGGTAAATCAGCAAGATCCTGTCTCTACAAAAATAATAATAATAATAATAGTAATTAGCTGGACATGGTGGCACATGCCTGTAGTCCCAGTTACTCTGGAGGCTGAGGCGGGAGGATCCCTTGAGTCCAGGAGTTTGAGCCTGTAGTGAGCCATGATCTCACTGCTGCACTCCAGCCTGGTCAACAAGAACGAGACCCCTACTCAAATAAATAAATAAATAAAGTATACAAGAGATTGTTCATAGGTTATCTGCAAATATTATGCCATTTTACATAAGACACTTGAGCATCCACTCACTTTGGTATCTGAAGGAGGGTCCTGGAAACAATCCCTCATGGATATGGAGGGATGACTCTGTATTACTAATAGATAATGTAGGATAATTAGCAGAATAATATGACTGTATCATCATAGGCTTCCTGTAGTTATTTAGCTTGATTATAAAAATTCTAATGACTTTGAGTATCATGGATGAAGCATATTATGACTCCCTGAGGATGGCAGAAGGAAAGGATTGTATTGAAAAGTTGGTTATAACCATTTCTTCTCTCTTCAAGGGGATAAGATGCATCAATAAAGTGTTCTCAGACTTTAGATCATAAATGTTTTCTAAAGTAATCTCAAGATAAAAACAAAGAAGTCCAAGAAGAGAACTTCATGAGGCTTGTGTAAAATGGGAGGGTAAGGTATATGGGAGCCTTAAGGAAGTAAGAGTGAGGTTGGAGGAGAGAATGGAGAGGACAGTGTGGAAGTTGTTAAAGAAAAACAGTGGATATTGTTTTAAATATGTAGCGGAGCAGCTTTTGAGGTAGCTTTAGTGGTCTGTAAGCTGACAATGCATGATGCTGATTTTCAACAAATTGCAGAGGAAATTCAGATGACAGAGTGCTTCTCAGGAGATTTTACCCTTCTCTATATAATATTTTGTATTCGTGTAGTTTTACTTAGATTTATATTAGTGAGGGAGGTGCTTTCTTATTATACATGAGCTGGTGGGTTGTCAAGGTTAATAGTTCTGTAAGTATAATTAAAATCTTCCTGTATTAAGTTGCCAATTAATTTTTTCTTCTGTCATTTATTTTCATTAATAAAACCAGGAGTGTTTAACTGCAAAAGGCTGTTAGTAATTGGTCTCCTTATGATTTCCAGTGTGTTAGCAAGGATCACTAGCTAGGCCTAATTTATATTAGGGATGAGATCACATTCTGATTTCTGACTCCAAATTTTCTCCTTCATTTCCGTAAATTAAGCATGGAGGCTTTGAGTTTTTTTTTTTTTTAAGTGCAGAATCTTCTTTTTCAGTATTTTGTATTGGAAGCCCAATAAAGTTAAGTGACATGCCTTCAGTCCTAGAACTAGATCAAGGAATTAGACCTAGGAATCTTAAGCATCCGATCTTCTCTTCATATCTACTAACCTACCATACCCCCTAACATTTAGCTTATGTCTTAATTGTTCAATATTAATTAAACACAGGCTTGATTTTAAAGTTACATACAACAATCCTCTGCAGTGCTTCTCAAATCTTTCCACAAGAAATTTCTATAACAGTAGTGGAGAGTGAATAGGCAACCCCTGGCAGTCTGGGTATAGAAAATTTAAAGGAGCCCATTACCTGAATTTTTATGGTTTATTTTAAGCCTTATGTAAATGAATATATCTCTATAGATCTACCTCTATATCTGTTACTATAAAAATATTACTTCCCGTTAAGTAAATTTGATGCTCTGAGAATAAACTTTATATTCGTTCTTTGGCTTCCATAATCCCTACCGCACTGAGGTATGACCCTGGGATACTTGTACCCCAGTTTAAAAATCAGGGCTCTAGGCCAGGCATGGTAGCTCACATCTGTAATCCCAGCACTTTGGGAGGCTGAGGTGGGTGGATCACTTGAGGCCAGGAGCTCAAGACCAGCCTGGCCAACATGGCAAAACCCTGTCTCCACTAAAAATACAAAAATTAGCCAGATGTGGTGGTGCGCGCCTGTAGTCCCAGCTACTCAGGAGGCTGAGACGTGAGATTTGCTTGAACTTGGGAGGCTGAGGTTTCAGTGAGCCGAGATCACGCCAGTGCACTCCAGCCTGGGCAACAGAGCGAGACTCTATCCCCCCGCCCCAGAAAAAAAATAAAAAATAAACAATCAGGGCTCTAGAGAAAAAGGACATTGAATAGGATAGAAAAGATTGTGAATTTGAGCTGAGTTCACATGGCTGTAGCAGGAGATTAGAAGCTGCTGTACAAAGAAGGAGGAAAGGGAGAGTGTCATTTATTTAGGTAGCCAGCCACCTGCCAGCAGAGGCTTTCACTTGTTGATGATCTTCCAACTTATTAAGTCTCTCTTAAAACGTTGGTTAGATGATATGTGTATTCATCTACCTAATACCTCATAAGACATCTAATTAAGAAAAGGAACAGGCTGGGCACAGTGGCTCATGCCTGTAATCTCAGCACTTCGGGAGGCCGAGGCAGGCAGATCAGCTGAGGTCAGGAGTTCAAGACCAGCCTGGCCAACATGGCAAAACCCCGTCTCTACTAAAAAATACAAAAAATAGGGGCCAGGCACGGTGGCTAACACCTGTAATCCCAGCATTTTGGGAGGCCAAGGCGGGCGGATCACGAGGTCAGGAGGTTGAGACCATCCTGGCCAACATGGTGAAACCCCATCTCTGCTAAAAATACAAAAGTTAGCTGGGTGTGGTGGCCTGTGCCTGTAATCCCAGCTACTCGGGAGGCTGAGGCAGGGGATCACTTGAATCCAGGAGGCAGAGGTTGTAGTGAGCTGAGATGGAGCCACTGCACTCCAGCCTGGGGGCAGAGCGAGACTCTGTCTCAAAAAAAAAAAAAAAAAAAATACAAAAAATAGCTAGGTGTGATGGTGGGCGCCTGTAATCCCAGCTACTTGGGTAGCCGAAGCAAGAGAATCGCTAGAACCTGGGAGGTGGAGGTTCCAGTGAGCTGAGATCACACCATTGCACTCCAGCCTGGGTATCAACAGTGAAATTCCATCTCAAAAAAAAAAAAAAAAGAAAGAAAAGGAACAGTAATTTATACATTTTCCCCATCCCTAATTCACTTTCCCATTATAATATATGTAATATATGATCATTGTAGGAAGTTTAGAAAATATAGATGGTCATATATAAGAAAGTAATCATTTATAATTCACATACCAGAAGAAACCTGCTTCTTCCCCAGTAATTATTATTTTCTGCTCATGTTTTTATTTTAAATATATAATACTTAGGCAATATAAGCTAATGGCTTAATAAAGTTCTATTACGTGGCAGTTTTTTAATTTACTCAACTTCCCGGTTTTTGTACATTAAAGTGGCTTACAGTTTGTTTGCCATTATGAATAGTCTGCATAAACCTTTGATGATATCTGATTTCTTTTATTAGAATGCATTTTTCTAAGGTATCAAAAACATGGTCAATACTAAAGCTGTTGATACAGATTGCCCATTTTTCCTGATCCTTCGACAGTATTGCATATTATTGTTTTATCTTAAATGACTTTCTTTTTTTTTTTTTTTTTTTTTTTTGAGACAGAGTCTTGCTCTGTCGCCCAGGCTGGAGTGCAGTGGTGTAATCTCCACTCACTGCAAGCTCCGCCTCCCGGGTTCACGCCATTCTCCTGCCTCAGCCTCCCGAGTAGCTGGGACTACAAGCGCGCCACCACGCCCGGCTAATTTTTTGTATTTTTAGTAGAGACGGGGTTTCACCATGTTAGCCAGGACGGTCTCGAACTCCTGACCTGGTGATCCGCCCACCTCGGCCTCCCAAAGTGCTGGAATTACAGGCATGAGCCACCGTGCCCGGCCTTTTTTTTTTTTTTTTTTTTTTTGAGACGAAGTCTCACTCTTGTCCCCCAGGCTGGAGTGCAGTGGCGCCATCTCAGCTCACTGCAACCTCCGCCTCCCAGGTTCACGCCATTCTCCTGCCTCAGCCTCCCTAGTAGCTGGGACTACAAGCGCGCCACCACGCCTGGCTAATTTTTTTGTATTTTTAGTAGAGACAGGGTTTCACCATGTTAGCCAGGATGGTCTTGATCTCCTGACCTGGTGATCCGCCCTCCTCGGCCTCCCAAAGTGCTGGGATTACAAGCATGAGCCACCAAGCCCAGCCTTTTTTTAAATTTTAATTTAATTTTTTTTTTGAGATGAAGTCTCGCTCTTCTCTTCCAGGCTGGAGTGCAGTGGCGCAATCTCAGCTCACTGCAACCTCCACCTCCCGGGTTCAAGCGATTCTCCTGCCTCAGCCTCCCAAGTAGCTGGGATTACAGGCACCTGCCACCACGCCCGGCTAATTTTTGTATTTTTAGTAGAGACGGGGTTTCACCATGTTGGCCAGGCTGGTCTCGAACTCCTGACCTCAAGAGATCCTCCCGCCTCGGCCTCCCAAAGTGCTGGGATTACAGGCGTGAGCCACCGTGCCCGGCTGCTTAAATGATTTTTTTAGGGAAAATATAGTACAGCATCCTTGTTTGGATTTTTGTTTTTTAAATTTTTTGTTTTATAAATTTCTAGCTAAACATTTTCACTTCCTTTTCATTTGTATTTCTTTTGTGAATTATCTGCTTCTAGTCTTTGCCTTTTTTACAGAGTCTCACTCACCCAGTCTGGAGTGCAGTGGTGCGCAACCTCAACTCACTGCAACCTCCGCCTACAGGGCTCAAGCGATTCTCCTGCCTTAGCCTCCCAAGTAGCTGGGATTACAGGCGCTCACCACTGCGCCCGGCTAATTTTTGTATTTTTAGTAGAGATGGGGTTTCGCCATGTTGGCCAAGCTGGTCTTGAACTCCTGACCTCAAGTGATCCACCCGCCTCAGCCTCCCAAAATGCTGGGATTACAGGCGTGAGCCACCGTGCCCTGCCCCCATTTTTTTATTGGTGTTTATCTTTTTCTAATTGGAATTCCTTGTTCGTTGAGACTATTAATTCATTCTTTTATATACGGTGAAAATCTTTTCGTTGGACTTTAAATTTTGTTTTTTATTTTTATTTTTTCTTCTCCCTCTCTCTGTATACACTTTTGGTTTTGAATATATGGCATGGTTGGTTTTTTGTTTGTTTGTTTGTTTGTTTTTGTGACGGAGTCTTGCTCTGTCACCCAGGCTGGAGTGCAGTGGTGTGATCCCGGCTCACTGCAAGCTCCGTCTCCTGGTTCTCGCCATTCTCCTGCCTCAGCCTCCCGAGTAGCTGGGACTACAGGCGCCCGCCACCATGCCCAGCTAAATTTTTATATTTTTAGTAGAGACGGGGTTTCACCGTGTTAGCCAGGATGGTCTCGATCTCCTGACCTCGTGATCCACCCGCTTCGGTGTCCCAAAGTGCTGGGATTACAGGCATGAGCCATCGCGCCCGGCTGGCATGGTTTTAAAATGCATAAATAGGCTGGGCGTAGTGGCTGACACCTGTAATCCCAGTGCTTTGGGAGACCAAGGCAGGAGGATCGCTTGAATCCAGGAGTTCAAGACCAACCTGGGCAATAGAGTGAGCTGTCATCTCTACAAAAAATTAAAAAGTTAGTCAAGCATGGTGGCATGTGCCTGTAGTCCCAGCTACTCAGGAGGCTGAGGTGAGAGAATCACGTGAGTCTGGGAGGCAGAGGCTGCAGTGAGCCAAAATTGTGTGACTGCACCCCAACCTGGGCAACAAAATAAGACCCTATCTTCAAAAAAAAAGGCAGAAATATATATTTTAAAAAACATAATTGTGTGAAGATACTAAAAACATTGAATTGTATACTTTTAATAGGTGAATTGTATGGTATATGAATTATTTCTCAATAAGACTTAAAAAAAAAAAAAAAAAGAACACATACTATGGCCAGGTATCAGGGTATAAAAATAAGACACAGTCCCTGTTTCAAAAGGTTCACAGTTTAATGAATGAGTCTTTTTTTCTTATTTTTCATGAGGGTTAGAGATAAGTATTACCACTTGCTCCCTGACAACAGTTCTTATGTTGGATATATGTAATCTCCTCTTTTATATAAAAATCATAAATATATTTAAATGTAAATTAAAATAGTCGATAGAAAATCAAACTCTTTAGATATTTTTATACTTGAGATTATACAAATTCTTAGAGAATTAGGTGGTGAAGCTTGCATTAAATTATTTGGTTCATGCCTGTCCCAGCATTTCAAGAGGCTGAGGTAGGCAAATTACTTGAGCCTAGGAGTTCAAGACCAGCCTAGACAACATAGTGAGACTCTGTCTCTACAAAAAATAAAATTTAGCTGGGCATGGTGGTGCACACCTGTAGTCCCAGCTAGTTGGGAGGCTGAGGTGGAAGGATCACTTGAGCCCAGGGGTTCAAGACAACAGTAAGGTATGATCGCAACAGTGCACTGCAGCCCGGGCAACAGAGCTAGACTCTGTCTCCAAGAAAAAAAAAAACTTGTGGTTCACATTTCATTTATAAGTATTTCTATCTTATTTGTGAGTGGAAGCACTTGTTTACGTAACTTCAATGAATAGCTTTTTACATTTTTACTCTTTGAAAAGTGATTATTAAATGAAAAAATATATAAAAATTTATTTTTTAAAACTGCAATAAACCAGTTAATATCAAAATAAATATATAGAAATGATTTGCTATTGTATATTGCCGGCAATAACCATTATATATTACGTAATATATAATATAATCAAATGTAATATTAAAAAGTTCCTGGCCAGGTACAGTGGCTCACACTTGTAATCCCAGCATTTTGGGTGGCTAAGGAGGATGGATCACTTGAGGCCAGGAGTTCAACACCAGCCTGGCCAACATGGCAAAACTCCATCTCTACTAAAAATACAAAAATTAGCCAGGTGTGGTGGTGCGCACCTGTAGTCGCAGCTACTCGGGAGGCTGAAGCAGTAGAATCGCTTGAACCCAGGAGGCAGAGGTTGCAGTGAGCCGAGATTGTGCCACCGCACTCCACCTTGTGCAACAGAGCGAGACTCTGTCTCCAAAAAACAAACAAAAAAAGAATTTTCTTGGGCCACATATAAAATACACTAATGATAGCCGATGAGCTGAGAAAAAAAATTACAAAAAAAAATCATAATGTTTTAAGAAAGTTTACGAATTTGTGTTGGGCCACATTCAAAGCCATTCTGGGCATGGGTTGGACAAGCTTGTTCTAAAGGGATTTTTAGGGTGTTGAAAACCTAACAAAGTCATTTGGAAGACTAAGTGGGTGAAATTGTGCACTCAAAATTAAAAGATGAGATTCTCACAGTCACATATTGAAAACAATTATAAGCTAATAATAGCATGGTGTACAAGAAAGATGTTGCCTAGAAGGCCCAGAAATAGACCTTAGTACATGAAAATATTTAGTGTATGATTAAGGTAGAATTTCAAGTCAGTTGGGGAAAATGGATAAATAGCCAGGTAGTGCTGTAATAACAATTAACTATTTGGGGAGAAAATTAAGTTAGATAGCTCTATCTTCAACCATATACCACAATAAATTGTAGATGAATTAATGAACTATTTTCTGGGAAACTTATTTAAATATGCAAGTTAAAAAATAGAAGCTATAAAGATTGCTAGATATGACTATCTAAAATAAAATAAATAGAACCCACTTCTAAAAGCAGATGATGATGATTAGTTCCCTAATTTATGATTATTATTGACAACATTGACCCATTCATCTTTGTTTCTATGAGAATTCTGTTGTGCAGTCTCTAAAATGGTTGCGTATGTGAAAATGTGGGATGGCTATAGCTAAGAATATTCTTGTTTGAGGAATTACTATCTTTTTGTATTTTAAATCAGGGTGTTTGCAGACTGAATCTACATTATAGAAAATGGGGCACCTTGGTTGGAGAATCTGTCCTACAATACTTGTTCTTTCTTTTACATTAGTCATTTATTCAAAATTTTTATTCAGCATTGCTAGGTGCTGAGTATACAGCAGTGATCAAGAGACAGTTCCTGCCTTCAAGCTTATAATATGGAGACCAACAAGTAAACAGGCAGTGTGAGAATTGCTACACTAGAGAACTGTAGAGGGAGTATGGTTGTATTTGGAAAGACCGTGGAACCCAGTCCTAGAGGGATCAAGGAAGGCCTCTGGAGAAAGGGACACCTAAGTTCCAATCTAAAAGATAAGTAGGGCTGGTGGGGTGGCTCATGCCTGTAATCCCAGCACTTTGGGAGGCCGAGGTGGAAGGATTGCTCGGAGCCAGGTGTTCGAAACCAGCCTGGTCAACCAAGCGAGACCCTGTCTCTAAAAAAAATTTTTTTTAATGAGCTGGGCACGGTGGTGTGTGCCTGTAGTCTCAGTTACTCAGGAGGCTGAGGTGGGGGAATCTCTTGAACCTAGGAGTTCAAGGCTGCAGTGAGCTATAATCACACCACTGCCCTGCAGTCTGGGCTTCAGAGTTAGATTTCATCTCATGAATGAGGGAATAAAGGATTAATAGAAGTAGGCAAGCAAAAGGGGGAATGAAGGGTATTCTAGGCAGAGGGAACAGTAAAGTCTGAGACAAGACGGAGTGGTATGTTAGAGATACTACAAGACTTTAAGTACAGCAAAATTCACCTGCAGTTGAAGTGTACCTATATCTGAAACTAAATGATATCATTTTGTAGGATATGGGTAAAAGAAAATACTTGTGATACTAACACTGGTGAGGAGTAGAGGAAAATTAACTTCCAGCTAATGGCAGTCTATCAAGCTACTAAATAGGATTGCTTTTGCATATTTATTTATTTAGAGACAGAGTCTCACTCTGTTGCCCAGGCTGGAGTGCAGTGGTGCAATCTCAGCTGACTGCAACCTCCGCTTCCTGGGTTCAGGTGATTCTTGTGCCTCAACTTCCTGAGTAGCTGGGACTACAGGCGTGTGCCACCACGCATGGCTAATTTTTTTATTTTTAGTAGAGACGAAGTTTTGCCATGTTGGCCAGGCTGGTCTTGAACTCCTGACCTCAAGTGACCTGCCCGCCTCAGCCTCCCAAAGTCCCAGGATTACAGACATGAGCCACCATTCCCAGCCTGCTCATACATCTTTTTTTGACAAGAGATCAAAGCAGAAAAAGGAGTTTATAGTACTTTACAAAATCTAGCCTTAGCCTCTCAAAAGTTTAATGAAATTCTCAACCTTTTTATTTAGTTGTTATCATTCACCTTGTGTTCTAGTTAATGAGAACTGAAGGCTCCTACCAACCCCCACTCCACCATATAACAGCTCCTCAGCCTGCTGAGGCAAATGCACATATCAGAGTCTTTGTCTAGTGGCCTCACCTTACCTCTGACTTTAAAGGGATAAAGAACTTCCCCAGTTGACCAAAATGAAAAGGAAAATCTAGATTGAAATTATGGTCCAGATAGTATACACATAGTTAGACATCAACTTGGGTGGTGGTTAGGATGTGCCTGAGATGAGTGGGGAAGATTGAGGTAAGATAGTCAGTGATGAGTGCTGTTGTTGGCATTCCAGATATGCCTACCACATATAAGCACATGTGGCTGTCAGCTGAGCCAGACTCCCAAAGTATAACTTTTCTACTGGTCTATTTTGCAATTAAGAAGCACGTTAGGCCGGCTGTGGTGGCTCATGCCTGTAATCCCAGCACTTTGGGAGGCCGAGGCGGGCGGATCACCTGAGGTCAGGAGTTCGAGACCAGCCTGGCCAACATGGCGAAACCCCGTCTCTACTAAAAGTACAAAAATTAGCCAGGCGTGATGGCGGGCGCCTGTAATCCCTGTTACTCAGAAGGCTGAGGCAGGAGAATTGCTTGAACCTGGGAGGCGGAAGTTGCAGTGAGCCGAAATTGCGCCACTGCACTCCAGCCTGGGTGACAAGAGCGAGACTCCGTCTCAAAAACAAAACAAAAAAAGAAGCATTTTATACCACAGAAAGATTTTCTGTGAAAGACTGATCTGCTAGCTAAAGACTCTGTCCAAGTTTGAAGGCACTGAAAATGGTCTTTAAACAAAATAATTTTCTCAGAATTTTCTATGAATGCACTGCTTTCTCCAGTTCAACCACAGTGTAAGCTTCGACTCGTCTGCCCTCTAGTGGAGGCCCATAGTTAAATTAGCAGTGTCACTGGCTTTGGAAAAACTACCTAACTTTTCTCGATTGGCTTTCCAAATTGTAGTGTTTCCTAAAAAAAAAAAAAAAAAAAAAAAGCCATCAAAACAACATATTTATAATTTTCTAAGATGCTAATAAATACCTTCCCTGGCTACCTCATAGGATCAGGTTCAAAGTCCTGTCTCCTGCAGCTTATCTTTGCAGCCTACCTTAAGGAAAGCTCTGGGTTTTAACTCAGCTAGTCAGTTCACTGCCACTCCAAGATGTCAAATGTATTTCTACTGCTCTTCCCTTTTCTTCATCTCTCTTCTGAATTCCTGTGACATGTACTTCCTGTGCCATACATTTATACTGTATATTTTGGAACAACTTTTCAGATAAAACAGGCAGATGAACTCCCCTTCAGGCAGATGAACTCCTTGAGTATGGTACTGTTTCACACTTTTCTGTGTCCCCTATAGACTCCAGCAGCTCTCAGTGAGTATATTGATTATTTGCTGTTCAGAGATATTCAATATCCTCTTTTCCTCTATTGATAGCTGAAAAGGTAATTGTCTAGATTTAAATATAAATAGTAAAATATTAACGTAGTAACAATTCATTTCCCCCTAATGAAAACTGTCTTAGCAGTATACCTACATCTTAAATATTCTAATTTCTTTTTTACTTGGGCCACTAACTGTATTTCCCTACTTTGTAGTTTGAAAGTGATTTTAGAAAGTTTGAGAAAATTATGCTGTTCATTTAGGAGTATTTGTTAAGTAATCGGTGTTGCTTCATTATCCTTCTTTACATGTTCTTCGTCCTTATTTCTAGATAATGTTTCCTTTTGTAACCTTGGTTAGTCCTCTTGTTCTTTATATCCATGAACAATTAGAATGTTTAATGCTACAAGAAACATAACAGATGGATTTTATTTAGCCTCTTCCAGGTGTTATGAGTGCTTCTCATTGTTTAAGTTTCTTGTGGAAGCGTGGTAATCACGTGTAGCAGAGGCCTGGTGCTAAACCCAGATGCCAGGCTAAGCAATTGGTATAGCTGGTAGGACAGACGAATAAGAAAACATATATGGGCAAAAGAGGCATACAGGTAGGATCCCCCAGGTGAAGCTAAGATCACAGTTAAGAGTTTTAAACCAAAGTTTAGAGAACAGAAGAGATGTGGCTATAAGTAGAGGAGGAGATATTCAAAATATTTCACAACTAGTATGGTATAGCCATCAACCAATCAGAAAAGATGGGAGCAAGACCTGGACGTCCCCTGCTGCACTAGGCATTTACCTGGTTGTGGCTGGATCATGACACACTCAGAGGGGCTCCAGGCAGTCACTATTTCAATATTTTAACAGTTAGTACAGCTGTATCAGTATGTATTGGCTGAACATAAGACTCTATGTCCATATTGAGGGCTCAGGCTACAATGAAGGAAATGGACCAAGTGTGGGGTCTTCAGAAAGTGGGATCTGGAATTTCACCTGAATGGAAGGGAGCAGAATCTGGAGCATTCCTTTAACACAAGAGGAGCAACCTGTTCTGGTAGAAGGTGTTATTTGACCTTTTCAGACAGAATCCTGACTTGGCTGTGTACTCTTAGGTTACTTTGAGCAAATTATCTCACTTCCATGAGGCAGATTCATCAACTGAAAAATAAGGCTATAATCATACCTACATGGCATTCATTCCGGAGTGGTTCAAATGAGACAATAATCATGAAGAGACTTTGTTGACTTTTCTGGTTCTGGCAAACAAGAGAATGACACAGAGGCAGAGTCTTCTTACTATCTTATGATGGGTGCCGCATGCTGTCTGCCCCATATTTAAGCACTCATCTTGGATTGGCAAACCAAGTATATGACTAATAACTTAATGGAGGAAAAAAGTACAAAATATAGTGAAATTAGCCTAAGTTTATTTCTGGTTTTGCCACTTACTGGTTGTGAAATCTTGAACCACATTTATTAATTTGTCTAATATCTACTGAGCATCTTCTGTATGCTTAGCACTATAAAAACATAGTCCTGCTCTACAGAGCTTACAGTCTAGGAAGGGAATTTTTTTTTTTTTTGATAGCTGAGTTTCTATGATCATACTGCTCTCCTTGGTTACCTAGCACAGGTACCTTGAGTAGGCAGAGGCTATGTGTACCCTGGGCTTTTTGATGTTGTTTCTCCAAACCTTTAAGCCAAAGGTTTTCAGTCTTAACTGCTTATCAGTTATCTACAGAGCTTTTTTAATGTACTGATTCCGAGGCCCCACAACTTGTTGTATGCTAGTAAATGTTTAAAAGCCTGTTTTCTAAGCAGGGGCTCATGTGTGGCATTTGCTGATTTTGCTGATAAACACATCCGCCTTGGCTACCGACGTGTCTCACAAGGTTCCTAAAAATGTAACAATTGTTATCTAACAACCTAGCCAGCTCCAGCACACCAGCGGACCAACGTCAGAGCTAAAGAATAAGAACTTATAGGCATGAGGGCCGGGCATGGTGGCTCACGCCTGTAATCCCAGCACTTTGGGAGGCTGAGGTGAGCGGATCACGAGGTCAGGAGTTCAAGACCATCCTGGCTAACATGGTGAAACCCCGTCTCTACTAAAAAATACAAAAAATTAGCCGGGCGTGGTGGTGGCACCTGTTGTCCCAAATACTCGGGAGGCTGAGGCAGGAGAATGGCGTGAACCCGGGAGGCAGAGCTTGCAGTGAGCCGAGATCAGGCCGCTGCTCTCCAGCCTGGGCAACAGAATGAGACTCCATCTCGAAAATAATAATAATAATAATATTAATAATAATAATTTATAGGCATGAGGCCTGGAGCTTTTTGTTACTAAAAAAGTTCTAAAAGGGACCCAGAGGTAACCAGTGACTTGTGAAGTTTCCATATTGCATGCCTGTCAGATGTGACAGGTTCAGAACACTGTAAGACTTATTGCCTTTTATGGCCAGGTGTGGTAGCTCATATCTGTAACCCTAGCACTTTGGCAGGCCGAGGTGGGAGGATCACTTGAAGCCAAGAGTTCGAGACCAGCCTGGGCAACTTAGTTAGACCTCATCTCTTCCCCCTTCAAAAAAAAAAAAAAAAAAAAAAAAGCCAGATGTGGTGGTATGCACCTATAGTCCTGGCTACTTGTGAACTCATGAAGGCTGAGGCGAGAGAACACTTGAACCCAGGAATTTGAGGTTATAGTGAGCTATGATCGTGCCTTTGCATTCCAACCTGGGCAACAGAGCATGACCCTGGCTCAAAAAACAACAACAACAACAAAGACTTGTTGCTTTCTAAAACCAATGAATTTGATCTCTAGTGATAGAAAAGACTGTATAACAACTCTGAAATTATCACAAGTGGGTGAGTTAGGTTGCACACATTAAATAACTTTTTAAAAAGTGGAATAAGGATTGAAGACAAAAGACATCCAGTAACAGTTTCACATCCAGAGCTCAGATTTTTCTATAGGGCATTGACTGGACTGTGATGTCTCTTAAATTAGCTGTTGTCCAAGGACTTTTTTTTCTTTAGAATCAAAGCTATTTCAGCAAAATTCTAATCAAGCTCGCTTTCTTGTTGCTGACCATCCTGACTGTGATTCACACCTATTTGTATTTTAAAGGAGTTTAAAAGAAACACTAGAGAAATAGTAGGTGTCTCACAGAGGTTTTCTATTGCTTGAAAATTATAGGGAAGAAAGTTTGTTTATTTAAGGTTTCTTAAACCCTGTCATAATATTAATAGGAGCATGATGTGACTTTGATTTTAATTGTAAGTATTCCAGGATCCTCTGACTTTGTTTTTACTTTAATGCATGTCATATCTCTATAAAATATGATTAAATTGAATCTCTGATTCCTGATTCCAGCCAATACTATATATCTTGATCTAAATTAGACTTTAAAACAAGGTCAGATTATATGGGAACTACTGATTTGATCATGTCTGAGCCTCTTCCAAACCAGCTTTCTCAGATTATGAGTGCCTAGGTATTCACTCTGGTCCTGGACCATACTGTGTGTCTTTACTGCCATGCTTGCAGGTCCTTTCTTGTCCTTAGCCTCCCAATAAAGAGAACACTTCTTTATAGACATTAACCTGTAAAAATATCCATATGGCCTTCAGTCCTCCTTGCACTGACCTAAGAGTTAGCTGCTTTGCCCTCCTAAATAGCTCTATGGCCCTAGGCTTTAGGAGCTCTACTTCATTCACTGTCATTAACTACCTGTTTTTCTGTCCTGTTAATTTTGTCTACTTATTCAATTAATCACCAGGGTCGAAAGATGGCTGCAAATTCTTGTTACTTCTGCTATTGTGCGAAGGGAATCTAATTCCTCTCACAGATTCCTTGAATCTGTGTTGGACTTTTTTGGTACACCAATAAAGTGTGGCAGAAATGACACTATGCCAGCTCTGAGCCTAGCCTTTAGGATGACTAGTCCTTTTGGAGCCCTGAGCCATTATTCAAGAAGACCAACCCTGAGGATACCATGCTTTGAGGAAGCCCAAGATAAATTAGAAATCATGTTTAGGCACTCCAGTTTACATTTCCAGTTGAGCCCAGCTTTCCACCCATCTAGGCTATGACATTAGACATGTGAATGAAGCTGCTTAGATCCTCCATACCAGCTCATATGCTAACTAAATATCACCTGAATAGCACTGAATGACCCTTAGCAATACCATGTAGAACTGAAGAATCACCCAGCCAAGTGCTGCTTGAATTTCTGACCCATAAAATCATAAAATATAATAAAGCAGTAATTTGTTATAAAGCAATAGATAACCCAAACAGCTGTTTTTTCTGTTTCTAGCAGTGGATCTAAGCCTTCTCTTTCAAGTGGCCAAGTGGCAGACCTGATGCCTTTATTCCTCCTCAAGCCTGTGTGTTTTATATCTGCTTTTTTCAAAAGCCAGAAGCATGGCATTATCTCTTCCAGTTTCGAAGCACATATGTCTCTTAGAAAGACTACTAGATTCCTTTTTCCTGTCTGATAGATACCTCCTACTATTCATTTATTTCCAAGGGCTGAGGTAACTGATGGATAATCTGATATCCAGTGAATTGACAATTCATAACCATCTTTTCTGATCATAGAACTGTTATCTTGGAATTTCCATCATTGCAGACTCATAACAGTAATATTACTTGATAGCCTTAACCCCCAATACCTGTACCTTTGCTTGAAAAATCCACAGCTGCTCACTCTTCCCCAAATTTATCAGACTCTCATTCTTCTACAGTTTTCAGCTCTTTTGCCTGTTCTTCTCCCTGAAATACTCTTACTTACTTTTTTTTTCTTTTCTTTTTTTTTTTTTTTTTTTTGTAGAAACAGTGTTTCGCTATGTGTCCTAGACTGGTCTCAAACTCCTGCCTCAAGGGATTCTCCTACCTTGGACTTCCAAAGTGCTGAGATTACAGGCATGAGCCACCATGCCTGGCCAATACTCTTATTTTCCATCTGACAAAAACCCACTAGTTCAAGCCCGGCCAAAAAATTAACTTTTGTGAAGGATTTCCCAACACCATAGTTAGTCACTTCTTCCTCTGTTGCTTCTATAACATTTTGTATGTCCTTTTGCTGTAGGCCTAAATGACATATCGTTATAATTTCTGTTTTATGGAACTGTCTCCCCCACTACAATACTAACTGTTTAAGAATAAGGACAGTTGTGCTTACTTTCATTCCCTGGTGCCTAGTATCTAAAACATAATAGGTAGTCAATGAATGTTGAATGAATGAATGAATGAGAATGAATGAATATATAATTGAGAGCAGATGGGCTGGGTGCAGTGGCTCACACCTGTAATCCCAGCACTTTGGGAGGTTGAAGTGGGAGGATTGCTTAAAGCTAGAAGTTCAAGACCAGCTTGGGCACATAGCGAGACCTCATCTTTCAAAAAAAATAATATGTTTTAAAAATTGAGATCAAGTAAATGATTCTGTCTGCTTAACCAAAAGGATAGTCTTTGGGTAAGGTATTAAGGTATTACTGCCAGATCTTAGCCACAGGCTACTCCTGAGCAACAAAAACCATTCTTTTAACCTGGTAAGGCTAAAATGTAACTGGCATAGAGTCCTTACTAGCAGAAAATGTATAGCTAGTTAGCTTCAAGCATTCACATGGCATTAGTTAGCTGCTCCAGTCACTCATTCGACCCTTTATTGAGTTCCATCTGCACATAGGGCATTGTGCTAAACACAGAGTGAGATGCAAAGGGCAATGAGGCATAGTTCCTGCCCTTAAGGAGATTACAATCTGATGATGGGAGATAAAACAAGTACCCAGTTGTAACCCAGAAACAGAACTGGTAGTGTCGCAAAAATGATGCACAGCAACCGTTAGGTTTGGAGGGAGACAGAGAGCATCAGTCAGGTGATAAAAGAAATGTCACAAACTACTAGTGTTTGAAACTAGCTTTGAAGACTGGAAAAGAATATAGGAGAGGGGAGAGGGGCTTTCTAGGTTGATACAACAGCATGAACAAAGGAAGTCAATAGGTACGTTTGGAGAATGATAAATGAGATGACTTGGATTGGAGCAAATAGAAAGTGTAAAGAATCTTGAATGATAAGATTTGGGAAAATATTGCTTAACACTCTGCTAGCCCAGTGTTCAAGGCTGACAGCATCTCCCTCCACCAAGCCTACTTCTCAGCAAATATTACTTCAGTGCTTCTATATTTTCCAGACATATTTTATTTAGTGACCTGTTTTTATGATCAGGTAGTAAACAGATTAATAAGAATGCATTAATCTTTCAATTAATACTTAATGGAGCCAGGCATGGTGGCTTATGCCTGTAATCCCAGCACTTTGGGAGGCTGAGATAGGTGGATCACTTGAGGTCAGGAGTTTGAGACCAGCCTGGCCAACATGGCAAAACCCCATCTCTACTAAAAATACAAAAATTACAGGGGGTGGTGGCAGACACCTGTAATCCCAGCTACTCGGGAGGCTGAGGTATGAGAATCGCTTGAACCCAGGAGGCAGAGGGTGCAGTGAGCCGAGATCGCACCACTGCACTCCAGCCTGGGTAACAGAGTGAGACTCTGTCTCAAAAAAAAAGAAAAAAAAAAAGAAAAAAAGACTTAATGGTTCCTGAACACCCTAAAATTAAATGTAATACCTTACTGTTTCTAGGTCAATTTTTTCTTAAGAACATAAGAAGTAATTATACTCTTTAAAAGCTATTTAACAATAGGGCTCTTGGAAATTTGATCATAAAAAAGCCAACAAATATTTAGTCATTTAATTATTAAATTAATTAAATGTTTAATTAATTAAACATTTAGTAATTTATTTAATTATTTAATTATTTAATTTAGATATTCTCGTTATGTATCAGAAATTATTCTGTTCACTAAGAAACTAAGAGCTGTCTCTACACTTTTCTCCTGGTAATTTCCAATGTTTTGAAGAGATTGACTGGCATTTTTCAGTAACAATGTGTGAAGTTACTTGACAAGAAAGGCTGTTATATCTGGTTTCTGCACTTGTTAGAATAGAATGGTAAGCATTCCACCTTCAGCTACCATTTGAATGCTATTGTTCAAGATAACTGCATTACCCGATAGTTACTCTTATTAAATAAGAAATGTTGTGTCTTTGCTTTTTTGGCGGTGAATTCTGCTGAAATTAACATAATTGAACATTTTTTTCATTCCTTTTAAATCCATTTTACCCTAAGACCTACAATGCTTTGATATGCTTAGTTTTTTTTTCCCTCAAGTTTTTTTTTCGAAGTAAACAGAAGGGAAAGCAAATTATTCATTTGGCTGGCTATTGAAACATAAAGAAAGAAAAAATTATTTGGGGATCTTGTGTTAAAAACACTGTTCTGATTTGCTTTTTGGGGGAGCCAAAGGAATTTTCTACGCTTTTGGCACTACTTTGAAGTGTAGAAGTCATAGAGGAAAGATGCAAAGGATATTACTTTATTAAAAGCCATGAAAAAAGATATTCCTTCTTCTTCAGCTCCCTCTGAATTGCCATCTTGGGTTATAAGTATCAAAGTAAGATTTTTAGTTTAGATGCAGCTGATTATAGCAGAAAGATAGACCCACGTTCAAATCCTGACTCCACCATTTATGACCTTGAATAAGTCCCATAGGGTGTGGTACCCATTCAGTGAAACAACATATAAAGTACCTAGCCCATCGTAGTACTCAATAAATGTAGTTCACCCCTGTAGACATAACTGGTTTTGGCTGCTTGTGCCCTATAAGAAAGCATCAGGGGTGTTTTTGCTTTTTACTTATCCACATATTCTCATCACAATTCTCATAGGTAGAAAAATCCACCAAAAAACTGAAAATAATTTGAATTATCCTTCTTTTGGTGTGCTTATTTTAGAAATAAGGGCAAGGCTATGAAACTAGTAGTAGCCCATAAACCTATGAAAGGATGCCCAACCTCATTAGTTAATCTCAAGACAAAGCAAATTAAGACCATAATGAGATAAAACATTAGACTGGCAAAAATAGAAAACATCTGATGATCCTGTGTTGGCTAGAATTTAGATCAACTAAAACTCTTACTCTTTCTGGTGAGAGTATAAATCAGTACAACCACTTTGGAAAATAATTTGGTACTATCTTGTAAAGTTGAACCTTTATTTACTCTATGACCCTGCAGTTTCACTCATAGGTATATATACTGTTGATATATTTTGCATGTACACCAAAAGACACGTACAAGAATGCTGATAGCAGCATTGTGTATGTCACCAAAAAAATAGAAACAATCTAGTCTATGTAAATAGAATGGATAAACTATGATATATTCGAATTTTACCCCATCAAAAATGAGTGAACTATAGCTATATGTAATAAGTAGATGAATCTTTTCAGGATAATATTTAGTTTTTAAAAAGCATATTGGGAAAACTACACACAGTATAACACAGTTTTTAAGCCCTCAAACAATCAAAAATGAGTAATACATTGTTTAAGAATGTAGGCATATGTAATTTTTTAAAAAACAAGGGAATAAATAATGCAAAGAGGTAGACCCAATAGGCAAGTTAAAACAAAATTCTAAAAAATATTCAAATAATACCAAAGAAGGCAGAAAAGGTAGAACAGAGGAATACAAATACAGGCGACAAACGGAAAATAAATAGTAACATGGTGGACACAAATCTAACAATATCAAAAATTATATTAAATGTTAACGTACTAAACACCACAGTTAATGGCAAAGATTGTCATAATGGATAAAGTAAGGTTCAAATGCTGTCTGTGGGCAAAAAGCAACAACCAGTTTGTACCTCAATTTCTTCATTCCTAAAATGGGATAATTATAATGCTGTCTCACATTTGTAGAACAGTGTTAGTGTAGAATAAACACTCAATGAGGTTATGTAATATGCATAACGATAATAATCATAATGGTTATGATGTTCTTTCTGTAAAAATTCAAATATGCCAAAAATATGGCCTATTGATATCTTTAAAGAGACATTCTTTAAAATATAAAAGATTGAGCTGGGCACGGTGGCTCACACCTGTAATCCCAGCACTTTGGGAGGCTGAGGTGGGCAGATCACGAGGTCAGGAGTTCGAGACCACCCTGGCCAATATGGTGAAATCCCACCTTTACTAAAACTACAAAAATTAGCCGGGCACGGTGGTACACGCCTGTAATCTCAGCTGCTTGGGAGGCTGAGGCAGGAGAATCGCTTGAACCCAGTGAGCCGAGATCCCACCACTGCACTCCAGCCTGGGCAACAGAACAAGACTTTCTCAAAAAAGAAAGAAAGAAAAAATGATAGAATATGTTCATGACTAGAGGGTAGGCAAAGGTTTTTAAGAACCTGAAAACAATAACCATAGGGGAAAAGAATTGCCAATTAGAGTTAAGTTATAACTCTCACGCATTGTTGATGAGGGTATAAAGCGGTGTAAATGCTTTGGGAGAAGACCTGGCAATTTTATATGAAACTATACATGCCTCTGTCTTGTGACCCAAAAGAAATAAAAACTTATGTCAATCCCCCCCAAAAAAAAACTTCACAAAAGAATATTCATATAATAGCTTTATTTATTTATTTAATTTTAGAGTCTCACTCTGTCTCTCAGGTTGGAATGCAGTGGCGTGATCATAGCTCACTGCAACTTCAAACTTCTGGACTCAACCGATCCTCCCACCTCAGCCTCCAGAGTAGGACTACAGGTGCCATGTCTGGCTAACTATTTTATTTTTTTGGTAGAGACTGTGTCTTGCTATTTTGCCCAGGCTGGTCTCAAACTCCTGACTTCAAGTGATCCTCCTGCGTCAGCCTCCCAAAGTGCTGGGATGACAGACATGAACCACCATGTCTGGCTAATAACTTTGTTCGTGATAGGCAAAAACTCAAATATCCCAAATGTATCCATCAATAAGAGAATAAATAAATGAACTCGTATATTCATGTGATGGAATCCTCAGCGATAAAAAGGAATGAACTGCTATTTTATGCAACAACGTGGGATGAATCTCGAAAACATTATGCTGAATATTTTTCAAAAATCTTCCCATAAAGTAGTACATAGTATATAATCCCATTTAATGAACAATGGAATCATATCCTGTGTACTAATTTTTTATGGCAAAAATCTGTGGTGGAAAACCAGAACAGGGTTGCCTCAGGAGTGGGTGGTGCCACATTTTGACTGGGAATGGCTGTGAGAAAAATTTCTGAGGTGATGGAAATGTTCCATTTCTTGATAGCAGTTTGAATTACGTAGACACATACATTTGTCAAAACTCATTAAATGGCGCACTTAAGATTTGTATATTTCATTGTATATAAATTTTACCTTAAAAAAAAAAAACTGGCCAGGTGTGGTGGCTCATGCCTGTAATCCCAGCACTCTGGGAGGTCAAGGCAGGAAGATCACTTGAGACCAGAAGTTTGAGACCAACCTGAACAACATAGTGAGACCCCGTATCTACAAAAACTTAAAAATAAAGAACAAAATTAGCCAGGCCTGGCAGTGTGCATCTGTAGTCCTAGCTACTCAGGAGGGAGAGGCAGGAGAATTGCTTGAACCCAGGAGTTTGAGGCTGCAGTGAGCTGTGATAATGCTACTGCACATACTACAGCCTAAGTGACAGAGCAAGATCTTATCTCTAAACAAAAAAAAAAAAAGAAAGGAAAAAACTATAAAGAAATACTGAATTCTAATTAATTATTATGCATTTAAAGGCAGATGTACTGATATCAGTAACTTAAATCGAAATGCATCCAAAAAATAAGATGGATAGATGGACAGATAGATGAATAAACATATGATTTTTAAAAAGTATAGAAAATATTGGCTAGGCATGGTGGCTCACGCCTATAATCCTAGACCATGGGAGGCCGAGGTGGGCGGATCACCTGAGGTCAGGAGTTCGAGACCAGCCTGGCCAACATGGAGAAAGCCCGTCTCTACTAAAAATACAAAAATTAGCCAGGCCATGGTGGCACATGCCTGTAATCCTAGCTACTCAGGAAGCTGAGGCAGGAGAACCACTTGAACCCACGAGGTGGAGGTTGTAGTGAGCTGAGATTGCGCCACTGCACTCCAGCCTGGGCAACAGAGCGAGACTCCGTCTCAAAAAAAAGTATAGAAAATATTAATGATACAATCTAGATGGTAGATATACAAGTTCGCTATAAGATCTTTCAATTTTATGTTTGAAATTTTTTAAATAATAAAATGAGGTGGAAACAAAAAAAGTATAAACTGGGATAGTAGTCACATAATAGAAAGAGGAATGGGAAATAAGAGGCAAACAGAAGCAACAGTGTTGGTACTATTATAGCTCTTAGGTGGAATGGTGTTCATAGGTATTAATTTTGTTATTGTACCTCATAACTTATATGTTAAACATATTCTTATATAATATTTAATGCAATTAAAAAATAATGTGGCCGGGCACGGTGGCTCACGCCTATAATCCCAGCACTCTGGGAGGCCGATGGGGGTGGATCACCTGAGTTCAGGAGTTTGAGACCAGCCTGGCCAGTATGGCCAAACCCCATCTCTACTAAAAAATACAAAAATTAGCCAGGCATGGTGGCGGGCACCTGTAGTCCCAGCTACTTGGGAGGCTGAGACTGGAGAATTGCTTTATCCTGGGAGGTGGAGGTTGCAGTGAGTCGAGATCGCATCACTGCACTCCAGCCTGGGTGACAAGAGTGAGACAACGTCTAAAAAAAAGATAAGGAAAAAAATGTGAGAAGACTGCATTATAATTTGAGATCTATTAATAATAACAGTACTGAAGCACTCTTTGTTAAATGATATTCCAGGAAATCATTTCTATTTATTACAGTTCTTTGGGCACAAAAATCTAACATTTACATTTGTTTATCTGAGTCTTTTATTTTCATTCTTGCAAACTTTCCAGGTTCTGATTATTGATTCTAGAGACAGCTCTTTCCCATTTTAAACCTTTTTTCAGTCTCTAAAGGGCATACCTTTCTAACCTAAAACCTCTCTCTTATATGCAAAGAGTGTAATACACTATGACACTTTCTACCTGTACTCCTTCTGGAAGCAGAATCTTTGTTTTGTTCTTCCTTTGTGGAAAATAAAAAAAGAGAGACAGAGAGAAAGACATGTTTGAAATGAATAATGAAATGTTGTAGGATATTTTTGTAGTAGTTATTGTTTTTTCTCTAATTCTTTTTCAGTCTTATCAGATTAGCTTATCCTTGTTTTTCAACGTGCTTCCTTGGTCTCTCAAGAAACCAGATTGCAGCTGGGCATGGTATTTTGTGCCTGTAATTCCAGCTACATGGGAATGAAAGTTACAGAGCTAGGCTTGGTTGCCCAGGAAAGGAGGCAGAATGATGTAAAGGTAGATGAGGATGGCTTCATAAATGAAAATGCAGGTGACTTGTTGGGCAGACAGTACACATATTCTCTGAGATTATTTTTCTCCTTCTACCTAATAGTTCTGTGTTTGCCAGATAGGGCAAAAGTGATGAGAGAACAAATACAAATTGTCAGGGAGCAAATTTAAAGAAAAAGCCTCTTCATCTTTCCTCACTTTTCCTTCATGTCAATATTCTTGCCTCTGTGAAGATCAGTATAATATCATAACATATACTAATTTTTAACCCAGGGCAAGGAGAGGTAAATGATAAGCTTTTTCAGCTAGCTGGGAGTCAATATTTCTTCGTTTTAATTCTTTACCACATGAGTCTCCTTGGACAGCTTATTTCCCTTTTGCTTCTTCATCTGTAAAATATTCATTGAGTCTAAATTGACATAAGTTATAAGACTTTCTATTATTTTATGTGCCACACTAAGAAGAAATAAATATTGTAATTGAACTATGATTCAGTGCTTTTTGTTGTCATCATTGTTTGGCATCCCTGGGTGGGTCATTAACCATCAGTGCTTTTATATGACATTGATTTATCCTATGTTACTGTGTGTATTTGAATAAATTAAAAATAATTGGTACCATCAACCTTCTGGGTTTATAAAGAATAAGTACAGTAATGTACTTAAATTGAGGAACACAGTGCCTAGCACATTGTAAGTACTCAACAAGTGGTAGCCATTATGTTGATGTTGATGGTGATTTGATCATGAGCACTCTCTTTTAAGTGGTGTTCATTGTTTAGGTTGTTCTTTGGGGGTCAGAATCATTAATAGGTTATATTGATGAGATTTATTGGTGGTAGTCAGAATGCCCACTCGTTTTGAAGCTGAAGTAGCATAACAGTAAAATAACATGTTTAGTTGGTTTTTGGAGGTAATTGTTTTAATGAATAGCACTTCATTGTCAATGAAATTTGTTCATGGACTACTGTTGAAGTTACCTCCAGGAGTAAGTTCTATTGACATCAACTTCCTGGGTTGGTTGAAGTCACTTTTTTTGAAGAGAATTTAGTTCAAGTATACAACATGAGTAATTTAGTTCAAGTACACAACATGTGAAACTTAGTAAAATTATATTAGTGATATTATGATATGAAACCTCAGGTTTTAATTTTTTTTTTCATTTTCTGTCTATACAGGAGGCAGACAGTGGGGAGGAAGAATGCCGGTCACAGCCCAGGAGGTATGTTTGTTCATTATATCCTACGGCATTTTTGTTGTAGGATATTTTTGTAGTAGTTATTGTTTTTTCTCTAATTCTTTTTCAGTCTTATCAGATTAGCTTATCCTTGTTTTTCAACGTGCTTCCTTGGTCTCTCAAGAAACCAGATTGCACCTGGGCATGGTATTTTGTGCCTGTAATTCCAGCTACTTGGGATTGCTTAAGGCCAGGAGTTTGAGACAACGTATCAGGACCTTCCTCCGTTTTTTAAAAAAAAAAAGAGTAAGAGCGAATGCTTTAGGAATCCAGTTACTGACTCAGAAAGATTTTTCAATGGTACATTGGTTTAAAAAGAGGCAGAAAGGTCAATTTTGGCTCAGTTTTCACCCAAGCATCCAAGGAATTATCTTGGGGGTAATAAAAAAGCAAAATTTCCTTACCTTTCAGGAAAATATCAACTGAAGAACATTTCAGCCTTCAGTTTTGTACTTAATTTGTCATTCATATTTGATAAATTTTGGCAATTCTTGCAGATTGGTAAATATTTCACTTTGTTTCTATACAAAGGGTATACTGAGTAAGTATACTGAGTAACCTACCTAATCTTTTAAAATGCAATGAAATATTTTTACCCTCTTCTCATGGAATAGTGGGCATGTTGTTAGAAGGGTGCCAGTACCCAGTAACATTAAAAGAAAACAATTGTGAGAGAAATCTAGGAAGTATAAAATAACATTTATTTTATCTCCTTTAAGGGTTTTTAAAAGTAACTCCCTCCCACAAGAAACAGGCCTGGTAAGTTCTAGATGGTCATTTCAATGTTACCAAACTTGTATCCTCTGAACTCAAATGAGCCATTCTAGATGATACAGAGAAAGGATCAATAAGCATGCTCATTGTGAAGAAGCTGGCTAAAGGGAATGCTGCTTTAATAATTATCAGGCCGGGCGCGGTGGCTCACGCCTGTAATCCCAGCACTTTGGGAAGCCGAGGCAGGCGGATCACGAGGTCAGGAGATCAAGACCATCCTGGCTAACACGGTGAAACCCTGTCTCCACTAAATACAAAAAATAAGCTGGGCATGGTGGCGGGTGCCTGTAGTCCCAGCTACTCAGGAGGCTGAGGCAGGAGAATGGCGTGAACACGGGAGGCGGAGCTTGCAGTGAGCCGAGATCGCGCCACTGCACTCCAGCTTGGGCTACAGAGCGAGACTCCGTCTCAAAAACAAGAACAAACAAAAAATAATAAAAATTATTATTATTATTATCAGGTGTTTGTTGATATATACCTCCTTCTTGTAAACTACAACTTAATATAAAAATAGTTCCTTTTCATCAGTAACTGAGATTATCGGTAGTTTTTTTCCTGATTTGTTAACACATAAATTGTGGGCTTAAGGCTTAATTTCTCGTGTCTCTTAGCAAAGAGAAGTGTCCTTCTTTTGCATAGGGCTAAGGAGGTAGAAACCAAAAATAAATTTTAGCTGAATGTGTACCAGAGGCATCGTAATCATATTCCCATTAGAATGAAAAAATAATTCTTATATTTTCTAGAAGGTCAGATTTAAAGCTCTCTGAGTCAATTTCAAGCTTTATATATTGACTCAATATCCACTGGAATAATGTTGTTCCAAAAAATTACCTAATGATGAGGCAATGGAAGTCATTCTCTTATTCACAGTACTGAATTGTCAAGCCATTAAGAACTATAAAGGCCAGGCGCGGTGGCTCACACCTGTAATCCCAGCACTTTGGTAGGCCAAGAGTCTGAGAACAGCCTGGCCAACCTGGTAAAACCCCATCTTTAATAAAAATACAAAAAAAAATTAGCCAGGCATGGTGGTGCATGCCTGTAATCCCAGCTACTCAGGAGGCTGAGGCAGAAAAATCACTTGAACCCAGGAGGTGGAGGTTGCAGTGAGCAGAGACCACACAACTGCACTCCAGTCTGGGCAACAAAGTGAGACTCTGTCTTACTAAAAAAAAAAAAAAAAAAAAGAGGAAGAAGAAGAATCATAAAGACCTGTTTTTAAGTTTTTGGCAATACTTTGTCACTTTGACCAGCAGAGGGTTTTTGCAGGCTTCTTCTATTCACAAGAGGATTACTTATAAAAATAAGAAATGAAAAAAACCTAGTAGCAACTATTAAAAAATCAAAATTTGCTAATCTGTTATAATGTCTTACATTTAGTGTGTTTGCCAAGCTATTTCTAAATCTAAAGGCTTTAGTCCGACTCGAAGCAAAGAAACTTATCTTACCTGCCAGTTGAATGCCCCTTGTAGCTATACGGTATGTAAGAGATTGATTTTTGTATGTTTGACTGCTACAGATTGTTCAGAGTTCTCCATCACTCACCACAGAATAAACCAGCATTGAATCATTTCATTAAGCATGCCTGAACTCATCTTGTCAGTTTGTGGGTTCAAATGTAGCTTGTAGTAGGAAATTAAATAGTAAACAGCATATCATTAAAACTAAAGGCCAGTTCCAGGTAACAAAGAAGACATTGCATTAATAATCTGTTATTTTTGCCAGGGGCAGTGGCTCATGCCTGTAATCCCAGCATTTTGGGAGGCTGAGGCAGACGGATCACATGAGGTCAGGAGTTCAAGAGCAACCTGGCCAACATGGTGAAACCCCATCTCTGCTAAAAATACAAAAAATTAGCCGGGTGTGGTGGTGCATGCCTGTAGTCCAGCTACTCAGGTGTCTGAGGCAGGAGAATTGGTTGAATCCTGGAGGTGGAGGTTGCAGTGAGCCGAGATCAAGCCACTGCACGCCAGCCTGGGCAGCAGAGCAAGACTCCGTCTCAAAAATTAATAATAATAATAATAATAAATCTTAACCAAATGCCATTTATTGACAAAGTCATAAAAATAATCTTTCAGACCAGGTGCAGTGGCTCACACCTGTAATCCCAGCACTTTGGGAGGCCATGTGGGTGGATCACCTGAGGTCAGGAGTTTGAGACCAGCCTGGCCAACATGGCGAAATCCTGTCTCTACTAAAAATACAAAAATTAGCTGGGTGTGGTGGCATGAGCCTGTAATCCCAGCTACTCAGGAGGCTGAGGCAGGAGAATCACTGGAACTCGGGAGGCAGAGGTTGCAGTGAGCTGAGATTGCGCCACTGCAATCCAGCCTGGGCAATAGAGCAAGACTCTGTCTCAAAAAAAAAAAAAAAAATCTTTCAGTACAATTAGACCAAACTATGATGGCTTTGTTCACAGATAACAACCATAACTACAAAAATAGATAAATTAGACTACATCAAAATTTCAAACTTCTGTGCATCAAAAGACACTATCAACAGAGTGAAAAGGCAACCCATGGAACAGAAGAAAATATTTGCAAATCATAAGGGGTTAAATCCAGAATGTGGATATAAAGAACTACAGCTCAATAAAAACAAAACCCTAGTCAGTCCACTATAACAAAATACCTAGACTGGGTGGCTGAAACAACAGACATTTATTTCTCACAGTCCTGGAGGCTGGGAAATCTAAGATCAAGGTGCCAGAATGTTCATGTGAGGGTGTTCTTCCGGGCTTGCAGACAGCCACCTTCTCTCAGTGTTCTTACTTGGTGGGGAGAAAGAAAGAGAGAGCACGTTCTGGTCTCTTCCTATTCTTTTAAGGACACGTCATGGGGGGCTCACCATCATGACCTCATCTAACCCTAACTACCTCCCAAAGGCCTCGCCTCACTTTCGAGGGTAGGGCTTCAACATATGAATTAGCAGGGGGCACAAGCATTAAGTCCATAATATTTTGCCCGGGAACCCACAAAATTCATGTTCTCATACACAAAATATATTCATTCCATCTCAACATCTTTAAAAGACAAAACATTCCAGCATCAGTTCTGAAGCCTAAAGTCCAAAGTTTTATATCATCTAAATCAGATACAAGTAAGACCAGGAATGATTCATTCTGAGCCAACATTCCTCTCCAGCTGTGAACCTGTGAAACCAGGTAAATTAAGCACTTCCAAAATACCATGGTGAGGTAAGCATAGGATAGATTTCCTATCTCAAAAGGTAGAAATCAGAAGGAAAGTAGGACTGATAGGTCCCAAATAAGTTTAAAACTTAGCAAGGCAAATCCCCTTAGGTCTTAAGACTTGAAAATAATCCTTCTTGGTTTGATGCTCTGCTCTCCAGATGCACTTGAGTGGCAGCGTCACCCTCATTGCTTCATGTGGTGGCCCTGCCCCTTCAGCTCAGTGGAGTGCCATCCACAGGGCTCTCTGCAAGAGCCCTGCCCACACAACTCTGCTTGCCAGTGGTCCTAGCCTTTGAAACTGAAGTGAAGACAGCCTGCTCCCTGATCGCCACCCATGGTGGGTGTGATGAGAGTAGAAGCCCTGATGATCATCACTGAATTGCCTTTGGGGGGATCCTTCTTCCCCTTTCTTGAAGGATAATGCGTAGTCACAGTCTTCCTTTATTCCATTTCATTTTCTCTGTTTCCCTTAGTCCTAGCTGGCAGTATTTCTGTTTGCATAATCCCTTCTCTATCCTGGCTTCTATTGAGATGGCTGATTAGGCCTGTGGTTCACACCAACACTACCCTCCTTATATGGTCAGTCAGCCACACTGTTGGTGTTCCCTTCCAAACATGCTTTCTCATTTTTTGCAATATGCACAGGCAGAGAATGTTCCAAGTAAGTTCTGGTTCCCTTTTGCTTAACTATTCCTTCTGCAATTCATTTCTCTCTTTTTGCATTTTATTATAGCAGCCAGAAGGAGCCAAACCACTCCTTCACCACTTTGCTTAGAAACCACTGTAGTTGAATGTCCAATTCCACTGTTGCAAGTTCTACCTTCCACAAAATACTAGAACACAAACACAATCCAGCCCAAGTTCTTTGCCACTTTATAACAAGGATTGCCTTTTCTCCATTGTCCACTAACATGTTTCTTGTTTCCATCTGAGCCTTCGTCAGAAAGGGCTTTTCCATCCATATTTCTACAAATATTCTGTTCGTGGTTCTTTATGTATTCTCTAAGAAGATGGAAGCATTTTCTCCAGATCTCCTCTATCCTTTCTGAGCACTCACCAGAATTGCCTTTAGCAATCCCTTCATGGCAATCTTGGCTTTTTCTAGCATGCACTTCAAAACTCTTCTACCCATTACCTGGTTTCAAAGCCTCAGCACCCCATTTCTCAGGACCAATATCTGTATTAGTCAGGGTTCTTTAGAGAAATAGAACCAAAAAGGGTATCTCATAGAGATAGATAGATATATATAGAGAGAGGGAGAGAGGGAGGGAGGAAGGGAGGAAGGGAGGAAGGGAGGGAGAGAGTGAGGGAAAGAAAGAAAAAAGAGAGAGAAAGAAAGAAAGAAAAGAAAGAAATTGATTCTAAGTAAATGGTTTACATTATTGAGGCTGAGAAGTCCCAAGATCTGTAGGCTGGAAACCCAGGAGAACTAATGGTATAGTTCCAGTCCAAGTCCAAAGGCTTAAAGAACTAGGAGAGCCAATGGTGGCTCAGTCCACCATTTGCTGAGTCCAAGTCTGAGTCCGAAAATAGAAGACCAATGTCCTTGCTCAAAGGCAGAAGGAGGAACTTCTCCCTTATTCAGCCTTTTGTTCTATTCAGGCCTTCAATAGATTGAGTGAGGACTACCCACACTGGAGAGGACAGTCTGCTTTACCCAGTCTACTGATTCAAAGGTTAATATTATCCAGAAACACCCTCACAGATAAGCCGAGAATAATATTTAACCAAATACTGGACATCCTGTGACCCAGTCAGGTTGATGGTTGACACATAAAATTAACCATCATACAACCCAATTAAAAAATAAGCAAAGAACTTGAATAGACATTTCTCCAAAGAAGATAAACAAATAAGCAATAAGCATATGAAAAGATGCTCAAGGCCGAATGCAGTGACTCATGCCTGTAATTCCAGCACTTGGGAGGCTGAGAAGGAAGGATTGCTTGAGCCCAGGAGTTTGAGACCAGCCTGGGAAACATGGCAAGACCCCATCTCTACAAAAGATAAAAAAATTTAGCCAGGTGTGGTGTCACACACCTGTCCCAGCTACTCAGAATGTTGAGGTGGGAAGACTGCTTGAGTCCAGGAATTAAAGGCTGTGGTGAGCTAAGAAGGTTCCACTGCACTCCAGCCTGGGTAACAGTACAAGACCCTGTCTCTTAAAAAAAAAAAAAAAATCAAAATCACTAATCATTAAGGAAATGCAAATTGAAACCACGGTGAGATACTACCTCATACCCATTAGGATGGCCACTATCAACATAAAGCGTTGGTGAGGATATGGAGAAATTGGAAGCCTTGTGCACTATTGGTGGGAATGTAAAATGGCATAGCTGCAATGGAAAATAGTATGGTGATTCTTCAAAAAATTAAAAATAGAATATGATCATATGATCCAGCAATTCCACTTCTGGACTCCTGGGTAGATACCTAAAAGAATTGAAAGCAGGGTCTTAAGAGATTCATACACCCGTGTTCATAGCAACATTATTCACAATAGCCAAGAGATGGAAGCAACCCAAGTGTTCATCAACGATGAATGGATAAACAAAATGAGGTATTATATGTACAGTGGAATATTGTTCAGCCTTTAAAAAGGAAATAAGTTCTGACATGCCACAACGTGGGTAAAAATGAGGACATTAAGCTAAGTGAAATAAGCCAATCACAAAAAGTCAAATACTGTATGATTCCACTTACATGAGATACCTAGAATAATCAAATTCATGCGGACAGAATAATGGTGACTGGGGGATGGATGGAGTGGGAAGTTATTGCCTAGTGGGTACGGAGCTTCAGTTTTGGAAGATGAAAAAAGTTCTAGAAATGGATAGTGGTGGTGGTTGCACAACATTGTGAACGTACTTAATGCCAGTGAACTGTACACTTAAAAGTAGTTAAGATGGAAATTTTTATGTTTATTTTACCACAATTAAGAAACAATGTATTTATGCCATACTAGCCCCTTTTTGTGATTGATTGATTGAGACAGGGTCTTGCTCTGCCACACAGGCGGGAGTGCAGCGATACAGTAATGGGCTCAGTCCCACTTGAGCCTCCCAAGTAGCTGAGACCACCGGCATGCACCACTATGCCCAGCTAATATTTTCTGTTATTTTTGTAGAGACAGGGTCTCCCTATGTTGCCTAGGCTGGTCTCAAACTGCTGGGCTCAAGTGATCCTCCTGCCTCAGCCTCCCAAAGTGCTGGGATTACAAGTGTGAGCCACCATGGCTGGCCACCTTTTTGTGATATTTGAACTCCAGCAATATTTTTTTTTTCTCAGAAGACAGGCATAAAAAGATAACATAATTACAGAAAATCAGGTTTTATATCATTGACTATTGTTGCAGTACTTTTCCTTAGTTCAGCTAAAGACAGAGTTATTGTCCCATGGCAACAAAAATTTAGGCTCACAGATGATTGAAGGGTGAGAATAATGGGATTTATGGGGCAAAAAGGAAAACAAAGGGGGAACAGGGACTTTCTGCAAGGCTAGAATTCCTGCTGGTTCCTTCCTGCCTTGCAGTTTGAATCCCAGGTTTCACAAAGGAAGAGGAGGGGCCAGGCTCCTCCCCATGCAAATTGTGCGAACTTCCCGAAGCTCCACCTCAGTATGCAGGCTGGCTGGAGTTTTGCCAGGGAACCTTTCCAACCTGTTTGTCTCACTATTTGGTCAAAAGATAAATGGATGAAATTTGATGCCAGTATTTCCTTTGCATATTTATGAACTCAACTTTTTCTTGTGTGATGACCCACTTTGCTGACCGGGGAATAGCCAGGAAAATAACTATAGAAGTAAACAGGGCCGGGCGCGGCGGCTCACGCCTGTAATCCCAGCACTTTGGGAGGCCGAGGCGGGTGGATCACCAGGTCAGGAGATCAAGACCATCCTGGCTGACACGGTGAAACCCGGTCTCTACTAAAAATACAAAAAACTAGCCGGGCGTGATGGCGGGCGCCTGTAATCCCAGCTACTGGGGAGGCTGAGGCAGGAGAATGGTGTGAACCCAGGAGGCAGAGCTTGCAGTGAGCCGAGATCGCGCCACTGCACTCCAGCCTGGGCTACACAGGCAGACTCCGTCTAAAAAAAAAAAAAAAAAAGTAAACGGACTGGGCGCGGTGACTCGCGCCTGCAATCCCAGCACTTTGAGAAGCCGAGGTGGGTGGATCTCGAGGTCACGAGTTCGAGACCAGCCTGGTCAACATGGCAAAACCCCCATCCCTACTAAAAATACAAAAATTAGTTGAGCGTGATGGCACGCTCCTGTAATCCCAGCTACTCAGGAGGCTGAGGCAGGAGAATCGCTTGAACCCGGGAAGCAGAGGTTGCAGTGAGCAGAGATGGTACCACTGCACTCCAGAGCCTGGGCAACAGAGTAAGACTCTGTCTCAAAAAAAAAAAAAAAAAAAAAAAATGAAACGCCAATATTCAAACATATTAACTGTAAACAGCTGTCTCATATGGGTCAACCTAATACAATTATAAGATGATAAATAAAAATGAACAAGATTGCACTGAAATATATCTTGCAATCTCAGGACACCTTTTTTAAGGTGAATAGTGAATAGTTATGATAGGAAACAAAGTACTTTGAGATCTTAATTTAATTTTAATTATAGTAGAATTCTTTCATTCTTGTGTGTGCCAACCCCAAGATAAGAACTGTATAAAGTAAGGAGTTTTACATTTCTTCTCTCAATTCCAGCAATACATATAATATATTATACTTTTTTTGATTACTTTGAAAATGAAGAAATTATTTTTCATGTTCAGCTGAAACCCTCCCCTATTTTTAAGCCTGGTTTCTTCCTCTTTAGTCTTTCATGGACATAAAAAATTACTCACCATCTGCTGAAAAAATTCTTCACCTTTGAAAATTTGGTCTTTATAAGGGAAAAATGAAGCAAAATAAAAACAAAACAAAAAGAAAATTTGGTCTTTTCCTCAGTTGTTTCAAAGATAGCAATGAAAATAAAATTTGCAGCAGAGGAGAGGAAAAAAGCAATGTGGGCCAGAGCTGAGTCATGATGAATGAATGGGATTTAGATAGGAGAACAGAAGAAAAGGGTAGCATTCCAAACATAGGAGAGTGGGGAGAATGGAAGGATATCATCAAAAGTCTGAAAATAGGAGCTAATGTGTTTTAGGAAAGTAAGAAGGTAACTGTCTATACCTTAAAAGCAGAGGAGTTTCAATTTGATAGATCTATGTGTAGAAGAATGACATGACTAATTCTAAATATCACCAACCATTATTCAGGAGGTCATAGGATTCACAACTTCCCTAATTATTCTTTTTTTTTTTTTTGAGAAGGAGTCTAGCTCTGTCACCCAGGCTGGAGTGCAGTGGGGTGCAATCTCGGCTCACTGCAACCTCCGCCTCCTGGATTCAAGTGATTCTCCTGTCTCAGCCTCCCAAGAAGCTGGGATTACAGGCACCCGTCACCACACCCAGCTAATTTTTGTAACCTGACCTCAAGCGATTCACCTGCCTCGGCCCCCAATTACTCTTTTTTTTTTTTGAGATGGAATCTTGGTCTGTCGCCCAGGGTGGAATGCAATGGCACAATCTTGGCTCATTGCAACCTCCATCTCCCAGGTTCACGTGATTCTCCTGCCTCAGCCTCCTGAGTAGCTGGGATTACAGGTGCGTGCCACCACGCCCAGCCTATTTTTATTTTTAGTAGAGATGGGGTTTAACCATGTTGGCCAGGCTGGTCTCTAACTCCTGATCTCAGGTGATCCACCCACCTTGGCCTCCCAAAGTGCCAGGATTGCAGGCATGAGCCACCGCGTCCAGCCCCCAATTACTCTTTTTTTTTTTTTTTTTTTTTTTTTTTTGAGACGGAGTCTCGCTCTGTCACCCAGGCTGGAGTGCAGTGGCGGGATCTCGGCTCACTGCAAGCTCCGCCTCCCGGGTTCACGCCATTCTCCTGCCTCAGCCTCCCAAGTAGCTGGGACTACAGGCGCCCGCCACTACGCCCGGCTAATTTTTTGTATTTTTAGTAGAGACGGGGTTTCACCGTTTTAGCCGGGATGGTCTCGATCTCCTGACCTCGTGATCCGCCCGCCTCGGCCTCCCAAAGTGCTGGGATTACAGGCGTGAGCCACCGCGCCCGGCCCCCCCAATTACTCTTAAAGGTAACATCACTATTGTGAACCTAAGATCAGCTTTTTGAGATGCCTTTTCAGGTGTAATGGTTAATACTGAGTGTCAGCTTGATTGGATTGAAGGCTACAAAGTATTGATCCTGGGTGTGTCTGTGAGGGTGTTGCAAAAGAGATTACCTGGGGAAGGCAGATGCACAGTTAATCTGGTGGGCACAATCTAATCAGATACCAGCGAATATAAAGCAGGCAGAAAAACATAAAAAGGACAGACTGGCCTAGCTCCCAGCCTACATCTTTCTCCCATGCTGGATGCGTCCTGCCCTCAAACATTGGACTGCAAGTTCTTCACTTCTTCACTTTTGGGACTCGGACTGGCTCTTCTTGCTCCTCAGCTTGCAGATAGCCTATTGTGGGACCTTGTGATCATGTAAGTTAATACTTAAAAAATTCTCCTTTACATATATATATATATATATAATATATGTTATATAACTATATAAATATTATATATATAATATATAAATATAAATATTATATTTATATAAAGTTCTGTCCCTATAGAGAACCCTAATAAATAAGGTTTTTCCATTTCTAACAACCGAATGACCCCACCTGGACCTGCCAACTAGTTCTGTGGCCCCCACTCAGGAACTGACTCAGCATAAAAGAACAGCTTCAACTCCCTGTGATTTTATCTCTGAGCCAACCAATCAGCACTCCCAATTCAATGGCCCCCTACCCAACAAATTATCCTTTATACCAAAACTCTGATCCAGGCCAGGCGCGGTGGCTCATGCCTGTAATCACAGCGCTTTGGAAGCCCAAGACGGGAAGATCAACTGAGGTCAGGGGTTCCAGACCAGCCTGGCCAACATGGTGAAACCCTGTCTCTACTAAAAATACAAAAATTAGCCAGGTGTAGTGGCGCATGCCTGTAATCACAGCACTTTGGGAGGCCAAGGCGGGCAGATCACCTGAGGTCAGGAGTTCGAGACCAGCCTGGCCAACATGGCGAAACCCCGTCTCAACTAAAAATACAAAAATTAGCCAGGCGTGGTGGCGCATGCCTGTAATCCCAGCTACTTGGGAGGCTGAGGCAGGAGAATCGCTTGAACCCAGGAAGCAGAGGTTGCAGTGAGCGGAGATCGCACCACTGCACTCCAGCCTGGGCGACAGAATGAGACTCCGTCTCAGAAAAAAAAACAAAAAACAACTCTGATCCTCAAGTTTTCAGGAAGACTGATTTGAGTAGTAATAAAACTCTGGTCTCGCACAAAAAAAGAAAAAATGTATAACATGACTTCCAGAAGGAGTCTGGCAGTATTATACAGCATGAGGGGAGGGGAGGCAAGAAAACTATCAAGAAAGCTGTTGCAGTAATTCAGGCAAATGGCTAGTTCCTGTACGAGAGCAGCATGAGGACAGGGATTATGTATTTTACTTTGGTATCCAATTAGCATGTAGTTGGCACTCAGTAAATGCTTAGTGAATGAACAGGAATAGAAGAATATTGATTACTGTACTAGAAATAATACTAGTTAAGAAAGGGAACTCTGTCAGAAACCATATGAAGAGTTTGACTTTGGATATATGAAACAACGGGGCATTATTCAAGTAGAAACAGTTTGAAGGCAGTTAAAAGAAAACATAGGGCCGGCATGGTGGCTCGTGCCTATAATCCCAGCACTTTGGGAGGCTGAGGTGGGCAGATCATCTGAGGTCAGGAGTTCAAGACAAGCCTGGCCAACATGGTGAAACCCCATCTCTACTAAAAATACAAAAATTAGCCAGGCATGGTGGCGCACACCTGTAATCCTAGCTATTCTGGAGGCTGAGGCAGGAGAATTGCTTGAACCTGGGAGGGAGAGGTTGCAGTGAGCCGAGATTGAGATTTTGCCACTGTACTCCAGCCTGGGCGACAAAGCGAGGCTCTGTTAAGAAAGAAAGAGAGAGAGAGAGGAGAGAGAGAAAAAGAGGAGAGGAGAGGAGAAGAAAAGAGAAAAGAAAAAAAGTTATTGGGCTGGGCACCGTGGCTTATACCTGTAATCCCAGCACTTTGGGAAGCTGAGGCAGGCGGATCACGAGGTCAAGAGTTCGAGATCAGCCTGGCCAACATAGTGAAACCCTGTCTCTATTAAAAATACAAAAATTGGCCAGGCGTGGTGGCACGCACCTGTAGTCCCAGTTACTCGATAGGCTAAGGCAGGAGAATCGCTTGAACCTAGGAGGTGGAGGTTGCAGTGAGCTGAGACTGCGCCATTGCACTCTAGCCCGGGCAATGGAGTGAGACTCCATCTCAAAAAAAAAAAAAAAAAAAAAAAAGAAAACACAGGATTAGGGCATGTCCTTATATAAGAGATGGTTTCTCAGTGGCACTGTTACTAATTTGCAGCTAAATTTTTCTTCCAGATTTCTGTCTTTGGTACCTTGTCAAGTTTTCTTTATTGTGTATTTGCTCTGTTTATTTTTTATCTTTGAGATAGGACTTCATCTTTATTCAAACCTATTTGGTGAAATAATTTTTCTATGGATTTAAATATCATGACAATATATATACTATTTTGCCCATCTTTCAGCAGTGAAAAGAGGACAAATTTATTTCTGCCTCAGTATATGTTCTAGTTAAAGACTATATTAACTTTGAGAATATGAGCATTGTACTTAAATTTTAAAAAGGGAGAAAAAGGCCGGGCGCCGTGGCTCACGCCTGTAATCCCAGCACTTTGGGAGGCTGAGGCAGGTGGATCACCAGGTCAGGAGATCAAGACCATCCTGGCTAACACGGTGAAACCCCGTCTCTACTAAAAATACAAAAAATTAGCCGGGCATGGTGGTGGGCGCCTGTAGTCCTAGCTACTCGGGAGGCTGAGGCAGGAGAATGGCGTGAACCGGGAGGCGGAGTTTGCAGTGAGCCGAGATCGTGCCACTGCACTCCAGCCTGGGCGACAGAGCGAGACTCCTCTCAAAAATAAAAAATAAAAAAAGGGAGGAAAAGTGGGGAAAAAAGTAGGTCCATTGTAAATATGAGCTGATAATTTAATCCTCATCTTTTTTATCTTTAAAAAAATGTTTAGACCGGGCGCAGTGGCTCACACCTGTAATCCCAGCACTTTGGGAGGCTGACGCAGGTGGATCACGAGGTCAGGAGCTCGAGACCTGCCTGGCCAACATGGTGAAACCCCGTCTCTACTAAAAATACAAAAATTACCTGGGCCTGGAGGCGCGCGCTTGTAATCCCTGCTACTTGGGAAGCTGAGGCAGGAGAATCGCTTGAACCCGGGAGGCGGAAGTTGCAGTGAGCCAAGATCGCACTCCAACCTGGAGACAGCAAGACCCTATCTCAAAAAAAAAAAAAAAAAATTGAAACAATCTCATACTTACAGAGAAATTACAAATACAATACAAGGAACTTTTTTTCTGAGCCATTTGGCAATAAAATGCTCTATCACCTCACTCTTCTTTAAGAAATAGAGTGATGATGTTAACATTTCATGGAGAAACTGAATATTGATTGCACTTATGACAGGAAATATACATTAGAAAGAGAAACAGAGGGTTTTTTTGTTGTTGTTGCTGTTTGAGATGGAGTCTCGCTCTGTCACCCAGGCTGGAATGCAATGGCACAATCTAGGCTCACTGCAACCTCCGCCTCCCAGGTTCAGGCAATTCTCCTGCCTCAGCCTCCCAAATAGCTGGGATTACAGACACGTGCCATCATGCCCGGCTAATTTTTGTATTTTTAGTAGAGATGAGATTTCACCACTTTGGCCAGACTGGTCTCGAACAACTGACCTCAGGTGATCCGGCGGCCTCCCAAAGTGCTGGGATTACAGGCGTGAGCTACTGTGCCCGGCCAGAGTTGTTTTTTTGTTTTGTTGTTGTTGTTTTTAAACAAAAGTAGAGCTTTCCATTTATTAGAAAGTGGCTGTAACTGATCACATTGAAGCTGTTCATCTTTTTTTTTTTTTTTTTTTTTTTTTTTTTTGAGACAGAGTCTCACTCTGTCGCCCAGGCTGGAATGCAATGGGGCGATCTCAGCACACTCCACTTTCTGAGTTCAAGCAATTCTCCTGCCTCAGCCCCCCAAGTAGCTGGGATTACAGGGCCCACCACCACGCCCAGCTAATTTTTTGTACTTTTAGTAGAGTCAGGGTTTCATCTGTCAGGATTGGCCAGGCTGGTCTCGAATCCTGACCCCAAAGTGCTGGGATTACAGGCGTAAACTACCATGCCCAGCCACTGTTCATCTTTTGCTGTGGGCCTTTCTGCACCCTGACTGTGCACCTCCCACCATGTGGGTTACACTTTCCTGTACAGAATAGAGAACTATCTGCCGTTTATAAATGTTTGGGGGGTGGCCACCAGGGGGTGTGGTGAGCTGTCTTCTCATTTTCTTAAATTTCTGCTATCATACAGAGTAGCCTCGCTGGGATGGTTAAGTGTACACCTTTAAAGCCTCTTTTCCTAGCTACTTAACAGCAGTAAGAATTTTCATTTCACTGAAGTATTCTTTGTTTCTGAAGAATGTATTCACAGACACTATTTTATATTTATCTGATGTGTACTGTGTCTGGTGGATGTGAAAGCCATACTTCTTAAATCTGATTTGAAAAGCAAATCTGATTATCACAGCCATAATTAAATTTGGCCAGCCTTCCTTCCTCCCTCCCTCCTTCACTTCCTTCCTTCCTTCCGTTAGAAAAAAAATTAGGTATATCTTTCCAATCTAGGTAAATAATTTTACTTTTCCCCCCTAGATGTTATTCATGATATAAGAAAAACAAAAGTAAAGTAAATGTCCCTTTGATTCTTAATTTTGCCAAATTGACTTTTGGAAGAGTTGTTTTCCTGGATATTATGAAAACCCAGACTAATAAAAACTCAAATGATTATTTAGTAGTAACAAAATCCTCTTGGCTACATGACTTACTTTTTTTTTTTTTTTTTTTTTTTTTTTTTTGGGAGACGGAGGCTCACTCTGTCACCCAGGCTAGAGTGCAGTGGCATGATCTCAGCTCACTGCAACCTCCATCTCCAACATTCAAGCAATTCTCCTGCCTCAGCTTCACGAGTAGCTGGGATTACAGGTGCCTGCCACCACACCTGGCTACTTTATTTATTTATTTATTTATTTTTATTTATTTATTTATTTTTTTAGACAGAATCTCACTCTTGTCGCCCAGGCTGGAGTGCAGTGGCGTGATCTCGGCTCACTGCAACCTCCGCCTCCTGGATTCCAGCAATTCTCCGGCCTCAGCCTCCTGAGTAGCTGGGATTACAGATGCACATCACCATGCCCGGCTGATTTTTGTATTTTTAGTAGAGATGGGGTTTTACCATGTTGGCCAGGCTGGTCTCGATCTCCTGACCTCAGGTGATCCTCCCGCCTCAGCCTCCCAAAGTGATGGGATTACAGGCGTGAGCTACCACGCCCATCCAGGCTACATGACTTATGACTATAGATTCTTACAGATTGCATCTTGGAGAAAAGAGAGCATGATACTTTCCTTTCAGCTGGACTTTCTCTCTCATTACCAGGGTCAATGTTTAGCAGAAATTCTGTATTCCAGAGGGAAAAGGTCTAAGGCAGAAATCCTTTACTAGAAGAGAAATGTGATTTGGGTAGCTGTGAAATTGTGGCCTCTACCCTTTTTCCACCATGCAAAACATTTATGTATCCCATAATTCAGTTCTCATTGAAAAACTGTAAAATGTTAGAACAAATATTCTCACATTCATTGCAGTACTTATTTTTTTTTTTTCTAGTAGGGGAAAGAGGAATGGGGAAAAGCAACAGTATAATCATATCAGAAGAGAAGAATTCCTTTCATGGGAGGGGAAAGAGCTGACAGTCAAGAACTCTTGAGGAACAGTTGAGAGGATACTGTTCCCATCTGCTGGCCCCTTACTCATGGCAGGCTGCAAGGCAGGATGGGATGTGGCAACAGTGACCTCTATCTCAAAGACCGTCCAGATCAGGTTTTTTTTTTTTTTTTTTTTTTCTAGTTTGGGGATAGTGCAGGGTCAGAGGCATGAATATACATTGGAAAGGGCTGTCTCCAAGGTCCATTAGGGCAACTCATACAAGCAACAGGCTGCAAACACCACCAAGGAGGCTGCTGTTTGCAGCCATTGCACACCAGATCAAATGTAAGATCAACCAGTAGCTGGTTGTAGAAAGAATTGTTTGTAATGACATTTCAATTTTCTAAAGACAAGGATTGGTGTTTGGAAGATTCTCTTTCCATCCTTATTCTTTGTATAATGAATGTAGGTACCATGGAATTGTGCATTTTCATTATTTCAGTGCACCATACATTTTCGTATTAGGTTGTTCCTGAATAACACTTTATAAGTAAAGCATGAGTCCTTAAACAGGATGGGCTAGTAATTAAAAGTATATGAGTTTGCCTCCAGCAAAATAAATAATTCTCAATAATCCATAAGTATGTATGTGTTAACTACTAAAGCCAAGGAGGCCTTTCCAATAAGAACTAGATAGATGCTGTAAGGTATAAGATTTAATGATTAAATAGCTGATAATCATAATGAATTTAAAATTTTTTTTTTTTTTTTGAGATGGAGTCTGGCTCTTTTACTCTGTCACCCAGGCTGGAGTGCAGTGGCGAGATCTTGGCTCACTGCAACCTCCATCTTCCAGATTCAAGCAATTCTCCTGCCTCAGCCTCCCAAGTAGCTGGGATTACACATGTGCGCCACCATGCCCAGCTGATTTTTGTATTTTTAGTAGAGACAAGGTTTCACCATGTTGGCCAGGCTGGTCTTGAACTCCTGACTTCAGGTGATCTGCCCGCCTCAGCCTCCCACAGTGTTGGGATTACAGGCATGAGCCACCATGCCCAGCCATGAATTTAAAATTTTAGCCACAATCTAAAATGTGGTTTCTGTACTTTTTTGAATTAAAAGGCTGCTTTCAGCAATTGCAAAATGCTATACAAATATCCTTTTAAAAGTTAATCCATTTTAAAAGGCATAGTCAGGAGGACTGCAAGAGGGAGCTGAAGCCACAGCTCCATGCTGTGGCATCACCTCCAAGCTTCACTGATAGCCCCCTATAATTCCATGGCACCCACGTGACAATCCAGATCCACTTTTTCAGCTCTGTAGGCTGCAACTTCTTGTGTCAGTGCCTGTTCGCCCCATCAAATTCCAAAAGATCCATGCAAAGACCACAATGCAGGCCTCAGAGATTCTGAAGTCAACTTTACAAAGCTGGTGGACAGAAAAACTAATGATTCTTGAATGAAAATAAACCAAACAAGAACAACCCTTTATTATTAAGTAGGCCTTTGTATGGTGGGTCTGTGGAACACAACTGTAATGTCCATCACAGTGGTGGCTTTACTTGGAAACCTTCTTTGCTTGGCTCTTTATGACCACAACCTTCTGCTGAAATAGTTTGGGATTGTTGGTAAGTTATTTGAGCTAAAGACGGTGTGTTGGGCATGCCTCATAGAGGTGGTAAAATATTTTTCTCACGTCCTGAAGGAAGATCTTGAGACCTATTCAGCTCAAAGATCCTAGATAAATCCAAAGTGTTAGAGGAATAGCATACTCCGTAGGTGTATCACCTCAGATGGCTGACTAAATCACGGCATGCTTGAGGAGCATGCTCAACAAGTTCTTACTTTATTTACTTGGATCACATGAAAGGAGCCAACCCTGAGGAGTCGCTGGGCTTTGGGCTATCACTTTTTGCTGAGACCACCAATAGAACCTTCTTCAGTACTGAACTGGCCTTCAACCTTTAGGGCAACAGAGCAGCAGTGCTCCAGAGGACCTTGGCAAGAACCATGCCAAGCTGCTACTGAAGGAGTCTACACAGGCAGATATGTGGATTCTATTAGCCAGAGCCTGATTCTAGAAGCTGCTCATGATCCAAATTCCTGCTAGGCCTGATATCTCCCCTGGAACACAGAGTATTTGAAGCATTTGAAGAATTTTTTTCAGGTTATGTTTAAAATTAAAACCAACTCATGTTGTGAAAAACTCAAGGGCACGGATAGAGTACTGATGACTTGTAATGGAATGGCTTTACCAACTTAACAAGACCATTGTCTCAGGATAAGTCCCTACCCTACAAAATGAAACAGCCAAGGTTAAATCTAAGGAACAAGTTTGAATGCATAAATTCAGATCAGGAGAGGACTTTCTTTTCTATGAATAAAGAAAACCAGAACCTACAAATAAAAGACAGCTATATATCCTCAAAAAATGACATTCCCAGGATGGTTTCCTCACTGATTAAAAGAAAAATGTTTTAGTGAATTTGATGCTAATTCTGTTCTAGAACTGTATTATTTGCAGTTCTGTTGTATATTAATTTGGTGAATAAATCTAGTAATGAAAAGTTCATAATATGGGAGGCTAAGGCAAGAGGATCACTTGAGCCTGGGAGGCAGAGGTTGAGGAGAGCCAAGATTGCGCCAGTGCACTTCAGCATGGGCGCTAGAGCCAGACCCTGTCTCAAAAAAAAAAAAAAAAAAGGAAAGAAGGACTTCATTTTTCACACTCCAGTTTGTCTCCCTTCTAGGCTGCCAGATCTCATGCATTCTTCATTTTTCATCCTCAAGGTCCAATCCAAGCCCTGGCAATTAATAGGCATGAATTACCTAATTGTTAAATTACTGAGTAAATGAGTGATAAATGTATAAATTGAAACTAGGGAAGTTTGTATAGCAATAGGCACCTTACAGTTTTGTTTTGTTATTTGGTTTTTATTTCATAATCATAAACTTAACTCTGCAATCCAGCTAGGCATGGAAGGGAACAAGGAAAACACAGAACTCAAAGGGAACTGCAGTGAGAGCACAACGAGTATAGGATACTGCGAGCAAATGGGGTGGAGGGCTGCTCTCCTGAGCTACAGAAGGAATGGTCTGGTGGTTAAGGTGAAACACAAGTCAAACTTATTCGAGTTGTCCACAGTTGGCAATGTTGATCTTCTTGCTGCTCTTGCCATCCTGCACCTTACAGTTTTAAATGTAATTCATGACCGGATGATTAACTTTTTATAGTACTATTACCCTCTCCCAGTATGATTTTCCCAATTGAATAAAAACTTCATTTTTAAAAAAGCAGCAGCATATATATAAGAACCAAAGTTTTGCCCATCATGCTTATCCACTTCTCTACTCTCCAATCCCAACCCCCAAAATTAGAATCTCACTTTCCTCCACGAAGTATGCAGGAAACTTTAAAAAATTAATAAGCTGGGTGCAGTGGCTTATGCCTGTAATCCCAACACTTTGGGAGGCCAAGGCGGGTGGATCACCTGAGGTCAAGAGTTCAAGACCAGCCTGACCAGCATGGTGAAACCCCATCTCTACTAAAAAATACAAAATTAGCCAGGCATGGTGGTGTATACCTGTAATCCCAGCTACTTGGGAGGCTGAGGCAGGAGAATTGCTTGAACCCAGGAGGAGGAGGTTGCAGTGAGCCAAGATCCCGCCATTGCACTCCAGCCTGGGCAATAAGAGCAAAACTCCATCTCAAAAAAAAAAATTTCCTTCTTGTTCACTACAAGTTATTTGTTTTGGATGAAAAAGTAAAAGGCTATTAGGAAAGGTTTATTATGAACACAATTCAGAACTGCTGAGTTTAGTATAAGGTCAAGTTTTTGTTTTTTGTCTCTTCTGATCTTATGTTTATGAGTTTAAACAGTATAAACTTTAGGAACTCCTTATATACTTGGTTTTTCTTACCTTGAAACCTGTATGTATATGCTCCTTATGCATATGTTTATGTCTTAAATATATTTTAAAGGAAACAGACACTATGGAAAGATTCCTATTATAACCCAAATGGCTGGGCGTGGTGGCTCACGCCTGTAATCCCAACACTTTGGGAGGCCAAGGCAGGTGGATCACCTGAGGTCAGGAGTTCAAGACCAGCCTGACCAACATGGAGAAACCCCATGCCTACTAAAAATTAGCCAAGTGTGGTGGCACATGCCTGTAATCCCAGCTACTTGGGAGGCTGAGACAGGAGAATTGCTTGAACCCAGGAGGTGGAGGTTGTGGTGAGCCGAGATCGTGCCATTGCACTCCAGCCTGAGCAACAAGAGCAAAACTCCATCTAAAAATAAATAAATAAAAAAAATAACCCAAATGATCTCTCAAACTGCCAATATCTTCATATCACTTTAACAAAATTCATATTTAATAATCTCAAAAGGCGATGTGTAAACCATCTGATGGAGAAATCTTACAAAGTGAAATTAAGGAGCATTTAATAAAACTAAGATGTTGAAGATTAGTATTATTTGTAGAATATTGGTCTTCAGAAAAGAGAGTCAAAATGTTTGCCATCTATTCATGAGGTGCTTAGAAAACAAGATTTCTGAAAAACAAAAGATTTCCCAGGTAAAATTAAAATGTTTTAAAAAATGTAATTAAACAAAAAATGTATATGAGTTTTAAATATATATTTTCTATTCTACTGTGTAATGACAAGGAATAGGACCCCTTGTCTTTTCTTTTCTACATTGTAATATTATTTCTATGGATAGAAACTCAGTTCTGATTTAATCTTCCTGTTTAGTTAGGTAGGATTCCAAGTGTGCAGTGTTGATTTTCTTTTTATATACAAAGGGAAATCTGGACGTCCAGCAGAGTAGTAGAGGATATATTAGTCAGAGTTTTCCAGAGAGACAGAATAGGATGGATGGGTGGATGATGGATGGATGGGTGGATGATGGATGGATGGGTGGATGATGGATGGATGGATGGATGGATGGATGGATGGATGGATGGACAGATGGGGAATTGGCTCATGCAATTATGGAAGCCGAGAAGTCCCATGACTGGCCATCTGCAAGCTGGAGACACCGGGATACTGGTAGGGTTTCTCAGTCCAAGTCCAAAAGCCTCAGAGCCAGGGAAGCCTTTAGAGTAATTCTCAGTCAAATGCCAAAGACCTAAGGACCTGGAGGGGTTCACTGGAGTAAATCCTGGAGTCCCAAGTCCAGAGAGCCTGGAGTCCCAAGTCCAGAGAGCCTGGAGTTCTGATGTCCAAAGGCAGGAGGAGAAGAGTATCCTAGCTCCAGGAGGAGAGAGGAAAGCTTTTTTCTCCTTTTATGTTCTATCTCGGCCTGTAGCCCAGGTAGATTGGTTGGTACCTGCTTACATTGAGACTGGATCTTCCCCACTCAGTCCACCAACTCACATGCCAATCTTCTCTGGAAACAGCCTCAGAGACAAACCCAGAAGTAATACTTTACCAGTTCTGTAGGTATTTTGTAATCCAGTTACATTGATACCTAAAATTAACTACCACAGAGAGAAAGCAATTAAGTAAGAGTAAGAAGACCTGATTTTTGGCTAACACGGTGAAACCCCGTCTCTACTAAAAATACAAAAAATTATTCGGGCATGGTGGTGGGCGCCTGTAGTCCCAGCTACTTGGGAAGCTGAGGCAGAAGAATGGCGTGAACTCGGGAGGTGGAGCTTGCAGTGAGCCGAGATCACGCCACTGCACTCCAGCCTGGGCAACAGAGCGAGACTCCGTCTCAAAAAAAAAAAAAAAAAGACCTGATTTTAGTTCCGTCTCACCTCACACTATGGTAGCCCTCAATTTCCTCATTTTGTAAAATGAGGATAACATCTGCCCATCTATCCTTTTAGGTTGCTGTGAGGTGGACTGAATAGAATCTGGAAAAAAAAAAACCACATCTTTTCTCAGTTAATTGATGTACTAGCTGAAGAATGATAAATACTGCCCCCTTTCTACTAAGGACTGAGGAGTTAATTTTTGCATACTTGTTGGTTTTATCTAATCCAGAGAGAAAAAACAACTTCCAATGTTGTGGTAAATTCTTGAACATATTTGACATGGTTGTTGAAAAGTGTATAATTGTGTAAGTGTCTGATTTTGCATGTTCACCTGATTTCAGAGAAGAAAGACATAGAAAGTGAAATATGGCCAGGGAAGTTGATACACGAAGGCTTAGAGAGATAATGATGCTGCTCTGCCAGGGCCTGGAAACTTGACCATCCTAAACAAACTGCATAGTACTAAATTGCTTGTGAAAGGGCTGAATCAATCCTGCTGTGATTTGAACTTTTGGCTCCTGAAAGTCTAGAGCAGGCTTGAAAATAAAAATAAAACCCTTACCTACTTACTAGGTTGTGTTTCAGGCCCTCTACTGAATTCTGTGTGTGAAGGAGGTATCTATCCAAAGAACAAGAGGCAGCAAGAGAGAGATGAAAGGCAGTGAAAAGGAGTCTTAAGGGCTACTCCTTATTTAGTGAGGCAGTGCTCCCAGGGAGAAAGAACTTCCATCATTAATGTACTGATTCTTTAAGGAAATATTTACTAGAGCATAATGTGTGTGTGAAAGAAAGATGATATATCTTAAGAAAGATATAAAGTGATGTAGTGCAAAGGATCAGTCATCTAACCAGGATGTATTTAGTGCTTATGACCTGCATAGCACTGTGCTAGGCTATATAAAGTCCACAAAAGAGTTAGTGTCTGATTTGCTCCAGTAGAGAGATAAGTTATATAGGCAGCAATTAGAGGACAACAAATAAATATGCTCTCATTGTTGTCTATATAAATATGCATTATGTGCCACAAAATAGAGGACAGAAAATAAGACTTTGAATAACGTAATACATATTATAAATTCTAGAGGACTTAGAAAAGTGTCACAGCGTACTATAAACCAGGAATTGATCACTGGACTTAATCAGAAGACGTAGGTTCAAATCCTAGCTCTGACATTTACTATGTAAGTTTGGGCAGGTCCCTTAATTTCAGAGCCTTAGTTTCCTCATCTGTAAAATAAAGCTGATAATCCTAGCTAGCTCTCCTTACCTACACAGGATTTTAATTAGAATTAAGTGAAGATGGATATGAAAACACTATAGAGTTTCTGATTATTGAAAGAGCTGAGAATTAAACTAGGTCTGAAAAATATGTTATACATGAAAAACCTGAAAGGCTGAATAGAAGTGGTCTCAGAATGGGAACAATTTAAACATAGGAGAATAAGACTTGGGCCGGGCACGGTGGCTCACACCTGTCATCCCAGCACTTTAGGAGGCCGAGGTGGGCAGATCATCTGAGGTCAGGAGTTCGAGACCAGTCAGGCCAACATGGTGAAACCTCATCTCTACTAAAAATACAAAAATTACCTGGGCGTGGTGGTGCACACCTGTAGTCCCAGCTACTCAGGAGGCTGAGGTATGAGAATCGCTTGAACCTGGGAGGCAGAGGTTGCAGTGAGCAAAGATCATGCCACTGCACCCCAGCCTGGGTGACAGAGCAAGACTCCATTTTGAAAAAAAAAAAAAGTGACTTAATTATAAAAAAAGAGAATGAGACTTGAATATAGAAGGACAGGATAGAAATAATCTAATTAGGCTGGGCAAGGTGGCCCACGCCTGTAATCCCAGCACTTGGGGAGGCCAAGGCAGGCAGATCACTGGAGGTCAGGAGTTCAAGACCAGCCTGGCCAAGGTGGCAAAACCTTGTCTCTACCAAAAATACAAAAATTAGCCGGGGGTGGTGGCTCGAGCCTGTAATTCCAGCTACTCAGGAGGTTGAGGCATGAGAATCACTAGTATCTTTTGAACCCAGGAGGCAGAGGTTGCAGTAAGCAGAGATCGCACCACTGTACTCCAGCCTGGGTAATGGAGTGAGACTCTGTTAAAAAAAAAAAAAAAAAAAAAAAAAAACTAAATATAGCAAAAATTTGTTTTGAAAGGTAGTTACACTGATACACTGATTGTGTTAGAGAAAGGATGAAGTTGAGGATTATATGCTGTAATGACTGGATTATAGTAGGATTTAAATTATGGTGGATCTGTAGGCTAGAAGGAAGAGTTTAGACTTGATCTGAAAGGGAATAGAGAAGTATTTGGGGAGTTTGAGTAGGGAATTAGTGTAAAAGTTATTTAACTCATTCATTTTGATAATCAGCATGTAACATAGTGCCTGGCATACAGGTATTCAAGATTAGTCAAACTGAATTTAGTTAATCTGTCAATAATATGTAGGATGAATTGGACACGTTCGATAAGCCTAGAATCTAGGCTTCTTATCAACTCAATGTTAGTCTGATTCATCTTTTTCTTTAACTATAACAAGGAATGATAATACTGGCCCAGCTAGTAGGCTTATTTTAAACATCAAATAAGATGATGGTGATGCCATCATCATTCACAAATACATTAAATGCCTCCTTCATGTAGGATGTTGTGTAAAAACTACAAACACAAAAATATCTTTAGATATAAGTGCTTTGGAAAATGTGATGAATACAAGTTTGAAATACAGAGTTCCAAAGGATCTGGTAGCAAGAGGATGGTATACAGCAGCCAAAAGATCATCTTACTGCTATATTTAGTACCAGGTTATGTCCCTATTATTGTCAGAACCTGCTAGGCATAAGTAGGATCAAGTAGAGAAGAAAATACCAGATGCAGTCAGGTAGGTATTTAAGGTCCCCAAGAGTTCTTTCTCCCTGTTGGCAATAGACCTTTTCAGTTTAAACCTGTAATGAACCTCCATCATCATGGAGACAATATAGAATACTGTTTAAGAAAGAAGGTTCTGGAGCCAGAATAACTGGCTGGATTTGAAATACTGCTGTATAAGCTTAGGCAAATTATTTAACCTCTCTGAGCCTCATAGAGATAATAATAGAATCATAGGATTGTTTATAAGAATTGAGATAGTGCATGTAAACTCTATTTTTTTATTATTTTTTATTTTTTACAGAGATAGGGTCTCCCTATGTTGCCTAGGCTGGTCTCGAATTCCTGGAGTCAAGGGATCCTCCTGCCTCTGCCTCCCAAAGTGCTAGGATTACAGGTGTGAGCCACCACACCTGGCCATGTAAACTCTTAATAGAGCACCTGACACACACTGAATGTCAGCTCAAAAATTTCAGTTATTTTATTTTCAAAACCTTCTTGGCTCTTTTAGCCTCCATTCTTTGTTACTCCCAAAATCACTTCCCATTTTTCTATCTCTGTCTTACTACATTCTAGGACACTGATGGTATTAGGCCACATTAGGTTCATTCACCTATAATGTTAATAAGTTCTACAGCATTATCATTGAACAGATCTCAAAATATCTTCTGAATTTATAGAAAAGCTCCAATATATTCCTAAATTAGAAGTAAATAATTTTAAAATTTTCTGAATTTAAAATTGTATTATCTTCAAAGTAGCTTAATAATTACATTTACCAGCCAGGCATGATGATTCATACCTGTAGTCTCCACACTTTGGGAGGCCAAGGCAGGAGGATCGCTTGAGCCCAGAAGTTTGAAACCAGCCTGGGCAACATGGCAAGACTTCGTCTCGACAGGTGTGGTGTTACATGCCTGCAGTCCCAGCTACTTGGAAGTTGAGCCAGGAGAACTGCTTGAGCCCAGGCGGTTAAGAGTGCAGTGAGCTGTGATTGTGCCACTGCACTCCAGTCTGGATGACAGAGCGAGACCCTGTCTCAAAAAAAAAAAAAAAAAAAAATTTACATTTATCTTGTTATAGTCTAAGTAGTTCTTTGGAAAAAATAATCCATAATATAGTTCCTCATAATATTTTTCTTTATAAATTTTCTACTTTATTCCCATAAACATATTTTACTTTTCTAATATATATATTTTTAGCTTTTAATGTAATGTGTAAAAGACAGGGTATAGAAGAGCATCTTGGGCCCTGAGTTAATTTAATAGATCATGGAGTAGCAGGAGACACTAATAATGCACAGGAAAATAAAAAACTAAACTCTTTAGGTAGGCAGTTTGATAATATCTACCAGGTCCTAAGATGTTTAAAATATTTCAAACTGCCAATTCCACCTCTAGGTGTTGATCCAACAAGTATATTCACATGTATGCACAAATATTTTTTTCAATATCCCTGTCATGACATGAACAAAAATTATACAAACACATGTTCATAGTGATATTGTATATAATAGTAAAGACTGGAAACAACTTAAATGCCCATAAGTAAAGGACTATTTAAATAGATTATATATGATTGTACAATAAAATGCCTTATACTCCTTTAAAAGAATGAGGGAGACTTACAATAACATGGAAAAATGTCTAAGGTATAGTGATAAGTAGGGGGAAATGCAAGTAGAATAATATGTATAATTCTGTGTGTGTGTGTGTGTGTGTGCGTGTGTGTGCATGTATGCTTCTTAAAGAGCAGCTACAATATATTGCTGTTTGCATATACAAGCAAAATTTCTGGAAATATTAATAACAATCATCTCTGGGAGTAAGATGATGAGAATGAGAATGGTGACTTTCATTTTACCTTTCTGAATTCTAAAAAGATTTAAGCATTCAGCATGTGTTAATGTTATTTAAAAAAAAAACTAGTTTAAAAAATAAAATGTTTCATCCCTGAGAGGTCTAAAAAAAAAAAAGAAAAAAGAAAACGTTTAAAGAGATAAAGTGGGGACTAAATGGTTAAATGTTTTGTAAAGTGTGTTTGATGTGAAAAGTGATCTGTAAATACCTATTATTTTTACTAAACAATAGAGTTTGGGGCTTTTGTAACCTGAAGAAAGCAGCATTTCAGCATCTCTTCCTACAGGAGCATATGGTGTTTAAGACTATGGGGGGATGAATGCCTTAGAGATCACCTCTCCTAGAGTTGATAGGCAGATCTTTTCAGTGTTTTCCATTGCTCTTATGGAGGAAAAGTTCCATGGAAAAGACTATAAAGGTTCAGTGACATTGCTTAATCCAGTGTTTAAAACTATGGTCAGATATTCTTTTTTTAAAAATTAGCCACATGGTGATTGCAAAACATGATTGCTTTTAAGTGCCTTTGTTTACAAAGTTTGGTTTATTGTATTATATAAAGAATGCCATTGACTAAGTGTAGTAAGATACCTCTTGGTGAAAATTCAGATATTATCTTGAGAGTTTTGTCCTAGTGTTTTACAGATTAACAGGAGACAGAATGTTGCATTACTCTGTAATTCTAAGTGTTGGTTTTCTTCCTTTTGATACTCAGGGGATTAACTTACTGTTTATTTTTCTACATCGAGCCCTTAGAGAAAACATAAAAATACAAATAGGTCCTGTGGTATAATCATTTTTTCTTATGAGTAAGTATTTTAAAACTAAAATTATGTAAGTTAAAGCTATTACATGAAAGCTTTAAAAATACAAAAATTGAGCACTGCACATCTCACATTACTACAGACGGTAATACTGAGTTAATGTAAAACTACCTGGCAAACAATCATAGTAAAGACTTCTTGGATGAAATGGTGGTACATAGGGGAAATTTGCATATATTTTATTTTTTTCTTTATTATTATTATTTTTTTTTTTGAGACAGCGTCTCACTCTGTTGCCCCGACTAGAGTGCAGTGGCGCGATCTTAGCTCACTGCAACCTCCACCTCCCGGGTTCAAGCGATTCTCCTGCCTCAGCCTCCTGCATTATTTTTATTTTTTTAATGAGACAGGGTCTCACTATCTTGCCCAGGCTGGTCTCAAACTCCTGGGTTCAAGCAATTCTCCTGCCTCCGCCTCCCAAAGTGCTAGGATTACAGGTGTGAGCCACTGTGCCCAGACAGGTATTTTAATGTTCATTCATTCATTTGTCAACTTCAGGGTAATGAAAGAAAACAAATACAATTAGCTTTCTATTATTGAAAGCTGACTGACCAATTTATGGATGATGATGATGATAATAATAATAATAAATTTGAATTTGGTGTTGTTCACAAAGTACTTTTGTCCCTGTATCTTTTTTTTTTTTTTTTTGGAGACGGAGTCTCACTCTGTCATCCAGGCTGGAGTGCAGCAGTGCGATCTTGGCTCACTGCAACATCCGCCTCCCAGGTTCAAGCGATTCTCCTGCCTCAGTCTCCCAAGTAGCTGAGATTACAGGCGCCCACCAGCACGCCTGGCTAATTTTTGTATTTTTAATAGAGAAGGAGTTTCACCATGTTGGCCAGGCTGGTCTTGAACTCCTGACCTCAAGTGATCCACCGGCCTCGGCCTCCCAAAATGCTGACATTACAGGCATAAGCCACCATGCCCAGCCTTTTGTCCCTGTATCTTAATCAGCCCGTGAGGTAAACATTACCTCAGTTTAAGATTAAAGAAAGTAGGGCTAGGATAGATTAAGGTTTGCCCATAGACAAAGCAGCTAGAATCTGGAACTTCTGATATCAGCATCATTGCCACTTTCTAATGTTGTCCACTTTAGCTATTTTTCAGATTTGTGGAAAAGAGCATAGAGGATAATCTCTAATCTAAACATTTTCATTTTCTCAGTGAATAAACTAAGGTGCACGGTGAGTCTTACCTTCAAGTTGCCAGACATTAAAGTGAAAGAGTAAATTTTTGTGCCAGGTACTCTTTTAAGTACTTTATGTAAATTAATTAATCCTCACGATAACTTTCTAAATTAAGTGCCAAGTACTGAGCCAAAGACTAAGTAACTGAAATTCATAGCTAATGGTTGCAGTACGATCCAAACCTGGCCTATTAATTCCAAGGCCAGAGTTTTTAACTACTGGGCTCTACTGCTTTGCACTAGGTGACTGTTTATCTTAACTGGATTAGATACATTTTCTCAGGATTCTCCAGAAGGATGAGATTCCTTTCTCAAAATTCCCCAACTCTCATAAGAACAGATCTAGGGACATTTCATTAGGGTTTTGCTACCCCATTTTATAGATGAAGGGACTTGGCCAGTCTTAGTTTATTAAGTGACCATGTTAGAACTACAGACTAGGTCCCCTGGCTTATAGCACATTGCTTTTGGCATCAGTTCAAGTGATCTACTCATGTTGAAATTTTGTCACAGCAGCAAAAACATATTTACTACATCCTTCATTCGCATTTCAGCACACCTTCAGGTCTGTCCTGGAATACAGTTAGGTCAGCATGTAAGTCTCCAGTTTTCACTGTTTTACAGTGATTATACCATAAGGGATACATGGATACACAGTAATGGAAGTCCCTTAAGCATTTTCTACTTAAGCATTTTTAATACTATTAATGTGTCATCCTACAAAAACTTAATTTGGTCATAGCTAATGTTGTCAAGAGCCAACATTTTAGAATATTCACATTTTGAATCTTGAAATGGTCAGCAAATGACATGATAAAGCTAATTTCAAATGTTCCAACTCAAGCAAGAATGTAAAGAAAGGCAGCAATTTTTCTTCAGGGCCTTTGTGCAAAATTTGTTTTTTACAGAAAGCCCCTTCTGACTTCATGTAGAGTAGAAAACTAACTTAGTTTATTTCATGCTGCTCAATCTAATTTGAAATCATTTTTGAATTCCTAGATGCATGGGTACAGAGAGCTTGCTCCCTAGAGGCTTGTTTCCCGACAGTGGAGAGTAAAGAATTAAATTGAGCTGAAACTAAATTGATTGGCATTTTGACACTCTGCACACTGTGCAAAGAAAAGGAATTTGCTCAACTTTTAAAAACATACAGTAGCACAAAGAACTATTTTCTTAAAGGTATCCCAGTTTGCAAAGATGATTTAATTTTTTTCTTAAAAAAGCAAGAGACAGGCCGGGTGCAGTGGCTCACACCTGTAATCTCAGCACTTTGGGAGGCCAAGGCGGGCAGATTGCCTGAGGTCAGGAGTTCGAGACCAGCCTGGCCAACATGGTGAAACCCTGTTTCTACTAAAAATACAAAAAATTAGCCAGGCATGGTGGCACACACCTGTAATCCCAGCTACTCAGGAAGCCGAGGCACGAGAATCACTTGAACCCGCGAGGTGGAGGTTGCAGTGAGCTGAGATCGCGCCATTGCACTCCAGCGTGGGCAACAAGAGTGAAACTCTGTCTCAGGGAAAAAAAAAAAAAAAAGCAGGAGACATGTTCTAGCACTTTCTTAATTTCCTATATTACAGTTCAAAGTGAGAATTTAACTTTGAGAAGCTTTTGAAAAAGCCTGGATAGGGACGTTAACATAGCCTCCTTAGCTGAACAGACACTGACAGAGGTCTTCTGAGGAGAAAGGAAAGGACTATGCACTTCTGGGGCGTCGCTATAGGAACCTATTTATAAAAGACAAGATACATATTTATGAAATCTTTATCTCTGGCATTTTTAAATGCAAGAGATATTAAGTATGAATTGAATAATATACATTTCCTGCTTTTTCAGACAGATACAGATGATTACCATGCCATCATCTGTCCTAAATGGCATCATTTAGTGTTGACTTCAATAAAATCCTCTCTCTGCTGTGTCATGAAAGGAACTGGACTCACCTTAATAGTGCTGTTCTAACGCGCCTGCTTTTTTTTTTTTTTTTAATCACAGCAGGAGGCTGTAATAAATTACAGTCTGGAAGAAGTTTCAAACTGGCAAGTTTGCCAGATATTTTAAGCAATTTATTTTGGGGTGTATCAGCAGATTTTTTTTTACACTACCATTTGGGTGGCTGCTGACACAGCCTGAATAAATCTTTCAAACATTTTCCTTCCTAGAGATGGATGAAGATGATGAACTCCAAGATCCAGACCTTCCGTTAACTCTTCACTTGCCACCTGGTGCTTTCCTATTACCAGATATCTCAGAAACTTAGATAACTCTTTACAGCATGAGTTTTCAGTATTTCAAGTCCCTCAAGGTGCTTTGGCAACAGGCTTAAGTTTTATAGAAGAATCAACTAACGAGTAATTCTGGTTTTAGGCATAGACCTTATAATTTGGATTGATTATTTCATTACTAGTATCTTGAAAATTGCCAAACTTTCCAATGGGAAAAGAGCATAAATATTTATATAAAACAAAGGCTTATTATTTTCTTGATTATAGCATGTTGAGTCTTAAAGTCACTTCTTCCTAATTTTAATCTAATTGGTTAGTGAAGTTTTTAGAAATTATTATTAATTTCTGACTCCAGAATTCTAAGGCAGCTTCAGTGATATATATTTTAGTCTAGTATTCAAAAATGCTGAAAATGCTGATACCTGAAAATATTTGCTGTAGCATAATGAGACTGGAAAGGTAAAATAAAAGGAAGCTAACTTCTATTGAATGCCTGCACCATGCCAGCCCCATTTGTGAGCACAACATGCAGGAGAGAGAGAGCGCAGTCATATTTTACAAAGAGCTGGTCCCTGGTCAGGTGAAAGGCACTGCTCAGTGAATTGGAAGGAACATGGTAAGGGCTTAAAACTGTAAAGGCGTCAGGGAATACAATTTGAAGGTAAAAGCCCTAGATCAAATGTCATAAAACCTGGGTTCCTGAATGACATTATTTATAAACGAGGTCATCTGCTTAGACCTTAAATGTTACTGTATCTGTAAAGTGAAGATATGATCTCTACTCTGCCGTCTCAACCATGGCTGCACTTTGGAATCACCTGGGGAGCTTTGAAAAATACGTCTAAATCCCACCTTCAAGAGATTCCAATTTTATTAAGGTGCAGCCTGGGCATTGAGATTTTTAAACCCACCACAAGTAATTCCTATGTGCAGCTAAGGCTGTGAATCTTTGAATTGGGGGATGGCTAAGAAAGCCCTCTATAGATTTACTTACAAACATTAGTAGATGTTATCGACAATCTAAATTGTTTTTTGTTTGTTTGACCATTACTTCAACTGTTTAAAAAAAAAAAATCTTGCCGGGAGCCCTGGCTCACGCCTGTAATCCCAGCACTTTGGGAGGCCGAGACGGGCGGATCACCGGAGGTCAGGAGTTTGAGACCAGCCTGGCCAACACATTGAAACCCCATCTCTACGAAAAATACAAAAATTAGCCAGGCGTGGTGGCGCAAACCTGTAATGCCAGCTACTCGGGAGGCTGAGGCTGGAGAATCGCTTGAACCTGGGAGGCGGAGGTTGCAGTGAACCAAGATCGCACCATTGCATTCCAGCCTGGGCGACAATAGCAGAAACTCCATCTCAAAAAAAAATATATATATATATATACACACACACACACACACACACACACACATATGTATGTGAGTGTAATCTCTGAATTTCCAAATCACATAGGAAGTCTCTGATAAATATTTGTTGCACTTGTGAATTTATGGCCTTTACATTTTTTAAGATCTTTCAAAAACGGGTTTGAGGTACAATGTATAGAGCCAATCTTTAAGAGGCAGGACTTTTCTGTTGAAACATCCTCCTTTAGAGAAATGCAAGCCTTTCTCGTCCACCCTTGAGTAGCTTCACTCCCTTACCGAGGCAGCAGTGTCTTGGGGCCGCCGGATGCCCTAAAGGCTGTGACGCGCGCTGCGGGATCCGCGCGGGCGTCCCGAGATCTGGGGCGGGGCGCCGGCCGGGCCTACCCTCTCCGCTCTCAGGACCCGCCCGTCCCGCCCCGGACGCGGGTGGGGGCGAACTGCTGGCGACGCCCGTCAGTCCGGACTCTACCGCCGAGCCCTGGGGCTTCGGCGGCTGCCTCCGCGCGACCCGGCGGGCCCGCCTCCGCCGCCGGGTGCACGCGCAGCCTGCGCCTCGTGCCGGAGCAGAGCAGAGGCCAGGATGCGGAGTTGTGCACTTTGAGCCGGCCCCATGACCCTGAGCACGTTGGCCCGCAAGAGGAAGGCGCCCCTCGCTTGCACCTGCAGCCTCGGTGGCCCCGACATGATTCCTTACTTCTCCGCCAACGCGGTCATCTCGCAGAACGCCATCAACCAGCTGTGAGTCCGCCGCGCGCCCTCCGCCTCCGCGAACGCTCAGAAAGTTTGCTCTTTCAGCAGCCGCTTTCCCCAGCATCCTGGGGAGCAAACAATCAAGCGAGGGCGAGCGCGCATCCTGCTTGCCTGGAGGTCTCCGTGCGTCTGGAGGGAAGGATGCTGGGGTAGAACGGTGGGGGGATTCATGGAGGCGGAAAGTGTCCCGGGGTGGGGGTGGACGGAAGAATCCTTTGGGAGAATTTCCGTTTAACTTTGAGGGACTTTGAAAGTGCGGGTTGTCCCTCAGAAGTTGTGGTGACCGAGTGACAGCTGAGCTGTTTGGCACTTGGAAGACTTGGGTGAAGGGTAGTCGACAGAATCGGAAGCGGGAGTCCCTGTGGGTCCTGCTGGTGAGCAGCTTTCCGTGATTATGGGTTTTTTTTTTTTAAAGTTTCTATTGCTAACCATTTACAAAAAGAAGGACCATTCTTCGCTCCTGCTGGTTGTAGTCTGGAGTGATTCCAGAAGGCTAGATTTCGGTAGTTTCTATTTTATCTCCTCCTGTACTACTGGTACGTGCTCACAGCCCAAGCCTGCACGCACACCTTCATTCACCAAAGCGCAAATGCATCTTTAAATCGTCGCTGTTTTTGAAGTCTCTAGAGAGTTGTCATTCCACTGTGGTTTAGCTGTTTCTGAGAAGTGTGTGTGCTGAAGCTTGTGGTTAATATCACTTCACAGTTATCAAGTAGAGGAACTTTTCCTATTCAGGTTCCATCCTTAAATCAATGCAGTGGTTTAAGGTTACTTAGATAGCAGCAGTTGGGTCTGTGTTAGTGTGTTGACACTCATTCCAAGTGGCTTCAGAGGAGTCACCTGCTGGGATTTTCCTAGACTCTTTGCACTTAAGCAAAGCTACTGTCTCCCTCCCAGGTCAACTTTTTAATGTCCAACAACAGAAACTTTACATTATCCCTTATTAAAGGTCTAGAGAATAGCATGTAAGGTGATTTCTAGATAATCTCACAACTAATTTATTATTTTCAGAGATGGTTTGCCCTCCTATCCTACCAAATCGAATTAAACTCGTTTGAGTTTCTTTTTTTCTCCCGTGTGTTGATTCATGGTGGAGCTTCTAAAAAAATAGAAAAAAAGTCACAAAAGTTGTTTTACTGCCCTGTACTGTAAAAGCTCCACAATTAAATAAACTGACTTGCATTTTCCGTCTAAAAACGGGAACGGTCATAGAGTGAAGAAGTTAATGGGTAAATAATCTGACACTGATAACCAGTATGAAAATAATAGTGTTAACAGTACTTTAAAAATGGCAGTGGAAGCAACCCAAGTGTCCATGGATGGATGAATGGATTAACAAAATGTGGTATGTACATATAGTAGAATATTATTTAGCCTTAAGGAAGGAGTCTGACATAATGCTACAGTATGAATGACCTTGAAGATACTATTCTAAGTGAAATAAGCCAGTCACAAAAGTATAAATACTATATGATTTCATTTATATGAGGTACCTATCTATAGAAGTCAAATTCAGAGAGAAGTAAAGTAGAATGGTAGTTGCTAGGGGTTGAAGGAGAAGGGGTAGGAAATTTGTATTTGAAGAGAACAAAGTTTCATTTGAGGAAGATGAAAAAATTCTGGGGATGGATGGTGGTAGTTGCACAACAGTGTGAAAATATTTAATACCCTAGAACTGTACACTTAAAATGGTTAAAATGGTAAATTTTATGCTATGTATATTCATGGCCAGTAAAAGTAATAGCAAAAACTGCAGTTACTTTTACACCAACCTAATAAGCACAATAAAAAGAATTTAAAAGGGCCTGGTGTGGTTGCTCACACCTATAGTCCCAGCACTTTGGGAGGCTGAGGTGGGAGGATTGCTTGAGCCCAGGAATTGGAGACCAACCTGGGCAACATAGTGAGACTCCATCTTAAGAAAAATAGAAAAAATTAGCCAGGTGCGGTGGCGCATGCCTATAGTCTCAGCTACTAAGGAGGCTGAGGTGGAAAGATAGCTTGAGGCTACAGTAAGCTGTGATCATGCCACCACACTCCAGCCTGGGTGACAGAGCAAGACCCTGTCTCAAAAAAATAAAAAAGAATTAAAAAGGCCAGGCACAGTGGCTTATATCTGTAATCCCAGCACTTTGGGAGACAGGAGGATCACTTGAGGCCAGGAGTTCAAGACCATCCTGGGTAACATACTGAGACTCTGTCTCTATGAAACATTTTTAAAATTAGCAGAGTGTGGTGTTACACACCTGTAGTCCCAGCTACTCAGGAGGCTGAGGTAGGAGGATTACTTTAGCCCGGGAGTTCAAGGCTGCAGTGAGCCATGAGTGTGCCATTGCATGCCAGCCTGGGTGGCAGAGCAAGACCCTGCCTCTTTAAATAATAATAATAAAATAATTTTTAAAAGACAGGGATTATAAGCTTTTTGGGGGGAAAGGAGTTGTAAATCATGTTTTCTGGTCAATCAAGTCCAAATTTTTTTTCCTACTAATTAATGTCTTTGGGTAAATAATTTGACATCAGTTTCTTCCACTGTCAAATGGGGATACAGTGGTTTTTACCCCATAAGATCCTAAGAAATCATATATTTGATAACACTTTGTGAACTGTAAATCTCTGCACAAAAAGTTAATTGAAATTAATAACTAATAGCTGCTGTTTATTGACCATTTTCACAGTGCTGAGTTTAATGTACATCTATCTCATTTAATCATAGCAACCTTATGAACTAATTTTTCTGTTTACAGATAATGAAACTGAGGCTTAGAGAAGGTAAGTAGTTGCTCAAGGCCGCATGGGTAGTAAGTGACAAAACTGTCCTTAGAATCCAGATCTATTTCCTAGGCCACTGCCCTTAACCGCTATAAAAATGATATTTTGCCTTAGTAGTTGCAAGGTCACTTTTGAGACTTGGCAGTCTGAGGAATTATCTTTGACTGCTGAAATCTTCAACTTCCTGAAAAATATATTTGCTATACTGAGTTTTCCTACTAAGACAAACTTTTAAAGAATTTTTGGAATATTTGTCTTTTATTTTTGTCTCTATTTTCCCACTTCTTTTTTCTTTGTTTCTTGTTTTGTTTTGTTTTGTTTTGAGACAGGCCCTTGCTCTGTCACTCAGGCTGGAGTGAAATGGCTTGAAGACATCTCACTTGCAGTCTCGATCTCCTGGGCTCAAGCAGCCTTCTTGCTTCAACTTCTGTGTAGCTGAGACCACAGGCACATGCCACCACACCTGGCTAATTTTTTTTTTTTGAGACCAAGTCTCACTCTTTCACCCAGGCTGGAGTGAAGTGGCATGATCTCGGCTCACTGCAACCTCTGGCGCCCCCAACCCCGGCCCCCCACCCCACCCCCCACCCCTGCCACTGGGTTCAAGCAATTCTCTCTCTCTCTCTTTTTTTTTTTTTTTTGTAGAGACAGCATCTCACTTTGTTGCCCAGGCTGATCTCATACTCCCAGGCTCAAGTGATCCTCCTGCCTTGGCCTCCCAAAGTGCTGGGATTGCAGGAGTGCGCTACCGTGCCCAGCCACTTCTTTTTTCTTTAAAGAGACTTGCTATAATATTCACTTCTTCTAAACTGTATTTATTAGTATTACTTTAGAGGTCATGTTTATTTAGCATTTATAGTGCTGCACAGCTTATCATCATTAAAAAAATTATTAGGAATCATTCTGAGTAAACTACTAAACTTTATGAACTTAAATATATCCACTGTTAGCACCTAATAAAGAAGTTCTTAATTTGAGGTCCATGGTCACCTAGAGGTCTATGGATTGGCTTCAGAAAGTCAAACTCCTTGAGATTATATGAAAATGTTGAGTAAATAAATATATTTTAAAATCAGATTCTCAAAGTGATCTGTGATCTCAAAAAAGATTAAGAAGCTCTTTCCTAAAGGGAAGTGTTATTTCTAAGACCTGATTCTGTAAACCTCAAGTGCTGTGAGTATTTCCCTGTGGTACATAGCAATAACTAGTGGGAGCAGCTAAACAATTCAGATTTAGGGTCCTAAGTGAAGACTGACTCAAAAGATTTTGTATTTGGGGGAGGGAGTACCTTGATACATGAGTACACTTAGCCCAGTGGTTCTCTCGTCACTGCTGAGAACCCTCTCAAAAGAGCTTTTTGCCCTTTCTCATTTGCTGCCCTCAGGTTTGCTGTGGGTTTAGAAACCACGAAACAAGCCAGGCAGGGTGGCTCACGCCTGTAATCCCAGCACTTTGAGAGGCTGAGGCAGATGGATCACGAGGTCAGGAGTTCGAGACCAGCCTGGCCAGCATGGTGAAACCCCATCTCTACTAAAAATACAAAAAAAGTAGCCAGCCATGGTGTCACGCACCTGTAGTCCCAGCTACTCCGGAGGCTGAGGTAGGAGAATTGCTTGAACCCGGGAGGCAGAGGTTGCCATGAGCGAAGATCTCACCACTGCACTCCAGCCTGGGCGACAGGGTGAGACTGTATCTCAAAAAAAAACAAAACAAAACACCAAAAAACAAATCCTGTGAGAATTGTGTTAAAGAGTAAATTGGAGCCAAGGGCAGTGGCTCACACTTGTAATCCCAGCACTTTGGGAGGACAGGAGTTTGAGACCAGCCCAGGCAATGTAGCAGGACCCTGTCTCTAATAAATAGATAAGAGAGAGGATGGATGGGTGGGTGGGTGGGTGGATGGATAGATAGACAGATAGGCAGGCAGGCAGGCAGGCAGGTGTAGTGGTTCATGCCTGTAGTCCTAACTACTCAAGAGACTGAGGCAGGAGGATTGCTTGAGCCTAGGAATCCGAGGTTACAGTGAGCTATGATCGTGCCATTGCACTCCAGCTTGGGCAATAGAGGGAGACTATCTATCTCCCTCTCTTTTTTTTTTTTTTTTTGAGACAGAGTCTCGCTCTTGTTGCCCAGGCTGGAGTGATCTGGGCTCACCGCAACCTCCGCCCCCTGGGTTCAAGCGATTCTTTTGCCTCAGCCTCCCGAGTAGCTGGGATTACAGGCATGCACCACCACGCCTGGCTAATTTTTTTTCTTTCTTTTTTTAGTAGAGACGGGGTTTCCCCATGTTGGTCAGGCTGGTCTCCAACTCCTGACCTCAGGTGATCCGCCTGCCTCGGCCTCCCAAAGTGCTGGGATTACAGGCATGAGCCACCGCGCCCAGCCTCTATCTCTTTGAAAATAAAATTTAGCTGGCGCGGTGGCTCACCCCTGTAATCCCAGCACTTTGGGAGGCCGAGGCGGGTGGATCACAAGCTCAGGAGATCGAGACCGTCCTGGCTAACACGATGAAACCCCGTCTCTACTAAAAACACAAAAAATTAGCCGGGTGCGGTGGCGGGTGCCTGTAGTCCCAGCCACTCAGCAGGCTGAGGCAGGAGAATGGCGTGAACCCAGGAGGCGGAGCTTGCAGTTAGCCGAAATCGTGCCACTGCACTCCAGCCTGGGCGAAAGAGCGAGACTCCATCTCAAAAAAAAAAAAGAAAAAGAAAAGAAAATTAAAAAAAGTGAATAGACCAAAGTGAGATCCTATGGACTCTCCTAGGAAGGAAACTTTATGACTTTCGGAGTGTGGGTTTTGGGCATCTATTTTGGTAATTTCATAGGCTCTTATTACTTTCAACTGTGTTATATATAATAGGTGAAATTATGGAATAGCTGGGGTATTACTGTATTTTATTGGTAATTATGTTATCATTATTAGATTAAGGTCTACCCTTGCCGCTATATAAAACTCACCAAATATGGTATTATTTTTTACCTGTCAATGAAGAACATTAATAAATGATCAAAATCATTCCAGAAATAAACTGTAGTTACTATTATACTGTTAAGTGTTAATTCTACTAGAAAAAAATATATATGAGCAACTCAGAGAATCATTTGGTCAAACTTCAGGAGTCTTGGATTAGACTGATGAGAATGATCATAAAAAGTTCATACCCTTTAAGAGTCTGTACGTGCATTTTAGTAAAACAAAAAGCTGAACTTCTGAAAAATATGGAAGCCTGTATTATTTTTTAGAGAGCTATTATCCAGTCCCTGGGAAGTAGTCACTAAGCAAGGAGCCAAGGTGTTAGTGTTATCATTATATACTAAACAAGTGGCCATTTTTGTGTCCTAAGAAGCTCAGGGAAGAATAAAAATTGTTAGATAAAATTCTGGCAAAGACTACCATTTAAAATATTCCCGGCTGGGTGCAGTGGCTCACGCCTATAATCTCAATTCTTTGGGAGGCCGAAGCAGGTGGATCCCTTGAGCCCAGGAGTTTAAGACCAGCCTGAGCAACACAGGGAGACCCTGTCTTTACAAAAAATTAGCTGGGCATGGTGGTGCGTGCCTGTAGTGCCAGCTACTTGGGAGGCTGAGGTGGGAGGATGGTGTGAGCCAGAGAGGCAGAGGTTGCAGTGAGCCGAGATGGTGCCACTTCACTTCAGCCTGGGCAACAGAGCAAAACCCTGTCTCAAAAATAAATAAATAAAAATAAAATAAAATATTCCCATTATGAAAACCTCTGATCAAAAAAGTCTTGTCTTGAAACTAAGGCACTGAAACATTGCTTGATTTGCTGTTGAGGTTATCTTAAGCTTTTTATATACTTGACCTAAAATATTTTTATTTATTTACTTGGTTCATATATGAACTTGACTTCCTAGAAGCACATGAGTGCTTTCTAAGGCTCAGCGTCAGCAGTAGAGGAGCATATTGGATGTTCATCCAAAATGTACCTTTTCATGAAATCAAAAGGTAGAAAGTCTTATTTTTTGTATTAGTAATAGTACTAATGCTCTTTCAGTTCCACTTTGTAGTTGTACAAGGGGTTTCACATGAACTTATCTCCAAACTTAAGCTTGCATCAGAATCACCTGGAGGGCTTGGTAAAACACAAATTGCTACCCACAGTCCCCAGAGTTTCTGATTCTGTAAGTCTAGGATGTGGCTGGAGAATTTGCATTTCTAACAAGTTCCTAGATGATGCTGATGATGATGGCCTAAGGACCCTACCTTAATTAAAGTATTCCTCTGAGGCAGATTGGGCAAGTCATCGTCCACATTTTATAGCATAACAAACTAGAGAATCAAAATGCTGAAGTGATTTGCACAAGGCTACATGGCTTGATGGTAGAACTGAAACTAGAACAAGCATTTCTTGTCTCTGAATCCAGAGCTCCTGTAGTGCTGCACTCACAATCCTGATACACACATCTTTGTATACATATGTAAACATTTCTTTAGATAAATTTCTAGCGGTGGAATTGCTGGACCTAATGTTGTATATATGTTAAAAATTTGATACATATAGCCAAATTGCTTTCTAAAAAGACTTTACCAATTTGTTCTTTTTTTTTTTTTTTTTCAGACAGAGTCTCACTCTATCGCCCAGGCTGGAGTACAGTGGCACGATCTCAACTCACTGCAACCTCTGCCTCCCAGGTTCAAGCAATTCTGCCTCAGCCTCCTGAGTAGCTGGGATTACAGGTGCCCGCCACCACGCCCAGCTAATTTTTGTATTTTTAGTACAGACGGGGTTTCACCATGTTTGGTCAGGCTGGTCTCGAACCCCTGACCTCGTGATCCACCTGCCTCGGCCTCCCAAAGTGCTGGGAGTACAGACGTGAGGCACCGCACCTGGCCACCAATTTGCTCTTAACCAGCAGTGTGTAGGCATATCTTTCCCTATATCTTCACCAACCCCAATAATAACATTAATAGCAGATAAGCCGGGCGCAGTGGCTCACACCTATAATCCCAGCACTTTGGGAGGCTGAGGTTGGGGGTATCACCTGAGGTCAGGAGTTCGAGACCAGCCTGGACAACATGGTGAAACCCCATCTCTACAAAAATACAAAAATTAGCTGGGCATGATGGTGGGTGCCTGTAATCCCACCTACTCGGGAGGCTGAGGAGGGAGAATCGCTTGAACCCAGGAGGCAGAGGTTGCCGTGAGCCAAGTTCATGCTGTTGCACTCCAGCCCGGGTGACTGAGCAAGACTCCGTCTCAAAAAATTTAAAAAAGGCAGATAATTTTTTACTGAACATTTACTATCTAAGGGACACTGTTTTGAGCAGTGGATATATTATTTCATTCTCTCTTCTTAACAACTTTATGAGTTAGATATTATCCTCAATTACAGAAGAGAGGCACAGAGAGGTTAACTTGTCTGAGATTATCCAGCCAGGATGCATACACAGGCAGTCAGACTCCAGAGTCCCTGCTCTTAAATACCTCTCTATTTACAATTCCCCTTATTGCTATGGAGGTGTAGCATCTTTTTATGTGTAACTGATCTTTTTGGTTTTTTTTTTTTCTGTGATTTGAGTGTGCTTCTGACCATTTTTCTATTGATATTTGGCTTTTTTCTTTTTTATGTTCTCTATATATTCTGAGTATGTGGCAAAAATACTTTCTCCTAGCCTATTGCTTGACTTTTAACTTTGCGTCCCATATAAAAGTTTTACATTTTTATATAGTCAAATCTGTTGTATTTTATCTTATGATTTCAAGATTTTGCATGTTGCTTTTTAAAAACCTCTTGCCATTCATCCTCAGGATTCTCAAAGTGTTATTTTATATTTTTTCTGGCATGTTTACATTTTTAAATATTTAACTCTTTAAAACATCTGGAATTTATTTTTATTTATAGTGTGAGGGAAAAATCTAGCTTAACCTTTTTTTTCCAATTGGATAGTTATTCTAATACCAAATTTACCATTATTTACATTCTTACTTCACTAATTTGAAATGCTACATATATATTAAATTCTTACAGATGCTTGGAGTACACTTCTGTACTCTTAAGTTCTGTTCATGTTTTTCTGTTCATATGCCAGTACTCATTTTACTTATTACACCTTTAGTAGACAAATGTATGCCAGTGCTTTACCTCCTTGTTGGTATTTTTCAGTGTCCTAACTATTTTTATTTTATTTTCCAGATAAATCTTAGAATCAGCTTATCAATTTTCACTTTTAAAAATTGTATTAGGATTTTGATTGAAATTTTACTGAATTAATTTTGGAGAAAATTAACAGTTTTACAAAATGAGCCTGCCCAATGAAGAATGTGATGTATGGATCTATTATTCACTGTTTTTTAAATATTCTTCATTTAAATTGTACAGTTTTCCTTATATGGTAATCACACATTTCTTATTAGGTATATTCATGGGCATTTTATAAGGTTTTTGTTGCTCTTGTGAATAAGCTCCACTTTCCCATGACGTTTTCTAATTAGTTACAGCAGGTGGGTGATAAAACTATCACTTTTGATATTTGCTTTTATATCAGACCACCTTGCTAAAACTCTTACTTGGTTCTAATATCTAGTATATGTTTTTACTTGATTTTATTGACTTTTCTTCATGGATGATTATATTATCTGTAAATGAATTTTATCTCTCTGAGTGCAGTTATGCACCACATAACAACATTTTGGTCAATAACAGACCACAGATACAGAAGTGGTCCCATAAGATTATAATGGGGATGAAAAATCACCTAGTGACTATAGCTGTCATAATGTCGTAGCATAATGTATTACTCATGTGTTTGTGGTGATGCTGGTGCAAACAAACCTGCATTGTTGTATAAAAATATAGTGCATACAGTTATGTACAGTACATAATGCTTGATAATAAGCGACTGCGTTGCTGGTTTATGTATTTACTGTATTGAACATTTTATCAGTATTGTAGAGTGGACTCTCTTTCTTTGTTTTTTTTTCTTTTTTTTTGAGACAGGAGTTACGCTCTTGTTGCCCAGGCTGCATTGCAATTGCACAATCTCAGCTCACTGCAACCTCCACCTCCTGGGTTCAAATGATTCTCTTGCCTCAGCCTCCCAAGTAGCTGGGATTAGAGGCATGCACCACCACACCTGGCTACTTTTGTATTTTTAGTAGAGATGGGGTTTCACTATGTTGATCAGGCTGGTCTCGAACTCTGGACCTCAGGTGATCCACCCGCCTCGGCCTCCCAGAGTGCTGGGATTACAGGCATGAGCCACTGCGCCTGGCCTACAGTGTACTCTCTACTTTGAAGAAAATATTAACTGTAAAGCTGCCTCAGGCAGGTCCTTCAGGAAGTATTCTAAAAGAAGGCATTGTTATCATAGGAGATGACAGCTCCATATATGTTATTGCCCTTGAAGACCTTCCAGTGTGGCAAGATATGGAGATGGAAAACAATGATCTTGATGATCCTGACTCTTTAGGCCTAAGCTAGCGTGTGTGTTTGTGTCTTTAACAAAAAAGTTTCAAGAGTAAAAAAAAATACTTTTTTTTTTTTTTTTGTATTTTTGGTAGAGATGGGGTTTCACCGTGTTGACCAGGATGGTCTCAATCTCTTGACCTGGTGATCTGCCCGCCTCAGCTTCCCAAAGTGCTGAGATTACAGGCATGAGCCACCACACCCGGCCAAAAAAATACATTTTAAAAATAGAAAAGCTTATGGAATAAAGGTATAGCCATGCACAGTAGCTTGTGCCTGTAATCCCAGCTACTCTGGGGGCTGAGGCAGGAGGATCACTTGAACCCAGGAGTTTGAGGCTGCAGTGAGCCATGATTGTGCCACTGCAGCCTGGGCAACAGAGGAGATGCTGTCTCTTAGAAGAAGAAGGAGGAGGAGCATATAAAGAAAATATTTTTGTATATTTGTACAATTTTTCTGTTTTTTATTTTTATTTATTTAAAAAAAAATTTTTTTTTTTTTTTGAGACAGAGTCTCACTCAGTTGCCCATGCTGGAGTGCAGTAGCATGATCTCGGCTCGCTGCCACCTCCACCTCCTGTGTTCAAGTGATTCTCCTGCCTCAGCCTTCCAAGTAGCTGGGATTACAGGTGCGTGCCACCACGCCTGGCTAATTTGTATATTTTGTGGTAGAGATGGGGTTTCGCCATGTTGGCCAGGCTGATCTCGAACTCCTGACCTCAAGTGATCCACCCACCTTGGCCTCCCAAAGTGCTGGGATTACAGGCATGAGCCACCCCTCCCGGCCAGTTTTTCTGTGTTTTAAGCTAAGTATTATTACAAAAGAGCCAAAAAGTTAAAATAATTATAAAGTTTATAAAGTTAAAAAGTTACTGTAAGATAAAGTTATTGTTGAAAAAAGAGAACATTTGGCTGGGTGCAATGGCTCAACACCTGTAATCCCAGCACTTCGGGAGGCCAAGGTGAGCAGATCACTTGAGGTCTAGCCTCAAGTTTGAGACAAGCCTGGCCAACATGGTGAAACCTCGCCTCTACTAAAAATTCAAAAATTAATCGGGCGTGGTGGCGGGCACCTGTAATCTCAGCTACTCAGGAGACTGAGGCAGGAGAATCTCTTGAGCCCAGGAGGCAGAGATTGCAGTGAGCCGAGATCATGCCACTGTACTCCAGCCTGGCAACAGAGTAAGACTCCATCTCAAAAAACAAACAAGAAAAAATAAGTTTTTAAAATAAATTTAGTGTAGCCTAAGTGTATGGTGTTTATAAAGTCCACAGTAGTTACAGTCATGTCCTAGGTCTTCACATTCACTCGCCACTCCCTCACTGACTCACCCAGAGCAACTTCCAGTCCTGCAAGCTCCATTGATTGTAAGTGCCCCTTACAGGTGTACCACTTTTTATCTTCTATACCACATTTTTACTGTGCCTTTTCTATGCGTAGATATGTTTAGAGATACAAATACTTAACATTATGTTACAGTTGGCCTACAGTATTCAGTATAGTAACATGCTGTACAGGTTTTCCACCTATATGGTTATCCCATATAGCCAGCCAAGGTGTGTAGTAGGCTGTACCATCTAGGTTTGTGTAAGTATACTCTATGATGTTCACGCAATGATAAACTTGCCTAATGATGAATTTCTCAGAATGTATTCCTGTCATTAAGTGATGCATGACTGTATTTATAACTCTCATTGCTTTGGTTAGGCCTTCTAATGTTAAGTAGTGCGATACTAGTGGGCTTGTGTGAAAAGAAGGCTTCTTATGTGTTGTAAATGAGTATACTGTGTGGTGTAGGTTCTGGCACAGATCATTTATCAAGCTGAGGCCATTTCTTACTATTGCTAATTTACAAAGATTTTTCAGTTAGGTATAGTTGAATTTTACTGACTGCTTTTTTATATCTACGGAATAATATTTTCCCCTTTACTGCTAATGTAATGACACATTGAATTATTGAAGTTGAATCATCCTTACATAACTGAACTACACCCTTTTTGCGTTATTCATTTAACATATTGCTAGGCTTGGTTTACAAATATTTAAGGTTTTGCATTTAGGGATCTAAATATTTATTGAATCTTTGCTGTCTTCGTCCAGCTTATGTCTGATTTACAGAATGATTTGGGTAGTTTTTCATTTTTTTCTGTGCTCTGAAACAGCTCTGTAGTAGGATTATCTGTATTTTAAAGCTTAGAACCAAGAAGTTTTATTCCAAGTATTTTTTATTTTATGAATTTTTTTTACCACTCACATTTTTAAATTTCCATGTTTGCATTGAATAAATATAATTATCATCTGTGATGCTCTTAAAATCTAGATCTTGTCTTCTACAGAAATGGGCAAGCATAACTGAATAATTGATAATTGAGTAATTGAAACCAGGCATTCATTTATGGTTTAAGGGCTTTTTTTTTCTCTTTTTGGTGGATAAAGAGACTAATATTAATATTTAAGAGAGGTACGAGATGCCTCTTTGATTTTAAATTAATACTGACTTTTTGTGGTTATTTTTGATCCTTAGAGAATATAGCCTTAAAATTTAGTATTTTTAAGAAAGTGATCAAATTGGTTTACATCTAGTGAATCTTCTGGGTGTTATGGCCTTCAAATGTGAAAGAACAGTTAATGATCCCCTGTCAAAGTATAAAGATGCATTTGTGTTTTTATTATTGGTGGTAACTTTCTGTGGCTTTATCCACCCTTGTGATTGTTTAAAATCAGCAGAGCAGTAATTAACCTATAACTGAGGGGTATAAAAAAAGAGCTCTCAACTTTGGCTTTCTTGGAATCATGCTTAGCCAAGTTAACTGAGAAGTAAATCTGCACAATGAAGATGAACAGGAATGGTAAGGTAGTGATGTGCTCAAGTCAAGATTTCTTTTTGATAAGTCTAGAATGGATTTCTTTTTTTTTCTAAACTACTACTATTTGCCTTTGTGCTCACCTATATTTACTCCTGAAATTGGAAAGTGTCTCTAGACTTAACACTGATAAACACTGCCCAAAGCCAAATAACTAAAGATGTTGTCAGTCTCTGTTTCCAAGAGCTGTTGGGTCTCGCAATAATAGAGAGGCTGAAACTGCTGTAGATCATCTTGCTCCCATCTGCTCTTGGGTCCTTCCAGTAAATGGGAGTCCTCTTAATCTACCATATGTTAAACTGCCTTGGGGCTAAAGAACAGTGATGTAGATGTTATCACACAATTTCTGAATCTTTCACATACTTTACAATTTCTAAGGTGGAAAGAAAAAATCAGTATCCTATTTTTAGTTAGGGTTAGAGTTAGCTTTGCATCGTTGAATGATACAGGATGGTTGCTGTATAACTAACATAATTAAGTTTACCTTAAAGAAATATGCTAAGAACATCAAGGCCTTTTTAGGTGTTCCTGTAATTTGGAAAGGGTGTAGCCAGTAATTTATAAATAGATTGTTCTTGTTGCACACCAAAGGGCAAATCTGGGCTCACCCTTTTTGCATGTTGTGTGAATTTAACAACTTGTGTTTTCTGCATTAATCTATTTTTAGAGGGGTATAACCCCTCTTTTAGTAATTCGAGGGATTTGGCTTAGTTACACTTGGTAAAGCTACAAAATCCAGAGGTTTGAATCACTCCTAAATAAAGAGAAGCCTCAGTATTAGCCAATTATAAGCTTTCTTTAAAAGTTGTAACAATTTAGGTTTCCAGGGTAGAAGAAGTAGAATTATTTGATTTTTTTTGGTAATGAACTAAACTATTTAAATTGTTGTATATGTTTGTTTGAGGATGGTACCTGCCTCATTTCAGGACATTTTGGATATCACGTGAGATAATTATTCACAAGAAATAACAATAAAAATTCCAGTTATGGTTGTTACTTTTATCATCTGTACTTAATATTTATCCATCAAAATTTACATGGATATTCGTGATCCATAACAGGATATTTCAAGTCCTGAGCGTTCTAATTGTGGACTTTATATTGATTGTCTTCTGTAGTGACTGCGGAAAAGTTTATGCTACATATGGCTTTATCTGTTTGCAACTTAAGCAACACTTTAAGCATACTTCATCACCCCAGCAAAAAGCTGGTCAGGTTTATGAGCTTGGCATCTTATTGGTGCATTTTTGTCTCTGCTGTTCTCTGAATTTTGTGTCATAAAAACCAGTTAGTCTCCATGAGGGCTAAATTGAATGAGAGTTTTTTTCCTCTGATTTTAAATAAATATCACTTACAACAGAGCTCTTGGGAGATGCCATTTCTTCAGGACTCTCCTCTGACCCACGTCCCTTTTAAGTTACTCTTTCTCTTAATGTTAATATACACAGTTCTCATGAACATCAAAAGTTTTAATTTCCCATAATTGTATCATCTCTCTTTTTTCCTTTTTTTTTTTTTTTTTTTTTTTTTGAGACAGAGTCTCACTCTGTCGCCCAGGCTGGAGTGCAGTGGTATGATCTTGGCTCACTGCAACCTCCGCCTCCCGGGTTCAAGGGATTCTCCTGCCTCAGCCTCCCTAGTAGCTGGGATTACAGGCGTCCACCACCACACCCGGCTAATTTTTGTTTTTTTTTAGTAGAGGCGGAGTTTCGCTATGTTGGCAAAGCTGGTGTTGAACTCCTGACCTCAGGTGATCTGCCTACCTCAGCCTCCCAAAGTGCTAGGATTACAGGCATGAGACATTGCACCTGGCCTCATCTATTTTTAGGGGGAGCTTTAGTTTGAAAAGTTGGGGTTTCTGTGGCAGGATGTGAATTCTCAATGTAAATCTCTCTTCCTAAGAGATGAGTGAAATAAATGGATTCAAACAACAAATAAAACTGAACCTCTTTGAAGTCCCTTTGAACAGACTTGATATCTATCATTGTGTTAATCCTACCTCTGTGATGCCCTTCCCTCCTCAATAAAATCTCACACTTAATTCTTAAAGTATCCCGTTCCTTAAACATTCTCTTTAAAAACTCTTAAAAGATTTATTGGGTCACATATTCAGAATAACTACTTGCCATTTGTTATTGTACCTAACAGTAATAGTGCAGTGTTTGAAATGAAATGGACCTGAGCTCCAGAGTTCATCATTTATTATCTGTGTGACTTTGAACATATTATATAATCACCCTAAACCTTTTTCCTCATCAGTAAAATGGAACTTATAATACCTATGAGGATTAAATACGATATGGTAGCTTAAATTTTTGCTCATTTTGCTCTTTTGATATGAGCCAAATTATAGGAGAAATAATTAGAGTGGCACACTAGCATGATGGTAAACATTCTGTCATTTCCATCATTATCCTAAATTGCATCTATTCTGTGTAAGAAGTAAGAGATAAAAAAGAAGTACAAGACATGGTTCCTGAAGACAGGATACTCAGTTTGTTGAGGAAATAAGACGTCAATGAAGGGATAAATAAGAGCACAATTTATTGCATGGTAAGTGTCAGATGAACAGTACAATTTGTGCTTTAGAAATTCAGAGAACAGAAGGGTATCATTGTAGCTGGGTGCGGTGGCTCACGCCTGTAATCCCAGCACTTTCAGAGGCCGAGGCAGGCGGGTCACTTGAGTTCAGGAGTTCAAGACCAGCCTGGCCAACATGGTGAAACCCCGTCTCTACTAAAAATACAAAAATTAGCCGGGTGTGGTGATGGGCGCCTGTAATCCCCGCTACTCGGGAGGCTGAAGCATGAGAATCGCTTGAACCCAGGAGGCAGAGGTTGCAGTGAGCTGAGATCCTGCCACTGCACTCCAGCCTAGGTGACAGAAAAAGACTCTGTTTCAAAAAAAAAAAAAGAAAAACGAAAAGAAAATTACTTTGAGCATACTTTGGGTATATCATATGGGCAGAGCATCCGGAGTATCTACTAGGCACATAGCACAGTAACCAGTGTTTGCAGATTTTACATAGTTTATTTAGGAAGGTTGCCAATTTTGCAAGGCCATTGTTATTGAATCAGTACCAGTGACTGTGAGCACAATGTGAAATCCCCACAGGCAACACAAGAACAGAAATCATTAAACTATCTGCTAGTGGCTTTATGGTTTGTTTATTTAAACACACACACACACACACACACACACACACACACACACACACTCAAGTAATCCAAAGCAAAACTTCTTTCTCTTCTTCCTCCAGGTGCTTAGCTTTAGATATTATTATTACATCAGCATCACGTCGTAGGCAGGGTTATTCCCATGACACAGAGGGCTTATAATATTTACAATGGAGTGAGCTATAAGGGGAAGGGTGTGCTGATAGCTATTTTTCCTTGTTGTTATTGGCTTGGTTACTAGTTTAATGGCCTAGTTGCCAATTAATGGCTTAATGTATTTAATGTTCTATATAAGCAATGTACAACTCTTTAGTTTCTAAGTCAAATACACGTGAAAATCACCCTAGTGGATATGAGAATCTTCCATACAAATAGTAAGCCTGTGATTATACATTATCAGTAAAGATCAAGAACTATATAAATGCCATGTTACATTAAGCCCAAATGATAATTTAATGATATTGAGTCAAAAAAGAGATACTGCAGCTACTAAAAAGTTAGAAATTATGCCCTAATACACGCCGGGACCAGCAGGCTCCTCAGCCAACCCTGTCCCTCGGCCTGGCCCTGCCAGAGAGGGACCCCAGCCCATCTTGGGCATCGGCAGGACTCAGCCGCTCCCACCTCCCCACAGAAACCCAGGAGTGTGTGGACGTCTGAGCCCAGCTTCCTGCATCCCCACCCGGCCCACCTGGCCCCTCACCCCCGGCAGCGGGCCAGCTGCGCCCCCCACTCCCCCTCCTACCCCAGCAGGGGCTTCTGGGGCCTTTTCACCTAGAGAAACATTCCCACTGCCCTTTGGCGTCCCTGTACTCTGAGCTGTGAATATTTTTAACCCTGTGAATACGGCCCGCTCTTGTGACACAGAGACTATTTTATCAACTGTCAGCCCCATTCCTTTATGATAGGATTCTCCACAGTGGCTTCCGACTCAGGCTCCAATGGACCAAATAAAAGCGTTTTGTTTTGTAAAAAAAAAAAAAAAAAAAAAAAAGGAAAAAAGAAAAAAGAAATTATGCCCTAATAATGCCTATGCCAAGAAAAATGGCATACTGAAACTAGGTAAGAGAAACTGCATATTTCATAACATTTAGTGATTCTAACCAAATGAATTTAAACCCAGTATAATTTTTTTCAAAATTAAAAGTGAATAATGTAGTAGACTAGCTAGTTATCTCTAATGTAAAGATGAAAAACTATTGCTTTAATCATACTTTTTTTATTGTTTCCCCTTGGAAGTGCTTGAGTACATTTGTTAAGAACACGCTTTAATCCTGGTTATTAGTGTGCCGGGGCTTATTCACCCCTGTGGCTCTCCCATAGTCAGTCCCAGTTATCGTAGTCTACTATGCCCATGCTACTGGAATTTTCTCTTCTTGTTTTGTTGCTACTTTAGATGCTTGGAGAAATTCTCAGGAAGGCCATATGCCCCATTTGTCAGAAAATGATAGTGTCATAATGAAAAAGTTCGTTATGCTTAAAAAAAAAACAAATCTAGCCTCTTCCTCAATTAGAATCAAAATCAACAAATAAATATTGAATGTCAGTGCTCTTCTTTATGGCAATCTTATAAATAACTTCAGGAGAAATTTCCAAATGGAGAATCCCCTAGGCATTTAAAAAAAGAACTCTCTACCATTATATACAGTAAAGTTGATAATGAACTCAGCTTAAAAATGAACTTCTGTGCTATGCATGGTGGTCACGCCTGTAATCCCAGCACTTTTGGATTGCTTGAGGCCAGGAGTTCAAGACCATCTTGGCCAACATAGTAAAACCTCACCTCTACTAAAAATACAAAAATTAGTTCAGCGTGGTGGGACATGCCTGTAATCCCAGCTACTCAAGAGGCTGACGCATGAGAGTCCCTTGAACCCGGGAGGTGGAGGTTGCAGTGAGCTGATATCACGCTACTGAACTCCAGCCTGGACGACAGAGTGAGACTGTGTCTCAAAAAATCAAAAGAAGGCTGGGCACAGGGGCTCACGCCTGTAATCCCAGAACTTTGGGAGGCTGAGGTCGGCGGATCACTTGAGGTCCGGAATTCAAGACCAGCCTGGCCAACATGGTGAAACCCCGTCTCTACTAAAAAATACAAAAATTAGCTGGGCATGGTGGGCAGGTCTGTAATCCTAGCTTCTCGGGAGGCTGAGGCAGGAGAATTGCTTGAACCCGGGAGGCGGAGGTTGCAGTGAGCTGAGATCATGGCACTGCACTCCAGCCTGGGTGACAGAGTGGGACTCCATCTCAAAAAACAAAAAATGAACTAACCAGGCACAGTGGCTCATGTCTGTAATACCAGCACTTTGGAAGACTAAGGCGGGAGAACTGCTTGGGCCCAAGAGTTCAAGACCAGCCTGGGCAACATAGTGAGACCTCACCTCCACAAAAAATTGAAAAGAAAAAAAAAAAAAAAAAAACTGGGTGTGGTGGCACATACCTCTCGTCCTAACTACCCAGGAGGCTGACCCAGGAGGATTGTTTGAGCCCAGGAGGTCAAGGATTCAGTGAGCTGTGATTGTGCCACTGCACTCCAGCCTGAGTGACAGAGCAAGAACCTGTCTCAAAAAAAAAAAAAAAAAGAAGAACTTGCCCTGGGTGAGTGATTTTTTTTTTGTTTGTTTGGTTTTTTGTTTGTTTTTAACCGAACTAGTCTTATCAGTGAAGCAACCGGGCCAGTGGCTCACACCTGTAATCCCAGCACTTTGGGAGGCCAAGGCAGGTGGATCACAAGGTCAGGAAATCGAGACCATCTTGTTGAACACGGTGAAAACCCTGTCTCTACTAAAAATACAAAAAATTAATCGGACATGGTGGCACACGCTTGTAATCCCAGCTATTTGGAAGCCTGAGGCAGAAGAATTGTTTGAACCCGGGAGGCGGAAGTTGCAGTGAGCCAAGATTGCACCACTGCACTCCAGCCTGGTCAACAGAGCAAGACTCCATCAAAAAAAAAAAAAAAAAAAAGAAAAAAAAATGAGATTGCTGGCTGGGTATGGTGGCTCACTCCTGTAATCCCAAGCACTTTGGGAAGCTTAGACGGGCAGATCACGAGGTCAGGAATTCAACACCAGCCTGGCCAACATGGTGAAACCCCGTCTCTACCAAAAATAGAAAAATTAGCTGGGCATGGTGGCAGACGCCTGCAAAACCCTGCTACTCACAGGCTGAGGCAGGAGAATAGCTTGAAACTGGCAGGCGGAGGTTGCAACGAGCTGAGATCGCGCCACTGCACTCCAGCCTGGGCAAGAAGAACAAAACAATGTCTCAAAAAAAAAAAAAAAAAAAAAGGAGGGGGATTGTTTCGTGTCTATTGCTTTGCAGCCTCATTATTTTCATTTCAGCATATTGAGAACATCCTGCCATTGTCCCCAAATGCATTTCTTTCATATCCTTTTAACTGGTTGTTTGTTTTCCATAAGACTGATTCATATTCAATCCGATTGTTGAACATTTTGATTATGTCCAGTTTTTTGCAGTTATAAACAAAACCTCACCTAATGAACATCCTTATGCTTCAATCTTTGCCCATGTCCCTAAAAGACATATCCTAAGGGTCAATTCTGGGATTGCTAGGACAAAGGACATACATATTTCTAGGGCTTTTGATACAGATTGCTGGTTTGCTCACCAGTTGGACCAGTCTACACTCCCATCAACAGTTGTAGTAATTCATATTTCTAATGCTTCTGAAATTATAAATAAAAGTTTTTAAAAATATGATTCTTTCAGTTCACCTGAGCTACTTGAAGACCCAGAAAAATTGATTCTTACTTGTCTTTGTTATCAAGACCCTGTTTCATACCTAAGTACTGGTGAAACATGCTCTAGTTTGTGAGCTATTTGAGTAGAACTAATGGAAAGATGAAATAATAGTACATCAATAGTTACAATGAAGAAACTAATTATCCCAGAGAGTTTTTGAGCATATGGGTAGTGTTTGTGAATTTAAGTTTGTTCCCCACATTGTCAGTTTATTCTAAAATTATCACCATTTTAGACTTAAAGAATTTTAAAGCCAAAAGATAAGCAAACAGACTTGCTTAGGTCCTGTAGCAAATTAATTCAGACCTTGAACAACATTTCATTGTGCTGTTTAGGAAGTGTTAAGTATATTGAGATTTTCCATATTACTGTGTTACTATCATACTTAAATTTTAGAAGATGATCAAATTATTTTAATGACTAGGACTATGCTTATGAAGTTAGCATTTCCTGCCCTTATTTATAGAAAGCACTTGATATATTTCACAAAGGTGAGGAGATTAACTTTTTAGGGAACAAGTCATTTAAATTCTTGAACCAGTTTCCATCTTTTAGGCTATATGAGTATTGAATATAGGAGAAAAGAGAAAAGTATGCATGTTTCTCAAAGGCTCTTTCTTTAAATGTCACCAGCAGATCTAAACAGTATCCATAGGCACCTATGGCAAATTTACTGAAAAAAAAAAAAGAGGGTAATAAAATAAAAGAAAAAGAATAGACAGGAAGGAGGTTTCTTGTCTATTACTGCTGGTTTCTGTAGTGTTGGTTGCCTGCCTCTCTTTGAGACTGCGATGCTTCCTTAATGAAGGTGTGTTTAAATCACAGACAGGGAAAGTGCTTTTGGGTGAAGTTTCACTTTGTAGTGGCAGCAGTTCTGGACATGGTGCTGGAACAGAGGATGAGTTCAGCACCTTCTCTTCAGATCGGATCTCTGCCCGCAGCTCATCTGTTTTACATAGCAAGCCTTTGTTCACTGGAGAGTGGACCTCTGTGGTTGGCCTGTCCACCTACTGTCAGAGACCAAAGGTGACTGATAAGGAGTTCAGAGGTCAAAACAGATACTGCGAGGTCAATCCAGCTTTAAGGAGAAAGCAGTTGTTTTGACATGGAGGCATCAAAAACTGAATTGCAGCCAGAGAGATGTTCAGTTCATCAGCTTTGGCCTTTCAGCTCCACTCAGAGAAAAATCACTAGCTGTTTCTGCAGTCAGCAGGAGCAGAAAAGAAAACTTTTTTAAAGGATGCAATTTAATTAAATTGTGATGTATTGGAGATTTCTCTCCAGAAATGATTTCTGTGTGAGTGTTGCTTTGCTTACTGTGAGAACGCAGATATCAAATAAAAAAACCAAAGGTAAACTACAATCACTAGGGCCTTTTGTTGGGTTTTTTAATGGGAAGTCAATTAGATTAGATTCAGGTATTTCATATACTAACATCACCTTTTGCCCTATTAGGATCTGATGGAGCATTAGGAAAGAAAGGCAAGTCATATTTGCATTTATTATTAGGGCTAACACTTTTTAATTAAATTGGCTTTTACTAAGTATTTGGCTAACTTCAGAATTCAGATACTACAAATACGTAATCTTCAGCCTGATTCAAAGTTTTCTTTTTGGGGAATATCCTTTAAGTTAGCAGTGATCCTTATATATAGAATCATTGAGAGACTAAGCTAAGCTATTGTCCTTATCCTCTAGTCTAGTAAAAGGTTGTGAGCAGGACAGCCATGTAATTTTCAGGGCCTGGTGCAAAGTGAAAAGGCAGGGGCTGTTGTTGAGAAACAAGAATTTCAAGACAGCAGAGCATTACACCAATTCTGGGACCCTTCAAGCACCAAACCCTGCACAGGTCACAAGTCCACCCCTGACTAGGATGTGAAGTTAAATAGATAGTGGATTCGGTTCGAACTCTGCTACTTATTTATGTCGTTTCTGAACCCCTGTTTTCTCTATTTTTTATCTTCCTATAAAATTTTTCTTGTTGTAGTCTATCCTCTTACCAAAGTTGGAGAACCTGCAGTAAGAATTGGGAGTATGTATACTTATTTTCTTAGTCCATGTGAGAACTTCTGCGATAGTGTTTCCTTCTGTTTGGCTGGTGCAGCAATCAAGATTAGAGTTTTGTTTTTAGGAAAGTGATTATTTAATTAAATATATGTATACCACATTATAGTTTTAAAAGTGTTTTCACAATTCATATAACATTTGATTCAAACAATTATGCTTTTGAGGCAGTTAGTATTTTTTCCTCTCATCTTACAGATAAGAAAATTAAGCCGCAGAGGCCGGGCGTGGTGGCTCACGCCTGTAATCCCAGCACTTTGGGAGGCCGGGGCGGGCGGATCACAAGGTCAGTAGATTGAGACCATCCTGGCTAACACAGTGAAACCCCGTCTCTACTAAAAATACAAAAAAATTAGCCGGGCATGGTGGCGGGCACCTGTAGTCCCAGCTACTTGGGAGGCTGAGACAGGAGAATGGTGTGAACCCGGAAGCCGCAGCTTGCAGTGAGCCAAGATTGCAGCACTGCACTCCAGCCTAGGCAACAGAGCGAGACTCCGTCTCAAAAAAAAAAATAAAATAAAATAAAAAAGAAAAAAAAAGAAAATTAAGCCTCAGAGAAGTTAGGAGACTTTCTCAAGGTCTCAAGGATCTAGAACTAGAAATACCATTTGACCCAGCCATCCCATTACTGGGTATATACCCAAAGGATTATAAATCATGTTGCTGTAAAGACACATGCACACGTATGTTTATTGCGGCACTATTCACAATAGCAAAGACTTGGAACCAACCCAAATGTCCATCAATGATAGACTGGATTAAGAAAATGTGGCACATATACACCATGGAATACTATGCAGCCATAAAAAAGAATGAGTTCATGTCCTTTTTAGGGACATGGATGAAGCTGGAAACCATCATTCTGAGCAAACTATCACAAGGACAGAAAACCAAACACTGCATGTTCTCCCTTATAGGTGAGAATTGAACAATGAGAACACTTGGACACAGGGTGGGGAACATCACACACCCGGGCCCCTTGTGGGGTCACGGGAGGGTGGAGGGATAGCATTAGGAGATATACCTAATGTAAATGACAAGTTAATGGGTGCAGCACACCAACATGGCACATGTATACATATGTAACCTGCACGTTGTGCGCATGTACCCTAGAACTTAAAGTATAATATAAATAAATAAATAAATAAATAAGAGACTTTCTCAAGGTCAGCCAGCTGGTAAGTGAAGTTCAAGCCTGTGACTTTTCTCACTACTTCTTTCTGCCTTTACTGTTCTGTAAGATCAAAGGTAAGTTAGCAGAATATCTTGCTTTCTCAAGATCAGTCTACTTTATGGAATTTTTGCTAGTGTTCTGAGAATAATTGCTGGGTTATAGTAATATTACAAATTTTCACTTCTGTTATTTGCAGTAACCCTTGGAATAACCCTGTGTTGTTGTATTTCAGCATCATTTTAAAGGAACAAGATTGAGGTTCAAAGAGATTAAATGACTTGTTGAAGACGAAAGGGCAGTGACTGAAATTCAGGTCTTCTAACTTTATATCCCATGCTTTTGTACTGTGCCTTATTTGTCTGTAGTTAATTTCATATCCCTACTTAGTAAATATTCATTTATTTATTGGTCACCTACCGTGTTCTAGGCACTAGGAATGCATTAGTGGACAAAAAAAGACCAAGTCACAGCTCTAGATCTTACATTCCAGACTGTAAATAAATTATTATAAATAAATAATTAGCTGATATAGCTCTAAAGAAAAAATAATGGAGGACAGAAGGAAAGCTGGGAGGGAGAGACTATTTTAGAGAAAATGGTCAGAAGACTGTTAAGCTGTTACTTGAACCACAAACGGAAGTGTAGACATTTTATGTAAATGTGTAAGTTGATTTTTAGGTATATATAACAGATAATCTAAATAATATAAGGCCACTGCATTTATAGATGTAATGAAAATAGATGAGGATTGTTAACTGTTACAAAAATTAGCCTTTTTTTTTTTTTTTTTTTTTTTTTTTGAGACAGAGTCTTGCTCTGTCGCCCAGGCTGGAGTGCAGTGGTGCGATCTTGGCTCACTGCAAGCTCCGCCTCCTGGGTTCACGCCATTTTTCTGCCTCAGCCTCCCGAGTAGCTGGGACTACAGGCGCCCACCCCCATGCCCAGCTAATTTTTTGTATTTTTAGTAGAGACAGGGTTTCACCGTGTTAGCCAGGATGGTCTCGATCTCCTGACCTTGTGATCTGCCTGCCTCGACCTCCCAAAGTGCTGAGATTACAGGCGTGAGCCACCATGCCCGGCCCATTTTTTTTTTTTTTTTTTTTTTTTTTTTTGAGACAGAGTCTTGCTCTGTCACCCAGGCTGGAGTACAGTGGCGCGATCTTGGCTCACTGCAACCTCCGCCTCCCGGGTTAAAGCAAGTCTCCTGCCTCAGCCTCCTGAGTAGCTGGGACTGTAGGCACGTGCCACCGTGCCTGGCTAATTTTTCATATTTTTAGTAGAGACAGGGTTTCACCATGTTAGCCAGGATGGTCTCGATCTCCTGACCTTGTGATCCACCCGCCTTGGCCTCCCAAAGTGTTGGGATTATAGGCGTGAGCCACCGCGCCCAACCGAAAAATTAGCCTTTATAGTAACTGTTATACCTTATGTTTAATCTTTTTTCCCATGTAGCATGGATTATAAAATCAAGATCAGTAAAGCCCTAAATCTAATCATTTCCTTGGATGCTGAATCACTTTCTGCATAAGATCTTAGATTTCTCACACTGCTGGAAAATAAGTACTGTCATCAAATGGCATGCTCTGGGTAGCTGTTGACATTTCTAGAGTGTCCAACAGGTTTAGAGAAGTGTAAAACCTCTTTTGCTGGCAGATTTAATGTTAATGAATTTCAAAATCTTATCCAAAATCCTTTATTATACTGAAATCCTGTTACGTCTAGTACTGTAGGGCTTTAGTAAGTCAACTCTCACTTAATGCTTGGGAATCTTTGTAATATAGAATTTTTTTGTTTTGTTTTGTTTTAGATAGTGTCACTCTGTCGTCCAGGCTGGACTGCAGTGGCGCAATCTCGGCTCACTGCAACCTCCGCCTCCTGGGTTCAAGTGATTCTTGTGCCTCAGCCTCACAGGTAGCTAGGATTACAAGCACGCACCACCACACCCAGCTAATTTTTGTATTTTTGGTAGAGATGGGGTTTCTCCACGTTGTCCAAGCTGGTCTCGAACTTCTGAGCTCAAGTGATCTGCCCGCCTCAGCCTCCCAAAGTGCTGGGATTACAAGCTAGAAATGTTTATTGTAGAGGTATTTTTCAGAAATGGGGAGTGAAGGAGACAGCATGATGGGACAGGTAGAGGGTCTTAATAGGATTTACCTGATGTGTGCTTTATTTTCTTTACTTACTTTTTTTTTTTTTTTTTTTGAGACAGAATCTTGCTCTGTCGTCCAGGCTGGAGTGCAGTGACGCGATCTCGACTCACTGCAACCTCCACCTCCCAGGTTCAAGTGATTCTCCTGTCTCAAGCCTCCTAAGTAGCGGGATTACTGGCATGCACCACCATGCCCAGCTAATTTTTGTATTTTTAGTAGAGATGGGGTTTCACCATGTTGGGCAGGCTGGTCTCAAACTTCTGACCTCCTGTGATGTGCCTGCCTCAGCCTCCCAAAGTTCTGGGATCACAGGCATGAGCCACTGCACCTGGCCCTGTAGTATGCTTTAAAATGAGAGTCCACAGTATTAACAGAAGAACCTGTGCAACTCCCATTCATTGTGTTTCCTCTGGTTTCAAAATTAAAGCCAAGCAAAAATCACTGAGCGTTTGCCTCTTGTTAAAGGTGAGCTGTTATCTATTAAAAAGTGAGGGGTAGTAGTGGGGAGGCTATGAATTCTTACCTACCCATAATTTCTTTAGGGTGTTTATCAGGTTCCTTTAGTCCAGAGCTTTGGACCAGGAAATTCATGAATACACTGAAATAATATGCAAATGTGGGCCTATATATGAGTAGAACATTAATTTTTTCTGGAGGAAAAGGCCATAGCTTTCATCTGATTCTCAAAGGAATCTAACGACCTTACCCCAACATCTCCCCCACCCCCAATTTTGAACCTTGAATAGAGTGCTTTAGGTATTTGATTTAGAAACCCAAGTAAACTCTTTTTAAGCTCTTTGAACTTAACCACTGAGATTTATTTATCCATTTTTAAACAATCACTCATGATTTCCCCAAGCTGAAAGAATGTGAGCTAATGTTTTTCTCTCTATTGAGAAGGATTATGCAGCCCTTTGAATACCCTCTCCTTCTTAATAATCTTAGAGTAGATATTCCAAGAATGGTATTTGTTTAAAGAAAACTTGGAATATTACAATAAAGCCTGAATATTTGTGTTTCTCAGCACAACCTATGTGGTAATAAAATGAAGCAATGTTAGGGTAAAATATTGCTAGTGCTTGAACTATTCCAGGGAGGCAAAAATGATTTAAGGTTGTTACTTTCAAGAAAAAGTTCGAGAGGCAATAGGAGAGTTTCTAACTGCTTTTAGTATGGGTACCTATTGAATTAATTATAAAGAGATGTTAGGAGGTTTAGGGATGAAGACCACTGCCCTAGGCTTGGATATTTAGTGAAGTGAATGTGCTGTTTAACTGTTTGTGCACTGAGGGCCAAGAATTCAACCCATTAAGCCATTCTTTGCTACTAAGGCTGATTTCTGCAGCCTACCACGCATAGTTATGAATTTTTGGAAGTGTGAGCAACCACATTTTATGTGCCATTTTTGCCAACTTGCCATTTGCTTATTTGCGCTGGCAATTTCTGGGCTTTCTCAAGGCATAGAAAGCCTTTCTATGTCTTGAAAGCCTTCAGAAAACTCAGACCATTTTCTCTCACTTAGAAATTAGGCCAGATGCGGTGGCTCATGCCTATAATCCCAGCACTTTGGGAGGCCGAGGTGGGTGAATCACAAGTTCAGGAGTTCGAGACCAGCCTGGCCAATATGGTGAAACCCCATCACCATCTCCGACTAATACAAAAATTAGCCAGGCATGGTGGCGGGCGCCTGTAGTCCCAGCTGCTTGGGAAGCTGAGGCAGGAGAATCGCTTGAACCCAGGAGGTGGAGGTAGCAGTGAGGCAATGAGCCAAGATCGCACCACTGCATTCTAGCCTGGGCGACAGAGTGAGACTCCATCTCAAAAAAAAAAAAAAAAAAGAAAGAAATTAAACACCCTGTAAAGGAGAAACTTATGTATCTTAGAAATTTTTCCTCCAAGGGGATTATTTCAGCTTTTTAGTGTTAAATGAGAATATTTAGATAGACATTTTTCATTAAATAGTGTTTTTAATACAGAAGAAACAAGATGAGATTTTTCAAAATTGACCCTTTTTAAAGTATTGAGCTATGAACTATTTATACAACTTTTGGTTTAGAAGTAAATATTGGAAAATGAATACATAAATGCATATGAACTATGTTAAGTTTCTGTTTGGTAACTATTGTTTAAATATGAAGAAGAAAGTAAAACATTCAAAATATTACCTTTATAGCACTAACTGCTGATTTGAAAAAAAAAGTACAGCAGATTTCATAATCCTCTTTAGTGACATTAGAAAACCTTTGGGGAAACATCGAATATGTTTAACTTTCCTGCAGAAGAAATTTCATAATTGCAACATGCAGTTTCTTTGAAGATAAACATTTCTATTTGTTATACTTATGTTTCAGAAGTATGTTTACTGCATTCTTTCAATATGTTTAATTGGTTTCCCCTGACAGTTGAGGAGGTTCCAAAAACATCTGGTTGTTAGTGGGGTTTTCTTAGCTTCCTTTTGAGGGCACCTATTGTGCCTGACTCACTTCAACACAATCTTTATTAGAAAATCTGTGTACCGCAAGATTTGCTTTTGTTTTGTTTTTTATTTGTTTGCTTGTTTTTGCTAAATCTGTGAGTGAGCTCTGTCCCCATTTGGTTCTTCCTTTGCTGGATGCTGGATCCAGGAAGCTGTCAACTAAAAGACTGCTGGAAGACTCTTCCCAGCTAGACCCTGGTGTTAATTGATACAATGATGATTCCCAGGTTGAAAACCTGTTTTTTTTCCATTTCCCAGGAGACTAAACTGCTGAACATTTTACCCTGTTGACCTGGGTAGCTCTTGTCTCTGGCTAAGGCATGGCAGGCAGTCCTGGAAAGTGAGTTACCTGAAAGATATTTGCTGCTTTGCTTTAGGCATGACTGTACCAGAGTTATGTGTGGTAGAGATTGCTCAGTGCGTATTCGAGATTATACATTTATCTATTCCGGATGAAATAAAATTGATCATTGGTTGTTCTGTTGGTTTCCAAGGAACACACCAATACAGTTTTTCTGTTAGTGTCTTTTCCCCTCAGCTGAGGTAATGACCTCACTGCTATGAGCCGAAGCCTCCTTCTATCTTTAATGGGTGTGCATACCTTGCCTAAATATAGCGAGGTGTGAACTTGGCTGATATAGAGAGAGACAGTAAAATGACCTTAGCTGGTCTCCATTTCTACTGTTAGAATTATATTTAACGAAATAGGAACACTTTTTGTTCTGCTTATAGGCTGAAATGCTCTTTCCAGCTGCTCAGTTTCCTTAGGTAAAATTTTTTTGCACTAGACCAAAAAATTGTTTTAAAAGCCAAAGCAAATTATTTCAGAAAGAAGCCAGAAGTTAATTCCACATGAAAACATGCCTGGAGGGTGGCTTCTGTTTCTATTTCATTGTCCAGAATTCAACATTTATTCCAAATGTGAAAGGTAAAGCCTAAGCTTTTCATGTACCTTATGTTCTTTAGAATAATAATTTGCATTTATATACTCCTGGTGCTTGCTACTTTTTAGAATGCTTCTGCAAACTTTTGCCTACTAAGAAGAAAGAAAATATTTTATCCCCAAGTATGTGAGACAAGGTAGATATCATTAATTTAGTTTTACAAATGAAGAAACTCAGATGCAGAGAGGTAAAATGACTTTTCTAGGGGACTAAGTGAATCAGTAATATAACCAATGCAGGAGATATCACTTCACCACGCTTTAGCTCAGGCAGCTGTCTTTTACCCTCTTTTGTGAGCGTAAAATCACCCAAGCAGGCTCTCTGTTACAAGAATTTTGGTGGGAGAAATTCTCCCTCCATCCCTTTCTTTTTTAATTGACCAGCACTGGGGTTGTGGGGTGAGGGGGTTGGAGGGACAGGATTCTATCTGCAGAAAAAATTTCCAGTGGAAGCAAGGATCCAATGAATGAACAAATTAATCATTTCATTACTAAATAGGGTTTAGTACCCTATAGGGTCTGAACAGTCACATTTGCAGAGAAGCCCAGCCCATTGTGACATAACCTTTAGAGGCATTCTTTAAGAATTACTTCTTCTGTAATCTCAGCACTTTGGGAGGCCCAGGTGGACAGATCAGTTGAGGCCAGGAATTCGAGACCATCCTGGCCAACATGGTGAAACCCCATCTCTACTAAAAATGCACAGATTAGCCGGGTGTAGCGGCGCATGCCTGTAATCCCAGCTACTCAGGAGGCTGAGGCACGAGAATCGCTTGAACCTGGGAGGCGGAGGTTGTAGTGAGCCGAGATCGTGCCACTGCACTCCAGCCTGGACGACAGAGTGAGACTCCATCTCAAAATAAATAAATAAATAAATAAATAAATAAATAAATAAATAAATAAATAAATAAAAAATACTTCTGCTATGAAAAACCTAGTTGGTATTTTTGCTTATTTAATACTATAGAAATATGGTGATCTCATCTTTAATAGAGTGCTTTTAAGGTCCCCAGTGATAATCTCCTAAAATCATGAACTTTAAGAATTTATAATGTTAATATGAGGAAATGAAATCTGGATTATCTCACCACATATTATATAATTCATTAGTGACAGAGCAAGAACTCCAGGTCACCTGTCTATTCCATGTTTTTCCTATCTGCCTTTAAATGTTGAGATACTACCCTTATCTCATGTGAATGGAGAAACTGCCTAAAATGCTAAAACTGACTCAGAGGCACCCAGACATAAGTGAAGTGTGATTAGAAAATCCTGGTCAGTTGAGTCTTAGCCAAATGTGTACCTACTGTGTACTGCCTCTATCAAGTCAATGAAAACATGATCTGAGAACTGTAAGTCCATTTATGGAAAGGTTTGATTTAGAGATATTTTGAACTTCCAGTGATGAGCCCCTTCTCAAATAGCTGTATTCTGAAGGTAACAGTCACCTTATCATATTTTTCATCATATTTTATTTTCATATCTTTTTAAAATTTTAAAAACAACTTGTGTGGGTACATAGTAGGTATATATATTTATGGGGTACAAGAGATATTTTGATACAGGCATGCAATGTGTAATAATCACATTAGGCTGGGTGCAGTGGCTCATGCCTGTAATCCCAGCACTTTGGGAGGCCGAGGCAGGCAGATCGCTTGAGCCCAGGAGTTCGAGACCAGCCTGGGCAACATGGTGAAACACTATCTCTACAAAAATTACCAAAAAAATTAGCCGAGTGTGGTGGCACACATCTGTAGTCCCAATTACTTGGAAGGCTGAAGTGAGATGATTACCTGAGCCCTGGAGGTCAAGGCTACAGTGAGTGGTGATCATGCCATTCTGCTCCAGCCTGGGTGACAGAGTAAGACCTTGTCTCCAAAAAAAAAAAAAAGAAAAAGTCAAATCACATCAGGGTAAATGGAGTATCTGTCACCTCCAGCATTTTTCCTTCCTTTGTGTTACAAACAAATTATATATATATATAATTATATGTATATAAAATTATATATATATATATTTAGACAGAGTCCCACTTTGTCACCCAGGCTGGAGTGAGCAGAGCTCACTGCAGCTTCAACCTCCTGGGTTCAAGCAGTCCTCCCGCCTCAGCCTCCCAAGTAGCAGGGACCACAGGCACGTGCAACCACACTCAACTAATTTTTTGTATTTTTAGTAGAGATGGGCTTTCACCATGTTGCCCAGCCTGGTTTCGAACTCCTGAGCTCAAGCCATTTGCCCATCTCAGCCTCTCCCGAAGTGCTGGGTTTACAGGTGTGAGCCACCATGCCTGGCCTCTTTTACTTATTTTAAACTTACAGTAATTTATTGTTGTTGACTTTAGTCACCCTGCTGTGCTATCAAATACTATATCTTATTTATTCTGTCTAACTATATTTTTGTACCCATTAGCCATCCCCACTTCCTCTCCACAACTACTAGCCTTGCCAGTCTCTGGTAACCATCATTCTACTCCCTAGCTCCATAAGTTCAATTGTTTTCATTTTTAGCTCCCACAAATAAGTGAGAATATGTGAAGTTTGTCTTTCTGTGCCTGGCTTATTTCACTTAACATAATGACCTCCAGTCCATCCATGTTGTTGCAAAAGACAGGACCTCATTCTTTTTATAGCTGAATAGTACCCCATTGTATGAATGTACCACATTTTCTTTATCCATTCACCTGTTGATGGACACAGGTTACTTGCAAATCTTGGCTATTGTGAGTAGAGCTGCAAAGAACATGGAAGTACAGATATCTCTTTTTATACTGATTTCCTTTCTTTGGGTATATGCCCAGCAACGAGATTGCTGGATCGTATGGTAGTTCTATTTAGTTTTTGGAGGAACTTCCAAACTGTTCTCCATAGTGGTTGTACTAGTTTACACACCTACCAACAGCATATGAGGGTTCCCTTTTCTCCACATCCTCACCAGCATTTATTATTTCCTATCTTCTGGATTAAAGCCGTTTTAACTGGGATAAGATGATATCTCATTGTAGTTTTGGTTTGCATTTCTCTGATGATCAGTGATGTTGAGCACCTTTTCATGTAACTGTTTGCCATTTCAATGTCATCTTTTGAGAAATGTCTATTCAGACCCTTTGCCCATTTTTAAATCAGATTATTAGATTTTATTTCCTATAGAGTTGTTTGAGCTTCTTATATTAATCTGGTTATCAATCCCTTGTCAGATGGGTAGTTTATAGATATTTTTTCCCATTCTGTGGGTGGTCTCTTTGTTGTTTCCTTTGCTGTGCAGAGGCTTTTTAACTTGATGTGATCCTGTTTGTCCATTTTTGCTTAGGTTACCTGTGTTTGTGGGGTATTACTCAAGAAATATTTGCCCAGTTCAATGTCCTGGAGTTTCCCCAGTGTTTTCTTGTAGTGGTTTCATAGTTTGAGGTCTTAGGTTTAAGTATTTAATCCATTTTGATTTGACTTTGTATATGGCGAGAGATGGAGGCTAGTTTCACTCTTCTGCATATGGACATCAGTATTTCTGACATCATTTATTGAAGAGACTCTCCTTTCCCCAATGGATGTTCTTGACACTTTTGTCAAAAATGAGTTCACTGTAGATGTATGGATTTATTCCTGGATTCTGTGTTATATCCCATTGGTCTATGTGTCTCTTTTTATGACATTACCATGCTGTTTTGGTTACTATAGCTCGGTAATATAATTTGAAGTCAGACAATGTGATTCCTCCGGTTTTGTTCCTTTTGCTTAGGATGATTTTGGCTATTCTGGGTATGTTGTGGTTCCATGTAAATTTTAGGATTATTTTTTCTATTTCTGTGAAGAATGTCATTGGTTTTTTGATAGGGATTGCATTGAATCTTTAGATTGTTTTGTGTAGTATAGACATTTTCACAATATTCTTTCAATCCATGAACATGGAATATGTTTTCCTTTTTTGGTGTCGTCTTCAATTTCTTTCACCTGTGTGTTATAGTTTTTATTATAGAGGTTGTTCACTTCTTTGGTTAATTCCGAGGTATTTAATTTTATGTGTGACTACTGTAAATGGTATTACTTCTTAAATTTCGTTTTCAGATTGTTTGCTGTTGGCATATAGAAATGCTACTGATTTTTGTATGCCGATTATGTATCCCACAATTTTACTGAATTTGTTTATCAGTTCTAATAGTTTTTTGGTGGAGTCTTTAGGTTTTTTTCAAATGTGAGATCATATCATCTGCATGGGCACAGTGGCTCATTCCTGTAATCCCAGCACTTTGGGAGGCTGGGGTGGGTGTATCATGAGGCCAGAAGTTTGAGACCACGCCCAGCTAATTTTTGTATTTTTAGTAGAGAAGGGGTTTCGCCATGTTGGCCAGGCTTGTCTCGAACTCCTGGCCTCTTGTGATCTGCCCACCTTGACCTCCCAAAGTGCTGGGATTACAGGTGTGAGCGATCGCGCCTGGCCTGCAAACAAGGATAATTTGACTTCTTCCTTTCCAATTGGGATGCTCTTTGTTTCTTTTCTTGTCTGATTGCCCTGTCTAGGACTTCTAGCACTATTTTGAATAACAGTGGTAAAAGTGGGCATCCTTGTCATGTTCCAGATCTTAGAGGAAGGGTTTTCTGTTTTTCCCCATTCAGTGACTTACTAGCTGTGGGTTCTAACATCTTTTTAAGTGTTACAATTGCATTTATAGAAGAGAGGTAAGAAGCAAAGTTAGTCACCTATTAAAATATGACAGCTTTTCTGTGGTTAAGATATATATTGGATCAAATCTTATTCTCTGGACTTACTCCACCAGTTATTTCCTAGGGATAGCCTGTGGTTCATCTTTAACGTAAATTATCTTTTCATTCTCCAGCAGCCATGTTTTACACAACTACTGATTTTAGAACTAGGGAAATTCAAGTTCCTGAAAACTGCCTTCTCATAGATATTTTTTAATAATGGATTACTTAATTTAGCTGAGAGTCAAAGAAATTTAATATTACCTGCTTGCCAGTTTTTCACTAACATCCTATTGTAATGTAATACAGATGAATTTGTAAAATTCACTTGTCTTCTTTTGATCGAAGCTGGCTTCAGATTTCCCATTCATCTTTTCCTTGTTACTGTGTTCAGGAAACTGAACTTTCTTTGTCTATTATTGGTTTAAAATGGTAGTTTCAGAACTTATCTGCATTATTGTTCATTTGACTAGAGCCCATTAGTATATTGTCATATCCGTTGAATGGGGGATAAGGAAGGAAGTCCTTTGTGTAAAAGCATTCTCTGCAGCTGTTCCTCCCTAATGCTGTAAGTTTGATGCCTGGCAGGAAATGATATAGACATGTGTGATAACAAAATGACATAAGGAAGAATTGCCTGTAAGCTTCCCTGGCTTGTCCAGGATGATTGGCTGGCAGCCGGTAGATAGATTAAGGGAGATTTGATATCCAAATCTGAGGATTCACAAGTGTAACTTAAGACAAAATTGAGATGGTGGAAAAAACCTATTTTGAGAAAAGTTTGGGCAAAGGCAGATGGTATGAAAGGCAATAGCCATGTAAATAGACCTTTTTTGACCCTGCTGGGTGACTCAAAGCCTTGCAATTTTTTAGAGACAAGGACCTGTCAGAAGAATCAAGAACTTCAAAGAAAAAACATTCTTTATGAATGCAAGGGATTTTCACATATCAAAACATTTCTCATTGTTCTTATAATTTGAATATCTTCATGGAGTAAATTTACCATTGTACTAAAAAATAAACTAGACAAATAGCCCCCATGGTATCTATATTCTCTTTATTCTCATTAGCTCAGATCAGACCACCCTTGTTACTTGCCTGGAATACCAAAGTGACATCTGTCTCCCTTTTTCTAAGTTTCACCCCTCTTCCAATCCATTCTCCATATTGTAGTTGGAGGAATCTTTCTAGAAATGCAAACTCTGGCTCTCTCTTAGCCTCAGAATAAAGCTAGATTCCTTAGCAAGCCATAGAAAACCCTTCCAAATCTGTACCTCTCCCCATCTGTACTGAAGCCCTCTCCACTGTTTCCCCATACAATAGGATTGAAGTTGTTCTGTCCCTCTGACCAGGCCTTTGCACATGCTGCTCCCCCTGCCTGAAACATCCTTTCTTTTCCCTCCTAACCTCCTTTCACCTGACTAATGCCTACCCAGGCTCCAGAATGGATTGAATAGATGTCCTTCCATGGAGGAAGAAGCGTTCTGCCTCCCCTCTCTTCTGGAGAGGGCGGTTAGTGTGTTTGTTTTATTTTTTATTTAAGTCTCTGCTCGAATATCATCTTGACCACCTCCTTACCTAAAACAGCAGTGCACCTTGTCATTTTTTAGCCTCTTACCCACTGCTTACTTCACAGCATTTATTATCACCTGACATTTTACTTATTTGTCTCTCTCTACCTCCACTGTCACAAATCTATTGATTCCCTGGCTTTTTTTAAATTTTCTTTTAAGTTCTGGGATACATTTGCAGAACATGCAGGTTTCTTACATAGGTATACATGTGCCATGGTGGTTTGCTGCACCTATCAACCCATCATCTAGGTTTTAAGCCCCACATGGATTAGATATTTGTCCTACTGCTCTCCCTCCTCTTGCCCCCAGCCCTCCGACAGGCCCCAGTGTGTGATGTTCCCTTCCCTGTGTCCATGTGTTCTCATTGTTCAACTCCCACTTATGAGTGAGAACATGCAGTGTTTGGTTTTCTGTTCCTGTGTTAGTTTGTTGAGAATGATGTTTTCCAGCTTCATCCATGTCCCTGCAAAGGACATAAACTCATTCTTTTTTATGGCTGCATAGTATTCCATGGTGTATATGTGCCACATTTTCTTTATCCAGTCTATCATTGATGGGCATTTGGGTTGGTTCCAAGTCTTTGCTATTGTAAATGTAGCTGCAGTAAACATACATGTGCATGTGGCATGTGTCTTTATAGTAGAATGATTTAGAATCTTTTGGGTATATACCCAGTAATGGGATTCCCTGGCTTTTTTTTTTTTTTTTTTTTTTGGAGACTGATTCTTGCTGTGTCGCCCAGGCTGGAGTGCAGTGGTGCAATCTTGGCTCACTGCAACCTCGGCGTCCTGGGTTCAAGCAATTCTCCTGCCTCAGCCTCCTGAGTAGCTGGGACTACAGGCACGCACCACCATGCCCGGCTAATTTTTTGTATTTTTAGTAGAGACGGGGTTTCACCATGTTAGCCAGAATGGTCTCGATCTCCTAACCTCGTGATCTGCCCGTCTTGGCCTCCCAGAGTGCTGGGATTACAGGCGTGAGCCACCGTGCCTGGCCGATTCCCTGGCTTTTATAAAAGTTCATTGCTGTATTCCAGTGCCTTGAATGGGACCTGCTACATAATAAGCTCTCAACAAATACCTGTTGAATGAAAATCTGTGATGTATTCTTGAAAAGTTTTCAAACCAAACTGAGTTTCAGAATCAACTAGAACACCTTCAGAAAAAATTAACGGCCAGGCACGGTGGTTCACACCTGTAATCCTAGCACTTTGGGAGGCCGAGGTGGGTGGATTGCCTGAACTCAAGAGTTTGAGACCAGCCTGGGCAACATGGTGAAACCTTGTCTCTACTAAAATACCAAAAATTAGCTGGGCATGGTGGCATGCGCCTGTAATCCCAGCTACTCGGGAGGCAGAGGCAGGAGAATTGCTAGAACCCGTGAGGTGGAGGTTGCAGTGAGCTGAGAATGCACCACTGCACTCCAGCCTGGGCAATGAGCGAGACTCTGTCTCTTTGAAAAAAAAAAAAAAAAAAAAAAAGATTTGGTAATCTGGGTCCTTAGAATAGGGTTTTGTTTTTTTTTTTTTTTTTTGAGACAGAGTTTTGCTCTTGTTGCCCAGGCTGGAGTGCAATGGCACAATCTTGGCTCACTGTAACCTCCGCCTCCCGGGTTCAAGTGATTCCCCTGCCTCAGCCTCCCAGGTAGCTGGGATTACAGGCATGTGCCACCACGCCCGGCTAATTTTGTATTTTTAGTAGAGATGGGGTTTCACCATGTTGGTCAGGCTGGTCTTGAACTCCCGACCTCAGGCCATCCACCCACCTCGGCCTCCCGAAGTGCTGGGATTACAGGTGTGAGCCACCCTGCCCGGCTAGAATAGGTTCTGACATCCACATTTTAAAACCTCAGTTAGATTATATGAGTACAGAAAGAATAGGCACCTTCCTCTGTTTTGCATGTATTACACCTTTGAGTTAAAATCTGTATCTAGTTGATTAAATTATAATTTGGTCTGTTGTAGCTTTTGCTGTCACCAACAGGAAAATGTGGGTCCTGTGAACTATGTGGAATTAACTGACTGAGAATTCAGGAAGAGGAGCTTATATAGGACCTAAGAGAGGCTACTGTGCCTGAACAAGAGATTTCCCACATCTTTTGTAGTCAGTTTGCCCAGAAGGTAGATGTATGGGAGTATCCCATACAATACACCCAACTTCTCAGAAAAGGGAAGTTCAAGACAGAACACCAGATAGAACTTTGCAAGTAAATTTTTCAAGTGGAAGAAGTTCCCCCTAGCATGAGGCCTGATTAAAGGCTGCAAACAAGAACAAATAAGGCCTTTCCTGTGGTTTGTATGACAAATGTGGGCTTTCTCACCTGCCAGAAGAGCTGCCCTACCCCCCACCCCAGAATCACTTTGGTCCTTTATAAAAATTGAAAACACAGAATAATATCATTAAAGAAAATTTTCAAAAAGAGAAAAAATTACCCACAATGTTAAGTTCCTTACTTAGGGCCATTTCCATTCCTGCCATGTTACCTTCCCGTTCTTCACATGTACCAGAGAAGAGGTTTTGTAATATCTTCCATACTTTCTTATCTTCCAAAGTGTTCTTGAGTCTTCAGCTTCCCTATTGCCATTTTCAGATCACATTCATTAAGCACTGTGTATATAGCGTTACACTGGGCACTATATAAAGCAGTGTGAATGGCAATTTCCCTTCATTGCCTTACATGCAAGAGCAAACAATATAGGCCTAGGAGTATTCATTTAACTAAACAGAAATAAAGTTAAACATATATCAAAGCAAGGCAGTAGAGCAGATGAACAACTGTATTGTCTTTGCTTTTACATGAGTTTTCTGTACATGATAAGCTTTTTTTTATTTGGAATTGGAAAATGAAGGGAGGTTTGGGGCCATTTGCATCTCACCCAGATTTTTATACAGTATATTGTACCATATCTCATCTCCCACAGAGATGGGATATCTTGCCCACAGAGATGGGATATCTTGCATAGAGCTAAGTAGTGCTACTGACAGAGAACCTCAGTCACTTAAGTGGAGACATATGGGCAGCTTAAGGTCTCCTTATTTGAGTAGTAGACATTGCCGATGGCAAAGCATTTTGGGAAGAGGGGTAGCTCATAAATGAGGAACTTAATCTAAGAAATTATTTGTTCTTCAGCCCTGTGGCTTCGGATTGTTGGTTTCTTCACGGTTCACTTTCTCTCAGGCTCCACCCCTCTCTCACTGCAGAGAACTTGTTGACAGCAGCTCTACTTTTTCCAGTCTTGCACAAAGGCAGATGTCTGAAAATTTAGCTTACGCAAACCATCTGTGTGCTTGACTCTGTTCCCACGGTGTGTTTTCCTGTACTGCCCCTCCCCACTTTTCGGTCCTTTTTAAAAACTGAAAACACAGTATAATAACATAATTTAAGAAAATTTTCAAAAAGAAAAAAATCACCCACAATATTACTATCCTTATTGATAGCTGTTTTCATTCCTGCCATGTTATCTTCCCGTGCATAGCTTTTTGCGTAATTGTGTCCTTTGTCTTAAGCAGAAGTTCAGATACTTTGTCATTTAGCCACTTCCCTGTTTTTCTCCTGGCATTATCTTTTGGTTTTTGGTCTTGAGTTACTCAAAGGACATTGCAGCTTATCAGTACTCCATCGATGAGTCCTTATTTTTATTTTCCTTTCTGACTTTTGAAACCCAAGTACTCTAGAGTATGGCTGAGATCCAACTTTTTAAAAGTAAGACATATAACATGTGTGAAGGATTTTTTTAATATTTAGAAACTGCTGTTGTAAATTACACTGACTTTTTTTTTTTTTTTTTTGAGATAATGTCCCGTTCTATTGCCCAGGCTGGAGTGCAGTGGCGCGATCTCGGCTCACTACAACCTCCACCTCCCGGGTTCAAGCAGTTCTCTGCCTCAGCCTCCCGAGTAGCTGGGATTACAGGTGCCGGCCACCATGCCCAGCTAATGTTTGTATTTTTAGTAGAGATGGGGTTTCACCATCTTGACTAGGCTGGTCTTGAACTCCTGACCTCGTGATCCACCCTCCTCAGCCTCCCAAAGTGCTGGGATTACAGGCGTGAGCCACTGCATCCGGCCTTACAAATTACATTGACTTTCAAGAAACATTACCCTGCCCACCCAAGGACAGTCTCATTTAGAAAAAAGACATGTCTATACTTTTCTGCCCTTTGTTGAGTTGCAAGCCTCATTTCTTCTAATACCTGACTAATCTTGTTAGTAATAGTGTTTCACTTGTAACTGGTCGTCTCCCTTTTCAGAGCTGTTATGTCTCACCCTTTGTCTTCTTAATGGTGAATAAGGACACATCCATGCCTCCTCATCATTTTCCCTTTCTTGTTTGACAAAAAGAACAAAATGGACCATGTTTCCTTGTTTTGGTAGAAAGTTTGTTATTGAATATCTTCAGCCACCTTCCTTTCAGAAACCGTAATCCCCAATACTTAGACATTTGAAGGGTTGGACCTGTGGTGTCTAGGGTCCCCTGATGACTTAGGAAGTCTGCAGGATTTACATACAGCTTTTCTAGCTGTCTTACTGTGTGAGAAAACAAAAGACCCTCAGAATTCTAGCTTTCCTTCCAATCATTGCAGAGAAATTTTGCCTTTAGTAGTAAAGCCGGTGGTTAAAAGTTTTTCCTTTTTCCCTTGTTTTCCTGGGTCCTGAGTTGCCACTGGGGTAGATTATAGGACCTAGCTCGACCAAAACCTAAAAGCAATCCAGGGAACAAGTGTAGGATTATACTGCAATGTCCGTTCTATGCTGGAGCAAATATATAATGAATCTTAACTTCTTTTCTCTGATACATTTAAAACACATATGAAAGTTAAATTTACTCTTGGATCATTTTGATTAGGTTATTTTCCTCTTTTTCTAAACCCTAACTAAAATGTTTGGAATTATTGTTATTTCACATCCCACTCTAGAGTACTGCAAAATACTACTGTGTGATCTCTTTGTCCCCAGCTCCCCAAGAGCTGTGGATCATTGCGTCTTCATAAATTTACTTTAAAATGTGCATTTAGTGAATTTGAACTGTTAAACATTGGATTGGACATCAAGAAAGCTTAATAAATTAAATTTGCAAGAAACCAGTAGAGTGAATTTTTCATCTGTAATGGTGTTACAATTCTGTAGTGATTCTGTAAGGGGAAAAGACTAGGAAACAGAGAACACTGGATGGGTGAAAAATTGTGAGGTAATTAAGGACAGTGACTTCTACTTGCTTTCTCTTTTCCCTTTTCTTTGACAGGTCCTTAAATTGTCATTTGGACTTTGCCTTTTGCTATTTTTTTCTCTTCCTCCTCCTGTTCCTCCTCCTCCATCATCGTTAATTTTTTTTTTTTAACAAAAGTTAACTGCTTTTGCAAGTGTCAGAACCTAACACTGGCAGCAGTGCCCCTCCTAGATTTCATTTGTGCATTAGTGCATGGCCCAAGGGATCTGTAATATGCATTTAAACAGTTACGAAAAGAAGAATTTGTCCAGGGACTTTAAAAAGTCAGGCAGTCCAGCGATAGTAGAGAAAACCAGGCAGTAGATTTAAAAGAGATTCAACATACTTTACCATGCCTTTCTCTGTTCCCCGTGGTTTAATATTTGGGAATTAGTAACTTTGAGGAACTTTTAAGAGGTCCTACTGGCAATATATTTTTTATGTTCAGCCTAGTAAGGTAGAAAACAACTATAGAAGAGATGGTTTGGTAAGGAAAATTGAGAAACTGTTGTTTTGCAGATGGAGTTCAGTTTTTGTGGCCAATTAATTTTGAGAGTTACTGGTAAGGTTGAAATAAAGTAGCACTGAACTGACTCAATTTTTTAAATAACAAAAAAATTCCTTGGTGTTCTAGTATTTGAGAATTCACTTTTAGAACCCTATTGGTACATTGGTGGATAACACTACAATGGGACTGTGGTGTCCTTGTTGTACAGAACAGGCAAAGAATTCAAAATGCTAGAGAGCCAGGGAGTGATGTTTTAAACAAAAACAACAAAACTTGAAAATAGGCCTGTAGGCCAGGTACAGTGGCTCATGCCTGTAATCCCAGCACTTTAGTAGGCCAAGGCAGGTGAATCACCTGAGGTCAGGAGTTCGAGACCACCCTGGCCAACATGGTGAAACCCCATCTCTACTAAAAAATTACAAAAATTAACTAGGCACAGTGGCAGGTGCCTGTAATCCCAGCTATTTGGGAGGCTGAGGCAGGAGAATCACTTGAACCCAGGAGGCGGAGGTTGCAGTGAGCCGAGACTGTGCCATTGCACTCCAGCCTGGGCAACAAGAGCAAAACTCTGTCTCAAAAAAGAAGAAAAGAAAAGAAGCCTACATTTTGACTCCTGCTCTGTAATTTACTAGTTGTGTAATTGGTAAGTTTAAGCAAGTTACTCTCAAAACCTTTGTTTTCTCATCTGTGAAATGGGAAGAACTTCTGTTCATCAAGTTGTTTTAAGATAGTGGTTGTAAAGTACTAGGCATCATGCCTAACACAGGTGGGTACTCAATAAATGATAGTTACAAAGTCCCCTTTTCTTTTTTTTTTCTTTTTTTTTTTTCTTTTGAGACAGAGTCTTGCTCTGTCAGTTAGGCTGTTAGGCTGGAGTGGCACGATCTTGGCTTACTGCAACCTCCACCTCTCGGGTTCAAGTGATTCTCCTGCCTTAGCCTCCCGAGTAGCTGGGATTACAGGCGTGAGCCACCACACCGGGCCCAAACTCCTCTTTAACTTTATTTCACAGTGCTCAAAGCCAACACCTAACCACTACCATGACCATCACACAACTCCCAAAGAGAACATTGATGGACGTGCCATTGTAACAGATTCTGAGTTTCTACAAATGAAAGTTTCTGAAGTAATGGTGAAGTTCTTGCCATTATAAACAACAGCTATCCAGTAGGCAGCTGATTTTATAGGTCTGGGGCTCTGATGTTAGATCTGATCTTTTAGAGAGTCAGAGAGTTGTGGCAGCTGGCCTCCAGGGTGGTCCATAGTGGTTGTTGCCGCCCAGTATTGCTATCCTTGTATAGTCCCCTCCTACACTAAATAGGGCTGACCTATATTACCAGTATAATGTTGCAGAAATTATGATGTGTGCCCTCCAAAATTAAGTCACAAAGCATTGTTCTGCTACCTTGTTCTCCCTGGGATCACTCATTCTGGGGAAAGTCAGCTGCCACGTCATAAGGACACTCAGGCAGCCCAGAGGAGAAATTTACATGGCAAAGAACTGAGGTCTCCTATTAGCAGCCATGTAAATGAGCCATCTTGGAAACAGATCCTCCAGTCCCAGTCTAGGCTTCAGATGACTGCAGCCTCTTTTTTTTTTTTTTTTTTTTTTTTTTGAGGTGAAATCTTGCTTTGTCGCCCAGTCTAGAGTGCAGTGGCACGATCTTGGCTTACTGCAAGCTCCGCCTCCCGGGTTCATGCCATTCTTCTGCCTCAGCCTCCAGAGTAGCTGGGACTACAGGTGCCTGCCACCACGCCCAGCTAATGTTTTGTATTTTTAGTAGAGACAAGGTTTCACCGTGTTAGCCAGGACGGGACTGTAGCCTCTTAAGAGATCCTAAGCCAGAACCATCCAGCTAAGCTGTTCCTGAATTCCTGATTCTCAAAAACTGTGAGATAATAAATGTTTTTTGTGGTTTTAGGCTTTTAAGTTTTAGGATAATTTGCTATGCATCAATAGATAACTAATAAGGAGTCATCAACATACAGGATGGTGATAGCCATAAGTGTGGCTAAAGACATTCAGAAGAGTGTATATAGAACAAGGAGAGGAGTGGTGACGAAATCGTGGAAGACATCCTATTTAAGAAGTTGACAAAAGAATAGGAGCCCACAAATGAGAATGTGAAGGAATAGTCAGAAACATAGAAGGAATAATAAGAAAGTTTCAAGAAGGTGGATGGTTGTTAACCATATCAAATGGTCAGGCATTTGATAAGGACTGAGAAAATGTTCATTGGATTTTACAGGCAAAAGAAAATCCCAATTACAATGTGTTGGAAAGTGAATTACAAATGAGAAAGTAGAAACACTGAAACCCTACACCACTTGCCCTTCTCTACCTCTTTGGTCTCATTTTCTACCACTCATTGTTGGCTAACTACATTTCAGTGCCCCTGACCTCCTTGCTAATTCCCAAGCTAGCCAGTTATTCTTCTGCCTCAGGGCCTTTTATATCTGCTGCTCCCACTACCTTTTTTTCAGATAGCACAAGCTATGTTGCCCAGGCTGGTTTTAAACTCCTGGGCTCAAGTGATCCTTCCACCTCATCCTCCAGAGTAGCTGGGATTACAGGTGCACACCACCATGCCTAGCTCCCCCCACTGCCTTTAATGTTCTTTTTCCAAACAGCTGCATGGCTGCCTCCCCTAATTCCTACAGATCTCTGTTTAAATGTCAGCTTAGTGAAGAGATTTTCCCTGCCATAGCTTATAACACAAGTAAGTATACACAGCAGCACTCCCTGTTACTCTTTCTCTGCTTCATTTTTCTCCATAGCACTTAACACCATCTCATGTCTAAAATGGCAGCCACTGCTCATCTCTGGCCAGTTGTTGCTAGATGGACATGTGTGTTCAAATTTTATGATTTTTCAAAAGAAGCTGGATTTTTAAGTACAATTAATTGTCAATGGGCTGAGCGCAGTGGCTCACACCTATAATCTCCTCACCTTGGGAGGCCAAAGTGGGAGGATTGCTTGAGTCCAGAAGTTCTAGACCAGCTTGGGCAACATAGTGAGACCTCATCTCTATAGAATATTAAAAAATTAGCCATGCATGGTAGCATACACCTGGAGTCCCAGCTATTCAAGATGCTGAAGTGGCAGGATTGCTTGAGCCTGTGAGGTTGAGGCTGCAGTGAGCCATGAACACACCACTGCCCTACAGCCTGGGTGAACAGAGTGAGACCCTGCTTCAAAAAAATTGTCAATAAATTTATGTTTCAAAGCACTTTGAAGGTCAAACAGACTCTCTGTTTTAAGGGCGGTGGATAGGGTAGGGTTACTGACAAAGGATATGGAACTGGAATGGTCAGAGAGTTACCAGAGGGACTTAATGTCTTAGAAACTGAGGGGAGCAGGGGCAGGGTAGTCAAAAAGGAGAAAGTGATTTGCCGGTACACATTAGGTATTAAATGAAGAACAGAAATTGATGCTAAGCTAAAGGGGTCTTTGTCTTTAGGATCTATCACTGGGGAAATCATTGGCAAACTTAGAGTGGGGGAGGAGTTTCAGAGGAGTGGTGAGACAGAAGCAAGATGCCAGTGGGTAGAAAAATTGACTGGCAAGGGAAGAAAATGGGGACAGCAAGTAGAGACTTCCTTCTTAATAAAGAGAACTTAGACTTTCAGCCGGAACTGCCATCTTCCAGTAATTCACCAAAAACAAACACAAAGGGAAAGAGGAGAGGCACCCGATATATGTTCTCTAGGTCTTTTAGAAAAGATGGAGTTGTTCCTTTGGCCATGCATATGCGAATCTATAAGAAAGGTGATAATGTAGACATCAAGGGAATGGGTACTGTTCAAAAAGGAATGCCCCACAAGTGTTACCATGGCAGAACTGAAGGAGTCTACAATGTTAACCAGCATGCTGCTGGCATTGTTGTACACAAGTTGAGGGCAAGATTCTTGCCAAGAGAATTAATGTGTGTATTGAGCACATTAAGCACTCTAATTAATGTGTGTATTGAGCACATAAAGCACTCTAAGAGCCAAGACAGCTTCCTGAAGCACGTGAAAGAAAATGATCAGAAAAAGAAGCCAAAGAGAAAGGTACCTGGGTTCAACTGTAATAAATAAATAAATAAGAACTTAGAACACAGGATCAAGTTAAGGTTTGGGGGCATGGAGGTTGTTTTCTTTTAAGGGTATGAGAGACCAGACTTAAGCATGTTTCCAGGCTGAGGAGAAGTAGTCACTGGAGAGAGAAAACTAGGAGATGAGGGAGTGGGACCAAGGACATAGGTCACATCATTCTCTCAGATTGGAGAAAGGAGATAAGTCTGCAGGTGAGAGAAAGTAATTGAGAGAAATCACACTAGCTAGCCTCCATTTTCTTGGTAGTATAGAAGGCCAAGTTAACTGTGGAAAGTTGAAGGAAACAGAAGTTGCAATGGGACTTTGGGAGAGTAGAGAGGGTTTGGAATAACAGTGGAAAGGAGTAGGAGAGGGAGCTGTCCAGAGGTGTTAAGTGCCCCGCTGAGTCAAGTCAGTGTCATTACTGTCATCTCTGATATCCTTGCACTGAGACCGTGAATGTGCTGTGGCATCCAGAGACATGGTTTCTTATCTCCTTAAGTGTTCAGCTGCTTTTCTTTCATTTATTCCACATATAATTACTATAATTGCTAAACATTTATTTAGTGTCAGGTAATGTGCTAAACAGAGAGTTACTGCTCAGACATGTAATAATAATAAATAACACATCAAATAACCATACCATTTTAAGCTGTAGTATTATGAAGGGAAATCTGGAGCAAAGAGAATAGACTGTAGGGAAACCAGTTAAGAAATAGGACATGGAGGCTAGGTGCAGTGGCTCACGCCTGTAATCGCAGCACTTTGGGAGGCTGAGGCAGGTGGATCACGAGGTCAGGAGATCGAGACCATCCTGGCTAACACAGTGAAACCCCATCTCTACTAAAAATACAAAAAATTAGCCGGGCGTGGTGGCGGGCACCTGTAGTCCTAACTATTCGGGAGGCTGAGGCAAGAGAATGGCATGAACCTGGAAGGCGGAGCTTGCAGTGAGCCAAGATCACGCCACTGCACTCCAGCCTGAGCAACAGAGCGAGACTCCATCTCAAAAAAAAAAAAGAAAGAAAGAAATAGGACATGGGACTAGGTTGGTTAGGAAAGAAAAAGCCAAAAGGAGGTTGATAGCTAGAAAAAACCGAGGAATCACCGGGCGCAGTGGCTCACGTCTGTAATCCCAGCACTTTGGGAGGCCGAGGCTGGTGGATCACCTGAGGTCAGGAGTTCAAGACCAGTCTGGGCAACATGGTGAAACCCCGTCTCTACTAAAAATACAAAAATTAGCTGGGCGCAGTGGTGCGTGCCTGTAATCCCAGCTACTCTGGAGGCTGAGGCAGGAGAATTGCTTGAGCCCAGGAGGCGGAGGTTGCAGTGAGCCGAGATTGCACCATTGCACTTCAGCCTGGGTGATAGGGCAAGACTCTGTCCCAAAAAACAAAAAAAGAAAAAAAGAAAGAAAAAATTCAGGAATCAGGGGTCTAGGAGTCTCCCTCAGCTTGAAGAGGGAGTGAGCACATGGGAATTACAAGGAGAGGGAGTTGTAATCAGAAAGTGAGTTTAATTTCTGAAATTAAGTCCATCAAGAACTCGTGACTTCCAGAGGGACCCTGTGAACTAGAAGTCTAAAAGGAGTAAAGGTCTTTGAAGACCAAGAGGATGAGAAAATTTTGAGACAAAGTTGTTGGATGTTCATCTGTATGAACACTGAAATGTCTTAAGATTATAGTAGGATTTGGGGAATTGGGGAAAGAAGATTGGACAAGATAAGGGGTTAAAAAAAGAGTGACAAGGATATCAGAAGGTAACAGCAACAAAGAACAGAAGATGACCTTAGCCTCAAAGACACATTGCCAAGGGTGAAAGAGAATGGTCTGAAAGCAGGGTTTGACACTTAGGCCAAATGCTTGAAAGCCTAATTTGCATTTCTTCTGCGGGTGTGTTTTTAAATACCTGGGAAGGTATTTGTTGAATCATGCAAATGAAATTATTTTTTAAATGCTGAACAGTTTTTCTGAGTTAATCTCCTTTCATTTTGTTTGTTTATTCCCACCTATTTTAAACTTGGTGCCATGTCTTGGTTACTAAGAGACATGTTGGTCATCATCATGTCTCTTAGTAACCAAGACATCCAGCATTTTAAATACTAAGAAAGAACTTTTCAGGTCATTTACTTTTGAGTCCAGACAGCTTTTAAATTTTTCCATTTTGAAAAAGTATTTACATCTAGAATTTAGGGCTGCAGGACCAAGAAGCTTTGTTGATTCAGTCTGTAAGGGAAATGGGTTCCTTTGAGCTGAGGCAGTTTCTCCTCTCTTTGGAGGAGGACCTTCTCAAAAACAAAACTCTCCACCACTGTCAGTTACCAGGAGGACCTGGGTCAGTTGTGTGTTGGGAAGTTACTTGAGACCAGTTCCTTTCCTGAGCACCTAGGTTTTTGTTTGGGGGTGAGGGAGGTGGTGGTTATTTTTGGATGGTGACTGGAGGCAAGACTGAGACTGAGCCTTGCTAAGGTGGCTGCACAGAGAGGAAGACAAGAAGACAGCAGTGGTGTCATGAGAAGGTCTGGTCTCTTGGATCTTAGCAAACTCAGAAGTGTTTTGTAGCAAGGCTGCTTGGTATAAGTCCAAGAATGGTGGCTACCTGGAGGAATGGGATAGGGTGTGTTCTTTTCAAAGGTATTCAGAAGTCAAAATTATTTTAGATCTGTGCTTGGTCTCACAAGACATGGTGAATTAGGCCCAACTACTTCCATTTAGAGCCCTGCCTTAGACTCCCTAAAGGCCCTGCAGCTCTGATCTTTCATGATTTGGTAGTAATTTAAAACTCAAACCAAAAGCTAAAAGCTAAAAAAAAAGAAAGAAAAAGAGAAACAGAACAAGCATCATACCAAGCTTTGCAGTGAAATCCTGCCTTTGTTCTCTTCAGATGGACTGACCAGTGGCGTTTTCTTTGGGGGGGTTTTGTTTGTTTGTTTGTTTTGAGACACTGTCTCGCTCTGTTGCCCAGGCTGGAGTGCAGTGGCGCGATCTCGGCTCACTGCAGCCTCCGCCTCCCAGGTTCAAGCAATTCTCCTGCCTCAGCCTCCCGAGTAGCTGGAATTACAGGCGCATGCCACCACACCTGGCTAATTTTTTATATTTTTAGTAGAGATGAGATTTCGCTGTTTTAGCCAGGATAGTCTCGAACTCCTGATGTCGTGATCCACCCGCCTCAGCCTCCCAAAGTGCTGGAATTACAGGCGTGAGCCACCATGCCCAGCCTCAACTGGCAGTGTTTTTAACTGCTAGTTGTTTAAGCTATTATTTAGCAATATGTCCTGTTGTAATAACATCGAACACAGAATAAAGGGTTAAAGTGCTGCCCAGAGTGTCAGATGACATGGGGGCTTAAGCCCAGCCCTACTGCTAACTAGCTATGTGATTTTAGGGTAAATCAGTAAATTCTCTGGGCTTCAGTTGATATATTAGATTCTCTGTTACAAGCTCATAAATGTTTTGTTTTGTTTTGTTTTTGAGACAGTCTTACTCTGTCACCCAGGCTGGAGTACAGTGACGTGATCTTGGCTCAGTGCAAATTCCACCTCCCGGATTCAAGCAATTCTCCTGCCTCAGCCTTCCGAGTAGCTGGGATTACAGGCACATGCCACCATGCCCGGCTAATTTTTGTATTTTTAGTAGAGATGGGGTTTCACCATGTTGGCCAGGCGGGTCTCGAACTCCTGACCTCAAGTGATCCACCCACCTTGGCCTTCCAAAGTACTGAGATTACAGGCGTGAGCCACCGCGCTCAGCCAGAAATGAATTTTAACTATCATAAGTAAAATATTTGTCAGAAAGTTGTCAGACATCCTAATGGGAGGCTAGAGGACCAAACTTAGAGAACAGACATATGAAAGGAAAATAAATCTCAAAATCATCACCCAAATCATCACCAAGCCAAAGGGAAAAGTCAAGCTGGGAAGTGCTTAGGGCAAAACTGCCCCCCATTCTATTCCTAAAAAGATAGCTACTAAGTTTTTTAAAAGCTACATACCTCCCTCACAAGGAATTTCCTTGTGGACAAAGGACAGACAGAACTCAAAGTCATCCCTCCTCTGCCCAGTGAAATAAATGCAAACCTGATTGCCTTCTTTGGAAAGGCTAATCAGAAACCCAAAAGAATGCAACCATTTGTCTTGTATCTGCCTATGACCTGGAAGTCCTCTCCCCACTTCGAGTTATCTCGCCTTTCTTGACGGAACCAGTGTACATTTTACATATATCGATTGATGTCTCATGTCTCCCTAAAATGTATAAAACCAAGCTGTGCCCCGACCACATTGGGAACATGTCGTCAGGACCTCCTCAGGCTGTGTCACAGGCATACATTCTTAACTTTGGCAAAATAAACTTCCTAAATTGACCGAGACCTGTCTCAGATATTTGGGGTTCAAAGGAAAGAGCTAAAGTCATTCAGGGAAGACCAGGGAGCAGGAGCAGAGTGTCCCATACCTCGACACTCCCCATGTATCTAAAGCAGTACGAATAATGGGGTATGGTCCCAGGGGAGAGTTTCCAGGGGAGATTCAGATTCCACGGGGAGAATTTCCAACTGCCAGATGTAAGCCACATTCCAGCTTCCTACAAAACCCCTTGCAGTTCCAGAGTTGGACGCCACTAGAACCACATTTGAATGGATTCCCCAAAAGGAGAGTAGGGTGATATTGAAAAAGATAAATCTATTGCTGAACAGCCAAAACCAACAAATGTCAAAGCAGATGTGCCCCATCTGTAAAAGCTAGAAGGTTAATTGTATGACCAATGGTAAAATTATTGATCCTAAATTATGTCTCTGTCAGACATTTCTAAGATGCACATGGTTAAAGCAAAAATGGAATTAGAAGATCGTATCAGTAAGTGAACATTCAAAATGAACAGAACAAGTAATTTTGGTTTTTTGTTTTGTTTTTGCCTTCCATTGATGATCTGTAGTGAAAAGACCAGGAAGTTTCGTCCAGATTGGAATTTGTCTCTCAATCTTGAACAAACAGATCCTTTTTCCCCCCTTCAGTTTTAGGAAAGGGGAAAAACAGATAGCTGCATCCTAGTATAGTTGTGCTGGGCATTGTGCAACAGAGTTTAAGTGGAAGATGAGCTGGAACTAAGTCTGATGGTTATCGTTAATGAGTAAGAACCAGAGTCCTAAGCTCTTCTCTGCTTCGGCCGGTAATTGGTTTACTCATGTGGCCCAGTCTCTGCTGGTCTGGTGATAAGGAGATAAATAATCCTGACTCTTGCATTCAGAGGCATGTGTCTGGGAAGTCAATGCCCTCAGGGAGAGGGTTCCAGGTATGGCTGGGCATTCTAGTATTCAATGTTTGGTCATGCTGCAGGGGTAGGGCGGGAATGTCTAATTACAGAGAACATTACAATATATGAGTTTGGATTTTCTCCTGTTGTATTCTAAATTCCTTTAGGATTACAGAATCACATTTTCTTCACTACCTAGAGGTGTACTTTTGACTTTTGAAGCCAGGTTGCATACATCAAGGAACAGTTACTTTTTCCTTCCAGTTTTAGGGGTTTGGCCAGATTTTTTCATTAGGCATTAGTATTGATAGTTGTGTAATTCCTTGAACTCTGGTCTGATATTTGAAACTTTTTATTATGAAATTCCCTGTCTGTGGTGTGGTCACACCAAGTGGGAACATGAATTCCTTTCCACCTAGTGGGGTTGACAGAAGCTGTCCTAGCACCTTGAATCTGAAAATTAAACAACGAAGCAGAGAAGGCTTATCAGGAGGAGAAAAATATTGGGAGAGTGGAATATATTTGAAAGTTTTTGCTAGATGAGTATTCTTCAAGACAAAAGTATGAGTTCAGATTATGTGTGGTACTTGAATTTAACATAAATACCAACCAACTCACTTTGTGCAATAATACTGCATGCAGTCGTTATTACACAATAATTTGCCTGCTAATTTTGGCTTCAAGCAGAAATATCAAACCAACTCCAGAGTTTGGCATTACAAACATAAACATGAAAATCTGCTTCCTTCATTTTAGTATAACATCTACTTTGTGCCACTTGATTTCTCATAGTAAATGAGCCATTTCTTCTTATATGTGTGCATGTAGAACAGTGGAATTTCTATCCAACTGACGTTCAGCAGTTAGGCCAGGTATGTTGTTGCTTTGTTTTGCTTCCTTGACCTTCCTGCTGGTCATGGATGATCACCCTGGCCACATTCCTCAAAGATTATTTCAACCTCAGAACAGTTAAATATTTTCTTCCCTTAGTTGACCTTTTCCTCCACACTTTGTCTAAGAAGAAACTACCAGTTAACAAATGTCATACTTTAGGAAGTGATTTTGATCAGAAAGGATTGTCACAGAGCACTTTCCCAAATATATTTAAAGCCGAGTGCTCTTTCCTCCATTTTTTGAGACTGAGATGCCACTGTCATTCCCAACAGATATTACAACTTGCTCTACTGTCCAGCCCAGCTGGATTCATCTCAGACATGTTCTTTATTCCCCTCAGTGTAGTCTTTCTGTTTATGGCCTTGTTGGGGAAGTGGTGGGGAAAATGAGAAGAGTTGGAATCCGAATGGATTTCAGTTCTTTTCTCTCACTCCTGTACTCTACATTTTTTTTTTGAAATGGAGTTTCGCTCTGTTTCCCAGGCTGGAGTGCAGTGGCGTGATCTCAGCTCACTGCAAACTCCACCTCCAGAGTTCAAGCAATTCTCTTGCCTCAGCCTCCCAAGTAGCTGGGATTATAAGCGTGTGCCACCACACCTGGCTAATTTTTGTATTTTTAGTAGAGACGGAGTTTTGCCATGATGGCCAGGCTGGTTTTGAACTCCTGGCCTCAAGTGATCCACCCTCCTTGGCCTCCCAAAGTGCTGGGATTACAGGCATGAGCCACCACACTCAGCCCCTGTACTCTACTTTTAAATTCTATTCTGTTGAAAAGGTGTGTAGGTAAGACATTGTATTTCGTCCGCCATAAACTATATCATAAAGCGAAAACAACATGGTAGAGCATGATTTGGAGCATAAGCTTTCAAGTCAAATCTTGGTTTGAATCCTTGCTCTGAGGCTTACTAGCTGTATAGATTTTAGGCAAGTAACTTATGATCTCTGAGCCCTCAGTCTCTTACATGTATATTGGGGGTAAAAATAGTACCTACTTCATAGAATTGTTAGGAAGGTTAAATAAAGTAATGTAAAATGCACCTAGCATACAGTAGATATCTAGTTGAGTTAGCTATTATTAGCTCTCTCTCTCTCTCTCTCTCTCTCTCTCTCTCTCTCTATATATATATATATATATATATTTCTTAACTAGGGATGACTTTCCCCTTATTGAGCAAGCAATCTATGGCAAAGAGAAGCATAGATGTTTTTAAGTTATAAAGACTCTGGAGAACTTCACTGTCAGGAGTGCTCTATTAGAAAGGTGATTCTGTCATTTTTGTATCAAGCAGCTAATTATTCTCTTTAGATCAAGAAAATAGTATTTTCTTTATCTCATTCATTCCTTACTGTGGGGCTTCTTAAGTCCTTCGGGGTTATATTTAACTTAGGTATCTGTAATCACATACAAATGACTTCATAGAGTTTACTGCAGTTCTGTTTCTGTGCCAGACTCTACAGAACTAGTCAATTCAGAAACATGAAAAAGTTTTCACCTGCCTTTCTAAAGAACCGGTTTTTTTGTTTGTTTTTTTTTTTTTTTTTTGAAGCAGAGTTCCCCTCTGTCGTCCAGGCTGGAGTGCAGTGGCACAATCTCGGCTCACTGCAACCTCCGCCTCCCAGGTTCCAGTGATTCTCTTGCCTCAGCCTCCCTAGCAGCTGGGATTACAGGCACCCGCCACCACGCCTGGCTAATTTTTTTGTATTTTTAGTCGAGATGGGGTTTCGCCATGTTGGCCAGGCTGATCTCGAACTCCTGACCTCAGGTGATCTGCCCGCCTTGGCCTCCCAAAGTGTTGGGATTACAGGTGTGAGCCACCACGCCTAGCAAGAACAGACTTTTTAATTAGACAATTGACAACTCCTTGTCAATTGAATTTTTAAGCAGCTGTTTCAGGAAGACATATTTACATAATAAATCTTTTACTATTCTGGCAAGATATACCAACCTTTTATCTTACACAAAAGTATATGTGATTAAATTTACATATAATTTTCTTCATATGCAAATAAAGCATTTAATTTTCAAGTGGAATTTTATCTACCTAAACTCTGGTGGTGGTTATAAATTTTGTTTTATCACTTCCATGCTATGAATTTTTTTCTGTTATGATAAGAGATTTTTGTAATCAGCCACACGCTTATTTCTGGTCCCCTTGTGACCAACAGAATGTCACTTTTTTGATAACTGAGGGGTCATAACCTGGGGCCATGGAATAAAGAGGATTGATTGTACCATCCAGATTATCTGCCACGAGTCTCTGGGAGCCTGTATCGCGCCTATTATAATAGTATTTAATAGTAGTCTCGGGTTGGGCATGGTGGCTTACACCTGTAATCCCAGCACTTTGGGAGGCCAAGGCGGGCGGATCACTTAAGATCAGGAGTTCCAGACCAGCCTGGGCAACATGGTGAAACCCCGTCTCCACTAAAAATACAAAAATTAGCCAGGTATGGTGACGTATGCCCATAGTCCCAGCTGTTCGCGAGGCTGAGGCACGAGAATCGTTTGAGCCCAGGAGGCAGAGGTTGCAGTGAGCCAAGATCTCACCATTGCACTCCAGCCTGGGCAAGAGAGCAAGACTCCATCTCAAAAAAAAAAAAAAATAGTAGTCTGTTGGCCTACCTTGTACAATTTGTTCCATCAGAAAAGTTTATTGACATTTGTGTTTCAAATAGGAAAGCCTCTTTTCTCTTATATGTGAATTTGTGATATTTATACTATATGTGAGTTTGACTCCTGGCCTTTCTTTTATAATCAGGAGTTTCTGGAGTCCAGGTGGCTTTGAACTAACCAACAGCCCTTGTCCAGCTCCTTAACCCTTACTTTGAGAAAGCCCTGCATTCATTTTAAATAACACATTTAGATATGCTTTAAAGCAAGAATGTACTTACATATACTTTAAAGCATAAGCAACAAATGTATCTATAAAAAAACAGTATTGCTGAACTCCAAAAACCAGGAAGTTCTTTTTTTTTTTTTGAGGCGGAGTGTCGCTCTGTCGCCCAGGCGGGAGTGCAGTGGCGCAATCTCGGCTCACTGCAAGCTCCGCCTCCCGGGTTCACGCCATTCTCCTGCCTCAGCCCCCGAGTAGCTGGGACTACAAGCGCCCGCCACCACGCCTGGCTAATTTTTTTGTATTTTTAGTAGAGACGGGGTTTCACCGTGTTAGCCAGGATGGTCTCGATCTCCTGACCTCGTGATCCGCCCGCCTAGGCCTCCCAAAGTGCTGGGATTACAAGCGTGAGCCACTGCGCCCGGCCAGGAAGTTCTTAAAATAGTGTTTGTCAAAGAGAAACTACCTATCTCACAAAAGGAGTGACTGAAGTATGTTCAGTTGTTTTAAACTCTTCAACAAATATACACACTTCTTTTGTAGATGTAGCGAACTGCTTTGTTTACTGGAACCCACAGTGTCCAAAGCTGTTACTTTGCCTGGTGAATAGGTAGAATATTTAGCCTTTATTTTTAAAATATTTTCATTTAGTAAAGCAGCAGTTGCTGTGTTGGCAAAAGTGTGAATTTCATTTCCTGTCTGTGGTGTGGCCCACTCATCCTGTCACTCAGACATTTTGTTTTAGGTTGTTCCCGTAATGTGAGTGGAACAGAGTGACCCACAGTAGGGTGGCATGTGAACACCACGGTTGTAACAAGAGAGAAGGCTTGTGCAACAGACCACAAGAGAGTAATGCTTTATTTAAAGATGAAAACAAAATAAAATCAAGGCACCACCACCCCCAGCCAGCATGCAGATTTTTAAAGTGACATCTGTGGATTCTTTTGTTTTTAGAAGGTGTGTTTCAGTCTATTTGGCAGGTTACCTCAAAGGTTTTATTAGCTTCATGGACTTTATTAAAGGATAAAATTGAATCAATGTCTGATAACATTATAGAGGTGATTTAACTTCATTTGCTAATCTATCATCAAACATCTTAAAGTCCATTAATCTGCCACATATATTGAGTTATATAATTTATTACTTTTACATGTGAGACTTGTCCTAAATTACAATTTCTGCTACAGTGACAGGACAGACATACAGTGTGGAAAAAACTGGGATAAATTCATTCATCCATCACCTATTGTTCAAGCAGCTAATACGTGCCTTAGACTATTTCCAGTGCTGCAGCTACAGTGATGCACAAAATTAAGTCCTTGCCCTCTTGGAGCTTATATTCTACTATAGGAAGGTAACCACAACAGGTATACACCTAAATAAATATAATTTTAGTTTATGATAAATATTCTGAAGGAAACAAAACAGAACAACAGGATAGAGTATGATTGGAATTGGGGGAAGGAGCAGTGATATGTAAGCTGAGACTTACATAATGATAGGCCACAAGAAAAGTATTCCAAGTAGGGAACAGAAAGCACAAAGTCCCTCAAACATCGAAGAAACAGAAAGAAGAATCATAGATCATGGTAAACAAAAGGGGAGATGATACAAGATCAGAGGAGTAGTCCTGTAGGATGTTACAGGTCCTTGAAGACCAAGCTAAAGACTGGTTTTTTTATTTACAAGTACAAAAGGAAGCATTTGGAGGGTTTTAAGCAGGGAAGTGACACTGTACAATCGATGTTTTTTAAGTCACTCTGGTTGCTATTTGGTGAGTAGATAGATAATCGAGGGCAGAAGTGGTTGCAGATAGACCTGTTAAGAAGTTTTTTTTTGATACAGCACCTGGGGTTTGTTTCACTTTAGGGGCAAGGTAAAATGGGTGAGGATGTAGAAGAAACAAAATTTGCCACAAATTAAAGCTCAAATGTGATGGGAACATGGGGGCTTACTTATCATAGTTATTCCCTCTACTTTTGTGTATGTTTGAAATTTTCTATAATAAAAGGCTTAAGAAAAACTTTTTAAATAGTGGTCCAAGTAAGGAATGCTGGTGCCATGGACCAGTGTGATAGTGGTGATAGGGATAAGTGGGCAGGTTCAAGATATATTTGAAAGTAAAGCTCACAGGACTTGCTAATGGATTAGATATATATTATAGGAAGGAAAGACACTAAGGATGACTATTAGGTGTTTTGCCTAAACAACTGGGAGAATGAGGCTGGAGAACGAGGCCAGAGATTGACTTGAGGGTGGGGGAACTCAAGAATTTAGTTTTGGCAACGTCAATTTAACATTGCCAGTTAAGATTTCCAAGTGGAAATACTGAGTAGACAATGTCATTTACAGTCTGCTAGCTAACCTTTAATAGCAGTACTGTACTCAAAAGCAATTTAGAATCCTCTATTAGGTATTTCTAAACTTGGCTATTTGTGAGTTAAGTTCTGTCCTTTCAGATTCTGTGAGAAACTTGATGGATAACTTGAAAGGCTTATTTAGTTTATTGATATGAAATAATTTAGATTTATTTTCTGGTTGTTTGTGGGTATCCACTAGTTTTTGTGTTTTGCTTTTTTTTTTTTTTTTTTTTTAAGAGACAGAGTCTTGCTCTGTCGCCCCAGCTGGAGTACAATGGCGCCATCATAACTCACTATAATCTCGAACTCCTAGGCTCAAGTGATCCTCCCACCTCACCCTCCTGAATAGCTAGGACTACAGGCATGTGATACCACCCCCAGCTATTTTTAAAATATTTTTTCAGAGATGGAGTCTCACTGTGTTGCCTAGCCTGGTCTCAAACTCCAAGACTCAAGCAATCCTCTTGGCTTGGCCTCCCAAAGCACTGGGATTACAGGCATGAACCACTGTGACCAGACCAGTAATTGTATTTTGAATAGTTACTATCCTCAGCAGTAATTCTCCACCTATATTATCATCTTGTGAATGACAAACTCAAGTAGGTTAAACACACTTCCTGCCTACTACTTTTCACTGAGTATGGGGATACAAGTTGGCAGTAGTAAAATTTTGAGGTAACATTTTACTGTTGTGTATATTTTAAACAAATTTTTTTTGCAAACTTTGGACCTATTACTAGTAGCTAAATATTGTAACATACTTCACATCTGATCAGGACGGTATTGAAACATCATTACTGATAACCTTCTACTAATCTACTTATAATAACTAATATTTATTAAGGGCTTTTTACTGTATGCTAGGCACCACTTTAAGAAGCTCTGTTCTCATTGGCTCTTTACAACAACTTCATTTTATTATCCCTGTTTTACAGATAAGGAAATTTAGGCCTACTCTATTAGGAAGAAGTAAAGCCAGGATTCAAACTCAGGCATTCTGGTTTCAGAGCCTGCGCTCTTAACTGCTGCCATGTAATGTATATAGAATATTGTAAGTTTTGGCTGGGCGCAGTGGCTCACATCTGTAGTCCTAGCACTTTGGGAGGCCGAGGCTGGTGGATCACATGACATCAGGAGTTCAAAACCAGCCTGGCCAACGTGGTAAAACCCCATCTCTATTAAAAATACAAAAATTAGCTGGTCGTGGTGGCTCGCTCCTGTAATCCCAGCTACTCAGGAGGCTGAGGCAGGAGAATTACTTGAACCTGGGAGGCGGAGGTTGTTGCAGTGAGCCGAGATCGCACCACTGCACTCCAGCCTGGGCAACAGAGTGAGACTCCATCTCAAAAAAAAAGAATATTGTAAAGTTTTGTTTCAGAAAACTTGTCTAGAGGCCACGCACAGTGGCTCACGTCTGTATTCCCAGCACTTTGGGAGGCCGAGGTGGGCGGATCATTTGAGGTCAGGAGTTTGAGACCATCTTGACCTACATAGTGAAACACTCTCTACTAATATTCAAAAATTAGCTGGGTGTGGTGGCGGGCGCCGGTAATCCCAGCCTACTCGGGAGGCTGAGGCAGGAGAATCACTTGAACCCAGGAGGCGGAGGTTGCAGTGAGCCAAGATCACGCCACTGCACTCCGGCCTGGGCAACAGAGCAAGACTCCCTTTCAAAAAAGAAAAAGAAAGCAAACTTGTCTAGAGTAGACAGGAGCGTATGAGTGAGTAACCACAGCCTCTCTTGATTATGTTTTTACTTCGTTCCATGAAGTTGGGACTTTGGAATAGAGAAGAGAGAATCCAAAAGTGGTTATCCATCCTACTCTTTGATTTCCTTTCCTAAGTAATTTATTTTCTTTTGACTTTTTCCTTGTAGCATCAGCGAGAGCTTTCTAACTGTCAAAGGTGCTGCCCTTTTTCTACCACGGGGAAATGGCTCATCCACACCAAGAATCAGCCACAGACGGAACAAGCATGCAGGTAATGCTTGCATATACACCATTTCTTTCTTGGTAACTATATCTTTTGTTACATTCTAAAAGGTTGACTACCTCATCCCCATCTCTTCAGAAGTTCTTTAATGGTGAAAGAAAGCATTGTACAGGGCCGTAATGACTTTTACCCTCACAGACCAATTTTTTTAGCGCTTCGCAAAAAGCCTTTTACACATAGTAGATGTTCAATACATTTTTGTTGGAATAATAATAAGACGGTACCAAAATAATGAAGTTATATGGAACTTCTCAGTTAAGATTGGGGTTGTTTTGTTTTGTTTTGTTTTTTTGAGATGGAGTTTCGCTGTGTCACCCAGGGTGGAGTGCAGTGGCACGATCCCAGATCACTGCAACCTCCACCTCCTGGGTTCAAGCGATCCTCTTGCCTCAGCCTCCTGAGTAGCTGGGACTACAGGCGCCCGCCACCACGCCCAGCTCATTTTTGTATTCTTAGTAGAGACAGGGTTTTACCACATTAGCCAGGCTGGCCTCGAACTCCTGACCTCAGGTGATCTGCCTGCCTCAGCCTCCTGAAGTGCTGGGATTACAGACTTCAGCCACCACGCCCGGCCAGGGTTGTTTTTTTTTTTTTGAGACAGACTCTCACTCTGTCACCCAGGCTAGAGTGCAATGGCATAATCTCAGCTCATTGCAACCTCCGCCTCCTGGATTCAAGCAATTCTCCTGCCTCAACCTCCCAAGTAGCTGGGACTACAGGCATGCACCACCACATGCAGCTAATTTTTGTGTTTTTAGTAGAGATGGTGTTTCACCATGTTGGCTAGGCTGGTGTCGAACTCCTGGCCTGAGGTGATCCACCCACCTCAGTTATCCAAAGTGCTAGGATTATAGGTGTGAGTCCCCGCACCCAGCCCTCAGTTAAGGTTTTGAGTGTTCAGATTAAAAATGTTCAGGTGGGCCAGGCACATTGGCTCACAGATGTAATCCCAGCACTTTGGGAGGCTGAGGCAAGAGGATTGCCTGAGTCAAGGACTTTGAGACCGGCCTGGGCAAGATGGTGAAATCCCATCTCTACAAAAAAAAAAAAAAAAAAATTTTAAATTAGCCAAATGTGGCCAGGCACAGTGGCTCACACCTGTAATCCTAGCATTTGGGGACGCCAAGGCAGGTGGATCACCTGAGGTCAGAAGTTCGAGACCAGCCTGGCCAACATGGTGAAACGCTGTCTCTACTAAAAATACAAAAATTAGCTGGGCGTAGTGGTACACTGCTGTAATCTCAGCTGCTCTGGAGGCTGAGGCAGGAGAATCACTTGAACCTGGGAAGCGAAGGTTACAGTGAGCCGAGATCATGCCACTGCACACCAGCCTGGGCAACAGAGCAAGACTCCACTTCAAAAAAAGAAAATTAGTGACGTGTGGTGGTGTACACCTGTGGTCCTAGCTACCTGGGAGGCTGAGGTGGGAGGGTCACTTGAGCCTGGGAGGTTGAGACTGCAGTTAGCCCTCTTTGCACCACTGCACTCCAGCCTTGGTGACAGAGTGGGACCCTGTCTCAAAAAAAAAAAAAAAAAAAAAAAGAGCCAGGCACGGCTCGCGCCTATGATCCCAGCACCTCGGGAGGCCGAGGCAGGTGGATCACCTGAGGTCAGGAGTTTGAGACCAGCCTGGCTAACATGGCGAAACCTCATCTCTATAAAAAATACAAAAATTAGGCCGGGCACAGTGGCTCACGCCTGTAATCCCGGCACTTTGGGAGGCTGAGACGGGCGGATCACAAGGTCAGGAGATCGAGACCATCCTGGCTAACATGGTGAAACTCCGTCTCTACTAAAAATTTAAAAAAATTAGCCGGACATGGTGGCGGGCGCCTGTGGTCCCAGCTATTCAGGAGGCTGAGTCAGGAGAATGGTGTGAACCCGGGAGGCGGAGCTTGCAGTGAGCTGAGATCACGCCACTGCACTCCAGCCTGGGCGACACAGTAAGACTCCATCTCAAAAAAAAAGAAAAAAAGAAAAAAATACAAAAATTAGCAGGCATGGTGGTGCGCGCCTGTAGTCCCAGCTACTCAGGAGGCTGAGGCAGGAGAATTGCTGGAACCTGGGAGATGGAGGTTGCAGTGAGCTGAGATTGCGCTGCTACCCTCCAGCCTGGGCGACAGAATGAGACTCCATCTCAAAAAGAAAAAAAGAAGTTTAGCTGTTCCCTTGAATCTTATTCAGAATTACTTCAACTAATCAAAGATTCAATTTCTGATTTCTTTCTACTGTCTGGTGATGGTATGAGGAGGGGAATGATACAGAATATACTAAGATAAACTTTTTGCTGTGATAATGAGTCATTATGTCACATATTAAAATGCCAGTGTCTGCTACTTGAATGTATACACTAAAAAGACTGGAAATTCAACCCAGAAGGAATCATCAAATGTTCACATAGGAATGAGTATAAGACTCTTGTTTTGAAATATCAACTAACAGTAGTATATGCACTGTATTCTTTTATATTGGATTTCTCTAAAATCAGGAACACCTGTGATGATGAGGTTTTAAAAGAACCGTAGAAAATGTGTCTTAGGGAGAGAGATCTCCAGGTATAGGATATCCACAGTTTAAGAAGATAACCTAATGCTTCTCTTCTACTGGCAGACCTTATTTATCATTTTGGGGAAAAAAAATAAAAGTCAGCCTGAGGACACTAATCCTGATCAGTAGTACAGAAAGAGGTGATTGCTTGTTGTCATAAATGGGCCACTTTGACCACTTATGACCTCCAGGAGTGAAAAAAATTGTAATTACTAAGAAAGGAACAAAGACTACGATAACCTTAAGTGTTTAGGTCAGAGGTAAAAGCCAAAAATATTGGATCCCATTGAGCCAGTAGTTGAGCATAGCTTTAGTCAAGATAATCTCGGCTGTTTTAGTGGCTGCCCTACTACTTGTTTGGGCCTTCACCTAGTTGCAACTGTGGCAGCTCAGAATCATAATCCATTTTGTTTGGACAATATTTTCCTCCTACCAGAACTCTCCAGCCATGGAAAATTTTTTAGAGTAAGGGAAGAAATAACCTCTTTTGGAAATTAGCTTGGATTACACTTTCTAAAACCTTCCTCCCCAGTGCCCAGTACCAGAGGTCGGGTAGGGGAGGACACTTCCCCAAAAAACTTGAATGTGCAGATGAAGTATGCCCACTAAGCTTTTTATTTCTTTTCAGTGTGGATATTTATCCCTTACAGTAAAAAGAAGACAAATTATTGGTTTAAATCCAGTTTGTCTGACTAGAATGTTGGGCAAATTACTCTATGGCATGTGATAGTTAATGGGGTCAGTGGCTTTTAAAGCTCCTGGCACTGGTTGGCATTTTTCTTTGGTCAAACTTCTACACTCAGCTGCCACCCAGGTTTCTACTTGACATTGTTCACTTAGCTTTCCTCATACTAAAAAGAAAAGCAGATTTAACACAAGCTGAATGGACTTGCTTGTGATCCAGACCGGAACAGATGAGGCAGTGCGAGTATAAACTCAGCTTGTAAAAGCCAGGCTGTCACATAAACTGAAGCTGCCTTGGCCAGGCCCACAGTAACTGCAAGTTGATGGCAGAATTGAGAGCAGATCAAGGGCTTACCTTGTCTAGTTGTACTTCCTTATGCATGTTTCTTGAACTAGTTAGAATTTTTTAACTGGGCTGCATTTGAAATATCCAAATACTATTTTGCAATCAAAAAAGGGTATTATGGGTGAATGTCTGCCAGTATTTTAAATGGAAACAATGAAAAGTCTATAAAATCCAATAGAAATTTGAAATTTAGCTCCTAGAAATGAAGTATATGGTAGGGAAATGTAGGGAAGGTTATCTTAATGCTATATCAATATATTGCCTTCTGTTAGACTCTGTGAAGAACAGTTGCCCAGTAGGAAATGATATGCAGTTTGCTCAGAGCAGTAAGTACTTTTTGCAGCTGACAAACCTGAGCTTCCAACTCGCATAAGAAGGCTTACTTGAGTAGGACTCCTGGTTTTTGTCTGAGCTTCAAATAAGCCAGCTGAATCTTTGGGCCAGTAGTGTTTGGAGTGGGGACTTTGGGCTGCTATTTAGGGTTCTCCTCCAGAAGTTCTCCATCCTAAAAATCCTTTCCTCTGGTTATTTCTACTGGTAGGACAGAAGGAAACTTAATTTTAAAGAAGCTCAGCCCTGGTGCAGTGGTCTGTGCCTGTAATCCCAGCATTTTGGGAGGCCGAGGCAGACAGATTGCTTGAGCTTAGGAGTTTGGGACCAGCCTGGGCAACATGGTGAAACCTCATCTCTACAAAAAATACAAAAAATTAGCTAGGCGTTGTGGTGCACAACACCTAGGGTAGTTAGTCCTGGCTACCCTGGAGGCTGAGGTGGGAGGATTGCTTGAGCCCAGGAGGTCACAGCTGTAGGGAGCTGTGATAGCGCCACTGTACTCCAGTCTGGGTGGTAGAGTAAGACCCTGTCTCAAGAAAAAAATAAAATAAAAAGTATCCTCAGTTGCTTAACTCAGTTGCAACTTGTAACTCCGGTAGCTTTTCACTGTTTATACCTAACACTTTGTCTCCTCATACTTGTTCTTTTATTTTTTGTTTAACAGCTTTATTGAGATATAATCCACATACCATATAATTCACCCAGTTTACTCATTTAAAGTGTACATGCATTGGTTTTTAGAATAGTCACAGAGTTGTACAGCCATCACCACAATCTAATTTTAGAACATTTTTATCGCCCTGAAAATAAACCCGATGTCCATTAGCAGGCACTCCCTATTTCTCTCACCCTCTCTACCAGCCCTAAGCAACCACTAATCTACTTTCTGTCTCTATAGATTTGCCTATTCTGGATGTTCTGTAAATGGATTCATATGAATGGATTTTTGAGTTAGGCTCCTTTTACTTAGCATGTTTTCAAAGGTCATCCATGGTATAGTATGTATCAGTACATCATTCCTTTTTATGACCAAATAATATTACATTTTGTGGATAATACCACATTTTATTTATCCATTCATCATTTGATAGACATTTGAGTTGTTTCCACTTTTTTGCTATTATGAATAATGCTGTATTATAGATGTGTGTACAACTTTTTGGGTGGACATACGTTTTGATTTCTCTTGGGTTTGTGCATATGAGACTTAGATTGTGTCCCTGGCCTTGAAATGTAGTAGAATGGATCTGGCCAAACATAATGACTCTCCATTTTAATTTTGAAAATTGAAAGATTCTGCAATATGGAATTAATTGGTCAGAAGCCAGCAGTGAAAACCATCCTTTTTGGTTTGGGGTGGGGGAGTTGTTTGGTTTTTGTTTATTTATTTATATTTAAATATAAGGTCTTGCTCTGTCACCCAGGCTGGAGTGCAGTGGCATGATCATAGCTCACTAGCCTCAAGCACTCCCCCGCTTCAGCCTCCCAAAGTGCTGAGATTAAGAAAACTATTCTGTATGAGAAGGAAAGAGGGAGAAGAAAGGAAAGGCTTTCAGACTTGCTGACCATTTAGACAAACGCACCAACCCGTTTGCCAACCTATTTTTTTTTCTTCCTGCCTCTATCCACTTCTTGTACATAACAGTATTTCATCTCATAATTAACAGCTATTAGTTAACTGAAGGAAAATTATGTAGATTTCAAGACCAATGTGAGAACAAGTTATACTGGCATTCATGGTTATGTGACTATGTCAGTCACCTTAGACTTTAATAAGGGCAAGATCTGAGTGGGCAAGAATGAGGTTTTTTTGTTCACAGATTTTCATAATTTATGATAGTACATTATTTATCTCCTGCTATCTAAAGCCTCAGATTTCCTAGGAATATGAGGAAATCTATAATAGTTAAAACAAAGAAATTTCAACTTAGTTTGACAAGATGTATAAGAACAAGTGAAGATTCAAATAATGGTTGGCCATTTTAAAGAACCTAATAATATGTTCAGGAGAATATATATCCCTTATGTGGCATACTTAATATATACTCTCATTGGCCAGGCACTGTGGCTCACGCCTGTAATCCCAGCACTTTGGGAGGCCGAGGCAGGCGGATCACAAGGTCAGGAGATCAAGACCATCCTGGCTAACACGGTGAAACCCCATCTCTACTAAAAATACAAAAAATTAGCCGGGCATGGTGGCAGGCGCCTGTAATCCCAGCTACTCGGGAGGCTGAGGCAGGAGAATGATGTGAACTTGGGAGGCGGAGCTTGCAGAGCAGAGATCGCACCACTGCACTCCAGCCTGGATGACAGAGCGAGACTCTTGTCTCAAAAAATACACACACACACACACACACACACGTACGTATATATATACATACATAGGTGTGTGTGTGTGTGTGTGTGTGTGTATATATATATGTATATATGTTTTTGAGACAGAGTCTCGCTGTGTCGCCCAGGCTGGAGTGCAGTAGCGCAATCTTGGCTCTGCAAGCTCTAGCATGAGTTTTAATTTTTTTTTGAGATGGAGTCTCGCTCTGTCGCCCACACTGGAGTGTAGTGACTGATATTATAATGACAGTATATATATACACACACATATATGTGTATATATATTTATATGTATGGATATGTATAAATATAAATATATATTTATATGTATGGATATTATGAGAGTATATATATACACACATATGTGTATATATGTATGTATATTTATATACATATATGCATGTGTATATACATATATATACGTGTGTGTGTATATATATATTTTTTGAGACGGAGTCTCACTCTGTGTATATGTATACGTATATACATATGTGTGTGTGTGTGTGTGTGTGTGTGTGTGTGTGTATATATATACATACTCTCATTATAATATCAGTCACTACACTCCAGCGTGGGTGACAGCGAGACTCCATCTCAAAAAAATTAAAATAAATAATAATAATATCAGTCACTAATATGAAAATCATTTTAAACTATTGACCTTATTCTAGGGAGAATCCAAAAGTCTTCCTAGGTCAAATGCAACCGAAGCATATAATTATAGAAATAGGAATGAAAAAATGGTTAGCTTTTTAAAAGTTATGGATAATTCCTCTAACACTACACTACTACACCCATTTTCAAAGTGCCCTCATTGCTACCTTCAGTGGGCCCAAAAACAGCCAGTGGGTGCTACCTCTGCCTAACAGATCTCACCAACAAGTCTCTCATGAACATCCACCATAATACAAAACTGAGACTGGTCTCAAGTGTACCTTTCATAGAACAGACATAAATTTTAATGTAGTATAGACTAAAAGCAAATGTATTAAGATGCAGTCTAGCAGTCTGTCTTTCCATTTTAAAAGAAGTTAATAATCATTTAATTTCTATGTCTAATTAGAGTCCTTTAATGAATCAGAACTTTCTTTTACAAAAGTCACTAAAGTAGAAGGAATCCTCTCTGTCAACATTAGAATGGAGAATAATTATCCTTTGGTTTGTAAATTTCACCAGGCGATCTCCAACAGCATCTCCAAGCAATGTTCATTTTACTCCGCCCAGAAGACAACATCAGGCTGGTAAGTTAGTGGTGTCATCATAATTTTCTTCCTCAAAAGACTATCTAAGATAGCCAAAATTGAACAGTCATTTTTACATCCCAACACAGTGCTGGGAACTATGTGAAGTAAGAGAGAAGATAATGTGGAGTGTTGTGAAATAATTTGATGGTTTAAGACTGTTGGTAAGCACCAATTTGTAAGTTATTAACTATAATTACAATTGAAGTTCAGAAAATGGAGAAAAACCTTGGGGATTTGACCTAGATTAGGAAGATTTATGTAGTCAGTGGAGCTTGAGCTGACTGTTGAAAGATGATGAGATTTGGATTGGTAGAAAGAAATTATTCTAGATAAGGACTTAACAAGCAAAAACACACATAGGGAAGGACAAGGAGGGAGTGAAATGGCCAAAGATTGATGCTGGCTTCAGACTCAGGAGACGTGGACTTAGGTCTTTACTAATCATACGATACTGGACAAGTTACTTTACCCTGTCTGTGCCCATTTCCTCATCTCCTGACTACCTCTCACGTTGAGAGGGTCAACTGGACATGAAAACATACTGCATAGTGCAAAATGCTGTCTAAGTATGGGGATTATTATTATGATTATTGGGAAGATAGAGACTAGAAAACAAGGCAGGCAAATATGGATTTAGTGCTGTAAACTGGAGGTCTCAAACTGGCAGTGTATAGGCCAGAGATACATTTTGTTTGGATCACAGTGTTTTTTTAAAAAAACATAAGCCAGAATTTTAAAGTTAGGTGAGATCTAGCATGGGTTCTTAATTTACCATAATCCTCTTTGTGAGACGGAGTCTTGCTCTTTTGCCCAGGCTGGAGTGCAGTGGCACAATCTCGGCTCACTGCAACCTCCACCTCCCAGGTTCGATCGATTCTCCTGCCTCAGCCTCCCGAGCAGCTGGGACTACAGGCGCACACTACCATGCTCAGCTAATTTTTGTATTTTTAGTAGAGATGGGGTTTCACCGTATTGGACAGGCTGGTCTCGAACTCCTGACCTCGTGATCCACCCACCTTGGCCTCCCAAAGTGCTGGGATTACAGGCGTGAGCCACAGTGCCCAGCCCCTATTGTCTTCTTAAGTCAAGTGTCACCATTTGTCATCATTCCTGCACTGTTGTAGTAATACCTCCAATAAAACTAGGAAAACAAAACTGAGATGACCATATTTCTTTGTGGAAATTGGAAAGTATTTCTACCCATTCAATATTCACGTGGCTTACTTTCCTTATTTACATTTCCCATCTGAGCCTCTCAGGGGTGTCCAATCATTTGGCTTCCCTGGACCACACTGGAAAAAGAAGAATTGTCTTGGGCCACATATAAAATACACTAACGATAGCTGATGAGCTTAAAAAAAAAATCACAATATCTCATAATGTTTTCAGAAAGTTTATGAATTTATGCTGGGCCACATTGAAAGCCATCTTGGGCCACGGGTTGCACAAGCTTGCTGCCTGCTCTAGATTACTAACTAAAGGTAGTACCTCTCCCTTTTCAATAAGCACTTGTGAAACATTACAGGTTTTTGAGCCAAAGAATGCCGTGGGACAGCTATAGTAGTTAGGGAAGATTCCTCAGAAGCTAATACAGAATAGAGAGGAGGAAAAGATCATTTTAAATCAGGGAGGCCTGCTAGGGTAGTTATTGCAGTAATCTAGGTATGTGGTAATGAGTCCTTTGATTAGAATATATAAAAATTTAAAGGAATCTTTTCATAGTTATTTTATATCTTAATTTTAATTTTTTAAATGTTTTATATCCTAACCAAAAGTAACATTATACATTTATATAAATCTTGTCTGTATTTCTTGATATATTTCTTTCTTAAATAATTATCTAAGGCCAGGCACAGTGGCTCATGCCTGTAATCCCAACACTTTGGGAGGCCGAGGTGGGCAGATCATTTGAGGTCAGGAGTTCAAGACCAGCCTGGCCAACATGGTAAAACCCTGTCTCTACTAAAAATACAAAAATTAGCCAGGTGTGTTGGCACACACCTGTAGTCCCAGCTACTCAGGAGGCTGAGGCAGGAGAATCACTTGAACCCAAGAGGCGGTGGTTGCAGTGAGCCGAGATTGTGCCATTACACTCCAACCTGGATGACAGAAGAAGATTCTGTCTCAAAAAATAATAATAATGTTATTATTATTATTTAAAAGGGAACGGGGGGGATGCTATTCTTACAGTATTAATAATCTGGAGTGATTGGGGTGTGGTGGCTCATGTCTGTAATCCTAGCACTTTGGGAGGCCAAGGCAGGAGGATCGCTTGAGCCCAGGAGTTCAAGACCAGCCTAGGCAACATGGCAAAACCCTGTCTCTACAAAAAGTAAAAAATTGGCTGGGCATAGTGGCATGCCAGCTACTCGGGAGGCTGCAGTGGGAGTATTGCTTGAGCCTGGCAGGTCAAGGCTGCAGTGAGCCATGATCACGCCACTGCCCTCAACCTGGGCAACAGTGCAAGACCCTCTAATAATAATCATCATCATCATCTGAAGCAATGATTCTCCAACTTTAAAGTATATCAGAATCACATGGAGAGCTTTGTTAAATCACCAATTGGTGGACTCCACATGCAGAGTTCGATTAGTAAAGGGGAAGCAGAGATAATTTGTATTTTTAAGCCAGTTTCGAAACACTGCTGATGCTGCTGATCCAGGAATCACACTTGGAGTACACCTCTTTGAAAACCCATAACAACAGTCACTTGCACATACTGGATGCCCAATAAATATTTGCTGATAGCTTTCAACATTTGTGTGTTTTGGTAAAGCTAAAGCTTTAAAGAGATCTAACATCACTTTATCGTTTTCTCATTGATAACCTTCTGGAATTTGGTTTGAACCTCTAAATATTAAAATAATTTTAACTACATAGAGACTTGGAAGAACATGAAGGAAGCAGTTACAAAGGCAGAGCTGGCAATTCTTTTCTTACTAAAATATGCATCTTCAGCTGCTTTACATTTATAAAATATAAATTCAGAAAATGTAACTGATGCCTCTGAATTCAAAGTTCAAATGACAAGCCGTTTTACAGTTGTTTTGAGTTGTTACAAACACATAGTCATTATGTTTCAGCTTATTGAGTGAGTCATCTTCAAGAAAATGAGTCAATGCATTGTATGACTTTGGACAAATTAGCACTTCTGTAACTGAAAGGAGCATTTGTAGACTCAAAGCAAAGGCTTTTGTTTTGAGTTAAATTTGTAATGCTGAAACTCTGAAGATTTGTGCAGAAGGTTAAAAGTTTGATAGTCAACTGAAAGTCTTGTTTTTTTTTTTTTATTTTTTATTTATTTATTTATTTTTTTGAGACAGAGTCTTGCTCTGTCGCCCAGTCTGGAGTGCAGTGGCTCGATCTTGGCCCATTGCAACCTCTGCCTCCCGAGTTCAAGTGATTCTCCTGTCTCAGCCCCCCGACTAGCTGGGATTACAGGCCCATGCCACCATACCCGGCTAATTTTTTGTATTTGTAGTAGAGACAGGCTTTCACCATGTTGGCCAGGCTGGTCTTGAACTCCTGACCTCAAGTGATCTGCCCATCTCGGCCTCCCAAAGTGCTGGGATTACAGGCATGAGCCACCGCGCCCGGCTGAAAGTCTTGACTTCATTTTTTAAATAACCCAACCAAACCACACATTTTGCTTTAGCATTGAAAATAAGCCGGGCACAGTGGCTCACGCCTATAATCCCAGCACTTTGGGAGGCCGAGGCGGGTGGATCACGAGTTCAGGAGATCGAGACCATCCTGGCTAACACGGCGAAACCCCGTCTCTACTAAAAATACAAAAAATTAGCCGGGCGTGGTGGCAGGTGCCTGTAGTCCCAGCTACTCAGGAGGCTGAGGCAGGAGAATGGTGTGAACCCGGGAGGCAGAGCTTTCAGTGAGCCGAGATCGTGCCACTGCACTCCAGCCTGGGCAACAGAGCGAGACTCTGTCTCAAAAAAAAAAAAAGAGAGAAAATAGGACAAAGCCAATCTTTTCCTCCAGGGAAGCTCTGTGTTCCAAATACAGGCATCAAGCATTAACTGTAGTACTTAGAAAAACTGTAGCTAGTAAAATAAAGAAAGTGGTTTTATAGTACTCTTGCACGTTACCAAAGATCAACCATTTAATTAAAACATTAATCTGAGAAATTAAGAATTTTCAGGACATTTGAAGTAATTTCAATTGATGTTCTTAACTAAAGCTGAAGTGTTGATAAGGTACAAAGAGGTCTTTTTTGAGTATTTTGCAGGAGAATTCAAGAAAATGAGAAGTTTTATGATTTTGGTTTTCATCATATGTTGCTTTCTAAAATGGAAATTGGTTCATTTTTTCTAGCTATAAATGTATTATGTGGGGTTTTTTTTTCTCCCAAACAATGCAAAAAGGTATAAATAAAATAAAAATCACTCTGTATTCTACATTCTGAGAAAATCGTTCTCAGCAATTTGGATAAGTATCCTTCCACTCTTTTTTTAAATATGTATATATGAGAGAGAGAGTGTGTGTGTCTATGTGTGTGTGTGTGTCTGTGTGTGTGTGTGTGTAAAGAGTGAGAGGAAGAGCATTGTTTTGTTTCTACGAAAATGTGATAAAAATAGAAATACCTTTTTGTAACCTACTTTCTTCATAGTTTATCATGGATATCTTTCCATGTCAATAAATAAATCATGGTTTTTAATGGCTACACAGAATATAATTCATATTTAAGAATTTCATACAGACTGATTTAAAAAAAAATTCAGAGACTTCCTGAAGCTCTAATCTTTTTCTTTTGAAGACAGTGTTCTTTAGTTTACTAGTGTCACAAGTGAAGCCTGTTTTAATTTTGGCTATTGATTTTGCTTCATTCTTTTGACTAGCATTTAATATTTACCTACTTTTGGAACCTTTCTCTCTGATGGATTGGGTGAACTGCCTGTCTTAGACATTGGGCCTTTATAATGTAGTTTACTGGGGGTAATTAATTTCTTTTCACCAAGAGTCTTACATCATGCACACAGGGGCATGCATGTAAGACTCTTGGTGTAAAGAAATTAAGTCTTTTTTTTTTTTTTTTTGAGACAGAGTTTCACTCTTTTGCCCAGGCTGGAGTACAATGGCGCAATCTTGGCTCACCACAACCTCCGCCTCCCAGGTTCAAGCGATTCTCCTGCCTCAGCCTCCTGAGTAGCTGGGATTACCGGCATGCGCCACCACGCCTGGCTAATTTTTTGTATTTTTAGGAGAGACCGGGTTTCTCCATATTGGTCTGGCTGGTCTTGAACTCCCGACCTCAGGTGATCTGCCCGCCTTGGCTTCCCAAAGTGCTGGGATTATAGGCGTGAGCCACTGCACCCAGTGGTGAAAAGAAATTAAAGGCAAAGTTACAGTTTAAGCTTAAGGAGGAGTATTTCCTGATGTTAGATGATGCTGAGGAGAGAAGCTCTTTTTTTTTTTTTTTTTTTTTTTTGAGATGGATCTCGCTTTGTCACCCAGGCTGGAATGCAGTGGTGTGTTCTCGGCTTATTGCAGCCTCTGCCTCCTGGGTTCAACTGATTCTCACGACTCAGCCTCCTGAGTAGCTGGGATTACAGGTACATGCCATGATGCCCTGCTAATTTTTGTATTTTTAGTAATACTCCCACTGCAGCCTCCCGAGTAGCTGGCATGCCACTATGCCCAGTTTGTAAACTGCTTGTAATTAGGTTAAACATTTAAATTGGATGCCGAGGGAATAGCATTATTCTTTAATAGATGAGCTTTGAAAACAGATTGGGTTCTTCAGGAATAAAGAGGCAGGGGATGACTTCTCAGACCTACTTCAGTCCTAAGATTGCTGGATCCAATTCACCTGTAACTTGTAATAGGATTCCACATTTAGGCAGTAAATGTAGTTTCTTGGAAATATAATCTTAGTTACTATTGCTGCCAAGTTTTAAAGTCCAGAATAATTGTTTTGTTTAGACAATTAAAATGGACTTCAGTAGTGTCCTTTTCAAGGAGAACTTTAGTTGATAAATCAAATGCATCTCAATTATTGTCTTATTCCAGTCATTGATTTCAATATAGGTTCTGGAGACTGAAGAAACATTGGAAATGCTGTCCTTTTCAAAATTAGGATATTATGTACAAAATTGCCATTTTAAATTTATTTGATTGTGTTAATAAATTATTAGATTTTGCTTAATCTTATCTCCAACAGAGGAATACGAAATAAACCTTAAACCAGGATGGGCGTTAGACTTTTCCTTATGGCTGCGGCACATAGATTTTTAATTCCTTAACCTAGAATCTTGAAGCTTAAAAGGAACTTTTTTTTTTTTTTGAGAGTCTCACTTGCCCTGTCGCCCAGGCTGGAGTGGAGTGGCGTGATCTCAACCTACTGCAACCTCCTCCTCCTGGGTTCCAGCAATTCTCCTGCCTCAGCCTCCTGAGTAGCTGGGATTATAGACACATGCCACCACACCCAGCTAATTTTTTTTGTATTTTTAGTAGAGAGAGGATTTTGCCCTGTTGGCCAGCTGATCTCGAACTCCTGACCTCAAGCGATCCACCTGCCTCAGCCTCCCAAAGTTTTGGGATTACAGACGTGAGCCACTGCGCCCGGCCTAAAAGGAACTTTAATTAAAGTCTTGGGTTTATCCCCTCACATTTCAGAATTTTTTCTTCAAAGATTTTTATCTCATCCTTCTAATTAGGATATAGGTGTTGAATCAATACTGTAGGTACTGTCTAGAGGCCTGTGATCAAATTCCAGGAACTCTTAAGTGCTATTCTTCCATTTAAGAAGCTTAAAATTGACCAGTCTGGACAACATGGTGAAACCCCATCTCTACCAAAGATACAAAAAATTAGCCAAGCATGGTGGCGGGCACTTGTGGTCCCAGCTCTTTGGGAGGCTGAGGTGGGAAGATTGCTGGACCCCGGGAGGCAGAGGTTGCAGATCACACCACTGCATTCCAGCCTGGGTAACAGAGTGAAACACAAAAACAAAAAAGAAGCTTAAAATTGAATGGATCTGAGATATGCATGTTATTCAAGCCTAAGTCAGTATTAAATGTCTGGGGCCCTTCTCATTAGGTTTGGGAACTTCTGTTACAGTTTGAGTAAGCAAGGGAGAGCCAAACATTTGAAATGCTTTTGATATTATAAAATAAACTTTAAAGAGACATCTGGCCGGGCGTAGTGGCTCGCACCTGTAATCCCAGCACTTTGGGAGGCCGAGGCGGGTGGATCACAAGGTCAAGAGATCGAGAGCATCCTGGCCAACATGGTGAAACCCCATCTCTACTAAAAACACAAAAATGAGCCAGGCGCAGTGGCAGGTGCCCGTAATCCCGTTTACTTGGGAGGCTGAGGCAGGAGAACCGCTTGAACCCGGGGGGCGGGGGTTGCAGTGAGCCAAGATCACACCACTGCACTCCAGCCTGGGCGATAGAGTGAGACTCCATCTCGAAAAATAAAAAAAAAAAAACACTAATGTTTGCAATGAATATCACTTACAAAGAAACTCTTGCAGCCCACTTCTAACTTGGCTGGTAACTTGCATTATAGATAATACTTATGAAAGTTATATTTTTCCTTTTATCAGCTTTGACTTAGCCAATCAGTTGCCACTGGTTGGTGTAGGAGCTGTAAATAAATTGTCAGAAACAAAGTTCATTTGTTCCCAGGCCATTTGTATTTGAGCCTTGCCAGAAATTCTTGGAGCGTTGACAGAGAATAAAAGAGCCTCTAACACATTCAGGAAACTTGGGCCAAGGGAGGCCCAAATATAAATATGTAATAATATGCGAGATCTTGTTTATAAGAAAATCCAGTTTACCTGCACCAGGATTTGTGATTAATTAACATGTTGTAGAGTGTTTCTACAATCAGAGAAGGAGTCAGTACTGCCTCCCGGTCTGCCACATGTACATTTACTATTTATTCATTTTTCTGTGTGTATAATATCCCACCCTTGATCCCAGCCTTCTAGATCTTAGTCCATTTAAATGTTAGTTCCGCTTAGCTTCTCATAAGTGAATTTGGTTTTAAATGCTCAATTACTTCATGGAACATGAAGTCAAAAGTACAGCTCTCTATCTTATGCATTTGGCATCAGAATGGTAAGCATTACATTCTTGTTATATCCGTTCTTATTAGAAACAAGATTTAATGTAGCCACTTCTGCTGTTTGTGCTTCCCTAGCTTTTCCTAGGAGTATCAGAATAGAGACAAAAAGATAGCCATGGGAGTCTCACCTCTGCCTTGCTAAATGGGTCATTTGAGCCGTGTAACTATGCCTCTTTTTCCCTTGGCCTGGCCATTTTGGAATGGTGACAGAGTTAACAGGAGGGAGACTCCAAGAACAGCAGCACTGAAAAAAAAGTTCCAAATAGAAATTTCTGACAAATATAATGAGCCAGTTGATGGATTAGAATTCTGTTTCTCTAAGGAATAGGGGTTATTTTATACAGAAGAATTTGCCTCCAGAGCACATTTTTCTGGCTTCAAAGATCTGTCATTTTGCCAGGTGGGTGGCTCACGCCTGTAATCCCACCACTTTGGGAGGCTGAGGTGGGTGGATCACCTGAGGCAGGAGTTCGAGACCAGCCTGGCCATCTGGCCAACATGGTGAAACCCTGTCTCTATAAAAATACAAAAATTAGCCAGGCATGGTGGCATGTGCCTGTAATCCCAGTTACTTGGGAGGCTGAGGCAGGAGAATCGCTTGAACCCAAGAAGCGGAGGTTGCAGTGAGCCGAGATCACGCCATTGCACTCCAGCCTGGGTGACAGAGGGAGACTCTGTCTCAAAAAAACAAAAAGAAAAGGCTGGGTGCAGTGGCCCGTGCATGTAATCCTAGCACTTTGGGAGGCCAAGACAGGTGGATTGCCTGAGTTCAGAGTTCGAGACCAGCCTGGGCAACATGGTGAAACCCCATCTGTACTAAAATACAAAAAAAAAAAAAATTAGCCGGGCGTGGCAGCATGTGCCTGTAGTCCCAGCTACCCAGGAGGCTGAGGCAGGAAAATTGCTTGAACCTGGGAGGTGGAGGTTGCAGTGAGCCGAGATCACACCACTGCACTCCAGCCTGAGAGGCAGAGCAAGACTCCGTCTCTTAAAAAAAAAAAAACTGTCATTTTAAAACTATTATTAACAAATGAAAGAAGAGTAGCCTAGACTATATAACTCGATGAGGGCATAGATCATGTCTCTCTCTTCTACCACTGAATCCTCAGCACTTGGCATTGTTATTGTATATATAATATATGTGTAATAAATATTTGAATGTGTTGCCTGTAGTTGTTTTATTTTTAAGGCTTATAAGATACCTTTTTGAACTTATCAAGGCTGGGCGCGGTGGCTCACGCCTGTAAACCCCAGCATCTTGTGAGGCCGAGGTGGGCAGACCACCTGAGCTTGGGAGTTTGAGACCAGCCTGACCAACATGGAGAAACCCCGTCTCTAATAAAAATACAAAACTAGCTGGATGTGGTGGCGCATGCCTATAATCCCAGCTGCTCGGGAGGCTGAGGCAGGAGAATCGCTTGAACTCGGGAGGCAGAGGTTGCGGTGAGCCGAGATCACACCATTGCACTCCAGCCTGAGCAACAAGAGCGAAACTCTGTCTCAAAAAAAAAAAAAGAAAAAGAAAAGAAAGAAAGAAAGTACATCCTCACAAACTCATTACTGAGCTTTTTTTTTTTTTGAACCAGAGTCTCACTCTGTCACCCAGGCTGGAGGGCAGTGGGGTGATCTCAGCTCACTGCAACCTCCGCCTCCTGGGTTCCAGTGATCCTCCTGCCTCAGCCTCCTAAGTAGCTGGGATTACAGGCGTGCGCCACCACGCCCAGCTAATTTTTTTTGTATTTTTGGTAGAAACAGTGTTTCACCATGTTGGCCAGGCTGGTCTTGAACTCCTGACCTCTGGTGATCTGCCTACCTTGGCCTCCCAAAGTGCTGGGATTACAGGCATGAGCCACCGTGCCTGGCCATTACTCAGCTTTAATAACCATCAACCTTTTGTCTGATTTCTTTCATCTGTCCCCACTCCCTGTTAAATTTTTTTGTTGGAACATTTTAAAGTAAAACTCAGAAACCATGTCATTTCACTCCAGGTACTTAAGAAAAAGTCACAGTAACCACAATGCTGTTATTACATTAACAGTAAATCCTTAATTTCATCTAAGACCCTGTCCATATTCAGATTTTCTGAGGGTCCTTTTAAAATTTAATTAAGAATAAATTAAAACTTTTGACAAAAAATGAGAAGTTTCTAAAAATGCAATCTCCTTTCATTATCATCGAAACTGAAGAAAATCTTATAGTGCATTAACATGCAGGAATTCAGTATAGCAAAGTCAGTACTCCCCTTAGATGATGCTAATAGTTTGCTCCATATTATAATTGTTTGTGGGAATTGCATCTCTGAGACCAATGCTCACATTCATATACCTCACATTTCCCTCTTCAGTCTTTATTACACACTGTGGTAATTAGTATAAATTGCACTAATAACAAACATCTTATTGAGCATTTACTGTGTGCCAAGCACTGTGCTTTACTGTATTATTTTATAAGATTCTTAAAACAACCTGACAGTTAGGTATTATTATATCTCCCTCCAATTAATTTAGTAACTTACCAAAGTTTTTATAGCTAGTGTACGAGCTGAGATTTTAATTTATGTCTCCTAACTACTGGCTCTGCTGCCTTCGTGAGTATGCTTTAAGATGCTGATGAAAAAGGGTTGAAATGATCTGAAATTAATGTCCTAAATTTCATAATTTCTCTGTTGTCTGCTAAATTCCAGGCTGTAAGACTGGAAAGTACTTACCAGAATCGAACACGCTATATGGTAGTGGTTTCAACTAATGGTAGACAAGACACTGAAGAAAGCATCGTCCTAGGAATGGATTTCTCCTCTAATGACAGGTATGGTGGTACCATTTCAAAATGTGAAAACTGCTTTTTAAGTAACCTGTTCCAGTTGCTTTTTTTTTTTTTTTTTTTTAATGGGGACGGAGTGTCATCACTCTGTTGCCCAGACTAGAGTGCAGTGGCTCAATCTCGGCTCACTGCAACCTCCGCCTCCCGGGTTCAAGCGATTCTCCTGCCTCAGCCTCCTGAGTAGCTGGAATTACAGGTGTACACCACTATGCCAAACTAATTTTTGTATTTTTAGTAGAGATGGGGTTTTGCCATATTGGCCAGTTTCAAACTCCTGACCTCAAGTGATCCACCCACCTCAGCCTCCCAAAGTACTGAGATTACAGGCGTGAGCCACCGTGCCTGGCCCCAGTTGCCTTTTATCACAAAAATATCTTGTGCAGTTCTGCTGTTAAAGTACAAGACATAAAACTAAAGAACATAAGTATCTTAGCCACAGTCTTGAGAAACAAGAATGTTTAGTGAATGTCTTTGGTCGTGTGTTTCCAATTTACCATTATTCCATACCTTCATCTCATCTTTAGATAGTCACAATATAAAGCAAGTGGTTTCAAAGTTACATTTCCATGGAAAAAAAGCTGCCTTTTTATTTCTCTTTTTGAGACAGCGTCTCGCTCTGCTGCCCAGGCTGAAGTGCCGTGATGCAGTCACAGCTCACTACGGCCTCAAATTCCTCCTGGGCTCTAGGAATCCTTCCACCTCAGCCTCCTAAGTAGCTAGAAGTACAGGCATGCACCACCATACCCAGCTATTTGGTCTTTTTTTTTTTTTTTTCCTTATTTTTCTGGAGAGAAGATTTCCTTATGTTGGCCAGGCTGGTCTTGAATTCTTGGGCTTAAGCAATCCTCCCACTTCGGCTTCCCAAAGTGCTGGGATTACAGGCATGAGCCTTGCACCTGGCCTACTCTATTGTAGTCAGTAATGATTCACTTTGGTGATTCTAGGGCACCTACCCTTTGTGGTAGTATACCAGTAGTCCCAGATACAAAGAGATCCCACTTAAACTACAGTCTGTTTTGTTTAAACCTTGCTTTTACCAAATGCTATGCCTCCTTTTTCCTTCTATTGAGTTAAAAAGGATGGTGGGCGGGGCGGGGATGGGGTGGTACGGGATGGCTCCTTAAACTCAAAGCAGAACTTTTTATGTACCTTTGGCTTTAGCTGTACTTTACATTCTATGATGAAAGATGACACACAACACCTGGCCTTTTCGTGTGTCCTTAAGGTTTGTTGCTTTCCTTTTTTATTTTTCCCACTTTTTCTGGAGAAACCTTCGGAAGACTTTGGAATGTGGCTGCTAAGCAGATCTTTACGCTGTGGATAATTAGCCTCAGGAAATCCTGCCAGATGTCTCAAAGCATTGACTTCCTGGTTCAGGATTAGAATGGAACTATGGGGTAGCTAGGGGTGTGACCCAGGCCTAGGGAAATTTAGCCACAAAGAGAGGAGGAGCCTGGGAATGATTCTAATTTTCCTGATGTTGAGGGGAAAAAATCACTTTGTCACTAGAAAGTTTCCCAAACCAATGTTTACCTTATTCCTATATAGAAGTCAACCTGAAAATGACTTGGGGGTTCACAGGAATTCCCAAAGCCAAAGTTATTAGCTTGTATACCACTTAACAGCATTTAATTGTAGGCTCTGAATTTACACAGGCTTGTAAACCAGATTTAGGAAGATTTCTCCTGCATGGTTTTAACTTCTGATTAAGCAACAGAGCTTTCAGTAAGCATTTTCCTATAACAGCACCTACCTTGTTTACATTCATTAGGATTTTAGGACCTCTAATTTAGGTTTTTAATCTTTCTAGATCTGTGTTGTCCAGTATAGTAGCCACTAACCATATGTGCCCCTTCCTTCCTTCTTGCCTGCCTGCCTTCCTTCCTTCTTTCATCTTCCTTCCTTTTCTCTTCTCTTCTTTTCTTTTTTCCTTTTTGTGAAGAACACAGTCTCTCTGTGTTGCCCAGGCTGGTCTCAACTCCTGAGCTCCTGCCTCTGCCTTCCTGAGTGCTGGGATTATAGGCATGAGCCACTGCATACAGCATGCACGTGTCTTTTTAAATAGATTAAAATTAAATGAAATTTCAATTCCTCAGTTCTAACTAGTCACATTTCAAGTATTCAGTAACCGTATGTGCTAGTGGCTATCGTATTAGACAGTACATGTATAGAACATTTTCCATTCTTGCAGAAAGTTCAGTTGGACAGCACTGTTCTAGCTCATATTTCCTTTGTTCAGTTCTCCCTGACCCCCTCCCTTGAAAACCCTATAAAACAGGAACAGGAACCTCATGAAGCTTCAATTGAATCTTCCCCTAGAGACAGAAGACAATAACTGCAGATTCTCCTGACCCAGAATATGAGCAAGCACATGTCTAATCATTTCTCTTTCACTTTGTCCTAAACTTTACCAGAAAGAATGCATATTAATATAGGTATCCAGTAGTTTATACTCAGTAAATTACATCTATCTTTTGCCAATGGCCCTGTCTGAATCATATCTGACCAGTGTCACTAGCCAAAGGAAATTATAGTTTATAGAAGACAAACTTAAAACATGAAAAGCTAGAAACTAGTTTTCATTCTGTTTGCTAAACTTGCTATTATGAAATTCCCATACATCCTCTGCTTTAATGAGTTCCTTGGACAGTAAGAAGTCTCAGATGCTCAGGTAATCTAAAATCATTTCTGTCTCAGTTGTTGTTGAAGGAATTTGAATTTGTATCATTTCATATCTGAGAATGTAAATGTTAATGCTTCAAAATAGTATTAAGCCAAAGTGGAACCCAGATTATGACAAGTACAAATAGTTCTTAATAATACGTTGCAGCCAATTCATTTAGCCCATTTACAAGTTCTTTGAGTATTATGTTATATTTTAATAATTTTTTAAATATGCAGCATAATCTTGGTTTCTAAAGTGTAACATATTTTAAGTTATAAAATAATAGAGCTTCATGGTTTTTTGGGGTTTTTTTTTTCCATTTCTTTTTGTACCCCTAACACCTTGAAATGTCTGGTACATAGTAGGCACTAAATAAATTTTTATTGAATGAATTGAATATTTACTAAAATAAGTAGTTATACTTAAATGGAGAAAAATCTTGAGAGACTGAGGTAACCTGGATAAAAATACCAAGCGTGCCTTATTCAGTCCTTTCCTTCCTGTTGCGTGAAAAAGCTACTTTTTTTTTTTTTTTTTTTTTTTTTTTTTTTGAGACAGTCTCACTCTGTGGCCAGGCTGGAGTACAGTGGTGCAATCTCAGCTCACTGCAACCTCCGTCTCCTGGGTTCAAGCGATTCTCCTGCCTCAGCCTCCCAAGCAGCTGGGACTACAGGCGCACACCACCATGCCCAGCTAATTTTTGTATTTTTAGTAGACGGGGTTTCACCATGTTGACCAGGATGGTCTCTATCTCGACCTCGTGATCCGCCCGCCTCTGCTTCCCAAAGTGCTGGGATTACAGGCACCACGCCCTGCTGAAAAAGCTACTTCTTAATGTAAAAAAGCACTCTGGCCTGAATACAAGCCAAAAATGTAATGTCGATTCCTGTATATCAATGTCACTTGTCCAAAGGTTAACCAAAATCTGGTCACAAGCTTATAGATCACACTCTTTTGCAGCTTCTGTATCTTTTTATATAGTTAATTTCTAGATTTGTCATTGGGCTACCAACCCACCATATTTATACTCAAAATTATACTTGTTGCTAAGAACCTGGCTAAGCACTCACTAAATACAAAACAAAAAGCTACTGTAAAACTATCCCCACTTCATCTTGGGAAGCCGTTTTCAAAACAAATTTTTTTGTGCGCTCATCTCATCTACTCAACAAAACTTGTGGTAGAGCTGTCTTGCTCCTGGACTCTGGCATGGTAGCTGTGTTTCTGTTGTTCAGGTCCAGGTTCTAATGTGGATAAGCTGTTTCAGTCTTGATTTGAATCTCCTGAGCTCTGGAATCACTCTTTTTTTTTTTTTTTTTTTTTTTTTTTTTGAGAGGGAGTCTTGCTGTGTCTCCCAGGCTGGAGTGCAATGGCGCAAATCTCAGCTCACTGCAACTTCCACCTCCCAGGTTCAAGTGATTCTCCTGCCTCAGCCTCCCGAGTAGCTGGGATTACAGGTGTCTGTCTGCCCCTGCACCCAGCTAATTTTTGTATTTTTAGTGTAGAGATGGAGTTTCGCCATGTTGGCCAGGCTGGTCTTGAACTCCTGACCTCGGCCTCCCAAAGTGCTGGGATTACAGGCATGAGTCACCGTGCCTGGCCTGGAATCACTCTTAAGGTGTTAAGCAGCACAGGCCAGCAAGTGTAGTGGAAAGCCCAACTAAGGGCTAGCCTCCTTTAACCCTGCAGTGACTAACAGTTAAAGTTTGGTATTCATTATGTTGTTTTTAAAGCATAATGGTTTCCCCTTCCCCCAATCACTTTCAGATATATTAGAGCACCCATTACAGATTCATATTCAACATTTGTTTTACAGGACAGTATATTCACATATATTGTTTTATTTTAAGTATGTTATGTCTTTATACCTATATCTATGAGAATAGGTTTTATTATTCACAGTTCAAGATGAAGAAATTAAGGCTGAGAGAGGTTAAATAATTTGTTTAAAAAAAAGTTGTAATACTGAAGGAAATCAATCCCAGATCTTTTGGCATAGTAGATGTTCAATAAATGGTAATGACTATTACATTTTAGGCACTTAGACACTATTTTACTCTTTTATTTGTTATTTAATCTTCAAAACAGTACAATGAAGAAGATATTTTTATCCCAGTTTTACAAATGAAGAAATTAAGGCACAAGACAGTTAAGTAATTTGCCTAAGATTATACAGTTGCTGGGCGCGGTGGCTCACGCCTGTAATCCCAGCACTTTGGGAGGCCAAGGCGGGTGGATCACCTGAGGTTGGGAGTTCAAGACCAGCCTGACCAATATGGAGAAACCCCATCTCTACTAAAAATACAAAATTAGCTGGGCGTGGTAGTGCATGCCTGTAATCCCAGCTACTCAGGAGGCTGAGACAGGAGAATCGCTTGAACCAGGAGGTGGAGGTTGCAGTGAGCCGATATCACACCATTGCACTCCAGCCTGGGCAACAAGAGTGAAACTCCATCTTAAAAATAAAAAAAAAAATAAAAATAAATTTTAAAAAAAGATTATACAGTTAGTGCAAGAAACCAGGTTCCAGAGCCCATAATCATACTGTGAACCCAGGTTCCAGAGCTCTTAACCATACTGTGCTTTTCCACAGTATGGTTATGCCAGATTCTTTCTAGTACACCATGCTTCCGCTCTAGATAGATTGGCATGGAGCATCATGGAAGCCTTTCGGAGACTAGCCAGAGTGGGAAAGCAGTTACAGCAGCGTTAAGGAGAGATAGTGGCAGTAGCCTAGGGTAGGTTACTGTTTCCCAGAGAAGAGATGTGATAGAGCATACAATCAGGGGTCCATGGCTTTCTGTACGAACCTCTTCCATTAACTTAAAGCCCTTCCTGGGCTAATGTGAGATTGAAATAGCATTTTAGGCCGGGTGCAGTGGCTCATGCCTGTAATCCCAACACTTTGGGAGGCTGAGACGGGTGGATCACTCTGAGGCCAGGAGTTTGAGACCAGCCTAGTCAACATGGCAAAAACTCATCTCTGCTAAAAATACAAAAATTAGCCGGGCATGGTGGCACATGCATATAATCCCAGCTACTCGGGAGGCTGAGGCAGGAAAATCACTTGAATCCAGGAGGTGGAGGTTGCAGTGAGCCAAGATTATGCCACTGTCCTCCAGCCTGGGCAACAGAGGGAGACTCTGTCTCAAAAAAAAAAAAAAAAAAAGAAATAGTATTTTTAAATACCATACTAGGGCTACCCTTTTCTTGGTTGTTGACATTTCTATTAACTGTGTTTCAGCAGTGCTAGTTCAGTGCACAGTCACAAAGCAGTGTTTCATTGATTTAAGTTTTGTTATGTCTATTTTGCCTATCTTGATCACAAACTATTAACAATTACTTCTTTACATTTTTTAATTCCCTTTGCCTTTTAGACTATTGAGTGTGTTCTGGTGTTAAGTAAATCTATGTAAACCTCAGAATTAGAGGCAAATAACACATCCCAAGCTCTCCAGCAACCAGCAATAGTTATTGGCATTAAAAATAATCCTTGGGACTGGGCACCATGGCTCATGCCCGTAATCCCAGCACTTCGGGAGGCTGAGGTGGGTGGATCAGGACTTCGAGACTAGCCTGGCCAACATGGTGAAACCCCATCTCTACTAAAAGTACAGAAAAATTAGCCAGGTGTGGTGGCGCTCGCCTGTAATCCCAGCTACTGGGGAGGCTAAGGCAGGGGAATTGCTTGAACCTGGGAGGCAGAGGTTTCAGTGAGCTGAGACTGCACCACTGCACTCCAGCCTGGGCAACAGAGTAAGACTCCATCTCAAAAAAAAAAAAAAAAAATCCTTGGAGTCGAGGTGGACACTGTACTATGTGCTAAGACCTGCCAAATGCAAGTCAGCAGCAATCATCTGCATTTTTTAGATAGTGGCCATTTGCAAGATGACAATGTAGGAAGCTGAGTCAGTAAGTTTTCTTCATTAAATATTTAAGGAACTGACTGACTATCTCTTTAAAACAGCTCCTGAGGACATACATAAGATTAATAATAATATGATAGAAATTTCTTCATTGTAACACTTATGCCAGAATTTAGAATTTAAGGGTTTATCCTTGGTGTTGAAAGAGTTAGTAAACAGAAGACTGCTTCCCAGAGTAATGGGGAGTAACTATTGGACTACTTCTTGTCTTGCAGTAGCACTTGTACCATGGGCTTAGTTTTGCCTCTCTGGAGCGACACGCTAATTCATTTGGATGGTGATGGGTAAGAGATTTCCTTTTTTATTCTGTTACAGAAAGCCAAGGGGTGGGGCTCCATCTTACTGCACATTCATTCAGCTAAAAGGGAGGCCCAGTGTGCCAACTGAACTTTCATGTCAACAGCTGAATGAGTCCTTTTAAACTCCTGTTTTGTAAAGTGGAGTAAAAATACAACTTGCCAGGGTCTCTCACTTCTGTTCTTCTAGGCCGACTGTGGTAGGAATCAAGACAAAGAAGAACTAGTTTGTTGGCTCTTTAATCTGAGTATGTGGGACTGTTGCAATGCTCTCCCAAAGGATGATATGTTCTGTTTCAAATAACCTCTTGCTGCCTCTGCCAGCTGTCAGCCTACAGTATAACCCCTTTCCTGTGCCAGTTCCTTCCAGTGACCCCACCCCCACCCTACCTCCTAATGTTTTTAGAATGTGTCCCCAAGAGACCAAGATGTTTGCTCCAGTTTATAAAACCAGGGTCAGGTTTGCTAAGAACCCACAAGACTTCCAAATAGAAATATACAGAACAGTTTGTCCATAGCTACAGCTGGGAAACTGTATTGAATTCTCTAACTCCAATATAGGAATCCATTCATTTTGCCTGGTAGATGAAGTCAGACAATTTGTCAAAGCTTTTTGGTCAAGTCTTACACTCTAGTTAAAACTTCTACGTGAAATGCCTGATGATTCCCTCTACGGAGCCAGTTGTTTTTAGCCTGGGATACATCCATGAAAACTCACAATTCAAATAACCTACCCTAATTTGTGGATTTTTGTCTTGTTCTCATTTGTCCTTAGTGGGTTCAGTGTATCGACGGATAACAGAGTTCACATATTCAAACCTGTATCTGTGCAGGCAATGTGGTAAGATGACTTTTACTATCTCTACAAAAGTGTTTTAATGTTATTGGAGGAATATTTTGTAAGAAATGTTTGAAATGGTACAGTTTGCTATGAAAATGCTAAATGATCTGTTTGTATAACCATCGTAGTTAAAGATGACCTAGAAATGCAATATTCAAATTGTTGCAATTGGAAGGCCTTGAGTATTGGTGAACAAGTGAAATTCAGAGGAATTCAGAGGTGTTATTCTTAGGCTCTGGCAGAGACTTAACGGTTTAGATAAGCCAGTTGATACCGAGTTTTATTAGGGACATATTGACTAAGTTAGTTAGTGGACTAAGAGCCAAATCTAGAACATCACATTGCTATGCATTAGCTATTTCTTTTTTTTCTTTTTTTTTTTTTGAGACGAAGCCTCACTCTGTTGCCCAGGCTGGAGTGCAGTGGCGCGATCTCGGCTCACTGCAACCTCCGCCTCCCGGGTTCAGGCGATTCTCCTGCGTCAGCCTCCTGAGTAGCTGGGACTACAGGCATGTGCCACCACGCCTGGCTAATTTTTTTGTATTTTTTAGTAGAGACAGGGTTTCACCATATTGGCTGGGCTGGTCTTGAACTCCTGACCCCGCCTTGGCCTCCCGAAGTGCTGGGATTACAGGCGTAGCCACTGCGCCTGGCCTGCATTAGCTATTTCCTAAGGTAACCAGGGATAGCATTCGTTACTTTATGGATAAATAAATTTCCATTTAAACTGCTGGTGGCTATTTGCATAATGCAAATAAAGCCTAGAGAAAACATTATACTTGCTAATAACCATCAGCTGGCATATGGACATTTCAGGGCTATTTACTACATGCCAGATGCTTTGCATGGATTATATTTAATCATCATACCAAGCCCCCAAAATAATATTATTAGCCCCTTATTATGGGTGAGAAAACATGCTTTGGATGGGTTACATAACTGCCCTGAGAGTATTTCTTACATTTAGACAGGATAGATCTCTCTCTCTCTCTCATATCTCTCTCTCTCTCTCCTTTAAAGAGACAGGGTCTCCCTCTGTCGCCCAGGCTGGAGTGCAGTGGTGCAATCATAGCTTATGGCAGCCTCCAACTCCTGGGCTCGAGTGTTCTTCCTACCTCAGCCTCCTAAGCAGCTATGACTACAGGCATGTGCCACTACACCTGGCTAATTTTTTTTTTAATTTTTTTTGTGGAGACGGGGGTCTCTCTGTGTTGCCCAGGCTGGTCTTGAACTCCTGGCCTCAAGCCGTCCTCCTGCCTTGGCCTCCCAAAGTGCTGAGATTGCAGGTGTGAGCCACTGCACCTGGCCTCTTATTCTCTTATTTTAGATTATCTAGAAAATTATCTAATACAACCAGAGAATGATGTGACTAAGATTCAGAATCCATTCCCCAGTCAGGGATTTGAATTTCAGTTTCCTATTCAGCTGCCTGTTAGGTAGTAGAAGTCCCCATGGGGAGCGGAATGGATAGAATGCAAGCAAAACAAGAAATAAAAGAGCCTGAAAAAGACCCCAGGGAGATAATCTACCCCTGAAAACAGAATTGATAGGATGGAGGTGGGTGGAATCCAAAGACTCACTGAAAAATTAAGTCTTATCATTTCCTGCAGTGATTGAGATAGGACAGTTTCAGGTCATGTGTTTAGACCAGATTTTTAGAGTTAGGGCATATTTTGCAGGTAAGTTTCTCATGGAAAACAGGAAATTTATGACCCCCTTTGACTAAGGCTCAGTTAAAGACAATTGACTTATCTATTCCTAAGTAACAAGTAAAACCAAACAGCAGTAACAACGATAAATGACAGCATTTTCAGGTATATTTTGGGGAAGAGTACAGAGCAGTCTTAATTCAAGTAATAACCTTAAATCAAGCTTTGATGTTCTAAAGCAAGCTTGTCCAACCCGTGGCCCATAGGCCACATGCAGCCCAGGATGGCTTTGCATGCGGCCCAACACAAATTCATAAAACTTTCCTAAAATTCTAATCCAAATTCATAAAACTTTCCTAAAATATGATGAGATTTTTTTGCATTTTTTTTTAAGCTCATCAGCTATCATTACGGTATTTTGTGTGTGGCCCAAGACAGTTCTTCCGATGTGGCCCAGGGAAGCCAAAAAATTGGACACCCCTGTAAAAGTAAATTGACTGGTCCTAGCTCTTATTGCAAAATAAACTTTTCTTGATATACCTTATGGGGAGTAGTGAGTTGAAGTCACAGGGGGAAAAAAATAGATGATGTGTGGATCAAAGCAACATTTAGACCAGGTGTTTCCTTCACAGGAAGATAGTTACTGCAGCCTCCCACTCTGATGCAGCTGGAGTATCTGAGGTGGCTAGGCCTTGAGTGTATTTTAGGACCGTTGCACCAGACTCTGTGGCATATGCTTTTGGAGCATGTGTTTCCTAGATGAAGAAACATGCATTAGGCATCCTGTAAGTTACACTAAGCTGGCTCTTACCTTTGAATCTGTGTAATGAAACTGAAATTCTCAGATTATTCTCTTGAGACTTTGGCTTACTTTGAGTAATATAAAGCATTTTTAAAAGACTCTGCAACTTTGTTTTTAAGGAAAAATGTGTTTTCCTAATAAAAATGGACTGACACATTTTCCTCTGATTAAATTGGTTTAAATTTGTTTTCTTAATTTACATTGTATAGGGTTGACAGGGATTCAAGGAACAAACACTGTGATGTACTATTGGTGGAAGAATGAACTGGAGCAGCCTTTCTGGAGAGTGATTTGCCAATATGCCTTATCATTTTGCATGATCTTTGTCCTAGTAACTCTATTTCTATGGATTTACTCTAAGTTTGTAAACATGGATGTGTGCAAAGATTTTAGCTCTAAGAATGTTTGTCAGTGTTCTAATAATAGCAAAAAATAAAAAACAAATGATTGAAAAATAGAATTAGTAAATTATGGTACATCTATATCATTAAATATTATGCAACCATTAAAAATGATCCAGTTGAAAAATATTTGACATGGAAAGATGTTGATGATAGGCTGTAAAGCAAAAGAGCAAGTTATAGATGATATGGAGAATATGGTCATATCTTTGTTTATTATACATCTATGCATAGCCAAAAAGACTGGAAAGATCTACGCTAAAATCTTAACAGTGGTTATTTCAGGGTGGTAGGATTACAAGATATTTCTGCCTTTTCTGTGAGGTCCCTAATTTTCTAAAGTAGGCATGGATCACTTTTGCTATGAGGGAAACAAAAATACTTTTTTTTTTTTTTTTGAGATTGTGTCTCACTCTGTCACCCAGGCTGGAGTGCAGTGGCACCATCTCAGCTAACTACAGCCTCCGTCTCCCAGGTTCAAGCGATTCTCCCTCCTCAGCCTCCCGAGTACCTAGGACTACAGGCATGTGCCACCGTTCCCAGCTAATCCTTGTATTTTTAGTAGAGATGGGGTTTCACCATGTTGGTTAGGCTGATCTCGATCTCCTGACCTCAAGTGATCCACCCACCTTGGCCTCCCAAAGTGCTAGGATTACAGGCGTGAGCCACCGTGCCTGGCCATAATGTCTTTTTTTCTTAGGGAGACATTAGTTTATAGCTAATGACATTTCACTCAACAAATACTAATTGAGCTCCACTTGTGAACTAGGTATTCTTTTAGTCACTTGGGTAAACAAAATGTAGAAAAGTTCTTGCTCTTGTATAACTTCCTAGTATTTCTACCTTAAGCTTTTCCCACATATATAATGAAAAACATACTTTTCTGTTTGTTTACTCTTCTTGGGTTCCTGAGTTCAGACAGAGCCAGAAGGTTTAATTAGTCTCAGAATTACCAGAGCTAGGCCAGGCACGGTGGCTCACGCCTGTAATCCCAGCATTTTTGGAGGCCAAGACAGGCAGATGTCTTGAGGCCAGGAGTTTGAGACCAGCCTGACCAACATGGCAAAAACCCGTCTCGACTAAAAATACAAAAATCAGCCCGGTGTAGTGGCATGCACCTGTAATCCCAGCTACTACTCGGGAGGCTGAGGCATGAGAATCACTTGAACCCAGGAGGTGGAGGTTGCAGTGAGCAGAGATCACACCACTGCACTCCAGCCTCTGTGACAGAGTGAGTCACTGTCTCAACAAAAAAGAATAACCAGATCTGTTCTTAGAAAGTAGCTCATGGATTTAAAGAGACTAGGAGACTAAGGCAGCAGGAATAATAAATATCATTAGATCAACACTTCCTGGACATTAAAGGACATGTCCTCAAGGCTTAGGGACATCTATCTATGTGATCTTTGTGAAGCCTGTTAAGAATTACAGAAAATATATGCTGTAACATCCTGTGCTGAGGGAAACAAATCTTTATATGGCAAATTATTCAGATCTTTAGTTTTCTAATGATACGGCAGTCACTGCATGGTCCCAACTATAGGATCATGTGCTCCATAGGTACCTGGACCTATTTTTCACTGGTGAGTTGTCAGCTGTCCTTCCCCGCCTTCTCCCTACCTTAATGATGCATCATATCTTTCAGCAAATGTCTTGTCCATTGCTGTGGATAGATAATATGGTATAATCAGAATTGGAGAATCTTGACTTTCAAGGAGTAGATTGTCCAGAGGACAAATTCTATAGAATTTAAAAATTAGAAGAGTTTGGAGTACACAGGTTATTGGCCTTTGGCACCCCACAGTTCTATGGTGCTCATTTCCCAGCATGTCTTTCAGGTCTGCACTACAGAGCTTACACAAGGCTTGTGAAGTCGCCAGAGCGCATAACTACTACCCAGGCAGCCTATTTCTCACTTGGGTGAGTTATTATGAGAGCCATATCAACTCAGATCAATCCTCAGTCAATGAATGGAATGCAATGCAAGATGTACAGTCCCACCGGCCCGACTCTCCAGCTCTCTTCACCGACATGTAAGTCAGTTTGCTAAGGATTATGGAAGTTCTCTCCATTATGTCCTGAGGAGTCATAAGAAGCATGTTCCTCCCTAATCTTTTCTCTTGGGGAGTTAATCTTACCTAGGAATATTAGTCATTGTGAATAGCACGTGTCTGCCACATATGAAGAATCCTATTCTTGCTGTTGCCTGCAAAGGCCTGAGAAGCTTCACCCCAAGGCACAATAGAGTCTCCATAGTCAAAAACTTCAATACGATAAAATTTCATTATTCAGATTCCATTAATTTGAAATTTGAGTTTAAAGGAGTTGGGCTGAAGTTTGAGTTTGCATTATCTGAAAGAATCATTTTAGTAAGCATATTAGTGATATAAAGAAGCTTTCAAAGTCATGTTTGTAATACTTAAAACAAGATGTTTCCAGTCAACTTAAAAGAATGCCTTAACTAATAAGCTAATTTTTTTTTTTAAGAGACAGGATCTCACTCTGTCACCCAGGCTGGAGTGCAGTGGCACAATCATAGCTCACTGCAGCCTCAAACTCCTGGGTGAAGTGATCCTCTCACTTCAGCCTGCAAAGTACCTGGGACTACAGGCATGTGCCACCACACCTGGCTAATTTTTAAATTTTTATTTTTTTAGAGATAGGGTCTCACTATGTTGCCCAGGCTGGTCTTAAACTCCTGGCCTCAGTCCTCCTGCCTCGGCCTACCAAAGTGCTGGGATTACAAGTGTGAGCCACTACGCCCAGCCTGCTAATTTTTAACTTAAAAAATTTTTTTTAAATATTTTATCATTCAGATGTCATTCTGCTCTACCTTTGCCTTGTTAAGTCCTTGTCAGTACAATTTAATTAAATCTCCCTAGTGTACTGTGAGTTAGATAAAGGCCTAAGGTAAAGCTGATGTTTATTTCCTTTTTAGGTCTATGTGTTGAAACTTCTGTGACTATTTTGGAAATTTTTTTACACTTAGTGCCTGCTTTGTAAATTCGTCATGATGTTTCTTTTGCTCTAATTTGATCTTTCTGCACTTCCAAGGTATTCTACAGCAGGGAAAGAAGAGTAGCTAGTTACTGTCTGACCTTCAGGATTCTCCTTTAGATTCCTAAAGTCATGCCAAAACAGTTCATGGTTTTTGGGTTTTTTTTAACAGAGTAATTTATTTTATTTTAGTTTTTGAGACCAAGTCTCACTCTGTCGCCCAGGCTGGAATGCCGTGGCATGATCTTGGCTTACTACAATCTCTGCCTCCCGGGTTCAAGCAATTCTCCTGCCTCAGCCTCCCGAGTAGCTGGGATTACAGGCGCATGCCACCACGGCCAGCTAATTTTTGTAGTTTTAGTAGTGACGGGGTTTCACCATGTTGACCAGGCTGGTCTCTGCCTGCCTCGGCCTCCCAAAGTGCTGGGATTACAGGCGTAGCCACCACACCTGCCCTAAAAAATGCTCTTTACTAGAAAAGGTGAACTTTCCAAAAATTGTATGAAAGGAACAGTCAAAAAAGCAGTGGAATCTTTTTTTGCACAGGATGTTTTTGCTGCTAGGACCTTCTTTTTAGTAGCCTTGGTCTTTTCAAGATCTCACAGTAATTGAAAAGATAAAGGTTCATGGGAAATGTTACTGGTGATTTCATGCTTTACAGCTGGATGATGGGTTTCAGAGAAATGGATGTCTCATCTAGCTCAAAAAAGCACATTCTAAACCAGACTTAGATGAGAGAGAGGTAACTTTTCTTCCCATTTTTCCCATATTTTATTAGAGACAGTCGGGCGTGGTGGGTGGTGGCTCATGCCTGTAATCTCAGCACTTTGGGAGGCCAAGGCAGGTAGATCACCTGAGGTCAGGAGTTCGAGACCAGCCTGGCCAACATGGTGAAACCCCGTCTCTACTAAAAATAGAAAAATTAGCCAGGCATGGTGGCAGGCGCCTGTAATCCCAGCTACTCAGGAGGCTGAGGCAGGAGAACCACTTGAATCCAAGAGGTGGAGGTTGCAGTGAGCCGAGATCACACCACTGCACTCCAGCCTGGGCGACAGAGGGAGACTCAGTCTCAAAAAAAAAAAAAAAAAAGATTTTATTAGAGAAGATTTTGATACTACACAACAAACAAGAAGAGAGGAAGAAAGATATTGCTCTTACTCTCTTTACATCCCTAAGCAAAAAACATAAAGGCAGTCCCTGGCAAATGATAGAGGCTTATTAACTGTTAGTTCTTAGTATGTATAATAATAACCCTAATTTTGAGATATATCTTAAGAACTTCTGTCTGTTTACGGAAAAAGAATACATGAAAGCTGTAGGCCAGAGTGTTAATAATTATCTCTGGGTAGAGGGATTTTCAGTGGTTTTTATTTACTTTATATTTTTATGTATTTTCCAAATTTTTCTCCAATGAAATTGAGGAGGAAAAAGCAGATTTGTGTGTTGTAATGCTTTTTCCATTCCTCCTCCTCCCTAAACTGACTAGAAAAGCTTATAAAACAAAGCTGAGAATACAGGGAGAATGTGTGCCAAAATGGACTGAAATACTCTGCTGTGAATAATTTATATTTTGAAATCTAAGGAAAGGAGGAAGAAGGGAATATACATATATGGGATACACATCTGGTGTTATGCCCAGCACTTCATACATGTTGTTTAATCCTCATAAGAATATTATGAGACAGGTATTATTGCTCTACTCTTTTTTTCTTTTTTTTTTGAGACGGAGTCTCACTGTTGTCGGCCCAGGCTGGAGTGCAATGGCACTATCTCGGCTCACTGCAACCTCCACCTCCCGGGCTCCAGCAATTCTCCTGCCTCAGCCTCCCAAGTAGCTAAGATTACAGGCACCCACCACCATGCCCGGCTAATTTTTGTATTTTTAGTAGAGACGGGGTTTCACCATGTTGGCTAGGCTGGTCTCGAACTCTTAACCTCAGGTGATCCACCTGCCTCAGCCTCCCAAAGTGCTGGGATTATAGGTGTGAGCTACCACACCCGGCCTGCTCTACTCATTTTATAGAAAAGGAAACAGAGGCTCAGGGAAGAGAAGGAACTTGTTAGAAGTCACACCACCAATAGCAGGGCTGGGATTAAAACCTAGGTCTTTCTACTCCCCAACCACTCTGCCTCAAACACTTGTGAGGGATTGAGGGGAAAATTGCTTAGGAACTAGGGAATCTGACCCATGAACACAGGTACTAAAATTTGTTTTTACCTTTTTGTTTTTCCTTGAGACAGAGTCTTGCTCCGTTACCCAGGCTGGAGTGCAGTGGTACAATCAGGGCTCACTGCAGCCTCCACCTCTGGGGCTCAAGCAGTCCTCCCACCTCAGCCTCCCAAGTAGCTGTGGGACTACAGCTGTGTGTCACTATGCCTGGCTAATTTTTTATTTTTATTTTTTGTAGATACGCGGTTTTGCCAATTGCCTGGGCTAGTCTCAAACTCTTAAGCTCAAGCAGTCCACCCACCTCGGCCTCCCAAAGTGCTGGGATTACATGCATTAACCACTGTGCCTGGCCCAATATTTATTTTTAATGGAAGACTGAAATTATACATTTATTTTCTACCATTAGCTATGTCTAGGACAAATAAAGCATGGATAAGAATTTTAATCCTAGTTAAGACAGGAATACCTTGGCTGGTTGAAGAGAAACAGCTCAGGTATTAGCTGTATTCTGTAGGGTTCATGAGAAATTAAGAGTCCAAGTGGTGGGAAGCCCCAAGGTTGTGGGGTTGGAGCATCCATCTTTGGAGATTACCAAAGCTATTTTTGCAACCAGTGATAAGGCTGTAGGCAGCAAGGGCAGGCAGGATGCCTGAAAGCTTAGTCCATTTTCATCTCCAAATAAGGAGGTGCAGAGCCAGATACCTTTCTTGAGTAGGTGGTGGGAGTTGGGGAGGAGATGAAACAAAGTACTCTCTGTCAACCTCATTCAAATTCTGCATAATCTGAAATAATGCTTTAGAGGAGGAGTATCCAGTTACATTGAACCACTACCTTTCTAATAATTGGAGAGTCAGCTACCTAGTTTGATTTCATATTAAAGTTCCAAGGGTGATTTTATTTTTAAGAGAGTCAGAAGACTAAAGGAAGTGACATAATCCTTCAGGTAGAGCATTAGGCTAGGCTGAGCGTTGTAGTTCTCCTGCCCCAGCATGGTTATCAGCATGTCATTTAGCTTTTCAGTTGTTTGTTTCCTCTCCCTATAGAAAAGGATAAGTGTTTCACAGAGATATTGTGAGAGTTGTCATTAAAAGGAAAGCATTCTGGATGGAAGGGCTCTTAAGTCAGCAGTCCCCAGCCTTTTTGGCACCAGAGACCAGTTTCCACAGACGGAGCAGTGGAGTGGGGATGGTTTCATGATGAAACTGTTTCACCTCAGATCATCAGGCGTTAGTTAGCTTCTCATAAGGAGCACACAACCTTGATCCCTCACATGTGCAGTTCACAATAGGGTTTGCGCTCCTATGAGAATCTAATGCTGCCACTGATCTGACAGGAGGCGGAGTTCAGGCAGTAATGCTTGCCCGCTGCTCACCTCCTGTTCTGCTGCCCGGCTTCTAACAGGCCACTGACCGGTACTCACTGGGGACCCACGCTCTAAGTTGTTGATCTCTAGAACCGATTTTGGAAAAGGATTTGCCTTATTGAAGAAGACAGGATCATTCTTCTTTCTTTCCCATTTAAGAATAATCGTTATTAAGAATATCGTTTAAGAATAATCGTTATTTCTCTCTTCTCAGACCTACTGAACGTGAACGAACAGAAAGGCTAATTAAAACCAAATTAAGGGAGATCATGATGCAGAAGGATTTGGAGAATATTACATCCAAAGAGGTAAGAGACCTTGAGTCCTTGTTTGTTCCAAGGCTAGCAGTGGGATAACAGTAGGTGTGGGGCTGGAAATAGTGCATGGTTGAAAGTACAGAGGGACTTTAAGAGATGGGTCCAATATATCATCTTTGTTTCAGATAAGAACAGAGTTGGAAATGCAAATGGTGTGCAACTTGCGGGAATTCAAGGAATTTATAGACAATGAAATGATAGTGATCCTTGGTCAAATGGATAGCCCTACACAGATATTTGAGCATGTGTTCCTGGTAAGTTTTAAAGCCACTTTAAGTGGTGTGCTAACGCTAGCCCATATGGACTCATGGGCAGGGGTAATTATTAAATTTTATTATACATAAATAAAATGTAACTTACTTTAAAGACAAAAGTGATAAGTACTCAAACCTCATCACTTCCTAATTATTTTATTACTTTTAGTGTGTGTGTGCGTGTGTGTGACAGTCTCGCTCTGTCGCCCAGGCTGGAGTGCGGTGGCACGATCTCGTCTCACTACAATCTCTGCCTCGCGGGTTCAAGCAATTCTCCTGCCTCAGCCTCCCGAGTAGCTGGGACTACAGGTGCATACCACCACACCCAGCTAATTTTTGTATTTTTAGTAGAGACGGGGTTTTGCCATCTTGGCCACGTTGGTCTTGAACTCCTGACCTCAGGTGATCTGCCCGCCTTGGCCTCTCAAAGTGCTGGGATTATAAGCATGAGCCACCATGCCTGGCCCTCATTTTTAATTTTATTTTTATTTTTGAAACAGGGTCTCGCTCTGTTGCCCAGCCTGGAGTGTAGTAGCACAGTCTCAGCTCAGTGCAACCTCAGCCTCGCAGGCTCAAGTGATTCTCCCTTCTCAGCCTCCTGAGTAGCTGGGACCACAAGCGTGTGCCACCAGCCCCCAGCTAATTTTTGTATTTTTTGTGGAGATGGGGTTTTACCATGTTTCCCAGGGTGGTCTCGAACTCCTGAGCTCAAGCAATCCACTCACCTAGTCCTTCCCAAAGTGCTGGGATTACAGGCATGAGCCATCGCACCTGGCCCCAAATTACCGGCATGAGCCATCGCGCCTGGCCCCAAATAGGATGATCCTTTAAGATCACTCTCAAATCTGCCAAATGTGTCTAAGTTCTGATATATCTGAGCAGAGCTGGTGGGAGCTACTATATAACTGAGAGACAAGAGACTACTGGACTTTCAAACATATGAAACCTTGTAGCTACACTTTGAGTCCCTACTTTTATGATTACCAAAAAATTGGTGACTAAAAATTGTTCTTCATGGTTCCTGAACATTTAGTGACCTTTTGTAATTAGCCCAAGGAGACCTCTCTGACAGGTAGATTTTGAAAGCTTCTAAAGTCTATTTTTCTCTCAAGTGTTAGAGTTTTAGTTCTTATCTGTACATTTAGTGGGAACAAAGTTAACAAGAATAATTAAAATCAATGGAGAATGCCAAAACCTCATTTTGTGTCCACTTCCCACACACTTTCACCAAAAATGCTTACAAGGAAGTAAATCAGTTGGTTTGAATTTCACTTCCTTTCTCTTCTTGAGGACGTTTATGAACTGTGAAATGATTAGAAGCTGGGAAACAGAAGAGAAGGAGAATAAATGCTCAGGAACTGACTAAACTGGATCCACCTCACTCTGAATATTCAAGAGTTTATTTCATGAGGCACTCAGACTATGCCTTTGAAGGCTTGTGCCCTGAAATAACTTGTTGACACTCTAGGATATATGTGTCTAGAGTGATTCATAGTGGTATATTAGCTATGAAATTACTCATGAAAAGCTGTGAGTTGGGAGGGGGACTTCTTTTCCATTACTTTAACTGACCAGTATGTGTTGGCATTTCTGGTTGTAGATCATACTGCAAAACTGTCATTGGCTTTTCCATTTGCAAGACACCTGGCTTTGTTGTCTCTTACATATACTTCCACAAGGATTCAGATATATCCTGCTCTTGTATTATTGGAAAGAATCTTTGTGTTATCTATAGAAAACTTGTGAGTCACTCGTTCTATGGGGCCCTCCCAACTGTTTCCCTGAGACTAATTTTTATGAAGGACAAATATCTGTAGTCAAAAGGAGCTCATGTGACTGAAGCTGCAAACTTGAAAGTCAAGTTTCCCATTGAGCTTGACTTTTAACACGTAAAAGAATATAGACATGATAAATATGAAATACAGTCAGATTCTGACTGATCAACCTGTTTTATTTCATGCATGCTTCCCTGTGTCTCTGGTGCCACCCACTCAAGAACTACTCCTCAAATGGTATATTTTAGGCCATGCAAGCAAATTTTAATAGTATTGTAAGCAGAAAAAACAATCTAATTTCCCCAAAATTACATTTCTCTAATCAACTACAAATGCATTTGAGCATTTGTGCCAGTAGATTAATACCATGATTTCATTATTGTCAGGTATAATCTTCTGTCTTGAGTTTTTTTCTTATTAAAAAAATAATTCTGGCCAGGTGTGGTGGCTCACACCTATAATCCCAGCACTTGGGGTGGCCAAAGCAGGAGAATCACCTGAGCCTGGGAGTTTGAGGCTGCGGTGAGCCATGATCATGCCACTGCACTCCACCCTGAGCAACAAAGAGAGAGCCTGTCTAAAAATAATGATAATCCATGTTCATTTTTAAAAATTTTAGAAGACAACAGATTATCATATTTATTTAATCATCAAGACTGATAATCACCATCATCTTTTATTATATAATATTGCCTTCCAATCTTTTTTTTTTTTTTTTGGAGACGGAGTCTCGCTCTGTCGCCCAGGCTGGAGTGCAATGGCATGATCTCAGCTCACTGCAACCTCCACCTCCCAGGTTCACACGATTCACCTGCCTCAGCCTCCCAAGTAGCTGGGATTAAAGGCACACACTACCACGCCTGGCTAATTTTTTGTGTTTTTAGTAGAGACGGGATTTCATTATGTCGGCCAGACTGGCCTTGAACTCCTGATCCTCCCGCCTCAGCCTCCCAAAGTGCCGGGATTACAGGCATGAGCCATCGCGCCCAGCCCCAATCTTTTTTACTTTTATTTATAGATGTACATATATATTTTTGTGTATACACACACAGATATGATACATTGTCTTTATTTTTTTAAAGAGTAGTTTTAGGTTCACAGCAAAATTGAGCAAAAGGTATAGAGATTTCCCATATACAACTTATCCCAACACATGCATAGTTTCCCCCATTGTCAACATCCTCCACCAGAGTGGAGTGTAACAAATGAGTGTAACATTTGTTACAGCACATTATTCTACATTGGCACATCATTGTAAACTAAAGTCCATAGTTTACAATAGGGTTCACTCTTGGTGTTGTACGTTATATGGATTTGGACAAATTTGTTGTCTGTATTCACTATTAGAGTATCACATAGAAGTTTTTACTTTTTAAATACACATCTGTGTACTTGTTTTGCACATCAGCATTGTGTATATATGTACATATTTTTGAACAAAGGAAAATCTCTTCAGCTTCAGGTATAATTCTGTATTCTAGAAAATGGACATTTTCTTTCTATTGTGAATATTTATTTGGGGGAAAAAAAACTTCAAAATTGAGGATCTCTGTAATTTAAATCCTACTTAACAAAGTAAATGCATGAACAGGTTGTCTAAACATCTTATTATACTTGTTCCTTGGTGGCTTCCTCCCTTTGTTTACACTGCCATATCCTATGTCCAACTCCCTATCTCTTCTCCATTGAGTCTTTGCCCTGCTGGCTTTCCTAGCAGTTGACACGGAAAAAGAGGCATTCTAGCTGCAAGTGGTGGTGTTGATTTTCTGCAGAGTCATCTCATCTTGCATAGCTGCCATGCCTGGAGCTCAACCAGATTGAGTAAAGAGAGGCAACAGGATTTCTCCTTCCCTTTGGAAGAATGCTCAGTTCTGCAGTGTACTGCACAGAGATCTGTTTATTAGGGAAAGTATCCAGCTGGTATGGAGTGGGAAAGTGTAGATTATAGCTTAAATAAAAGCTGCATTGAGAAGAGAGAATTGATTGGTGGGAAGCCAGGGTGTTTCTAGAAAAAGAGATTCTACACCCTTACAAGCATATCACTTCTCTGAGCTGGAAGCCTTTGCCCAACTAAGTTTCAGTATCATCAGCTCTCCTGGAGGCTGTCCGATTTGGCTGAGAAAAAGCTAGATGTTGATAGAGACCCTTTGCAGAAAAGCAGGCAAACAAGTATATTGGACACATAACCAATAATTTTGCTCATGAATTTGAAAAATAGAACTTTTACTGCTGATTATCTTTTTCAAGATTTGACATTACAAGATTTGACATCTTTTGGGAAAGTGTTTCCTTTTCATAAAAAAATTCAGCCTAGGGAGAGGATCAGGAAAAAATAGCTAATGAGTACTAGGCTTAATACCTGGGTGATGAAATAATCTGTACAACAAACCCCCATGACACAAGTTTACCTATGTAACAAACCTGCATATGTACCCCTGAACTTAAAAGTTAAAAAAAAATCCTCAAATTGGTTACTTTTAATGTAGATGAAGAGAAACAGAGGGTGTGTAAATAGGTGAGACAGTAATAGAAAGGATTATTTTATCACATTCATGATTTTTGTCCCTGAATGTGATAAATTCAGGAGGTGTGGCATAAATTTCTCTTAGAAGGAAAAGTTAATAAACAGCTTATGCCTGGTTGCCACAGTAATGTGACTTACAGTATTGAGGCTATAGGAATGATATGATAAAATATGGACAGAGATACCAGTCCTTGGATATTATGTCAAGTTATATTTATCTTAGCAGAACTCCCACAGTACAGTCCTTATTTGCTATAAATGTGCTGTAGTCTTCTATTTTCCTTGGACATTTGGACTCCAGCAAGGCTATTTCCTGAGGATAGCATGAAAAGAAATCAGTTACTTGGGTCTTTGGGCCAGCGTACAGTGCAAGGGAACCAGAGTAAAAGATGGAAATGAACTTACTTTAAAATGTATTATAGTCCAAAGGTTTCATTTTACACTTCAGTAAAATTAGAATATGCTTTGCATAATTACATAGAACATAATGGAAACCCTGGTAGAATTACGTCACCATAAGCCTATGAAGCATGGGCGGGGGGGAAATTGGGTCTGCAAAGAGCCCCGGAAGTCTAATATACATGGCATTTGTATTGAGTACAGAAAAGTAATTATACCAAGTGGTCTCTAGGTCTTTCAAACTGAACCTGAAGCAGCCCTAAGTGTAGCCCAAGTCCCTTTGTATGGGCTTCAGTGAGTCAGTAACCAGTGCCTTTAATTTATTTGCCAATGGATAGGTATCACTTCACATTGTCAGGTTGAACTCTCTCTGGACAGGTAGATGAAAACTAGGGACTTTATCCATCGTGTCAATGTTATTTTCATCTAACTGGACAGAGTTCCACGAAGGATTTAGATTTCTAAATTAAGAAGTGAGGTGGTCACATTTCGCTGGCTCCAGTTTAACTTCTCAGCCCCTATTGTTTGGCATCTGTCTCCTTGAAGTCCTTTGTAGTTCTTGGCTATTTCTTTGGTGCAGAAGCTTGTTTTCTAAGGTTGAGCAGAGCCTTCAGAGCCTCCCATATTTTTTTAAAACAAGCCAGCAGGGCTCTTGCCTGTACATCACCACTGACCTTTTCCTAAATGGAACTTCAGCACAGTGTCCTTGAGCTTTCCCAGTTCAACGGCCAGATTACAGATCACCTGTAATATGATAGTACTTACACAACACTTAACAATTTTCACAGTGCTTCATTTACTGGTCACATTTGATCTTCCAATTAACAAACGTTTGTCTATCCTCTTTATTGTGTGAGGTATGAGACTAGGTATTTGTACAGTCTGATCTAATTCTAGAAGGAGAGCATGATGAGCCATATCAGATAGATACTCAGAGAAGGCCAATGGAATAAGGATACAGTGGTGATAAGACAATTAGGAGAGGTCATTAGTAACATCAGCGAGAGTGATGAGGGCAGAGGCCCAAGTGCTATGGATGAGATACGTGGGAAATGAGGAAATAGAGAAAATGAGTATTTGCTTTTCTTTTTTTTTTTTTTTTTTTTTGAGATGGAATTTCACTCTTTTTGCCCAGGCTGGAGTGCAATGGTGCTATCTCGGCTCACTGCAACCTCTGCCTCTTGGGTTCAAGTGATTCTCATACCTCAGCCGCCCAAGTAGCTGGGATTACAGGCACGCACGCACCACCATACCAGGCTAATTTTTGTATTTTTAGTAAAGTTGGAGTTTCACCATGTTGGCCAGGCTGGTCTCAAACTCCTGACCTCAGGTGATCTGCCCACCTCAGCCTCCCAAAGTGCTAGGACTACAGGCATGAGCCACTGCACCCATCCAGAAAGTGAGTATTTGACTTTATTTCTATGAAGTCATGAAGGAAAGGGAGAAAGGACAGAGTCTGCAGGAGGATTTATGAGAGAGAGAGGGGTTTTCCATTTTAATATGGGAAAAACTTTGCATGTATAATTTGAGGGAAATGTACCCATTAAATATATACTACTGGGGTGGGAAGGGGTTTTCATTTTACAGATAAAGACAGAGAGGTTGGCCAGGCACAGTGGCTCATGCCTGTAATCCCAACACTTTGGGAGGCTGAAGCGGGCAGATCACAAGGTCAAGAGATGGACACCATCCTAGCCAACATGGTGAAACTCCATCTCTACTAAAAATACAAAAATTAGCTGAATGTGGTGGCGCACACCTGTAGTCCCAGCTACTCGGGAGGCTGAGGCAGGAGAATCGCTTGAACCTGGGAGGCAGAGGTTGCGGTGAGCTGAGATTGCACCACTGCACTCCAGCCTGGCGACAGAGCGAGACTGCAATCTAAAAAAAAAAAAAAAAGGAGAGGTTAGGCAGTTGGCCCTAATGTCCCCACCCACAGTAGGAAGGGCAGTCAGAACTTGAACCTAAGTCTTCTAATGCTAAATTCCATTAATGCCTCTAATTCTGAAAGAGTAAACTCTTATTATAAAATGTCTGCCCTGACCAGGCGTGGTGGCTCACGCCTGTAATCCCAGCACTTTGGGAGGCCAAGGCAGGCAGATCACGAGGTCAGGAAATTGAGACCATCCTGGCCAACATGGTGAAACCCATCTCTACTAAAAATACAAAAATTAGCTGGGTATGATGGTGCGTGCCTGTAATCCCAGCTACTCGGGAGGCTGAGGCAGAAGAATCACTTGAACCCAGGAGGTGGAGATTGCAGTGAGCCAAGATCACGTCACTGCACTCCACCTTGGCGATAGAGCGAGACTCCGTCTCAAAAAATATATATAAAATGTCTGGCCAGGCGCAGTGGCTCACGCCTGTAATCCCAGCACTTTGGGAGGCCAAGGCAGGCAGATCACAAGGTCAGGAGATCTAGACCATCCTGGCTAACACGGTGAAACCCCGTCTCTACTAAAAATACAAAAAACAAAATTAGCCGGGCATGGTGGCATGCGCCTGTAGTCCCAGCTACTCGAGAAGCTGAGGCAGGAGAATGGCATGAACCCGGGAGGTGGAGCTTGCAGTGATCCGAGATGGTGCCACTGCACTCCAGCCTAGGTGACAGAGCAAGTCTCGTCTCAAAAATAAAATAAAATAAAATGTCTGCCTTTTCAGAAGATATGAACAGATAGCTCAAAGATAGAAAATAGATCTTAAACAATGAAAAGTTGCTCACTTTTACTTCTAAGAGAAATGCAAATTGAAACTACACTGAGACACCTATCAGACTGGCAAAAATTCAAAAGCTTAACCACAGTTTATTGGAGAGGCTGTGGGGAAAGTGGTGCTCTGATGCATTGCTGGTGGGACCACAGAATTGTTTCAGCCTCTACGGAAGGAAATTTTGCAGTGTTTAACAAAAGTGTATCCTGCCTTTGACCTAGCAAACCTGCTTCCACAAATAAGAAATATCATTCATAGGAGACTAGTTGAATAAACTATTATATCAGTACTCATGAAGTACTATGCAGATGTAGGAAAAAATAAGATCTCTATGAACTGTTACATTTAGTGGTTTTGAGGATATATAAAATGAAATATATGTAAAATGAAAGCAATTAATAAAAAATTATGTGTAGCATATTAGTAAGAATTGGTAATATGAGTAAGAAGTAGCAATAAGCATATGTTTGCTTATATTTTTTCAAAATAGAGTAAATCAGAAACTAATGAAAATGTCACCAATAGGAATTAAAGAGATAGGAGTGAGAGTGAGACCTCTTAGTTTACTTTTTTTTTTTTTTTTTTTTTTTTTGAGACGGAGTTTCGCTTCTGTTGCCCAGGCTGGAGTGCAATGGCACAATCTTGGCTCACCACAACCTCCACCTCCCAGGTTCAAGTGATTCTCCTGCCTCAGCCTCCCAAGTAGCTATGATTACAGGCATGCGTCACCACACCTGGCTAATTTTGTATTTTTAGTAGAGACGGGGTTTCTCCATGGTGGTCAGGCTGGTCTGTAACTCCCAACCTCAGGTGATCCGTCTGCCTCGGCCTCCAGAGTGTTGGGATTACAGACGTGAGCCACTGCACCCAGCCTCTAAGTTTACTTTTTAATAAGCTTTTGACTTTTAATCACATAAAAGTTTTGTATGCCCAAAATATTAAATGGGAAAGAATAGAAAAAGCACTCTAAAATTGAATACAAGCCAGGTATGGTGGCATGCACTTGTAGTCCCAGGTACTCAGGAGGCTGAGGCAGGAAGATCACTTGAGGCCAGAAGTTCAAGGCTATAGCGCACAATGATAGCACCTGTGAATAGCCACTGAGCTCCAGCCTGGGCATCATAACGAGACCCACCTCTTAAAAAAGAAAATACAGCTGGGCACAATGGCTCATGCCTGTCTGTAATCCCAGCACTTTGGGAGGCCGAGGTGGGCAGATCATGAGGTCATGAATTCGAGACCAGCCTGACCAACATGGAGAAACCCCATCTCTACTAAAAATACCAAAACTAGCTGGGTGTGGTGGTGCGCACCTGTAATCCCAGCTACTCAGGAGGCTGAGGAAGGAGAATCAGTTGAACCCAGGAGGCAGAGGTTGCGGTGAGCCGAGATTGTGCCATTGCACTCCAGCCTGGGCAACAGAGTGAAACTCTGTCTCAAAAAAAAAAAAAAAATACAGATTGTGGGGAATTCTCCAAGATAACAGATGTGGAGTCTACAAAAATGTCGATATGTCAATATTATGAAAGACCCCCTCCCACACTCCCAAAGAAAGCAGAAGATGTACTGTTCTAGATTAAAGCTAGGCTGGGTGTGGTGGTTCACTCCTGCAATCCCAAATTTTGGGAGGCCAAGGTGGGGAGGATCACTTGAGGCCAAGAGTTTGAGACCAGCCTGGGCAACATAGTGAGACCCCATCTCTAAGAAACAAAAGTAAAAAAATTAGCAAGGCATGGTGCTGCCCACCTGTAGTCTCAGCTACTCGGGAGGCTGAGGCAGGAGGATGGTTTGAGCCCAGGAGTTCAAGGCTGCAGTGTGCCACTGCACTCCAGCCTAGGCAACAGAGCAAGACTCTGTCTCTAAAAAAAAAAAAAAAAAAAAAAAACAAAGTAGCCGGGCACAGTGGCTCACACCTGTAATCCCAGCCCTTTGGGAGGCCGAGGCAGGCGGATCACCTGAGGTCAGGAGTTTGAGACCAGCCTGACCAACATGGTGAAATCTCGTCTTTACTAAATACAAAAAATTAGCTGGGCATGGTGGCAGGCACCTGTAATCCCAGCTACTCGGGTGGCTGAGGCAGGAGAATCGCTTGAACCCCAGAGGAGGAGGTTGCAGTGAGCCGAGATTGTGCCATTGCACTCCAGCCTGGGCAACAAGAGTGAAACTCCCGTCTCAAAAAGAAAAAAGAAAGTAGGCTGGGCACAGTGCCTCACGCCTGTAATCCCCGCACTTTGGGAGGCCGAGGCAGGCGGATCACTTGAGGTCAGGAGTTCAAGACCAGCCTGGGCAACATGGTGAAACCCTGTCTCTACTAAAAATACAAAAATCAGCTGGGCATGGTGATGCATGCCTATAATCCCAGCTACTCAGGAGGCTGAGGCAGGAGAGTCACTTGAACCCTGGCAGTGGAGGTTACAGTGAGTCAGGATCATACCACTGCCCTGTAGCCTGGGTGACTCTGTCTCAAAAGAAAAAAAAGTGTAGCTAGAGGATAGAGACATGACAACTAAATGTGAAGAATTATCCTTGATTGAGTAAATATAAAGGACATTTTGGGGACATTTGTAGAAATTCAAATATGTATAGTGTATCAGGTTATTGTGTTAATGTTACATTTCTTTGGTATGATCATATTATGTAAGAAAATGTTCTTAGATGATACATGCTCAAGTATTGAATAAAGTGTCATGGTGCACAAAATGCTCTCAGATGGTTCAGGGGGAAAAAGTATGATATGTACTAAAAGAAAAGGGAAAGAAGGAAAGAAAGCAAATATGGCAAAATATTAATAATTGTGTCCTCCAGATCATCAGCAGAACCTCTTCCCCCAAAGTTTGCCATTTATCCCTATCTTAAAATTTTACATATAATGTTTCCCTCATTTGTTTGACAGAAGCTGCTATTTCAGTGTCTTCTCCTGCCACACACAAGTTCTGTCCTTTAACTCCTTAGATGCAACTTAATGCACTAAAAAGAGTGTGAGCGGCCCTGCGCGGTGTCTCACACCTGTAATCCCAGCACTTTGGGAGGCTGAGGCGGGTGGATCACGAGGTCAGGAGTTTGAGACCAGCATGACCAGCATGGTGAAACCCTGCCTCTACTAAAAAATACAAAAATCAGCTGGGCATGGTGGCGCGCACCTGTAATCCCAGCTACTCAGGAGGCTGAGGCAGGAGAATTGCTGGAACCCGGGAGGCAGAGGTTGCAGTGAACCGAGATCACGCCATTGCATTCCAGCCTGGGTGATGGAGCAAGACGCTGTCTCAGAAAAAAAAGAGTGTGAGCTTTGGAATAAGGTGTAGTTCAATGCATAATAATGCTGCTTTTGTTATCTGTAAAAATTCAGCAAATGTTTATTGAGCACCTGCCAGGTGCCAGGCACTGTGCAAGGTGCGTGGGTTTCCATAGGGAAGAAAAGAGCTGGTTCCCGACCTCTAGGAGCTTATATTAAAGGTAGTTAGAAAGTAAGCACATAAATAAATATATAGGTACAAATTGTGATACATGCTGTTGAGGAAAATAGGAGATTACTATGAGCAAGAATAACAGAAGACATCTAATTTAGATTGGATGATGGTTAAAGACACCTCTCCTGCTGTATGATCATGGGCAAAAATTATTTGAATTCTATGAGTTGGTTTTTGTATCTGTAAAAATGAAGATGAAAATAACATTCTTACTCTATCATTTGTGAAAACTAAATGTGATAACATATGAAGTGCCTGGCAACTTAAAGGGCACTGGTAGATGTTATTAGTCTTCTTTTTGAAAGTTCTTCTTCTCTCGCTCCTTTTCAAGTATTGTTTGGTTGATTTGCTAATACTCCTTAACCTTGTCTTTTTGGCTCCATAGGGCTCAGAATGGAATGCCTCCAACTTAGAGGACTTACAGAACCGAGGGTAAGCACACAAAGCAATAGCTGGCACCCCTGTGTAACAGAAGTCCCTGTTTTATCTTCATTTTCCCATCAAAGAGGTATCAGTGGGTAACTTTAATCTTAAGAGTTGCATCTGACTGATTCTAATCAGATGTAATCTAAGAAAAATAAAAATAGCTGGGCCGGGCACGGTGACTCACGCCTATAATCCCAGCACTTTGGGAAGCTGAGGCGGGTGGATCACAGGTCAGGAGATCAAGACCATCCTGGCTAACACAGTGAAACCCCGTCTCTACTAAAAATACAAAAAAATTAGCCAGGCATGGTGGCGGGCGCCTGTAGTCCCAGCTACTCAGGAGGCTGAGGCAGGAGAATGGCGTGAACCTGGGAGGCGGAGCTTGCAGTGAGCCAAGATCACGCCACTGCACTCCAGCCAGGGTGACAGAGCGAGACACCATCTCAAAAAAAAAAGAAAAAGAAAAACAGCTATTCTCCCTGTTTCGTCCCCCCACCTCCCAAGAATACCAGCTGCTTTAATTGAAGGGCTTTGAAGAACAAATGTGCAAACCATTGGTGATGTTTAAAATCAAATTTTTATTTTTATGCAAGAATACATAGAATTGCATATGTAGGGTTCACAGAGCTGTTCATTCAACATTGATTGAGCGTCTTCTGTGGGACAAAGTGCTAGGTGCTGGGGATCCACAGATAAATTAAGACTCAGTCCCTATCCTGTGTAGTAAGCTGCTTAAAGACTGTAGGTTATGGTTGTGAACTGGACAAGCTTCTGAAATTGAAGAGGACCTATCTTATATTAAGAAAACTGTCCCTAAGCAGCATGGTTATTAAGTTTGATTGTAACAATAGAGACTACAGTGAACATTCAGCAAGTAAAAAGCTGCCATTTTTCCCTTAGCTGATGCCTACTAAGTTTCTTATTGAAGTTCATTCACTTTAGGAGGTCAGCTAATCCCAATAAGAAAAGAGAAAATAAGGTCTGAAATTTGCCATGCTAACTCATTGTGGAAAGAGATAAGACCAGCTGAGACTCAGAGGTAGTGATGGTTGCTGGCTGCCTGTTTTCTCAGCCATAAGCCTCCTGGTTATCTTTACCATTAGTGGATAAATACTCCCTACTTTTTCCCCACATGAAAAGTATTTCATAATTGGCCAAATGAACTTGGAACAGGACTTAAGCCAAATGATTATACAAAGAATTCCGGGGGGTGGGGAGGGGAATCTGGTTGCTTAATTTAAAATTTGAAGTTAAATAAAACTTGGAAAACTTAATAAGAAAGTCTAGAGTTCTTCAAGGCAGAGACTGTATCTTAGTCTTGCTTATAGCTTACTATCTACCTAGCTCAGAGCTGTATAACAAGAGGGTGCTCAGTAAATGTGAATGAATGATAGGTATGTTCACACATATTTGAACACTGTGACTTGGCTGATGGCAGATAAGGAGAGAAAATCAATTAGCAAACTGTGTTGGGAATTCAGAGACCTCAGTTCTAATCCTGTATCTGCCATTTGCCTTATTTGGAAATGCCCCTGAAGCATAAGGACCCCATAATTCAACAAGATTAATAACATTGCATCTGCTTTATATACAAGAGTCTCCTTAAGATTTCTTTAGGAGTGGGACAATGTTTTTTACAAGCTTCTCAAGTCATCAAGCTTTAAAAATTCTGTAATTCTGGCCAGGCATAGTAGCTCACGCCTGTAATCCCAGCACTTTGGGAGGTTGAGGCAGGTGGACCACTTGAGGTCAGGAGTTCAAGACCAGCCTGGCTAACATGGTGAAACCCTGTCTCTACTAAAAATACAAAAAATTAGCTAGGTGTGATGGCAGGCACCTGTAATCCCAGCTACTCAGGTGGCTGAGGCAGGAGAATTGCTTGAACCCGGGAGGTGGCGGTTGCAGTGAGCTGAGATCATGCCACTGCACTGCAGCCTAGGCAACAGAGTGAGACTCTGTCTGGGGAAAAAAAAAAAAATCTGTACTTCTGGGAAACCTAGATACAGTGTTTAATATTAAGCCTGAGATGCGGTATAGCAGTGTTTGCCAAAAGCACTGGAATCATGTCATATATACATATGAATTTAGAATATAACCCCAGCTGGAGATGAGACCCATCATATCATTTGCTTCTTAGAAGGCTAAATTATAAAATGCAACTAACTGTATCTAGTTGTCTTTAAAAACAGTATGGTCAAATTCCCAGATAGCTACTTAGATCTTGTTTCTTAAATTCAGTGATTGTTAAATTTTAATATGTGAAGAATTACAGTTCAGGGATCTGTACACAAAACCACATATAGTGCTGCCTATAGATGACTTAATGGGATTTTCAAGGGTAATTTTGACATTAAGGCCATTTCCATCCAATCTGCTGACTTCAGAACCTTACCCAAAGTAAAATGTTACTCTGTATAGAGTCATTTGGTGCTGAGATGGGAAAAAAGTTTCAAGGAGTTTCAGTTCCAATTGGCAGTGACTGCCTACAGCTTTGTAATGAAAAGGATTGGGAAGCTGTGTCCTGCCTCTAGAAAGATAGTGCCATAATTTATTATGAGGTATGGGATTAGAGGTGGGAGATTGTTCATTTTTATTTTAAATAAAATAAGGAGGCCGGGCAAGGTGGTTCACACCTGTAATCCCAGCACTTTGGGAGGCCGAAGCAGGCAGACCACAAGGTCAGGAGTTTGAGACCAGCCTGGCCAACACGGTGAAACAGCATCTCTACTAAAAATACAAAAATTAGGTGGGAGTGGTGGCGCACACCTGTAATCCCAGCTACTCGGGAGGCTGAGGCAGGAGAATTGCTTGAACGGGGAGGCGGAGGTTGCAGAGAGCCAAGATCGTGCCATTGCACTCCAGATCTGGGCGACAGAGCAAGCCTCCATCTTGGGGAAAATAAATAAATAAATAATAAAATAAAATAAGGAAAGTGTGTTGCCTGTCTTTTTTTCTTTTTCCTTTTTTTCCTGTCACCCAGGCTGGAGTGTTGCCTTTTTTTCTAAAAGTTTCATTGAAATATAATTTACATACCATATGATTCACCCATTTTAAATGTATAATTTGTTGGTTTTTAGTATATTCATAGAGCCGTGCAACCATCACCACAATCCATTTAGAACATTTTTTCAACTCGGAAAGCCTGTACCCTTCAGGAATCACCTCCATTTTTCTTCTTACCCCTGCCCCAACAATCCCTAGAAATCACTAATGTTCATCAACTAACAAAGAGCCACTCTTCGGCTGTTTTGAATAATGCTGCTGTGACCATTTGTGTACAAGTTTTCAGATGGGCTTATATTTTTATTTCTCTTGGATTTATTATTTGGAAAGGAATTGCTGGGTCCTGTGGTAATTTTGTGTTTACCCTTGGGGAAACTGCTGTACTGTTTTCCATAGCAATTGCACCTTTTTTTTTGTTTTTGAGACTGAGTTTCACTCTTATTGCCCAGACTGGAGTGCAATGGCGCAATCTCGACTCACTGCAACCTCCGCCTCCCGGGTTCAAGCAATTCTTCTGCCTCAGCCTCCCAAGTAGCTGGAATTACAGGCACATGCCACCACGCCCAGCTAATTTTGTATTTTTAGTAGATACGGGGTTTCACCATCTTGACCAGGCTGGTCTCAAACTTCTCACCTCTGGTGATCCGCCCACCTCGGCCTCCCAGAGTGCTGGGATTACAGGCGTGAGCCACTGCGCCTGGCCAAGCTCGCTTTTTAAATTAAATAAAAAAAAAAATTTGTAGTAATGGGCTTTGATGCCAAGTTAAAACAGATTCAATTCGTGTCTGAGAAAATTTTTGGCCACTTGACCTTAACCACAGATTTGGTTAGCTATGGCTGCTTTCTTTTTCTGTATTCATTTCATTGATTTCAGAGTTTGGGTTTATGGAACTTCACATTTGTGCTGAGAAGGAAGCAATGTCTCAGAGAGAAATGAGTGAGTCCATGCTGTATTGTTGGAGTAAACTTAGACATCCAGCTATGTCTAAATCACAGCATTAAGAAAAGATAATATTTGGTAAATGGAGCTCAAGCATTTATTGAGATTGTGCAGTGAGAAAGATAATAGAAGACTGTTTTGATACAGAAACTCTCTTCTGCAAGCATCTTAGTGTGGAAGAATCTTCGGATACATCGATGCCATAGCAGCCAGTAATGCAGTCAAATGAGTTTAAGGGAGTTTTAAGTCCGGCTTTTCTCTGACCCTTCCAGTTCTGTCCTCATTTGCCTTTCATGTAGTTTAGAGAGAGTAATTGCACAAAGCCTAACAATCTGGCATTTAGAAAAATAGGAAGAAATCGTTATTCATTCTCTCTTTTTTCACTTGGGGTACATGTCAGTAGTCTGATTTTATACAGATGACTTTCAGAGAATAAATTGTATTGCTGACAATTTTAGTAACTGAGAAAGTGTCTGATTATGGACTCAAGTTGATTCTTTGGAGTAAAATATGAGGCATATTTTCAGAATACTATCAAGGATACGATTTTATAACTACATAAACTGAAAATGGAATTTAGATGTTGAACATGGTGAATAACTTTTTGCTTAATAATTCCCTGGTGCCCAGGTATGCCCAGGAACCCTGCTGTATCATTTCTCTAATAAATAAATATAACCTCTTAGTTTTTTAGCTGTCTTCATTATTTTTGTATTTAATTTCAGTCTATGGAATAAACAAGTTTTAAGTAAGAAAAAACAGTGCTGGGAATTGGATTTAGCCTGAGTAGTAGAGCACATATTCTCCCTTGGTTTCCTTGCAGGGTACGGTATATCTTGAATGTCACTCGAGAGATAGATAACTTCTTCCCAGGAGTCTTTGAGTATCATAACATTCGGGTATATGATGAAGAGGCAACGGATCTCCTGGCGTACTGGAATGACACTTACAAATTCATCTCTAAAGCAAAGTGAGTAATAGTCCTGCACAATGTTGTGATCTCTGTTCCTCTTGCCCCACCACACATGGCTGGGTCCTGAGGGCTATAGACAACTTACTGATGGTACTCAGGAAAAAGGAACTAAGGAAAGGAGGAGACTGAAATCTTTTTAATCCTAGGCAAAAGACTAGTGACTCACTTTAAGTAAAGTAAACCCCTAGGAGAAAGTAACCTCATGTTGGCTATTTCCATTGAGCACAGAATTAAAGAAAATAGACTTAAACTGCAGCAAAAGATACAGAAATGAGAGAAGGAAGAAATTCTGAATGAAATTAAGTTGCCAGTGGGGAGTTTTAAAAGTTATATCATAGAAATTATTTCAGATAGATAGAATACTGGTCCTCCCCGCTGAAGATAAGGAGACAAACTTTGGAAATCTTTTCCTACTCTCTTACTTTATTTTTATGATACTCTAAATGATGAAATTTTTCTGTGGCCCTTCTGTTGATGTCTTCCTTAAATTAGTTGGCTCTTCTAGTGAGAGTATTTTGTATTAACTTAGTGTTTGGTATTAATGTCAACACTGCCTTTTTGTTTTTAAGTCCTTGGGGATTTCCTTGCCAATCCTATTTATTCCTTTACTAGAGAGAACCATAAACGAGCTTGTTTGCCACATCTTCCTTCAGGTAGGACTATGTTCAAACCATCCCTGGCAGATGAGAAGTGCTTTTGTATTTAATTAAACTCCTTCAAAAATAATTTCACACTTCTCTTAAGGACCTTCACGGTCAGGAAGTTCTTCCTCTTAGTTTCTCTAAATCCTCATACTCTAGCTTTGAGCCTATTCCTTTATTCTCAGCAAGTACCTAAAAGAGTGTTTTATATTTTTGAATTCTGTTAATAAATTATTCCCAGTAATAATACCATTCATGGCATGCTTACTGTTCTCTCATGTAGTATTTTCTAAGATCCAGAGGGGCAGATGTTGTCAACATTCAGAGAGGTCAAATAAGTGGTGAAGATAGGACTTGAACAAAGATCTTGCTGAGACGGGAGGATCACTCGAGCCCAGGAGTTCAAGATTAGCCTGAGCAAGACTCCTATTTCTACAAAAAAAAATTTTTTTTTAATTAGCCGGTCACAGTGGTGCATGTCTGTGATACCAGCTTCTTGGAAAGCTGAGGGAGGTGGGAGGATCGCTTGAGCCCATGAGGTTGAGGCTGCAGTGAGCTGTGGTCGCACCACTGCACTTGAGCCTGGGTTTAGGGGGAAGAAAAAAAAAAACTTGTCTCATTTCAGAATCCAAGGGTACTGGAATAGTCTAGTTCTATAAGGAAAAGGTACTAGAAGGCTAGGCCCCAGTCCCAGTGAAAAGAAAGGCTAATTTTACTTAGGATTAGGGAGAGACGTACGGGGCACCCAGGCACAACTGAGGGCACTCACTCTCAGGCTTTTGCAAGCATGAATCAGCACCTAAGGGTGTGTATCTCTTAAAATGCTCCTATATCTCATCCTAATCAGGACCCTGATTTTTTTTTTTTTTGAGCCAGAGTCTTGCTCTGTTGCCCAGGCTAGAGTGCAGTGGTGCCATCTCGGCTCACTGCAACCTCCGCCTCCCAGGTTTAAGCAATTCTCCTGCCTCGGCCTCCTGAGTAGCTGGGATTACAGGCACACACCACCACTCCTGGCTAATTTTTTTGTATTTTTAGTAGAGACAGGGTTTCACCATCTTGTCCAGGTTGGTCTTGAACTCCTGACCTCGTGATCCACCTGCCTCAGCCTCCCAAAGTGCTGGGATTACAGGCATGAGCCGCTGCGCCCAGTCTGCCCAACTAATTTTTGTATTTTTAGTAGAGACGGGGTTTCACCATGTTGGCCAGGCTGGTCTCGAACCCCCAACCTCAAGTGATCCACCTGCCTCAGCCTCCCAAAGTCCTGGGATTACAGGTGGGAACCACCACACCCAGCCCCATACTGCATTTTAATTGTATGTTTCTCCCACTGAATCCTATCCTTTAGGATAAAAGCTGTATGTTACTTACCTTTGCATCCCAGCACTTTGCACATTGCCTTACACATATTGTAAATGCCTGGTAAATGTTTGCTGAATGGATTAAAGAAGCATAATATTAACATTGAATAATTAGTAGTGAGCTGCCTCACTCTACCCTACCCACACATTTGATTATAAATGTATATGAGTGTACCAAAGTGGAGAGATTGCATAGCAAGAAAATGGAAGAGCAGGACAGGACACTTGGAAAAATCTAGAAACCAACTTTTAAAATATCCCCACTATTGTATTTTCCTCTATTCTTTACCTCAATCCCCCAAACAAGGAAACATGGATCTAAATGCCTTGTGCACTGCAAAATGGGGGTGAGTCGCTCAGCCTCCACCGTGATTGCCTATGCAATGAAGGAATATGGCTGGAATCTGGACCGAGCCTATGACTATGTGAAAGAAAGACGAACGGTAACCAAGCCCAACCCAAGCTTCATGAGACAACTGGAAGAGTATCAGGGGATCTTGCTGGCAAGGTGAGTCAGTGACTTTCTCCAATTCTCCCTCCTTTTAAGTTCCCTAAAGCAAGATGAAGTGTCCTTCTCTGTAGCTACTTCTCAAGCTGATTTGGATGTGATATTTTTTCAAAAAAGACTTATTTCTCTATCAATCCAGTTTTCAAAACATAAGTGTAAGCATTTAAGATTTGCATGGGCTGGCCGGGCACAGTGGCTCACGCCTGTAATCCCAGCACTTTGGGAGGCTGAGGCAAGCGGATCATTTGAGGTCAGGAGTTCGAGACCAGCCTGGCCAACATGGTGAAACCCCGTCTCTACTTAAAATACAAATATTAGCTGGGCATGATGATGGGCCCCTGTAATCCCAGCTACTTGGGAGGCTGAGGCAGGACAATCGCTTGAACCTGGGAGGCAGAGGTTGCAGTGAGCTGAGATTGTACCATGCACTCCAGCCTGGGTAACAGAGCGAAACAACATCTCAAAAAAAGAAAAGAAAGATTTCCCTGGACACACTGCCAGTGGGATAGCTCTGCCCCATAAGGAGCAGTACCAAAAATTTTTTTTAAAGAAAAAAAAGAGTAGTATGGAAGATTAAGCATTTAATCTTTCAGGTTGATATAATTATAAAGGATGGAAATACTAAATATTAATACCACTTTTCAACATCTTATAAGACTAGGTTCAGCTGCCCTTAAAAAAAAAAAATGGATACCAGTGACTCTCAAGGTAATGCGAGGCTTAGCTGAAATTCTTGGAAATTTTTTGGCCCATTCATTCATTCATATTTTATTTGTATTTTTTATGTTTTTTGAGACAGGGTCTCACTCTGTCACCCAGGCTGGAGTGCAGTGGCACAGTCTCGGCTCGCTGCAACCTTTGGCCGACTCTTTTTTTTTTTTTGAGACAGAGTCTCGATCTGTCACCCAGGCTGGAGTGCAGTGGCGCGATCTCGGCTCACAGCAATCTCCGCCTCCCAGGTTCACGCCATTCTCCTGCCTCAGCCTCCCGAGTAGCTGGGACTACAGGTGCCCGCCACCATGCCTGGCTAATTTTTTGTATTTTTAGTAGAGATGGGGTTTCACTGTGGTCTTGATCTCCTGACCTTGTGATCCGCTCGCCTCGGCCTCCCAAAGTGCTGGGATTACAAGCGTGAGCCACCCCACCCAGCCTGGCCGACTCTTTAAAAAAAAAAATAAGTACCATCTGCTAATTTGGGTATTTCTTTACCTCAGTGCTTGTTTTCACTGAGCCTTCTCCAGTAATTTTGATCATGTGACAAATCAGCAGAATACGGATGTGTATAACTCCTTTGAGGTATGAAAGCACTTCCTAGAAACAATTCTTTCTTATTTAAAAAATATTTTGGCCGGGCGTGGTGGCTCACACCTATAATCCCAGCACCTTGGGAGGCTGAGGCGGGCGGATCACAAGGTCGGGAGTTTGAGACCAGCCTGGCCAATATGGTGAAACCCCATCTCTATTAAAACTATAAAAATTAGCCAGGCATGGTGGCGGGCACCTGTAGTCCCAGCTATTCGGGAGGCTAAGGCAGGATAATCGCTTGAACCCGGGAGACGGAGGTTGCAGTGAGTTGAGATCGCGCCACTGCACTCCGGCCTAGGCGACAGAGTGAGACTCTGTCTCAAAAAAACAATTTAATCCAATTATATATGCTTTTCAAAAATGCAGAAAATTGCAAAAGGAAAAAATAGTTAATGAGCTCAATACACACAGACAGCAGTTGACATTACCAGTTTCTCAAGGTTTTACTCTATCACATATTTTGGTGGCTATTTTCGCCACAAAAACTGTTCTGTAGTCTACCTCTCCACTCAGTACCAGGTCTTGAATGTCTTCCTATATCGGTAAGAACCAGCTGTTTTCAATAATAATTTGGTAATTGGTTATAAAATGAGTAATTAATTGCACTACGTTATTATCCCTTTGGTGGTTAAAGCCACCTTCAGCAGCAGGAACAAGCATCAGATATTAAGTGATTTAAGGATCAGTTTCCTGAGATGCTACATGCTGAAATTCTGTGGATTTCTAGATTCTGCTTTGTTTTTTCCATGTAGGTATATTCTAGGTGGTTTTGTTAGGGTGAAGGCACAGCTGTCTAGAAGCAGTTGGGGCTGGTGCCAGTGTTTGACTCCAGTGAGTCTTATGATTTGGTCTTGACTCTTGAATCTGGACTGTGTTTCCCCTGAACAAAATGTTACATAGCCTTCCAGCCTATCTGGGCAGAGGGATCACCCTCCCGCCCCCGAAGTATTGTGAAAATGTGGCCACAGCATAGCATTATGGTTTCCACTAAAAAACCCCTCCCATTTACTCAACATTTGGCATGATTTTATCTGAACCATTCTCTTAGGAGGCTGGGAGGATACTGAAGCGTCCTGTGTTTAAAATAATTTGTAGGTCTTTGGGGCCAGATTTTGATGGCATTTTTAGATTAGATCAGAAGGTAGGATGTAGCAGTTCTTTTTGGCACAAGAAAGAGGCATCTGAGCATTCAGCAAGAAATAAATATATATTCCCAGACACACATGACAGATGTTGGGCAGTGTCCTCACGTGACCCACTGAGAGAAAGGATACTACGTGTCCTGCCAATTTTAGTATTTATTCTGGAATCCCAGGCTTCTGCAAGCTGTTGGGTTGGGTTTTTTTAATGTGTGTGGTTTTCCTTAGTTGTTGAAGGAGTTTCAGAAAAATCTTAGATGAGGATAAGAAGGGCAGTATAAACCCAAAATCACCTTTTCTTCCCTTTCCCTTCCTTTTTTTGCTCCATCTCAGCTTCCTAGGCTTGATTCATGGAGGGAGGGACAAGCCCTGGGGAGAGAAAAGCACAGAATTTGAGTCAGTAGATCTGGTTTCCATTCCTGGTTCACCCTCTTGCTGCAACCCTGAGAAGTTACTTCACATTTCTCATCCTTACCTGACCCCATCTATAAAATGAAAATCAAGAGATCCATCTCACAGGGTTATTGTGAATAAAAATGTGTTTGAATGTTTATTACGTATTGTTGAGAGTTATTCAGATATGATTCTCATCTTCCTCCAAGGCTACCCAGAAGACACGTGTATGTGCCATTTATTTCCTCTTCCATGACATCACTACTGCCTCCTGCCACCCACAGACATATTCCATTCAAAACTGAAATGGGAAGTGTTCCTAGAATTTCCTATATTGTGGTGTTTTCTGGATTTTAAGTACTATCTAGTGCTAGGGATGTCACTTAGGCTGCTTTTGGCTGCAAGTAATCAATTACCTCAATCAGGATCTCAGCAAGAAACAGCAGACTCAGATTAGGATTATTTGAGGAGGGTTATTTATTTATTTATTTATTTATTTATTTATTTATCGAGGCAAAGTCTCACTCTGTCGCCAGGCTGGAGTACAGTGGCGTGATCTCAGCTCACTGCAACCTCTGCCTTCTGGATTCTCCTGCCTCAGCCTCCCGAGTAGCTGGGACTACAGGTGTGCGCCACCACGCCCAGCTAATTTTTGTATTTTTAGTAGAGATGGGGTTTCACCATGTTGGCCAGGATGGTCTCGATCTCTTGACCTCGTGATCTGCCTGCCTCGGCCTCCCAAAGTGCTGGGATTACAGGCGTGAGCCATCGCACCTGGCCATTGAGGAGAGTTTTATAAAGGGACTATTTACAAGTGTGGCATTGTAGTGGAATCAAGGGACTTGTATCAGCAGGGCTGTTTGGAAACAGCTCCTAGACCCAAAAAGAGAGGAAGCAGTTACTAGAACCTGGAAAGAGACTCTTGTTAGAGAAAGGCACTTTCAGAGGCAAGCAATAACTTTCTGTCAGAGGGACACAGCTAGCCTGAGGTAGCCCCGTGCTGAGGGAGCTAGGGGAGTAAATACCTTGCCCTCACTCTCTTTCCTCCAGTCTCCTTCCAGAACTCCCCAATAGCCAAACCCTCTGGAAGTCAGAAAACTAGGGGCCCTGTTGTTGTGCTGCCTCCGCAGCAGCAAACAGGGTGGAGAAGCTGAAGAGTGGACCCTGCAGGGCAAATAAAAGATAAAAGTTGTACCACTTATCATCTCCTTTAAAAAGAAACAAAAAAGTAGTCTCTGTAGTGGCTCAGTGGTAATGTAATCATGGACTCTGGTGTTCTACAGCTTTCTGTTCCACCTTCCTTAGTTAACAGCTTGGTCCTTGAGGTTGTCTGACAATTGCCAGATGTCTGCCACATCTCTAGGCGTCTGTAAATTGTACAGCATCTGGCTGAAGAAAAGGGGCATTTAAACTGGATAGGAAGACCTTCCCCAAAAGCTCCCCACCCATTGCCTAGGACTGGGTCATATGGCCAAGAAAATAGAATTTCCAGGACTGGATAAAACATATTCACAGCCGGGCACGGTGACTCACGCCTATAATCCTAGCATTTTGGGAGGCCGAGGCGGGTGGATCACTTGAGGTCAGGAGTTCGAGACCAGCCTGGCCAACATGGCTAAACCCCGTCTCTACTAAAAATACAAAAATTAGCCAGGCATGGTGGTAGGCGCCTACAAATCCCAGCTACTCGGGAGGCTGAGGCAGGGGAATCATTGAACCCAAGGTGCAAAGGTTGCAGTGAGTTGAGATCACGCCACTTCACCCCAGCTAATCAGGAGGCTAAAGCAGAATGGCATGAAGCCGGGAGGTGGAGCTTGCAGTGAGCTGAGATCATGCCACTGCACTCCAGCCTGGGTGACAGAGCGAGACTCCGTGTCAAAAAAAAAAAAAAAAGCGTATTCACATTTATCCTCTGGATCTAGGGAAGTGCCACATTTCCTGAACCCATGGGACAGTGAACACCCAAATCAAATCAGGCCTCTGACAGTAAGAAAAATGGCTGTTGGATATATAGCTGTTAGGGTCTGCAATCTATGATGTGTTATTAGGACACCTTGGTACTTGTAGGCTAACTGCCAAGTGAATAGGCCCAGCAGACTCGCCCAGCACCAAAGTACCACTCCAGATCTGCCTGCTTAGAAGAGCAAAGAAAAAAATCTCCAGACTCCTATGACTGTATGAAGCTCTATCAAGCCTTGCAATTTAGGTAAGCAGGAGAGGAAAATCCTTAGAAAAATCTCTCATTGTTTGCAGAGAAAGTCCATTTCCTGTCCAAGTGTTTAGATCTTGCATTTTATATTTTATCCCAAGAGGCCTGTGGTGGTTTTCTCAAAGAGGCAGAGCCCTGATCCTAGCATTCGGTAGCTCCATGGTTATCCAGGGTGGCCCTGGGTATTTAATTTGAGGTGGCAGCTCTCTGTTTGAGGGCATTCACTTAGTGCTTTGGCCTTAGTAGAAGAGAAGTTTTCAAAGTGACTCCAGGCTCCTGTACTGATTTGTGAATTGGTTACAGTCTTAATCAGAGTATGAGGGTATGGGCCAAGCCCCTCTGAAATACAAGGGACTTTTTGCACCTCCCAGTATATCATTAAGAGCCTGGAGAAGGCTAATGTTTAATATTTCCCTTTAGACCTAAAAAGAAGGGTATCATAAAGCTACTTATAGCATTTATATCTGATTTTATTTTTTCTGTTTTTATAGATGGGGGATGGGAGCAAAACAAGAGGCGGTGGGGGGGGTGGTGTCTGTGTGTGTGCCTGTGTTTTAAAACTCCATTAAACTGCCAGCAGCCCTGTTTGTTATTCTGCACTCTGATCATGCAGGTATCTGGCAGATTTATGTTCCATTAGAGAGGTTTAGATTTCAAGCAGACCATTTGCAAGTTGGACCGTGTGTCTGTGGTATTAGGTTTCAGTGTATAGGGGGCAAGGAAAAAAACCTGGGTGGTGACCAGGGAGAGTCTGTGCCATGTTTCCTCAGAAATGTCAGTTTTGATTCTTTGAGTGCCCCTGTCACAAGGGCCAGAGGAGGCAGGGTTGTCTTTTACCCTGGCTTTGCTGGTGGAGACACTGAGGTCTAGTTAGCTGATGCACATTGGTCAGCTGGCAGTAGGCAACCTGAGAAGGAAAGATGTGGACTCCTGGTCAGGTGACAGCCAAGAGCAATGGAGATTTAAAAGGATTTTCTTACTAGCTTTCCAGTTAAATAATCTTAAAGCATCTTGGGCGATGCACATCACACAAAAAAATATTCAGATAATGCTTTTTCTCTTCCTTTATACAGGCTGCCTAATACCCCAAAAAGTAACTATAGGCAGCCTGATTTTACTATAACTCCTGGCCCTCTTTTTTTAAAAAAAAAAAAAAAAAAGACAATGTCTATATTGCCCAGGCTAGTCTCACTCAACTCCTAGGCTCTAGGAGTGATCATCATGCTTTAGCCTCCTGAGTAGCTAGATTACAGGCGCAAGTACTCCATTTTTAGCAGCCTTTTCCTTTATATAACTTTCTCAGAGTTGATGTTTCACCAAACACGTAACAATATGAAAGTGGAGGCAAGATAATGGGACGACTTATGCATCTGTCATTTAAATTTCCTTCTTCTTGTGCTCACTTGGGCAGCACATACACTAAAATTGGAACTATACAGAGAAGATTGGCATGGCCCCTACACAAGGCTGACAACTTAAAAATATTTAAAAATAAAAATAAAATTTCCTCTTGTTCATTAACTAGGTAAAAGGCCAATTATTTCCCAGAATGACCTCATCACCTTATGTATGTCTGTGTCTTTATATGAATCCAAATTCAGGTCAGAGGCCACTCAAGGGGGAAAAGGATCTGAGACTTGGTTATATCATCCAGGATACAGACCAACTCTGAAGTTCCTTTTTGGCAAGCTGTTTATTTGCTGCCTGCCTGGAAGGGGGTGGGAGGTGGGGAGTCGGCCGAGTTTAAAATTTAATAGTTTAAAATAATAGATATGATCTAATACATTACATCTATTCCTACCAGTGATGAAGTGTTAGAATAAACTGTCTCAGGACAAAGCTTCATTGGAAAAAAACAGTTTAGTGTAACCGACTAAAACATGATGAGGCCAGGCGTGGTGGCTCATATCTGTAATGCCAACACTTTGGGAGGCCGAGGCGGGCAGATCACTTGAGGTCAGGAGTTTGAGACCAGCCTGGTCCAACATGGTGATACCCTGTGTCTACTAAAAATACAAAAATTAGCCAGGCATGGTGGCGCATGCCTATAATTCCAACTACTCTGGAGGCTGAGGCAGGAGAATTGCTTGAACCAACAGAAGGGAAATAAATTGTGGCATACTCATTACACTCTGTGGATTACCTTTATACACAGTGATGAATCTTTAAAAAAAAAATCCATTGGTGAAGAATATATACAGTGGGATACCATTTATATAAAGTTCAAGACATGCAAAACAAAGCAGTATTAGGAACAAAACATGTTGACACTATAAAGAAAAAAAAAGGGAATGATAAGCACAAAATTCAGGATGGAGGTTACCCTTGAGTAGGGAGGAGTGAGGAGGGGACCCCTGAGTGAGAAGTGACACGTGGAGTAGCAGTGTTTCACAGGCAATGGAGATGAATCAGCTGCTTGCCATTCTCCCTCCAGGTCCTATTGCAAAAATGAAAACAAGGCAGCAGCATCAGACCTATCTTTAGATTGTTTTTTTTTTCTCTCTCTTTTACAAGTGTCAGTTTAATTCCAGAGCCCTGGCCCAGTATTTTCTGATGATTTTCTCCCCAAGGAAGAGAAGGAAATCCCTGCTGGTTACACAGCTGCGATGTCAGACTTCCTCTGAAACATGCACTGTTGCTGCCTATTAGCATAACTTCAGTCTCTCATTCTCTCCTGACTGATTAGTGATCTGCAGGCAGTTTAAAAAACATACTTTGGAGGGGCCGGGCGTGGTGGCTCACGCCTATAATCCCAGCACTTTGGGAGGCTGAGGCAAGCGGATCACGAGGTCAGGAGATGGAGACCATCCTGGCTAACACGGTGAAACCCCGTCTCTACTAAAAATACAAAAATAGCCAGGCGTGGTGGCGGGTGCCTGTAGTCCCAGCTACTCAGGAGGCTGAGGCAGGAGAATGGCGTGAACCCGGGAAGTGGAGCTTGCAGTGAGCCGAGATCGCGCCACTGCACTCCAGCCTGGGTGACAGAGCGAGACTCCGTCTCAAAAAAAAAAAACAAAAAAAAAACATACTTTGGAGGATTCTTGGGATCATTAAACTTCTCATTTTGCCTGTTCTGTTATTAGAAGAGTGAAAACAGCCACCCCCTGAGAGGTCTTCCCAGTGATTTGCATCCCAGGCATTGTCCTACTATGGTGGGTGAGAGAAGCTGGTGCAGGTTTGAACATCCTCATGATAGGTGAGGGATAGAAATTGGGGAATACACTCATATTTATTTCAGGAAACAAGGATGTCTGCATATAAGAGAAGAAACTTTAAAAGGAAACCACTGGCCTCAGTTGGTCATAATGTACAACTTAGGCCCCACCTATCCAAACAGTCAGCTTGCCCCTCCCCACAGCCACTCACTTGAGATGCGTGATATGTTGTCTCCTCCTAGGGGTGGCTGGAGCTCATGCAGCTTGGAAAGGGTGAAAACCCCATCTTATACCCAGCTGATTGATTACAGCTTGTCTTCATAAAAAGATTGACCTGCTCCTTCCCAGGAAAGCACCCCTTTGCTGTGCAGGCATGAGTCAGAGAGAGCCCCACCCAAGCAGCAGACAGGCAGGGGGAGCTGAGAGCAGGTGCAGAGTTGAGAACAAACAGGGGGTCACATTAGTGCAGGCGCCTGAGCATGACTCGGCAGAGCCCAGGCGTGGCCCGGAGCCCAGGGCAAGTTGTTTTGGGCTGAGTTTCCCATTCCACCCTGCGGTTTGGTAACTCCTCATCAGCTTGTAAGTCATGGAGACCACACCCCCAAGGACCATACTTAGTGACCTGTTTCCTGGGCAGATGAACCTGACCAACAAAAGGGCCACCGTTCTCTTTTTGGCTGGGGTTTTGGGAACTGTTTAAGAGTGTGTGGTTTGAAATGAAATCTCCTCCCTACCTCAGACCTCTTTCATAAAATGGTGATGGAGGGGAGTCTTCCTTTGGCCCACCTGCTTTTTCCACGTGTCTCCTTAGCTTAATGATTTTTACCCAGAGATTCTTCTGAAAGGGCCTATCCTTTATGCTGTTCCCTTCATTCTGTTACTAAGCTTTCTCTCCAAATTTACTAGCCGTTCCTTTGCTTTCTGATTCCAGAATGCTTACCATCAGTTCTTCATCCTAGTTATGAGGACTTGGTAATAGGTTCCAACAGAGTATTCCCTTTGTGTTACTTGTATGTTTTGATTTTAGTAGGTTTTTTTCTGATTATAATTTTTAAACATGCCCATTTTTTAAATTCAAAAATTGTAAAAATATAGAGGCCAGGCTTGGTGGCTCACTCCAATAATCCCTGAGGCCAAGGCAGGAGGATCACTTGAACCCAGGAGTTCAAGACCAGCCTGGGCAACATAGTGAGACCCCCATCTCCACAAAAATAAAAAATAAAAAAATCAGCCAGGCGTGGTGGCAAACACCTGTAGTCCCAGCTACTACTAAAAGGAGGCTGAGGCAGGAGAATCACCTGAGCCCAGGAGGTTGAGGCTGCAGTGAGCTCTGATCGTTTCACTGCACTCCAGCCTGGTGGCAGTGTGATACCCTGTCTCTGTGTGTGTGTGTGTGTGTGTGTGTGTGTGTGTGTGTGTGTGTGTGTGTGTGTAAAATATAGAAAGTAAAAGCCTTCCCCAGAAGTATTTCTACCTTTCTTGAAAGAATCACTATTATCAGTTTGGTGATGTTCCTCCAGATTTTTTCCTATATTATTCTAACATAGACACTAATTTCAAATGTGTTTGAGGTTTTTTTTTTTACTGAATAGTATACCTTGTATATCATTCCACTAAAATACCTGACAGGTTTTTTTTTTCCTTTTAGTTTTTTTTTTTTCTTACCACAGAAGATTTCTGTAGACCTGACAGCTTTTAACAGCTCCACAGCATATAGTTGTATGGATTATAATGTAAATCCTTTTTTGTTGTTGTTTGGTGTCTCATCTTTTAGTATCACAAATAGTGTCATAGTAAATATCTTTTTTTGTTTATTTGTTTGTTTATTTGAGATGGAGTCTCGCTGTGTCACCCAGGCTGGAGTGCATTGGTGCAATCTCGGCCCACTGCAACCTCTGCCTCCCGGGTTCAAGGAGTTCTCCTGTCTCAGCCTCCCGAGTAGCTGGGATTACAGGTGCCCGCTACCACTCCCAGCTAATTTTTGTATTTTTAGTAGAGACGGGGTTTCACCATGTTGGCCAGGCTGGTCTCGAACTCCTGACCTCAAGCGATCCGCCCGCCTTAGCCTCCCAAAGTGCTAGGATTACAGGCATGAGCCACGGCAGCCGGCCAGTAAATATCTGTATATATCTTTCTTTATTTTTATTTTTTATTTTTTTTTTGAGACAAGGGATCACTCAGTCACCCAGGCTGGGTGCAGTGGCACAATCTCAGCTCACTGCATCCTCACCCTCCTGGGTTCAAGCAATCCTCCCACCTCAGCCCCCTGAGTAGCTAAGACTACAGTCATACGCCACCACACCTGGATAATTTTTTATATTTTTGTACAGATGGAGTTTTACCATGTTGCCCAGGCTGGTCTCGAACTTCTGGGCTCAAGCGATCTGCCCGCCTCGGCCTCCCATGAAGTGCTGAGATTACAGGCGTGAGCCACCTTACCTGGCCATATGGATATCTGTGTGTACTTGTAGTAGTATTCCTCCAAGAAAAATGTATTAAGGAAGAATTGTTGGTTAAAGGGTTAAATTTGGAGAGCTATTGCCAGATTTCAGTCTTTAAAATCTACAGTTCAGCTGGGTGTGGTGGGGGGCCAATGTGGGCATATCACTCGAGGTCAGAAGTTCAAGACCAGCCTGGTCAACATGGCGAAACCCCATCTCTACTAAAAATACAAAAATTAGCCAGGCATGGTGGCATGTTCCTGTAATCCCAGCTACTCGGGAGGCTGAGGTGGGAGAATTGCTTGAACCTGGGAGGCAGAGATTGCAGTAAGCCGCTGCACTGCAGCCTAGGCAACAAAGCGAGACTCTGAAAAAAACAAAAAACAAAAATTCTGAATTCACATTCCTCCTACCAGTATATGAGAGGGCTTGTTTAGCCATACCATCATCAACACTGGCTGTTACCAACCATTTTAATTCCTGTCAGACTGATAGGTAAAAAAAACTCACACTCATTTGTTGTTGTTTTGCTTTGTTTTTTGCTATTAAATTGTCTTTTCAAACGTTTATTGCCTAGTTCCATTGAGCAATAACAAAGCATTTTTACAAGTTAAGATTTATCTGGGAGTGTTTTCCTGGGAGGGTGTTGATTATCTTTACAAACCAGATTAAGATACTTCCTGTGTATGTCCTCCACAGCAAACAGCGGCATAACAAACTATGGAGATCTCATTCAGATAGTGACCTCTCAGACCACCACGAACCCATCTGCAAACCTGGGCTAGAACTCAACAAGAAGGATATCACCACCTCAGCAGACCAGATTGCTGAGGTGAAGACCATGGAGAGTCACCCACCCATACCTCCTGTCTTTGTGGAACATATGGTCCCACAAGATGCAAATCAGAAAGGCCTGTGTACCAAAGAAAGAATGATCTGCTTGGAGTTTACTTCTAGGGAATTTCATGCTGGACAGATTGAGGATGAATTAAACTTAAATGACATCAATGGATGCTCATCAGGGTGTTGTCTGAATGAATCAAAATTTCCTCTTGACAATTGCCATGCATCCAAAGCCTTAATTCAGCCTGGACATGTCCCAGAAATGGCCAACAAGTTTCCAGACTTAACAGTGGAAGATTTGGAGACAGATGCACTGAAAGCAGACATGAATGTCCACCTACTGCCTATGGAAGAATTGACATCTCCACTGAAAGACCCCCCCATGTCCCCTGATCCTGAGTCACCAAGCCCCCAACCCAGTTGCCAGACTGAAATCTCAGATTTCAGTACAGATCGCATTGACTTTTTTAGTGCCCTAGAGAAGTTTGTGGAGCTCTCCCAAGAAACCCGGTCACGATCTTTTTCCCATTCAAGGATGGAGGAACTGGGTGGAGGAAGGAATGAGAGCTGTCGACTGTCAGTGGTAGAAGTAGCCCCTTCCAAAGTGACAGCTGATGACCAGAGAAGCAGCTCTTTGAGTAATACTCCCCATGCATCAGAAGAATCTTCAATGGATGAGGAACAGTCAAAGGTAAAAACTGTCTTTATAGTTTTCCGCCTAATGAAGTTCTCTTCAAAGGTAAATTATTTGGGATTATGTTATGTTTGTTTTTGATGGAGAGTCTGGCTGAGGTTTTCTTTGAAAACTTAGGGTTTAAATATTTTTTAAATAATTTGCCTTTTGGGAATTTACCTTTCTGGTGTCATTGGAAGCACTTCTAAGAGGGGATGACAGAGGAAGGAGTGAGCCAAAAACAAGTGTCCTGGCTGAACAACGAGAAGTCCAAAGATGACCAGGCGCGGTGGCTCACACCTGTAATCCCAGCACTTTGGGAGGCCAAGGCGGGCGGATCACAAGGTCAGGAGATCGAAACCATCCTGGCTAACACGGTGAAACCCCGTCTCTACTAAAAAATACAAAAAATTAGCCAGGTGTGGTGGCGGGCGGCGCCTGTAGTCCCAGCTACTCGGGAGGCTGAGGCAGGAGAATGGTGTGAACCCAGGAGGCGGAGCTTGCAGTGAGCCGAGATTGTGCCACTGCACTCCAGCCTGGGCGACAGAGCAAGACTCTTGTCTCAAAAAAAAAAAGAAGTCCAAAGATACGCAGTTAATATCAGATCTTAACAAAAAAATGCCAGGGACTCAGATGCTGCCTGAGTGAGAGCTGTGTCTCTGAGAAGATAGATTTGTTTGGGAAATTCTTATTGTCTCAGAAAAGTCAAAGACTAGACATGTGTGAATAGTTGTTACAGTAGCAACTGCTTCCCATGCTGAGTTCCTGCTATTAATAATGTGCTGGCCGGGCGCGGTGGCTCACGCCTGTAATCCCAGTGCTTTGGGAGGCCAAGGCGGGCGGATCACAAGGTCAGGAGTTCGAGACCAGACTGACCAACATGGTGAAACCCTGTCTCTACAAAAAATACAAAAATTAGCTGGGGTGTGGTGGCGCATGCCTATAATCCCAGCTACTCAGGAGGCTGAGGCAGGAGAATCACTTGAACCTAGGAGACAGAGATTGCAGTGAGCCGAGGTCGTGCCACTGTACTCCAGCTTGGATGACAGAGTGTGACTGTCTCAAACAATATCATAATAATAATGTACCTGACTTCTTCATCTCCAATGCTGTGGTACTCAAGAATCAAGGGGAAGGCCAGGCTCAGTGGCTCACGCCTGTAATCCCAGCACTTTGGGAGGCTGAGGCAGCCAGATCACGAGGTCAAGAGATCAAGACCATCCTGGCCAACATGGTGAAACCCCATCTCTACTAAAAATACAAAAATGAGCTGGGCGTGGTGGCGCGCACCTGTAGTCCCAGCTACCTGGGAGGCTGAGGCAGGAGAATCGCTTGAACCCGGGAGGTGGAGGTTGCAGTGAGCTGAGATCATGCCACTGCACTCCAGCCTGGCAACAGAGCGAGACTCCGTCTCAAAAAATAATAATAATAATAATAATAATCAAAAGGAAATGAATTTGCCAGCAGACAGAATCCTAAGATTCTTCTTTGTGGCATAGGAGCTCTTACAAGCCATCTCAAACCAGGAAAAGAATCACTATATCGCATCAATTCTAAGACTCATACTCATATTTTGACACTTCTGACATCTTATATACAGCAGTGTCTTAAATCATTACAATACAGTAGTTGGGAAATAAACTGTGACAGATTGACTCTAACATACCAAACTTCACCTAATGATTAGTGGAGCTAGTCATAGATTCTTTGCCTCTCCTGATGTCTGTCTGCTTATATTTACCGCTTTGTCCGTTAACGATTTGTTCTCTCTCCTTAACTACCCCACTGTGATTCTTGACTCTGCTTTTGTCTTTTCACCACATGCAAAGCTGTGCCCCTGTTTCCTTTCTACTGAGAAGGCAGGATGCTTGTGCTCTCCTTTGGACCATTGACTGTAGCAGCACTGACAGAAATAGCCTTTCTGCAAAGTCCCTGGTCATATGAGCCCTCCCTCCATGGCCCATGCACATACTGGGCCCACTGTGGCTTCTCTCCCATTCATGGCAAGTTTGCCTCTGCCTGATGTCATGGCACATTTCCCCCAAAGGCATTACTGACCTTGTTAGATTGTACTAACTCTGACTCTTTTGAGGGAGAAAAACCAGAACAGTTCCAGGGAAATATACTTTGAAGGCTTATAAAAATGTTAACTAGATTGATACTCATAATGATACTACTTTAAGAGGTGTCCAAGGGCTATTCCCAGATTTTGATATTCTTTTGTTTTTTTTACAGTAGGACCTGATTTTGCATTGGTCAGTATTCTTTGGCCTTGTTCTAAATCCACCTGGGAATTTATAGCTGGTAAAATAGTAAAATATTAGAGAGTTATGGTTTCTAAGTTTGCTAAGGCATGTGGCTGTGTAAGCCAAGTAAACCTTTCCCAGAAGGAACCATGTGAAACTTAGAGATTATGTAGTCAGACAGTGCATTCTCCCTGCTTGTAGGTACTGGGATGTTGCTGCTAGGGGAAGCAGTGAGAGGATTTGGGTGAAAGCTAGCAAGACAGAGGAGTGAAAGAGAGCAGTGAGTCTCCAAATCAGACATCAGGTGATAGCCTCGTCCATCTTGCTCTATCACTGGGACATATCTAAGGACATATCTTAGCCCTTAAATGGAACTCTTTCCCTCAGATAGGTTAGGATCAAACTAGAAGTTGATAGGCCACGGGGGAAAGGTTTCATTTACTATAGTATGGCCTGAACCTGGAGGCTCATAGTCTTAGGAAAATATAGATTATAGGAGCCTCCAAAAATATTTGCTGTTCATTTGGGAGCAAAGTATTGGATTGGAATTCTGCTTGAGTAAACAGAACAGAAAGTTTAGTAGAGAGTAACACAAGCTATAACAAATGTTATGTCTAGCCTTGATGAATCCAGTTTTTTCTTGTAGTCTGACAAAACAGATGGGCAGAGTGTGGTCCCAGGCACTCCATGATTTGTATTCTCTTAGTCAGATAGGTTGTCCTGGATCAGAGGATTAATAAGCAGAAAATCCAGCATTTTCAATTAGACTACAGTTTGCCATAATCTTCTCACTACTTTCTCTTCTTAGGCAATTTCAGAACTGGTCAGCCCAGACATCTTCATGCAGTCTCACTCGGAAAATGCAATTTCAGTCAAAGAAATTGTCACTGAAATTGAGTCCATCAGTCAAGGAGTTGGGCAGATTCAACTGAAAGGAGACATCTTACCCAACCCATGCCATACACCAAAGAAGAACAGCATCCATGAGCTGCTCCTTGAGAGGGCCCAGACTCCAGAGAACAAACCTGGACATATGGAGCAAGATGAGGACTCCTGCACAGCCCAGCCTGAACTAGCCAAAGACTCAGGGATGTGCAACCCAGAAGGCTGCCTAACCACACACTCATCTATAGCAGACTTGGAAGAAGGGGAACCAGCTGAGGGGGAACAAGAGCTCCAGGGCTCAGGGATGCACCCAGGTGCCAAGTGGTACCCTGGGTCTGTGAGGCGAGCCACCTTGGAGTTCGAAGAGCGCTTACGGCAGGAGCAAGAGCATCATGGTGCTGCCCCAACATGTACCTCATTGTCCACTCGTAAGAATTCAAAGAATGATTCTTCTGTGGCAGACCTAGCACCAAAAGGGAAAAGTGATGAAGCCCCCCCAGAACATTCATTTGTCCTCAAGGAACCAGAAATGAGCAAAGGCAAAGGGAAATACAGTGGGTCTGAGGCTGGCTCACTGTCCCATTCTGAGCAGAATGCCACTGTTCCAGCTCCCAGGGTGCTGGAGTTTGACCACTTGCCAGATCCTCAGGAGGGCCCAGGGTCAGATACTGGAACACAGCAGGAAGGAGTCCTGAAGGATCTGAGGACTGTGATTCCATACCAGGAGTCTGAAACACAAGCAGTCCCTCTTCCCCTTCCCAAGAGGGTAGAAATCATTGAATATACCCACATAGTTACATCACCCAATCACACTGGGCCAGGGAGTGAAATAGCCACCAGTGAGAAGAGCGGAGAGCAAGGGCTGAGGAAAGTGAACATGGAAAAATCTGTCACTGTGCTCTGCACACTGGATGAAAATCTAAACAGGACTCTGGACCCCAACCAGGTTTCTCTGCACCCCCAAGTGCTACCTCTGCCTCATTCTTCCTCCCCTGAGCACAACAGACCCACTGACCATCCAACCTCCATCCTGAGTAGCCCTGAAGACAGAGGCAGCAGCCTGTCCACAGCCCTGGAGACAGCAGCACCTTTTGTCAGTCATACAACCCATTTACTGTCTGCCAGTTTGGATTACCTGCATCCCCAGACTATGGTTCACCTGGAGGGCTTCACAGAGCAGAGCAGCACTACAGATGAGCCCTCTGCAGAACAGGTTAGCTGGGAAGAAAGTCAGGAGAGCCCTCTCTCCAGTGGCAGTGAGGTGCCATATAAGGACTCCCAGCTAAGTAGCGCAGACCTAAGTTTAATTAGCAAACTTGGTGACAACACTGGGGAGTTACAGGAGAAAATGGACCCATTGCCTGTAGCCTGTCGACTCCCACATAGCTCTAGTAGTGAAAACATAAAGAGTCTCAGCCACAGCCCCGGTGTGGTGAAGGAGCGTGCTAAAGAAATCGAGTCTCGAGTGGTTTTCCAGGCAGGGCTCACCAAACCATCCCAAATGAGGCGCTCAGCTTCTCTCGCCAAATTAGGTTACTTGGACCTCTGTAAAGACTGCTTACCAGAGAGGGAGCCTGCCTCCTGTGAATCCCCTCATCTCAAACTGCTTCAGCCTTTCCTCAGAACAGACTCAGGCATGCACGCGATGGAGGACCAAGAGTCCCTAGAAAACCCAGGTGCCCCCCACAACCCAGAGCCCACCAAGTCTTTTGTAGAACAACTCACAACAACAGAGTGTATTGTGCAGAGCAAGCCAGTGGAGAGGCCCCTTGTGCAGTATGCCAAAGAATTTGGTTCTAGTCAGCAGTATTTGCTCCCCAGGGCAGGACTTGAATTGACTAGTTCTGAAGGAGGCCTTCCCGTGCTACAGACCCAGGGACTGCAGTGTGCATGCCCAGCTCCAGGGCTGGCCGTGGCACCCCGTCAGCAACACGGCAGAACTCACCCCCTTAGGAGACTGAAAAAGGCAAATGACAAAAAACGGACAACCAACCCCTTCTATAATACCATGTGATTCTGAGCCTACACATGTGACTTTCTAGAAGAAATGTTTGTAAAAGGGGCAGGTGTAATATGTAAGGAACATGCACTTTATTGGTTAATTTTATAATATTTTGGTCATTTTACTGTTTCTGGTGCATGCAGGGTTTGGGTGTTTTTCAGTGTGTATGTGTGTGTATATGTAAGGGGAAAGAGAGATTGATCTGGATGGCAAGACCGTTTATCATTTTTTATTTAAAAAAATCAAACCTCAAAAAAGTCATTTTCAGAGAACACCTTTATCAAAGGCAAATTGCTGTTTTTCAGTCAGCTGCCACCTGCTTCTCATTTTGCCCTCTGAGAAAAGGCATGGTTTCTTAATTGAGGGAAGGAAGCAGATTCGGAGGGGTGGAGATAAAGCTGGGGATTGGAGATGTTCCCCTGCCTTTGTGATGATGGTTTGGTTTCCAGACCTGAGGCATCGAATGGGCTAAAGGTCAGCCAGAAGTCAGAGGGCTCTCAGCCTTCATCCAGCCGCAGCCCTTTAGAGTTCCTGAAGGAGGCAGGTTCCGCTTTGCTTTAAAAGAGGGTCTTCCGGTGTTCCAGAGTGTATCGTTACAGTAAGACATGATAATGGCCGGCTCTGCAAATTTATCATATAGTTTTTTTCCCAAGAAAATTATTTTTGAAATTAAAACAGGACCCCAAATGAAATCCAAGTGGTCTTCTGTAGAGGAAAGCATGATAAGAGGAGGAAGACATAAAGTTGGGGGTGGAGAGGCTGCTGCCCAGAAACTGCTGGGTTGGTGGGATCCACACAGATGGGCATCTTGGCTCTCCCTGCCAGAAAAATGTGCTCTGCAGTGTCCTCCCAACTGAAAACAACAGTGACATGTTTGAAAAGCAGCAATCGAAAGTCAGTGTGTTCTTGTAAAATGAATATGTATGTAGGGTTTTAACCCTTCCATTACTTGAATAATTCTTTGGGCCTTCTGAGTTTAATGGCCATATTTTCTTCCAGTTTATTTTCCTTCCCCATGCTGTTGTCCCCATGCTGCCTATTTTTTTAAATTTCATAGATTATATTTGAATTGTTACATATGTTTAACATCCATTGAATGCAACGTTTTATTTTTGGTATTATCACTGTTAACACTTTTTTTTCCTTTTCCTGGAAGGTTTGTCATTTCTCTAAAGTTTGTACACAGTATTTATGTACATAATATTGTCACTGTCTTAGTGTCTTGTTCATGTTGTAGGGTAATTTTGATTTATTCTTTTTAAGAAGGAGTAGAGTTGCAACTGGAAAACACAGACACCAGAAATGAAAGTGTTGGGTGTTGATAGGAATCTGTACAATATGTTGATGGTGGCTGTAGTTGTTTAAATGGAGACTTCCAATCACCAGCTCCTGCCAAATTATGCATTAGTAACTTTTTCCTCAGAGACACCCCTAAAGGCTCCCATTAGGTCACAGCGTGACTGAAAGCTGATTTCTCTGTGAGACTGAAATCCCAGAACATTGTTTGCCAGTATCTCAACCACAGCCAGGAAGTATATGTGAGTTGCCCAGAGTGGAAGCTCCTAGTAGAGGCTGAAGGCCACAGGGGAGGCCTCAGCCAGGGGCAAGTGCCCACAGTGACTCCATTTAGGATGCTGTCGTTTTGCTACTGTTGTGGAGATCCTTAACGCAGCAGCGCCTGTCATAAACAAGCCTCTTGTAGCTTCTTACAGAAAACAGATTTAGTCTAGCATGAAACACCTCTGCATCTCATTGAAACTGAAGAGGCTTGCAGATTTGCTTTCGTTGATGTCCACGTTACTGAGGATTGACTGAGTATAGACTGGAGACAGGTTTTTGGCTTATCACAGCACTGAGGAAAATACAAATGCACAGACTGTCAGCATGATGTCAGAGGCCAGAGTTTGGTGGGGGCAGATGGCAGGGCGACCCAAAAGATGCAGAAAAGGTAGACTGGGGCCACTGGGTCTTAAGAGGAGCTGTGAAGTTGTGTGGAAGCCAAGGCTGGGTCTGACATCCCTGCCAGGAAGCAGGTTGGACAGAAACCACTTGCTAAAAGCGTCTCTATGGTGCAGTGATTATGTGTACCCTGTGCTGTTGCTCAGTAGTCTCCTTGAATGTTCAAGTATCTCATCCACTCAGTTTTGTGATTCCTGGATATTTGTGTGTTGTAAAGTGTTTTGTTAGGTGGTATGAACCAATGTGAGGAGGCTTGAGACAGGGTTATGGATTTCCAGAGCTCTTCCATGTAGAATACCCTGCCTTCTTGAAGCAGTTCCACCACCAATATGATGGGGAAGGGCAGGAACTTATGGCAGGGTGGGGAGAGGGTTTGCCTGGAAGTTAAGAGAGTGGCATCCACTTGTGGTAACCCCTTACGATGATGACATCCCACACACTAAGAGGTACAAGCAGGACCAAAGTTTTGGACTGTTCCCTCTTCTCCCCTCCACTGTGTTTAATGTTCACTCACTGCATTAAATAACAACAAAGATGGGACAAAACCCACTAATACTGTGGGGAAAAAAAATTTTCAAGAGCAGAGGAAAGTCTTTCTGCCTTTTTATAATTACTTTTTTTATCATTTAATTTACCTGCCTAAATAAACATCTTCTACAGAATATCTGTCATTCAACCATGCCAAGGAGTTTGTGCCAGCCTTTTCAGACTCCCAGAATTGGGTGTTCCTGGGTTATTTACATAGCTGAGCAGTGTCCAGGGGAGGTGCGCAGTGAACTGTCAAGGACTTTCCAGACTGTCTTCTCTTCAGACTTTTATAATCTCCAGTGGCATCTTTCCCTTTTCTTTTGTTCATGACCTGACCTGAAGCAGCAGATTTGATAGACTGGCAAAGATGAATAGGAAAAACTTTGACTCTTGCCCAGTGCCTGCCTGCCTCTCTCTCTCTCCTCTCTCTCTCTCTCTTTTTAAACCACCATAGACTCTCACTTATTTTGGAGGAGTGTATGTGCATGTGTACACATATGTACATATATAAAAACAGTTGATGTTTTGGTGTATGGGGTAAAAGCCCCAGGAGCATACAGAACTTGAGCTGAACCTGGTCAGTAGAAAGGGAAACCCCAACCCTTTCTTGATTTTTGGAGACACCCAGGACTAATGGATACTGTAGTAGACATGTAGTACTATAGTACCGTAATATTCATCTCTCCTCATTTTAGTTGCCTTTCAGATTCTAAATGTTTGGGATCATTCCTATCATCTTAGTCTCTTCAGGATCTTTAGTATTTTCCTGGTTCTGAGGAGGCTTGAGACAGGGTTATGGATTTCCTTGTTCTGTGTCTTTATCCCTACTGATAGTTCCTCTTTCTCATTTTGCAAACTACCCAGAGCTCCAAGGACAGCCTGAAGATCTCAGTGCCTCAGGCTCTGAGGTACTCTGCTCACAGGCCCCAGACAGATGCTGTTGGGTAAACTCAAAGCTTCCTATGAGAAGCTTCTGAGATGTAGCAGGTCACAGAAGTGTTCACCTGTTTCATCTGAGGATTTCAGTTCTGAAGTGATCTAGGCATGTTTGGTAAAAATGTTTTTGTGAGAGTTCTTTTTTTAAGAAAGCATTATGCAAAAAGTCACTTTTAAGGGCATTTAAAAATTTTTAAGTAAAGCCATTCTTTGGCTTTTTTGGACTATTTGTGGATACTTTGTTTACATTTTGAATATTAAAATGTGCATCATCTTGTCGGCCATGCAGTCCTGCAGGCATCAGTGCCCTGGCTGTCCTGTGAGTCCTCATGCAGAGCAGGGCCATCATGGTCAGCCCTTGTGAGTAAGTGGGTATACGCTGAAGCTGACTTCCGTCTGTGTCCTGCCCTCCCATCCAGCACTCTCTATGGAAATAGTTGTCATTTCCTCAGTGATGGTGTGTCTTATAGTGATGGTTGTAATGGTGAATGGCTAGTGTCATTTTGTTTAATTTTGTTTTGCTTTTTGATGGTGGATAAGATGAAATTTTAGCTGTTTCAGCATCAATCCAACTTAAAAGCATCTTGGACTTTGTTTTCCCTTCCAAACTAAAAGATCAAGGCATGTATTAGACACAAGCATATTTGCTGCCTCAACTCCTCTGACACCCATATTAGGAAAAGGCCTGCCACCAAAGCAGGAAGCTGCACACTCCTAACCCTTCTCCCAGGGTGTGGGGTCCCTTGACGTCATGAAGAGCTATTGCAAGGTGCTTCTGTACTTTTCCAGCCTGGAAATGGAGGGTGACTGGCCCTGGCTCCTGCTATGAGAAGATAACCAGCCTCATTTTCTCAGTGCCCCAGAGGTCTAGGATAGGATTTCTAAACTGGAATCATCCTTAATCACCTTGAAGATCCCTTAAGAGGCATTTGACTGGTGCTGCCGTCTGTGTCCTCAAAGCAATGCTGGTGGCAGCGTCCTGTGTACACATGCAGAGCTAATACCCAAACTAAAAACTGGGTAACTGGCCCTGAAGTGCTTCCCAATCAGTAAGCCCACAGGGAAATGTTTGATTTTTATGTTCTGTTGGATTTTGGTTTGCTTGGCATATCTAAAGGTGCCTTTACTTTTCTTTTTTTTTTTTTTTCTTTCTGCTTTGTTTTGTAGGACTTGTTCTAACATGGAAAACAAGTCCAGAAGACTCTCCTCTGACTGTTACCTTTGCCCCAAGCCACCCCAAACTTTTATGCTCATGTTTTATTAAAGCAGGTGCTCCCTGGAATCTCTGGGACATTTTTGAGGCATTTGAAGCAGAATATAGAGTGGTCTCATCTCCTTCCTTAATCTTCCTGGTGGTTGGGATGTTCCACTTGTATCATAGATTTTTTTATTACAGATATGCTCCACTGTTTTTAAATGTGAACTTGTGCGCAAATGTGCAGATTCAATGTTCTTGTTACAGATTGAATAAATTTTTATTTTGAAGATGAAACGTGTACTTCATCAGATGCAACAAAGGAGGGAGGTGCTGGAGAAGGTGGGAGAGTCAGAAGAGGAAACACAGTGAACACCAGTAGTTTTCAATGATTGATCCCAGTCATGTCACCCTGAAGAGAGAGCTGAGTCCCCAGAAATAAATGAAACACCTCAGCCCACTGAAAAATGTCTAGAAATGGGACATGAACATCATGAGATATTTAGTGGTGCCATTCATCACATACAAGGCAGGACTACCATCTAGGGAGAGCTCAGTTTCCAGTTCCCAATTGCTAACAAAATTTGAAGTCCCCGCCCCCCTCAAAAAAAAAAATCACTGCCTTGAACTAAAGTCAGCCTGCTTCATTCTGAATCATCCATATCAAGTGGGAGGGGCACAGTGCTGGTCTTTAGCTGGAGTGCATGACGGTGAAGGTAAGGTCTTTCACAAAATATTCTAAGGATCCCTGGGATCCCTGACCAATCTAGATAAGTTCAGTCTTGGTTTTCTAGCCAAAGCAGATGGACCAAATCATGGCTAAGTTGCGAGCTACCTCATCCAGAAAATGGCTTCCTAAAAGATGAAATCCATGGCTGTCTTCTATGGATTGCCGTTCAGAGCTAACAGTTCAAAAGGGAGGCACGAAGCCCAAGTAGCTTCTCTCCCTGATTGGTTCTTCCTGCCTTAACTCTGCCCACTCACAGCTCTGTCAGGCCTTGGCAGCCAGAAGAAGGCTAGAGGGCAGGGCTGAGCTACGCCAGGCCCAAGCAAATATCTGAATCCCTGTACCCAGAAAGCACTGCTCTTCCTAGATGATGGAACTGAAGGGAGCACGCATTGAAGGATTCCTGCTTCCTAGTCCCAAGCGCTTCCCTCTAGAAGGGAGTCTCCTGTTCTCTTTAAAGAGAAGGAGGGTGGGGGTAGGGGAGATGCCACTTCAGAGGAGGCAGCACATAAAATCCCTACTCTGCTAAGGAGTGGTGCAGAGTTGGAAAGAATCTGACCCAATCCTGTTCAGAGAGCTGTAAAAATATGGCGATTGAGCCAGGACTGGAACCAGTTTTTTAATTCATTCCAGGCATCCTTTCCTCTGTGCCACACAGTATAAACTCTCAGTTACGTTTTAGCTCAGCACTTGTGAGATAAAGTGGCACTGTCCTTCAGGGAGAGACAGAAATGCATGCTGCTGAAAAGCAAGAACCAGATGCCAGACCACGTGGGTAAGAATCATAGCTACATCAACTACCAGTTGAGGTTGTGATGGGTAAGCCACCTAACCTCTTTGTGGCTCCATTTCCTCAACTGTTAAATAGGGATAACAACAGTACCCACCTTAGAGGATTGTTTTTTGGTTTTTTGTGCGTGTGTTTTATTTGAGACAGAGTCTCATTCTGTCACCCAGGCTGGAGGGCAGTGGCATGATCTCAGCTCACTGCAACCTCTGCCTCCTAGGTTCAAGCAATTCTCGTGTCTCAGCCTCCTGAGTAGCTGGGATTACAGGTGTGCATCACCACACCTGGCAAATTTTTGTATTTTTAGTAGAGATGGGGTTTTGCCATGTTGGCCAGGCTGGTCTCGAACTCCTGACCTCAGGTGATCCACCTGCCTCAGCCTCCCAAAGTGCTGGGATTACAGGCGTTAGCCACCCGCGACCAGCCTAGAGGATTGTTAAGAGTATGAAATTAATACGTATAAAGCCCTTAGTGCCAGTGCCTAGCACATAAGCATGGGTTATTGTTGTAAAGGAGCAACTGAGTCACTCAGGTATTTTCCTCCTAATCATGTGCCTGGAATCTTTAGGTAAAAGAGAGATGACTCACATACCCTCATACCCTGCCCCAGCACCCCTACGCCAGGAGTTATTTCTGGAGCACTCGTAACAGTTTTTTATTCTGTTCCCCTACAAGCCACTGACTCTTGATTTGATTCTGTCCCTACAAGCCACCTGGACTCTTCCTGAGAAACAAAGGAGCCTCGTGGGCCCTTCATGGTTTCTACCACCTTCCCTCCCTTTCCTCCCCAGTGCTGGTTCCTGCCCTTCAGAAGGCTGTGTTCCATTCACTCACTCCCAGGTGTGCCCTGGAGGGTGGGAAGTAATAACTGGCCCCAGATGCCCTTATGATCCAAGGGAAGAAATCCAGGCAATGTGCAGACACTGGGTAGACTGGAGCTACGGGACTGGCTGGTCTTCACTGGCTGTATTTTGATCAGGTTATCTTTAATCTCCTTGACCTCGGTCAACATTCAGTTCTGTGAATATTGGGGGAGACGGGGGAAGCTTACCTGGAACACAGTCGGGCGCCAATTCAAACAAGGCCCAGAAAACATTAGGAGTCTGGCCTCTGAGTTGGCTTCTCTGACCCCTAAAATGTGACTAGAGACCGGTGCTAGCCTCTTCCCCCTGCATCTGGGAGGGGAGGGAGTGTCAAGGTGGGTTCACTTTACACTCGGTCCTCCCCTTGTTCTTTCAGCTGCTTCCTGCCCTGCTCCATGGAATCTCATCTAATGGGGTGAAATGCCTAGCACACAGCCAGCATTTTAGGTTTCTCAAATGATCGCTATTGCCATTCATAACAATAACTAACATTCACAACCCTGTGTCGGGTGCCCTCTCACTTGCCCTACATCAGGATCAGCCTGGGTCCTCATTCTCTAGGGCCTCTTTCCCCCAGGGAGGCCTGGAAGTGCAGTCCCGCAGTCCCGGCCGATCGGGACAGCTAAATTGGGAGCGCGATTGAGGCTGGAATGCGGGTGGAGGCACCTGGTCTCCCTCGGCTGCCCGCTCTAGGGGCGCACGCCCCCTCGCCCGTTCCCTCTCCAAGCGTCCTGCTCTAGGTCTGCGAACCCGAGCCTCCCCAGCCTACCCGGGAGTCATGGAGGGAGGGAAGCAGCGTGCGCACCTAGCACACAGCTGCACATTTATTTTCGATGGTTCTCCGAGGCCGGCGGAAGCTGGGAGGGGAGTCGGGGTCGCTCGACTTTCCCGCCGCTGGAGGGGGCGGGGCAACTTGGGCTCTGGCCCCGCCCCTATGCTAGCCCCGCCCTCTTAGGTTGATGGCAGCGGCAGCTGGGGCTGCAGCGGCGCCGGGCTCTAGAGAGCCGCAGGATCGGCCAGAGTGCGGAGCTGGACACCCGGGTCCCAGATACTACAGACACCCGGAGAGGTGGCTCCTTCGCCCTGAAGCCTTCCTCGGCCCCCTACGCACTCGGGCCCCTTCCGCAGAGGATTCGCAGCGTGAGCGCCCCGCAGCCCGCTCAGGACCAGGTACCCAGCCCCCCACACCCGGCCGTCACCGCAGCCAGCGGAGCGGGCGGGGTCCCTGAGGGGCAGAGGTCTGCGCCTCCTCCCCCCGCGCCGCCAAATTCGGTTTCGGGCGGGGAGGACGTGGTGTCTATATTTGGCCGGACAGCAGCCAGCGCTCCCGGAGGGCGCAGACACCTCGTCTCGCAAGAACGCAGTGTCAGGGCAGCAGGCTGAAGAAGGGTGCAGGGAGGCCGGGCCTCAGGCTCGGGGCCGCAGACGCGCCTTGAAGGGCACACGGATGCTGGGGCTGGGGTGGGGCAGGAGCCACTGGCTGGGGCTTTGGGAGTGCTCAGTGTGTCCTCTAGGGAGACCCTAGCTGGAGAAAAGGCACCTCACCCTCCCCACCCCTGCAAATCTGGCTTGGCCGTGGCGGGGGCAGGGGTGGAGGATGGGGTTGAAGACCCCACCCCTAGAAGAGTTCACTAGGAAGAAGGCCCAACCAGGGCAGAGGACCCAGAGGAGAAACCGGACAAGCCTATGGTAGGCAAAAGCCAGAAGACCATGATCAGGGCTTCCTGGAGAAGCCAGTGCAGAAAGGAGTGGGAGAAGAGGGATCCACCTCACTCTGTGCTGCCACCCGTCCCCCCACAAGGCATGGGATGAAAACAGTAGCAGAAAGGACTCAGATTGGTGGACAGGAGGAACTTCCCCCTTGGCAAAATTTTAGGAAAAGGCAAAACCCCATCTGCCTGAACTATTCCAGAGATGCGAGTTCGGTATCCTGTGGTGGCTGCAGTCTTGGCCCCATACCTGGCTTTAAGCCAAGATCCAATGGTCAAGTCTTCTGCTTCTGGACAGGGTGCCTCTGGGAGCTACAACCACGTCCGTGAAGAGATGCTCATCAAGGCTGGCGGTGGTGGGGGCGGGGGGTGCAGGCAGTGTGGCATTGAGGCTCCTCCCAAAAACATTCCAACGTCCAGAAAGCTTTCAGTCTGTTAGGCTCCACAATCCCCTCAGCCTGGGTCTCTGTGGAGAATTCAGGCCCCAAATCCTAGCCACTTACATTAAACAGCATTTTACACAGCAAAATAACTTTCCCATACTTTGACCACCTTGAAGAAAGCTCCCTGCTTCTAGGACCAGACACTATATGGATTTATACCTGACTCCTGACCACATAACCCTTCTCATCAGCCACCCCTCCACTCCTCCTCCCTCCCGCAGCTCACAGGACTAAGGACCAAAGGCATTTCTGGGCACTGAGATCCTACCTCTCTGCCTGCAGCTATGAGCAGACGTGTGGTTCGGCAAAGCAAGTTCCGCCATGTGTTTGGGCAGGCAGCAAAGGCCGACCAGGCCTACGAGGACATCCGTGTGTCCAAGGTCACATGGGACAGCTCCTTCTGTGCCGTCAACCCCAAATTCCTGGCCATTATTGTGGAGGCTGGAGGCGGGGGTGCCTTCATCGTCCTGCCTCTGGCCAAGGTGAGGGATCAGGGAAAGGAAGCAAGTGGGAGGACACTAGCTGGGGCCCCTGGGAACTCCTGAGCCTTTGTTCTCACCTAGTTCCATTCCATAGTCAGGAGAAGCATCTGTGTGGATTGGCTCCTCCCTATTCCCCAAGCCCTCAAGGACCAGAGGGGAGGCCACCCCACCCCACCCTAACATCAGGGTGGCTTACTCCCACTCCCTAGCCCTCCCACCTCTCCATGCACCACCCCATTCCCAGCAGGGACCAGGAGGGGAGCCGGGTGATGGAGATGGTTGGGACACAGCACAGCCAAGCCTGGCCAGATTCCATCACTGCCTCTCCTAATGCCGCATCCCCTCATGTTTTGGGTGTGGAGAACCTCCTCCCTAGCCCAAGATGACCATTTGATTAAGTCACATCCCAGAGCAGCAAACTGAGGACAGGGTCAGGCTCTATCCAAAGAGTCCCTGGTTACCTCCAAGGACACTTGCAGTGAAGTAGAAAGAAAGGGAACGGAAAGGAAGGGGGACATGACACATAAAGCCAGAGCCCTCCCTACCCTCAGGATGGGGACCAGGCAATGACTACCACGTTAGCTTCATAACCTTAAGCCCCTTGACCATCCACATCCCAAGGATGACTCTCCCCCAACCCCCAAGGTATGACCTTGACCTGGATTCTGGCCCCTACACCTTGTTAGGGTAGGCTCCACAGGTGGCGGGGTCAGGAAGAGGCCTGAAAAAGCCAGTGACTCACCCCAGACAATGCAGACATCATCCTGGGACACAGCCCCAGGGCTCAAATTTCAGCCGGAGCTGCCTCCTCCCCCAATATGTCTGCTCTTTCAGTACCACATAGCCACCCTCTCCCCCGCTGCCTGGTCTGGACCAGTGTCTGCCCCTGCAGAGGTCTCAGAACCCCCACAAGCAGCCTGTGAAGACCAAAAAATAGATGGGCCCCCAGCTCCCATTTGGGGATAGTAGGCACCAGGACTGCTTGCTGCTTGTGGTTCCAAGGTAAAAGTGGTTCACAAGGAAGAGATCTGCCAAGGGAGGCCAGGAAAGGGCTGTCCAGCACTACACTATTATCTCACCTTGACCTCTTCCACCAGGAGATTCCCACAGACACTTCAATAGGAGAACAGGCTGAAGAACAGCCTCCTCCAAGTAGGTGTCTTTGGAAGAGCACTGGGCTGGAAAGTTCAAATCTCAGCTCTACAAGTATCTTGTTGTGTGTCCTTGATGAGGCCATCTTACCTCTCTGTGTCACAGTCCCTAATATTAAATTATTTCAACTCTGCCTTCAGTAAAGTGCAGGAAGTGGACTGGATGGGGTTAGAAGTGCAGAGAGGGATCTGCAAAGAGAAAATAGGTAATAAGGAATCGAGATGTAAGCAGATCTGCTACCCACTCCCCAAAAAACACACAGGAGAGTAGCCCCACATCTTCTTCTCCAACCCCTCAGACAGGGCGAGTGGATAAGAACTACCCACTGGTCACTGGGCACACTGCCCCTGTGCTGGATATTGACTGGTGTCCACACAATGACAACGTTATCGCCAGTGCCTCAGACGACACCACCATCATGGTAGGAGCCAGGTGGCTACTGCTGGGCAGTTGAGCAGGGGAGCAGGGAAGGCTGCCTCACCTGTGCTGGGGAAGGTGCTAAGGGTGGTAATAAGGGAGGTGCTGGGTCCCAGGGCCCTGCCCTGCCCAGCTCCTGGACTATTTTTAGCTACATGCCCACCCCCTCCCAGGATGCACTGCTTAGGACTAATTATAGCCATGGCCAACTTGGTGCCTGGAGAGCAGCAGGGCAGTGCTCTGAAGTCTCCCTGCTGGAGTGAATGGGAGGTCTCTGGAGAGCTGGCAGTGCCCCCTCCTGGCTCCCAGCTGCTTCTGTTCTAGGCATGCACCACCACATCTTGCCCTGTATTTGACCCTTACCACTCAAGAGAGCCAGTAGGGTTAAAAAAAAAGGTAGGGAAGGAGTGGAGGGACAGGGTGGCTCCTCATTCCACCCACCATATACCTTTTCTTCCTACCCAGGTGTGGCAGATTCCAGACTATACCCCCATGCGCAACATTACGGAACCTATCATCACACTTGAGGGCCACTCCAAGCGTGTGGGCATCCTCTCCTGGCACCCTACTGCCAGGAATGTCCTGCTCAGTGCAGGTCTGGGGGCTAAGGAGGGGTCCCCCATAGATGGGTGGGTGGTGGCAAAGGTGGGACCCAGGTGACCATGCCTGGCCACTCTGGGCAGGTGGTGACAATGTGATCATCATCTGGAATGTGGGCACCGGGGAGGTGCTGCTGAGCCTGGATGATATGCACCCAGACGTCATCCACAGTGTGTGCTGGAACAGCAACGGTAGCCTGCTAGCCACCACCTGCAAGGACAAGACCTTGCGCATCATTGACCCCAGAAAAGGCCAAGTGGTGGCGGTGAGTGCCTGGCCTGGCCACTCCCCAGAACCCCTTGACCAGTGGCCAGCTGTCAGCACCCTTGTACCCACCATTATCAGAGCCCCTGGTCCCGGCTTTCACCTGTCGCATCCCTGCTCCAGAGACTAGCCCCCTTCCCCCGTCTCTGCAACCACAGGTCTCTGCCCTAAGTAAGCCCCCAGCCTGCAATTCTCTGCCCGGCTCCTGTTCCCTCCCCTCCCTTGCATCTCAGAAGCTCAGAGAAGGGCTCCTCGCTTTGGGATTGAGGAGGGGAGAAGCTGGAAACTCCATCCTCCCACCAGAACCTGCATGAAACCTGAGCTCCTGGACCCCTCTCCTCTCAGCCGGCACCCAGACGCATCTTCCAGGGTCTGGGGCCTGACACTGGCTCGAGGGCTGGCCCTTTCTCCTTGTGGACCCGCTGGGCGGGGGATGGGGCAACCCTCGCGCGTTGCTTATCCCAGCCGGATGCCCTGGGAGGGCGGCGGCCCTGGCCTCGCCAGCCTCAAGTCTAACCTGGGGTGCGGGTGCGTGGGCCGCGTGCATGTCTGCGTGGAGCAAGCGCGCCGAGAGCGGTCGGGGCTGGCGCCGGGGCGCTCTAACCCACTAACCCGGCGAGCAGGAGCAAGCCCGGCCTCACGAGGGCGCCCGCCCGCTGCGGGCTGTCTTCACCGCAGACGGGAAGCTGCTCAGCACCGGCTTCAGCAGGATGAGTGAGCGGCAACTCGCGCTCTGGGACCCGGTAGGCCAGGCCGCGCCGGGCGCGCTAGCTCGCTCCTTCTCTGGGTCTGCCGGGAGCGCCTTCCCGGGCTGTGGCTGGCGCCCAAGAGGCCAGAGCGGAGCGGGGAGCTCCCATTCGGGAAAAGCCTCGCTGCGACTCCGGGGAGCCAGCAGACACCCCTGCTCTAGGGATCGGCCTTTGAGCGCGCTTAAGGGTTCGGGATCGGCTGAGAGCCGCGTGCCTCCTGCTCTCTCCAGGCCCGGATGCTCTCCAGGTCAGGGGCCAGACGTGGCCCCGCAGGAAGCTGAGTGCTTAGGCCCCATTTGTCTCTTCCCCGCATCCGCTCCTCCACCCCGGACACCCAAGTCAGCAAGCTGGTTGCTCATCCCTCCATGCTCCTCAGGGCAGGCAGCTGGGTGATGTCCCTCCCTGTCTCCCCCTCCCCCCAGGAGAGGTTTGCGGCCCACGAGGGGATGAGGCCCATGCGGGCCGTCTTCACGCGCCAGGGCCATATCTTCACCACGGGCTTCACCCGCATGAGCCAGCGAGAGCTGGGCCTGTGGGACCCGGTAACGCAGCTGGAGGCTTGGGGTGTGTGCCTCGGGGACTGGCATCACGGGAGAGTGGCCAGGCGCCCCCCACCCGCAGGGCATGCCCACCTGGACAGGACTGAAGGCTGCTGCCACCTCTGCAGCGCCTGCCATTCTCACACCCACCCCTCTGCCCAGTTTTGCTGCGTCGCGTGAAGGATCCTGCGCTGGCGCCCCCACCTGGTGATGCCGAGTCCCTGGGGGTGGTTTGCTGTGACTGCATGCGGCGCGCAGCGGGTATATGTGCAGGGGAGGAGGAGCTATGTGCGCAGGGGAGGAGGAGAGATGTGCCCAGGGGAGGGGCCTGCAACTCTGGTCACTAGAGGTTTGGGGCATAGGGTTTGGGAAGGCCAGGAAGCGTAAAGGGGCTTCTGGGGGTCCCGAAGTAGCACGGGAGGGTGGGGCAGGGCTGGTCACGCCTCCTGTGCTCGGGCAGAACAACTTCGAGGAGCCAGTGGCACTGCAGGAGATGGACACAAGCAACGGGGTCCTATTGCCCTTTTACGATCCCGACTCCAGCATCGTCTACCTGTGTGGCAAGGTGCTCACGGCCGGGCAGGGAGAACAGGGCACTGGATGGAGATGTGGAGGGCCTTGTCCGGGCGCGCCCCTGAACCGACTGATTTTGCAGGGCGACAGCAGCATTCGGTACTTTGAGATTACCGACGAGCCGCCTTTCGTGCACTACCTGAACACGTTCAGCAGCAAAGAGCCGCAGCGGGGCATGGGTTTCATGCCCAAAAGGGGACTGGATGTCAGCAAGTGTGAGATCGCCCGGTCAGCAGCCTTGGCCCCTCCTGAACACCTACCCGCCTCTGTCCCCCACTCATGTCGGGTCCTAGCCACGGGGCTTCCCCAGTAATGCAGTGCTTTGGAAAAGCGGGGCGGGGGGATAAGACAGCTCTGTTTCAGTGCCAGACCCACCGCTCACTAGCCTTACATTCTCAACTTCAGTTTCCTCATCTATAAGATGATGGTGAACACACCATCAGGGTGTTTTATTGCAGAACCAATAATGTGTGTAATGTGCAATATGCATGGTAGGCGCTGAGCAAGTGTTGGCCTCCAACCCCCTTGGTCTTAGACAGGAGAAGTTAAGGACGTGGAAGTCTGCGAGGGTGCTGAACCCTGCTCCCTTATAGGTTCTACAAGCTACACGAAAGAAAGTGTGAACCTATCATCATGACTGTGCCCCGCAAGGTGAGGGGCCGGGAGAAGGGTTGGGCAGGGCTACGAGGCGGAAGGGAGCGGAGCAAGCCCCGCACCCTCTCACGCAAGTCCTCCTGTCCACCCACCCCCGCAGTCAGACCTCTTCCAGGACGATCTGTACCCGGATACGCCAGGCCCGGAGCCGGCCCTAGAAGCGGACGAATGGCTATCCGGCCAGGACGCCGAACCCGTGCTCATTTCGCTGAGGGACGGCTATGTGCCCCCCAAGCACCGCGAGCTCCGGGTCACGAAGCGCAACATCCTGGACGTGCGCCCGCCCTCCGGCCCCCGCCGCAGCCAGTCGGCCAGCGACGCCCCCTTGTCGGTAAGATCGGCCCTGCTGCACTCTGGCCCAATCTACATCTCCCCCAACCGCCCCTATACGACACGGCCTCTCTGTCCTCCGCCCCAGCAGCAGCACACCCTGGAGACGCTGCTGGAAGAGATCAAGGCCCTCCGCGAGCGGGTGCAGGCCCAGGAGCAGCGCATCACGGCTCTGGAGAACATGCTGTGCGAGCTGGTGGACGGCACGGACTAGCCCCGCGCGCCAGGCAGGCGGAGCGGGGCGGGGCGCACAAGCTCGGCCCCGCCCCGGCTTTTAGTCCCGAACTCCGGACCCCGCCTTCTTGGGCTGGGCCCGGGGGCGGGACTGGGGAGGGAACTCCGCCCCTCGCGGGAGACCAGAACTCTTGGAGCTTAGGGGAGACCCACGTCGCTCCAGCGGAGGCTGGACTGCGAGCCTCGTCTGGGACTCGGCTGGAGCTGGCCTAGGGAGGCCTGGGGTAACCTGGGGGGCTCAGCAATGGTGCTGCACGGCGAGGTGGTGTCCCCCTTTGTCCTCCGCCCAGGGCAGGGAAAGTGCTTAGTATTAGCGTGATGCTTGGGGTTATTGGAGCCTGAGCTTGACCTCAAACGGGTGGCGATTTGATGGGTACCCCCAGGCTGGGGAAAATGACAGCGCTTCTCCTAATCAGCTCACTGGATTCCATCACCCTGAGCGGTAAACCAGATGGGCGTCACCCCAGTTCTGCAGACACATACACAACCCGTTTGCTGCAGAGCCGGACCCAGTGGCTACACCCACAGCGGTCTGTGGTAGAGAACTCTCTTCCTTCTTTCCACCGACAGGGGCGAGGGCTGCTTCCTCGCGGCAGCCCCCGCGAAGAAATCTCGAGAGAACTGGCATGAGGAGTTAGGTTCATCACAAATACACACACACTGCCCCCAACCCTCTGCCGTTGCCTCTCTCAGAAAAACAAGACGTACTGAATGAAATATTTTACTAAGCGTTCAGTCTGTGCCTCCTGCATGGGTGGGAGTGAGGGGAACGAGACCCCCAGCCTCTGCAAATGCTACCCCCAGGCTCCTGGGAGACCTGGCGATGCACTCCTGGGCTCAGGGTCCATCAGGCAGCCTCTTACCCTAGAGCTCTCTCCACTCTGAGGTTCAGAAGGACCCCAACCCACACCGTAGGCGTTCCCCCCAAGTAAAGTTAGGTAGCAAAAGCCTCCGGTATGAAGCCTCTTTTATTTGTGCCTCAGAATCAGTCTGGTGCCCCTGGCATCAGGGAAGGGGGTGGGAGGAACAGTTTCTCTTTGTTCTTTTCTTCCATCCCTCTTTGTGTCCCTTCTGAGCCTCACTGGCTGAGCCGGGAAGGCCAGTCCCAGACAGGCCCGGGACAAGGGTGTGCGGTGGGCCCCTGCCCCTGGCGGGGTCTGTGCTTCTCTGGGTGGGTGAGGTGGGGCAGGGGAGAGCCGGGGGTTAGCACCATTGGATGAAGGGTTTTAGAGTCAGTCTCCGTGTGGGGGCAAGTGGGATGTACAACCACAGAGGCTAGCAGCAGCTGGTGGGAAGGGGTGGGGGTGGCGCCAGGGCCCTGGGCGAGCCCTTTGTGTCCAGTCTACTTGGGTCTAGTGCTTACCCCAGCCCAATATGCTCCCCACTCTCCGAGGCACCATGAGGGAGTCAGGGCTTGCACAGGCCAGGGGGCTACGTTGGACACACTCCCTGATCACAAAAAAAAAAAAAAAAAAATGTGCCTTGGGGGATGGGACTCCAACTTCTGGCTGCCCAAGGAGAAGCTGGAACCACCCTGAGACCCAGGACGGGTGTGGGGGCTGGGGGAGCCGGGTACCCCGCTAAGTGCACTTGACGCTGAAATGCCGGGGTGGGGGAGGGGCTGGGCCCTAGACGTGCTGGTTTGTGTCTGGAACAAAGCAGTGACACAGCACGCGGGGAGCTCAGCTGCCCCCCAGGAGTGAAGAGCAGAGATGCAAAGGCTTCAGGGGCAGTGTCCTGGAGTGGGGTTAGTGAACAGAAATGCGGACCGGCCAGAAGGAGCAAGGGATAGGGACAGCGCTCCTCTAAGGATTCATCTCCCCCTCAGGACCGCCTGGCTCCGCCCTAGGACAGGACAGATCTGAGCCCAGGGGAGCGGGTTGGGGAATCAGAATACAGCAAAGCAGGGGGACCAGGCCGTGCCAGTTGCCTCCAGGGCCCTGGCCTGGGAAGGTACCCCGCGGCCATGCCGAATCCCTCCCCGAACCGTGCCTGCTGTGCTGCTGCACCCGCGAGGCGGTGGCTCCAGTCTCCAGCCGCCGCTCTGCAGGCGCGCAGGCCGGGGTTTGTCTGGCTCCTGGCCCTGGGCGTGGCGCGCGTGGCGCTGGCGAGGGTCCCGGCAGGGGGCGCTACTGCTCGGTCAGTGAGAGCCTCAGGATGCGCTCCAGCTCCTCCTCCTCCTGGCGCGCGCGCCGCCGCCTCTCCTCCTGCTCCTGCGCCGACAGTTCCATCGCCAGCCGCAGCTGCTCGTCGTAGCTCCGGAACACGTGGCCGCCGGAACCTGGCCCTGAGCTGGGCCGAGGGCTGGGCACTGACGCCGGGGGCGCAGGCTGGCGCTGCGGCGTGGGCGGGGCGCTCCTGGGGGTGGGGAAGGAATGTCGCGGGCTCCCGGGCGCACCCACCCACCGGCCGGGGCCGGGACACGGCGTGGAGGCTCCAGGGCGGCCCGCGGCCACCACCCTCTAGTGGAGGCGGTCAGTCCCGCGGCGTCCTGGCCCCCACCTGGTCGTGGCGGAGCCCAGACCCTACCAAGTTCTCCCCGTCAATGCCTGGGGAGAGTCTGAACTCCGCGGTGAAGCCTGGATCCCTGACCCCTGCCTGCCGCCTCGGAGGCAGGAGTGGTGGCAGAAGCCATCCCGATACCAGGAGGGTCCCTGCCGAGGGCCCCGCGGGTTCTCCGGCTGTGTCCTGGCTTAGGGGAGACAGGATCCTCTCCGGAGGATTCTCTCCGGCCCAGCGGGCACTGACCTGTCCTGTCGGCGACCCTCGTAGGACATGGGGTGGGTGCCTGGCTTGCTGTTGGTTAGCGCCTCCCAGATGGTGACCTGCGGGGAGGCGTGGGCGTTAGCCGTGGCGGCGCGGAGTCCCGTGGCCCCGCGCGCCCGCGGAGACGCACCTGGTCATACTCACTGCCCGCCTCAAGCAGGCTCTGCTGGATGGCGAATTGCAGCAGGTCGTCGTCGTCGTCCCGGGTCGCCGCCTCCCGCTGGCCGCCCATCATGCTGTAGCCGCGCGGGGCCTCGAACAACGCTGGGGAGATCTCGCAGCCGCGGCAGGAGGCTGGGGGCGCGGGGGCTGGGTCAGGCACGGCCGGGCGCGCCCCTCCCACCCACCCCGGGGAGAGCCGAGGGGCAGGCGTTCTCGCGGGGGGCCTCACTCGTGGAGCTGGAGCTGCTGACGCTGGAGGAGTCGCTGCCTGGGGAAGGCGTCTCGCTGCTGGGGCTGCCTCGCACCGATGGCACCGGTTCGTCGCAGCCGTTGAGGTTCCCGAAGGTGATGCGGGCGTTGAGGATGTGGAAGATCGGGATTTCTGAGGATGAGGAAACCTTTAGGCGCCACCACTCAGCCCCTCACACCTCAGCCTCAGCCCCACCCCGACCTCATCTAAACCCCGGTCGGCCCGCCACGGGCTCAGGAGAAATGGCCGTGCGGTCTCACCAATCTTAACTGGGAAGCCAGGAGGCAGACGCAGGGTGATGAAGTCCCGGAGCTTGGCAAAAAGCGCATTGCTGACGGCCATGAGGTCAATGATGGGGGCCACCTGCTCACACAGGGACAGGGGATGCTCCTCACACAGCCACAGCTTGGCCTTGAACCTGCCCCCACCAGATCCCAAGGGGTAAGGGACACTGCAGGAAGCCATGGCCTCCCAGCATCTCCTGGAGCCCCGGCCCCCCACCTTCCCAGCACCGGCAGGGGCCTCACTTCTGTGTCTTGGTGGTCAGTTCCATGGGGCGGCCCATATCACGGTTGCCCAGCTCAAAGTTGGGGTTGAAGTATTCTTCTGCAGTGATGGCAGTGGGGTTGGCTTGGCTCAGAGTCTGAGTGATCAGGGTCTGTACCACATGGGGAGGGGCCCAGGAGCTCCCCTCAGTTCCTAATGCCAGGCCAACTCATTTGTTGTCACAAGGCCCCCAAGCTGTCCCCTCTGCCAGTGTGGCGCTGACATGGCCTTGGGCATTGTGGAAAGGAGGTCCACATAGGCCATGCTAAGCAGGACGCTTCCCAAGCCTCCTCCTGAGCCACATCCACATCCCTCCACTTACGGGTACCCCTGCACACACTCACCCCATTTTGGGGGCCCCCGTGCTGCTCAGCGATTCCCAGGAAGGACTGCAAAGGTGTCTTACAGCCTACAAGAAATGTGGCATCTCAGAGGACACCGCAACTCCACACACACCTGGGCACCTCATCAGAGGTGACAGCACCCAAGACCTAGGGAGGAGGCCGGTTCCTGGGGTGGGGCCTGCTCACCCAACCACATACTCAGGCACCTTCACCTGAAGGGGACTGAGTGCTTCAAGGACCAGGGGCCAGGGCCTCTGTGAGCACAGCTTAAAACACTAAAAGGAAGGCCTAGAGGTCAGAAGCAACTTCCAAAAGTGCTCCTCTCCAGCTCGGTGACCCTGGACAGTAAAACGCCTGCCCCGGCAGGCACTGTGGGGTGTGCATGTGCGTGTGTGTGTTTGCTTCAGGCACTTCCATAGGCATGATTTCATGTTGTTCCCCTGTGAGGTAGAAATTATGCTTTTTCACCTCGGACACGGTATCTGGTACCCAGAGAATCAGGTGTGGCATCAATGGGCATACAGAATCTGTGGCAAGGTCCCCTGACTTTCTACCTAGGATATGTCCCACTAGACTAGAATGGCCAATAAATGGCATACATGGCATTTCTCTCCTCTCCCAAATTCAACAGCAACATTAGTAATCACTTGCAGCATGGCTCTCCACTGAACCCAGATGAGTCCTTAGAAACTTCTTAGTACTCTAGGCAGCCACTACCCATCCTTAGGGCTTGGCACCTGAATTGAAATCTATCGGCCTGAATAAAGCATCCAGCCTCTTGCTAGGATGCCAGTGGGAATACTGATGGAAGCACTGAAGTGGGAGCTGGTTCCCGCAGTCCTGCAACACCTCTCCCCATCCAGCTCTGCCTCATTACCTTTGACCTTGCCCTTGTGCTGTTCTGAAAGATGTTCTGTCCGTGTGCGGGTGATGAGCTCCACGTTAGATGCCCCATACACCTGGGGACAGATGAAGAAAGGGCTCATAAGCAGTTCTGGTCTTACCCTGTGTCTTACCCCTAAGGGCACTGGGAACACTCCCTGTAGCAAAGGGTCCTGGAGAGACTCTGCTTCAGGCTTTTGGGTAAGTGAATATATGAGGTCATTCATTCATTCATTCATTCACTTATTCATTCAACAAACATTTTTTGAGGAGCCTTTATGTGCCAGGCATTGAGGTAGGCATCAGGGATACAGTAAACAAGCCAAACATGATCCCTGCCCTCCTGAGACTTACAATCTCTATAAGGAGACAATAAAATGGAGTTATAACAGCATGGTCCATGCACTGGTGGGGGTAGCACAGAGGCCTTCCCAGACTACAGAAGCAGGGGAGGCTTTCAGAGGAGATGCCACACACAAAACCCATGGCATTTGTTAGTTCCTGCTTTCATGTCGTGGGCAACATAGGGGTCCCAGAGTAACAGGCAGAGCCTTTTTTTTTTTTTTTTTTTAGATGGAGTCTCGCTCTGTTGCCCAGGCTGGAGTGCTGTGGCGGGATCGCTGCACACTGCAAGCTCCGCCTCCCAGGTTCAAGCAATTCTCCTGCCTCAGCCTCCCGAGTAGCTGGGATTACAGGCGCCTGCTACCACACCCGGCTAATTTTTTGTATTGTTAGTAGAGACGGGGTTTCACCATGTTAGCCAGGCTGGTCTCGAACTGACCTCAGGTGATCCGCTCACCTCGGCCTCCCAAAGCGCTGGGATTACAGGCATGAGCCACCATGCCCAGCCAGGCAGTCATTTTTAGGGATAAAGGCCTGGCTCTAGGGTCAGGCCAGCCAGGATCTGAACCCCAACTCTGCCACTTAACAGCTGTGTGACCTTGTACAGGTCACAGAACCACTCTAAGCCTCTATTTCCTCATCATAAAATGGACCGATCATCCCTACTTCCTGGGGTTGTTGTGAAGAGTAAATGGGATGCCAAGGAAAGGACTCAATAAACATGCGTAAAATGGGAATACTAACAGAACAGCACCTACCAGAAAGGGTTGCTGTGAGGAATAAATGTGTGTGTGTGTGTGCGTGTGCACGTGCCCTGTGTATACATCCATACATCCATATAAAACACCAGAGAAGTGCCTTGAACCCAAATATAAGTGCTTGACCACGCTGCATTGCTTCTGTACCTCCAGGGCTGGGGAAGGGAGGTCAGAATCCCCTGTACAGCTTGCTGTAGGCAAGAGTGCAGCTGGGCTGGCAGCTGGGAGCTGCAGCCTCACCTTAGCTTCATACCCATTCACCATCTCCGTCTTTTCACTGCGCCAGCCCAGGATGCCAGTCTTGTTCCTGGGGAAGCAGAGTGGTCCAGGTGAGGCAGGCACCCCACCGGGCTGGCTCAAGGGTGACCAAGGCCATGTCCACCCACCTCTCAAAGGAGATATTCTTGGTGTCAAGCTGAGTGGTGACGACGGGCGCGGTAAGCCGGCTCAGCACCTGTTCCTCAGTGGGCTGAGCAGCAGCCAGCAGCAGCTCCCGGTCCTGCCCAGCCAGTGCCAGAGTCTCTGTGTACACCACCCGGCGGTCGTGGTCAATCTCCATGACCACGGCGCTTGTGTCTGCCAGACACGGAACAGCACAGGGGGATCAGGGGTGGCCTGGGGCTGCCTCCCATCGTCCCCACCCTGCCCCACTTCCTGCCTGCCTGACCTTGGCCCCTGAAGACAAAGCTGCGGTTCCCTCGCTGCCAGGTCATGTGGTCAAAGCCCAGGAGTGTGGTGTCTACCCTCAGGTTCTGGCCGCTCTTCCACACTTTGTAGGTGTCACTAGGGCAGATCTTGGACACCAGGGGCACTGGTGGAAGCGGAGGTTGGAGGTGGCTTTGACTGGTCTGGCCTACACGGCCTGGACCAGCTCAGGGCATGGGGTTTGGGATCCGTGTGGCCAGGAACAGGGGAGGGAACTGAAGAGAGAGCAGCCTCTCCTCCAAAACCCCCTCCCTGGCCAGTGTAGACCATACTCACACAGAAGAGCAACCTGAGGTCGGGACGGGCATGTTTCTGTCACCACTAAGTCCCTAGTGTCCATCATTTGTTAATTCACTCACTCACTCTTTCATCCATTCTTTCAACAAATATTTATGAAACACCTACTGAGTGTTCCAGCCACTGGGAATACAACAGTGAAAAAGACAGGACTCCTGCCCTCTCAGAGCTTACCTTCTAACAAGGAGCGGCAGGTCATGAATACAGTAAGCAAATCATGACAGAGTGAAGAGAATAATAATGGAGTCAAGACAGTATCTGGGGCAATCTGGAAAGGCCTAGCTGAGGCGGTGGCCCTGAGCTGAGCTAAGGCATAGAGGGAACCGCCGGAAGAACTATGAGAACACATTCCAGGCAGGGGAGCAAGCGCAGGACCTAAAGTGGGAGAGCCCAGAAGCGACCTGCTGCAGCCCGCTTACCCCAGCTAGTGAACTCCCATTTCATCTCCACGTAGAAGTCCTGGGCCTGGAGGACGAAGGGGAGAGAGGCTAAGTCTGCACTGGAGAAGGGCTCAAGGGCTCCCGTGGAGGCTGAGAGGCTGGGCCTCACCTTGCGCAGCTTCTCCAGGAGCACGGGGATGCCCGCCAGCCGCTTCACCACCCGCTGGTAGTCCCGGTACCGAAGCACCAGCTGCACCAGCTCCAGGTCCCGGGTACTCACAGCCTCCTGGAGCACTGGGGGAGGGCGAGGCAAGGTCACAGGGCAGGACCCTTCAGCCAACCATAGGTCTATGATGCTGGGGAGGCCCCGGCTGTGGGGCTGGGGTGAGCAGGGCTGCCCACCTGTCCAGCCGCTGCGATTCTCCCTGCCCACGTCTGCGCCGTGCGCCAGGAGCACACGGGCACACTCAAGGTGCCCCAGCGTGGTGGCCAGGTGCAGGGGAGTCCGGCCGCGGGGATCCAGCTGCTCGATGTCCACCTGGAGGAGGAGGAGGAGTGGAAGATAAAGCCCCAGTCACGTCGGAGGCAGCCCTCCGGAGCCAGACAGCCCTGGAGCAGGCAGCAACCCCCACCCCCTGCTGGGGCTGCTCTGCCTCACCAACCTCACAAGGCAACGGAAAGACAGACACTATGGGCAACGGAAAGACAGACACTATGAGCAACGGAAAGACAGACACGTGGATGGAAAGGGGCTTAGAAGACAGGACAGAAAGTAACTCTGGAAGAGGGAGGGCTTCCTCCCTTCCTGTCCACCAAGGGCCCCTGGCTGGGTCCTCTCCTCCAGGGCCCAGTGGCCTGCCTGCCAAGAATAAGCCTGGGACTGAAGTGGGGTGGCAAAGAGGCTGTTGGCCAAGGAGCTCACCTGGGACCAGACCTACCCTAAGGGTCCCAGGCCACCTTCAGGAAGAGCTACCAATTTAGATCACTGACATTATCACTGAGTGAGGTTTAACAAACGGTTACAGTAATACACAGACAGGAATGAAATAACAAGTTCATGGTATTAATACAATTTCACAACCATGTCCTGTGCTTGTGGGACACTATGCATTAAAATTTGTACAAATCCTATAATTTTGTGAATAACATGATTACATTGCATGAGATTTCTGTTGTGTGATAAAAGTGATAAAAGCTTTTTTTGGGGTTTTTTTTTGTGTTTTTTTTGGGGGGACGGAGTCTCACTCTGTTGGCTAGGCTGGAGTACAATGACGTGATATCAGCTCGCTGTAACCTCCGTCTCCCAGGTTCAAGCGATTCTCCTGCCTCAGCCTCCCAAGTAGCTGGGATTACAGACATTCGCCAACACGTCTGGCTAATTTTTTGTATTTTTAGTAGAGATGGGTTTTCACCATGTTGGCCAGGCTAGTCTTGAACTCCTGACCTCAGGTGATCCACCTGGCTCGGGCTCCCAAAGTGCTGGGATTACAGGTGTGAGCCGCAGTGCCCAGACAAAAGATTTTTTTTTTTTTTTTTTTTTTTTTTTTTTTTACTTGAGACAGGGTCTCACTATGTCACCCAGGCTGGTCTCAAACTCCTAGGCTTGAGCAATCCTCCTGTTTCAGCCTCCCAAGCAGCTGGGATTACAAGCCCCTGCACCTGGCTTAGAAAGCATGTTTGTTAAACGTAAGTTTTGTTTGTTTGTTTGTTTGTTTGTTTTTTGAGACAGAGTCTCACTGTGTCACCCAGGCTAGAGTGCAGTGGTGCCATCTTGGCTCATTGCAACTTCCGCCTCCCAGGTTCAAGCGATTCTTGTGCCTCAGCCTTCTGAGTAGCTGGGATTACAGGCGAGCACCACTATGCCAGGCTAATTTTTGTATTTTAGTAGAGACGGGGTTTTGATATGTTGCCCAGGCTGGTCTCTAACTCCTGACCTCAAGTGATTCGCCTGCCTTGGCCTCCCAAAGTGTTGGGATTACAGGCGTGAGCCACCACGCCCGGTCTTAAGCATAAGTATTTAAATATATTTCGAGAGTCTAGGACTTCTGGTTAAGAACAGTGAACTGACAGGCCAGGCGCGGTAGCTCACGCCTGTAATCCCAGCACTTTGGGAGGCCGAGGCGGGTAGATCACCTGAGGTTGGGAGTTCGAGACCAGCCTGACAACATGGAGAAACCCCATCTCTACTAAAAATACAAAATTAGCCAGGCGTGGTGGCCCATGCCTGTAATCCCAGCTAATCAGGAGGCTGAGGCAAGAGAACCGCTTGAACCCGGGAGGCGGAGGTTGCAGTGAGCCGAGATCATGCCACTGCACTCCAGCCTGGGCGACAAGAGCAAAACTCCGTCTCAAAAAAAAAAGGAACAGTGAACTGACCACATGCATGTAACTCCCTCCTCTTCTCTGAACTTGATTAAAACGCCAGTAAAAAGGCTTCTACTCCTACCATAATAAATGAAATTACTCTGCCACCATAAACAATGAGAAAATTATTGCTGCAAAATATATGAAGGCTGGGCACAGAGGCTCACCCCTGTAATCCCAGCAATTTGGGAGGCAAAGGTTGGCGGATTGCTTGAGCCCAGGAGTTAGAGATCAGCCTGGGCAATATGGCAAAACCCCATCTCTACAAAAAATACAAAAGAATTAGCCGGGTATGATGGCCTGTGCCTGTAGTCCCAGCTACTCAGAGGCTGAGGTGGGAGGATCGCTTAAGCCTGGGAGGTTGAGGCTGCAGTGAGGTATCATCACACCTCTGCACTCCAGGCTGGGCAACAGAGTGAGACGCTGTCTCAAATATATATATACATATGCGTGTGTGTGTATATATATATGTGTGTGTGTATGTGTGTGTGTGTGTGTGTTTGTGTGTGTATATATATATATTTCTCTATATAGAAAATATATGTAAAGAGAAATAGCTGTTTTTAGAAGTCCAGAACTGTGATCCCTGAAGTAAGGAAAATGAACAAGGTGAGCTCTGTAACATCCCTGGATTTCTGCCTGGAGGAACATTCCAGACTGTAATTCAAGGAGGGGAAGCCCGAGCAGAGCATGGTGCTCTTCCTGAGTTGAGAAGATGGAGACAGGATTCAGGGAAGCCAAGGTATTAAAGGTTGCAGCAGAGCACAGTTCTGGAAAAGAGTAAACTACTCAAAAAACTCCAGAAATCTGCATAGGGGTCTCTTCAAGTCTTCCTGAATACTAAACTTCACATGTGTATAGTGAAACTCAGTAAGACCACACAAAAAGGAGCAATAAAATGGTAAATTCTCAGAGCTCACCAAAAGCAAGGAGATAATCAAGCTCCAGCCTCCTAGAGTGGAGATGCATATTTAATCAGACCTCAGAAGGGTTATGCCTTAGCAGTAGAGCTAAACTATCCCTAGAGAAAAGGCTCACCTAGACCCACCCTAACAGATTAAAAATTAGCCTCAGGCCGGGTGCAGTGGCTCATGCCTGTAATCCCAGCACTTTGGGAGGCGGAGGCGGGCAGATCACCTGAGGTCAGGAGTTCAAGACCAGCCTGGCCAAAATGGCGAAACCACATCTCTACTAAAAATACAAAAAATTAGCCGGGCTTGGTGATGGGTGCCTGTAATCCCAGCTACTCAGGAGGCTGAGGCACAAGAATCACTTGAACCCAGGAGGCGGAGGTTGCAGTGAGCCAAGACTGCACCACTACACTCTGGCCTGGGTGACAGAGCAAGACTCCATCTCAAAAAAAAAAAAGAAAAGAAAAGAAAAAGAAAAAGAAAAATTAGCATCAAAGGCCAGGCACGGTGGCTCACACCTCTAATCCCAGCACTTTGGGAGGCTGAGGCAGGCAGATCACTTGAGCCTAGGAGTTCAAGACCAGCCTGGGCAACATACCAAAACCCCATGTCTACAAAAAATACAAAAAATTAGCCAGGTATGGTAGCATGTGCCTGTAGCCTCAGCTACTCAGTGACTGAGGCAGGAGGATCCCTTAAGCCCAGGAGGTTGAGGCTGCAATGAGCTGAGATTGCCCCACTGCACTCAAGCCTGGGTGACAGAGCAAGACTCTGTCTCAAAAAAAAAAGCCTCAAAAAGGTCAAACTGATTTGCAAGTAATTTACCTAGTCTGCCTGAACAAAGCCCAACACTCTTTAAAGAACAATAACAAATCCAGATGCTTAACATCATATTTACAATGTCCAAAATTCAGTTAAAAATTACTAGATATGCCAAAAAGTAGGAAAATAAAACTTATAGGCAGGGTGCGGTGGCTCACGTGAGCCTGTAATCCCAGCATTTTGGGAGGCTGAGGCGGGTGGATCACGAGGTCAGGAGATCGAGCTTGCAGTGAGCCGAGATGGCGCCCCTGCACTCCAGCCTGGGCAACAGAGAGAGAGACTCCATCTCAAAAAAAAAAAAAAAAGAAAGAAAATATAACCTATAATCAGGAGAAAAATAATTTCATAGAAACAAAACTCAGAAATGATAAAGATGATAGATGGCTCAATATACTCAAGAGTTTAAAGAAAAACATGAAAAAGATGTTCATGAGGAGAGGAATGAGAGGTATAAAAAAGAACCCAGTGGACCATCTAAAGATAGTAAGTACAGTAACTGAAATGAAAAATTCACTGAATGGAAATAACAGCAGATTAGACACTGCACAATTTAAAAATCAGTGAATTTGAAGACAGCAATAGAACTTTCCAAACTGAAGCACAGAGGAGAAAAACAGTACTGAAAAATAAAGTTGGCTGGGCTTCTATAGTCCCAGCACTTTTGGAGGCCAAGGCGGGAGGTTGGCTTGAGTTCAGGAGTTTAAGACCAGCCCAGGCAATACAGCAAGACTCTGTCTCTACAAACAAAACAAAACAAAACAAAACAACTTTTACATTAGCTGGGCATGGTGGCAAGCAGCTGTAGTCCCAGCTCCTCTGAAGCTGAGGCAGGAGGATCCCTTGAGCCCAGGAGTTCGAGGCTGCAGTGAGCTATGATCACGCCACTGCACTCCAGCCTGGGCAACAGAGCAAGACCCTGTCTCTATGGAGCCTCATAATCTGTAAGACATTATCAAGCATTGTAACATATATCTATTGGAATCCCAAAGGACAGAATAAAGAAGTAGGACAAATAAGACAAATTTAGAGAAATAGGCCGGGTGCGGTGGCTCACGCCTGTAATCCCAGTACTTTGGGAGGCCAAGGCGGGTGGATCACAACATCAGGAGTTTGAGACCAGCCTGGCCAATATGGTGAAACCCCATTTTTACTAAAAATACAAAAATTAGCCAGGCGTGGTGGTGGGCACCTGTAGTCCCAGCTACTTGGGGGCTGAGGCAGGAGAATCGCTTGAACCCGGGAAGGGGAGGTTGCAATGAGCCGAGATCGTGTCACTGCACTCCAGCTTGGGCGACAGAGGGAGACTCCATTTCAAAATAAGTAAATAAATAATAAAAGAAAGAAAGAACGTCCAAAATTTTTCCAAACTTGATAAAAACTACTATGGTGGGTTGAAGAATGGTGCCCCTCCTAAGACATGTCCACATCACATTCTGACCCTCACAGCCTATGAATGAGACCTTATTTCAAAAAAGGGTCTTTGCAGACATAATTAAGTTAAGGATCTCAAGATGAAATAATCCTGGATCACCCAGGGGGCCCTAAATCCAATGACAGGTGTCTTTCTAAGACACTCAGAGAGGTGGGAAGGCCATGTGAAGACGGAGGCAGAGACTAGAGTTCTGCAGCCACAAGCCAAGAGGGTTGTGGCCCAGTCACCAGAATCTGAAAGAGACAAGGCAGGACTCTTCCCTAGAGCCTTTGGAAGGACTGCCACCCTGCCAACATCTCAAATTTGTATTTATGTCTCCCGAACTGTGACAGAATAAATTTTTTTTTTTTTTTTTTGAGATGGAATCTCACTCTGTCGCCCAGGCTGGAGTGCAGTGGCGTGATCTCAGCTCACTGTAAGCTCCGCTTCCCCGGTTCACGCCATTCTCCTGCCTCAGCCTCCCAAGTAGCTGGGATTACAGGCACCCACCACCACGCCCGGCTAATTTTTTGTATTTTTAGTAGAGACGGGGTTTCACCGTGTTAGCCAGCATGGTCTCGATCTCCTGACCTCGTGATCCGCCCGCCTCGGCCTCCCAAAATGCTGGGATTACAGGCGTGAGCCACCACACCCGGCCAAATATTTGTTGTTTTAACCCACCTAGTTTGTAGTAATTTGTTGTGGAAACTAATACCAAGATAAAGCCAAGAACCAAGAAATTCAATGAACCCCAAGTAAGACAAACACGAAGTAAACTACACCAAGGTCCATCATAATCAAATGCTGAAAACTAGTGGTAAAAAGAAAATCCTAAAAGCATTCAAAGAAATGAGGTCCATTATGTATGGAAGAACAGATACAGGAAATACTATATTCTTCTCATCAGAAACTATGTAAGCCAGGAAACAATATAATGAAATCTTTAAAGTGCTGGGGGAAAAAAACAAAAACAAAAACTTTCAACCTAGAATTCTTTTTTTTTTTTTCTCTAATCCAGTATGACTGGTATTGACCTAGAATTCCATACCCGGTGAAAATATTCTTCAAAACTGAAGAAGAAATAAATATGTTGGCAGACAAACAAATTCTAAGGGAATTTATTGCCAGATGTGCAGGAAATGTTAAAGGGAGTTCTTCAGGTGGAAAGAAAATGATCCCAGATAGAAACTTGAATCTGTACAAAGGATTGAAGAGTGCCAAAAAATGTTAAATGTATAAGAATGTCAGGAGGCCAGGCACAGTGGCTCATGCCTGTAATCCCAGCACTTTGGGAGGCCGAGGCGGGCAGGTCACCAGAGGTCAGGAGTTTGAGACCAGCCTGGCCAACATGGTGAAACCCCATCTCTACTAAAAATACAAAAATTAGCTGGGCGTGGTGGGGGATTCCTGTAATCCCAGCTACTAGGGAGGCTGAGGCACAAGAATCGCTTGAACCTGGGAGGTGGAGGTTGCAGTGAACAGAGATCGCACCACTGCACTCCAGCCTGGGTGACAGAGAGAGACTCTGTCTCAAAAAAAAAAAAAAAGAATGTCAGGCTGGGCGCAGTGGCTCATGCCTGTAAGCTTTGGGAGGCCGAGGTGGGCAGATCACTTGAGCCCAGGAGTTTGAAACCAGCGTGGGCAATGTGGTGAAACTCTGTGCTACAAAAAAATACTAAAATTAGCCAGGCGTGGTGGTGCATGCCTATCGTCCCAGCTACTGGGAGGCTGAGGTGGGAGGATCCCTTGAGCCAGGGAGCCAGAGGTTGCAGTGAGCAGAGATCATCCCACTGCACTCCAGCCTAGGCAACAAAGCCAGACCCTGTCTCAAAAAAAAAAAAAAAAAAAAGTCAGTAAAATATTTAAAACCCACAAGAATAAAGAGAAGAGATGTCAGCAGATGAGAAACTTCAACACAACTTTAGAACATGGAAAGTGGCTGGGGCCTCACAACTGACTTAGGGGAGCAGAGGAAGCTGAAACTAAAGCAGCCACAGAGGGAAACGTCCACATAAGGAGCAAGCCAGGTGACCCCCAGCCCCCCTGAAAGGTGTAGGTAGGACCTGCAGGCAATGGGGATGGCAGAGGTGGAGGTGAAGCTAGAGCTGAGTGCAGGGAGGCTGGTTACAATTCAGGATCCCCTGGTCCCCTTCCCAGCCTCATTAAGCTGGGAGATGCCCCCCTTCCTCACCACAGGACACCAGGGGTTTATTCTTTGTAGAAATTGGGCATGAGATGCTCTGGACTCAGGAGCATTGGCCACAGCAGAGGATGAGGTATGGTGCTGAAAGCCAGTGATCCGTGAAACCCCAGCCCCTTCCCTACCTGGGTCCTGAACCACTGGCAGCCAGGTCACACCACCACCACCCTATCTACCCGAGTAGGAAGTTGTCCCAAAGACCTCAGAATACAGACATCTGGTGACCCTACAATGAACAGGCCAGCCTGCCACCTGATCACCTTACAGTAGCACCCACACATCCCTGAGCTCCCCAGCCCCATTCTTAAATATGACCCAACAGCCAGGAGAAACTGGACACTTGATGAAAGCTTCCCATGTGAAATAAACCAAAACATACAAATTAGATGCTAAGACGGCTGGGTGCAGTGGCTCACGCCTGTAATCCCAGCTCTTTGGGAGGCCGAGGTGGGCGGATCACGAGGTCAGGAGATCGAGACCATCCTGGCTAACACGGTGAAACCCCGTCTCTACTAAAAATACAAAAAATTAGCTGGGCGTGGTGGCGGGCGCCTGTAGTCACAGCTACTCGGGAGGCTGAGGCAGGAGAATGGTGTGAACCCGGGAGGCGGAGCTTGCAGTGAGCCGAGATTGCGCCACTGCACTCTAGCGCGGGGGACAGAGCGAGACTCCGTATCAAAAAAAAAAAAAAAAAAAAAAAAAAAAACAAATTAGATGCTAAGAACCCAGAGGAAATTCTCTTGATGCAGGGAATAAAAGAAAACTCTTTGGGGGAAAACAGTAATTTACATCCTCAGGAAAAATATAAAAAGATCATTGAATTCATGAAACAAAATGGGACAGCCTGGCTTTCCATGACGTCTCCTGCCCTTTCTCTTGCCTTCTTCATTCTGGAAGTGACTTTCTTAACTTTTCCTTGTTTTCTGCATTCCTGGACAGCTGCACCTGCCCCCATAAACAGTAAACATCACCTGGATTTACTGCATTTTCAGGTGGAAAAAAAAACCAACTTTAAAACTGTCTACATCTCTTCTTTTTCCCGCACCCTCCACATCTAACCCATCAGAAAAACTTGTAGGCTCTGCCTCCAAAACAGACCTAGAAGCCGCCCAGTTTCCACTACCTTGCAGCTGTTGCCCCCCCATCTCTCACTGGCAGCCCCCTACTGCCTCTTTGCTGCTCCCCGGTTGCCAGGCTCTATTGTCCACCTCACCTATGGCAGCTAAAGTCACCCTGTGAAGTGTTACTCAGGTCCTGACACTCTTTAGTTCAAAATCTTCCAGTGGCTTTCCATCGTAGGTAGCAGGGAATCCAATGGCCCCAGACTTCTCTTTGAACTCATTTGCTCCACCCTTCGCCAATGGCCTTCCCCGGAACGTTCTCCAGGATCCTCCAGAGAGCCCCAAAGCTTTCTCCCTCCCTTCACTCAGGCTGCTGCTCAAATGTCACCTCCTTAGAAAAGCCCACCCTGACAGCCCATCTGAGGTAACAGCTGCTATGGCTCTATCCACTGCCCGTCCAAGTGCCTGTTGAGCACCTCCTGCACCTCGAACAGAAGCCCCATCAGCCAGGTCCCTGCCTGCTTTGTTCACTGCTGGTTCCCCACTCCCCAGGCAGCACCTGGCACATAAATATTTGCTAGACAAATGCATAGAGTACTAGGCTGAGGGGGCACAAGGAGGGGAAGGTAATTAACCAAGAAATCATTGCAGAAGTATATTGTTTATGCCGGGGGGCTCACGTCTGTAATCCCAGCACTTTGGGAGGCCAAAGTAGGTGGATCACTTGAGCTCAGGAGTTCGAGACCAGCCTGAGCAACATGGCAAGACCCCATCTCTACAAAAAAAAATACAAAAATTAGCCAGGCATGGTGGCACCACCTGTAGTCCTAGCTCCTTGGGAGGCTGAGATGGGAGGATCACCTGAGCCTGGGAGGCAGAGGCTGCACTGAGCTGTGATCACACTACTGCACTCCAGCCTGGGTGACAGAGTGAGACGCTGTCTCATGAAAAAAGAAAAAAAAGAAGAAGAAAGAAAGAGAAAGGGAGGGAGGCAGGGAAGGGAGGGAGGGAGGGAGAAGGGGAGGGGAGAGGGCAGTATAAACAATATATTGTTTATAATTAGGGAGGTAAATGACAAAAGGAGTCCAGAGTGCTGGGGAGGTGGGAGAGGCGGAGCAAGGAGCACTGCTTTTCATTACGCATCTTCTAGCAACAGTTAAATATTTTAAAGCATGACCATGAACTCCATTGTCAAAAATGAAACATTTTAAATAATTTAAGATTATTTATATAATTTTTATAGCCTTGTCCTGGAATTTCTTCATTTTTCAATATACTGGGAGCCTCAAAAAAACCAGCGGGCCTGGCCCCTGTTGGCCTCTGAGCTGTGGCCCCTCACAGAGAAGGGGAGTGTTGTTTACTCTTGTCCAATCCTGGTTGGGCTGGACTCCGGGGCTTGCAACCTGGGTGGGGTCCTGAGCCCGGCAGCGGGAGTGGGAGAGGGCCACAGGGCCCGAGCTGACTGGGGAAGTGCTGAGCAATCCAGGCCTCCCAGCCCTGCCCCAGATGCTGCAGCCGCAGCCGCTGCAGCTAATAAGACCCTAGGGAGCTGGCAGGCCGCTGCCTGGCCTCAGGGCTCCAGATGCTGCCTCCACCTCCCCATCAGGTGCCTCAGCTCCAGGCTCCAGAGAGCGGCTGGCACTTCCTTGCAAGCAGGGTGCTCCTCCCCATCCCCACACCTCAGGAGCACTCCCCAGGGAGGCCTGGATGGCTCAGCACCCCATACACCCCATGCAGAACCCCATACACTCAGCCAAGCTCCAGAGCAGCTCTCCCCACAAGCCCAGAGTGCCGCCTGCAGTGTAAGTGGCACCTTGCCCTGGGCCCAGGTAGGAGAATTCATTAATCTCCTCAGCAGAGGCCTCCAGCTTCTCCTCAGCAGAGGCCTCTAGCTATTTAATTGCTGGAATGAAAAGGTTTCCCATGAAACCCAACACCCAGCCCTCCCCACCAAGAGAACGGAGATTCCTTATCCCAGCAGGCCTCAGCTGGAGTCAAAAGGTGGAGTCTTTGGAGTTTTGTAGCTGGGGGTCCCTGGGCAGAGAGCCTCCCTACCTCCACTCAGGCACACACACCACACTCTAGTACACACTGGTACCATACAGATACACACTCGTACGCTCATAGGTACTCACGTGTGCCCTTAAGTGTACAAGCACATGCATGCCCAGCTGCCTTCTGGCCCTGCAGGAGTCCACTCCTGTGTAACGTGTGTGTGCGTATTTGCACAGGAACACCCCTCACACCCATGTGCACTAGCAGGGTACTTTCCAAACTCCTTTAGCATGAGCAGAATCCTTTTGTTAAGGGAAGTATGAAAAGCATACATCTCATGTATGGACTAAACACAGTGCTTGCGAGGAAGGTGAGGGACGCAGAGCCTGTGCTCAAGGTGGTGCCTGCTCAGCCCCTTCCCCAGCCCACGAGGAGGAAGGCAGGAGTCTGGTGTAGTCGTTGCTTGACCTCTCCTGCCCAGCGTGGGGTGCAGGGGCAGGTCTGCCTGAGCTCATTCAAGGGGAGGGAGGCAGGATGCATCCTCAAGCTGCGTAGGAGGCCACGGGCTGTGGGGACCGCACCCTGGACTTCTCCCTCCATGTCACCCCTCCCATCCTGCCCTTGCAGCCCCTCCCCCTCATCCCAGAACACATTGATTTTTGGTTTCTGGGGTTTGTGGCTCCCTCTCCCGAGCTTCCTAGCTTACCAGCTGTGGTGATGCCCCACATCCAGGACTGCCCAGTGTAGGCAAAGGGAGGGGTCTGAGGTGCTCCTCGCACATCCTGGGCCCCACAACCCATCTCCCCTGCCTCTAGGTCAGAAGGGTGAACAGGGAAAGCAGGAAGCAAGCCCACGGTGGAGAACGCCCCAGGGAGAAGGAAAATGATTCTCTGGGACCACAATCTGCCCACTTCAGGGTTCTGGTTGCCAGGGGCAGAGTCCTGCTCCCCAGGCCCAGCCCACACATGTCCCTCCCACGGGAGCTGCACAGGCTAACCCTTCCCCCTGTTCCCACCCCAGGGAACACCAGGAACTCACGACTCCAGAACCAGGACCATGCCCAGCTGGCCATGCCAGGCAAGGGGGAACTGGCATATTCCCTGGCTTACAACCCTGTCCCCCCCGACCTGGCAGAGAACATGCATAGCGGCAAGCAGGGCACCGGGCTGGCATCACAGCACTGCTGGGTGCCCCTTCCCTTCACCAGGCACCTCCTATCTGCCCATCACTCCCTGCTTCCAGCCTCCAGCAGAGCAATTTGGGGCTGAGCAAAGCCCATTAACCTGCTCTGAAGGTGGCCATGCTGGCCCCCTCCTCAGCCAGCTGCACTGCCAAGCCTGCCCACGGAGGGCCTCTGCGGGGCTTTCTTGGAGTGAAGAAGAGGCAGCTATGCCAAGCCAAGACCAGGGAAACCTGGCTCCTGAGTGCTTGAGGAAAGCCGAGCTGTTTCTGTGGCGGCTGGTACCAGGGGGACTAGAGGCCAGGGACCCCTGGCTGGGATGCCAGGGTTCCACAGTGCTTTTCTCATGATGTTAGGTGGCTGTCCCCAGGTCCCCCTTGCAGAAAACAGAGCCTGGTGCCCTGGGGAGTAGGCAGTGTACATCTGGATACAAGCCTCACTCTGGGCCAGTCCTCGAGAGGGGAGACAGCTAGGGAACTCTCCCACCTACACGGAGTGGCATTCCTCTTTTTGGCACGCCTGAGGGAAGGAGAGGACTGGCCTGGCTCCTCTGTGGTTGAACAAGGGTTAACCTCCACCAGTGCCCTATATTCCCCCTGGCCTGGATCCAGGACAGGCAGTGTCCATTTCAAGGAGACATTAACTCACTGGGGCAGGGGTAGGGGTGAATCTGGGACCTTGTTTCTGAGGCAGCCAGAGGGGTGGGAGAGAGAAACACATGAGCAGCCCCCAACACCTCTACCTGCAGCGGCTCCGGTGCCCCCCACCCCAACCTTACCCCAGCAAGATGGCCACCCACTTCAGGATTATCAGCAGAGAGGCCTGCTGGAGAAGTCTTTTCTCCCAGGGCATTCTGCCTCTCTCCAGTCTCTGCAGTAAAAGGACCACCCACCCTCAGGCAAGGGAGTGGGACTGAGGCATTCTGGAGATTCAGCCTTCTGCCTAGTGATCCTTGGACCCCTGGGAAGTTCTTCCCACATGAGGCTTGTCTTCTTTTGCTTTCAGGGAAGGAAAGCAGAGAAGAGCCAGCAGAGGCTGGCTGGCCATGTCTTAGCGCTTTGCACATCACCCTGGAATTTCCTGTTCACACTTGCTTCACCAGAACAGAGACTCCTTGAGGGCAGGGGTTGATGCCCTGTTTGTTCATCTGTTTCCTGGGGGCACTGTGACCCACTCTCTTTAACAGGCTTCTCGTGGCTGCAGAGCACTGCCTTTATGATAGATAAACAAAGACAGGGTCTGAGGAGTTCAGTCTGAGGAGAAACTCGGAGAGTGCTGGCATAGGCACAGGTAACAGGAAGTGGCCACCCAGACCGGCCCAGAGGCCTGCGGGCACAGGTCACTCGCATATTTACAGGGACTGCCATGCAGAGCTGGATGCCATGCAGGCCTGGGGGCTGGCTCAGCGTGGGACTTCAGAGACACATCCTGACCCCCAGCCTGCTCAGTCCGATGGCCTGCCCTCCACCTCCATGCTTCCCTTGGCGATTGCACAGCTCCTCAGACTGAACTTCTCATGACTCAATAAGCAGCCCTCAGAAGGTAAATTCCCACAGCGGGCAACTGCGCTAACCACCCCCAGCCCATGGCCCCAAGGTCTCAGACCCAGTCCAAAACTGGGGTTCTCAGCCTGCAGCAAGCCATGGGACCCGGGCCCAGCTCTGGCTCTTGCAGCCCACCCTGGAGGCGGGGGGTCATCTCTGCCATGAGTGCCTACCTGTGGCCTGGGTGCCAAGGGCAGAAGTGGCAATCTGTGACCTGTGCCTGCCTTTGTTCTGAAGCATGGCCAGAAGACATCCTGAAGCATGGCCAGAAGACATCCCCCCTTCCCCTGTTTTCTGGAGACCACTGCCCAGCCCAAAGCTGGTGACCCACGTGGCCTTACTGACCAGCAGAAACCAGGGAGCCCACCTGGTGCGCAGAACCTCAAGTCCTTCCAGCAGCCAGGGCCCCTCAGCTTCCTCTGCGCCTAGAAACCAGGCCCCAGCACCAGAGGGCAGGAGAGCGCTTTTCAGCACCTGGACAAGGCCCTTGGGGCCTCCCAAGAGGGTCTTTCTCCACTCCCTGTTCCTGAGCTGGGGCTGGGCTCTGAGAGATCCAAGGATCTGCCCAGTTTGAGAGCTAAAAGAGAAAGCGCTCACCGTTGGGGAGAGGGCGCTGGGTGGGGCTGGGGTGCCTGGGAGTGTGACACAGCCTCTTCCCCATTCTTGACCTATGGCCCCCTCCCCACGCAAGCCTTTCCCACCTCCGCACCCTCACTCGGGAGGTGTCGCCGCTCAACTGGCTGGGGCGGACTCTCCCACCACATGGAACACCGACACAGCCCGCAGCCCCTCCCTGCAGCCCTCACTGCCCCGGCGGAGGAGGGGCACAGAGGCCTCTACTCTCATCTAGGTGAGTCCGAAACACGTGTGGTCCCGCCCGTCCCGGCCGGAGGGGATCACCCTTTCCCGGTCAACAAGCACAAAAGCCGCGGCCGCAAACAAAGACGCGCCGCAAACTCGCCAGGGAGGCGGGACAGCCCGCGCCGCACCCCCTCCCCAGGCCGGACGGGCGTGCCCGGCCGCGGGGTCCCCGCGGCGCCCCGAAGGCGCTCCTACCTGGCCCGCGCGGACCTCCTTCTCCAGCTCGCGGTGGCGGTTGTGCCACACGAGGTAGTGCAGCGGATACTTGCCCTCGGGCCCCTTCCTGGCGGAGGCGTTGGCGGGGATCATCGCCCGCTCCTCATGCCGGGGCCGCGGCGCCCGGCCGGGGAGGAGGGACGGCGCCGGAGCCGGGGCCCGGGGCCGCGGGGCGGGGGGCCGGCGCTGCCTGCTCGCGGGGCTGCGGCTCGGGCATGTGCGAGCGGCGGCGGGCGGGGGCGGCGCGCCCGGCGCGGTGCGGGCGGCGCGGGCGACGGGCGTCCTCGCGAGGCGGCGGCGGCGGGCGGCGCGGAGAGGCCCCCACCCGCCCTGGGAGGGAGCGGGCACTCGGCGGCGCTGCGCGGACTCGCGCTCGCCTCCCACACCCCCGCACACAAAGACGCCGCTCGGCGGAGGGAGCAGGCGCCCGCAGCGGGCGCGGGGGCGCACGGGACGCGGGCCCCGGGGACGCCGCCGCAGGGACGCGCGCCCGCAGCCCCCGGGTCCCCACAGCTGCATAGCCCGGCCCTCAGCCCGAGCGGCCGGCGCGGGATACGGGGATGTGGGGATGATGGGGAGAGAGGAAGGGGACCAGGCGCCCCGGGTAGAGCTTGTCAGCTCAGCCCCGCGGCATCATGGGGTTTGTAGTCCGCCTCGTGAAACTGGGGGTGGCAGGTGGCCGAAGAGGGTCTGCACTGTCCCCGGATCTCGTGGGAGAGTGGGCGGGGAGTCAGGCCTGGCCCAGACGCGGGCGGGGCCCTGACGCCAGGTGGGCTGGGACGCACCTCCCCCGCTGGCATTTTGCCTTTTGCTGGGGAAGTGGGGGGGCACGGGCCTAGGTCGAGCGTTTGGGAGACGGGGTGGAGGTGTGGTCTTCAGAATTGAGCTTGGGTCCCAGGGGCCATGAAGAAGGATCCGGATTCCCAGAAGAGAGCGTCTGATTGGGAACTCCTGAGAAAGGTGTGGGGCATCAGTACCAAGGGTCATTGGAGCAGCCAGGGGTCTGGCCCCTGGAACATTTCTGAGGAGTCTTCCCTGCCCTGTTAGAAAATTAAACTCCATCTTCCACACATGTCATTGGAAACAGAATGTCCAGTAACGCGGGAAAGATGGTCCCTTTCCCCCCGCACACTGTCCCCAGCAAGAACCAGAGTGAGGTTGGACAGAAAAAGCAGCAGGTGGCAGCTCCGTTCCTCCACCCAGCTGGCCCTTCAGGAAGGGAAGTGACTGATTCCAGAGACTGTCTCCTTCCTGAATGACCCCAGGGTGAAGAGGTACTTCCAGAATGGTCCCTGCAGAGGGTGTGGTAAAAGTTGAATTGGCCTCTCAAGCGCCAATTGCAAGGCCTGGAAGGACCAAGAGGCTTGGACCAGTCCCTGGAGGGAGGGGACTGTGATGTCAGAGAGACCAGAGTTCGAATAGCTCCAACTGCCTGACCTTAAAAGAGCAAACTGCTTAATTTTTCCGACTTTCTCGGTCCACTCCCCTTCAAAATGAGAATCTAGATACTACCTCCTGGGGTGAGCTAAGGATAATGACTGCCCTGGAAACAGCGCCTCCCTCCCCCAACCAGGCGGGCCGAGACAGGTGGCGGGACCAGGCACGGTGCCTTCTTGAGCCCACCTCAGAACAAGGCAGGAATAAGGGATTCCACACCGGCCCTACTTAAAACAACAATCCAAGAAGTGTTTGTGTGGGAGGTGCCAGCAAAAGCTTGCAAACTCTCTCAGGTTTCTTTGTGTGGTCTTCCCTCCTTCCTCCTCCACACCCTGTGGTGCCAGGCCCCAGCGGGAAGAGATGAGGGAGGAGCGGGCTGCCTCGCCCCTTTCTCCCGCCTGGGAGGAGCCAGCTGGCGTCTCCGGGGGCCCGGGACCGCTGCCCGCCTGCACCACCAGGGGTCAGCAGAGTGTCGTGGCTGCAGCCAGTGCAGGGGAGGGGGCTGGCGCGGTTGAGGGGCATCTAGGAGTGGCCGGGAGCATGCCTGTGCATTTCCTTATTAAATTGTTTTTCGAACCTTGTGTGTGATTCCACTGTAGCAGTCCTGCTTCCTGGGGTGGTGACATCTCCACGGGGGAATCCAGAAACCCTTTTATCTCCAGTCCCAGGCCCAGAAGTTTGGCTGTGACGGGGCTGGGGGAAACAAAGTTTGGACGATGTGTCCGCGCCAGGGCCACTCCCAGGTAGTCTCTGAGCCAACCAGGAGATGGGGAGTGGGGTGGAGGGGTAAGCAGAGTGAATCATCCTTCTTCCCCAGCAAAGCCCAGGAGTCCGAGGACAGGGGGAGTTCAGGATGGATTGTGGGGAGTTGTCGATTGTGGGGAACTGTCCCCTGGGCGGCCGTGTTCTTTTTTTGCCAGGCGGCGGTAGACACTGAACCCAGGTCGCTTGCGCTTCGGCCCGCGCTCTCAGCTGCCACGTGCTCGAGACGCGCCCACACAGCGGAGAAACAAAGACAGCCAAGCGGCAGGGCTGCCAGCAGCCTCCTCGACATTTAATAAATGAAATTCCATAGCTGGGGGTCGATCGGGGGTGAACGGGCGGCCACCGCTCGTGGACTGAGCGCCTGGCACGGGCTGCCTGGCCACTCCTCCCGTCTCACTCCCCCCGCCCCTTACCCCCTTCCCGCTGAGGCCACCAAGCCCATGGACTCTGGTGAGAGAGCAGCTCGGGGCGGCAGGTGGTGCTCCCCCCTACACACCAGCTAGGTATCGTTGCTTGCAAAAGCCCCACCAGCTGAGCGGCTGGCTGTCGAGGGAGGGGAGGCCTGCAAGATTTTTTTAAGGTGCAATTATAAATAAAGCCCATGGATCGCGATTTCAAACAAACTTGTCAATCTGGGCCGCAGCAAAAGGCGATGGAGGCAGCTTTGCATGTATTTCGGGTGGTGTGACTCATGAGCATTACTTGTCTCCCCTAGGGAAGGAGCCTGCCCACCCACAAATCACTGCCGCTCTGGCACCGTTGGGATAATCGACCAACTTGAGCACCCCTGCCAAAGGACTGCCCCCATCTTAACAAGCAGGAGTCTCTGACTCTTGGAGAACCCCTCCTCAATTGTCACCACTGACCTGGCCCCCAGGTCTGGCCCTGGGGACCTCTACCCTCTCCCCACAAGCAGAGTGCCCGGGCCTTTTGCTGCTGCAGGGATTGGGGGTTGGGTACACGCGCGGCACACGCGTATGGGGGCGCATGCTCAGTGCGGGGGCTGCGCTCATGTGCGGCCTCTACCTAGGCTCCCTGCCCCCCAGCCCACCCACGTCCCTCACCTGCCTTGCCTTTGCCTGCCTCGTCGTGTGAAGTCCAGGAAGAAAGGCCGTCACCTGAAACGGCCCCTCTATGTTATATGCACCCTTTCTGGACACACACACCTCTGGTGGCCCAGAAACACCGTGGGTGTGTGTAAGGCGGATGACAAGTGGATGTGAGTGCACACAGGCACAGTGGTCACTCCTCGGGAGGTCTTTAAAAACCGCCCAGATTCTCTCCTCTCTGGATGGAAGGATGCATGGAGAGATAGATATATTTTTAGTCCGGAGGCAGGGGAATACACTGCCTGACCTTTCTGGCACCTGGGCGTCCATATTGTTAGCAGTGGGCGTATTCAGCAAGAGTGTGACACATACACACACACCCCTGGACACACAGATGTGGACACCTACGGGACAGGGACGCACACCTCACCCCAACCAGAGATAGACGGGTACCCCAAGGCACAGCCCCTTTGACCTGGAGCGGGACTTGGGCCTCCAAGTCCTTCTTCCCTAATCCCCACCCTCGCCGTCCGTGGGCCCAGCGTCCCCCGGTCCACCCCACGCGGAAAGTGAAGGGGAGGGGGCTGTGAGGGTGACTCACATTGCCTCCGGGCCAGGCGAGCGCTGCAGCGGAGGCCAGGGCCGCAGGCCACGCTGCCCGCCGGGGCCGGGCATCTGCCGCGGCCCCTTTAAGCGCCCCCGCCCCCTCCTGCCCGCGCCCGGGCTTCCTTTCTCTAGGGGGCGCGGCCGGCAGCGCGCGGCGGGGCGGGGGTGCGGCCCCTCCCCCTGTGGGCAGGGCCTGCGCCGCTTCCTGCAGAAGCGGCCGGGAGCCGCGCAGGGGGCGGAGAGAGGAGCCGCGAGCGGCGGCGGGGCGGCGCGGGGCGGAGGGCGCCCGAGGGCGAGCGGGCAGGCGGGCACGGCGGGTTCCGGGCCAGCCCCGGGGCGGACGGTTGGCCGGGCGCGCGGAGCCTCGCCGGGGCCTCGCCGGAGCCGGGCCGGGCAGCAGGGGCCGCCGCCGCCGCCCGGGCCCGCCGCCCGCGCCCCCCACGCTGGCCCAGAGGGCTGCGGCCGCGTCGCCGCTGAGGATGTCCCGAAAGGGGCCGCGAGCGGAGGTGTGTGCGGACTGCAGCGCCCCGGGTAAGCGCGGCGGGGCCGGGGGCGGGACCGCACAGCCAGGCCGCCGCCGGGCGGGCGCCGGGGCCTGGCAAGAGCGCTGTGCGGGGCCGGAGGGCTGGGCGGGGCGGGGGGCTGCGGCCTCCAGGCTGGGCCCCCGCCTCGGCCACTGCGGAGCTGCGCCCTTGGCGGGAGGGCCGGCCTGGGGTGCCCATGCTCCCTGGAGGCCGTGGACTAGCGAGGAAGGACGTTCCCGGCGCCGCCTCCCGCTCCTCGGTCTGAGGGAGGCGGGCAGCTGGCTGCTCCTCCACCTCCATCTCTGTATCCGACGGAAGCGCCAGCCTGGGGTGGCAGGAGGGCCGTGGCGGAGGCCGTCAGGGCTTGGGAGGTGGGGGCGAGTGTGGTTTTATGTCATCTCAGTGCCACCCCCGCGTCTTGCACCTGCTGCTCGCGTGGTCGGTACGCCTGCCGGGGTGGTGGAGGGCAAGGAGCAGAGGGCCGGGCAGATGCGCCAGTGGGGCCTGAATACCGTCTCCTCAGGAGCAGATGAGCGGTGGCTACTCCCAGGACTCCCTGCCTCGGGTTCCTAAGGCTAGCGCTCCTTGCCGGGCCTGGCGTTCAGGGCCAGTCTAGACCCGGGTGTCTTCTCGGGAGGCATCCCCAGGCCTGCTGGTGGTGACTGGGAACAGCTCGGCTGGACCCTGCTGTTCCTGTTCACCGGTAAGGCCTGCTTGGGAAAGTGAGCTTGGCATCAAGCTATCCTGGGTGCGGGCCCCTCCCTGTCCCCTAGCCCAGTCTGGCCAGAAATGGGTGGGAGGCCGTGCCGAGATTCCCCGTATCCTGCTGGCTTCCTGGCCTGTCTCCTGGCTGTATTTACATGGTGGTTCCCTTCCTTTTCCTAACAGAGTTAGGACTGGGCTGGAGTGAAACCCCCCAGGCCTGCTGAGGAAGTCAGGGGTAATGATCCAAGAGGCTGCTCCCTTCTGATGAGGGAGGACAGCCAGTGACGGGGCTCTGCAGCTGGCCTGGGAAGGAAGCTCTAGCCCACATCCATTCTTTCTTTAGCAAAGGAGCTATCTCCCTGGTAGGCCCCTGGGCAGGCTGCGGAGGTCCGTGAACTCTAGCGGGGCTGTGGGCATGATTAAGAGTGAGAGTATGGGGTGCTGGTTTGTGGGCCCATAACTTTCAGCCACCCCTTGAGCAGGCCCAGGACCCCACCGGTTGAGCCTCACAGATGCTCTGGTGGTTCTGGGGGTGCCAAGCTAGAGTATTTGGGAACTATGACTTAGCAGGGCTTGGGCACAAAATACTCCATAGGTGGTTATGACCAAGGCCTCCTAGGGGCTTATCATGGTTTAGAGGGCCCTGGGGTTGAGGGTCCATACCCCTAAGAAACTGTGACTCCGTTCCCCGAGCTGCAGGCAGGTCTGGGGATGGCAGGGCTGAGGATGCACCTTGCCTTATAAATGTCTCCCCACTGTTCCACAACTCCGTGGGGTAAGCATGGCATGGAATGTGGAGGAGAGTCTTAGCAGGCGCCCAATCGGGGGAGTCTGGGGCTTAGTGTTGCCTTTGTTCCCAGCTTACTCTGTAATCCCAACAAGACTTTCCTCACTGTGGGGTCCTCAGCTTCCTCAATTCAGAGGCAAAGAAGTTGGAGTAGAAATGGTTTTTGGGGGGCTGCCATCTCCGAATCTGTGGTCTGATTCTGGGGTGGAGGGGTGAAGGGCAGCACCAGCAAGGCAGTTGTCCTTTGTATGTTGCGTTGAATGTCCGACCACAGCCTCTGGATGCCCAGTGGGCTCAGGGAGGAATGGTGGGCATCAGATGTGTTGGATTGCCCAGCTCCTCCTCCCAGGTCCTCATCTGTCAGAGGAATTTGTGCCCCAGATGCCTCCTTTCCCCTGATTCACAATAGAGGTCAGGAAGGTGGTGAGAAGGTGAGGATGGTGGGGTGGGGAGGATGTGGACAGTCTTACTCATCAGCCCACCTAGCACCCAGCGAGGTGTCCAGCACATGGCAGGCACTCCCTGAGTGTTTGGCTGCTTGTTAGGACCCTGGCTGGCTGCTTGGGACTATCCCACACCTGGACCCTAGGATGCTGGCCCTGGCATGCAGCGGCATGTTTGGTCTGGGTCCTGTGGCATCTCAGGCAGAGAGGCATGAGGGTACCCAGCAGTCCGGAGTCCAGATCCAGTGCCAGCCCCATGGTGTATCGCTCCACCCCAGGGTCACAGGCTTCTTTTATTATGATAGGAGCCCTGCAGTCCTAACCACAGGAGTGGGGCCAGGGACTTTTTGTGCTTGGTTAATTTGGGGGGTCATGGAGGTCAGAGGTGAGATGCAGCCTGTCCCCAGAGAGCCCCATCCTCCCTCTGCTCCCGGGCATGGGCACACAGGACAAGTGTGAGTGTGTTGCTAGGCAGCTGGACATGACATGGCTGCTCTGGCAGCTTGTGCCACCTCGTCAGGCACCGTATGTGTTCCTGCCTGCCTGGGGAGTCCAAGAGAGGAAGGGGGCAGGGAGCCCTGGAGAATGTGCATCTTCCCCTTTCCTTAGGCTTGGCCCACCTCGCCACACGATCTCAGTCAAGGGCCTCTCCTCACCCCATGGGCTTCTATCTCAGCCTTTTCCACTTTGGCAACCCTGGGGGTGAGAGTGAAGGCCTCAAGATGCCTGTCCTGTAGGTATCTCTGGTGAGCAAGGCCGGGGACATGTTACGGGACAAGCTACAGGCTGATTTGTCTCTTCATAGTGTAGATTGCAGAGTGGGACAAATGTTGGGCTCCTCTTCCTCCCTTATGGAGGTAGAATTTGTGTGTGTCAATGCCTGCACCTGAGTGTTCATCCTGATGGGCTTTTACATGTGTGTATACCCATGTAACTACTGCTCTGATCATGTTATAGAATAAGGGTATCCAATCTTTTTGCTTCCCTGGGCCACATTGGAAGAAGAATTTTCTTGGGCCACACCTAAAATACGCTAACACTAATGATAGCTGGTGAGCTAAATAAAACAAGCAAAAATAAAAATAAAAAATAAAGTCACAAAAAAGTCTCATAATGTTTTAAGAAAGTTTATGAATTTGTGTTGGGCCACATTCAAAGCTGCCTGGGCCGCATATGGACTGCAGGTTAGACAAGCATGTTATAGAACATTTCCATCACCTTAGGGGGCTTCCAAGTACCCCCTCCCAGTCCGTGCACCCCAGAGGTAACCACCATTCTGACTCTACCCCAAGGACTACTCTCGCCTGCCTTCATGATGTGGGCTTTTCCCTTAGTCTAGTGGAGATCTGGCCCTTAGCTCAGGGGAGGGAGGCCTGAGGCTAGCCTGTATGTGCAAACCTACTGGCCCTGGAGGCCACTGATGGCTTCAGGTGGTGGCAGGAATTCACCGTAGTAGAGGCCTCCATGGGGTTGGCACTGGTTAACGTGATCCCAGGATCACGCCTGCTACCTCTCCACACATACAGACCCATACCCTGCCGGTGGAGCCAGAAGCGCAGGGGGAGGGCTGACGAGTTCCCTTACAGTTCCTGTCCTTTCCGTCCCAGGTTTGGTCCAAGGAGCTTCTTGACGCAAGGATCCCTTCACCTTAAACTACAATCTGGGTAGTCCCAAGGGCACTTGCACAGAGGGAGGAGACAGAATGGTTAGGGTGGGCGTCCCATCTGTGTCATCCAGAAATGAGCTGACACCAATAGCGGCTGCCCAGACCAGGACAGTGTCCTTTGCCTACCATTCTTCTCAGGTCACCTGGAGGAGAAGGAGAACCCCTCCCCCAGGCTGGGGGAAAGTGCCAGGCAAACCCTTGGACCACACTCCTGCATCCTGGTCTTGGTTACTGCCATAGCCAGGGTCACTCACCACATCTGGTCTGCCCATGGCTTAGGGCTCTGGAGCCATTGGCCGTGGATATATAGTCAGCCTTCCATGCCTGGCTTCTCCGGTAGGACCACAGACCTCAGATCAGCCCATTTATGATCCTGCCCTGGGCGGCTCCCCACTTACAGGAAACCCCACCAAGAGGAATTTGGGCTGCATCATTTCCGGCTTCCTGCCTGGGCTGCTGGAGGTGGCTGGCTGGCAGCCCCCTGACCCAGTGGTGTTTGGAGTGGGGAGAGGGAGGTCTCCACACCTGGGGTGCCTCACTATTTGGGTAAAGCCAGCCCAGAAGTGCATGCTAGGGCTCCCCCTCTTGGCGAAGAAGGCTGGTCCCTTCCTCCTGAGCCCTGGAGTCAGCCCCCCAGGAAGGTGTTGGCGGTCACCTTGGGCATCCCTCTGTTGCCCTGATTGGGAGGGGGTCCCTTAAAAAGCCTAAACCCGCTGCACTCCAGCCTGGGCGACAGAGCGGGACTCCGTCTCAAAAAAAAAAAAAAAAAAAAAGCCTAAACCCAAAGACAGGCCTCTCTCCTTTACTTCCTGTTTTCATGCCTCAGTGGGGGTCACTTGCTGTGGGCAGAGCTCAGGCTGGGCCCCTGACTCAGAGTCTCCTCAATTTTCCTGGGAACTTTGGTGGAAGTCCTTAGAGGGGAAAGGCCTGAGAATTGCCTTCTAGTTGGGAGAGATTCTTATCCCCCTAAGCCTGTCCCTCCCCTGATGGGGATACTTCTGAACACCCTGAGCGCTACAGGGCAAGGCAGAGAGCCAGTCCCCCACCCCCACCCCAGGACAGGGTTTCCTGAGACAGGGTGGGGGCCGCTGGGCAGAGCAAAGTGTCCTGGGAGAGAGGCGCCCTGCCCCCACTCTCAGGCGGCACACAATGGCTGCTTTCTCCCCCGTGACCTTTCCGCAGCCTGAGTCGTATGCAGCTGTCTCCCAAGGGGCCTAGGATGGGTGGCATCTCCTCCACCCTTGAGAAGAACCCCGGAACTCCCACCCAGTCCTGGCCCTGCTTCTTCTCCCAAGTTCACTTTTCCCAAAAGAGTGGAGAGCAGGCTATAGAGGCAGAGGGACAGCAGCAAGTGTGGACATGGCATGGTCTCAGGCATGAAAGTGCCACATCCTGGCAATTCTACTCATTAGCCTCGCATCCTTGAATAAGCCCTTTAACCTCTCTGAGCCACTGTTTCTTCATCACAGAGGTAGCATGTCCTACCTTGCCTGACAGTTGCAAGCAGCATCACACATAATGTACCCAGCTGGTACCTAGTGGGTGCCCAGTCAAGCCCAGCTCCTTTGCTCTGTCCATCTTCCTTAAGAGGGCTCCAGCTTACACCCTCAGTGATGATGGCAGGAGGCTCCAGCATGAAAGGACCTCACCTGCTGGCAGGAGGCCAGAGGCAGGACCTGTGGACGGGTGTGATCTGTCAGGCATGTTTCAACAGCATCTGGCATGCAGCAGCATCTGGGTTGCATCCCCTTGGGGATCCCTTCCTCCCTTCGGGACGGGCTGGGGCAGAGACCTCGTTTCCTGGGAAAAGGCTGAGAGACTGGTAGCAGTGGCTGCAGGGCAGGAAACTGTGCCTGCTGAATGGGCCCTGGGGACTGCATATCCCAGAGGGGTAAGGATGTAGGAAAGGGCATGGCTCTGTCAGCCCCCAGCTGTGAGCTCTTGGGGAGATCCCTCACTGGTAACCTGGCCGTAGTGATGGTCCCAGCTCCTAGGCTGTTGGAGACTGAGTGAGTGAATGTGTGGAGAGTACTAGGCTTGGCACGGGCCAGAGCAGGTGCTCAGGAGGTCTGGCCCATCATCTGGCTCCGGCTGACCCTTGCCCTCACCCTGGCAGACCCTGGCTGGGCATCCATCAGCAGGGGTGTGCTGGTGTGTGACGAGTGCTGCAGCGTGCACCGGAGCCTGGGACGCCACATCTCCATTGTCAAGCACCTTCGCCACAGCGCCTGGCCTCCCACGCTGCTGCAGGTACAGGGCTCAGTCGGGTGGTTCTTCCTTCCCCTCAGGCAGAGTGTGCTGAGCATGAGGGCGTTTCCCCCTCACCCACATACACCCCCATCTGGAATCTGCAGCTTCCAAGGGGCAGCACCCCCCTAGGGCAGAGGCTAATCCTGACCCTTTCCTCCCATCTACTCACTTCATGCAGAAGAGTAGCTCACACCCCTGCTCTGCCACTTATCAACGTGGTCGTGTAGCATTGAGCAAGTTGCTTCACCTCTCTGAGCCTTGGCACACTCATGGGATCTGTGTCTTTGGGCAGCTGGACTAGATGGAGGTGTGGTGGTGCGGGCACACAGTAGGCCCCCTTGGTACCGTTTCCAGCTACGCCAGCCACAGCAGGCGCTCAGGAAGTGTTTCCCCCATTGCTTAGCACGCAGTGGGCACTCTCTCACTTGGCATCTCTTCCCTGCAGATGGTGCACACGCTTGCCAGCAACGGGGCCAACTCCATCTGGGAGCACTCCCTGCTGGACCCCGCACAAGTGCAGAGCGGCCGGCGTAAAGCCAACCCCCAAGACAAAGTCCAGTGAGTGGGGCTGGAGGGGTGGTGGGCAGAGACTGCGCAGTCCGGGACAGGGCCCTGGGAGGTGGCAAGGTGACCACCCTCTCCCACCATGCTCCCCATTCCTCCTGTGTGCCCCATGCAGCCCCATCAAGTCAGAGTTCATCAGGGCCAAGTACCAGATGCTGGCATTTGTGCACAAGCTTCCCTGCCGGGACGATGATGGAGTCACCGCCAAAGACCTCAGCAAGGTTTGAGGGGCCCTACAACAGATGGGTGGCCCCCTCCTCTTCTTCCCATCCACGACTCTCTGAAGGCCTCTCCTTTGTCCCCACTGAGCCCTGGGCCCCAAAGGCAGCCAGGTCAGGGTAACAGTAGACAGGGTGGAGAGAGCAGATTGTTGGGTCAGGCCGTGTGTGGCTGAGGCTCCCCAGCAACCAAGTAGACACACAAGGCTAGAAGCCCACAGCTGCCACTCAGAAGCTGGGAAAACCTGGGGGTAGTTGCTTAGCCACTCATAGCCTCAGTTTACTCATCTGTAAAATGGGAAAGAAATAACAGCATCTACTTCATAAATAGTATCTAAGCAGGGCACACAGCACACGTGGTAGATGGTGACTGACGGCAGCGTTTATTAATTGGCATTAACCCCTAGCGGGAAGCCTCTGTCCTCCCGACATAGTCTGGTTTGGGCAGGCCTCCTTGGAGCTGCTAGGTGTCCCAGGGGCAGCCAGGGTGCAGCTTGTGGGTGGGGAGGTGCGCCTCACGCACATGCGTATTCACTGCACACTCTGCTCCTCTTAGCAACTACACTCGAGCGTGCGGACAGGCAACCTGGAGACATGTCTGCGCCTGCTCTCCCTGGGTGCCCAGGCCAACTTCTTCCACCCAGAGAAGGGCACCACACCTCTGCACGTGGCTGCCAAGGCAGGACAGACACTGCAGGCCGAGCTGCTTGTAGTGTATGGGGCTGACCCTGGCTCCCCTGATGTTAATGGCCGCACACCCATTGACTATGCCAGGTGAGGGTCGGCTGAAGGGTGCAGTGTGGGTGGGTGGGGGTGTGGGTGAGGGCTGCTGCTGCAGGTCTGAGCCATACCCCCTCCTCACAGGCAGGCGGGGCACCATGAGCTGGCGGAAAGGCTGGTTGAGTGCCAATATGAGCTCACTGACCGGCTGGCCTTCTACCTCTGTGGACGCAAGCCGGGTGAGCAGAGCTTGGGGGGCGCCTGGCTGTGACAGGCCTGGCTGGGGCTGGGCAGGTGGGACCTGGACGCACCCGGCAGCAGGTGCCATGGTGACAGAGCGGCTGGGGAGCAATGTTGCTAGGCAACTGGCTCCTGTGAAATTACTGCAGGCTCTGGGCCATAGCATCGCTGGGGCTAGGGAGTGGGGGTGGGCATCCTGCATCCTCCCACGAGCTCCCAGCATTCTTGGGGGTGGCCTGCCCTCCCCACTTTCCCCTGACACTTCTGGGTGCCAGCCCTGCTCATGGCAGTGAGGTGGGCTCCCAGCTGCTGAGGCCACCCAGCACTAGTGAGTGACTTGGCATTTTTATTTTTGTTCAGATCACAAGAATGGGCATTACATCATCCCACAGATGGCTGACAGGTGAGTGCCCACCTGATGCCCCTTTCCAGAGGCTGTTGGATGCCATGTGGGTGGCTGACCCCCAGAGCTCCCAGCCCAGGTTTCAGAGGCCTAGGACCCTGCTCCCTCCCCCCAGAGACTAGAGGCACAGCTTAGTCCTCAGTCCCTAATGCTGGGCCCCAAGGCAGGTAAAAAATGTCAGCTCCATATGTGGCCCGCATAGCCTGAGCCCCGTGACTGTCAAGTACATGGAGGGCTTGGGTGTGAGAAGCTACCTGTGGGCCGGGCGCGGTGGCTCACGCCTGTAATCCCAGCACTTTGGGAGGCCGAGGCGGGCGGATCACCTGAGGTCGGGAGTTCAAGACTAGCCTGGCCAACATGGAGAAACCCCGTCTCTACCAAAAATACAAAATTAGCCAGGCGTGGTGGCGCATGCCTGTATCTCAGCTACTCGGGAGGCTGAGACAGGAGAATCGCTTGAACACAGGAGGTAGAGGTTGCGGTGAGCCGAGAGCACGCCATTGCACTCCAGCCTGAGCAACAAGAGCAAAACTCCAAACTCCGTCTCAAAAAAAAAAAAAAGAAAAAGAAACAGAAGCTACCTCCGGCTGGGAGGGTGGGCCACTGGGTTCTGTCCCAGTGGCACCGACCCCACTGTCTTTAGAGAAGCCTCTGCTCTTCGCTGAAAAGATGGGTGGGCTTCAGGGATGTGACTAACTTTGTGACTGCTGGCTAGGCCTCTAGCGTGCTCAGAATTAGGCACGTGCGCTGAGGCTGGTTGAATGAGGTGTTTCTGCTTCCGTCTGAGAGGCAGTGTGGGACACCCCCTGCCACTCACCCAGCACATAAGATGGATGCTGGTGCCACCTGGTGGCCACCTCTGATGGCCATGTCCTCATGCCAGGCTGTGCCTGCTGGCCTGGATCTGGAGAGAGGAGGTGCTCTCCTCCCCAAGGGCCTGTGTGGGCAGATGGGCATAACCAGGCCTGGGCGACTCAGATCCTAAACCCAGACCTCTTCCAGACCCCAAGGCTCCTACTTCTATGGTCTGATTCTACCTGGGTTGTGTGTGCATGCGTGCATGTGTATGGTAAATACACCCAAATATGGGCTCCATTCAACAGCACATTAACTGAGCACCTTCCCGGAGCCAGCTACTGCTCTTGGCACTGGGAGCACAGAGGCAGCTGAGACACAATCCCTGCCCTTAAGGAGCTCACAATCTAGCTGGGGAGGCAGCCTAGCCAGGTGATTCTAGTCCTCATGGGGGAGTGCAGCAAGAGAGGCAGAGGCATGGAGGGTAGAAATGCTGCATGGGAATGGAGGCAGCCCCCGGGCTGGAGCACAGCATGGGAGGCAGGGAACCCTACAAGCAAGACTGGGATAGAGACGAGCTGGAGAATGAGCAGCCCCGAGAGCATCAGCAGGAGCAGTGACCATCCCGAGAGCGGAGAGTTCCAGGCACAGAAGTGTGAAGTCATCTCTGCTGCTTACTGGCTGTGTGACTTGCAGGCTGCTTGACCTCTCTGAGCCTTGGTTATCTCTCCTGGAAATGGAGATGACAGCATCTATTTTTCAGGGAGGAGAGGATTAGATAAGAATGTATGCAAAATGTTTAGCCTTTTTTTTTTTTTAAGAGTTGGGGTCTCGCTCTGTTGCCCAGGCTGGAGTGCGGTGGCTTGATCATAGCTTACCACAGCCTCAAACGATCCTCCTACCATAGCCTCTTGAGTAGCTGGGACTACAGGCACATGCCACCGTGCTCAGCTAATTTTTAAATTGCTTTTGTATCTCTGTGTTGCCCAGGCTGGTCTCCACCTCCTGGCCTCAAGCGAACCTCCCACCTTGGCCTCCCAAAGTGCTAGGATTACAGGTGTGAGCCACTGTGCCCGTCCCTAGGGTATTCTGATGAAGTATGTTTGGAGTGTGCCATATGCACCTGTTATCACTGCAGTGCCTTAAGGCAAGGGGTAGTGCAGCCAGGTGTATCCAAAAAATCACCCTGGCTGCTGGGTGGAACAGGATTGTAGGGACAAAACTAGAAGGAGGGAGATTAAGAAACTTACAAAGCCCAGGCAACAGGTGATTGAGGAACCTGGGGAGCTTCACTAGGACTGGAGGGTGAGGGAGGCTTCAGGTGACTGCCAGGTGGCTGACACTGGTGGTGGACAAACAGGTCACTGAGAGGAAGAGCAAGCCAGAGGAGGAGGGGTGGGGGACGCGGTGAGATGAATTCAGCTTTGTCCCTTCTGGGCCGGGTGTGCGTGGAGATGGGTCTGGGCCTGATGTGAAAAGGCGTGTGCTGCCCTGCTCCTGGGTAACTGCCGCCTCTGTCCTGTTCTTCCCTCTGCTGCCTTCCTCTGGACTTAGATCTCGGCAAAAGTGCATGTCTCAGAGGTATATGGTGCCTGCCGGGGCAGCAGGCCTGAAGGTGGGGTAGGGCGGGGAGGCATTTGGTGTGCAGCATCTGGGGTGCCATCTCCCCGGGATCCCTGCATGTTGGGGAGGTTGCTGGCATGGGCCTGGCCACCTCTCAGGTCTCTCCTCTCCTCCCAATTCCCATCTCCCTCTGCCCTCAGCCTTGACTTATCCGAATTGGCCAAAGCTGCTAAGAAGAAGCTGCAGGCGGTAAGTCTGCTCCAACAGTGCCCTGACACTTGAAGCTGGCCCCTCTCTGATCCCCCACCCTCTGCTCTTGCTTCCTCTGCCTCTGACTCGATGACCTTTTCCAAGTCTTTGACCTGTCCCCTCACTGGCCTCAGCAGTCCCCTCTCCCTGACCTCCCTACAAGGGGATGGACTGGTCCCTTCTCTCCCACCTTGGAGTTTGGAACATGATCCCTTTCCACTTTCCCATTCTGAGACTGTAGGGGCTGGGCAGCACAAGGAAGGCCACCGGTTCCCCAAGGCTCACAACATGCTGGGGAGCTGGCCTTGGCACTGGGAGCCGATGCATCTGACAACATCTGGGCCCCTCTCTTCCTCCAGCTCAGCAACCGGCTTTTTGAGGAACTCGCCATGGACGTGTATGACGAGGTGGATCGAAGAGAAAATGATGCAGGTGAGTCAGGGAGCAGGAGTGTCTGGCGTGGAGGACCCGAGCGGCCCAGGCATGGGTCTCTGGTCCTTTACTGGGCTAAGAAGGGGTGCCTGGGGTTGGGGCTGCTCAGAGGCCTGCAGATGAGCCCCTGCTGGCTGTGAGCCTGCCTGGGCAGCATCCCAGGCTGGGTAGAGTGCTGAGGGGGAGGCGGCTAGCGTGCTCCTCCCCCAGCCTCAGACTGGGGCTCCTCTTGCTCTGGCAGCCTCCCACTTTGGCTGTCTCCCTGGTACCGCTCCACCCCCCTGCATCACTCCTTCCTGGCCACAGCCGGATTCCAGCCCAAACTCTGGGTTTGGATGAGTGGCACTGGCCTTGTTCCATTTGTCTGTCCCCAGCCGGCCACGCCCAGCCTTGCCCTGGCCCGGCCTAGCTCTGCGTGCCCAAAGACCACCCCTGTTCTGAACACCAGTGCTCAGTAGGCGTGGGGGCAGCTAGGAAGGCTGGGCTCAGTGCTTCCCCACCCCCACCTTGGGGGCCTGGCCACCGTGGCTGATCTGCTCCTGTCCGTCCCCTACAGTGTGGCTGGCTACCCAAAACCACAGCACTCTGGTGACAGAGCGCAGTGCCGTGCCCTTCCTGCCTGTTAACCCGGAATACTCAGCCACGCGGAATCAGGTGAGGGGGCTGGATTGGGGGCCTGGGGTGGTCTACTTCATCCCCGCGGTCCCTCCTCATCCGGCAGTGGGCTGGGGCCTGAGCCAGCTCTCCAGCATTTGCCAGGGCCTCCCTCAGGGCACAGCTGGCACTGGGATTTGGGAAGGTCAGGAGGCTGTTGTTTTGAGCACTTGGGGAGCAGCTCCGGTGGGTGTTCCGGCCTCTGCTCAGGCACCCTACTCTATCATACCCTGCCACGGGTGGCCTTGGCTGCTGACTAGCCAGGTGAAGCTAGGCTGGGACGCTTTAGCTGGGGTTAAATTAAATGGCAGAGCCATGCCTTGCTACTTGGTCCCTGCCGTCCTGCGTCAGTCATAAGGGGTCCCCTGAAGCCAGCCTGGCCCTTTCTGCCTTGCAGGGGCGACAAAAGCTGGCCCGCTTTAATGCCCGAGAGTTTGCCACCTTGATCATCGACATTCTCAGTGAGGCCAAGCGGAGACAGCAGGGCAAGAGCCTGAGCAGCCCCACAGGTGGGAGGGTTGTGTGGGAGGGTGTGGGAAGCAGGCGGGGCTCCAGGGGTCTTTCCTGCATGGCTCTCCCTGCCAGTGGTGACCTGAGAGATGGGTTGTGTGGTGGAGTGTGGCCTGAGTGACACTCCTGTGTCCTCAGACAACCTCGAGCTGTCTCTGCGGAGCCAGAGTGACCTCGACGACCAACACGACTACGACAGCGTGGCCTCTGACGAGGACACAGACCAGGAGCCCCTGCGCAGCACCGGCGCCACTCGGAGCAACCGGGCCCGGGTCTGAGTCCCACCCTCCTTCCCACTCCCCTGTGCCCTGACCCAGGCCTTCGCTGAGGCCCAGCTCTGTCCTCTTGTAGCCCAGGGGCCTGAGGGACAGGTGGGCTGCTCCTAGCCTCAATAACTGCCCCCTGCGGGTGTTGGCCTCCCTGCCCCCAGGTGCTGACCAGCTTAGGTCTCTCTCTGCAGAGCATGGACTCCTCGGACTTGTCTGACGGGGCTGTGACGCTGCAGGAGTACCTGGAGCTGAAGAAGGCCCTGGCTACATCGGAGGCAAAGGTGCAGCAGCTCATGAAGGTCAACAGTAGCCTGAGCGACGAGCTCCGGAGGCTGCAGCGAGAGGTGAGGGTGCAGCCTCGGTGGGAGGGGGAGCCCCAGGACTCCAGGGGGTTGACAGCACTTTGCACCCATAGATCCACAAGCTGCAGGCGGAGAACCTGCAGCTCCGGCAGCCTCCAGGGCCGGTGCCCACACCTCCACTCCCCAGTGAACGGGCGGAACACACACCCATGGCGCCAGGCGGGAGCACACACCGCAGGGATCGCCAGGCCTTTTCCATGTATGAACCTGGCTCTGCCCTGAAGCCCTTTGGGGGCCCCCCTGGGGACGAGCTCACTACGCGGCTGCAGCCTTTCCACAGCACTGTGAGTCACCTATGGGTCTCAAGGTGTGGGGAGATGGGTGGGGCTGCCGCAGGGTCCACCATGACGCTCGCTGTGCTAACATCCCCAGGAGCTAGAGGACGACGCCATCTATTCAGTGCACGTCCCTGCTGGCCTTTACCGGGTAAGCCTGGGGAAGGCGTGTCCATCTTAGCCAGTAGGTTCTGAGCCCCAGGGGGTTCTGGGCTCTGTGCTGAATTCGGGGCTTAAGATGATTAGACTGACCTGGTCCCTGCTGCACTGCTGGTGAGCAGGGGGGCAGTGGGGCACACTGACTCCATCCAGCGCTGCCCTGGGTTTCAGATCCGGAAAGGGGTGTCTGCCTCAGCTGTGCCCTTCACTCCCTCCTCCCCGCTGCTGTCCTGCTCCCAGGAGGGAAGCCGCCACACGGTAATGTTTCCATGCCCAGTGCCCACAGGGTGGCTGGGGGCCGTGTGGGCTAGGGGCAGTGTGGGTCCAGGAACACGGCGCTCACAGCCCCTTCCCTCCGCCCTCCAGAGCAAGCTTTCCCGCCACGGCAGTGGAGCCGACAGTGACTATGAGAACACGCAAAGTGGGGACCCACTGCTGGGGTGAGGCTCCCTGGGTCTCCAGTCCAGCCTGCTCACATGCCGAGGCGGGGAGGTTGAGAGGGCCCCCAGTGTGTGAGGACCAAGGCGGGCGGCTCCGAGGCTGGAACGTGTCTTTCTCTATATGTATCTTTGTCTCTGTTTTCTGGACCTGGGCCTCAGGCTGGAAGGGAAGAGGTTTCTAGAGCTGGGCAAAGAGGAAGACTTCCACCCAGAGCTGGAAAGCCTGGATGGAGACCTAGATCCTGGGCTTCCCAGCACAGAGGATGTCATCTTGAAGACAGAGCAGGTCACCAAGAACATTCAGGAACTGTTGCGGGCAGCCCAGGAGTTCAAGCATGACAGGTACTGAGTGGAGGGGGAGGTGAGGGGGATGCAGTTCCTGTTGGCTTCTAGGGTGTTGCAGAGAGCATGAGGGGCCCTGGGTTCTGCTGTCCCTGGGAACCTCCCTTGAGAGCCCCCTGCTTTATAGCCTCCCTTCTCCCCGCAGCTTCGTGCCCTGCTCAGAGAAGATCCATTTGGCTGTGACCGAGATGGCCTCCCTCTTCCCAAAGGTACAGGGGCCAAAGAGAGGACCAGGAGTGGGAGGGCCTCGAGCTGGGGCAGGCGTGGAGAATCCCATCTGATCGCTACCTGGGTGGAGACACAGACAAACTGGGCCCTGATCTCAGCTGGTGGCTTAAAGTCCAAGGTCCAGCCTCACTCCTGCCCCCTCCAGAGGCCAGCCCTGGAGCCAGTGCGGAGCTCACTGCGGCTGCTCAACGCCAGCGCCTACCGGCTGCAGAGTGAGTGCCGGAAGACAGTGCCCCCAGAGCCCGGCGCCCCAGTGGACTTCCAGCTGCTGACTCAGCAGGTGATCCAGTGCGCCTATGACATCGCCAAGGCTGCCAAGCAGCTGGTCACCATCACCACCCGAGAGAAGAAGCAGTGACCTCTCTCCCCACACCCTCACCTGCACCCTAGGACCTCACTGGCCATAGGAGCTGGGCCACTCCAGACATTAATCCCCACCCCAACAGAGCCACTGGCACAAGTGCCCTTAGTGCTGCCACACTCCCTGGCAGCCAGGTGCCCTGGTGCCCACCCCTGTCGAGCCCCTAAGGATGGGGAGGTGGGGGGGCAGGAGCTTCTGTCCCCCACATTCCATGCACCTCCCCTCTGTATATAGCATCTCCCCCCTCCTAGTGAGCAGGGGCCTGCAAGGCATCACTCCCAGCCCCTCGCCTTCTAGGGCACCCTCAGCAAAGGGGCAGGTGGGGACACTCCAAGTGGGGCAGCTCTCCGTACATGCGCCCCACCCCCATGAGCCAGTTCAGCCCTACTGGGGGCTGAGCGGGGGCATCCCCTCCTTTGTACATAGTCTCCATGGATGTCCCTGCCCTGTAGCCACCAGCCCCTTGCTGCTCTCCCTTTAATGCCATATGGCCCCTGCCTAGGGCACAGGCCCCAACCTGTGTGCTGGGGTCCCCAGCAGCAAACACTGGAAAGTCTGTTTTTTTTTTTTCTTTCTTCTTCCCCACCCCTTAATTTTAACTTTGTGGTAACTGAGTGCCCCCGCGTGCCTGCGTGTTGAGTGTGTGGGCGGCAGTGCCGTTCCGGAGGCCTGGTCCATCTGGAGTTTTGAGGGGTGAGGGGACCAGAGCAGTGGGACCAGCATGGGGATCAGCTTCCCTTCCCCACCTGGAGCCAGGGACTGTCCGGGTAGCCAGTTTTGGTCCTGCCAGCTGCCTCCCTGATCCCTCCCCACTCTCGCCCCTTCTCTATGAACTTAAATCAAAAACCACTTCCCTCCATCTCCTCCTGCTCCTGCGTGGAGGGGGAATGTGTGCTGGCTAGGGTGGAGGACTGAGCACCTGAGCCTGGGGCTGGCTCCCCGGGGTCCCCGACTCAGCTGGTGGCTGTGGAGCTGAGTCCCCTCCCCGTAACCTCTGCAAGGCCAGCACCCACCATCACTACCTGCACCTGCTGTGGTCCCACCCTCTGGAGGCCTGGGAACCTGGCTGCAGCCTGGGAAGGCTGGAGAGGCAGACGGTGGGACCCACCAGCTCTCTCCCCATCCCGCTTCTTCCCTGGGGGCCAGGCCCTACCTGTGTGGTGGTGGGTGGGCTGTCAAGACGTGTCATGTACATTTGTATCAAAAATAAAGAAGTGACCATGAGCTGTTTCTGATGCTTAGAGAATGGGGGCTGGAGGGAGGTGGCAGACATGAAGGGTGACTGCAAGTGCCCCAGGACCCCCGCCCTAGGGAAGCCCCTGTGCTGGGAACGTCTGTCTAGTGGAAGAGTTAGTTTGCGAATAACAAAGCTAACATGTATGACGATAACGCCACCCTCCCACGAGCACATTCCTAAAGCCCCATGTCCAGGGACAGGTTGGCCAGCGGGGGCGGGCTGCCTCAAACACCACCTCCATGGCCTAGGACGAGGGTCCGGGTGGGAGTCTCTGTGCGGCAGATGCACAAGCTCAACTCCAGAGTCTACTAAAAATAATTTAATTAGAAACGGAGTTTTGGCAAGGGAGGCAGAAGCGGCTCCTTTTCTCCCCTTGGCCGCCCACTCAGCAACCAACAAGGAGGAAAGCCCCCGCAGTGCTCGGCCAGTGCCGCGCCATCGCCACCAGGGAGCGCCCCGCGCGCGGTCCACGTGGCAGAGGTCGCGGCCTCGCGGCGCGGGGAGGAGCCGCACGCCACAGTGGCAGGTCCCAGGCCGTCACTCCGAGCTCTCGCCTTCCGGGCCGCTGTCCGGCGTGGGCGGGAGGAGGGGTCTCCGGCGCGAGCGCTTGACCCGGCGCGAGGGCTGCAGCAGCCTCCGCTTCAGCACAGCTGTGGGCCGGGCGCCGAGCAGTCAAGGGCGGGAGGGCAGGGAAGCTACGGGGGGCGGCGGGCGACGCGAGGTGGGGCGGGGGCCTCGGGTAGGGTAGGGAGGGAACTCCTCACCAGCCACTGTGTCCTGGCTGTCCGCTGTGGGCCCCCAGTAGATGCTCTCCCCGCGTCGGAAGTTTCTGTGCAGCCGTGTGCAGAGCGTGGCCAGGGTGAGCAGCACCAGCAGGAAGGTCAGGGCCATGGCAGCCCAGGCGGCCTCTTCAGTGCGTGGGGTGGGGCCCCGGGCTGCCCGTGGAGGCGCTGCTGCGCGAGGGGCCGGGGAAGCCTGACTTGAACAGACACAGCCCCCTGGGCTGCCTTGCCCGTTGGGCACCTGAGCCTCTGTCCTGGAGCTGGCATTGCCTCCAGGCGCCCCCGGCAGCAGGGAGACAGTGGGCACAGATGGGGCATTACTCTCCCTACCAGGGATTCCCGCCATGGACTGCTTGGCCTTCAAGCTCCCTGGGGAAGCAGAGGGAAACCTCAGGGCTGAGCGAGTGGGCTGGGGACCAAGGGCAGCCCGCAGCCTCCGCCTCTTGGCACCACTAGAAGAGGGCTGCCTGGGCCCTTGAGATGTCACCTCTGTGCCAGGGGGCCGCCAGCTCCGCAGAGCAAAGGCCAGAGCCAGGGCCTAAGGAGAGGAGAGAGAGCAATCACCCTGCTGCCCCTCTCAGAGAACCCGAGGGCCAACAAGCCTGGGCCCAGCGTCTCTCACCTGCACACACCCTCTTCGGCACAGCCTCCCTCTACCGGGAGTTGGCTCGGAGGGAGCAGGCCCTGAAAGGCTTTCACAGTAGATCCATGCCTTCTTCTTCCTCTGCTTCCTCCTCCGCCTCCTCATCAGCCAGTGGGCAGCCCAGGCTGGCTCTACCCAGGCCATCTCCAGCGCCAGCCCCCATGCAGTCAGCACCAGGGGCTACGAGAGGAGGTAACTGTTAGAGCTACGAGGAAGGTGGGGACAAACAAGAGGAAACCCTTGAATTTTCCATTCCCTGCACACGGGGCCATAGCCTTCTGCCAGGGCCAGGCAAGCGCCTTTCATCAGCTACATACCCGATCCTGCGTGAGGCTGAAGTCAGGGGTGAGGGAAGGGTTAGCCATACAAGCATAGGCCAGGAGGGCAAGCTGGAGCTTCAGCCAGGGATGGGCACAGGGGTGGTAGAGGAAGGTGACATCCTCAGCCTGGAGGAAAGGCACAGAGACATCAAAGCAGGCCCAGAGCCCTCCCAGAGAATCTCAAGTTCTCCCATCCAGGGGACCAGTTTAAAGGTACTCCCAGGATAGCTGGATGGCTCTTCTACCTTCAGGGCCCAGGAAAGGACAAAGGGCCCTGGGTATTGGCATGTACCCACTCTTGCCTCTGAGTGTTCCTTTCACCCTTCCTCTCCATCAAGTGCCACCCTTCAAAGCTCACAGCATGCCTGGATAATCCTGCCAGACTCAGACCACACTCTAGCCATATTTCCCTGCAGGTGTAACGATGGCTCTACAGGTCCACAATCCAAGCCATAAGCAACCCCCAAATGAAGACCATCGATCCAATCTATACAGTCTCCCAAGAGCATCCAAATACAGGGCAGGCAGGCAGCAGGTGCACAATCTCAGGATGGAAATACTCCATCAATCATTCATTATTCTTTGATTGAGTTGACTTGGTGCTCAGTGCTGTGCTAGATGCTGTGGGAGATGCCAAAGAACTCCTGGACTCTGCTTGCAAGGAGTGTGTGAGAAACTCAGGGAAACAACTAATGCAAATAAAACAGCAAACTAATAAAACTTAGTGATTAGTTGTTAAATTATCAGAGATAGATTCAGAGGAGGAGGGGAGGAATAAAGGCTGATGCCATCGGGCAGTGTCTCAGGGGGAGCTGATGCCAGCTGGGACTGGGAAGATGGCTGGGGGAGTATGGCAGGAGGGCAGGGAGCTGCACTCTCCGAGTCAGGATAGGCCAGGTGTGGAGGAGAATAAACAGGAGCAAAGGGGCTGTGGTAAGGGCGAGGCTGGCACTCATTTGTGTGGCAAACAGCCCGACACAACTGGAGAGGAACCAAGGATGTGGAGAGGTCAGACGAAGCTTACTTAAGTAAGGCCTGAAAAGCCAGGCCGGAGAATATGGCCACGATAAGGTGGGAAATAAGGAGCCATTGACAGTTTGTGAACAGAGGAATGACTTCATGAAAGGGCTGTTTGAGGAAAGGAATCTGATAGGTGGCGTGAGGCAACAACTCTTGGCCTGGAGCTATTACAGAGAATTTTTTTTTTTTTTTGAGACAGTCTCGCTCTGTCGCCAGGCTGGAGTGCAGTGGCATGGTCTCGGCTCACTGCAACCTCTGCCTCCTGGGCTCAAGCAATTCTCCTGCCTCAGCCTCCCAAGTAGCTGGGATTACAGGGGTGTGCCACCACGCCCAGCTAATTTTTGTATTTTTAGTAGAGACAGGGTTTCACCATGTTGGCCAAGCTGGTCTTGAACTCCTGACCTCAGGTGTTCCACCCGCCTCAGCCTCCTAAAGTACTGGGATTACAGGTGTGAGCCACCATGCCTGGCCAATTTAAGTTAGGTATTTCAGGCCAGGCATGGTGGCTCACACCTGTAATCCCAGCACTTGGGAGGCTGAGGCAGGCAGATCACTTGAGGTCAGGAGCTCAAGACCAGCGTGGGCAACATGGTGAAACCTCGTCTCTACTAAAAATACAAAATTAGCTAAGCTAGGTGGCACACGCCTGTAATCCCAGCTGCTCGGGAGGCTGTGGCATAAGAATTGCTTGAACCTGGAGGCAGAGGTTGCAGTGAGTGCCACTGCACTCCAGCCTGGGCAACAGAGTGAGATTCCATTTCAAATAATAATAATAATAAGTATTTCAAAGGAAAATTCAGAGGAGCTGGCGATGAAGATGGAGATGCTACCACGCAAGCTGAGCCCGCAGTGTGGAGCCTGGCAACTGGAGGCACACTCCTTGCACGATGCAGCTCTGTACTGTACACGGTGCTGGCACATACCCTCCCTCGCTGCTCACAGGTAGAGACAGAATTAATACCCTCTCCTACAGAAAGCTGGGGCCCACAAAGTCAGGAGACTTCCCGCTGTCTCCTCAGGGAGCTGGAGCCTGGGTTTTTTCCAGCTACTCTCAGAGAGAGTTCCACTCACAGCCACTTGTCCACAGAGCCAGCTACCCAACAGCATCCTGACACAGCATTGCAGATGACAGGCCTATGGCTCACTGTCTTTGAGCCATCTGTCCTGGGGCTGATCTGTCCTGGGCTTGGAGGTGGGGCAGAGAACTAGAACCCTGCCTCTGCCTGAGGGAAGTGGTAAGGAATGGGGCCGATCAGCAGAACAGGCAGCGAAGCCTGCTAGGAGCGCCTGTCTCCAGGCGTGGACACCAAGGGTGGTGGGCCCCTGCTTGTACTCACCTGCCCTGGGCTCACTCGTGTGTAGGTCACTCTTGGTGACACCTATACATGGGGAAAGAACAGAGCTTAGGGCAGTTGGGGGACTCCGTGTGTGTGTGGTGGGGAGGGGACGGCAGGCCCCAAGCGCCAGGCTGGGATGGAGAAGTTGGCTACTGAGGACTGAGGAACCGGCAGAGGTCCTCAGATGGTGACTGTGGAGGGTGCGGCGAGAACAGAGCGGGACTGGGCTAGCCTTTCACATCCCTCTCTCCCTGGGCCCTCCAGGGCTCCTACCTGCGGAGGCAGAGGCCACAGGCTCTCGGGACAATGGGCTCCCGCCTCCTCCGCCGGTCCAGCCATCACCTGTGGGTCCAAAGCGAAGAGTTGGGGCGCTGGACGCGGCGAGGCCCTGCCCTCTCTCTCCCCAGGCCCAGCCCGCCAGCGGAAGAACTCCGCGTCCCCCTCGGCGCGCCACTCCTTCCAGGACGAACTTTTGGCAAAGCGCTTTGAGCTCGCGGGCCGAGGCCTTCCCAGGAGCGGGTCACCTTACCTCGCTGGGACCCAGGAGCCTCGCGAGGGCTGCCAGGAGAAGCAGTTGGGGCGAAGGCGGAGGAGGCGCCATTCCAAGCGGCCCCGGGCCCGGCCCGCCGCCCAGCCGCTCCGCCAGCGAGGGAGCGCGCGCGCCCCGCCCCTCCAGCCCCAGCGCCCCCGCGCCGCCCGCGCCGCCCGCGCGTCCGTTGGCCCTGGGCTCGCGCGCGCCCCTCCCCAGACAGTGGGCCCCCGGTATCGCCCCGCCCCAATGCCCGCCCACAGCAGCGGAGTGTGCGCGCACGCGTCTTAAACCCGAAGCCGGAAAAGTTAAGTGTAGGAACCGGGTCAGCGCGCAAGGCTCAGTAGGGCAGGCGGGGGGCCCCTTTCCTCGTCCGGGGATTCGTCTCAGCAGGTCCCTGCAGTCTGTAGAGCAGCTGCACAGCTGCAGCGCCTGGATGAGATCGTGGAGCGGAGTGTAAGGCCGGAAATGGAATCCCTGTGGACCGGGTGGCCCAGGCTGGGGAGACGGGTACACTCCCCTGGCAAACCCGCTTCAGATTTGTCGGTGTGACCTGCAATGAGAAGAGGGGCAGAATCATGAAGTCAGGAAGAGCTGCTGAAGGGAGAGGGTCCCACCTCTGGAGCTTCGCCGTCGGCCCACCCCGCTCCCGCCCTCGCAAATAGGGTCCAACGCGGAGGAGCCTCGGGAGGTGTCTCCGCTCCCCAAACTCTCCAAACCCAGAAGCCCCGGGAGGCCGGAGCTAGCCGAGAGGCTGCTGTCTTCCCCACCTCCGCCGTCGCCCAGCGGTGGCAGGCGCGCGTCTAGAAAGAGATTGGTCGCCGCGAGATGGGGACGCCACAGGCCTCACCCCCAGGAGGTGCGCTGGCCGGCCCGCCCCGCAGCGGGGCGCTGGTTCTGGTTCCCTCTCCAGGATTTGGGGGGGAAACGTGGGTAGAGAGCGAGGGTCGAGATGCCTATCCCAAAGCTTGGAAACAGCGAGAACGTGTTATTTCCGTGGTCTCCCATGCACCCCGGTTTACGAGGCGTTCCTTGTAGGTCGGACGGGCATCCCTGTCGCAGGGCGCCTGAGTGTGTCCTTTTCTCCGACTGACTCTCGGAGGCTTGGGGCTGCTGTTTCTGGGGAAGCCACTCCCGGGCTGAGGATTTCCTTGATGTGGAGCCCCGAGCTCGCGGGGACGGGGGCGAGGAGTCCACGGGACCCGCACTGATGCAGGCGGGGAAGCAGCAGCCTCCCGCCAGCGGCTCAAGACGCCGCGCTCGACCTCTCTAGCCCAGTGCCGGACCCCGCCCAGCCAAGTTATTGCGGGGTTGCGGGGCCGGGCGGGGGAGAGCAGGGCCGCCCGAGGGCAGAGCGCGCGCGCGGCCGCCGCCCCACGGGGTCCCGGGAGCCGGCGCCCGGAGCTGCGACTTACTCACCTCTCCCTTCTGCTTCTTTTCATCGGCCTCTGAGGGCGCAGCGCCCAGGGTCTGGCGGAAGACCCTGATGACAGTCGGGTCCCCAAGCCTCGGCCTCCAGTCTCCCCACGTCTCCATGGCCAACACCGCTCTCCCCGGCTCGTGCCCTCCCCACTCCCTTCCGGCTGCCGGCGCGCCCTCCCTCCCTGGTGGCCCCGGCTCCTCTCACCCTCTGCTCCCACTTGTTGCAATTGCTGTACAAAGGGCCGGGGCGGGGGTGGGGGGCGGGCGAGGGCAGCCGGGCCCGAACTGGCTGCCTCTGCCCGGCCACGGCCAATCCAGAGCGCGCCCGCGCGGGAGGGCCCTGGGCAGCCGCCGCCGGCGGGCGGAGCCGCGGGCAAAGCGCGGAGCTCGCCGAGTAGACGGCCCCGCCGCCCGCTGCCCGCCGGGGCTCTCCAGCTTCGCCATGCCGCCGTGGGGCGCCGCCCTCGCGCTCATCTTGGCCGTGCTCGCCCTTCTCGGCCTGCTCGGCCCGCGGCTCCGGGGACCCTGGGGGCGCGCCGTCGGAGAGAGGACCCTGCCGGGGGCCCAAGACCGAGACGACGGGGAGGAGGCGGACGGCGGAGGCCCGGCGGACCAGTTCAGCGACGGGCGCGAGCCACTGCCGGGAGGGTGCAGCCTTGTTTGCAAGCCGTCGGCCCTGGCCCAGTGCCTGCTGCGCGCCCTGCGGCGCTCAGAGGCGCTGGAGGCCGGCCCGCGCTCCTGGTTCTCCGGGCCCCACCTGCAGACCCTCTGCCACTTCGTCCTGCCCGTAGCGCCTGGGCCTGAGCTGGCCCGGGAGTACCTGCAGTTGGCGGACGATGGGCTAGTGGCCCTGGACTGGGTGGTAGGACCTTGTGTTCGGGGCCGCCGGATCACCAGCGCCGGGGGCCTTCCTGCGGTGCTTCTGGTGATCCCCAATGCGTGGGGTCGCCTCACCCGCAACGTGCTCGGCCTTTGCTTGCTCGCCCTGGAGCGCGGCTACTACCCGGTCATCTTCCATCGCCGCGGCCACCACGGTTGCCCACTGGTCAGCCCCCGGCTGCAGCCTTTCGGGGACCCGTCCGACCTCAAGGAGGCGGTCACATACATCCGCTTCCGACACCCGGCGGCGCCGCTGTTCGCGGTGAGCGAAGGCTCGGGCTCGGCGCTGCTCCTGTCCTACCTGGGCGAGTGCGGCTCCTCCAGCTACGTGACAGGCGCCGCCTGCATCTCGCCCGTGCTGCGCTGCCGAGAGTGGTTCGAGGCCGGCCTGCCCTGGCCCTACGAGCGGGGCTTTCTGCTCCACCAGAAGATCGCCCTCAGCAGGTGGGTAACGGAGGCCGCAGACCAGCATGGAAAGAATAGAGGGCCTGAGCTGGCTAAGAATCAGAAACAGCTATGCATAGCATTGGAACAGGCGTGGGCCAGTTTGGGCAAAGTTCTCTGAACACATCTTCCAAAGCCTTCCAAACCCTGTAATCTAGACAGAACCGGGGAAGCGGGTTTAAAGGTCATCGATGGACTCAGCTAGTATCGCTGTGCTAGAGCAGGGACTCCTAACCCGGCCCCTTGCCTCATCTCGGCACCCCCTGCTGTATCCTAGCAATCTGAGCACCTGGCCCACGACAGCAGAGATACCTGACATTTACCACTTAGCCCACAGCTTAACAGCTCAGCAAAGAGCACTCTGGAAGCAATTGCAAACGATTATCTGCCCAGAATGTTTACTCACAGTCTCTGAGCCTGGAGGTGACAGGAATCAGAAATATGGTGGCATTTGAGGCCAGGTGCAGTGGCTCCCGCCTGTAATCCCAGCACTTTGGGAGGCCAAGGCAGGAGGATCACTTGAGCCCAAGAGTTTGAGACTAACTTGGGCAACATAGGAAAACCTGTCTCTACAAAAATTTCTTTTTTTAATTAGCCGGGTGTGGTGGCATGCATCTGTGGTCCCAGCTACTCAGGAGGTTGAGATGGGAGGATCACCGAAGCCCAGAAGTTCGAGGCTGCAGAGAGCCCTGGTCAGGCCACTGCACTCTAGCCTGGGTGACAGAGCAACACCCTGTCTCAAAAAAAAATGTTATATATATATATACACACACACGCATATATGTAGGCATTTATTAAAATTATTATTTTTTAAAAGTATTTTTTTTTTTAGACAGTCTCACTTTGTCACCCAGGCTGAAGTGTAGTGACATGATCTCGGCTCACTGTAACCTCCACCTCCTGGGTGCAAGCTATTCTCCTGCCTTAGCCTCTGAAGTGGCTGGGGACTACAGGCGTGCACCACCACACCCAGCTAATTTTTAATATTTTTTTTGGTAGAGACGGGGTTTCTCCATGTTTGCCAGGCTGGTCTGGAACCCCTAATGTCAAGTGATCCGCCTGCCCCAGCTTTCAAAGTGCTAGGATTACAGGTGTGAGCCACCGTGCCCAGCTGTTTGTTTGTTTTTTGAGGCAAGATCTTACTCTGTCGCCCAGGCTGGAGTGCAGTGGTGGAATCACCACTCATTGCAGCCTTGAGTTCCTGGGCTCAGGTGACATTCCTAGCCTGCACTCTGGCTTTCTTAGGAGATGGCAGAATGAGGTCGAAGTCATTATGGCAACAGTGTGGTGTAGCAGAAAGACCTGGGATGTGGGGGCCAGACCCCCACCTCAGCCTCCCGAGTAGCTGAGACTACAGGCACATGCCACCATGCCCGGTTAATTTTTGTATTTTTCATAAAGATGGGATTGTGCCATGTTGTCCAGGCTGGTCTTGAATGTCTAGACTCAGGGAATCCACCCGCCTTGGCCTCCCAAAGTGCTGGGATTATAGATGTGAGCCACTATGCCTGGTCAGAGATTAACATCTAATTTCAACTGTCTGAGGCTGGATTGAGCTATTCAAAAGACGGAGCTGCTCATCCTGGCCTCCTTGTCAGGATGCCAAGCCCTCTCCAGGGGTCTAGAAACAGCAAAGATGTTCCCTGTTACCCAAAGCAGTTGCTCTGAGGCCCCCATTTAGGAATCCACCCAGTAAATTAATGACCAACTCAATTGCTTCCTCTGCCAGGCAGCACACTCTCTAGGAATATCTGCCCCAGGTATACCTGATCAACATCACACTCATGTGACATTACCAGGACAGGATGTTAGTTTAAAAAGCAAAAATAAAAACAATGAATGCAACCTAAAGTCAAATGTGAATTATTAGCAGAGGTGTCACCTGCTGGTTTGGATACTCTGAGCAGCAAGTTCTTCTAGGAGCAGTTTAGTAGGTTACAGTTCATAGCAAGTTCTCCACAGAGGGCCAGAAGTTGAGGTTAGGAGAACTGTCAGCAGCTGTGAAGTCAAATGCTGCCCCTAGGGCACATAGACAGGTGCAGTGATGCTGTGAATGACAGGCCTAGTGGGCACCGTCACACAGGAAGGAGGGAGGAACCCATTGTTGTGCTGAGAAATGCCCACCCATGTGGCTGGATCTTCCCACTTCCCTAGAGAAGCCAGACACCTGCATTTTATGTGAAATCTTCTAATTTTATTATTTTATTTATTTATTTATTTATTTTTTGAGATGGAGTCTCGCTCTGTCAGCAGGCTGGAACGCAGTGGCACGATCTCGGCTCACTGCAACCTCTGCCTCCTGGGTTCAAGTGATTCTCCTGCCTCAGCCTCCCAAGTAGCTGGGACTACAGGTGTCCGCCACCACGCCCAGCTTATTTTTGTATTTTTAGTAGAGATGGGGTTTCACCGTGTTGGCCAGGATGGTCTCAATCTCTTGACCTCGTGATCCACCTGCCTCAGCCTCCCAAAGTTCTGGGATTACAGGCATGAGCCACCGCGCCTGGCCACTTTTATTATTTTATATTATTTTATTTTATTTTTTGAAATGGTCTCTCTGTGTCACCCAGGCTGGAATGCAATGGTGCAATCATAGCTCACTGCAGCCTTGACCTCCCAGGCTCAAGCAGTCCTCCCACCTCAGCCTCCTGAATAGCTGGGACTGAGCCACCATGCCAAGCTAATTTTTTTTTTTTTTTTTTTTAGAGATGGGTTTTCGCCCTGTTGCCCAGGCTGTTCTCAAACTCCTGGACTTAAGTGATCCACCCACCTCGTTGGCCTCCCAGAGTGTTTGGATTACAGGCGTGAGCCACCACAACCAGCCTTATCTGGTTTTAAATGATGGCCATGAAATTAAACGTTTTCGAAGCCCTAAATGGCCAAAGAAAGCCTCTGTGGACAGATCTGGCCTGCGGGCTGTCTGTCTGTCTCATCTGCTGTCACCTGATGTTCTCATTCTTCCCTCTCTTTCCCACCTTCCCCACTAAACACCTCGCTGCCAGGTATGCCACAGCCCTGGAGGACACTGTGGACACCAGCAGACTGTTCAGGAGCCGTTCCCTTCGAGAGTTTGAGGAGGCTCTCTTCTGCCACACCAAAAGCTTCCCCATCAGCTGGGATACCTACTGGGACCGCAACGACCCGCTCCGGGATGTCGATGAGGCAGCCGTGCCTGTGCTGTGTATCTGCAGTGCTGACGACCCCGTGTGTGGACCCCCAGACCACACTCTGACAACTGAACTCTTCCACAGCAACCCCTACTTCTTCCTCCTGCTCAGTCGCCACGGAGGCCACTGTGGCTTCCTGCGCCAGGAGCCCTTGCCAGCCTGGAGCCATGAGGTCATCTTGGAGTCCTTCCGGGCCTTGACTGAGTTCTTCCGAACGGAGGAGAGGATTAAAGGGCTGAGCAGGCACAGAGCTTCCTTCCTTGGGGGCCGTCGTCGTGGGGGAGCCTTGCAGAGGCGGGAAGTCTCTTCCTCTTCCAACCTGGAGGAGATCTTTAACTGGAAGCGATCATACACAAGGTGAAAGACCTGGCCTGAGAACCCCCAAGTCCTGCAAAGAAAAACAGAGCTGGGCAAGGGGGAGTCCTGGAAAGATGGGGCGGACTGAACAGAGGGAGCTCCAGCTCTGTGCTCCTCATTCAGTCCCTCTCTCTTAAATTGGTGCCTTGAAAGAGAAGGAACGTCCTGCGAGCCTGCACTCACTTCATCCTCAGCAGAACTCCTGCCTGGCCTCTGCTCAACATATCCCTACTCATCCGGTCAGCAGCGGCGCGTTCCAGTCACTGTCACCTGTCACTGACATCACAAGCCAAAGGATAGCACTTTTTCAATCCATGGACTCAGGAGAAAATGCCCTCTTACTGGCAGTGGCTAGAGGGATGAGACGTTTGTGTATGTCACTGGGCAGTGACCCCGATTCTCAAGCTGGAGCCATTTGATGTCATGAGGACAGGATGTTTGTGTCTCGGCCCCACTTCCCTCATTTGCTCTGTGGTTGTGGCGCCCTGCTTTGACCGAATGCTCTGGCAACTGCGGCAGCAGGCTTGTGTGTGTGAGAAGGGCGGCAGAGGCAGTGGGGCTGGCTCGCTGAGGGCTGAGCAGGTAGAGAATGTGAATGTCCATCTCAAGGAATGCGAAGTTCCAATCTCTCAGAGGAGCTCTGCAAGTCTCAGCTAGGAATGGGGCTGATCTGGCCCCCAAGCCTCACTGGAGAGATCCCAAGGGTATTTTACAAATAGGAAGCGCTCTCATGCAGGATCTGAGGGCTTTGCTAGACCATGGTTCAAGGAGTCAGAATCTTGGCTACCCTACATGCTCCCTCTGGCACCATTTCAGGGGATTACTCCAGAGAGCTGCAGCCAGAACTGTTTATCTCCTGAGATATGGACTTTCTCTAAGTCAGGAAAAGCACAAACCTCATAACTTAGGTGTTTTCTGGTTGGTTGCTCCCTTTTCTGATCCTACTACTGGCCTCTCCCTTTCCAGAGCCAGGAGACACATCTGGGACCAGAGGAAACAAAAGCACCAAGAGGTTGACTAGAGCTGACCAGTGATTTACAAATATTTCATATTCCAATGCTTCGTCTGCTCAATTATTCAAAAGGCCATCCCTGTAAAGGCAGAAAAGCTTCCTCTTAGATCTGGCCACTCAGCAAATAAGTGGGTATTTGGTTTTATGAAGAATAATGCTGAGGACTAGAGATATAGTATATCAGAGATAATATATAGTATACAGGTTGATCTAAATATTCTGGTTTGGATTAGGCAATTAAAATTTTTTTGGCAACAGGACATATGTTTCCATGTGTTGCTAAGATTCAAAAACTTTGCCCTGAAGTTTTATTTTAATCGTCATTGAGAAAGAGGGCTCCTGTTCTGACCTCAAAAACAGCAAAGCTGTTGTAAAGAAGAGAGCTGCTTATACGAAAACCCACATTCCAAGACTTGGTATAAGGTATTCCTGAGGCCTTGATTTCAGGTTTGGATAATCTTGCCCCAGATTCTAGATCTTGTTCTTCTAGATCAAATCAGAAGAAACTTTGAAATAACTCCAAGAATCTGCACTGAAATGTAGACAGCACTCGATAATCTAAGGGACATTATCTTGTTGTGAAAAATTATCTCCCTCCTGGCTGGGAGCGGTGGCACACACCTATAATCTCAGCACTTTGGGAGGCCGAGGTGGGTGGATCACGAGGTCAGGAGATCGAGACCATCCTGGCTAACACAGTGAAACCTCATCTCTACTAAAAATACAAAAAATTAGCCGGGCGTGGTAGCGGGTGCCTGTAATCCCAGTTACTCAGGAGGCTGAGGCAGGAGAATGGCGTGAACCCGGGAGGCGGAGCTTGCAGTGAGCTGAGATCGCACCACTGCACTCCAGCCTGGGCGACAGAGTAAGACTGTGTTTCAAAAAAAAAAAAGAAAAGAAAAATTATCTCCCTTCTCCCCACTTCTTGTTTCTCCTCCTCCATATTCCTCATCTGACGTTCTTTTGCCGTTTCTAAGCAGGATAAATAAAAAGGAACTGAAATTAAGCTGCTCTACTGCCGGTGAACAACAGCCTTGGTGTAAGCCTTGGTGAGGGAGATTTACTGCCATCTGGCCATCCGCTACCACCAGCTGCCCTCCACATCTGGTACAGTGAGGATTTCAGTTAATTAGGGTCCCGTAGTCCCAGTTGCCCTGCAAAATGGGAAGCAGCCTAGTGGTTTTTAAACCCTAAGGCTTAAAGAGTCCCTAAGGGTGAAAATCTGCATAGTTTCTCTAGAAACTATCCAGATAATGCAAGATTCTGGTTCTTCAAGAGAATAGCTTTTGGAGAAATAGTGGTTGGTTTTCCTTTCCCTTTTGATAGGAAAGAAAGTTTTCCAGGGAGAGAAATGTATAAACTTTGTAGTTACAGTCAGAAGAATGGCAGAATCAGCCCCAGTTCACGTTCCATTAATTCCTTTGAACCCTGAACTCTAGTGACCCGAACCCTAAAGTATTTCTCTTCCGTGGCCCTTGTGCCAGATGCACCCACTGCATATCCCAAGAACATTCTCTGATTTTCCCATTACTACTTGAAGACTAGGGCTGAAATGCCTGTTTTGTGCTGAGAAAGTGTAATTTCTGTTCAAGCAGGAAAGATTTGGATGGCCCTGTCCTTTAGCCTAATGATTCAAGAATCACACAGGTGAATTCTGCTTTGGTAAATAGCTAATTGTGTGAAGCCAGCTGGAGGAGCCCCAGGCACACTGTTCTGTGAATGGGTGGCCCTTGAACAAAATGGCAAGTTATGAGTTTGAGGAAGCAAGAAACAAACAACAAAACCAAACAATAGGCGGGGCACAGTGGCTCTCACCTGCAATACCAGCACTTTGAGAGACTGAGGTGGGAGGATCACTTGAGGCCAAGAGATCGAGACTAGTCTGGCCAACATAGCAAAACCCCATCTCTACAAAAAATTAAATTAGCTAGGCATGGTGGTGCACCCTGTAGTCCCAGCCACTCGGGAGACTGAGGCGGTAGCACTGCTTCAGCCCTGGAGGTCGAGACTTCAGTGAGCCCCTCCCGAACACCTAAGAACCACTGAGTTGGACTTTCCAGGTGGTGGGTCTTCAGTAATCTTCAGGCCTCATTACTTGCTTGCCTCCTTTTTGGTGTCCGTTATTTACCAACACCTTCAAATGGTAAGATAAAAAAATGAATACAAATAAGGAAACGAGCCAGGTGCAGTGACTCACTGCAAAGTGCAGTAATCCCAGCACTTTGGGAGGCCGAGGCAGGCAGATCATTTCAGTCCAGGAGTTCAGGACCAGCCTAGCCAACATGGTGAAATTCCATCTGAGTGTGGTGGCACACGCCTGTAGTCCCAGCTACTTGGGAGATTGAGGTGAGAGAATCGCATGAGCCTGGGAAGCAGAGGCTGCAGTGGACCGAGACTGCGCCACTGCACTCCATCCTGGGCAACAGAGCAAGACCCTGTCTCAAAATCATAATGAAAACAATAAAGCAAAAACAAAAAGCCAATGACTAAAGGGAGGCATTAATTCAGAAGTGGCAATTGAGTCCTCTGTCTCTAGCCATGGATCAGAATGCAGAAAGCAGACAACTGCTTCTGAAATTTTCTGTGAGTTCTAAGTTCTGATCTCTGATATCAAGATTGTGCTAAGCTATAACTTAATTCTCATAATTTAGTATTTTATGTATTTATACATAGATTTCCAGGGTGGCTTGGCTGGAGATGACAGTATGAAAAATACAGCACTAAATTCTCTGAGAAGACATCATCTCTGTTTTGAGTGACGATATCCTAAGACTTGGATACTGATAGAAAATAGGTCTTGGCCGGGCGCAGTGGCTCACGCCTGTAATTCCAACACTTTGGGAGGCCGAGCCGTGTGGATCACCTGAGGTTGGGAGTTCGAGACCAGCCTGACCACCATGGAGAAACCCCGTCTCTACTAAAAACACAAAATTAGCCAGGTGTGGTGGTGCATGCCTCTAATCCCAGCTACTTGGGAGGCTGAGGCAGGAGAATCACTTGAACTCGGGAGGTGGAGGTTTCGGTGAGCCAAGATTGCGCCATTGTACTCCAGCCTGGGCAAGAAGAGCAAAACTCCGTCTCAAAAAAAAGAAAAAAAGAAAGGAAATAAAGAGAAAGAAAAAGAAAGAAGAAAGAAAGAAGAAAGGAAAAAAAGAAGAAAGAAAGAAAAAGAAAGAAAGAAAAAGAAAGAAAGGAAGGAAGGAAGGAAAGAAAGAGAAAGAAAGAAAAAGAAAGAAGGGAAGGAAGGAAGGATGGAAGGAAGGAGGGAGGGAAGGAAGGAAGGAAGGAGGCCTTGGCCAGGCATGGTGGCTCACACCTGTAATCCTAGCACTTTGGGAGACTGAGGTGGGTGGATCGCTTGAGTCCAGGAGTTTGAGACCAGCCTGGGCAACGTGGTGAAAACCTGTCTCTACAAAAAATACAAAAATCAGCTGTGTATGGTGGTGCATGCCTGTAGGCCCAGCTACTAGAGAGACTGAGGTGGGAGAATCACTTGAGCCTAGGAAGTCAAGTCTGCAGTGAGCTGTAAACATGCCACTGCACTCTAGCCTGGGCAGCAGAGCAAGACCCTGTCTCAAAAAAAGGAAAGAGAAAAGGTCTCAAAACAAGGAAGTGTCACCTTGGCTTTATACATAACCTCAGAACCACCTAGAGTCAGAAACTCCTCTGTACTCATCTTCCATCCCAAACCACAAGGTCCTTTCTCAATCAGTCACCTTTAGTAATGAATGCCAAGGTATCTTCCTTTAGAGATGAATTTTAGCATGAATTCCTCTCCCTGCTTAAACAAGCAGATACACTTGGCCACTCTGGTAGAACTTGGTAACAATGCCAATAAAAGGAGTATTTGTGATTCTTCAGTCAAGCCAGAAAGGATGACACCAGAAATTGCTTTGACTCATTATCACAATTTGCAGAGATAAGAGTGCATTCAGGAAGGCTTGAGAAGTTATACATAGGGAGTGTCCAAGTACTCAGAGATTAAATGAATGCCTCAGGAAACAGTAAGTCTCACATCATCAGTGGGATATTCAAGCTAGACTGCCCCTTGGCACATATCATGGAGAGAACATGTGGCAAGAAATGAGGATGAACTAGATCAGATATCCAGTTTCTTCTCATCTAAGGTCTGTGAATTAAAATAAATAATGCTAATGATCTTAGTGTTTGTAACAACTTAAGGTGGGTTTCTGGGCTCAAGGATCAGAAAACCACAGACCTGACTAGGATCCTGGGAGTTGAGAGATAACATAAATTTTAATGAAAATAACCCTGCCAAAGTGACCAGAGTGAGTGTGTGTGTCTGTGGTTTTTGTTTGTTTGAGATAAGGTCTTGCTCTGTCACCTTGGCTAGAGTGCAGTGGTGCAATCTTGGCTCACTGCATCCTCAACCTCCTGAGCTCAAGCAATCCTCCCGCCTCAGCCTCATAAAGTGATGGTACTACAGGCATGAGCCACCACCATTCCCAGCCCAGAGTGTTTTGTTTTGTTTAGAGAAAGGGTCTTGCTGTGTCACCCAGGCTGGATTGCCCAGTGGTGTGATCATGGCTTACCACAGCCTCGACCTCCCGAGCTCAGGTGATCCTCCTACCTCAGACTCCTAAGTAGCTGGGACTACAGGTGTGCACCACCATGCCTAGCTAATTTTTGTATTTTTTGTATAGATAGGGTTTGTTACTATGTTACTCAGGCTGGTCTCGAACTCCTGGGTTCAAGGGATCTTTTCACCTCGGCCTCCCAAAAGTCTGAGATTATAGGTGTGAGCTACCACACCTGGCATCAGAGTATATTTTTAAGATAGCCAATGATTATGCTCTAGTCGCACTTGCTCAGAGGAGCTAAAGGTTTTTTTTTATTGTTGTTTGTTTGTTTGAGACGGAATCTCGCTCTGTCGCCCAGGCTGGAGTGCAGTGGCACCATCTCGGCTCACTGCAAGCTCCGCCTCCCAAGTTCACGCCATTTTCCTGCCTCAGCCTCCCGAGTAGCTGGGACTACAGGCGCCCGCCACCACGCCCGGCTAATTTTTTGTATTTTCAGTAGAGACGGGGTTTCACTGTGGTCTCGATCTCCTGACCTCATGATCCGCCCACCTCGGCCTCCCAAAGTGCTGGGATTATAGGAGTGAGCCATCGCACCCGGCCGGAGCTAAAGTTTTGAAGGTAAAATGATACTTCATTGAAACAATAAGACACTCATGCATCAAAAGTAAGTCTCTAGTCCCTCTAGTCTTACCTTGTAATAATGCAATACCTTGCCTTAGTATTTAGTATGGTTGAACAAAAAATTTCTCTCCAACTTATTTGTCTCTGAATAGTAAATCAGTCTCCCAGTAACACTGGAATGTTATTATTTTTTAAATCTCCAGAAACAAATATGTGCTGTTTGTCTTCTGAAGTCTTCTGTGTACTAAGCCATGCTTGCCTACTGTGGCGTTTAGCAGAGCCTCAGTGCACATTCTCTAGCCACTGGATGTTGCCTCACTTTTGTAGATCTAGCCTCGTGTGGCCTAACACTAACCAGCAGCAGCTCTGTTTAATCAATAACCAGGTCTCCTGTTCTGGGCTAATAATTTCCCAGCAGGCGCACAATTCCCTGATCATTGATGGTGCCTACAACAAATATATTATTCAGTGGGCAAACAGTGTTTGTGTGTTGATAGGATACTGAAGTAATAGTTTGGAGATGTGGGTTCCAGTTTCTACTTCATCTATGACTTAAGTGACCCTGAGAAAGTTATTTTATGAGTTGTTCCATATGAAAAGACTGGGAATGTGTATAGGCCTTAATTTATAAGGTCTGTTAGGATATAATGAGATACTTAATAGCAAACAGATCCCATTCTCCAAGACTCTAATTCCTCAGCCATAGCTCAAAGACCTCCATGATGAAGGGGCATCTGCTTTCAAATCACAGTCTTTATTCTCTGATCAACATCTTATAAGGCTAAGAAGTTCCAGTTATTAATTGCACTGCAAAGTTGGGAAGGGCCTGGAAGAGCAGCACCTTTGAGCCTCACAGGTTGGGTTTGGGTTGCCCAGTTGAGGACAAACTCTCCCCATCCCCACCCCCATATATGTACACACACACTGATACTATGTCACAGCTAATTGGTTTCACATCAATTTTTGTCAAAAACCATCTGCATTTCTATTTCTTATAGATGGTCAGAGACGATGTGACTTTTAAGATCTCATGGTTAGTGGTGGGGCTAAGACCAGACCCAAATTAGTGCTCTTTATGCCATACATTATTTGCCTTTTCCTAATCACTGTCTGAGATGATACTAAACAATGTCCATTTTGGACTCCAAAATGTAAAGGATTTTAACAAAAAGGTGGGGGTTTCAGGGTATCTCTCTTCAGAGCTGCCGGGGTGCACAACTGCATGGGGGGAGCCATGCACGTTATCTACAAATGGCACCCTTTAAATTTCACTGCACAGCCTGCACAGAGCTAACACCCTCAGCAGCCTTCTCTCCCTGTATCCGTTAAGAACAAGTACCTGAAAATAGGGTAGCAAAAGGTAAAGTCATTAATTGCCCAGGACACATACAGGAAGACCCTGATTCTGCAGCTGGCGAAATGTGATGTAGGTGATGGCATAGGGGCTGTGAAGCTAGCTGACAATCGTGATTAATTTTTTTTTTTTTTGAGACAGAGTCTCACTTTGTTGCCCAGGCTGGAGTGCAGTGGCATGATCTCAGCTCACTGCAACCTCCGCCTCTTGGGTTCAAGCAACTCTCCTGCCTCAGCCTCCCAAGTAGCTGGGACTACGGGCATGCGCAACCACACCCAGCTAATTTGTGTATTTTTGTAGAGATAGGGTTTCTCTATGTTGGCCAGGCTGGTCTCAAACTCCCGACCACAAGTGATCCGCCTGCCTTGGCCTCCCAAAGTGCTAGAATTATAGGTGTGAGGCACCGTGCCCGACCTCCCATGACTAATTTTATGTTCAAATTTCTTTTATAGTCAGGTAGGATAGATTTCAAATTCTAAGCATAACTCGAATCTTTCATCCCACTGTAATTTGAAGAACCCAATTGTGAGGAGAAAACAAAGAATCTTTTTTTAGAGACGGAGTCTCCTTATGTTGCCCAGGCTGGACACCAAACTCCTGGGCTCAAGCAATCATCCCACCTCAACCTCCTGAGTAGGGGGGGATCTATAGGCATGAGCCTCTATGCCCTAGAAATCTTGTTTTTTAACCCCATTGAGTTAGTCCAAATTCAGGTGGGTATATTGAAAATACTGGAGATGAGGTCTGGGATCTAATCCTGGCTCTGCAAGGCAAAGTCTAGCTCTGTCACCTAGGCTGGAATGTAGTGGTATGATCATGGCTTACTGCAGCCTTAACCTTCCAGGCTCAAGCAATCCTCCCACCTCAGCCTCCCAAGTAGCTGGGACTACAGGCATGTGTCACCATGCTCATCTAATATTTTTATTATTTTTTTGTAGATAGATAGGGTCTCACTATGTTGCCCAGGCTGGTCTCAAACTCCTGGTCTCAAGCAATCCTTCCACCTCAGCCTCTCAAAGTGGTAGGACTGCAGGCATGAGCCATTGCACCTGGCTGCCACACAGCTGTTTGAGGCAAGCAAATTAAACACTATAGAAATGTTAATCTCAAAATAGTTCAAATGTCGACATTCTAGGAGTTAAAAAACTGCCACTTTAAGTCTTCTTTTCAATATGGTAGGTAACCTAAATTATACTTTATCCTTTTTTTTTTTTTTTTTTTTTGAGACGGAGTCCCGCTCTGTAAACTAGGCTGGAGTGCAGTGGCGCGATCTCGGCTCACTGCAAGCTCCGCCTCCCGGGTTCACGCCTTTCTCCTGCCTCAGCCTCCGGGGTAGCTGGGATTACAGGCGTGAGCCACCGCGCCCGGCCCAACCTAAATTATACTTTTAAAAATGGTACTTAAAACTATTTTCTTGGCTGGGTGTGGTGGCTCACGCCTGTAATCCCAGCACTTTGGGAGGGCGAGGCAGATGGTTCATCTGAGGTCAGGAGTTCGCAACCAGCTTGGCCAGGATGGAGAAACCCCATCTTTACTAAAAATACAAAAATTAGCTGGGCTTGGTGGCACACACCTGTAATCCCAGCTACTTCAGAGGCTGAGCCACGAGAATCACTTGAACCTGGGAGGCGGAGGTTGTTGTGAGCCAAGATCAGGCCACTACACTCTAGCCTGGGTAACAGAGAGAGGCTGCCTCAAAAACAAAAAAACAAACAAAAAACCCAAAAGTTATTTTCTTTTCTTTTTTTTTTTTTGAGATGGAGCCTCACTCTGTCACCCAGGCTAGAGTGTAGTGGCCTGATCTTGGCTCACTGCAACCTTCGCCTCTCAGGTTCAAGTAATTCTCCTGCCTAAGCCTCCTTAGTAGCTGGGATTACAGGCACCCACCGCCTGGCTAATTTTTGTTATTTATTTATTTATTTATTTATTTATTTTTAATTTTGAGACGGAGTCTCGCTCTGTCGCCCAGGCTGGAGTGCAGTGGCACGATCTCGGCTCGCTGCAATCTCTGCCTCCCGGGTTCACGCCGTTCTCCTGCCTCAGCCTCCCGAGTAGCTGGGACTGCAGGAGCCCACCACCATGCCCGGCTAATTTTTTGTATTTTTAGTAGAGACGGGGTTTCACCATGTATTTTTAGTAGAGATGGGGTTTCACCACGTTGGTCAGGCTAGTCTCAAAACTCCTGACCTCAGGTGATCTGCCTGCCTCAGCCTCCCGAAGTGCTGGGATTACAGGTTGAGCCATCACGCCCGGCCCTATTTTCTTTTTAAATTAAAAAACATAAATCCCAGCCCCTGAGCATTTCTCCCTCTGAATTAGTCTTCTGACAAAAAAAAAAGTCACAGTGTTTTAAATAGGACTGGATTCCATGGTTTACTGCCCCCACATAGGGCTAAAATGTGATTTTTCAAATCTAGGGAGATAAGCCCAGATAAGACCACCTTTTGAGGCTTTGTACAAGACCCAAGAGAACTGCTTACATTTATGGCTCCGTGTATCGGCGTTGTGGTTATGCAGACCACAAGGTAGAAATAAAACGTAAGAACTTGCATCAAGCAGTCAGAATTTCAACTAGAATAATCTCACACCCAGAACACAATAGGCCACTTCACTCTGGGCAGACAGAAGGCGAGCCAATTAGACTAGAGGGTTTTTATATATATATATATATATATTTTTTTTTTTTTTTTTTGAGACGGAGTCTCGCTGTCACCTAGGCTGGAGTGCAGTCACACGATCTCGGCTCACTGCAAACTCTGCCTCCTGGGTTCAAGTGATTCTCCTGCCTCAGCCTCCCGAGTAGCTGGGATTACAGGCGCCCGCCACCACACCCAGCTAATTTTTGCATTTTTAGTAGAGACAGGGTTTCGCCATGTTGGTCTCGAACTCCTGACCTCAGGTGATCCACCAAACTTGGCCTCCCAAAGTGCTGGGATTACAGGTGCGAGCCACCGCACCCGGACGAGGGTTTATGTCTTTTATCAGATGGTACACTCTTACCATCTGAGTGGTAATCCCATTTTTGTAACCCCAACATTCAGCACACTGCCTAAGGTTCAGTAATTATCCAATAGTCACTCAATAGAGTTTATCTTCATGGGAATAAAATTGCTTAAAAAAACTGGACAGACACTGTGTACTAAAATTACTTTATTACAGTTGATTTTTTTAAACATTTCCTTTGCTATGATACAAAGGATACTTACAAACAAAATATTACATATGACCTTGTTTTCGCTCTTATGTTCTGACAACTTGGTAACAGCTTTTAATGCACAATCTATACAATTAATACAGGTTATATATGAACTATAAGGTATGCTGAACCAGAAGAATACTGACAATATACTGTACAATAAGCCTTACCAGTTAGTGCTGTGGACCATTTATACCAAAAGGAAAATGCACATCTGTACAGTCACCTTTACCAGCTGGTGCTGACAGAGAGGGAGAGGCTTCTTCCCCAATGCAACCCTTGATAAGCCTCCACTGTGAGCGTCTGTTTGGTCCAAAAATCGAGAGGACAATGTGTATTTAAAATTAGTTATTGGTAAAGTGGTAGAACATCACACTTTCGACACGATACTCTCTCAAAAAAGTATCAGTCCCAGTTTTAAAAGACCACAAGTTCTTTGTCCACTATGAAAACCCTACGGGCTCAGGGGGTTTGGGAGATGAGAAGATGAAGGCTGCCAAAAAAGGAGGCAAGAAACCAAGCCAAAATCTAGGTCTTGCAAAATCATCATTTTTCCCTTCACCAAAGGGAACTAGAAATGTACAAATTCATTGATGAACCTCAATGATAGCATATCAGTTAGCTGATAACCCTCATTTTATCTGGACCCCTGACTTGTGGGAATAACTAAAATACATTGTGGATAACAGATACCACTTTTAGAAAAGAACCTCTTGCTTAATTAACATATTCCCTTTAGCCACCACAGCTGGTCCTGGGCTACTACAGGTGTGCATTCATCGCTCAATGGTCTACTCAGAAATGATAAGGTTACAGCTTTTTTTCTTTTTTTTTTTAAATAAAAAAGCAATTGACTGAAGCATTTTCTTTTTTTAGGTAAATAGCAAAAATAAAAATAAAAACCAACCCTGGCATTTGCACAAATAATGCAAATGGAGTGATATGGCCTTTAAGGAAGGAGTTAGTAGAAAGGAAGAGGGAAGTGAAGAAAATCCAGAGAAAATGATGTACTAATTTCTTTCTTTTAAAAAATTTCTACATGTGCAAAAAAATCATGCTGTTTGAGGAAAACAAAGGGAAATGAGTACATAAAACTAAAAACATAAATATGTTTGGGTGACTGGTAAAAGTAGAAACCAACCTGGGTTACAAAAAGGATTATACATTCAAGATGCTCTTAAACCCAGTGGGATAACTTATGTTAAAACTGTGTTAATAGTTACGTTAAAAATCTCAAGTTTGTTTTTAAATCTTCACAATACAAGCAAAGCTGTTTTAAAATATACACTATACATATTTCTCATAGTCTCTTCAACCTCATTAATGCGCATTAGGCTTTTTCATATACTAAAACAAGGGGGTTCTGAAAGCGAAATTGCTCATAGTAACCCATCCATTATTTTAAATGGTTGTCTTAAGTTTTAAGTGGGCTAAAAAACTTTAGCAGACTTACATAAATAGAATTTAGCAACACAAGTGTTAATTAAAAAAACTCTAAAGCATTTACAAATTATCAGATTGGAACAGTCCGGGGAAGTTATGTGCACTATACTTTAAATGTTATTTACATCCGACCATTGCTTTTGCAAAAGAGTTCCCTAAAAAATAACAAAACAAAACAAAACAAATTTGGAGAATTAACCTGTTCTAGCAGAGAAGGATCATAAAAGAAAAGGTAAAATGAGAACAAAATTATCTTCTAATAGAAACCCCACACATCCTTCTCTTTTCTTGGATTTTACCCTATGAAACCACCTGCAGCTCCTAATAGGCTCATATATAAGGTGTCAAGGTGTGATAAAATACCTTTTCAGATAAATTACTGGCCTTAAGAGGACTTTTTTTTTTTGAAATGTTTTCCCACCTTGTGTCTCTAGCTTGGATTATTCTTGGACACATGTAATTAATTGGAGGGGCACTCCTAAGTAGGCACAATTCCCATTTAATGTGGAATAAAAGGCATAAAATGCTGTTAGGAAGAAGGGTGGTGGTTTCTTTGATATTGTGAAATGCAAAGAAGGACAGCAGCACATTTGGAATGGGAACCAAAAGAGAGCTGTCTGGCAATACACCAGGACAGCCAACATCTTGGTAAGTTATATATAAACTTGTCTATGACAAAGGAAAAAGTGTTGGAAGGGTTCCAATAGCCCCGGGGTTTTTGGATACGAGACAAATGGTCACATAGACCACCCAGAATCTGCAAATGTTGGGCAGTTACATCCTTTAAAGTCACATAATTCAGTCCATGACCATGTGCAATTTACGGTAACAATGTTCATGCCCAGGCAATGTATTTGGGGCTCAGAAAAAGCAAAATGTGCCACTGAGAGAAACCTGTTCCCTATATAACTGGTCTTCATGCTTTCAAGTGGCCCTAATATACCTTGGATACTAAGCCAAGCCATGCAAAAGCAAAGAGCACACACTTTTCATTAACACTGGTATCTCATTTCTAAACCACTGACCTCAGAGTTGCCATAGAAACATATTAACACGAGTACTGAAAGCATACAACTGAGGGTTCACGGATTTCTAAGAAATGCATTTCCCTTGTCTATGTTCATCAGCCTTTAATACTTTGGCTACAAGGCATATCAGAGAAAGGGAGGTTAAATTGGGTAATGACAAAAGAACATATGTAACTCTGGAAATAGGAAAAATGTTCCAGAAATGGGATCAATGTGCCAGCAATAAGCATAGTTCATTTCATTTGAAAATTCAGTTAAAGAGCCCAATAAACAGTTCCAAACCATGTTATCACCTGCATAATTTACATAAACATTAAAACACTTGCACTTTATAGACAAAACACACTTTTGTAAACATGGCCACTGGGGGAGAGAGGCTCCCTACCTCATTCATGATTGAGGACATGTGATCATTTATATTAAATAAAATTATTTCACTGCAAAAGATCTCAAACCTGACCATGATTAAGCTTCATTTCCCCCTGTTTAACATTTAAGTATTAATTCTAAAAATGTCACCTAGGATGGTTTCAGGGTTAGATGCTAGGACCACAACTGGTAATGACAGCAACTTCTCTCTAGCTGGCACAGACCTATAAACTTTAGTACAAAAACAAAAAAATACAGAAACTAGGTCAATTTGTTAGCTACATATTTACAGATAATTACATGATTTTTCACTCACAAGTGCTGAACACTTTGAGTGAAAGAAAACTGTGCAGGTTGAATTACCCGTACTTTGGGGGGAATTCTGGGTATCAAGATACCCTTTTTCATTCATTCAAAAGTCTCATCTTCTCTCCACTTTTTCATGACAAACTACCTACAGATGTTCAGATTAGTATATCCAGTGGGCATCCTGGTGTTTCAGTGAGGATTAACCTTTTTCTCTATTTAAAGAATTCCTTGTATATTTAGAAACAAAACAATACAATCACACAGACATATATACAAAAAAAAAATACACCTCTGAAACTTCAAAAAGTTTAGATTGCTGGGAAACAGTTAACAGTGATGGTGACATAGTAAATGGCTCCCCAGTTTTAATTCTCTGCCTTTATTTTCTTTAAAGGATATCTATCTTTGGGTGGGTAGGAAGTGCAAGTTTAAGAAACCCACAACAGGCAGATAAGGTGCATACTAATTTATATATTTCTTATGATCTAAAGACTACCGTTAAGCTAAATGGAGTCTCTTCCCTTGTATGAGTGAAATTTTGGAAATCTGAATACAAACAAGGAGGAAAACATTAGTCAACATGACTTTAAAGGGAACTACCGGAATTCAGCAGAAAATATAAATGCACAATAAAGGAAGAGTTCTCAGCTTCACTTTCTTTTTCTAGACAGTGTTTAATAAAACTTACTTCTTTACAAATTAATAGTCATTTCCAATGCAGACCTATTGTAGTGATTTCATAAAAGTGCAGACAACATAACCAGACACAGCAAAACAGACTTCAATCAGTAGTCCTTGCATACAAGAGGCAAGTCCGCTAAGTGTACAGCCAACTCTTCATCCTTTAAGGGATCTGAGGATGGGAAATTTCCAGTTCTTAAAAACTAAGAGTGAGTGAGTCTCTTTTAAAAGGCAATGCTACAACCTGGTTGGGGGCACTATCATGTTAGATGGGGGAAAACAAAATAGATAATTTGTTTTTCTTCAATAATGGTCTGTATTTTGGTAAACAGCTCAAAGATGACAGCCCAAGTTTTGACATTGCTCTTGGAGAAGGCTCTTTTCTATCTAAGACAAGAGAACCTCTTCTTCCATCATTATAGGAGATTCACACTTATATACCTTAAATATATTATTTTTTGATTTGAATACAGAAGACACTTCACATTGTGAGCACAGGACAAAATGCAGGACCATATAAATCTCCAAGGAAAAAGTTAATGTGTTGGGGCAAATCTCTACTTGAATAGTAGTGGCTCAGAAGTGGTGGAAGGTGCACAAAGAACTTACTATTAGCAAGCAAGAAGAGGCAGGTAAAGGGAGAAAGCCCCTCACCCAATACCAAATCCTTCTCTCCCAGTGGCCATTTCCTGTTGATTTTACAGTTCAGGAGAATCTTAGATGCTTTAGCAGTAATTCCTTTCTTGGCTGTTTTGATCCTCAGCAAAGTATATAATTATTAGTATTAATGGAGTAAAAAAAGTAAGAGGATCAATGGTATCACTACTAAGAAATACATATAGAAAGCACATAAAGATTGTGTGATTTATTGGTTCTTTTTCTTATCATCTTTGCAGAGGAATCACCATCAGTGTTCTTACTTTCCATGGTTCATTTCTCTCTGCATTACTTATCTCTTATTGCATCACAACACAAACTCACAGAAACACTAACTGGCTCCTTCCCCAGCACCATTTTACTGCATTGCAACTTATGATTCCAAATTTTACTTAATGTCCTCTCCACTCACAGAAGTGCTAAGAGGGGATTAAAAAGGAAAAGACTGCATCTAATGACCACCTTCTCATAAACATCAACGCAGAGTACTCATTCTTAAGAAACACATGCATTCTTGCCTTAACTGAGGACTGAAATAACAAAACCAAACAAAAATAACAGAACTTTTAAGTGCCCTGATGGAAATGTACAGTATGAGTTACATCCATCCATCTATACACACATACAGACACTCATATGTATATACAATATATACATACAAATGATAATAGCTATACCAAAAATGTGCATATTTAATACAGTTTTAAAAAGCCAGTAGATCATGGTATAATACAATTTATTTCCACTAGTGAATGGCACAAATGGAGAAATGCAAAGGAGGTGTTTCAAGTACAATGAAGTCATTTTTCACAGGTGAAAATAAATAGTATTATTCCAGTGTCCAACATAATGTATTCTACAAAAGTTTAAAATGCCAGACATTTAGTACTTACAGAAATAGAAAGTTACTAAAGTCTGCTTTATGGTCTCAAAAAGACACTCATAGAGTTTTCAATTTTTGAAAAGGGGGTGAGAAAAAAATTGGTGGAAGCAGGAGGGAGTGTCCAGGATAGTTTCTTTAGTGTACTGAATGTTTACCTGATGTCTAGGCAACCAAAAATCATGACTATGCTAAAATGTTCCATTTACCAACAAATCCTTGACCTAGAGTACTAAGCATATTACACCAGTGTGTGTGGCTTCAAATACAAGACTCTCTATCTCTAGGTATTGAAATGGCGAATAAGAATTGCAGCTCTGAAAATATAATATAAACACATTTTTCAGATAGCATTATACAAATAAAAATACTTTTGGATACTAGAATTTGGGGTTAGAGCTGACTTCAATAAGGGGAGGAAAAAATATGTGCAAAGGGAAGGGAGCTCAATTTGGAATAATATATTTCAAAGTATGTGGCTTTGCATTTTTAAAATGCTAACCAAAAAAAATGTGAGATAGAGTGACCCCAAGGAACTTTTTACAGCCAGCCTCTGGATACCAGATATAGCATTTACAACTTCTGATATGCTAGACAAATTTTCCATAGTTTTAATTTTCTTAAAGACATATAGTGAGTGAACACCAACACTGGGAAGGAGGTAGTGTTAATTTGATCAAATATTGATATTTCCCCACTGATTCAGAAAGTGCTTGCTCTTTCTCTAGGATATCTCAAAACCCTTCCAATTTTTCTGCTACAAGCTTTACTCTATGATGGTTCCTACTATGTATGAGATTCCTCAGAAGCTAGATCTCACAAACATATACAAACCAATTAATTTGAATCATTTTTTGCAAACTGTATATACTTTAAAGTTAACTTAATGATAAAATCCAGGTATAGTCATGACCTACATGTAAAACTGGTGGCCAAATACATTAGATACAAAACCCTACTGGAGATCTGAATGGACTCAGTAACTCTCAATTTGACTAATTTAAGTCCACAATTGGACTTTAAAATGTACCACCAATAATATTTTGGGTTTGAAAGAGTTTTTGTATGCAAAAGTGATCTGCTTCCCTATTCCACCCATCCAGTAGTACAGAGCAGCCAGATCTATGAATAATTTTTAAGGGTATCAAATTGTATTTTTGACATTTTATTAAATTCTAAAGCTCTCTCGTCATTTTACACCAAATAAGTAATTTCTCAATTTGTTGGAAACGCTATAATACCTGAATGCAAAAAAGATACTGAGACGACTAAAAGCCCCTTTCACTGATATTACAAGTACATGTCATGTCATGTTTACCTAAAAACCGGTGACCTGGAGCATGGGCTGAAAGAACAACACATAAGAGTGCTTCTTGAAACACTGCCTAAAATTTTGTGTGAACTCTATGGTGATCTTGGTTTTAAAAACATTTACATTAAAACATTAATTTTCTTCCAGTTTCCTTAAAATGAATCCCAGAAACTCCTACAGGTGAGGATTCATGGCAACTCGACTGACATACCTGGGAAAGACTTAAAATTTGGTTGAGAAAACCAGGACTTCAACAGTGATAGATTGATTACTGTTTGGTCATTAGTTTGGTCTAGGCAAAGAGTGCCATTGAGAGGGACTTAGAGAGTTCTACCTTGGAGCCCTCTGACTATAGGAAAAGCAGGATCCAGAGTTAGCAGCAAGGATTCTTCAAGACAACTTGGAAGGGAGCAGGACAATAACTTGTAAGAAACTCTGATTTGTCACTGAAAAGGATATTTTTCTTCAAGTCATACTCACAGCTTCCTACCCACCTCCAACACAATTTATATACAAGAAATGGAAAACCAAGAAAATAACTGACTTTTTAGCATTGGGTTCATCCTTCATTGTACAACAAAACATAACAAAACAAAACATGTGCCCCCTGAAAAATAAGAGTTAGCTTTCGTCAAGAGATTCCCTGACCACTATAACTTATTTTACTTTTTTTTTTTAATTGGCCAAACTTCCTAGTTCCTTTTCAGTAGTACTTTAGCACTGAGGCTTGAGACTTGTGGAAGTGGTGTTTCCTATTGTGTGATGTTAACTTGATGCCAAATGGTCACTAAGTCTCAACGAACTAGAAGTTTGTAAAGTACTGCAGCAACGAAAACAGCAATTAAAAATAGAGGACCTGCACATGCAGCAAAATCTACAGTGGTGATGAAGATTAGTCAGCAGCTGGTAAAGTCATTGGCTCAGTGACTCCTGGTTCACTGTGGCAACTAAACATTTAAATAATTGGCTATTCTACTTGTAAACAGAAAATCACATAAGCCAAAAGGAGATAACAATTATGTCTATGTAGTGTGACGAGAATTTCAATAGATGGCAATTTGCAAATATGGCATCAAACACCTCCGGCATTTGATTTGTATTGGCTATATGTCTTTGTTTTTGTACAAACAAAGTAAAAGTACTGTTTGGGGTCTTGGGCATTATAGAGCTTAGCTAGGATGAGATATCACAGTATAAGCAACAAAACGTCAGGACACGTAAGCTTCATCTCCTCACTCTGCTGCGGGACATACCCACCATATGAACTTTCAGGGCCCCTCTCACCCTTCTGGTCTTCCCCATTGAAGGCTCATAGGTTTGTTAATGCAATCCTCACACAACTTGTGATCTCCTTAAGTACCCCCATCTTATCATAATACAAAGAAGGCACAATTGAATGGACAAAAATCACTCACAAGCCTATGACGCATTCAGGAAAAAAGAAAAACTAAGTTGTTTTCTACTCTCTGAAAAAATCAATGAAGTCCTTTAGTGTTCATGGATTTCTACACTTGATCTTAGCCAAAAGGCCGAGAAGCAATGTGTTCATGGATTTCTGCTTTCTTTTTTTAGTCCAAATGAGGCTGAGAAGTCAGATCAATTTAATAACAAATAAATACACTGGTGAGGCAATGCAGGTGTGTACCAGTAATAACTTATTTCAACATATGCTGCCTGCTGTGAGTGGCTCATAAGAATTTGGGATATGGGATAAAAAGGCTTTAGATCTTTTCAGAAACTTCTTAGGATACAGACACCCAAAAGTGATAACTGAAGCCATTTTGCTACGTTCTATTTTTGCAGTGTTCAGAAAAATCCCCTATCTAGCCAATTCTTTTCACCACATGCATAATATATGTGTATGTGTGTGTATATATATGTACACACATACACATTTATTTTTAATATCAACTCCACTTTTCAAAATTTCCCCAAAAACAAACAAACCCGGCAGCCAAGTACTATGACATCCCAATTAGTAAACACAAAACAGAACGCTTTACAAAAATGAATAAAATATACCATATGCACTCAGCTTCCACACTGTAGTACCCAAGTGAGGAGGCTGCTGTGATGATGTCTGTAGGCAGTTTCTTTTGGCAGACAGCTCCAGCGGAATTGCCACTCTCAATTATTAAGTTATGTATAAGACATGTGTGACCCATTGGATATTTGTGAAGTGACACTCGTGCTTCTGCTCATGCCCTGCTCCGTCCGTCCCCCAGAAGCTGTCCGCCTCAGAGCCTGGGGGCTATTGCGGACTCCCATACTGCTACCTCGAGGTACCCCTTGCATTGGCCCTGAAGGGTGACCCCATGGCTGGGGTCCACCTTGCATTGGATGGCCCCAAGCTTGTGGTGGGCCACCCATGGGATGACCCCAGTGAGGTCCTGGACCCCCAGTAGGGTTGTGTGACCAACCAGAAGCTCCCGGGTAGCTGTGGCTGAATGCCTCAGGGGAGAGATTAGAAAGGACCATATTACTAAAACCTAGTCTCATGCTTTCAGAGTCAAAAGCTTCAATCTCTCTGGCTTGACGTTCCAACAGGCTTCGTATTCGTTCTGTGCGCTCATTCTGCAAAGCCAACATCTCTTCTTCAATCTGTTGGAGATTGGAAGAAAAATGAAAGCCAATTTATTATTTTTAAGTCTATAAAGAAAGGAAGCAATAATTATTCAGCTTTGAAGTGGTTATTTTATGGATGTATATTTGTCCATGAGTTTCAAATTTTATTTAAACTTTTTCCCTTTAATTTATTAAAAAATTTTTAAAGTTTTTATATATTCGGGGGTACAACTGCAGATTTTTTTTACATGCACATATTGCGTAGTGGTGAAGTCTGGGCTTTTAGTGCACCCATAACTTGAATAGGGAACACTGTACCCAATAGGTAATTTTTCAACCCTCACTCATCTCCCACCCTCCCACCTTCTGTAGTCTCTAGTGTCTATTATTTGATGCTATGGATATACATTTAAAAATCAAGGCCGGGCGCGGTGGCTCACGCCTGTAGTCCCAGCACTTTGGGAGGCTGATGCGGGCGGATCATGAGGTCAGGAGATCGAGACCATCCTGGCTAACATGGTGAAACCCTGTGTCTACTAAAAATACAAAAAATTAGCCGGGCATGGTGGTGGCGGGCCCCTGTAGTCCCAGCTACTCAGGAGGCTGAGGCAGGAGAATGGTGTGAACCCGGGAGGTGAAGCTTGCAGTGAGCCGAGATCGTGCCACTGCACTCCAGCCTGGGCGACAGAGCGAGACTCCGTCTCACAAAAAAAATAAAAAGTAAAATAAAATAAAAAAATAAAAAGAGATGTCCCTTAGGAATCAGCATAATTTATATTTTTAAAATGTGTAAAATCAAGTTCCTTTTTTTCTTTTTTTTTGAGACGGAGTCTTGCACTGTCGCCTGGGCTGGAGTGGAATGTCACTATCTCAGCTCACTGCAACCTCCGCATCCTGGGTTCAAGCGATTCTCTAGCCTCAGCCTCCCATGTAGCTGGGATTACAGGCATGTGCTACCACATCCAGCTAATTTTTGTATTTTTAGTAGAGATGGGGTTTCACCATGTTGGCAAGGCTGATCTTGAACTGCTGACCTCAGATGATCCTCCCGCCTCAGCCTCCCAAAGTGCTGGGATTGAGGATTTGAGATAATAGGGGAAATTTAGACATGCATTTAAAAATTATTATGAATTCTGTTAGATATCACAGTGGAATTATGATTACATTAAAGTCAAAAGTCCTATCTAGGCCGGGCGCGGTGGATCACGCCCATAATCTCAGCACTTTGGGAGGCTGAGGCGGGTAGATCACTTGAGGTCAGAAGTTCGAGACCAGCCTGGCCAACATGGTGAAACCCCATCTCTACTAAAAATACAAAAATTAGCCAGGCGCGGTGGCACACGTCTGTAATCCCTGCTTCTTGGGAGGCTGAGGCAGGAGAATCACTTGAACCTGGCAGGCAGAGGCTGCAGTGAGCAGAGATCACACCACTGCACTCCAGCCTCGGCGACAGACTGAGACTCCATCTCAAAACAAACAAACAAATAAACAAAACAAAAATTTTTTTCATGGGAAGCAAATACAAATAAAAAATTGCAATAGAATGGGTTAAGATATTTATAAGGTACTACAGAAATAAAAAATGTATCAAGGCCGGGCGTGGTGGCTCATGCCTAGTAATCTCAACATTTTGGGAGGCCGAGGTGGGTGGATCACTTCAGGCCAGGAGTTTGAGACCAGCCTGGCCAAGATGGTGAAACCTCGTCTCTACTAAAAATACAAAAATTGGCCGGGCACAGTGGCTCACGACTGTAATCCCAGCACTTTGGGAGGCTGAGGCAGGCAGATCACTTGAGGTTGGGAGTTCGAGACCAGCCTGACCAACATGGAGAAACCCCGTCTCTAGTAAAAATACAAAATTAGCCGGGCGTGGTGGCACATGCCTGTAATCCCAGCTACTCGGGAGACTGAAGCAGAAGAATCGCTTGAACCTAGGAGGCGGAGGTTGCGGTGAGAAGAGATAGCACCATTGCACTCAAGCCTGGGCAAAAAGAGTGAAACTCCATCTCAAAACAAAAATAAAAACAAAAACAAAAAACAAACAACCCAAAAACAAAAAGAAAAATTAGCCGGGAGTGGTGGCAGGTGCCTGTAATCCCAGCTACTCAGGAGTCTGAGGCAGGAGAATCACTTGAACTTGGGAGGCGAAGGTTGCAGTGAGCCAAGATGGGGCTACTGCACTCCAGCCTGGGCAATAGAATGGGACTTAGTCTCAAAACAAACAAACAAACAAACAAACAAACAAAAACAGAAAAAAGTATTGAACGGTTTGCTCTATAGGGGAGGAAAAGTGGAGCAAATAAGTCTCAAAGAAGATGGTACAGACATACAGACATTTGGTATCTTTCCCTGAGAAGAATATTCCATGTTTAAGTCCTCCTTCAACCTTCATAAAAAATGCCTAATGCCTCTTTAATAACATGTTTTAGAATAACAATTTTCAAACTCTTCTTACTCCAGTCCATCCTGGCCTGTTTGTAATTTCTCCCAAACATTTCTTATTTTATCATTTCTCCATGCCTTTACACATTCCTTGTGTTTCTGGTTAACCTATTCTTCCTTCAGAAAGCACTCTTTATACCATCTCCCTGAGATTTCTTTGCCCCACTTTCCCTCCGCTATAGAGTACATCACTCCTATACTTTTGTATTTCTGCTATACTTTATAAATCTGTTATTATATTTTGCCACATTCTACTGCAATTTTTGCTTTTTTTCGAGACAGGGTCTTGCTCTGTCACCCAGGCTGGAGTGCAGTGGCGCGATCGTGGCTCGCTGCAACCTCCACCTCCCAGGCTCAGGCTATCCTCCCACCTTATCCTCCTGGGTAACTGGGTATTTCTACTAAAAATACAAAAATTGGCTGGGTGCAGTGGCTCACGCCTGTAATCCCAAGAGCTTTGGGAGGCTGAGGTACGAGGATCACCTGAGGTCGGGAGTTCGAGACCAGCCTGACCAACATGGAGAAATCCCATCTCTAGTAAAAATACATGATTAGCCGGGCATGGTGGCACATGCCTGTAATCCCAGCTACTCGGGAGGCTGAAGCAGGAGAATTGCTTGAACCCGGGAGCCGGAGGTTGCTGTGAGCCGAGATAGTGCCATTGCACTCCAGCGTGGGCAACAAGAGTGAAACTCCATCTCAAAAAAACAAAAAACAAAACAAAACAAAAAACAGGCATGCACCACCACACCCAGCTAATTTTTTGTATTTTTGGTAGAGAGGAGGTTTCACCATGTTGCCTAGGCTGCTCTCAAACTCCTGATCTCAAGCGATCCGGCCTCTTCTGCAATTTTTTGTTTCCTACACAAAAATATGTTTGTTTGTTGTTTTCTGAGACAGGGTCTGGTCTGTTGCCCAGGCTGGAGTGCAGTGGTGCAATCTTGGCTCACTGCAACCTCTACCTCTCAGGTTCAAGCAATCCTCCACACCTCAGCCTCCAGAGGAGCTGGTACTACAGGCGCACACCACTATATCCAACTAATTTTTGTATTTTTTTTTTGTAGAGACGGGGTTTCATCATGTTGCCAAGGCTGGTCTCAAACTCCTGAGCACCAAGTGATCCGCCCCACTCGGCCTTCCGAAGTGCTGGGATTACAGTGTAAGCCACTGCACCCACCCCCAAATTTTAATTCTTACTTAAAAACACTACTAACCATGATGTTAATACTAAGTGAAATCTTGAGAGAAAATTAAATGAGATGATTAAAAAAAGGTCATTTATACTCTGGAAATGCTACTACTTTTCATATATATATATTTCACATATAATTTAACATTTATAGTTGTGTTGTTATCTAAAAATTTAATGTAAATGAAGGATGAGAAACATTGAAACAAGACTTCATGTACATGTGAGGCTCATTTTGTCTCAAACTAAATGAACAATTTTTGGTTCACTTGGAGACTTACAACAATCTTCAAACAGAATGATTTTTCATCTAGAATCAACTAACATTCACTCCAGTTCCATTTCTATTTATTTTCAGATGTCTCCTTCTTATATGTATGTACAACCGGCAAGCATAAAGTGCAGAAATCACAGCTTTTAGGATTTTACAAAGTTTTTGTAGAGAGGTACAGGGTCTTAGTGATTGCTAATTGACCCCAGCCTGCCTTGTAGTCACATACTTTGCTTGAAAGGCAAAATATTAGCCATAAAAACCAAGTAACATCTTGAAGCACTATAGATGTACCATCCTATTGTTCTTTTACTCTTTTAAATACTAAATAATTGTATGCATTTTTCCATTATGAAATGAATAAAACCATATTTTAAAAAAGAAACAGAGAAAAAAATCAACCTATCACATTAACATAGCCACTACTAACATTACTTCAAGTAGGATTTGTCTTTTAAAATTTTGTTCAACACACCATAAACATTTTTCCATATTAATACTGGTTTTGCAGACATCATTTAAATGGCTGAATAAGATTTTTTTATTGGCTTGGCCATGTTTACCTTTTTTTTTTTTTTTTTTTTGAGATGGAGTCTTGCTCTGTCGCCAGGCTGGAGTGCAGTGGCGTGATCTCAGCTCACTGCAACCTCTGCCTCCCAGGTTGAAGCGATTCCCTTGCCTCAGCCTCCCAAGTAGCTGGAATTACAGGCACGCACCACCATGCCGAGCTAATTTTTGTATTTTTAGTAGAGACGGGGTTTCACCACGTTGGCCAGGCTGGTCTTGAACTCCTGACCTTGTGATCTGCCTGCCTCAGCCTCCCAAAGTGCTGGGATTACAGGCGTGAGCCGCCACACCCAGCCGTATCTCTATTTTAAATAGTTAGGTTGTTTTAAACTATTATAAAGTTGTTATAATTAACATATTTATGCAGTTTTTTTTTCCTGTAATTTGGATTTCTTTTCCTTTTTTCCTGTAATTTGGATTTCTTTTCCTCAAAGTTTTAAACACTTAACATTTACAAGGCTAAATATACAACTCCAGGCGCAGTGGCTCATGCCTGTAATCTCAGCACTTTGGGAGGCCGAGGTGGACAGATTGCTTGAGCCTAGGAGTTTGAGACCAGCCTGGGCAACATGGAGAAACCCCATTTCTATCCTTGCCCCCTCCAAAAAAAAAAAAAAAAAATCAGTGGTCATGGTGGTGCATGCCTGTAGTTGTGAGGCTGAGGTAGGAGGACCGCTTGAGCCTTGGGAAATGGAGAACGCAGTGAGCTGAGATTGTACCACTGGACTCTAGCCTGGGCAACAGAGTGAGTCTCTGTTGACACTTGAAAAAAAACAAACAAGTATATATACACCCAACTCCAAATTGCTTTCCAAGATGTATTAACACTGTATAAAAGTGTCACTGTACCTTCACCAATGAGTACTGATTTTATGCCTGCATTGTAATGGCTTTGTATTAACATGCAGTTTTTGGTTAGGATATTAAATAAGACTAAGATGCTAATTAGTGCTGTTTAACTGTTAACCACTAGGTGGAGCTAAAATTATAACCATACTTTAATAGTGCCAATATTTCTCTCATAACACCATTCTTGAAATATTATAGGGAGTTTTCCATTTAGTGATAATACTGAATCCTAAGAGAGAACTTTAGATTAAATTTCAAATATAAAAGATGGAATGAGATGGCCGGGCGCTGTGGCTCACGCCTGTAATCCCAGCATTTTGGGAGGCCGAGGCAGGCGGATCACGAGGTCAGGAGATCGAGACCATCCTGGCTAACACGGTGAAACCCTGTCTCTACTGAAAATACAAAAAAATTAGCCAGGTGTGGTGGTGGGCACCTGTAGTCCCAGGTACTCGGGAGGCTGAGGCAGGAGAATGGCGTAAACCCGGGAGGTGGAGCTTGCAGTGAGCAGAGATCACGCCACTGCACTCCAGCCTGGGCCACACAGCCAGACTCCGTCTCAAAAAAAAAAAAAAAAAGTTTGAATGACATGGATTTAGGAAATTTGCACATGGAAGAAGCTATATTTTTCAAGATTTATGTTTCTATCTTTCTCATCTTATTTATTTATTTATTTTTTGAGATGGAGTCTTGCTCTGTTGCCCAGGCTGGAGTGCAGTGGCGTGATCTTGGATCACTGCAACCTCCGCCTCCCAGGTTCACGCCATTCTCTTGCCTCAGCCTCCCAAGTAGTTGGGACTATAGGCACCCGCCATCATGCCCGGGTTAATTTTTTGTATTTTTAGTAGAGACGGGGTTTCACCGTGTTAGCCAGGATGGTTTCGATCTCCCCTGACCTCGTGATCCGCCCGCCTTGGCCTCCCAAAGTGCTGGGATTACAGGTGTGAGCCACCATGCCCCGGCCTCTCATCTTATTTTTTGAGACAGAGTCTCGCTCTGTTGCCCAGGCTGGAGTGCAGTGGCGCCATCTCGGCTCACTGCAACCTCTGCCTCCCAGATTCAAGGGATTCTCCTGCCTCAACCTCTGGAGTAGCTGGGATTACAGGCGCCTGCCACCACGCCTGGTTAATTTTTGTATTTTCAGTAGAGATGGTGTTTCACTATGTTGGCCAGGCTGGTCTTGAACTCCTGACCACAGGCGATCTGCTCCCCCAACCCTCGGCCTCCCAAAGTGCTGGGATTACAGGCGTGAGCCACTGTGCCTGGCCTTATCTTTCTCATCTTGAATGAGAAATAAAATTGAGATAATATTTAGATGCAAATACCTCTCAAAGAAGCCAGTAATAAAGACAGCTGTGCTAGAGAAATAGTAACATCTTATATCTTATTTAGGTGATTTTTTTAAAGATTTTTTTTGTTTTTTTGAGACAGGGTCTCGCTTTGTAACCCAGGCTGGAGTGCAGTGGCATGATCTCAGCTCACTGCAGCCTCAACCTCCTGGGCTCAAGTGATCCTCTCACCTTAAACCTCCCTAGTCGCTGGGACTATAGGTGTCTGACACCACACTTGGCCAATTTTTGTATTTTTTGTAGAGGCAGGGTTTTGCCATGTTGCCCAGGCTGGTCTTGAACTCCTGAGCTCAAGCGATCTGCTTGCCTCCGCCTCCCAAGTGCTGGGATTACAAGCATGAGCCACAACACCTGGTTTAAAAGATATTTTTTACTTTAATAAGGCATTCTATTTTTATCACAGGAACTATAGGAAATAGAGGAAAAATCTACAGGCCTATGGTCCAGAAACAATGACAACTTTAGGAAGATCATTAGGTAAGTATTAAATGCGATAACCGACGGACCTAAGACTACATCAGCTGTTGGGAATTTAAGACTCAAGAGTTCTGGAATGTATCTCTGAATCCTGGATACAATTGATAATCGACCACTGTTTTATTTATTTATTTATTTATTTTGAGACAGGATCTTGCCTGTTGCCCAGGCTAGAGTGCAGTGGTGCAGCCATGGCTTACTGAAGCCTCAACCTTCTAGGCTCAATCCATCTTCCCACCTCAGCCTCCCAAGTAGCTGGGACCACAGGAGTGAGCCACCACACTCAGCTAATTTTTAAATATTTGTAGAGATAGGGTCTCCCTGTGTTGCCCAGGCTGGTCTCGAACTCCTGAGCTCAGACGATCTTCCCGCCTTGGCTTCCCAAAGTGCTGGGAGGCCTAAGCCCAGCCTAATCTACCACTTCTTGCAACAAATGCCTTTCTTCTCTTTACCTCTCAAAATCTTCTGTCCATCGCCCTTTCCCTAATACACACACACACACACACACACACACACACACACACCTTAGTATCCTGAAGGATGGAAATTTGGGGATTCTAGTTCTATTTTCCAATATATCTGACAAGAATAATTCAGAAAAAAGTAAAGATGTGCATCTAGAAATAACATTTTTTCAGCCTGACTTTTCACCTGTGTGGAACTAATTTTACCTTCTGTCCCTCAGTAATCCTCTACCAATCTGTATAGCTCCAGGCCAAGGATGTATGAGTAAGGTAATATTCCTGATCCTTTGTCCCTGGCTCTCTCAGGCAATTAATGCAGCTCTCTTTCTTCACTAGTTAAGTCCTTCTCCAACCTCCTTAGGTAGAGCAAGCTAGGAACACAGAAGTGAGGAAAATAGAGCCATATCTGCTACTCTCAAATTCAGCTGACTGTCTTCACACACCCATATCTTTTCTCTAGCAATTACTACTTAATTATATTCCCTTGATTTCTGGAGCTCATTAATGATAAGGTTCATCAGTGAATCAGTAATTTTAAAGAAAAATCTGCTGCCATAACTAGAATTCAGGAAATGTGGTATTGTGAAAGAAATCTAATGTGACCTCTGCCAACATGAAAATATATTTATAAAACGCTTCTGACAAAAGCTAATTCGAAAACAATGATTTTTCCTTCTATTACTTATACCTTTTGTTCTAAGAGTGCCCTCCGGAGGGAGACCCTCTGTTCAAGCTCGCGAAGCTCTCGATCATGTTGTGCCTCAGCTTGCATCTTGATTTTGCTCTGATACGCATTCAACAGCTCCAGTTCCTGCTGCAGCTGCATCTTCAAAACCTGGCACTCTGCTTCCTGTGCTTCATCCAAACGCAGCTGAGACAGAGAGAGAGAGAGAAAAAAAAAAGATATATCCTAATGTTAGCTATCAATTCATGACCTATGGAAAGGAGGAGGAGTGTTAGAAGACAGACTACTCTTTTTTAGTTTAGACAATTTTTCTCTCTTGTATCTTGGAGTAAACATCTCTGAAAAAGAAATGCAGAATAACCAATATCGGTATGAAGATAAAGCTATCATAAGCTATTTGGAAGATGCCTGAATAACCATATTTTTCTTAAGAAAAACCTAGAATCCCCTCTCCCCCTCCCCCTCCCTCTCCCCACGGTCTCCCTCTGATGCCGAGCCGAAGCTGGACTGTACTGCTGCCATCTCGGCTCACTGCAACCTCCTTGCCTGATTCTCCTGCCTCAGCCTGCCGAGTGCCTGCGATTGCAGGCGCGCGCCGCCACGCCTGACTGGTTTTCGTATTTTTTTGGTGGAGACGGGGTTTCGCTGTGTTGGCCGGGCTGGTCTCCAGCTCCTAACCGCAAGTGATCCGCCAGCCTCCGCCTCCCGAGGTGCCAGGATTGCAGACGGAGTCTCGTTCACTCAGTGCTCAATGGTGCCCAGGCTGGAGTGCAGTGGGGTGATCTCGGCTCGCTACAACCTCCACCTCCCAGCCGCCTGCCTTGGCCTCCCAAAGTGCCGAGATTGCAGCCTCTGCCCGGCCGCCACCCCATCTGGGAAGTGAGGAGCGTCTCTGCCCGGCTGCCCATCGTCTGGGATGTGAGGAGCCCCTCTGCCTGGCTGCCCAGTGTGGAAAGTGAGGAACATCTCTGCCCGGCCGCCATCCCATCTAGGAAGTGAGGAGCGCCTCTTCCCGGCCGCCATCCCATCTAGGAAGTGAGGAGCGTCTCTGCCCGGCCGCCCATCGTCTGAGATGTGGGGAGCGCCTCTGCCCCGCCACCCCATCTGGGATGTGAGGAGCGCCTCTGCCCGGCCGCGACCCCATCTGGGAGGTGAGGAGCGTCTCTGCCCGGCAACCGCCCCGTCTGAGAAGTGAGAAGCCCCTCCGCCCGGCAGCCACCCCGTCTGGGAAGTGAGGAGCATCTCCGCCCGGCAGCCACCCCATCCGGGAGGGAGGTGGGGGTCAGCCCCCCGCCCGGTTGGAGGTGGGGGGGTCAGCCCCCTGCCCGGCCACCCGCCCCGTCCGGGAGGGAGGTGGGGGGGTCAGCCCCCCACCCGGCCAGCCGCCCCGTCTAGGAGGTGAGGGGCGCCTCTGCCCGGCCACCACCCCGTCTGGGAGGTGTACCCAACAGCTCATTGAGAACGGGCCATGATGACAATGGCGGTTTTGTGGAATAGAAAGGGGGGAAAGGTAGGGAAAAGATTGAGAAATCGGATGGTTGCCGTGTCTGTGTAGAAAGAAGTAGACATGGGAGACTTTTCATTTTGTTCTGTACTAAGAAAAATTCTTTTGCCTGGGGATCCTGTTGATCTGTGACCTTACCCCCAACCCGGTACTCTCCGAAACATGTGTTGTGTCCACTCAGGGTTAAATGGATTAAGGGCGGTGCAAGATGTGCTTTGTTAAACAGATGCTTGAAGGCAGCATGCTCGTTAAGAGTCATCACCACTCCCTAATCTCAAGTACCCAGGGACACAAACACTGGGAAGGCCGAAGGGTCCTCTGCCTAGGAAAACCAGAGACCTTTGTTCACTTGTTTATCTGCTGACCTTCCCTCCACTATTGTCCTATGACCCTGCCAAATCCCCCTCTGCGAGAAACACCCAAGAATGATCAAAAAAAAAAAAACCACAAACAAACAAAAAAGAAAAACCTAGAATCTCATTAGATCTCTGAATCTCTTCCTCTCTAGTGGAAATAACTATAGAACAAAGACCAGCAAACTATAGTCTACAAGCAAAGTATGAGCAGGCGCCTGTTTTGTTGTTATTTTTTACAGCCCATGAGCTAAGAGTGGTGTTTTCATTTTGAAAGGGTTACATATTGCCGGGCGCGGTGGCTCACGCCTGTAATCCCAGCACTTTGGGAGGCTGAGGCGGGCGGATCACAAGGTCACAAGGTTGAGACCATCCTGGCTAACACGGTGAAACCCCGTCTCCACTAAAAATACAAAAAATTAGCTGGGCTTGGTGGCATGCGCCTGTAGTCTCAGCTATTCGGGAGGCTGAGGCAGGAGAATGGCGTGAACCCGGGAGGCGGAGCTTGCAGTGAGCCAAGATCGTGCCACTGCACTCCAGCCTGGGTGACAGAGCGAGACTCCGTCTCAAAAAAAAAAAAAAAAGAAAGGGTTACATCTTAAGCAGTTATATAAGTACCCACATAATAGCCTTAGTTTTGCCTCCTGCCTAAAAAGTCTTATCTGGCCCTGTTTTTTTTTTTCTGAGACGGAGTCTCGTTTTGTTGCCCAGGCTGGAGTGCAATGGCGCAATCTCGGCTCACTGCAACCTCTGCCCCCGGGGTTCAGGTGATTCTCCCGCCTCCGCCTCCAGAGTAGCTGGGATTATGGGCGCCCACCACCACGCCTGGCTAATTTTTGTATTTTTAGTAGAGACGAGGTTTCGCCATGTTGGGCAGGCTGCTCTCGAATTCTTGACCTCAGGTGATCCACCCGCCTAGGCTTTCCAAAGTGCTTGGATTACAGGCGTGAGCCACTGGCGCGCAGCCTTATCTGGCCCTTTAAAAAAAAGTTTACAAAGCTCTTATATAGAAAATATTTTGCGCCTGTAATCTCAGCTACTCGGGAGGCCAAGGACGGAGAATCCCCTTGAACCCGGGAGGTGGAGGTTGCAGTGAGTTGAGATCGCACTACTGCAATGCAGCCTGGGCGACAGGGCAAAATTCCATCTAAAAAAATAAATAAATAAATAAAAAATTTGTAGCCGGGCGTGGTGGCTCATGCCTGTAATCCCAGCACTTTGGGAGGCCGAGGCGGGCGGATCACGAGGTCAGGAGATCGAGACCATCCTGGCTAACACGGTAAAACCCCGTCTCTACTAAAAATACAAAAAAAAAAAATTAGCCGGGCATAGTGGCAGGCGCCTGTAGTCCCAGCTACTTGGGAGGCTGAGGCAGGAGAATGGCGTGAACCCGGGAGGCGGAGCTTGCAGTGAGCCGAGATCGCGCCACTGGACTCCAGCCTGGGTGACAGAGTGAGACTCCGTCTCAAAAAAAAAAAAAAAAATTTGTACTTGTACTCAAACACAACCATTTTTATTCCCATTATAATCATACCTTTTGCTCACTGCTTCCCAAAGCTGCTATTCTAATCTCAATAAGGTGTTAGGATCTGTGCTGGCAGGGAGCCTATTTAGAACCTCATGTCTAAATGTATCAATGAGAATTCTACATGCATCATGACATTTTCAAGCAATGTTGAGAACAGGAAGAAAATGAACCACCACCACATTTCCCAAGCTTCAGGAGAGCTATCATTTCCAACTAGTACTTTAATTGCTGTGATTTCGTTCAGGTGGTGGAAGAAAAGGGGCACTAAATTTGTTTTGCCCCAAAAAAAGCAAACTCACGGCTTGTGTGGAGAGCATTTCATTAATGCTGTGATCATACTGCTCAGCCAAGATAGCTAATTTCCGGGTCTGTTCCTCCTTGAGCCGTTTCAGAACAGCTTTGTGCTCACTCTTTGGTGTAGTCTCCAGCAGGTGATTTCTTAATGCTTTGTACTGTCTGGTTTGGATTTTGCAGGTATCCTGAAACTGCTTTTTTATTTGGAGTTCTTTAGACTGGGAAGAAAAAAAAATACATTTATGTAAGTTGTAACGAAAGGCATTTGGTATATGGTATGCTTACATACATGAAAATAAAGGCTACTAGGAAAAAAATGAGAGGAAAGCCAAGCAGGTCAGATCATCAGGTTGCAGGTACTTTTTGCACTTGGCTATTTGGCCAAACTGCTGATTGAATTTTATGCAGTTTTACAACAAAAAACCTCATTTAAAACATTAGGGCATAAACAGCCCCATTTATGATAGGACTTGTAACAATATCTGTTGTTTCACTAATAAAGTTAGTGACCTGAGTAGATATTAAAATTAGCTTTGATTACTATGCATATTCATGACAGAGAATTACATTTTTTCTTTTTCTTTTTCTTTTTTTTTTTGAGATGGAGTCTCACTCTGTTACCCAGGCTGGAGTGCAGTGGTGCAACCATTGCTTACTGTAGCCTCAACCTCCTATGCTCAAGCAATCGTCCCACCTCAGCCTCCTGAGTAGCTGGGACCACAAGTGTGCGCCACTATGTTCAGCTAATTTTTTTTTTTTTTTTGGAATCTCGCTCTGTCACCCAGGCTGGAGTCCAATGGCGCAATCTTGGCTCACTGCAACCGCCGCCTCCCTGAGTTCAACCGATTCTCCTGTCTCAGCCTCCCGAATAGCTGGGATTACAGGCATGTGCCACCATGCCCAGCTAATTTTTGTATTTTTAGTAGAGACGGGGTTTCACCATGTTGGCCAGGATGGTCTCGCACTCTTCACTTCAAGTGATCTGCCTGCCTTGGCCTCCTAAGTGCTGGGATTACAGGCGTGAACCACTGCACCTGGCCAATTTTTGTATTTTTTGTAGAGACAAGGTTTCACTGTGTTACCTAGGCTGGTGTCAAATTCCTGGGCTCAAGCAATCCACCTGCCTTGGCCTCCTGAAGTGCTGGGTTTACTGGTGTCAGCCACCATACCCAGCTCCTGGATATTTTTGTTGTTGTTGTTAGTGATGGAGTTTCCCTATGTTGCCCAGGCTGGTTCCAAACTCCTGGCCTCAAGCGATCCTCCCACCTCAGCCCCTAAAAGTACAGTAATTATAGGCATGAGCCACTGTACCTGGCTTAGAAAATTAAATTTTTTCTCATGAATTAAGCATAATAGAGTTATTGTGGCTCATGCCTGTAATCCCAGTACTTTGGGAGGCCAAGGCAGGATTGTTTATAGGCCAGGAGTTCCAGACTAGCCTGAGCCAACATAGTGAGACCCCATTTCTACAAAGCAATTTTTAAAATTAGCCAGGCATAATGATGTTCACCTGTAGTCCTAGCTGCTAGGGAGGCTGAGGCAGAAGGATCACTTGAGCCCAGGAGTTCAAGGCTGCGGTGAACCATGATTGCATCATTGGACTCTAGGCTGAACAATAGAGTGAGACACTGGTCTCTTAAAAAAAAAAAAAAAAAAGATATAAAAGCACTTTATTGGTGAGACAATATCTTATCAGATCTAGAGACAGAAAATAAAGCACATTTATTCTGTTCGTTTTAGAAACACTTTGCTGCAATTTCTTTTTTTTTTTTTTTTTTTTTTTTTGAGACGGAGTCTCATTCTGTTGCTCAGGCTGGAGTGCAGTGGTGTGATCTCAGCTCACTGCAGCCTCCATCTCCTGGGTTCAATCGATTTTCCTGCCTCAGCCTCCTGAGTAGTGGGGATTACAGGCTTGCACCACCAAGCCCAGCCAATTTTTGTATTTTTAGTAGAGACAGGGTTTCACCATGTCAGCCAGGCTTGTCTTGAACTCCTGACCTCAGGCAAACCGCCCACCTTGGCCTCCCAAAGTGCTGGGATTACAGGCATAAGCCACTGTGCCTTGCCCCCAATTTCTTTTCATGACACTCTCAACTCTAACTATACAGTTTATGTACCAAATGTGAGGCTGACTTGGAAATCTCTATTAGGAATTACTAATATTGTTATTACAATGGTCTTTTCCTTAAGAGAATAAACTAGGTAGAGATATACTTCGCAATGGTTTACTCTTTAACACAAGCAAAAACTTAAAAGTCAGTCAAGTTAACAAATCTTGGCCAGGCGTGGTGGCTCACGCCTGCAATCCCAGCACTTTGGGAGGCTGAGGTGGCCAGATCATTTGAGGTCGAGTTTGAGACCAGCCTGGCCAACACGGTGAAACTCTGTCTCTACTAAAAATACAAAAATTAGCCCGGTGTGGTGGCATGTGCCTGTAATCCCAGCTACTCAAGAGGCTGAGGCACAAGAATTGCTTGAACCCGGGAGGTGGAGGCTGCAGTGAGCTAAGATTGCACCACTGCACTCCAGCCTGGGCAACAGAGTGAGACTCTGTCTCAAAAACACACACACACACACAAAACAAACAAACAAAATAACAAAACTAATCTTTCAAAGGTTAAACAAAACTTCTGTGGTAACGGAGGAGACAATCCTCTTCGTGGGGTAACAGACATGAACTACAGTATATAAACATTTCTGAGATGAAAATATTTAAGTTTAGAGACAGAAGATCTTTGGCTTTAGTGTTTGGTTAATCAGTAGGTTGGGTATTCTATGAACTCAGGTTTTAAAAAGCTTCAATAAGATGAGATCTGTTTCTGTAAGGTGTACCAGTTGATCCTACAAGTGAGAACACATTCATTTACTGCACTGAGGCAGAACCTATTGTTGAAATTATTTTATCTTAATATAAATACTGCCAGGTATTGGCTGGTTGATTCATCATGCAACAAATGGATATGTAACCAAATTTACACACTTGTCTAAGAGAAAGTACTCCCCTCAATACTACAACATTAAATATGCCTTTCTGTATTTTTCACCATCTGAGGCACTAGACCCTAGTAATATGTCTTTATTTTGTGAGGGGTCAAGAAATGTCTAGCTAGTAAGAGAAACTCTTAGTTTAGCTATGGTTAGTAGCACTGTTTTTATTTTTGAGACAGTCTCACTCTGTTGTCCAGGCTCTGGAGTACAGTGCCATGATCATGGCTCACTGCATCCCTGACCTCCCAGGCTCAAGCAATCCTCCTACCTCAGCCTCCCAAGTAGCTGGGATTACAGGTGTGAGCTACCACCACGCCTGGCTTTTGAATCTTTTTCTTTTCTTTTTTTGAGACAGGGTCTCACTGTCACCCAGGCTGGAGTGCAGTGGCATGATCATGGCTCACCACAGCCTCAACCTCCTGGGGTTCAAGTGATCCTCTTGCCTCTCAGCCACCTGAGTAGCTGGGACCACCACAGGCATGTCATCATGCCCAGCCTCTTTTTTTTTCCCTGAGAAAGAGTCTTGCTCTGTCACCAGGCTGGAGTGCAGTGGCGCTACCTCAGCTCACTGCAACCTCCGACTCCGTGGTTCAAGCGATTCTCTTGCCTCAGCCTCCTGCGTAGCTGGGACTACAGGTGCATGCCACCACACCCAGCTAATTTTTTAATTTTTAGTAGAGATGGGGTTTCACCCTGTTAGCCAGATGGTCTCAATCTCCTGACCTTGTGATCTGCCCACGTCAACCTCCCAAAGTGCTGGGATTGCAGCCGTGAGCCACTGTGCCTGGCTTTTTTTTTTTTTTTTTTTTTTTTTTTTAAGAGATGAGATCTCCCTATGCTGCCCAGGCTGGTAATTTTTTCTAGAGACAGGGTCTCACTATGTTGCTCAGGCTGAGTAGCACCATTTTAAAATACCATTCTTAGGCTGGGTGTGGTGGCTCACGCCTGTAATCCCAAGACTCTGAGAGGCTGAGGTGGGTGGATCACTTGAGGTTAGGCATTCAAGACCAGCCTGGTCAATATGGTGAAATCCCTTCTCTACTAAATATACAAAAATCAGCCAGGTGGTGGTGCATGCCTGTAATCACAGCTACTCAGGAGGCTGAGGCAGGAGAATCACTTGAAGCTGGCAGGCAGAGGTTGCAGTGAGCCGAGATTGCGCCACTGCCCTCCAGCCTGGGTGACACAGTGAAAACAAACAAAAACAAACAAAAAAACCATTCATGGTTAACAAAGTTGTTCCAAGTGCTTCTAGACAGAAATGAAACAATGAAATTTAGATAGTATCTTCTGCCTCAGTAAAATAGCATCCATTCTTTTAAAAGGCTTTATTTTTATTTATTTATTTGTTGAGATGGAGTTTTGCCCTTGTTGCCCAGGCTGGAGTGGAATGGCGCGATCTTGGCTCACCGTAACCTCCACCTTCCTCCGCCTTCCGGGTTCAAGTGATTCTCCTGCCTCAGCCTCCCAAGTAGCTAGGAGAGCAAGCATGTGCCACCACACCCGGCTAATTTTGTATTTTTAGTAGAGATGGGGTTTTTCCATGTTGGTCAGGCTGGTCTCGAACTCCCGACCTCAGCCTCCCAAAGTACTGGGATTACAGGTATGAGCCACCACGCCCGGACATTATTTTTAATTTTTGAGACGGAGTCTCGCTCTGTCGCCAGGCTAGAGTGCAGTGGCACGACCTTGGCTCACTGCAACCTCCGCCTCCTGGGTTCAAGTCAATCTCCTGCCTCAACCTCCCAAGTAGCTGGGACTACAGGCACGTGCCACCATGCCTGGGTAATTTTTGTATTTTTAGTAGAGACGAGGTTTCACCATGTTGGCCAGGATGGTCTCTTGACCTCATGATCCCCTGCCTCGGCCTTCCAAAGTGCTGGGATTACAGGTGTGAGTGACTGCCCCAGCGAAAAGTTTTTATTTTTAAAGCATTGTGCTGGGCTGGGCGCGGTGGCTCACGCCTGTAATCCTAGCAGTTTGGGAAGCTGAGGTGGGTGGATCACCTGAGGTCAGGAGTTCAAGACCAGCAGGGCCAACATGGTGAAACCCTTCTCTACTAAAAACACGAGGGCGTGATGGTGGGCGCCTGTAATCCCAGGTACTTGGGAGGCTGAGGCATGAGAATCGCTTGATCCTGGGAGGCAGAGGTTGCAGTGAGAAGATCATGCCACTGCACTCCAGCCTAGGCGACAAGAGCGAAACTCTGTTTCAGAAAGAAAACAAGGTCGGGCATGGTGGCTCATGCCTGTAATCCCAGCACTTTGGGAGGCCGAGGCGGGCGGATCACGAGGTCAGGAGTTTGAGACCAGCCTGACCAACATGGTGAAACCCCATCTCTACTAAAAATACAAAAATTAGCCGGGCGTGGTGGTGTGCACCTGTAATCCCAGCTACTTGGGAGGCTGAGGCGGGAGCATTGCTTGAACCCGGGAGGCGGAGGTTGTGGTGAGCTGAGATCGTGCCATTGCATTCCAGCCTGGGCAATAAGAGCGAAACTCCACCTCAAACAAAACAAAACAAAACAAAACAAAAAAAACAAACATTGTGCCAGGAATACTGTAATCATTCCACATTCCTGCCTAATGAGAAAAAATAACTCTTTGAAAAATTTTTCTTTAACAAGAGTAAAATTAATGCTTATACTAAGAATAAACTATATCCCTCAATGTGTGACTCAAGTGAAAGCGAGATGAAGGCAAGTTACATTTATTTCTACTCATTTAGTGCTGACAAAGCATCATCTGGATGGCAGCTGAAGAAACAGCGGAGTAGGCAGCAGATTTTCACCCAACCCTTTCCATAGAAACAGCACCCCACCCCCACAAATCCTAATCAACATAAATAAAATGTTCCAACTGCAGTCTCCTCTCCTCCATCAAACACAGTTGATGCTATATTCTAAATTCTGCCTCCGCTACTAAAGGAGAAAATTGAAAGAGGCAACGATTACTTAAGTAAATAGAAATGTGATGACTTGGTGTTAAAATGTTCAAGTTGACTAAGTAAATAGATACACCTAAATATGAGGAAAATGGTGATTTTTCTTTCCTAACAGGAAACCTTGAGCTCACTTGTAATCAGAAATGCATTTTATTTAAAGCCTGACTATGATAACGAAGCTTTATTTTCTCCTCACTTTTAACGTACTATCTGAGAGAATCGGACTACTGTTTATAAGCTTTAAAACGGAAAGGTTCTAATGACAGAAAGAAATGGTTAAATGTCAAACACCTATCCATCACCCAAGCCCTAGAGAAATGCAGTCATATCAGATTTACGGTATGACTTTCAGTTTGGTTTATTCCTCGGTGCTGTTGGCTTTAAAATCATAATTGACTTTGCTGACACGTTGGTTTAAAAATCTGTTCATGGGAGATTGTCTATTCTGTAGCTAAATGATTATGTATCTCCCCACTGCAAAAACAAATCTAAAAAATCATTATAATTCTAATTTTTCTAAGCATTAACTAAGGAAGATTATGTTAGTAGTCAACATAACTACTGTGTAATAATAATTACCTATTTTGAAGATATAGCAAGGTGAAATTTTACTCACATTCACATGAAAACAATAAAGCATCTTAACATTGTTTCTGTATTTTGTTCAGAACAGCTTGTTTGAATGGAGTTGGGTGGGCATTGGGAATACCATTGAGTGTGTTATAGCTTCTAGATTTTGACACAGATTACCTCTGTGAATGAATTTCATTGTACTCCAGCATAGTTATTCAGAGTAAAACCAAGAACCATTTTATAGTTTAAATATCAAATAGCTTATAAAAAGGGCTGGGTAGGAGTACAGGAGAAGCTTTAAATAGGAAATACTGTGGAAACTGGACCTTACTGAATATAAATAAAAGTTTTAAATGTACAGATATGTACAGAGCAATTGAGGTGCTTATCATCGATGACAGATAGTGGGTGGTTTTGTATATTAAGATTCATGTGGGCCAGGTGCGGTGGTTCATGCCTGTAATCCCAGCACTTTGGGAGGCCGAGGCGGGTGGATCACGAGGTCAGGAGATTGAGACCATCCTGGCTAACACGGTGAACCCCGTCTCTACTAAAAATACAAAAAATTAGCCGGGCGTGGTGGCAGGCACCTGTAGTCCCAGCTACTAGGGAGGCTGAGGCAGGAGAATGGCATGAACCCAGGAGGCAGAGCTTGCAATGAGCCAAGATCATGCCGCTGCACTCCAGCCTGGGCGAAAGAGCGAGACTCTGTCTCAAAAACAAACAAACAAACAAAAACTTCAGAATTGTTAACTGCAGTTGACTTTGATGGAGGGAGATGGACCAGGTGGCTGGAGGAACAAGCACAGAGAAGAAAACTTTTTCTTGTTTTTTTTTTTTCTAACTAGTAGCTGTGCAGCTTTAAACTTTTTACTTTATAATGCACTTTCATATTTTTAAATCTTGTACAAGTCATATTTACAGCAAATTAGGGTTTTAAAATTTTACTTGGAACAACAGAGAGAAGCCAAATGGTAAGCTTGTTGACATGTAGAATATAATATTGGCCTTGGACATTTGAGTACATTTTTTTTTTTTTTTTTTTTGAGACAGGGTCTTGCTCTGTCACCCGGGCTGGAGTGCTGTGGTGTGTTCTTGACTCACTGCAACCTCTGCCTCCTGGGTTCAAGGGATTCTCCTGCTTCAGCCCCCCGAGTAGCTGGGACTATAGGCATGTGCCGCCACACCCAACTAATTTTTGTATTTTTAGTAGAGACAGGGTTTCACCATGTTGTCCAAGCTGGTCTTGAACTCCTGACCTCAGGTGATCCACCCGCCTTGGCCTCCTAAACTGCTGGGATTACAGGCGTGAGCCACTGCACCCTGCCCTTGGATAAGTTTAAAACAAGAATCTTGATTCTTATCTACTGGCACTTCCCATGGTTAAAAGTTTTGGCCACTTTTTTGTACTCTGATGAGAAATACATAAGCAAAAGACTGTAGCAACAGGCATTTAACATTAAAGTCAACCAAAGATGCTAAAAATGAAAAGAAGCTTAGTCAATTTCTTTATGACTAGACATCATCTTAAGACTTTTCCTGCTTACATGGATACCTTTTCATTCTCCTCCCTGTTATCAAAAAGCTTAGGCTAACCATACCTTCAAACTCTTAGGCTGTTGTCGAACTTCCATGACATGCTTTCGTCTTAGTTCTCGTTCTCTTCGCTTATTATATTCCAGCTGGTTAGTGAGCTCAGTTTGATGCTGTAATCTGATCAACTCACAGCGCATCTTCTGAATTGTGTTGAGGTGGCGGAACTCCAGTTCTTGCATAGATTCATGCTGTCGGAGTAGCATGGCATGCTCTAAGTCCTTCTGAGTCTGTCTTTTGTTTAACTCCTAATCCATAACACAAAAGACAAAGGTATAACTTACTGCTGTATAATGCCAGAAAAAAGTCCTAATTAACAGAATAACCAGTAAACAGATGTAATTAACCCTGTTATTCAATTATAGTTGCATAGTAAATAAGAGGGTTGTGACTTTTACCTCTTTAAATGGGCAATTAGTAGCACAAATTTCCTTATATTCATTTACTATTTATTCATATTATTTTATTACCATTAGCTTAAGACTAAATCTATATCAAGAGGTTTAACATTCTTCTTTTGTATACTTCCTAATTTTATATTTGAAGAGGGCTCCTAAGTTATCCTTTCAATTTCTTCAGAGTATTCTATTCAATTATTTTACACGCAGTCTACTCTGGTTAGTGTAGTGATTAAGAACACGGACACAGCTGGGCGCGGTGGCTCATGCCTGTAATCCCAGCACTTTGGGAGGCCGAGGCGGGTGGATCACGAGGTCAGGAGATCGAGACCATCCTGGCTAACAGGGTGAAATCCCGTCTCTACTAAAAACACAAAAAATTAGCCAGGCGTTGTGGCGGGCGCCCGTAGTCCCAGCTACGCGGGAGGCTGAGGCAGGAGAATGGCATGAACTCAGGAGGCGGAGCTTGCAGGGAGCTGAGATCAAGCCGCTGCACTCCAGCCTGGGCGACAGAGCGAGACTCCCTCTCAAAAGAAAAAAAACATGGACACTAGAGAGCTATACTGCCTGTATTCTAAATTCTGGCTCTGCTACTTGTGAGCAGTGAGACCTTCACTTAGTTAAACTAAATGTGCTTTAGTTTCATCATTTCTCAAATGCATATAATAATATAGCTATTTCACAGATTTAATGTGAAGATGAAATCAGTTAATAAACAAAAAGTTCTCAGAATAATACCTAGCACATGGTACTCAACAAATGTCATTCCTTTATTTTAGACCTCACAGGGCTCTAAACATTTTTTTAAAGAGATTCTAAAATTTTGTTTCATATTGGAAACAAGTAAACACATACATATATAATGTAAAAGTCAAACTTGCTCCTTTTGCCTTTGCAGACTCTCTCCCCAGAGGCCAACAGTTTGGTGCATGTGCTTCTCAACCTTCCCCAAGTTTATTCAGATTAGTCTATTTTACAAAAACATACAGTTTTAAAAACTGAACAACAATATATGTTTTAGGCACATAACTGGCTTTCTTCATTTAATAATATAATATACACGTATCCGGATCAGATCAGTACATAAAAGATTTTTTTTTTTTTGAGACTGAGTGTCACTCTGTCGACCAGGCTTGGAGTGCAATGGTACCAACTTGGCTCACTGCAACCTCTGCCTTCTGAGTTCAAGTGATTCTTCCTGCCTCAGCCTCCCGAGTAGCTGGGACTACAGGCATGTGCCACCACGCCTGGCTAATTTTTGTATCTTTAGTATAGATGGGTTTTCACCATGTTGGCCAGGATGGTCTCGATCTCCTGACCTCGTGATCTGCCCACCTCAGCCTCCCAAAGTGCTGGGATTACAGGCGTGAGCCACTACTACCCGGCCTGCTCAGCCAATTAAAAAAAAATTTTTTGGCTGGGCACGGTGGCTCACGCCTGTAATCCCAGCACTCTGGGAGGCCGAGACAGGCGGATCATCTGAGGTCAGGAGTTCGAGACCAACCTGGTCAACATGGTGAAACCCAGTCTCTATTAAAAATACAAAGATTAACCAGGCCATGGTGGTGCATGTCTGTAGTCCCAGGTACTTGGGAGTCTGAGGCAGGGGAATGGCTTGAACCCAGGAGGCAAAGGTTGCAGTGAGCCGAGATCACACCACTGCATTCCAGCCTGGGCAATAGAGTCTCAAAAAAAAAAAATTTGTAGAGACAGGGTCTTGCGATGTTGCCCAGGACAGTCTCAAACTCCTGGCCTCAAGTGATCCTCCCACCTCAACCTCCCAAAGTGTTGGAATTATAGGTGTGAGCCACTGCACCCAGCCAGTACATAGAAATTTTTAAAGTTTCATTGTAACCTACTGCTTTGTGACGCCTTAATTCTTTCAATCATTCCTCTGTGGTTGGACATTTAAGCTGTTTCCATGTTTCACTTTTTTTTTTTTTTTTCTTCAGACAGAGTCTCACTCTGTCGCCCAGGCTGGAGTGCGGTGGTGTGATTTCAGCTCACTGCAACCTCCGCCTCCCAGGTTCAAGCAATTCTTGTGCCTCAGCCTCTTGAGTAGCTGGGATTACAGGCATGCACCACCACACCCAGCTCATTTTTAAAATATTTTTAGTGGAGATAGAGTTTTACCACGTTGACCAGGCTGTCCTCGAACTCTTGACCTCAAGGATTACAGGTGAGAGCCACTGCTCCAGCCCATGTTTCACTTTTATGAAAAAAGTTTCAATAAATATCTATGTATACTGTATCACAGAATCATGTTACTATTTCTGTAGGACAGAGTTCTAGAAGTGGATTTGATGGATAAATGCTATGTGCGTATTAAATTTTAAAAGCTACTGTTAAATCCTGCTCCAAAGGGGCAATATCAATTTATATTCTTACTAATAGTGTCTGTTAACACATGCTATTACTAGGATTGATTGTATCTTTTACATTTTTCTTACATAATGGATGCAACTGTTTTAATTTGAATTTATTAGTAAACTCGCACAATTATGCTATATTACAAGCTTATTTCAACCCACTCTCAGAAATAAATTTATCTATACTCACAGGTATCCTAATAATGAGAATAATTTTTTTCTTTTCTTTTCTTTTTTTTTCTGAGATGCAGACTTGCTCTGTCGCCCAGACCGGAGTGCAGCAGCGCGATCTCAGCTCACTGCAACCTCCGCCTCTTGGGTTCAGTTGATTCTCATGCCTCAGCCTCCTGAGTAGCTGGAATTATAGGCGCCCGCCACCTCGTCCGGCTCATTTGTTTGTATCTCTACTAAAAGTAGAGATGGGGTTTCACTATGTTGGCCAGGCTGGTCTCAAACTCCTGACCTCAAGTGATCCACCTGCCTTGGCCTCCCAAAGTGCTAGGATCACAGCCATGAACCATCACACCCAGCCAAGAATAACTGTTTTCATTGGCAGAAGAGTTTCTACAACATTTACCCAATTAATAATTACATGATGATAAAAATGTATTTAAGGGCAGCACACACTTCATGGAACCCATTTCAGGTCAGAGGCAAAAACTGCCCAGTGAATTTCCTCATATGTAAAAATCAAGGCTGGCCACTGTGGCTCACACCTGTAATCCCAGCACTTTGGGAGGCCGAGGTGGGTGGATCACCTGAGGTTGGGAATTGGAGACTAGCCAGGCCAACATGGCAAAACCCCGTCTCTACTAAAAATACAAAAATTAGCTGGGTGTGGTGATGCACGCCTGTAGTCCCAGTTACTTGAGAGGCTGAGGCAGGAGAATTGCTTGAACCTGGGAGGCGGAGGTTGCAATGAGCCGAGATTGCCACTGTACTTCAGCCTGGGTGAAAGAGCGAGACTCTGTTTCAAAATAAATAAATAAATAAATAAATAAATAGATAAAGTAAAAATAAAAAATAAAAATCAACATTTTAAATTTTTCATTTGTGGATTGGTTAATATTTATTGAATGCCTACTGTGAGTCAGAAACTGGAGATATAAAAAATTGCATCAATTCCGTGATTTCATAAAACTTCCATTGTAGTGAGGGAGTCAGGAACAACCTCCCTACCCTACAGAAACACATGGTTTTGTGAACACACACATGTTCATGTGAGAAAGAGAGTGCAAAGAAGACCATATGTATTTAGTTAGTTGTCTGTCTGTTTGAGACAGGGTCTTGCTCTGTAGCTCAGGCTGGAGTGCAGTGGCATGATCATGGCTCACTGCAACCTCAACCTCCTGGGCTCAGGCAATATTCATGCTTCAGCCTCCCAGGTAGCTGGCACTACAGGTGCACACCACAACACCCAGCTAATTTTTTTGTATACATATATTTTTTGTAGAGACAGGGATTTGTCATGTTGCCCTGTCTGGTCTCAAACTCCTAGGATCAAGTGATCTGCCTGCCTTGGCCTCCCAAAGTGTTCGGATTACAGTTACCATACCTGGCTGCAAAGAATAATATTTAAAGAAAGCAGAAGAATGTGGTGGTGCAGTCCAGGCATGGTAGCTCATGCTTGTAATCCTAGCACTTTGGGAGGCTGAGACGGGCAGACCGCATGAGGCCAGGAGTTCAAGAACAGCCTGGCCAACATGGCGAAAGCCCATGTCTACTAAAAATACAAAAATTAGTTGGGTGTGGTGGTGCACACCTGTAATCCTAGCTATTTGGGAGGCTGAGGCACGAAAATCACTTGCACCCAGGAGGTGGAGGTTGCACTGAGCCAAGATGGAGCCACTGCACTCCATACTTGGCGACATGGAGAGACTGTCTTGAAAAAAAAAATTTTGGTGGTTAAGAAAGAGATTTTGAGGAAATGACATCTGAGTAAAGATATACAGGGAGCAAACAATCCATGTGAATATCTGGGGAAGAATGATTCAGACAGAGGCAAGTATAAGTGCAAAGTCCCTGAGACTAGAATGGAATTGGAATATTTTCAGGAAAGATTCTTTTGATAAAGGATTTAAAATTTCTCATCACTCAAACTTACCTCCCTGACAAGGTCCTGCTCTAAGTTATGACGCCCAAGTAACATTCTTCTCTTGAAGCGACGGCATTCCAGCTCTAGGTATTGTCTTTGACGTCGAAGAAGGTTAGCTTCTTCTTCTGCTTGGAAATGCTGTATATTCTCCTTCTGCTTTGAAAGCCACTCCTGTTTTTCTTTTTTGGGGGTACTCTGGTTTTCATTTAGCTCCTGGCAACATAAAAAACAACTCAGGTAAAAATAGGCCTGGCACGGTGGCTCACGCCTGTAATCCCAGCACTCTGGGAGGCCGAGGTGGGCAGATCACCTGAGGTCAGGAGTTTGAGACTAGCCTGGCCAACATGGCGAAACTGTCTCTACTAAAATACAAAATTAGGCTGGGCGTGGTGGCTGACACCTGTAATTCCAGTACTTTTGGAGGCTGAGGCGGGCAGATCATGAGGTCAGGAGATCGAGACCATCCTGGCTAACACGGTGAAACCCTGTCTCTACTAAAAATACAAAAAAAATTAGCCGGGCATGGTGGCGGGTGCCCGTAGTCCCAGCTACTTGGGAGGCTGAGGCAGGAGAATGGTGTGAACCTGGGAGGCGGAGCTTGCAGTGAGCTGAGATCTCGCCACTGCACTGCAGCCTGGGTGACAGAGCGAGACTCTGTCTCAAAAAAAAAAAAAAATTAGCTGGGTACAGTGGCATGGGCCTGTACTCCCAGCTACTCAGCAGGCTGAGGCAGGAGAATTGCTTGAGCCCAGGAGGCAGGGGTTGCAGTGAGTCAAGATCACACCACTGCACTCTTTGGTGAAACTCCGTCTCAAAAACAAAACAAAACAAAAAAACCAACAACAACAACAACAAAAAAAACAGGGGTCGGGTGCAATGGCTTACACCTATAATCTCAGCACTTTGGGAGGCTGAGGCAGGCAGATCACCTGAGGTTGGGAGTTCGAGACCAGCGTGACCAACATGGAGAAACCCGGCCTCTACCAAAAATACAAAATTAGCCAGACATGGTGGTGCACACCTGTAATGTCAGCTACTTGGGAGGGTGAGGCAGAGAATCGCTTGAACCCAGGAGGTGGAGGTTGCAGTAAGCTGAGATGGCATCACTGCACTCCAGCCTGGGCAAGAAGAGCGAAACTCAGTCTCAAAAAAAAAAAAAAAAAATTAGCCAGGTGTGGTGGCACGTGTCTGGAGTCTCAGCTACTTGGGAGGCTGAGGCAGGAGCGTTGCTTGAACCTGGGAGGCAGAGGTTGCAGTGAGCCAAGATTGTGCCACTGCACTCCAGCCTGCGTGACAGAGTGAAACCCAGTCTCAGAAAAACAAAAACAACACAACGAAAACCCCATAAAAATTACCTACGTGAATATTATCATTTTGCATCAGTAAATTTTAAATAAAAGTTCTTGGCTGGGCGCGGTGGCTCACGCCTGTAATCCCAGCACTTTGGGAGGCAGAGGTGGGCAGATCACCTGAGGTTGGGAGCGCAAGACCAGCTTGACCAACATAGAGAAACCCTATCTCTACTAAAAATACAAAATTAGCCAGGCATGGTGGTGCAGGCTTGCAATCCCAGCTACTCGGGAGGCTGAGGCAGGAGAATCACTTGAACCTGGGAGGCGGAGGTTGCAGTGCAGTGAGCCGAGATCGCACCATTGCACTCCAGCCTGGGCAACAAGAGCAAAACTCCGTCTCAAAATAAATAAATAAATAAATACATACATAAAAATTAAAATAAACAAATAAAAGTTCTTAATTGTGTTTTTTCTCTAATGCTCAGGCAGGGCAATGCCCTCTAGAAGGCAAGTGGTATTTACATCTTTCTTTTTTTTTGAGACAGAGTCTTGCTCTGTCGCCCAGGCTGGAGTGCAGTGGCGCGATCTCGGCTCACTGCAACCTCCACCTCCTGGGTTCCAGTGATTTTTCCTGCCTCAGCCTCCTGAGTAGCTGGGATTACAGGCATCTGCCAGCATGCCCAGCTAATTTTTTGTATTTTTAGTAGAGACGAGATTTCACCATGTTAGCCAGTATGGTCTCGATCTCCTGACCCTGTGATCCACCCGCCTCAGCCTCCCAAAGTACTGGGATTACACGTGTGAGCCACTGCACCCGGCCTTTAGATCTTTCTTGAGTTACCCACTCAATCGGAAAGGAAAGAGAGATATGTACACCAGAAAACATGTGTATCTTTTGTCTCTGCACAGCTACGTTTCTGATGGTTCCTAACTTCGAAGTACACAATGATTGGTTAATAAAGTAAAACACATCCTTCTTTAAAACCTTCCCAAGAAGAGACAGAAGATAGTACTTTCAGGTAAAAATCACGAGTGAACTAGGACAAAAATACAGTTAAACATCTCGCTTCTTGGTTTTTGACATCCTTGATGCTAAGTTTTTGGCAAAATTATGGAAGGACTCAGCATAAGAAAACTGGAAATTAAATGGAAAATAAACAAAACCATGGGAGAATAGAGACATACTTTATGAATGGTATTTAATTTTCAGCATTAATAACCACTGAACAAATCAAAATTAATGATTTTCCACATTGTTTTACATACCAGCTCATAAACTATCTCAATAAGAATGCATTTATATTGAGCAATGTGAAAAAACTGGCAATATACTCAATGGAGCAAACTAGAATTTTTTTTTTTTTTTTTTTTTTTTTAGATCGAATTTCACTCTGTGACCCAGGCTGGAATGCACTGGCACGAATTCAGCTCCCTGCAGCATGGACCTCCCAGGTTCCAGTGATCTTCCCACCTAAGACTACTGAGTAGCTAGGACCACAGGTGTGTCCCACCATGCCTGGCTAATGATTTTTTTTTTTTTTTTTGCTAGACACAGGGTCTCAACATGTTGCCCAGGCTGGTCTTGAACTCCTGGGCTCAAGCGATCCTCCCACCTCAGCCTCCCAAAGTGCTGTTATAAGCATGTGCCACCCACCACTCTGGCCTTGATACTCTTTTGGTAAAAAATATACTAGTATTAGCATTCTGTGGCCAGGAATGGTGGCTCACATCCATCTGTAATCCCAGCATTTTGGGACGCCAAGGCCGGAGGATTGCTTGAGCCCAGGAGTTTGAGACCAGTTTGGAGAATATGGCAACACTGTTTCTACAAAAAATAAATTATAAAATTAGCTGGGCATGGTGGTATGCGTCTGTGGTCCCAACTACTTGGGAGGGTGAGGTAGGAAAACTGCTTCAGCCTGGGAGGTAAAGGCTGCAGTGAGCAGTATTGTGCCACTGCACTCCAGCATGGGTGACAGAGCGAAACCCTGTCTCAAAAAAAGCAAAACAAAACACCATCAACATTGTTTAGAATATAAATAGCTCATTTTTCTTAGTATAGGATCATTTTTCAGAGACTACTAGACCTCATTCATGGTCTTTCCCTTTAGTTAATAAAATATTCAAACACATAAAAATAAAAAGCACATAAATTATTACTTAAGAGTTTATGTGTATGCACGCTATGGGAAGAGAAAGGAATAACATGGGCACACAAGTAGACTATATACCTGGTTATCTTTTTCTTTTTCGAGGCAGAGTCTAGCTCTGTCGCTCAGGCTGCAGTGCAGTGGCCCAGCTCACTGCAACCTCCACCTTCCAAGTTACAGGGATTCTCCTGCCTCACCCTCTTGTGTAGCTGGGATGACAGTTGTGTGCCACCATGCTTGGCTAATTTTTTTATTTTTTATTTTTTTTAATTTATTTTTTGAGATGGAGTCTCACTCTGTCACCCAGGCTGGAGTGCAGTGGCACGATCTCGGCTCACTGCAACCTCTGCCTCCCGGGTTCAAGCAATTCTCCTGCCTCAGCCTCCTGAGTAGCTGGGATTATAAGTATGTGCCACCACGCCCGGCTAATTTTTTTGTATTTTTAGTAGAGACAGTGTTTCACCATATTGGGCAGGCTAGTCTCAAACTCCTGACCTTGTGATTTGCCCGCCTCGGCCTCCCAAAGTGCTGGGATTACAGGGGTGAGCCACCGCGCCTGGCCATACCTGGGTATCTTTTTCAAAATCTTCTGCCAGGGAACTCTCCCCTCCAAGACTCTGATATGTCCCTTCCTCTCTACTGAGAATCATTATTCTAAATGAACACAAATACATACACAACAACTTAGCTTCTAAAAGAAAATGCATTTATTTGTTTGACTATATGGTATATGCCTAAAGGATTATCTAAACAAACTAATCCATAAAGCTAAAGTCTGATTTCACTGGAAAACAAAACAACTGCATTTTGTTGGAGATTTATTTATAGTTGGAAACTCTATTTACTATTGTTTCAAACTCAAACTTCCAGTAGAGTTTGGCTTTCGAATTATAGTCATGGGAGTATACTGCAAATTATACCATTTAGAGTTGTAAAAATCTTGTCAGTGAAGCTCACGTGGCAAGGTATAGAGCAAGTCTTTGTGCCACCAATAGGTACACAACAAGACATACATATCTGATTATAAGGCAAATTCCTACACATACAAAAATCATTAATATCAAATTGATTATACTTATTTTATCAAAATCAATCGATGTATCACAGTATGCTAATTAATTATATGAACTAAAAATTTCAATCATCCTATAAGACGGGGGGGGGGGTGGGTAAATTAAAAGACATATCATTTTTCTGTCCTAGTGACTATCTTGAATAATGATCCTCTTTAAGAAGTTGTCGGGCCAGGCATGGTGGCTCACGCCTGTAATCCCAGCACTTTGGGAGGCCAAGGCGAGCAGATCATGAGGTCAGGAGATTGAGACCATCCTGGCTAACATGGTGAAATCCAGTCTCTACCAAAAATACAAAAAATTAGCCGGGCGTGGTGGTGGGTCCCTGTAGTCCCAGCTACTCGGGAGCCGGAGGCAGGAGAATGGTGTGAACCTGGGAGGCAGAGCTTGCAGTGAGCCGAGATCGCGCCACTGCACTCCAGCCTGGGTGACAGAGCAAGACTCTGTCTCCAAAAAAAAAAAAAAAGTTGTCAGCTGGATGTTGTGGCTCACACCTGTAGTCCCAGCACTTTGGGAGGCTGAGGCGGGTGGATCACAAGGTCAGGAGCTCAAGACCAGCCTGGCCAAGATGGTGAAACCCTCATCTCTACTAAAAATACAAAAATCAGCCAGGCGTGGTGGCAGTCGCCTGTAATGCCGGCTACTCAAGAGGCTGAGGCAGGAGAATCACTTGAACCCAGGCGGCAAAGGTTGCAGTGAGCCGAGATCATGCCACTGCACCCCAGCCTGGGCAACAGAGTGAGACTCCATCTCAAACCAAACCAAACCAAACAAACAAAAAGCAGCACAAGAGCCGGGAGTGGTGGCTAACTCTTGTAATCCCAGCACTTTGGGGGGCCGAGGTGGGTAGATTGTCTGAGGTCAGGAGTTTGAAACCAGCCTGGCTAACATGGTGAAACCCCGTCTCTACTAAAAAAATATATACAAATTAGCCAGGCATGGTGGCACACACCTGTAATCCCAGCTACTCGGGGGGGTTGAGGCAGGAGAATCCTTTCAACCTGGGGGGAGGGGAGGCTGCAGTGAGCCAAGATCACACCACTGCACTCCAGCCTGTATGACAGAGTGAGACTTCCGTCTCAAAAAAAAAGCGGGGGGTAGGGGGGAGGCCGGGCAGCACAAGAAAGGGCAAACAAATATGAAACCCTGTAGCCACAAAGAAATAATCAGCATATTCTACTTAAAAAAAACCTGATAAGCAAATATCTCCCTTATTCTACATTTAAATTGGCATAAAAACAAATTATTATAATCTTCTGATCCAAAAGTAAGACATTATTGTTTACTTTTAAAGTAATAAATGTGATCAGGTGCGGTGGCTTATGCCTATAATCCCAGCACTTTGGGAAGCCGAGGTAGGCGGACTGCTTGAGCCCAGGAGTTTGAGACCAGACTAGGCAACATGGCAAGACCCTGTCTCTACAAAAAATAAATTTAAAAATCAGCCAGGAGTGGTGGTGTGTGCTTGTGTTCCCAGCTACTTGGAAGGCTAAAGCAGGATTGCTTGAGCACGGGAGGTCGAAGCTGCAGTGAGCTATGATTGTGCCACTGCACTCCAGCCCGTGGAACAGAATAAGACTGTCTCAAAAAATACACACAAAAAATAAAAACATAAGGCCAGGCACGATGGCTCATGCCTGTAATCCTAGCACTTTGGGAGGCCGAGGCAGGCGGATCACAAGGTCAGGAGATCGAGACCATCCTGGCTAACATGGTGAAACCCCGTCTCTACTAAAAAAAATACCAAATGTTTGCCGGGTGTGGTGGTGGGCGCCTGTAGTCCCAGCTACTAGGGAGGCTGAGGCAGGAGAATGGTGTGAACCCAGTAGGCAGAGCTTGAAGTGAGCCGAGAGCGCGCCACTGCACTCGAGCCTGGGTGACAGAGCGAGACTCTTTGTCTCAAAAATAAATAAATAAATATAAAATAAAAACATAAAAAAAGTATATTTTCAGGAAATGATTCATTTTAAATCCTACTCAACTAAATGACTCAGTTAAGGGTAACTGATTATAATCAATGTCATCATTTAAACTAATACCCATTTAGTGACCATAAACAACAAAAGATAATTTTATCCTAATGCTTCTATGAGTTGGTCACCATTGGATATAATTAATAAGCAGAAAATTTGCTTGGAAAGTTTTATGACATAAGTACCTCTTTAAGCTGCTCTTTTCGAAGTTTATACTCTCTTTTCTGGGACTCGAGAAAACTATTCAGTTCTTTCTTCTGTTGGGCCTGAATATGTTGCTGAAATTTTTTCTCTTCATTGGACATCACTTTAGCCTATATGAAGTTTAAAAAATGAATCAAATTTAGTTAAGTAGATAAAGTAGTGGTTTAATATACATCATTAAGAATACCTTTTATTTTCTAAGAACAAGAAATCATTAGAAACATTACCAAAATAAAAGACTGAACCAAATTATAAACATGTGCTACTTGGCATCCTTATAATTTGAACTTCATAGAATCAGTAAGATGAAACTCATCTTTGAAATGTTGATCTCTTACAGGGTCAAAAATGTTGTCAACTTTTTATTTCATTTAACAGAAGTATACCTTCCTCCCAACCCTCAATCCCTCAGTAAAACAAAACAAATGCTATATTTTATTTCTGATTCTATATGCAATACATGTTCATTGTAGAATATTTACAAAATACAGAAAAACAAGAAACATCTTACATAATTTTGGCATCCAGAGATAACCAATGTAAACATTTTGGTGCATATCTTTTGCAATTTTTTCTTTTTTTAAAATTATTATTTTTGAGATGGAGTCTTGCTCTGTTACCCTGGCTGCAGTGCAGTGGCACGAGCTCGGCTCACTGCAACCTCCGCTTCCCGGGTTCAAGTGATTCTCCTGCCTCAGCCTCCCAAGTAGCTGTGACTACGGGTGTGTGACACCACGCCTGGCTAATTTTTGTATTTTTAGAAGAGATGGGGTTTTGCCATGTTGGCCAAGCTGGTCTTGAACTCCTGAGCTCAGGTGATCCACCCACCTCGGCCTCCCAAAGTGCTGGGATTACAGGCGTGAGCCACCATGCCCGGCCTCTAATTTTTTCTATAAATGTTCATGTCTCAAACACACACACATACACATACACACATATATTTGCATGTATATAATTAAGTAGGTATTGTGGCTCATACCTGTAATCCCAACACTTTGAGAGGCTGAGGTGGGAGGATCACCTGAGCCCAGGAGTTCAAGACCAGCTGGGTAACAGGGCGAGTGCCTGTCTCAAAAAATATGTTACAGGGTCTCACTCTGTCACCCAGGCTGGAGTGCAGTGGTACAATCATGGCTCATTGCAGCCTCCTCCTGAGCTCAAGTGATCTTCCCACCTCAGCCTCCTGAGTAGCTGGAACTAAAGGCGTATGCCACCCTGCTCAGCTAATTTATTTTTTTTGTGTGTGGAGACAGAGTCTTCCCATGTTGCCCAGGCTGGTCTTGAACTCCTGGGCTCAAGTAATCTTCTCACCTCGGCCTCCCAAAGTGGTGGGATTACAGGTGTGAGCCACTGCACCCATCCTGGTTATATACTTTTAAAACAAATTTGTTACCACATTGCATATCTGCTTCAGGAATTGTTTTCCTAAATATGTTAGTATCGCCTTTTCCCAAGCTATTAAAAATAATATCTATCAAGTGTGGTGGCTCACATCTATAATCCCAGCACTTTGGGAGGCCGAGGCAGGAAGGTCACCTGAGGTCAGGGATTTGAGACCAGCCTGATTAACATGGTGAAACCCCTTTTCTACTAAAATAAAAATAATACAAAAATTAGCCAGGCATGGTAGATGAAAAATTAGCCAGGCATGGTAGATGCACCTGTAGTCTCAGCTACTTGGGAGGCTGAGGCAGGAGAATTGTTTGAACTTGGAGAGCAGAGGTTGCAGTGAGCTGAGATCACACCACTGCACTCCAGCCTGGGCGACAGAGGGAGATTCTGTCTCAAAAAATAATAAAAATAAAATAAAAAATAAAAAAATGAAAATATCCAATGCCCAGAGGATTTTAAATATGTATACATTGTTTCATCAAATTATTTCAAAATCAAGTATGTATTTATACTATAAATTATTTTGTCAGGGTCCCTACTACTATAAGAATGTTCTTTTTTTGTGAAAAGGGAGAAGAGGGTAGCTATGATAAATAATGCCTCACTGCAGACTACCTGGACATATTTTAATGATATTGTGTGAATTTACTGAGAAGTCTACATTCTACTTGACAAACATGGCTATCAAAAAAAGTAAAACAATGGGACACCAAAAACATTAGAAGAAAAGGTTTCACATAACAAAAATCCTAAAAACTAACTTTTATCATGTAAAATAATGACAATTATTTGTCAATAATCAAATGAGCTCAATCTGAATCTGAATCTTTCATAACTTATAATCTTCAACATTATCTGTATTTATTACAGTAATCTTAAATCATTCTGATATTAAAATGCTGCCAGAAATTCAAGGGTAGTTTCCAAAAAATACAAAAAAGAGAATAAAAGTGACTTTTTGAGACCTAAATCACCTAATGATAGGAGATTTAGCAAACTCCTCAGATAACCAGGAAACAAAAAGCTTAAAGTAACTGAGTAACTTACCTATTGTGACACTACAAAACTATCAATAATCAGGAAATGGTCCCATGTCTTATTAGTTCCCAGACCTAGTACTTGATATTAAAACACATCAATTTTTCAGACTCAAAATTTTGTTGGCTATTACAAAAACTATAAAGTGGACTACTCCAATGAACAGTTTTAAGACTGATTTGTTTTAAATGACCCACACACAAAATTAGTGAGAGATAAAACACACAGGTGCCACCCTTTCTTGTAATATCAATTTACAGAAACCTTTATATAAGTCACATAAATGCTTCTCCTTTTCCCCAATTTGCTTGGTTCACGGGAACAGATACGCTAACATCAAACTGCCATGTTGGTTAATTCTGAGACATTCAAAACCTAAAATAAGCAAAGTAATAATACTGAATAAGCCACCTCTTTCTCCATGGCAGCCTGGTGTTTCTTGATAAGTTTCTCCATTTCTGCAGCAAAATTGTTACGCTGAGTTTCAAGATCTTTGTCTAATCTGAGGCGATGTTCATCCATCTCAGCCTTTAGCTTGTTTTCCAGAGTCATCAGTTGCTTTTGATGTTGTCGCCTCATTCGCTTATAGCCAGACATTTGTTCTCTAAGCTCAGAGTCCTGCTCATGTTCTTGCATTTGCCTCGTAACCTAGACATACAAATAATGTAAGGAAAAGAAGAAAATAAAACATTCTTCTTCGAAAAGCATTTTAGACAATTCTATATTAACTAAGTAGGGAATTAGTGTAAAATATCCCAATGTTAGCAGATTCCAAGGAAATTTCCAACAAGTCTTTTAAAGAAATTGACTGGTTCTAAAATTTATATGGGGATATAAAAGAACCTAGAATATCCAAAACAATCTTGAGGAAAAAAAATATTTGGAGGATATGCAGCACTATAGTAATCAAGACAATGTGATACTGGCTTTAAGATAGGCTAAGTAGATCAAGGAAATAGAATAAAAACTAGAAAGAGATCCACATATGTTCAATTGATTTTTCTACCAAGAAAGTCAAGTTAATTCAGAGGATAGTGTTTTTAGCAAATCCTGCTGAAACAAGTGGTTCTTTACATAGGAAAAAACAAATAAACCTTGACTCCCTATATCACTTATGTCATATATAAAAATTAATTTGAGAAGGATCATTTGAACTGAATGTAAAACCCAGAATCAGAAAGCAGAAACACAAAATATCTTTATAACCTTGGAGTAAGCAAATACTTCTTGGGCAGGACACAAAAAACACTGACTACAAAGAAAAAAAAAAACAAAAAAAAAACCTCAATTTAAAAATCAAGATAAAATACAAGACATAAAATTAATCACCTTAAAGTGAACAATTCAATATGTTTAGTGTATTTACCATGCCATGCAACTATCACCTTTATCTAGTTATAAAGCATGTTTATCACCTCAGAAGAAAATCCCATACCTATTAAGCAGTTGCTCTCCATTCTCCCCTCCTGGTAACCATCAATCTGCTTTTTGTCTCTATAGATATACTTATTCTGCATATATCATATAAGTAGTGTCATATGAGTTTTTATGGCTGGTTTCTTTCACTTAGCATGTTTTTGAAGTTTATCCATGTTGTAGTATGTATCAGTATTTCATTTCCTTTTATAGCTGAATAAAATTCCACTGTACATATATAGCACAATTTGTTTATCCACTCATCCATTGATGGACATTTGTGTTCTTTCCATCTTTTGGCTACTGTGAAAACTGCTGCTGTGACTGTGTGTACATGCACTTGTCTGAGTACCTGTTTTCAATTGCTTTAAAAAATGTTAATGTTTTGACAAATCATAATTGTATACATTTATGGAGTACATGTGATATACTGATATATGTATTCAACATATTAAATTAAATCAATCTAACATATCCATCACCTTATGCATCATTTTTTATGGTGAGACATTTGAGATCTACTTTTAATTATTTCAAAATATTCAATATATTATTGTTGACTATAGTCACCTGGCTATGCAAAAGATCTCCAAACCTATTCCTCCTATCTTTCTGAAACTTTGTACATTTTGATCAACAACTCCCCATTTCTCTCTCTCCCTAAATTCTAGTAACTTATCACTCTACTCTCCACCTCTATTCTATGAGTTCAACTTTATTTTTCTAGATTCCACATAAAAGTGAGATCATGTGGTATCTGTCTTTCTGTGCTTGCCTTATTTCACTTAGCATAATCCTCCAGATTCATTCATGTTCTTGCAAATGACAGGATTTTTCCTTTTTAAGGCTGAATGGTATTCCATTGTGTATATATGCTACATTTTCTTTATCCACTCATCCACTGATAGGCACTTAGGTTGATTCCATGACTTAGCTATTGTGAATAATGCTGCAATGAACATGGGAGTGCAGATATCCCTTCAACATATTAATTTCAGTTCCTTTAAATATGTACCCAGAAGTGGAATTACTGGATCATATGGTAGTTCTATTTTTAGTTTTTTGAGGAACCTCCACACCATTTTCCAAAATGGCCATACTAATTTAGGTTATCACCAACAATGTGTAACAGTTCCCCTTTTTGCCAATACTTGTTATCTTTCATCTTGTTGATAACGTTTTCAATTCTTTTTCAAAGACAGGGTCGGTGGGTTGCCCACGCTGGAGTACAGTGGCACGATCTCAGCTCACTGCAGCCTTTGCCTCCTAGGTTTAAGTGATTCTCCCACCTCAGGCTCCTGAGTAGCTGGGACTACTGGCACGCACCACCATACCCAGCTAATTTTTTGTATTTTTAGTAGAGACAGGGTTTCACCATGTTGGCCAGGCTGGTCTTGAACTCCTGATTTCTTTTTTTTATTTTTTGAGACGAAGTCTTGCTCTTGTCCCCCAGGCTGGAGTGCAATGGCGCAATCTCAGCTCACTGCAACCTCCGCCTCTCAGGTTCAAGCAATTCTCCTGCCTCAACCTCCCGAGGAGCTGGGATTACAGGCGCCTGCCATCATGCCCGGCTAATTTTTGTATTTTTAGTAGAGACAGGGTTTCACCATGTTAGCCAGGCTGGTCTCGAACTCCTGACCTCAAGTGATCTGCCTGCCTTGGCCTCGCAAAGTGCTGGGATTAGAGCTGTGAGCCACTCCACCCGGCCCACCATTTTATATAAGGCACTTGGGTTATCGGTGGATTTTGGGATTTGTGGAGAGTCCTGGAACCAATCCCTCACAGATACTGAGGGATAACTGTACCTTGTTTCAGACGGTTAAGGCAGGTGTATAGAATTGTAAAAACTCTTCAAATTGAATACCTAAGATCTGTGCATTTTATTGTATGAAAAAAATCCAAGGCAGGAGACGGTAGACTAAGTTATGGTATATAGCACTTATAATGAATAATATAGCTATGCTTATTTGTATTAAAAAACTACTTATGCTCTGAATATTTTAAGTGAAGTAAATGAAACTACTGGCTTTAAAAATATAAATCTTTTTCAGATTTTTGATTCATTAAATCCATAAATTTAAAATGTCCTTAATTGATTTGAGGAAGCCAAACTTTGGGAGAGAACACTTTCTTGGGAAACATTTAACTTATGCCAAGTTACCAAGAGGTTTTCCTTTGAGCTGGTCCTTCTCAACATATTTATCAAAATAGTCATGCAAAAATTAAGCAATCTTTACCACTTGCTCTGTTCAAAGTGTTATTTACATGTTGCAGAATAGTAGGAATAACCTGACTTATGGTAGGGTACTATGTTCCCGACCCCACATGTCATATAGATTCATGAACTACAGCATAGGATTTACAACATCTGCTTATTACATAGTTGAGAAGTCAGATAGCTATCATATCTTTTTTTCCCCATCATATTTTCTTTTCTTTTTTTTATTTTTTAGTTTTTGAGACAGAGTCTCGCTCTGACGCCCAGGCTGGAGTGCAATAGTGCGATCTCAGCTCACTCCAACCTCCGCCTCCTGGGTTCAAGCAATTCTCCTGCCTCAGCCTCCCAAGTAGCCGGGATTACAGGTGCCCGCCATCACGCCCAGCTAATTTTTGTAGTTTTTAGTAGAGATGAGGTTTCACCATGTTGGCCAGGTTGGTCTCGCAACCTGACCTCAGGTGATCCACCCGCCTCAGCCTCCCAAAGTGCTGGGATTACAGGTGTGAGCCACCACGCCTGGCCTCATTTCCTCATTTCCTTCCTTTCCTTTCTTCCTTCCTTTCTTTTCTCTCTCTCTTCTTTTCTTTCTTTCTTTTCTTTTCTTCCTTTCCTTTTTTTTTTTTTTTTTTTTTTGAGACAGGGTCTGGCACTGTCACCCAGGCTGGAGTGCAGTGGCGTGATCTCGGCTCACTGCAACCTCCATCTCTTGGGCTCAGTCAATCCTCCTGACTCAGTCTCCCAAGTATATGGGACTACAGGCACATGCCACCACACCCAGCTGAAATTTTTTTTTTTTTTTGAGATAGGGTCTACCTCTGTCACCCAGGCTGGAGTGCAGAGGGACTATCTCAGCTAACTGCAGCCTCCGCCTCCCGGGTTCAAGCGATTCTCCAGCCTCAGCCTCCTGAGTACCTGGGATTACAGGCACACGCCACCATGCCCAGCTGATTTTTCTATTTTTAGCAGAGACGGGGTTTCGCCATGTTGGCCAGGCTGGTCTTGAACTCCTGACCTCAGTTGATCCACTTACTTCAGCCTCCCAAATTGCTGGGATTAGAGGTGTGAGCTACCGCACCCCACCTGAATTTTGTATTTTTTGTAGAGATGGAGTTTCACCATGTTGCCCAGGCTGGTCTCAAACTCATGAGCTCAAGTGGTCCGCCCACCTCAGCCTCCCAAAGTGCTACAATTACAGGCATGAGCTACCACACCCAGCCTTTACATTATGTTTTCTAATAGCCTACTTTTCTTATGGTATCTTAATGTAATTTCGTTGTATCCTTAGTATCCTTTATCATGCTTTGGTTTTACTTATCTGTCTGATTAGGATTTTAAGTGCCCCATTATAGCATCCTTGTAATGAACAGATAATCCATATTATTTGGAAAATCAGAATGACATTTAGAGTATACCACATTGTACTGCTTGCCATTTCCAATATTCCCCTCTTTCTGGTGAGCCCCACATAATATATTTCCTTACTGTCCACATTCTTTTTTTTTTTTTTTTTTTTTGAGACAGAGTCTTGCTCTGTCGCCCAGGATGGAGTGCAGTGGTGTGATCTCTGCTCACCGCAAGCTCTGCCTCCCAGGTTCACACCATTCTCCTGCCTCAGCCTCTCAAGTAGCTGGGACTACAGGCTCCTGCCACCACGCCCGGCTAATTTTTCGTATTTTTAGTAGAGATGGGGTTTCATCGTGTTAGCCAAGATGGTCTCGATCTCCTGACCTCGTGATCCGCCCGCTTCGGCCTCCCAAAGTGCTGGGATTACAGGCATGAGCCACTGTGCCCGGCCCACATTCTTCTTATATGGAAATACCATTCATTTCTCCTCTCCCTGCTGTGCCTAAATCCAACTAATTTTAAATACTCAAACTATTTCATAAATACTTCATTTATGCTCCTAATCAAAAGTTATCTGAATTCCTCTTTAGTGCCTTGTAGTTATCTTATTTAAGATATTCTAACATACTCGTTTTTTGTGTACGTGTCATGAAGACATTGTTAGTTTAACATTTCTCAGAGTTCTTTGAATAACATCTTTCTCTTAATAGGCACTTAAATATTAAATGAGTATTTCGTAAAATAAAACCCAAATACAAAACAATATATAGCTATACTTGAGTTTATATTGCCAAGGTCCCACATGAAAAATATATTTATCTCTAATTCGGGTAAGTACATACCAGTGATGCTGTCCGTATAGTAGCAAAGTGTTCTCGATTACGATAGTGTGATTTGTGACGAGATACTTGGGGTGGAGATTGTGGATCTGATGCTCTTGTTCTAGGATCTCCCTCTTCTCTGTAATTTTCTTCCTCCTAGGAAAAAAAAAAAAAGACAATATTATGTAAGGTGAACAGTTTGTTTGAATCTTTATGGAAATTAAAGTTTAAAGACAACTTGATCAATCAATCTCAAAGACATAATTTTAAAAAGCAAAGCCAAAAAGTAGAAATGCTGGTCTTCTTTTTTCTTTAGAAACAGGGTCTCACTGTGTCACCCAGATTGGAGTACAGTGGTATGACCATAGCTCACTGTAGCTTCAACCTCCCAAGCTCAAACGATCTGCCTACCTCAGACTCCTGAGAAGCTGGAACTACAGGCACGGGCCATCAGGCCAGGCTAATTTTATTTTTTTAGAAACAAGGTCTCCCTATGTTGACTAGGCTGGTCTAGAATTCCTGGGCTCAAGCAATCCTCCCTCCTTGGCCTTCCAAAGTGCTAGGATGACAGGTGGAAGCCAATATGTCCAACTTTATTTTCAATATAATTAGAAGAAATTATTTGTACAGGGTATAAAATAGTACACAGACTCAGGACAAGAAAATGCACATGACTAGATTGACTGATTGATTTGTTTGTTGTTTGAGACAGGATCTCGCTTTGTCACCCAGGTTGGAGTGCAGTGGTAAACACTCAATGGCTCACCGCAGTGTCAACTTCCTGGGCTCTAGCGATCCTCCCACCTCAGCCTCCCAGGTAGCTGGGACCACAGGCATGCACTACCATGCCCAGCTAACTTTTGTATTTTTTGTAGAGATGGGGTTCTGCCATGTTGCCCAGGCTGGTCTTGAACTACTGGGCTCAAGCAATCTGCCTGCCTTGGCCTCCCAATATGTTGGGATTACATGCGTGAGTCACTGTGCCTGGCACATGACTAGATTTATATCCTACCGATTATATGCAAAATTGAAAAGCTTTAACATAACTTGAAAACAAAGCTGATGAAACATGTAGCCAATATAGTCAATGTTTTAAATAGGAGTAGCAGAAAATTAATTGCTCAAAGGCTCTTGGGTTTTGGAAGCAATGGAGCTATCTTTTTAATACTTCTGCCATCTGTCCAAAATAAGCAAAAACAAAAACAGTTGTAAAAAATTGAAGGACTGATATCCTTCCCTGAACTCAATTTGTTAGCTGAAGAGAACATCAGTTAAGTAGCAACCAATTAATTGTGGGAATAATCTTTTTTTTTTTTTTTTTGAGACAGGGTCTCCATTTTGTTGCCCAGAATGCAGTGCAGTGGTATGATCAAGGCTAACTGCAGCCTTGATCTCCCAGGCTCAACTGATCCTCCACTACTCAGTGTGCCTCCACTACTCAGCCTCTTGAGTAGATGGGGCCACAGGCATATGCCACACCTGGCTGTTTTTCTTTTCTTTTCTTTTTTTTTTTTTTTTTTTTTAAACAGATGGGGTCTCCCTATGTTGCCCAGGCTGGTCTTGAACTCCTGGCCTCAAGTGATACTCCTGAATCAGCCTCCCCAAGTGCTGGGATTATAGGAATGAGCCACAGTGCCCAGCCCATTTTAACCATTTTAAGTGGTATTAATTATACTCTCAATGTTGTACAGCTATCACCTATTACTTCCAAAACTTTTTCATCAACCCAAACAGAAACTCTGCATCCATTAGCAATAACTCTCTATTTTGACCTCCACCCAGTCTCTGGTAACTCCTAACCTACTTTCTGTCACTATGAATTTGCCTATTTTAGATATTTTATAGAAGTTTAATTATACAATATTTGTCCTTTTGTGTCTAGGCTTTTATCACTTAACATGTTTTCAAGATTCAACCATATGGCAGCATGTATTGGAACTTCATTCCTTTTTATAGCTGAGTAATATTCTACTGGATGTAAAAACCACAGTTTTTTTTTTTTTTTGAGACAGAGTCTCATTCTGTCACCAGGCTGGAGTGCAGTGGCATGATCTCGGCTCACTGCAACCTCTGCCTCCTGGGTTCAAGCGATTCTTCTGTCTCAGACTCCTGAGTAGCTGGGATTACAGGTGTGTGCCACCACACCTGGCTAATTTTTGTATTTTTAGTAGAGACGGTGTTTCACCATGTTGGCCAGGATGGTCTCAATCTCTTGACCTCATGATCCGCCTGCCTCGGCCTCCCAAAGTGCTGGGATTACAGGCGTAAACCACTACACCTGGCCTATAAACCACAATTTGTTAATACATCCGTTGATGAATAATTTGGGTTGTTTCCATCTTTTAGCCATTGTACCTACTACTTTTAGATAATAACACAAGCTGTGAAGTGAAAAAGGAAGCATTCCTATTTTTTGTTTGTTTGTTTTTTGAGATACAGTCTCACTCTATCACCCAGGCTGAGGTGCAGTGGTACGATCTTGGCTCACTGAAAACCTCTACCTCCTGGGTTCAAGTGAACCTACCACCTTAGCCTCCTGAGTAGCTGAGATTAGAAGCATGCACCACCATGCCGAGCTAATTTTTAAATTTTTTTGCGGAGACAGGGTTTCACCATGTTGCCCAGGCTGTTCTCCAACTCCAGGCTCAAGCAATCTGCCCGCCTCAGCTTCCCAAAATGCTAGAATTACAGGGGTGGGCCTCTACTCCCAGCCTTAGCATTCCTGTTAATTGTTAAAAGGAGTTACCTGACTTTCCAGTATTTTTCAGAAGATTTAACATTTTATATTCAAAAGGGTAAAGAGTAATGCAGCAAACACCCACATTTCCTAAACCCAGAATCTACAGTTTTCTACAATTACATTCAGCTTTATTTTTAAGATATACACTGGGTGCAGTGGCTCACGCCTGTAATCCCTGTACTTTGGGAGGCCAATGCAGGTGGATCACCTGAGGTTGGGAGTTCGAGACCAGCCTGGCCAACATGATGAAACTTCTTTGCTACTAAAAATACAAAAAATTAGCTGGGCATAGTGGTGCACACCTGTAATCCCAGCTACTCAGGAGGCTGAGGAACAAGAATTGCTTGAACACAGGAGGCAGAGGTTGCAGTGAGCCGAGATTGCGCCACTGCACTCCAGACTGGGCAACAAGAGCAAAACTCTGTCTCAAAAAAAAAAAAGAAAGAAAGAAAGAAAGAAAAAAAGATATAAACGTCTTGGCGCAGTGGCTCACACCTGTAATCCCAGCACTTTGGGAGGCTGAGGCAGGTGGATCACTTGAGGTCAGGAGTTTGAGACTAGCCTGGCCAACATGGTGAAACCCTGTCTCTACTAAGAATACAAAAATTAGCCAGGCAGGGTGGCACACACCTGTAATTCCAGCTACTCAGGAGGCTGAGGCAGGAGGATCGCTTGAAACTGAGAGGTGGAGGTTGCAGTGGGTCAAGATTGTGGCCACTGCACTCCAGCCTGGGTGACAGAGTGAGACTCCGTTTCAAAAAAAAAAAAAAAAAAAGATATAAACATTATGGATAACATAAAATTCACTTTTGATCATCACTCATCCCAACCATTTCTCACTCCCCAAAGGCAACCATTATCATTTTATGTGTATCCTTCCTATTTTTTAGTATTTTATTTTTCATGTAAATAATGTCAAATAATATATTTGAAGTTTCTGTACTTTTTCTTCTAATATTTTGAAATAGTTCCACATTCTTTTTGTATTCTCAAAACATGAATTTTCCAAATGGAGATAACAGGTTAGGAGTTAACAAGGCTTTTTCCATTAAAAAATGTTCCAAACTTTTTTTTTTTTTGAGATAGGGTCTCACTCTGTCGCCCAGGCTGGACTGCAGTGGTGGGATCTTGGCTCACTGCAACCTCCACCTCCCAGGTTCAAGCGATTCTCCCACCTCAACCTCCCAAGTAGGTGGGAGTATGGGAGTACAGGCACGTGCCACCATGCCTAGCTAATTTTTGTATTTTTAGTAGAGACAGGGTTTCACCATGTCGGCCAGGCTGGTCTTGAACTCCTGGCCTCAAGTGATCCACCCGCCTCGGCCTCCCAAAGTGCTGGGATTACAGGCATGAGCCACTGAGCCCAGCCATGTTCCAAACTTCGGGAAACTTCCTTATCTTCCTTCTTCCTTCTCTTAAACTAACAGATGAAGAAAACAGTTTACCAACATTGAATTTCTTTCATTGAAATCCAAATACTCACTGGTTTTAAATGGATAACAGAACTGTTAGACATCACTGTGTGGTCTCCCTCCATCATGTCTAGCTCACTCTTGTCATCTGAGACATCTGGAAGACTGTTAACACTACTGCTTTGGCTGCTGGCACTGATGGACATGCTGGGAATGGATTGATTACTTCCAACACTATTAACTGTTCCTGTCCGGCCAACACCATGATCTTGTTCCTAAGAGAAAAGGACATTCAGTTCAGTTCAAATATTAATATATATCTCTCTCTTCTGAATTCTTGACTATAAGCACCTAGCATACCACTTGGCAGACAGTCTCAGAAAGTTGGTCTATCATGAGAAATTGCTTTTATTTTCCAAGACCAGGAAGTTTATCAACTGTTAGTTTATTGAAAAACAAAAATGACCAACAAGTAAATCACAAAAAAATTCAACCAACTGTCTAAAACAAAGTCAGCTGATCAGATTTGGGTGATTTTCAAAGTACAATATTTTATCTAAATTGCTTGATATTTTAAAATAACCATTTCTACAGTACATCTCATGGGGTATATATAGAGATCCTGCTCATTTCTCAATAATTCTTGGTTAATACAAATCTCTCCTTTTAAAAAAAAAAAGCACTGGCTATTCTGGGCACAGTGCCTACGGCGTAGCCCTGCTCCATAAGGAGCATTTAAAAAAAAATAAAGTACTAGAAACTTCATTGTAGTTGTTATTCTTCTTTATTAAATCAGCCTTTCATAAGTAGATTCTTCTTTCTTCTGGAAAACATAGTCTCTAGATTACCTTTCTTGTCTTTCTTTTTTTTTTTTTTTTGTATTTCAATAGGTTTTTGGGGAACTCTAGATTATCTTTTTACCACCAAATAATTTAACATTAATTCCTACCTCTTCTTGTGTAAACTAACAATTACATATTATATTGTTTCAAATCACAATCATAAGAATGTTTTTCTGATGTAAACGGGCAGCTGTAGTATCTGGGCACTAACATTACAGTAGTCTTACCATACCAGAATTCTTTAAGATATGCAGAATTTAATAAACACAGACACATATATAGATAGGGACTTTTCTTACATCCCCAGCCTAACACAGATGTTGTTAACAATTTAACTACATAGAATTTTATTAATTTCACTTTATTAAAGTATTTCACATATCTGAAATCATCCCAATTTTCTAGTGACTATCATTAAGAACTAAAAATAATCCCCAAACCAAAAATTGTAAGTTTATAAAGTCTTATATTTGACAGTTCATTATTTATTTAGTGACATTAAAAAGAGAAAAGAAAGTATTGAGCACGGTTTCAGAATACAAAGTGGTCTCTCTCGATGGAAAGCAATAGAAAAGAATAAAATTTTATGAATTCTGACGGGGCAAAGAAGAAACAAAATATTTAGAGGGAAAAAATAGCTTTACACATAATATACTTAATATGTATATTGCTTCATGAGGAAGTTCTGTAATACTTCTATAGCAAATCTGTATTTCCATTCTCCCTAAGAGGCAACACAGAACTTGGCCTTGAGAGTAAAAGAGGTATGAATTTGAACCCATGTTCCTCTACCTACAGTGAGCAACTTAATTTATTCTGAGCCTTGCTTTTGGTATCTGTAAAATGAGTATTTTAGAACAGTGTAGGCCAGGTGCGGTGGCTCACACCTGTAATCCTAGCACTTTGGGAGGCTGAGGCAGATGAATCACTTGAGGCCAGGAGATGGAGAACAGCCTGGCCAACATAGCGAAACCGGTCTCTACTAAACATACAAAAAATTAGTTGGGCGTGGTGGCGCACCTGTAGTCCCAGCTATTCGGGAGGCTGAAGGGGGAGAATTGCTTGAACCCGGGAGGTGGAGATTGCAGTGAGCCGAGATCGTGCCACTGTACTCCAAACTGGGCTACAGAGCAAGACCCTGTCTTTAAAAAAAAAAAAAAAAAAAAAAAAAGGTGTAGATGGAATGAAATCAAGTTTCTTTGGTGACACAGTCGAATGCCTACTAACTTTCTCATGACTTCTGAGAGAGTACATTCAACCTTCACATTCTGTAATTCAAGAACTTCCAAAAGCACATCATATGGAACTGGACAATCAGTCAAAAAAGGGCTCAGGCTGGGCACAGTGGCCCATGCCTGTAATCCCAGCACTTTGGGAGGCCGAGGCAGGTGGGCCACCTGAGGTCAGGAGTTCAAGACCAGCCTGGCCAATGCGGTGAAACCCCGTCTCTACTAAAAATACAAAAAATAAAATAAAATAAAAATTAGTCAGGTGTGGTGGTGCGCGCCTATAATCCCAGCTACTCGGGAGGCTGAGGCAGGAGAATCGCTTGAACCAGGGAGGTGGAGGTTGCAGTGAGCCGAGATCATGTCATTGCACTCCAACCTGGGCAACAAGAGCAAAACTCCGTCTCAAAATAAACAAAAAAATTAAAAAATAAAAAAACAGGTTCAGTGGTCAAGAAATTAGAGAAGGCCTAGACTAAACAAAGATGAACAAGTTTCTTTAACGAAGGACTTCTCAGAACCTTCATTATGACATTGTGTACCATAAAGGGGTTGGATTTAGAGCATGCAATCTAACATGATTAAAGACTTAAAAAAAACTTTTTTTTTAACTTTTCTTATTTCTCCAAGAAAAAAGGACCTTTTTTTATTCCTAACTGGGATTTTATAGGACCAGTGTTGAGAAAATACAACCTGGAAACCCTTGGTATATAAGGTAAATTATGGCAGGGCAAGCTGCATAAGGAAAGAAACCAAAAGTGAAAATTCAATATTGGAGTCATTTTTTTATCTCTTACCTCTTCTTCTTCCTGTGCTTCTACTGCTGGTCCATTATGTGCCTCCTGGAAAAGGAGTTTCTTCATCTTTCGATACTGCAGATTGTCCAGCTCTCTTACTGCATCCTTTGTCCTCTGAATGAGATCTATTAACACGGTTTCAGGGCGCTCCCGAAGAACAAATATGTGCTAGATAGGGTAGAAGGTAAAAGGTTGATTTTTTTTTCAATTAGTGACAAGGTACTCCTTCTCAGACCCTAGAGATAATATCCTATGATAGATAATGCATGTAATCTATAGCTATATAATTCTGTTAAATTTCTTCTATTTATAAAATTATCATTTACATACATATACTCTGTGCATACATAACTATTCTTTTTCTTTATTTTGAACATAATATTTTTGTTGGCCAACTAAAAATGCAGAGTTAAAATAACTGAAGGGTCTAAACACTAAGAATTAAGTCCAATCAGAGCTCTCAAGGTTTACATATTCTAAGAACTGATGATTTCACACAAAAGACATGTTCAGCTCTGAGTCATATTTGTTTCAACAGGAATGTATTTAATGATGGTGAATTATGAAAGATGAATTTAGACACTAGATATTGGGTTCCTTTATATGCTGCGTGAACAATATTCTTTATAAAATACTAACACAGACTAAAAGCCATTAAATTATTACTTTTTTATTACTAGCATTTAATATAATTTCACCTTATCAAATACAAAAAGTAGAAAAAAACAATTCCACCATTATGATGATCACAGTTACATTGTAATATACTTTTCATAAATTTTCTATGTATAAAATGTTTTGTAGATACATAGTTAGCATGTAAATTCCAGAAAGACATATTCTGCCATCCCTTGAGTTCTACGAAATATCCTTGAATTCTTTTTTTTTTTTTTTTTTTTTTTGAGACGGAGTCTCCCTCTGTTGCCCAGGCTGGAGTGCAGTGGCGCGATTGCGGCTCACTGCAACCTCTGCCTCCCGGGTTCACACCATTCTCCCGCCTCAGCCTCCCAAGTAGCTAGGACTAGAGGAGCCCGCCACCACACCCGGCTAATTTTTGGTATTTTTAGTAGAGTCAGGGTTTCACCGTGTTAGCCAGGATGGTCTCGATCTCCTGACCTCGTGATCCGCCCACCTCGCCCTCCCAAAGTGCTGGGATTACAGGTGTGAGCCACCGCGCCCAGCTATCCTTGAATTCTTAAGACAACTTTTACCTCCTTTGTTAGCTCAAATTTATTTCTTTTTTATGCAAAGAGTTGTAACTATGAATCACAGCCCACTGTAACCTCAAACTCCTGGGCTCAAGCAATCCTCCCACCTCAGCCTCTCAAGCAGCTAGGACTACAGGTGTGCACCACCATGTCCAGCTAATTTTTATTTTTTGGGGGGTGGGGGGTAGAGTTAAACTCCTGGCCTCAAGTGACCCTCCCACCTTGGCCTCCCAAAGCATTGGAATTACACCACTGCGCCCAGCCTCTATACACTATTTTATTCAATTTTCACAGTCATAAGTATTATTATTTTAGCTGGGCGCAGTGGCTTATACCTGTTATCACAGCACTTTGGGAGGCCAAGGCAGGCAGATCACTTGAGGCCAGGAGTTCAAGACCAGCCTAGCCAATAGTGAAACCCTAAAAATATAAAAAATTAGCAGGACGTGGAGGCATAGGCCTGTAATCCCAGCTACTCGGGCGGCTGAGGCACGAGAATCACTTGAACCTCAGAGGCAGAGGTTGCAGTGAGCTGAGATCATGTAACTGCACTCCAGCCTGTGCGACAGAGCAAGACTCTGTCTCAAAAACAAAAAAAAAATAATTATTATTATTTCAAACTCATAAACATAATGCCTGTAGAATATTTCATCAAATGTTTGTGCCCAAATCACTTAACCATTACTCTAATTTGGGGCAGCTATTTCTAATTTTTAATTCCATGATAAATAGCTTCATACATTAAATTTTTTTATTAGTTTTTTTCTTTATGATAGACTGCAACAGAAATGTAATTAGTCCAAAAGATAAGAAGCTCATGATAACTATTTCCTATCATTTCAAATAGGGCTGTGATAATATACACTAGGGGCCAGGCAAATGAATACTATTAATATATGCAGACTTAGGATCTAATCACCAAATACTAGTGGGCTGGGTTACTACTACCTGAGTTAGAAAGGCTTCTTTTGCTTCTATTTGGCAAATGTAAGAAGCCAGTCACATTCTTCCTTTTTTTTTTTTTTCGAGATGGAGCTTCCTCTTATTGCCCAGGCTGGAGTGCAATGGTGCGATCTCAGCTCACCACAACCTCTGCCTCCTGGGTTCAAGCGATTCTCCTGCGTCAGCCTCCTGAGTAGCTGGGATTACAGGCATGCGCCACCACGTCCGGCTAATTTTGTATTTTTAGTAGAGACAGGGTTTCTCCACGTTGCTCAGGCTGGTCTCGAACTCCCAACCTCAGGTGATCCACCCGCCTCGGCCTCCCAAAGTGCTGTGATTACAGGAGTGAGCCACCGCGCCCGGCCATTCTTACTTTTTCTTTAGTTTGATGTGTACCACTATTTACAATATTGTCTTCTTCTTTCTTTCTTTTTTTTGGAGACACAGTCTCACTCTATCGCCCAGGCTAGAGTACAGTGGCACGATCTTGGCTCATTGCAACCTCTGCCTCCTGGGGTTCAAGCTTTTTGTGCCTCCGCCTCCTGAGTATTTGGGACTACACGAGTCCACCATCACACCCAGCTAATTTTTGTATTATTAGTAAAGACAGGGTTTCACCATTTTGGCCAGGCTGGTCTCAAACTGCTGACCTCAAGTGATCCGCCCGCCTCGGCCTCCCAAAGAGCTGGGGTTACAGGCGTGGGCCACCGTGCCCAGCCTACTATTTACCATATTGTTTCATCCAAAAACATAAAACCTTATATTTATTTATTTTTTATTTTTTTGAGAAGGGGTTTCGCCCTTGTTGCCCAGGCTGGAGTGCAATGGTGCAATCTCGGCTCACCACTACCTCCGCCTCCCAGGTTCAAGCGATTCTCCTGCCTCAGCCTCCCGAGTAGCTGGGACTACAGGCATGCGCCACCACGCCCAGCTAATTTTTGTATTTTCAGTAGAGACGGGGGTTTCAGCATGTTGGCCAGGATGGTCTTGAACTCCTGACTTCGCGATCGGCCTGCCTCAGCCTCCCAAAGTGCTGGGATTACAGGCGTGAGCCACCGCGCCTGGCTAAGCTATGTTTTATCAACTTTGAAATAAGACATTGTTCCACATGAATTAAAATTTATAACTCATGATTATATTCTTGCACATATTAAGTATTGAGCTATTTGAATACTTAACTACATATTCTATTTAGACATGGTAAGAGCAGCTAATCAATTTGAAAAACAAAATACAAAAATTTAGTATCTAAGAAAAGTTATCAGAAACAACGGCATAAAAAACTAGTATTTTATTAAAAACTAGTAGAGTATACTTAATCCTAATTCAGAATCAAATAATAAAACACATTCTTTACAATCATTTCTTAGGGGTAAGAACAAATTTAAAGTATAATGGAACTGGTGGCTCATGCCTGTAATCCAAGCCCTTGAGAGGCTGAGGCAGGTGTGGATCACTTGAGCCCAGGAGTTCGATATCAGCCTGGGCAATGTGGCAAAGCCCCACTTCTAACAAAAATACAAAAATTAGCCGGGTTCAGTGGCATGTGTCTGTAGTCCCGGCTACTTGGGAGGCTGAGGTGGGAGGATCGCTTGAGCCTGGGAGGTCAAGGCTGCAGGAGACGTGATTGTGCCACTGCCACTCCAGCCTGGGTGACAAAGTGAGGCCTTGTCTTAAAATAAAATAAATAAATAAACTATAATAGAACTGACCTTTAAAAGTTCCTCTGATGTAGGTCGATCTTGAGGGATTTTCTGGAGGCAAGAATCTACAAAGTTGCGAAAATAATCAGACCTATTGTAAAGGAAAGTATCAAGTGAACACATTGCTATTTCCTTTAAAAATACATTCACAAATCAAGACACGTGCCTATTGGTGGGAGGGGAAATGGAAAGGGAATGATTAAAAAAAAGCAGAGACTATACAGTTTCATATAAGTCTATGAAGATCTATCTAAAGCAACCAATGAATGTTCACCATTTTCCAAAGATAAATTCACACAGATTACTTTAAAATCCTGCTCCTACATATTTAAATATCACAACTCATATTACTATATCGAGGCAAAATGAGGGAAGCCTATCTACTTTTTTTTTTCTTTCAAACCCAAGATAACATTCCTTTCTATTTTCCTTTTTGCTAAGCCTTTCTTATAATAAGCTCTTTCTTATTTGCCCCTTGGATCTTCTTCTATATAGCATGTTTCAGAATATCACTCTATCTGCTCTGGAGAGAGTGTTTTTATACCTGAGTATTTGGTGCCCCTGAGCAAATGGATAAGACTTCCATTAAACCTAGAAAACCAATTAAGATATTTTTAAAAACGTTAGAAGTCTGTAACACATTATTATATAGTGTTATTGACAAGAGTTCAGTAAGGCAGTAAATAATTACTCCATCAATGTTTGTCTCCAATATTCAAATAAGATTTTAAGTTCCTTGTAGGCAAGAATTCTTTTATAAATCTCCAAGTCTCAAACACAGTGTAAAGACAGTCTGTGTTCAATATATTTTTTACTTATATGTATCAACTATGGTTTCAATGTTTTTGTTTCTCCAAAACTGATGTTGAAACTTAATCTCCAGTGCAACAGTGTTGGGAGGTGGGGCCTAATGCGAGTTGTTCAGGTCATGAATGGATTAATTCTGCTATAAAAAGGGCTTGTGGGAGAGGGTTCTCTCTCTCCTGCTCTCTGCCATGTGAGGACACAATGTTTCTCCCCTCCAAAGGATGCAGAGTTAAAGGCACTATCTTGTAAGTAGGAGGACCAGGTCCTAACCTGCCAGTGCCTTGGTCCTGGACTTCCCAGCCTCCAGAAAGTGAGAAATAAATTTCTGTTCTTTATAAATTACCAAGCCTCTGATACTCTGTTACAGCAGCACAAAATGTACTAAACCATACCATAACACTAAACTCAGTGTCAAAAGATTCGTTCTATATAATTCTAAACACAAAGTAGAGTTATATAGAAAGAATCTTTTGGCACAGAGTTTTAGCATTATTAGTTTACTAGAGTTATATGGCACATTCTTAAGTGGCAAAGACTTATATGAATGTGCCATAATTATGTACTCTTTAAATAATTAAGTACCCCTAATTTATATGTCTGTGAATTTCAAAATATTTATTAAATATGCTAAATATCCCCCTAGAATTTATCGAATGCTAGGTACACCTGAGGAATTAATTTTCTACTACAGTTTTATACTGTTGATAAAAATCCTAGTTTTCTAAAATTGTCAATCTGTTGTCCATAAACCTCTTTACATGAATGAACTAAATTTTAACAAATCAAGGAAGTCCTAGAAGGAATATCAGATAAAACTGAATAACAAATATGATAATTAGAGTGATCCCAATATTTTTAATTACCTGGTAATTTTGATAAAGTCAAATCATTTTACTTATATTTTTATATCATATAAATTATAAACCATCCCTCCAATCAAATATCACTATAGGTTGTAATAATACATATATTTTAGTTATAAAATATTAATGCTTAAATGCTATTTATTATTTAATTAGGATTAGGTATTCCTAAATTTAAAGAGAAAGTAAAATACAAATTCTTGTAAAATGAATACTTTTTGCATTCATGTGACATCATCCATCCTTTTCTGAACTCAGTTATACGTATGCCATGAAATGGAAACATGATAAAGAATAAATATATTTAAAAGGGTAAAATACATCTATTTTAATATCTTATAAGGTGATACATTTTACCTAACTGAAATTAAATCACTTTGATAACAGATTATGAAAAAGCATTTCATTTATTCAACACTGAGCAATATATATATTAACAATACTCACCATTCATTAGACTGTAGTGTAGGGGATTCATTTTGGGCTATGTGATATAAGGCACTCATTGCATTCATATTAAATAAAGGAGGCTTCCTTTCCGCTGTAAAAGAAAGGAAACATTCCTGTTAAAATAGGTTCCAGGGGTACTCAAGTCCTGGGCACGTTTTTCCTTTTTTTTTTTTAAATGATTTTATTTTGAAACAATCTTAAACTTACACAAAAAATTGCAAGTAGAGTTCAAAGAGCTTTTTTTTTATTTTTTTTCTGAGATAGGGTCTTGCTCTGTCACCCAGGCTGGAGTGCAGTGGCACAATCTCGGCTCACTACAGCCTTGACCTCCTGTGCTCAAGCAATCCTCCCACCTCGGCCTCCCGAGTAGCTGGGACCACAGGTGTGCACCACCATGCCCAATTAAGTTTTGTATTTTCTGTAGAGATGGGGTTTCACCATGTTGCCCAAGATGGTCTTGAACTCTTGAGCTCAAGTGATCCTCCCAACTCAGCCTCCCAGAGTGCTGGGATTACAGGTGTGAGCCACTGCACCCAGCCTCCAAGAACTTCTTCAAGTGAATCAATTGAGAATAAATTGCTGACCTGAAGCCTCACCATACTTAATATATACTTGAGTGTATATTTCCTGTAAAGAAGAACATTTTCCTAAAGCATCGTAATACATCCATTAAATCAGGTCATTTAATAGTGATATAAGACTACACTACATTCAAACTACATTCAAGTTTCATTCAGATGTCCCAATAATATCCCATGTAGCAATAATGAGCTTTGAGTATTGTTAATCTTCAAGGAATTTGTTCATTTTATCCAAGGTGTCAAACTTATTGACAGAAAATTGTTCATATTTCCCCATTACTCTTTTAATATCCGCACTGATTTTCTCTACTGTTTTTCAGTTTTCTATTCAACTGATCTCTGCTTTGATCTTTATTATCCTCTACCTTCTGCTTATTTTGTGTTCAATTTGCTCTGTTTTAGTTTAAGGTAAAAGTTGAAGTCATGACTTTGACAAATTGAAGTATGGTCGCCTTTCTGTATCTGTAGGTTCTGCATCCACAGACTGAACCAACCGAAATATTTCAACCATAGACTGAAAATATTTGGCGAAAAAAAATTGTTTTAACAATTAAAAAATTAACAATTATTATTATTATTATTATTATTATTATTATTTTTTGAGATGTGGTTTCACTCTTGTTGCCCAGCCTGGAGTGCAATGGCACGATCTTGGCTCACCACTACCTCCGCCTCCCGGGTTCAAGCGATTCTCTCCTGTCTCAGCCTCCCGAGTACCTGGGATTACAGGAGTGCGCTGCCACGCCTGGCTAATTTTATATGTTTAGTAGAGACAGGGTTTCTCCATGTTGATCAGGCTGGTCTCAAACTCCCAACCTCAGGTGATCTACCCGTCTCGGCCTCCCAAAGTGCTGGCATTACAGGTGTGAGCCACTACGCCCAGCCAAAAATACAAATTTTTAAGACAGCTACTTACATGGCATTGATATTGTATTAGGTATTATAAGTAATCCAGAGATTATTCAAAGTATATGGTAGGATATGCATAGGTTATATGCAAAAACTACACCGTTTTATATGAGACTTAAGCATCTGCACATTTTGTTATCTGAGGGGGTTCTGGAACCAATCCTCTGAAGATTCTGAGATATACAGGACTCCTGAATGTCCCTCAGTTTGAGATTTTCTGACATTTCCTATTATTAGAGTTAGGCTAAACACCTTTGGCAGGAGTATCACAGAGGTAATGCTATAATTTATATCCTATGAGGCGGCACATGATTTTGAGAAGTTCTGTTACTGATGGTATTCATTTTGATCACTTGGTTAAGGCCCATGTCTGCCAGTCTTCTTCATGATAAAGTTTCTCTTTTCTCCTTTGTAATTAATAAGCATTTTGTAAGATGGTACTCTGAATCTACATAAATATTCTGCTTCTCATGAAACTTTCAACTTTATTCTTTTATTTATTTATTGTATGGAGTCACAGATTTTTATTTTATTTAATAAGTTATATCATTTATTTTGATGTTCAAATTATCCCATATTTGAACAGTAGAAACCTTTTTAAACTGGCTTGTGTCTTTTGGACATGGCCCCATTATTATTTGGTTACTTTCTTGCTTTCTGGTACACTAAGATGTCCTAGCTTCATCTTGTGCTTTCCCTAGCCCAGACCCTGGATCAATCATTTCTCCAAGGGGCTGTTGTGCTAGGTGTGCTTACTGCTACTGGGGTGTCACTGCTCTCAGACACGCTCAATGAACAGAGTTGGGAATATATACATGTACATAATACATTTATACACCTATCTGTACAAATACATGATGTATATTGAATACTTATATTTGAAAACAATAAATTTACTACAATATCTCAAATTCCAATCTAACACCATAGTGTTTATTTCTAGCTTTCTCTGACAATGAGAGAAACCCTGCTCTCATTATCCTTAATACTTTTTTTTTTTTTTTTTTTTTTTTTTTTTGGAGACACAGTCTCGCTCTGTTGCCCAGGCTGGAGTGCAATGGCACAATCTTGGCTCACTGCAACCTGTGCCTCCCAGGTTCAAGCAATTATCCTACCTCAGCCTCCTGAGCTGGGACTACAGGCATGGGCCACCATGCCCAGCTAATTTTTGTATTTTTAGTAGAGACGGGGTTTCACCATGTTGACTAGGCTGGTCTTGAACTCCTGACCTCAGGTGATCTGCCCGCCTTGGCCTCCCAAAGTGCTGGGATTACAGGCATGAGCCACAGCAACTGGCCCTTAATATATTTTTCTATCTGATAAATTCCTCCTATGTAACCAATATCCCATCTTTGTGACCATCTTCTCTCTGCTTAAACAGATGCCCTCCTTTCTCTGTTCAAATTCTGAATCCCCATTCCACTTCACCTCTTGGTCACCAAGCCTTTTAAATGGTATACCGTCAATATATCAAACTAGAACATATCTTTTTAATTTTGTCATTCACTATTAAATTAAAAATCTCTCAATTTTATCAAAGAACATTAAACTTGCCTAAAAATCACAGAAGAGATTCACCAAATTTACAATGTGTTAGACTCTCATAAATTCAAATAACTTTTTTTTTTTTCTTGAGTCAGATCTCACTCTGTCACCCAGATCAAAGTGAAGTGGCACGATCTCGGCTCACTGCAGCCTCCGCCTCCCCGGTTCAAGAGATCCTCCTGCCTCAGTCTCCCAAGTAGCTGGGATTACCGGGATGCGCCACCACGCCCAGCTAATTTTTGCGGTTTTAGTATAGATGAGGTTTCACTATGTTGGCCAGGCTGGTCTAAAACTCCTGACCTCAAGTGATTTGCCCGCCTTGGCCTCCCAAAGTGCTGGGATTACAGGCATAAGCCACTGAACTGCACTCGGCCAAATATTTTTTATCTCAAATTTTTATAAGCTACTACTAAACTTTTTTTTCTTTTTTTGAGATAAAGTCTTGGTCTGTCACCCAGGCTGGAGTGCAGTGGCGCGATCTTAGCTCACTGCAACCTTGACCTCCTGGGCTCAAGTGATCCTCTCACCTCAGCCCCCAAAGCAGCTGGGACTACAGGTGCATGTCACCATGCCAAATTAATTTTTTTTGTATTTTTTGTAGAGATGGGGTTTCTCCATGTTGCCCAGGCTGGTCTCCAACTCCTGGGCTCAAGCGATCTTCCCACCTTGGCCTACTAAAGTGCTGCAATTAGAGGCATGAGCCACCACTTAATTTTAAACCAAATTTATTTTAAGTTAGAGATACTATTTCTTATTATCTTGTGCATGTTTCTAAAACGTCTCTACCCATAAATTTGGATTGCTTCTGTAAAATTAATACCTCCAAAACTCAAGAGGAAATTAGATGAAACTGAGATAGAAGAACTGAACGGTCTAAAAAGTAAATCTCAGAAACAATGTCCAGTGATAAAATTTCCAGAGAAAGAGTTCAAATTATATATACTTATACAGAAGAGTAATCACCAAAGGGTGAGATAAATGGGTTCAAATTTTACTATTTTCATTTATTCCTCTCAATGGGAAAAATGACTATGTGTACTTTTGTTTCCTGTTTTATTTTAATTTAATTAATTTGTTTGTTTAGAAAGGGCCTCACTCTATCACTCAGGCTGAAGTGTAGTAGCATAATTATAGCTCACTGCAGCCTCAAACTCCTGGGCTAAAGGGGGTCGTCCACCTCTGCCTCCCGAGTAGCTGGGACTACAGGTGTGGGGTTACCATGCCCAGCTTATTTGTCTTGTTTTTGGTAGAGACAAGGTCTTGCTATGCTGCCCAGGCTGGTCTCAAACTTCTGGCTTTAAGCAATTCTTCCGCCTTGGCCTCCCAAAGTGCTAGGATTACAGATGTAAGCCACTGTATCCAGCTGAGAGTAGAACTATGAATAATTTATTTTCTTTTCGCTCCTTTTGTATTTCTATAATTTTATACCCTAAACATATATTTATGTAATTAAAAATGGTAAATTATATTTTTATAAAGATTATATAATCATGCAGCTTGAATAACAAACTAAGAATTTTCATCAGATTAACTATAAAGAAACATGTAAGCAAACCCACTCATGAAAAATTATGTATTATAAGATTTCTTGGTATTAAGACATAACCAAGTAATTTCAACCTTTGTGACACTAAAGCAAGAGTCATATCTATTCACAACTATGTTTATCAAGACCAATAATGGTAAAATTGATGTAAATTTTTTCTATTACCTATACTGTAAGAAAATGGTTTGCTTTAATTTGCTATCCTTAACTCTTCCAAAGTAGAAAAGGATATTATCATAAATATGTGTCCCAAGACTGAATCGGATTTGCATTGAGAATCATACCTCACATCTATAAACCCAGCACTTTGGGAGGCTGAGGTGGGTGGATCACCTGAAGTGAGGAGTTGGAGACCAGCCTGGCCAACATGGTGAAAACCTATCTCTACTAAAAATAAAAAAATTAGCTGGGCGTGGTGGCAGGCACCCATAGTCCCAGCTACTTGGGAGGCTAAGGCAGGAGAATCCCTTGAACCCAGGAGGCGGAGGTTGCAGTGAGCCAAGATTGTGCCACTACACTCCAGCCTGGACAACAGAGCGAGACTCTGTCTCCCTCCCACCCCGCAAAAAAAGAAAGAAAAGAAAAAAAACGAAAATCATACCTCTAGACCTGTGTTATCTAAAAAGGTAGCTAACTAGCACATGTGACTATTTAAATGCAAATGTATTTAAATAAAATTTTAGAAAATTCACTCCTTTAGCTGAAAAGCCATAGCTACAGAACACTTCCTTCACTGCAGAAAGTTTTCCTGGCCTGTGCTACTTTAGACCTTTCACCTAGAACCATAATCAGGCTTAAAATATAGTTCCTGACTTAGCACTTCAAAATATTCAAAACATTTGTAAGTAAAATGTTTAAAGTTATTATGAAAGATTACAAAAGTGAAGATACCAAATGAATGCCTAAAATTCTAAGAAATTATTTCAAATATTTCTCCCATGCAAAATTATTTAAAGGCAGTCACATCTAAAGTTCCTTTAAGTATAAAAACTTCTATTGTGAAGGAACTCTTTTATGAAGTAGAATAAAAAGAAGCTAGAAAGGAGAAGCCATTTCACGGAAACTACAAAGTTTAGGTAGATTTTGTTCTAAGCACAACAATGAGCCAACAAATACCTTCTAATCAAATAAATCTTAAAATATATCAATGAAATCTAGCAGGTCCATTAATGCAATTTCACTATCACTGAGGGGCACATGTATGCATCGGCCAGCATTAAGAATGTAAAAGGACCCCATGGGCAAAGAGTACATTAACCAGCTTCTGTACATGTATACCCAGGCTTCTTAAGAAATTAAATTAGGACCTATGGGTAGGAAAAAGAATCATAGGTAAAAGAATAGAGATTAGAGTTTAGGACACCTAAAGGTACTTTCAAATGGAAGAAACAGTTTTGCAAACTTCAAATTAAGACAAAGAAATCCCAAGTATGACATGGTAATCTCCAAATCTCTGTTTGTTGATGTTGTTAAACTATAAAACAAACAGCAGCAGGATGTGGAGCTTGAAGGGAGTAGTTAACAGAGGAATTCCAACAAAAGTGAAAATACTTAAAGATTACATTTTAGGGAAAAAAAACTGGACTGCAAGGTAGTCTGGTTGTAATAGAAATCGTAACTTTAATCTACTGTGTAATAATAAGCAAGATTTTACCTTCATTTTACCTCATTTTCCCTATACTTATTTTAGAAAACTACTGACAAACTCGAGTAGATAATGATTAATCAAAATTACCAACAGATTTTACTTTTAATGTATTATTTTCCATCCTTAGTCACTCCTTTTAGAATGGTTTAGATGAGCGCAGTGGCTCATGCTTGAAATCCCCCCACTGCGGGAGGCTGAGGCAGGAGGATAGCTTGAGCCCAGGAGTTCAAGACCAGCCTGGGCATCATGGCGAAACCCTGTCTCTGCTAAAAATACAAAAATTAGCCTGGTGTGCTGGTGTGTGCCTGCAGTCCCAGCTATGCAGGAGGCTGAGGTGGGAGGATTGCTTGATCCCAGGAAGCAGAGGTTAGAGTGAGCTGAGATTGCACCACTGTACTCCAGCCTGGGTGACAGAGCAAGACCATGTCTCAAAAATAAATAAATAAGTAAAATTTAATGCAATGCTCTTATAAGAAGATAAAAAGGAAAAGACTATTGGGCTGGTAGACCTCCATTGGGAAATCCAGAGCAAGAAGACGGCCAGCATCTTCAATTACAGTGACAGTTTATTGGCTCACAGAAGTTATGATGGTCCACTCTTTTTAGCACAGTTCTATTTATGAACAACTTAACAAAATGTGTGCTTAAAATCAAACTGCTACAGGAAATTCAGTCCAATCTCTCTCTCTCTCTCATTGCAAGACCCTGCTACAGTGATGCATATACCTATGGATCATGGCCCCTGTTGAATGAAGTCGGCCTTACCGTCTTAAAAAAAAAAAATATGTATATATATATATATCAAACTGTTACAAAATGGTATGTAGGTATGACAGTCTGACATCTAATTTCATCCCTAATTAAAAAAAAAGTAGTAACTACCCCAGCTAGTTATGAATGGCTTACAGATCTTCTATAGCTGGTAAATCTGGTAATCATAAACATATTCTAGGTGTTTAACAAATACTCATTAATGTTAGACATAGATTCCTCAAACTTAATTAAAACCACAGTGGAAAATTATTTTAGATATAATGGAACAGAGCAAATATAATATAGGTAACCCTAATATAAATAAAACTTACCAAATAACCAAAGTGAAAACCTTAATAAATGTATTGCCCCCCTTATAAAGTGACATTTAAGATAAAAATCTATAATTTTTATAGATTGGTACAGAAATTGAGGTAAAACATTGATCAAAACTTAATCCATAGTAATGAAGAACAATGCTTACCTAGTTCAATACATGTTATTCCAAGAGACCACACATCTACTTTGCCATCATATTGTCCTTCATCCATGGCTAAAATTACTTCTGGGGCCATCCTAGAACAAAACGTTAATTTAAATTAAAGATTTTTTTTAAAAAGTATTCTATCCTTTGAGAATGTAACAGTCATCTACATGGAGATCACTGGTTTGAATTCTAGCCAATATATCTGGACATAAGAATTTTTATAACGGGAACTAAGTGCATTACAGGTTGTGAGGTAAATATTTAGCAATGCATATATAGTGTGAGATTTATGTATTTATTTATTTATTGTATTTATTTATTTTTTTGAGACAGAGTCTCGCTCTGTCACCCAGGCTGGAGTGCAGTGGCGCAATCTCGGCTCACTGCAAGCTCTGCCTCCCGGGTTCACGCCATTCTCCTGCCTCAGCCTCCCGAGTAGCTGGGACTACAGGCGCCCGCCACCATGCCTGGCTAATTTTTTGTATTTTTTAGTAGAGATGGAGTTTCACCGTGTTAGCCAGGATGGTCTCGATCTCCTGACCTGGTGATCCGCCCGCCTTGGCCTCCCAAAGTGCTGGGATTACAGGCGTGATCCACCGCACCTGGCCCATAGTGTGAGATTTATTTTCACTATCCATCATTATCATGTAACAGCCACCCCAAAAGAAAGAGGCTCCCAAGGCAGAATTATATTTTGCATCTGCTCAAGTTTGCAGATTATAATATTTCATATACTTTAGGCCAGTGGTTCTCAAATATTTTGGTCTCAGGATCCCATTACAAAAGTCTATTTTTTGGCCAGGCACAGTGGTTCACGCCTGTAATCCCAGCACTTTGGGAGGCTGAGGTGGACAGATCACGAGGTCAGAAGTTCCAGAAGCCTGAGCAACATGGTGAAACCCCATCTCTACTAAAAATACAAAAATTAGCCGGGTGTGGTGGCTGCTGTCTGTAATCCCAGCTACTCAGGAGGCTGAGGCAGGAGAATCGCTTGAACCTAAGAGGCGGAGGTTGCAGTGAGCCAAGATCACACCACTGCACTCCAACCTGGGCGAGAGAGCAAGACTATGTCTCAAAAAAAAAAAAAAAGTCTAATTTTTGCTTAAAAGATTGAATTTTACTATTGGCAACAAGTATTGTCCGTTGTTTTCCTTGAAGTTATAAGCTCATGTCATTTATTAAAGAAAATTATCTGCCACAATAACCAAGACTGAATAATCATAGTTTGTTTGTGTCTTTCTTTCAAATAAAAATGGTGCTCCATGATAAAAGTGGCTAGGGCAGCTTGCAACTCAATCACACAATTATCAATCTTATGGGCATCTTATTTGTAAATGAAGCACTAATCACTAATTCATGTCTTCAATTAGTGTCCTACATTCTTTTTTTAAAATTTTAATCTTTTTTTTTTTTTGAGAGACAGGGTCTCACTCTGTCGCCCAGGCTGGAGTACAGTGGCACAATCTCGGCTCACTCCAACCTCTGCCTCCTGGGTTCAAGTGATTCTCCTACCTCAGCCTCTCAAGTAGCTGGGACTACAGGCATGCACCACCATGCCTGGCTAATTTTTGTATTTTTTGGTAGAGATGGGGTCTCACCATGTTGGCCAGGCTGGTCTCAAACTCCTGACCTCAAGTGATCTGTCTGCCTCGGCCTCCCAAAGTTCTGGGATTACAGGTGTGAGCCATTGCACCTGGCCGAGTTTAACATTCCTGACAGTACTTTACCTTACACTTCATTTGTATTTCATGTTAAACATAGACAGACACTTAAAACAGCTGCTGACTGCTTTAACTATTCTTACCAATACGGCGTTCCCACAAAGGAATTGGCAGGTGATGCCATGGAAGCAGAGCCAAAGTCAGCAAGTTTCACCTGGCCTGGTTCTGTCAGAAGGATATTTCCTGCTTTGATATCTCTAGGTTTAGGGAATACAGAAAATTACTTAACTTTCCCTCAATAGATTATGTTTAAAACGATAAAAATAAAACAAGAATTCATAGGATAGAGAAAGAGAAATCAAAATAATTAAGTGCTGGGGTAATCTCACAATTGGGATAAGGAGAATTAATATTCAAATTAGAAAACAAAAAACTACAGAATTCAAATAAACATATAGTAATAATTTTCTAAAAGAGAAGACAAATAGCAGTAAAAAAAAATTAGTTCATTGGAGCATAGTTTATATTTTAGTTTCTGTTTATTGGTAGAAACAATGGTTTTTAAAATATATTGCAATTAGCAAACAATCTCTTCATCATACGTAAGATTTCTGAGTATCCATACTTAACTTAAAAACAAAAAAGAAAATATAAAAGAACCTTATTCTCCAAACTTTTTAAAAGACTTATTCAAAATAAATAAATACATAAAGATGTATTCGTATCATTTCCAAACGTCAGCATAGTTTTCCTAAATATAAAATAAAAACTGAAATATATGGATAATGTAGTATCAATGATCCCAAATTTACTTTTCTGAAATAGCAAACATACTGTCTATATAAACTAAGAAAACATGTATTTATATAATAAGACTGTCCATCTAATTAGCATTATAATATATACTTAATCATTCAAAAATTAAAATAGAAATTAAAGTGCTGAATTTCCAAGCCCTTGTTAATTCTCACTATAATATTTTAGAGCATAACACGAAGTGAATCTATTTTTCCTCCATTTGATTTTTTTTAAATGGAGAGGTATCTTAAATTTGAGAAAACCTTAGGTTGAAATTCCAACTATGGCACTCACTTATTTACTAGCTTGTGGGTATCTCTCAGATCTTATCCTCATGTTAAAAAATGATAACCTATTAACTCACAATGACTCTATTATATAGTTTAAAACTCACTTATTTACTAGCTTGTGGGTATCTCTCAGATCTTATCCTCATGTTAAAAAATGATAACCTATTAACTCACAATGACTCTATTATATAGTTTAAAATGTACTGCCTGGTTCATATATGTAATAAGAAAATGCTAACTTTCTTCTAAAACAGCTAGAACCAATACCAGTGCCAAAAATACATTATAAAATGTTTTAACTTCAAAGTTACTATCCATTATCAAGGATTATCAAGGACCACAGCTCAAAAGCATAAGGAGTCTTAAGCAGCTTCTGTTTTTTTTTTTTTTTGAGACAGAGTTTCACTCTGTCACCCAGGCTGTACAGTGGTACAGTGTACAGTGTGTACAGTGGCACAATCTCAGCTCACTGCAAACTCCGCCTCCCGGGCTCAAGTGATTCTCTTCTCTCAGCCTCACGAGTAGCTGGGATTATAGATGCCTACAACAAAGCCCAGCTAATTTTCATATTTTCAGTGGAGACGAGGTTTTACCATATTGGTTGGCCAGGCTGGTCTCGAACTCCTGACCTCAAGTGATCCACCTGCCTAGGCCTCTCAAAGTGCTGGGATTACAGGTGTGAGCCACCTCGCCTGGCCTTAAGCAGCTTTTATTCGTCCATGTCATAGAATCAATGGAATAAATATGTCATTATCAGTTACCAAGAAGACAAAAGATCTAGATTTAGTTCTAGCTCTATCTACTCAGCTTTGCAACCTTTAGGAAATTAGTCACAAATTGAGACATCAGTGATTTTACCGGTAAAATGAGAAAGAAAAACTGTATGATTCTCTAATGCCCATTCCAGTTTGCAAATTAAATGATTCTATAGCTAAATTTCTACCACAAATCTAGAAAGTATACATATTTTTACAAGGTCCAGCAGCACATATAGGCAAAGATAAAAATTATCCTAGTGAGATAAAGTATACAACTATGTTCATTTTAGGACATGAAAAATCTAAAAAAATATGAGCTTATATTATTTTATTTGGCTTTAACCAATAAAAACTTTAGAGTTAATAAATTCTAAAGTTGGTATATGCAACAAGCCATTTACTTATCAATATATAATTTCCAAAGCACTTACCTATGAATCATAGTATGAGAATGTAAGTAGGCTAATCCCTGAAGAGCACCATGTGTAATTGCTGCTATTTCCACTTCTTGTAATGGCTTTTTGTGAACTTAAAATTTATTTCAAAATAATTAATACACAGAACATTTTTGTTAAAAAAATACATATCTAATACATGGGGCAATTTTTAAAAACTGATACTTAGCAAGAAGAGATTTATTTTCCAAGATGATAAAGATTATTAAACTTTATAACTTGTATGCAGTTGTGTCAGTTGTTAAAGTACAGTTCATAGCCAATTCTTCTCTTAGCTAACGATATTAAATAATTATTTGGTGATGTAAAAACAATAGTAACAGAGTTCTCTCTTTATTCTCACTTATCTTTGGTTTGAACAAGAGGAGCAGAATGACAGAGAATTCAGAAAAATACTTGTAAAGTCACAATGAGAAAACATGACTATTTTAAGCTACTGTATAACATATAATATTTAATAAGGACAGCATATACCATGCTGAGAATTTGAACAAGACTAAGAGTTCTGCTCTTTCTGGAAAGTTTTACATTATTTGGTATTAATATCATTTAAATAATGTCTAAATTATCATTTTATTCTGTGAATACTTTTTAAAAAATAATCAAAGGGAACTTACCTTCTAGTAAATCCGAAGCAGATCCTAAACAATATTCCATTACAAGCTACATGGAAAAGTTATAAAAGCATTAAAATATATTATTATAAAGATTTAATATAAATTTAAGATAAAATAAGTTCACACAGTAGATCAAGAACATAGTTTGAAGTAAAATTCTAGTCACCATTTACCTTAAAAAAATAGTTATATAGATATTACTCAGAATAATATATTTTTAAAATTTTTTAATAAAAAATAGTTATGTATTCAGTGATTTGTTAAATGCATAAAGTCAAGCCAATGATACATTAATCTTTTAATAATGCCAACATATAATCACTTCTATAAGCTGTGTATTTCATATATAATTACTAATTAAAATTATAAAGAAATACACTATTTCTTAAAAATGTACTATTCCATTACTACAAACCTATAGTAACAATATTGATCATCGTTAGAAGACAGAAAACTGTGTTCTCTAGAATTATATGTATAGTCAGCCCTTCACATCTGTGGGTTCTAGATTTGTAGATTCAACCAACTATATATCAAAAATAATTGAAAAAATAAAAAAATTGGCTGGGCACGGTGGCTCATGCCTATAATCCCAGCACTTTGGGAGGCCGAGGCAGGCAGATCACCAGGTTAGGAGATTGAGACCATCCTGGCACACACGGTGAAACCCCATTTATACTAAAAATATAAAAAATTAGCTGGGTGTGGTGGTGGGTGCCTGCAGTCCCAGCTACTCGGGAAGCTTAGGCAGGAGAATGGCATGAACCTGGGAGGCGGAGCTTGCAGTGAGCCGTGATTGCGCCACTGAACTCCAGCCTGGGCGACAGAGTGAGACTCTGTCTCAAAATAAATAAATAAATAAAATTTTAAAAAATGACAATATAACAATAAAAATAAAACAAAAAGCCAATATAACGTAACAACTATTTACATGGCATTCACATTGTGGTATTATAACTAATCTACAGATGATTGAAAAAATAATAGGTGGATGTGCCCAGGTTATGTGCAGATACTCCATTTTATAGAAGGGATTTGGTATCCTGGGGGTGGGTGTCCTGGAACCAAATCCCCCACAGATACTGAGGAAAAACTATACAAAGCTTAGGTTACAACTGTTTCTTTGAAAGCAAACACAGAGCACCTCCTATGTGCCAGGTATTTTTTATATAGTAACCAATTTAATCCTCAGAATAATCTTATGAGGTAGGTCCTATTAGTATCCTTGTTTTATGGTTGGAGAACCCTGAGAGGCAGAGAGGTTACCCATCTAATGTTACTTTTTCTTTAATCATAGCCTCAATTTTACAAGTCACCACTACCACTACCAAAACAAACTGGATAAAAATGCACCAAACACTACAAATCTAAATCTACAGTACGTATACTAAAATGATACTTAGCTGTGACTTATTAATTATTCAAAATAAGGGGCCATTCCTGGTAACAAAAGGGCAAAATAAATTTCTACTTCTTATAATAAAGTGCAACAATTCTCTATCTTTAGTGTTATTCGACCAAGGAATCGTGATCAGCTCAAATTTCACCAGGATTCACCCAAATTTCATCATGATCTTTCTGGTTAAATGCATTACAGTACATTTATGTCAAGAAAACATATGCTAACTTTCAACCTCAAGTAACATGATTGTTTTCACAATGTTTGAATGGTACTACTAAAACTGTCATAGGACATTTTATCATACATACAAAGGTCAACAGAATTCTGAAAAATCTCTGCAGTGAGACTTGCAAAAGTTCTATTATCTCTTACTGCCTACAAGTTCTAGGAAATATTGCTTGTTTTCTTTCAGTACGAACTAACATTTCAGGTGTTTTTGCATGCATTTACACAACCAGTATGAGATATTCTGAATTAATTCATTATAAACCAAAATCAGCTAAAACTGCAACAAGGGGAGAACAAATACCAACCCATGCTGTGTGTTCACGTAAATAACAGCCTTTGTATTCTATACTGTTGGGATGTTTTATTCTTTGTAGAAACTTGACTTCCTTAATAATATCCTGCCATTTCTGTGGGGAGAAAAAAGGTAAAGAATTATGAACAGGACTTTTCCTCAGAAAGTTATATAAGAATAAAAGTAATTACTAAATTTAGAAGAGTTAACAAGAACATGCAACTTTGCTTGGTTTTACTTATTTATTGGGAGGGTCTTGCTCTTTCACCCAGGCTGGAGTGCAGTGGCACAATCTCAGCTAACTGCAACCTCCATCTTGTGGGCTCAAGTGATCCTCCCACCTCAGCCTCCCAAGTATTTGGGTCTACAGGCGCACACCACCATGCTCATCTAATTTTTCTATTTTTTGTACAGATGGGGTTTCACTGCATTGCTCAGACTGGTCTCAAACTCCTGACCTCAAGTGATTCACTTGTCTTGGCCTCCCAAAATATGGTCATTTTTAGATAAAATGTCAAAATTAAAAAGTTTAAATAAATTATATTCAGCCAGGTACAGTGGCTCACGCCTGTAATCCCAGCACTTTGGGAGGCTGAAGCAGGTGGATCACAAGGTCAGGAGATTGAGACCATCCTGGCCAACATGGTGAAACCGTGTCTCTACTAAAAATACAAAAATTAGCTGGGCGTGGTGGTGTGCACCTATAGTCCCAGGTACTCGGGAGGCTGAGGCAGGAGAATAGCTTGAACACGGGAGGTGGAGGTTGCAGTGAGCCGAGATCGAGCCACACTGCACTCCAGCCTGGTGACAGAGCGAAACTCGGTCTCAAAAATAAAACAAATAAATAAATAAATAACATTCATATACAGGCATATCTCAATTTACAGCACTTTGCTTTATTGTACTTCACAGATGTTACTTTTTTTTTTTTAAAACAAATTGAAGGTTTGTAGCAATCCTGTGTCAAAGCAAGTCTACCAGCACCATTTTTCCAATAGCATGGGCTCACTTGATGTCTTTGTGTCACCTTTTGGTAACTCTCACAATATTTGAAACTTTTTCATCATTATTATTATATCTGTTATGGTGATCTGTGATCAGTAATTGTTTACATTACTATTGTAATTGTTTTGGGGAGCCATGAACTGTGCCCATATAAGATGGTGAATTTAATCAATAAACATGTATTCTCACAGTTCCACCAGCCAGCCATTCCCCAGTCTGTCTCCCTTTCCTTGGGCCTCCCTATTCTCTGAGACACAATAATGTTGAAATTAGGCCATCAATAACCCCACAGTGACCCCTAAGTGTTCAAGTGAACGGAATACTCACACATCTGTCACTTCAATTCAAAACTTACAAGTGATTAAGCTTAGTGAGAAAGGCATGTCAAAAGCTGAGACAGGCTTTGAAGCTAGGCCTTTTGCACCAAATAGCCAAGTTGTAAATGCAAAGAAAAAGTTATTGAAGAAAATTTAAAGTGCTACTCCAGTGAATATATGAATGATAAGAAGGTAAAACAAGTTTATTGTTGATGTGAAGAAAGCTTTAATGGTCTGGATAGAAAATCAAATCAGCGACAACATTCCCGTAAAACAAAGTCTAATCTAGAGGATGGCCCTAACTCTCTTTAACTCTACAAAGGCTGAGAGAGGTGAGAAAGCTGAAGAAGAAAAGTTGGAAGCTAGTAGAGGTTGCTTCATCAGGTTTAAGGAAAGAAATTATCTCCGTAAAATAAAAATGCAAGGTAGGCCGGCACGGTAGCTCACTCCTATAATCAATCCCAGCATTTTGGGAGACCAAGGCGGACAGATCACTTGAGGTCAGGAGTTCAAGACCAGCCTGGCCAACAAGGTGAAACCCCATCTCCACTAAACACACAAAAATTAGCCAGGTGTGGTGATGCGTGCCTGTAGTCCTAGCTACTAGGGAGGAAACGCAGAGGAAGGAGAATCGTTTGAACCCAGGAGGCGGAGGCTGCAGTGAGCCAAGATAGTGCCACTGCACTCTAGCCTGGGCAACAGAGAGAGACTCTGTCTCAAAAAAAAAAGAAAAAGAAAGAAAGAAAAGTGCAAGGTGAAGCAGCAAGTACTGATGTAGAGGCTACATGCAAGTTATCCAGAAGATCTAGCCAATGTGTCATTGATGAAGGTGGCTACATTACGCAACAGATTTTTTTTTTTTTTTTTTGAGAGTTTCACTCTGCCATCCACACTGGAGTGCAGTGGCATGATCTTGGCTCACTACAACTTCTGCCTCCTGGGTTCAAGCATTCCTCCTGCCACCACATCTGGGTAATTTTTCTATTTTCAGCAGAGACGGGGTTTCACCATGTTGGCCAAGCTGGTCTCGAACTCCTGGCCTCAAGTGATCCACCTACCTTGGCCTCCCAAAGTGCTGAGATTACAGGTGTGAGCCACCATGCCCAGTCAACAGATCTTCAGTGTAGATGAAATAGCCTTATATTGGAAGAAGATACCATCTAGGACTTTCATGGCTACAGAGCAACTATGAAATGCCTGGTTTCAAAGCTTCAAAGGACAGGCTGACTCTCTTGTTAGGGGCTAATGCAGCTTGTGATTTTAAGTTGAAGTCAATGCACATTTACCATTCCAAAACTCCTACTCTGCCTGTGCTTGTTCAATGAAACAACAAAGCCTGGATGACAGTACATCCATTTAAGCATGGTTTAGTGAATATTTTAAGGCCACGGTTGAGATTTACTGCTCAGAAAGATTCCTTTCAAAATATTACTGGTCTTTGCCCGTGTACCTAGCCACCCAAGAACTCTGATAGAGATATAAAAGGAGATTTATGTTGTTTTTATTCCTGCTAATACACCATCCATTCTGCAGCCCATGGATCAAGGAATAATTTTGAGTTCCAAGCCTTATTATTTAAGAAAGGCCAGCAGGGCACAGTGGCTCACGCCTGTAATCCCAGCACTTTGGGAGGCCGAGGCGGGCGGATCACCTGAGGTCGGGAGTTCAGGACTAGCCTGACCGACATGGAGAAACCCTGTCTCTACTAAAAAAATACAAAATGAGCCGGGCGTGGTGGTGCATGACTGTAATCCCAGCTACTTGGGAGGCTGAGGCAGGAGAATCACTTGAACCCAGCGGGGCGGAGGTTGCGGTGAGCCGAGATAGTGCCATTGCACCCCAGCCTGGGCAACAAGAGCGAAACTCCATCTCAAAAAAAAAAAAAAAAAGAAAGAAAGAAAGGCTATAGCAGCTGGGCATGGTGGTTCACGCCTGTAATCCCAACACTTTGGGAGGCCGAGGCAGGTGGATCACCTGAGGTCAGGAGTTCGAGACCAGCCTGGCCAACATGGCAAAACCCTGTCTCTACTAATAATACAAAAATCAGCCAGGCATGGGGATGCAGGCCTATAATCTCAGTTACTCGAGAGGCTGAGGCAGGAGAATCGCTTGAACCCGGGAGGCAGAGGTTGCAGTGAGCCGAGATCATGCCATTGCACTCCAGCCTGGGCGACAAGAATGAACTCCATCTCAAAAAAAAAAAAAACACACAACGGCTATAGCTGCCATAGACAGCAATTTGTCTGATGGATATGGGCAAAGTAAATTGAGAATCTTCTGGAAATAATTCATTCTAGATGCCATTAAGAACGTTTCCGACTCATGGGAGGGCAAATTAGCAACATTATCAGGAGTTTGCAATAAGTGGATTCCAACCCTCATGGATGACTTTGGGGGGTTCAATATTTCAGTGGAGGAAATAATTGCAGATGTGGTGGAAACAGCAGGAAAACTGGAATTACACATGGAGCCTGAAGATGTGACTACACTGCTGCAATTTCATGATAAAACTTGAGTGGATGAGAAACTATTTGTAATAGATGGGCAAAGAAAGTAATTTCTGAATATTACATAAACTTAGTTGATAAAGCAGTAACAGAGTTACAGAGGATGGACTCCAATTTTGAAAGTTTTATCATGGGTAAAATGCTGTCAAACATCATTGCATTCTACAGAGAAATCTTTTGTGAAAGAGAAAACTGATGGGCAAACTTCACTGTTGTCAGATTTTAAGAAATTGCCACAGCCACCTTAACCTTCAGCAACCACTACCCTGATCAGTCAGAAGCCATCAACATGGAAGCAAGATTCTCAACCAGCAAAAATAGTATGACATGCTGAAGGCTCAAATTATCATTAACTTTTTTTTAGAAATAAAATATTTTAAGCTGGGCGCGGTGGCTCACGCCTGTAATTCCAGCACTTTGGGAGGCCGAGGTGGGGGGATCACGAGGTCAAGAGATCGAGACCATCCTGGCCAAGATGATGAAACCCCGTCTCTACTAAAAATACAAAAAATTAGCCAGGCGTGGTAGCGGGCACCTGTAGTCCCAGCTACTCGGGAGGCAAGCAGGAGAATCACTTGAACCCGGGAGGCGAAGGTCGCAGTGAACCAAGATTGCGCCACTGCACTCCAGCCTGGCGACAGAGTGAGACTTCATCTCAAAAAAAAAAAAAAAAAAAAAAGAAAGAAAATATTTTAAAATTAAGGTACGTACACTGTCTTTTTTAGACAAAATGTTATTGCACACTTAATGGACTACGGTACTACAGTATAGCATGGACATATATATATATATATTTTTTAGATGAAGTCTTGTGTTGTTGTCCAGGCTGGAGTGCAGTGGCACAATCTTGACTCACTGCAGCCTTCGCCTCCTGGGTTCAAGTGATTCTTGTACCTCTTCCTCCTGGGTTCAAGTGATTATCCTGCCTCAGCCTCCCAAGTACCTTGGAATTACAGGCACCTGCAACCATGCCTGGCTAATTTTTGTATTTTTAGTAGAGACAGGGTTTTCCACCACATTGGCCAGGCTGGTCTCAAACTCCTGACCTCAAGTGATCCGCCTGCCTCGGCCTTCCAAAGTGCTGGGATTACAGGCGTAAGCCACTGTGCCAGGCCTAGACATAATTTTCATATGCACTGGGCACCAAAAAATTCATGTGACTTGCTTTATTATGATATTTGCTTTATTGTAGTGGTTGAGAACAAAACCCACAATATCTCCAAGTCATGCCTATAGTTTACAACTCAATTATATAATTTACAAAATTATTTCACTCAAGGTAGGTAAGACAAATTTGAGTTTGATAAAATTTATCATTAATGACTCATTAAAATTTTACAACCATACACCAATCATGTTGATAACTATATACCATATTCAGTGATTTTTCTTCAAAAGTCCAACCTTTCTTTTTTTTAATACAGTTTTATTGATATATAATTTATATACCATAAAGTTCACCTGTTGTGTTTTTGGCTCATTTCTATTACCAAATGTTAGGGTTTAACTCAAATGAAGTAATTCCTCTGAGATTTAAGTTCCTAAATGCAGACTCTAAAATGCTAGTGAATAATTAGCTATTATATATAAAAGTTCACAGAAAAAAACCAAGCAGTACAAAAATCTTTTCCTACATAGTTTACTAAGAGCCTTATTCACTAATACCTATACCTATCAGGAAATACAGTTAAACCTTTGGTCTTAAGCTACTTCATGACAACCTTAAATACTTAGGCCACATCCTAAACATAGTTACTCTTAAGAAGCAACCCAAGAACTCTAAAAATACAGATCCTTTGGTCCATACCCAGAAATTCCACAGATTTAGGAGGTGTGAGAGGAGGACTAGAAATCTGTTTTTGCTCTTTTTAATTATTTTAAGTTTTATCACTGATTTGGGCTATATTCTTAATGGCAAGGGAAGCAGTATAAATAGAATAAGAAATGTTGTATACTAGATTTAAGATCATATACCTCCTATGTTATTTCACAAGGCCTTAACAGAACACAGCAAAATATGTTCCGGTGTTTTGTGTAAAATGTGGAAGATACATTATAAAATGCTAAATCCAGAAAATCTGTTCTATGGTCTTTAAGTTTCAAATTTGAATAATCTGGAAGGCAGACTCAAAAAAATGTATTCCTTAACATAAAAAAATTTTCATGAAGGACGCCAACATTAGATATTAAAAGATGATGTGGTAAATGAAAATTTTTGTTCTAGGTGTGACTAATCAGACTCTGAAACAGACAGATATAGATACATATGTAGATATACATACACCCAATGGAATATTTTTCAGACTTAAAAAGGAAGGAAATTCTGACATAACTACAACATGGATGAACTTTGGGGATATTAGGTTACGTGATATAAGCTAGTCACAAACAGACAAATCCCAAATGATTCCACTTATATTAAGTACCTAGTCAAATTTATGGAGACAGAAAGTAGACTGGTGGTTGCAAGAGGCTGGGGAATTATTGCTTAATGACTACAGAGTTTTAATGTTGCAAGATAAAAAGAATTCTAGAGACGCATGGTGATAATGGTTGCACAACGTGAATGCACTTAATTCCACTGAAATGTGGAATTGAAAATAGTTAAAATGGCAAATTTTATGTTGTATTTTACCACAATTAAAAATAATTTTAAAAAATTTAAAGATTAAAGAGAATTCTAGAGTTTTTCTTTTTTCATTTATAAATATTTTATTTTTTGACTGAGATGGGGCGGGGGAGGGGGGATCTCACTATGTTCCCCAGGGTGGTCTCGAACTCCTGGGCTCAAAATGATCCACCCACCTCGGCCTCCCAAAGTGCTGGGATTACAGGTGTGAACCACAGTGCCAGGCAGAATTGCAGATTTTTAAAAGCAGACTACATTTCATAAATAAATTTATGAAATTAGGTAGAATATAATCTGAAGAGAACTAATTAGAATATTAGTGAACTAAAGTACATTCAATGTAGCATTAATAATTTCATTTTCTAATTTTTCAAATTGTTATACATTGCTCGTTTCTCAGACTAGATATACATTCATGTTGATTAAAGTTTGTTTAAAACAGGCATTAAACAATGTTTAAACCATTTTAAAGATCACAGGCTAGGTGCGGTGGCTCACGCCTGTAATCTCAGTACTTTGGGAGGCCAAGGCAGGTGGATTGCTTGAGGTCAGAAGTTCAAGACCAGCCTGGCCAACGTGGTGAAATCCCACCTCTACTAAAGATACAAAATATTTGCCAGGTGTGGTGGCAGGCGCCTGTAATCCCAGCTACTTGGGAGGCTGAGGCAGGAGAATTACTTGAACCTGGGAGGTGGAGGTTACAGTGAGCCAAGATCGCGCCACTGCACTCCAGCCTGGTGGACAGAGAGATGCTCTGTCTCAAAAAAAAAAAAGATCATATCCAGTATAATTTACTGTCAAGTACATCTTATTTTACTTTAATTTTTTAGAAACTGATAATCTTTCCAAGATAAACAGAGAATATTTAAAATGACAGTTTAAAAAATTAAGGCTGGGAGCGGTGGCTTACGCCTACAATCCAAGCACTTTGGGAGGCCGAGGCAGGCAGATTGCCTGAGGTCAGGAGTTCGAGAACAGTCTGGCCAACATGGTGAAACCCTGTCTCTACTAAAATACAAAAAATTAGCCTGGCATGGTGGCATGCACCTGTAGTCCCAGCTACTCAGGAGGCTGAAGCAGGAGAATTGCTAAAACCCAGGAGGCAGAGGTTGCAGTGAGCTGAGATCGCACCACTGCACTCCAGCCTGGGCAGCAGAGTGAGACTCCAGCTCCTAAAAAAAAAAAAAAAAATTGAAAGCAGGCCAAGCACAGTGGTTCACACCTGTAATCCCAGCATTTTGGGAGGCCAAGGCAGGTGGATCACCTGAAGTCAGGAGTTTGAGACCAGCCTGGCCAACATGGAGACACCCTGTCTCTACTAAAAATACAAAAATTAGCCAGGTGTGGTGGCGCACAACTGTAATCCCAGATACTCTGGAGGCTGAAGCAGGGGAACTGCTTGAACCTGAGAGGTGGCGAAGGTTGCAGTGAGCCAAGATTGTGCCACTGCATTCCAGCTTAGGTGACAGAGCGAGACTCTATCTAAAAAAAAATAAAAATAAATAAATAAATAAATAAATAAAAATAAAAGCAGGAAGCAAGAGTAGGGGGGATTTGGAGATACCAATAATGCTCTGTTTATGGCTCTCAGTACTATTAGAGTTAAATGGGTACATCGGTTTGTGAAAATAAATTCATTGAGATATACACTTAAGATGTGTATACTTCACCTGTTAACACTTAAAAAATTCCCACCCTTCCTCCCCAGTTAAAAATTATGTCTTCCTCTAACATACCAATAAGAATGTATATATTGGCCGGGCGCGGTGGCTCACGCCTGTAATCCCAGCACTTTGGGAGGCCAAGGCGGGCAGATCACGAGGTCAGGAGATCAAGACCATCCTGGCTAACACGGTGAAACCCATCTCTACTAAAAATACAAAAAATTAGCTGGGCGTGGTGGCGGGTGCCTGTAGTCCCAGCTACTCGGGAGGCTGAGGCAGGAGAATGGCGTGAACTTGGGAGGCGGAGCTTGCAGTGAGCCAAGATTGCACCACTACACTCCAGCCTGGGCTACAGAGGGAGACTCAGTCTCAAAAAAAAAAAGAATGTATATATTTATTCTGAGATAAATATAAGAAAAAAACAAGAATGTACATATTTAACCTACCTCAGTAGACTGCTTTCCACTATAAGACATTTTCTTGATGGCCACCACTTCATTGGTACGCACATCTCGTGCCTAAAGAAGAAAGAAAGAAAGAAGCACTGTAAAAATTAACAGGTGAAATCTAGGCAACTATTTCTTTGCGAATATAAAAGCATTTGTAAACTACCATGTCAAAAAGGACATCAAAACCACTTTTAAAGAAAATTTTAAAAATAACACTATACAGCAATACTTATAAAATTATCCTGGAGCTAGTGCTTTAAAAAGAAAATAAAGCAAAGTAAAAAAATAAGAAAATAAACCTTTGAGTAATCTGAGAAGAAAAATACAGAAATTTGAGTAGTACTATAAACAAAGAGACAATGCAATACAAGTGTATAAAAGTCTATGCTAATAAAGTTTGAAATCTCAATGAAACAGACAACTTTTTAAGAAAGAATAAATTACTAAAACTGACCTAAAGACAATAACATGAGTAAAACAATGATGGCAGATTGAAAAGAATACCAATGAATGATCTTTAACATAGTCTTCAGTGAAAAACAGTTTTACCAAAGGAACTTTCCAGAATATATAAGAGAAAAATAGAAGAGCTATCCCATTAATTTTACAAAGGCAGTTTAACCCTATAACTGAAACCTCATAAAGAGTACAAAATTGAAAGTTAGGTACCAATTGCATTTGTGAATATAGATGGGAAAACTCTAAAATTAGCAAACCAAATTTTACAGGGCATTAAAAGATTTTTCCTTTGGATAAAATATACTATTACAGGCTGGGCGTGGTGGCTCACACCTGTAATCGCAGCACTTTGGGAGGGTGAAGCGGGTGGATCACCTCAGGTCAGCAGTTCGAGATCAGCCTGGCCAACATGGTGAAAATCTATCTCTACTAAAAATATAAAAATCAGCCAGGTGTAGTGGTGCACGCCTGTAATCCCAGCTACTTGGGAGGCTGAGACAGGAGAATCGCTTGAAACTGGGAGTCGGAGACTGCAGTGAGCCATGACCGTGCCACTGCACTCCAGCCTGGACAGCAACTCTGTCTCAAAAAACAAAACACACAGGAATGCAAAAGATTTTGAAACTAGAAAAACATTTCATAATTCACCACATCTTTTAAAAGTCAAGGGGAAAAATATATATAAACTCTCAATAAATGCTGAAAATGTGAGACAGGCCTAACGCTAAATGTATTCAATTGTAGAGAAGGCCAAACTCTTAGAAAAACAAAATTAGCAAGGTAATTCCTCAACATATGCTGTCTATTGAAAACAACTGCTAATCAGGATCAAGACCAGACTCCTTAAAATGCTGTCATGATGATTATTTAATACTGTTGTGGAAAATCTGAAAAAAAAAAAAAAAAAAAAAAAAAAAGCACAGAAACTTGACAGTTAACTCTTAGAAAACAAGAGCGAAACTCCCACTATACACACAAAAAAAATAACTATTAAGAAAGTACAAGGCAATAGCTGTGAAATATTTAAAATGAGTTTAATAAAAGGGTTAGAAACCATCTCAAACCATCTGTGCAAGAACTCGTTTTCAATTCAGGCTCTAATGAATTCCCAAAGACAAAATGTTCTAAAACTGGATTGTAGTGATGGCTACAAAACTTGTATCTACTAAAAATAATTGAACTGTACACTTAAAACTGGTAGACCTCTGGTATGTAAATTATACCTCAAAAAACTTTTTTTTTAAAAAAAGGACAGCACCTGTAAAATTATACCTCAATAAAGGTTGCTTTAAAAAATTAAGTAAGGGCCAGGCGCGGTGACTCACACCTGTAATCCCAGCACTCTGGGAGGCAGAGACGCGCGGATTGCGAGGTCAGGAGTCCGAGACCAGCCTGACCAACATGGTGAAACCCCGTCTCTACTAAAAATACAAAACAGCCAGGTGTGGTGGCGCACGTCTGTAATCCCAGCTACTCAGGAGGCTGAGGCAGGAGAATCGCTTGAACATGGCAGGCAGAGGTTGCAGTGAGCCGAGATCATGCCATTGCACTTGAGCCATTGCAGTCCAGCCTGGGCAACAGAGTGAGAGTCCATCTCAAAAAAAAAAAAAAAAAAAAAAAAAAAAATTAAATAAGACCAGGCATGGTGGCTTATGCCTATAATCCCAGCACTTTGGGAGGCCGAGGCGGGTGGATCACTTGAGGTCAGGAGTTCAAGACCAGCCTGGCCAACTTGGTGAAACCCCGTCTCTACCAAAAATATAAAAATTAGCCAGGCATAGTGGCACATGTCTGTCGTCCCAGCTACTCGGGAGGTTGAGGCACAAGAATCGCTTGAACCCAGAAGGCAGAGGTTGCAGTGAGTTGAGATTGCGCTACTGCACTCCAGCCTGAGCAACAGAGACCCTGTATCAAAAAAAAAAAAAAAAAAAAGACAGAGCTTATTATCTGTGTTCTGCTACATGAGTACAGTGAAGAACTAAGGACATTTTAATTTCAACTGCCAGTGGATTGGTTAGTGGAAACCTGTACCATTCACTGTAAAGGGTGAAGTAGATCTAGCCACATAAGTCTTGTTAGATATGAATTTCTTTTTCCAAAATGTTCTCTACTCACCTACCTGTGAGCCCCCTGATTTTGATTAATAGGACTAAAAGGTCATATAACAGCTTTATTGAGAAATAATTCATATACCATATAATTTACCCATTTTAATGTACACAATTCAATGGCCTTTAGTACATTAGCAGATATGTGCAACCATTAGAACGGTCAATTACAGAACATTTTTTTTTTCTTTTTTTTTTTTTTTGAGATGGAGTCTCGCTTAGTAGTCCAGGCTGGAGTGCAGCGCTGCGATCTTGGCTCACTGCAAACTCTGCCTCCCAGGTTCATGCCATTCTCCTGCCTCAGCCTCCTGAGTAGCTGGGACTACAGGTGCCCGCCACCACGCCCAGCTAATTTTTTTGTATTTTTTTTTTTTTAGTAGAGACGGGGTTTCATCGTGTTAGCCAGGATGGTCTCGATCTCCTGACCTCATGATCCATCTGTCTTGGCCTCCCATAGTGCTGGGATTACAGGCGTGAGCCACCGCGCCTGGCCCATAAACTCTTTAGCTATCAGTCTCCTGTCTCCTTACCTACCTCCCAGACCTAAGCAGTAATTTACTTTCTGTCCCTAGAGATTTGCCCATTCTGGACATTTCATACAAATGTAATCATATATGTGGTCTTTTGTAATTGACTTCTTTCATTTAGCATAATGTCAAAATTCATGACTAATGAGGTTGAGGATCTTTTCATGTGTTTCTTGGCCATTTGCATATTTTCTTTGAAGAAATCTTGATTCAAGGTCCTTTGCCTATTTTTAAAATTGAGTGTCTTTTTATTATTGAGTTGTAAGAGTTCTTCATATATTCAAGACCCAGGTCCCTTGTCAGATATATCATTTGCAAATATTTTCTCCTGTTGTCTTTTCACTGCTTTGAAGCAGGAAAGTTTTTAATCTTGAAGAAGTCCAATTTATCCTGTTGTTGTTGTTCACACTTTTAATGTCCCATCTAAGAAGGCTTTGCCAAAACAAATGTTATGCAGATTTATCCCTACATTTTCTTCTAAGAGTATTATAGTTTTAACTGTTAAACTTACGTCTCTCATCTATTTTGAGTTAATTTTTTTTTTTTTTTGAGATGGAGTCTTGCTCTGTCACCCAGGCTGGAGTGCGGTGGCGCAATCTCGGCTCACTGCAACCTCCACCTCCCGGGTTCAAGTGATTCTCTTGCCTCAGCCCCCGGAGTAGCTGGGATTACAAGCACATGCCACCATGCCCGGCTAATTTTTTTTATTTTCAGTAAAGATGGGGTTTCGCCACGTTGGCCAGGCTGGTCTCAAACTCCTGACCTTGGGTGATCTGCCCGCCTTGGCCTCCCAAAGTGCTGGGATTACAGGCATGACCCACCGTGCCTGGCCTGGGTTAATTTTTGTATATAGTATGAGGCAGCAGTCCAATTTCATTATTTTGCATTTACAAAGCAAAAAATTACCTAAAACAAAAATTATGGCATTGTATTATATGTTTATAATATATGTAGATACAATACATATGACAAGAATAGCATAAAGAATATGGAAAGGGATAAATAATTTCTACATTTTACTTGACATGATAGAATATTAACAAATGAACTTGAAAAAAAGATGGAATGTTCTAGTAGAAAGTAACAGTAAGAAAAGCTTGCAAAAGTGTTTGTTTACATAATAAAACACTGTGTAGAACAGAACCAAATGAACTATAAGTAACTAACAAAGAACACAATACTACACATCATCTATTCTCACCTCCAGAGAGAAAAAGAGCAAAAACAAAATAAGTTGTAGTCCTAAAGACAAACTAGATGCTGTTGAGAGAAAAACGGGAACAGAAATAGTCAGAGAGAGTAGGAAAAAGAAAATACACACAATAAATAATTTTGTTTCAAACTAGGAAATTGTCTGTGAAGATACATTTGGGATCTATTTTAATAAATTCATAAGAATGATCTGAAATCACTACATCAATTAATTATATATAAATGGTCTTATGAGACTAATGTGAACAACACCAAACAATTTACTGTAATCACTGAAAATATAAAACTTGCAAACCTGCTAAGGGAGCACAGATTAGTAAAATCTTATACTAGGAAACAAGAGGTAAATATTACATCCCGTTTCAAGAAATGAACAAAACCCCACTTTGTTAGAAAGTAAATAAATGATTTTGCTGGGACCATACATGGTCTACCATATTTGTTAGCAAGCTGCCTGGTTCCCAAGCCAGTGTTCTCTTTGGCTTTTATATTATATTTCTTATTGTGTGACCCATCTACTGACATCACATTGGTTCTATTTAAGGTGTTGGAAACTAAAAGATTATGTTTATCTTCCTGGTAATCTAGAGACAGTGATCCTTTTGGACATCTGACTCTGGTTTAGTTTCAAATACTCACTACGGTACCAGTCCTTGATTAGCTTGCCTGATGAAACAGCCATGCTGGCTGACTCAATTTGAGTATTTTTTAATTTAAGGTGATCCCTGCCAATTAATTAAAATTCAGAAGTGTGTTAAAGAGCTATTTTTAGCCACCTAAAAAAATTTGACCAGAGGGTCCTTCCTTTAGATAGTCTATAAACAAACACTGCACATTTCATCCTGTCATGGAGTGGGGATGAGAGGAAATGTAACAACAGAACAGTGTGTGCATGGGTTTCTCTGATACCACAAAATATGAAGATTAGTGACCCAGAAATAGAATTGCAGCAAAAAGATTCAATTCTGGACTACATTCAAACTTTCCTCATCTACATGTTCATGTTTCCCACACATCAATAAACATAACAGAAAAAACCTGCTTTGAGTTAATTAACCTTGACTCCTCTGTGCTTTCATTCAATTGTTTCTGGGATGGTCCTAACCTGAATTGGAGAGTTTCCTGGCCCCCTAAATCAGCATTAAAAAAAAAAAAAATTTCGCTCTCTACATTTCATTACACAAATCTGTCAAACATATGACAAAGTTGGCACAGCACAGTGAACCCTTCTTATGCCTTCCTTTAGATCAGAAGTGAGCAAAGTTTTTCTCCAAAAGGCAAGTAGTAGAAATTTCAGGCTCTGTGGGCCGCATACAATCTATGTTGCATATTCTTCTTTATTTAATGTTAAAACTGTCCTTAGTTTAGGAGCTGAACAAAAACACATCACAGGTTGGATTTGGTGTCAGGGCTGAGGTTTGTTGGCCCTGTCTATAGAAAAATTCTTGGTTAACATTTTGCCACATTTCCTTTGAGATTTTCTATCTAAATATACCTTTTGTTATCATTATTTTATAATTAAAGAGCCATTAGAGAATATTCTGATCCTTAGTCCTAAAACACTTCTTCATGTATCTCCTAAGAACAAGAACATTCTCATGAATAACCAAAGTACAATTACCGTATGTAGAAAATTCAGCACTGATATAATATCATTATCCAGATGCATACATAGTACGCACTCAAATTTCACCAACGTTTGAGTAATGCTCTTTACAGGCTTTTTTTTTCTAATCCAGGATCACACATTATGCCTAATTTCCGAGTCTCTCCTAAACCAGCTCCAGATATCTGACTTAGAACAATTTGTTTTTGTTTTCTCGTTAGAATCTTATTTCTGAGACTATGAGACCTTCAACTACAGCTCTCTGAAATAATCCAGTTTGGGTAGAAGAATCTTAGCAATTATTACATAAGGAGGTGCAAACAACAGAGAATCACTTCCTCTCACTCTCTTTAATAATTCTACTCTAGGAGTGAGACACTACCACATGCGCCCTTTATCTTATCAGAATATAAATGCTCTTTATTCTACTGATTAAAACTTTCATTCTCAACTGTTTACTTACCTCTCCACTCTCACTGCTACTAACTAAGCTCTCTGCATTTCTTTCCTAAATTATTATAAAAGCATCCTAATCAGTCTCTCTGCTTCGATCTCTGATACATGCCAACCTTTCCTCTACATTAATACAAGAGTAAACTTTACTTCACAAATGGAAATAAAATATTTCTGTTGTACTTCAGTGGTTCCCTGAAGACTTCAGAATAAAGCCCATATTTCTTAGGGTAATGTAGCAGGTATTTCAAGAGCCCTTGATTATCTTTCTTTTCTCCCATTACATCTTTAGTTCCCACTATACCCTTGATCCTAGGCATACCAACTTCAGTCATACTTGTCAAAAAAGACTACTGACAGGCCGGGTGTGGTGGCTCATGCCTGTAATCCCAGAACTTTGGGAGGCCGAGGCGGGTGGATCATGAGGTCAGGAGTTCGAGACCAGCCTGGCCAACATGGTGAAACCCGGTCTCTACTAAAAATACAAAAATTAGCCAGGTGTGCTGGCAAATGCCTGTAATCCTAGCTACTCAGGAGCCTGAGCCAGAAGAATTGCATGAACCCGGGAGGTGAAGGTTACAGTGAACTGAGATCGTGCCACTGCACTCTAGTCTGGGTGACAGAGCGAGACTCCGTCTCAGAAAAAAAAGACTACTGACAAAGTTCTAGAATTGGGATAATGCAATTTTATAGTTTTATTTTGAAAAAGTTAAATCATTGATATTTTGCCAAGATGGGTCTTTGTCTCTTTAATAAAAGGAAAAGGGCAAGAAACATTACTTTCACCACTTTGTAGATCATATAGGCAGGCCTAAAGAGGTCTGAGGAAAACCTGCTGAAATTCAAAACTTTCCAATATAACAATGAAAGACCCACTGCTCCAAAACACCACATCTTTACAGAAGGATATATGAAAAGCCCAGGTAAGTACAAATAATATGACTAGTGAGGATGTGGAGAAAAGGGAACCCCTGTACACTGTTGGGAATGTAAATTAGCACAACCACTATGAAGAAGAGTTTGGATGGAGGTTCTCCAAAACACTAGAAATAGAGCTACCATATCATCCAGCAATCCAACTATTAGGTATATGCCCAACATAAAGGAAATTAGTATTATCAAAGAGATATCTGCACTCTCATGTTTATTGCAGCACTATTCACAACAGCCAAGAGCTGGAAACAATGTAAGTGTCCACCAACAGACAAATAGATAAAGAAAATGTGGTACATTTATACAATGAAGTACTATTCGGCCATAAAAAAAGAATGAGGCCGGGTGTGGTGACTCATGCCTGTAACTGGGAGGCTGAGGCAGGTGGATCACTTGAGGTCAGGAGTTCGAGACCAGCCTGGCCAACATGGTGAAATCCCGTTTCTACTAAAAATAAAAAAAAACAAACAGCCGGGCGTGGGGGCGGGCGCCTGTAATCTCAGCTACTCGGGAGGCTGAGATAGGAGAATCACTTGAACCCAGCAGGCGGTGTTTGCAGTGAGCTGACAAAGCAGGCAATATATGTAAAACAATTATATAAAATTACCAGAGAGCAACAAATGCAGGCATAACTTTAGAGACTACAATCCTTGAAAAAAACAACAGTATGCAAAATGAACTCCAAATTTACCCCAGCTTCATCTCTGAACTTGTGAAAGGAAAACAGAGTCCAAGAAGAAAGCCAGGCTGAGGAGACAGAAGCCAGAGTCAGAAGCTAACAAAAGCACAATCTCAGAAAAGGAAGCTGAAAAGCAGAAGCTCAAAAATCTACAAATTCTCCTTAAGTAACCGGCCAACATGGTGAAACCCCATCTCTAGTAAAAATACAAAAATTAGGCTGGGCAAAGTGGCTCATGCCTATAATCTCAGCACGTTGGGAGGCCAAGGCGGGTGGATCTCTTGAGGTCAGGAATTCAAGACCAGCCTGGCCAACATGGTAAAATCCTGTCTCTACTAAAAATACAAAAAAATAAAAAATAAAAATAAAATAAAATTACCTGGGCGTGGTGGCGCACGCCTATAATCCCAGCTACTCGGCAGGCTGAGGCAGGAGAATTGCTTGAACCCAGGAGGCAGAGGTTGCAGTGGGGCGAGATTGCAATACTGCATTCCAGCCTGGGCAAAAGAGTGAGACTCTGTCTCACAAAAAAAACAAATAAAATAAATAAACAAAAAATAGAAATACAAAAAACTAATCAGGTGTGGTGGCGCATGTCTGTAATTCCAGCTACTGGGGAGGCTGAGACACGAGTATCACTTGAACCCAGAGGCAGAGGTTGCAGTGTGACAAGATTGTGCCATTGCACTCCAGCCTGGGTAAGAGAGCGAGACTTCGTCTCAAAACAAAAACAAAACAAAACAAAAAAAACCATATTGAAATACTACTACACACCCACCAGAATGCAAATTAAAATGACTGTCAATACCAAATGTTGGAGACGATAAAGAGCAAACCAAATTCTCATACACTGCTGATGGGACTGTAAAATTTCTCCCTCTTGATAAAAACATCTGGGAATTGATTATAAAACTAACATAAGCTTGCCTGATGACTCAATAACCCCATCCTTGATATTTACTGAAATCAAAACATCCATAAAAAATAACTGTGCATGAATTGTTCACAGCAACTTTATTCATAATAGCCAGAAACCGTAAACAGTAAAGCTTTCTGCCAACAAAAGAATGGAGAAACAAACTGTGGAGTAATCATATAACAGTGTTATGGTTAATTTTTTTTTTTTCAAGATGGAGTCTCACTCTGTCGCCCAGGCTGGAGCCCAGTGGCGCAATCTCGGCTCACTGCAAGCTCCACCTCCCGGGTTCACGCCGTTCTCCTGCCTTAGCCTCCCAAGTAGCTGGGACTACAGGCGTCCGCCACCACACCCGGCTAATTTTTTGTATTTTTAGTAGAGATGGAGTTTCACCGTGTTAGCCAGGATGGTCTCGATCTCCTGACCTCCTGATCTGCCTGCCTCGGCCTCCCAAAGTGCTGAGATTACACGCGTGAGCCACCGTGCCTGGCCTTTTGTTATGGTTAATTTTATCTGTCAACTGGGCTAGGCCATGGTACCCAGATCTTTAGTCAAACACTATTTATATGTTTCTGCGAAGGCATTGTTTGGATGGCACTTAAATCAGTAAACTCAGGCAAGGTGCAGTGGCTCACGCCTGTAATCCCAGCACTTTGGGAGGCCGAGATGGGTGGATCGCTTGAGGTTAGGAGTTCAAGACCAGCCTGGCCAACATGGTGAAACCCCGTCTCTACTAAAAATACAAAAATTAGCCGGGCATGGTGGTGCGCACCTGTAATCTTAGCTACTCAGGAGGCTGAGGTGGGAGAATCACTTGAATCCAGGATGTGGAGGTTGCAGTGAGCCGAGATCACGCCATTGCACTCCAGCCTAGGTTACAGAGCCACACTCCATCTCAAAAAAAAAAAAAAAAAAAAAGGCCTGGGGTGGTGGCTCACGCCTGTAATCCCAGCACTGTGGGAGGCCGAGGCGGGCGGATCACCTGAGGTCAGGAGTTCAAGACCAGCCTGGCCAACATGGTGAAACCCCATCTCAACCAAAAAATACAAAAATTAGCCAGGTATGGTGGCATGCACCTGTATATTCCCATCTACTTGGAAGGCTGAGGTGGGAGGGGTGCTTGAACCCAGGAGGCAGAGGTTGCAGTGAGCCAGGATCATGCCACCGCACTGCAGCCTGGGAGACAGAGACAGAGTGAGACTCTGTCTCAAAAAAAAAAAAAAAAAAAAAAGAAAAAGAAAAAAAGAGAAGAAAAGAATGGGAGAACGTTACAGAAATAGAACTATATGGCCAGATGCTGTGGCTCACGCCTGTAATCCCAGCACTTTGGGAGGCCGAGGAAGGCGGATCACAAGACCAGGAGATCGAGACCATCCTGGCTAACACAGTGGAACCCCGTCTCTATTAAAAATACAGAAAATTAGCCAGGCGTGGTGACAGGCGCCTGTAGTCCCAGCTACTTGGGGGGCTGACGCAGGAGAATGGAGTGAACCCGGGAGGCAGAACTTGCAGTGAGCTGAGATCACACCACTGCACTCCAGCCTAGGCGACAGAGCGAGACTCCGTTTTAAAAACAAAACAAAACAAAAAAAGAAATAGAACTATATGAGAACATTATAGGTTGAGTATACCTTGTGCAAAATGCTTGGGACCAGAAGTGTTTCAGATTTCAAATTTTTTCACATTTTGGAATATTTGCATTACACTTACTGGCTGGGTATCCCCAGTCTGAAAATCCAAAATCTGAAATGCTCCAACAAGCATTGGATTTTCAGATTTGGGATGCTCAACCTGTAATAGACAAATTCCTAGAAACTTACAAACTAAACTAACTCAAGAAAATCGAAAATCTCAACAGACCTATCATAAGTAAAGAGATTGAATCTGTAATCAAAAACCTCCCAAGAAAGAAAACTTCAGAACCAAATGGCTTCCCTAGGAAATTCTACCAAACATTTTTTTTTTCCCGGAGACAGAGTCTCGCTCTATCCCCCAGGCTGGAGTGCAGTGGCATGATCTTGGCTCACTGCAACCTCCACCTCATGGACGGGTTCAAGCGATTCTCATGCCTCAGTTCCCCGAGTAGCTGGGACTACAGGCATGCACCACCACACTCAACTTATTTTTGTATTTTTAGTAGAGACGGGGTTTTGACATGTTGTCCAGGCTGGTCTCGAACCCCTGACCTCAGGTGATCTGCCTGCCTTGGCCTCCCAAAGTGCTGGGATTACAGGCATGAGCCACCGCGCCCGGCCCTACCAAACATTTAAAGAAGACTAATACCAATCCTTCACAAACTCTATCAAAAAATAGAAAAGAAGGGAACACTTCCTAACTCACCCTATGAAGCCAGTATTACCCTGATGCCAACACTAGATAAAGACATCACAAGAAAACTACAGACCAGCATCTCTTACAAATGTGGAATGAAAAATTCCCAACACCATACTAGCAAACAGAAACCTAGAGCATATTAAAAGAATTACAAACCGTGATGAAGTTTGATTTATCACAGACATGTAAGGGTGATTTAAACTAACAAAATCAATCAATTTGATATACCACATTAATAAAATGAAGGAAAAAAAAAACACATGATCCAGCTTGATGCAGAAAAGGCATTTGACAGAATCCAATACTTTCATGATAAAAACACTCAAAAAAACAGGAATAAAGGGAACTTCTTCAACATGATAAAGGGTATTTATTAAAAACCCAGTGCTAACACCATACTCAATAGTAAAAGGCTGAAAAGGCTTTCTCACTACTATCAGGAACAAGACAACATGCTCACTTTCACCACGGCTGTTCAACACTGTACTGGAAGTTCTAGCCCAGGGTATCAAGACAGGAAAAACGAAAGCCATTCAAGTTGAAAAGAAAGAAGTAAAACCATCTCCATTTGCAAATGATATAATACTGTACGTAGAAATTTCAAAGAATCCAACAGAAAGATACTAGAACATACAAACTCAGCAGAGTTGTAGGGTACAAGATGAAGATACAAAAAACAGCTATGTTTCTATACATCAGCAATGAACAATTTCACACGGAATTAAGAAAGTAATTCCACTTACACTAGCATCTAAAAGAATAAAATACGTAGGAATGACCAGATGCAGTGGCTCACACCTGTAATCCCAGCACTTTGGGAGGCTGAGGCAGGCAGATCACTTGAGGTCAGGAGTTCAAGACCAGCCTGGCCAACATGGTGAAACCCTGTCTCTACTAAAAATACAAAAATTAGCCAAGTGTGGTGGTGTGTACCTGTAATCCCAGCAACTTAGGAGACTGAGGCAGGAGAATCACCTGGGAGGCAAAGGTTGCAGTGAGCAAAGATCGTGCCACTGTACTCCAGCCTGGGTGACAAAGCAAGACTGTCTCAACAAAAAACAAAAAATACCATCCTGGCTAACACAGTGAAACCCCGTCTCTACTAAAAATACAAAAAATTAGCTGGGCATGGTGGCATGCTCCTGTAGTCCCAGCTACTTGAGAGGCTGAGGCAGGAGAATCATTTGAACCCAGGAGGCCGAGGCTGCAGTGAGCCGAGATCGCACCACTGCACTCTAACCTGGGTGACAGGGTGAGACTCCGTCTCAAAAACAAAAAAAAAACAAAAAAACAAAAAAACCTAAGAATATGTTGCATGGAGGTGAAACATTTGCAACTAAATGCAAAATAATGCTCAAGGAAATTAAAGCTATAAATAAATGTTTAGAAAGACATTCTGTGTTCATGGATCAGAAGACTTAATATTATTAAGACAGTGATCTATAGATCTACCAAAAGTGATCTATAGAGTCAACACAATCCCTATCAAAATTCTAAGTCTTTTTTTGCAGAAATAAAAAAGCCACGTCAACTGGAAAGTGGTAATAAGAAAAAAAAAAGCCAATCCTCAAATTCATATGAAATTTCAAGGAGCTCTGAAACAAACCTTAAGAAGAATAACAAAGTTGGAGGAATAAAACCTCTTGATCTCAAACTTACCACAAAGCTACAGTCATCAAAACGGTGTGGTACTGACATAAAGATAGACATACAGATAAATGGAATAGAATTAAGAGATCAGAAATTAATCTATGAAATATGATCAACTGATTTGACAAGGATGCCAAGACAATTCAATGGGGGAAATAACAGTCTCTTTAACAGATGTACTGGGAAAACTAGATTTACCCACACAAAAGAATGAAGTTGGGGCCAGGTGTGGTGGCTCACACCTATAATCTCAGCACTTTTGTGAGGCCAAGGTGGGTGGACTGCTTGTGCCCAGGAGTTCAACACCAGCCTGGGCAACATAGCAAAACCCCATTTCCAAAAAAAAAAAAAAGCAAAAAAATTAGCTGGGCCTGGTGGTGCACGCTTGTGGTCCCAGCTATTCTGGAGGCTGAGGTGGGAGGAACACCTGAGCCCACGGAGGCTGAGGACGTAGTGAGCCATGATGACTCTGCTGCACTCCAGCCTGGGCAACAGAGTGAGAGACCCTGTCTCAAAAAAAAAAAAAACAAAAAAACCTAAGTGAATGAAGTTAGACCTCTACCTCACACCATATATAAAAACTAACTCAAAATATAGCTAGACATGGTGGCATGCACCTGTAATCCCAGCTACTCGAGAGGTTGAGGCAGGAGAATTGCTTGAACCCGGGAGGCGGAGGTTGCAGTGAGCTGAGAACGCACCACTGCACTCCAGCCTGGGCAACAGAGCGACGCTCTGTCTCAAAACAACAAAAACAAAACAAAACAAAAAATCTAACTCAAAATAGGCCAGGTGTGGTGGCTCACACCTGTAATCCCAACACTTCAGGAGGCTAAGGCAAGAGGATCACTTGAGGTCAGGAGTTTGAGACCAGCCTGGCCAACATGGCAAAACCCCGTCTCTACTTAAAAGACAAAAATTAGCCAGGGGTTAGTAGCACGTGCCTATAGGAGATCGAGACCATCTTGGCTAACACGGTGAAACGCTGTCTCTACTAAAAATACAAAAAATTAGCCGGGCGTGGTGGTGGGCGCCTGTAGTCCCAGCTACTCGGGAGGCTGAGGCAGGAGAATGGCATGAACCCGGGAGGCGGAGCTTGCAGTGAGCCGAGATCGTGCCATTGCACTCCAGCCTGGGCAATAGAGCGAGACTCCATCTCAAAAAAAAAAAAAAAAAAAGTAAGCCAGAAACTAAAGGTCAAATATTGTACGATTTCTTTTTTATGAAGTATCCAGAATAGGCAAATCCATAGACATAGAACAAAGACTGGTGCAGCTGCTGTGGTGCAGTTAGGCAGTCCCACAAACAAACACAGAATACTATAGGAACCTGCAAATCCACTCCTAGGTACATACTCAAAATTGAAAACAGGGACTCAACCAGATACACATCAATGTTCATGGCAGCATCATTCACAATAGTCAAAAGTGGAAACAACCCATGTGTTCATCAACAGATGTATAGATAAACAAATTATGGTTTAATATACAATGGAATATTATTCAGCTATAAAGAAGAATGAAGTTCTCACAGATACTGCAATATGGATGAAGCTCAAAAACAATCAGTTAAATAATATAAGCTAGAAACAAAAGAATAAATATTGTTTGACTCCATTTCTATGAATATCTAGAAATATCTAAGCAAATTCATCGAGACCAAGGGAGATTACAGGTACCAGGGGCTGGGTGGAGGGTGAAATGGGAGTTACTGTCAGTGGATATAGAGTTTCTATTTCAGGTGATGAAAATGTTTTAGAAGTAGATGGTGGTAATGTTTGTGCAAATGTTAAAAAATAATTAAAACAGCAAATTTGATAAGTTTTTTTAATTCACACGCACACACAAATGCATATAAAAGAAACAGACTTTGGTATATCTGTCAAATAATAATCCTAGACCTCCACAAGACTAAGATTGACTCTGAATGGGACTTTACAGAAGTAGAAATCAGTGGAAGTCTGTGTTCTGCAGTATTTAACTCTATAGCAATGCAAGCCATGAGACTTATAAAAAAGGTGTGCTAAGAATTCTAAAAAAGTAACACATAAGTTAAAGCAAATTTTTTTCTTTTTCTTTCTTTCATTTGTTTATTTATTTATTTATTTATTTATTTATTTTTTGTGACAGGATCTGCTCTGTTGCCCAGGCTGAAATGCAGTGGTACAATCTCGGCTCACTGCAACCTCTGCCTCTTGGGCTCAGGTGATTCTCTGGCCTCAGCCTCCTGAGTACCTGGAACTACAGGTGTGCACCACCACACCGGGCTAAGTTTTGTATTTTTTGTAGAGGCAGGGTTTCACCATGTTGCCCAGGGTGGTCTCAAACTGCTGGACTCAAGCAATCCACCCAACCTTGCCTCCCAAAGTGCTAGGATTACAGGCGTGAGCCACCAAGCCTGGCCCACAAAATAATATTCTTTCTCATTTTTTCAATAATCCAAGAAGTTCAATAAATAAAACTATTTTCATATTTGAATTTTACACACAGACACACACACTCACCCACGCTCTCGCTCTCGCGCTCTCTCTCTTCCCCCTATGCAAGTGACTATAAAATGACTATGGCCTATATCTCTTTTCATTACTATATTTTGCTCTGTCAGGAGTGGACATTAAGTAAATTTTAGTCACTGACATCAAGCCACTAACACTTACAAAATACACTGCTCCAAAGCTTCCATGGCCAATTTCTCTGAGATCTGTGAAGAGCTTCTCTGGATCTTCTTTGAAGAAGAGCTCTGCAATTTCAGGGTCCTTCAGGCTGCCTGCTCTGTTAGTTGATGGCATCCTGCTGAGCAGTCAGCTGTCTTGATTCTAATTTTATACTGCTATCCCGATCCTTGGTTCATCTGTATGAATGAAGTCACGTTGGCATAAACTACTGTAGAAAAATAGAAAAAAAAAGTCAGAAAAGGCAAAAACTGCTAAGAATAATTAGTATAAGGTCATATACTGATCTACAAATTTATCTCATGTCTAGAATTTCACTGAAAAGGCAGTGTGGGTACTACTGCAGTAGCTCCTAAACCTGTTTCATCATCATGAACACCATGGTACTTCAAAAACAGATTCCTACTATACAGCACTTTAAAAAAATGAGATAATCTTTGTATCTTGGGAGGTTTTCTAAGTCAATACTTAAAAATGTATCCACTTCTGATGCAGTCATCTCATCAATAGAGAAGATAATATAAAAGAGACTATTTTAAAAATACACAATAACGCAAGATGTGCCCACAGTATTTCTGACAACAGGAAACTTCTTTTCTTTTCAGATACCGTATGCTAGTGTACTAATCAACTCTAACAGACATTCAAAGAAAAATATAGTGGGAGAAAGTAATGTATTTCACAGACAACTGTTTCTCCATAAACTTGATTCACCTGATTCACATTAAAATATGCCCTTTATCAACTGTTTCATTAAATAAGTAGAAATACAGATAACCAGAAAACTTCCTGGCAGTTGTCCTATCAATTCCTTTATATCAGATTACCCAGTTTTAATACTGGCTGTCATAGCCAGACTCAGTGGCTCATGCCTGTAATCCCAGCTCTTTGGGAGGTCAAGGCAGGAGGATCGCTTGAGACCAGGAGTTCATGACCAGCCTGGGTAATATGGTAAGACCCTGCCTCTACAAAAATAAATTTAAAAAATTAGCCAAGAGTGGTGTCATGCACTTATAGTCCTGGCTACTTTGGCGGCTAAGGCGGAAGGATCACTGGAGTTCAGGAGGTCAAGGTTGCAGTGAGCTATGATCACACCACCGCACTCCAGCCTGGGCAACAGGGTGAGATCCTGTCTCAAAACAAAACAAAACAAAACTGGATGTCATAATTAAGAGGCTTTGGAACCTGGACTCTGGAATGACACTGCTGGATAGGAATCCCAGCAACACTAGTTCTGAAATTAGGTAGTATCATTTTCCTAATCTGTAAAATGACTATAGGCCAGGTGTGAAAGTTCACATCTGTAATCCAAGCATTTTGAGAGGTCAAAGTGCAAGGATCACTTGCGGCCAGGAGCTTGAGACCAGCTCAGACAACACAGCAAGATCTTCCAATACAAAAAAATTACAAAATTAGCTGGGTGGTGTGGTGTGCTCCTATAGTCCTAGCTACTTGGGAGACTGAGGTGGGAGGATCACTTGTGCCCAGAGGTTCGAGGTTACAGTGAGTGATGATCACCCCATGGCATTCCAGCCTGGGCAAGAGAGAGAGACCCTGTTTGTTAGATGAAAGAAAGGAAAGGAAAGGAAAAAGGAAATAAAAAGGAAAGGAAAGAAAAGAAAAGGGAAAGGAAGGAAGGAGGAAAAAATCTACTTCACAGTGTAATCAGGAGGGTTAAATGAGTTAATAAATGAAAGCATAGAGTAATACTCTGGAGTAATAAGCACTACAGTAAGTGTTAGCTATTTTCTTTTAACTTGTTCAAATTCAACAATTTTTAAAAACTCCAAAATTGATTTCATCAGGCTTTATTTTTTCCTTTTTTGAGACAGAGTCTCACTCTGTCACCCAGGCTGGAGTGCAATGGCACAATCTCAGCTCACTGCAACACCCATCTCCCAGGTTCAAGCAATTCTCCTGCCTCAGCCTCCCAAGTAGCTGGGACTACAGGCACGCACCACCGCCCCCGGCTAATTTTTGTATTTTTAGTAGAGATGGGGATTCACCATGTTGGCCAGGCTGGTCTCGAACTCCTGACCTCAAGTGATCTGCCTGCCTCAGCCTCCCAAAGTGCTGGGATTACAGGCATAAGCCACCACACCTGGCCTGATTTCATCAGACTTTTAAGAGAAAAAAACAGCTCCATCCAATTCTTGTCAAGTAACAAGCAATTTTAATTCTTGCTAGAAAACTTCTTTGTAACTATATAAAATACATTTATATGTCTTTTGTACCCCCCTAAATTAACACCACACTGCAATAAAAATATATAAATTCTTAATTTGTATTCAATTTCTAATATATATCCAAGGCTGCCCCATATACTTTTACCAATTTCCCTGTTCTAGAAGTTCCCTGGAGCAGTCTTAATCACAGTTCTTCCAAGAATATGTGACCATAGCAAAGTCACTTAACTTCTCATCCCTAAACTGAGTAGGCTGAACTAAATTCCATATAAAGTATTAATTTTCAATTAATCAAACTATTAAAAAAACAAACTTCAGTGTTACTTAAGACCGTAGTTAAGAATTTTGAATGATTAAGTTTTAGTGCCCTTATTACAAGAATTATTTTACATTAAAATTTTCTAGCTGGGTCCATGATCGGCATCTTCTTTCTTATCTACCTAACAAATTCCCACTCAAAGTCTTTCAAGATTTAGATTAAATGTCATAATGTTTGCAAAACCTTAACTCTATTAGAAAAGTCAGTTACTCTCCCTTTATGCCCCCAAAGCATCCTGCCGCATTTACCGTATTATATTGCAATTATTTAACTCTCTCTTTCCTAAACAAGCAGGCACAATGTGTCTCATTCATTTTTGTATCATCTCTCCAGCTTCTACCCCTTACCATCTACAGTTATTATATAAATATTGCTGAATAAAACAATATACTTAATTATCTTCTATGTAACTCCTAAAAATGATTTCACTTCCACAAATACTTACAGAACAAACAGTATGCATAAGACTATGATATACAAAAACTTTAAAGTTGTTAAGAACAGAGAAAATGCAGAATAGCAACTTCCAGAAATTCAGAGAGACAAGAGATAATTAGGGAATTGAAATACTTGTTCTACCAAAGACCAAAGGACAACACAATACTATCACCATCACAAGAGTAAAATACTAAAACAAAAAGACAAGGAAATTAATAACCTAAAAGACCCAGAAACAAACCCATGTATGTCTATCTTGGAATTTAACACACACAGTTAAAGGAGAAGAAATAAAGGTTGAGAAAACTTGACAATCCATTTGGAAAAAAAGTTATATGCCTATCACATATCTTACCATAAACATTACTGCTAAATGGCTAAAAAAGGCATCTCAAATCAATGGGAAAAAGATTGATTTGATAAAAATGTGTTTTTGAGAGCGCCTAATAGCCATGTGAGAGAAAAATTATACCTTTTCCTCAAACCGAACATCAGAATTACATAGGGATCAGATACACAAATATAAAAAAAAGAAACTATACGAGTACTGGGAGGAAATATGAGTAAATTTCTTTGTAACCAGTGTGAAGAAACTTATCTATGATCTACATGCAAAGCAGTAAGAAAAAAACATATTTGACAATATAAAAAAGAAAGCTTGAGAGGAACACAGTAAAAGATACCAAAAATAATAAAAAAAAAGATAAACTCGGTATGAAAGCAGGAAGTACATCTGTAAGAATTAAAAAAAAAAAAAAAAAAAAAAAGACCAGGTGCAGTGGCTCACGCCTGTAATCCCAGCACTTTGGGAGGCTGAGGCGGGTGGGTCACCTGAGGTCAGAAGTTCAAAACCAGCCTGGCCAACATGGGAAACCCTGTCTCTACTAAAAATACAAAAATTAGCCAGGCGTGGTGGTAAGCACCTGTAATCCCAGCTACTCGGGAAGCTGAGGCAGGAGAATCGCTTGAACCCAGGAGGCAGAGGATGCCCTGAGCCAAGATCGTGTCATTGCACTGCAGCCTGGGCAACATAGCGACACTCTGTCTCAAAAAAAAAAAAAAATAAAATAAAATAAAATAAAAAGGCCGGGTGAGGTAGCTTGCACCTGTAATCCCAACACTTTCGGAGGCCACGGTTGGCAGATCACTTGAGGTCAGGAGCTTGAGACCAGCCTGCCAGCCTGACCAACATGGCGAAACCCTGTCTCTGCTAAAAATACAAAAATTAGCCAGGTATAGTAGTGCATGCCTGTAGTCCCAGCTACTCGGGAGGCTGAGGTGGGAGAATTGCTTGAATCCGGGAGGTGAAGGCTGCAGTGAGCAGACTGTGCCATTGCCCTCCAGTCTGGGTGACACAGCGAGACCCTGTCTCAAATAATAAGATAAACTTTTAAAAAGTTTGAAACTTACATAAGAGTTAATATCCTTAACAATGTGGAGTTTTGAAAAACAGAGAAGAAATGGACAACATCCCAATACCCCTAATATAGTTACTAAAAACGGGGGAAGCCAGACATGGTGGTGGGTGCCTATAGTCCCAGCTACCCAGGAGGCTCAGGCAGGAGAATCACTTTGTGCCCAGGAGTGTGAGGTTGTAGTGCACTCTGATCATGCCTGCGAATAGTCACTGCACTCCAGCCTGGGAAACAAAGTGAGACCTCTTCCCTTAAAAAAAAAAAAAAAAGCCAGCCACAGTGGCTGACTCCTGTAATACCAGCACTTTGGGAGGCTAAGGCAGGTGGATCATCCCTAGTCAGGAGTTTGAGACTAGCCTGGCCAACATGGTGAAACTTTACCTCTACTAAAAATACTAAAAATTAGATGGACATAGTGGTGCACGCCTGTAATCCCAGCTACTCAGGAGGCTGAAGCAGGAGAATCGCTTGAACCTGGGAGGCGGAGGCTGCAGTGAGCTGAGATTGTGCCATTGTACTCCAGCCTGGGAAACAAGGGCACAACTCCATCTCAAAAAAAAAAAAAAAAAAGTACAGTAAAAATACAATTACTATAATCTTATGGGAGCATGGTTGTACGTGGTCCACTGTTGACTGAAAACATCGTTACATGGTGCATGACTGCATTTGGAAAGTGAATGACATACTTCTAAGTAACTCATGAGTCAATAATGGAGTTTTGAGGAAAATTAGAAAAAGACTATGAACTGAATAAAAACTAAAATACAGCCTGGGTGCGGTGGCTCAGGCCTGTAATCTCAGCACTTTGGGAGGCCAAGGCAGGCGGATCACGAGGTCAGGAGATCGAGACCATCCTGGCTAACACGGTGAAACCCTGTCTCTACTAAAAACACAAAAAACTAGCTGGGCGTGGTAGTGCACACCTGTAGTCCCAGGTACTCGGTAGGCTGAGGGAGGAGAATGGCGTGAAAGAAAGAAAAAAGCAAGTTAAGCCAAAAGTAAATATAAGGAAGGAAATACTAAATAGAATAGAAATTAGTGAAATAGAAAACAAAAGGCCAATAGAGAAAAAAATCAAGTCAAAAATTGGTTATTTGGGAGGAAGCAGAGGAAGTCAGTAAGACAGAAAGGCCTGTAGCCAAACTAACAAAGGAAAACAAGCAGACATAAATTACCAATAATGCAAACAAAAGAGAGTATATCACTACAGACCCTACACACATTAAAAAGATGAGGAAATACAATGAACAGCTGTAAGCTCATAAATCTGACAACACAGATGAAATGGACAAATTATTTTGACAGATATAAACTACCAAAAAGTCACTCAAGAAAGTAACCTGATTAGTCATATGTATATGAAAGAAAACTCCAGGTCTAGACAGTTTCATTATCAAATTTCATTAAACATTAAAGAAAAAAAAATACCAATTCTACATAAATTCTTCAAGCTTAGAAGAGAGAACATTTCCCAATTCATTTTATGAAGCCATCATGACATTGATGGCTTCAGAACACTGACAAAAACTGAAGATTTCTGACCAATATAAAAGCAAAAGTCATCAACATAAAAGCAAAAATATCATCAACAAAATTAGCAAATTAAATTCAGCAATATATAAAAATGACACCACAGCACAATCAAGCAGGATTTATCTAGAAATGCAAGGCTGGTTCAGCATTAGAAAATCATTGTCATACTCCATTCTAGACATACTAAAGAAGAAATATAAACAGAGGCAGAAAATCAAATTGATAACATCCATTCATGATAAAACACTCAAACTAGGAATAGAAAGGAACATCTTTAACCTATTAAAGGTATCTACAAAAAACCTGCTGCTAACATCATACTTAATGCTTGAAGACTGAAAGCTTTCCTCTAAAGATTAGAAATAACACAAAGGGTGCTTGCTTGGGCAGCACATATGCTAAAATTGGAATAAGAAGATCAGCATGGCCCCTGCACAAGGATGACACGCAAATTTGTAAAGTGTTCCATATTTGCACATTTTAAAATAACTTGAAGAGTATAATTGGATTGTTTGCAACTCAAAGGATAAGCACTTGGGGGGATGGATACCCCATTCTTCATATGTGCTTATTGCGCATTGCATGCTTGTTTCAAAACATCTCATGTACCCCATAAATATATAAACCTACTATGTACCCACAAAAATTAAAAGTAAAAAATAAATTTATAAAGAAGGCAATGATATCCACTCTAATCACTCCTAATCAACGCTGTACTAGAAGTTCTAGTCAGTGTTACATGGCAAGAAAAAGAACTAAAAGGCATATGTAACAGAAAGAAAGAAAACTGTCTCTACTTATTGACAATATTATTGTGTACAGAGAAAATCCCAAAAATGTACAAAATAGCAATGGGAAAAAAACTGAGTAAACATAAGTCTAACAATATATGGGTAGAATTTATACAGTAAAAACAATACAAATCTGGTGAAAGAAATCAAAGTCAACCTAATTAAATGGAGACATGTACTGTATTCATGGAGTGAATGACTCAATATTGTTATGAGGTAATTCTCTTCTAACTGATCCAAAAATTCAATGATTCATAGATTCAACACAATCTCAAAAGTCCAAGAGGATTTTCTGTAGATATCAACAAACTGATTCTAGCCTGTATATGAAAAGGCAAAAGCTCCAAAGTAGCCAAAATAACTTTTTAAAAAGAATAAAGGTGAAGCACTCATATTACCTGAAGATCCAATAACACCTATGTATATTGTTTGGATTGTTAGAAGACAGGAAAAAGTCAAAAATAAAATATATAAATACACGAGAACTCCCAAAAGACAACCCTGAAATACATCATTACACTGTTAGACTAGAGTTAACAGCATCCAGTGCATAACTGCTTCTTTTTCTATACATACTAAAGTTCCTGAAAGCACTTTATTATTAAAAATTAGCACCATCCTGGTTACCCTGCACCTATTCAGAATATTGTTACAACAGAGCTGTCAATGTAAACTAACATAGAAAGGTCTTGTTCATTTTTAATAGCTGTCATGAAAAAACTACAGGAAAGAAACAGCAGCAAGGAGCTTTCACAGCAATCCTAGACTCCATAATTCTTCTAGTCTGCTAAATACACATACAGAAATACCTAAACAAAATGTAGGACTAATATAAGTGTATAAACTATAGATCAGGCCTTTTTTTTTTTCTGAGACAGTCTCACTCTGTCAGCCAGGCTGGAGTGCAGGGGCGCCATCTCGGCTCATTGCAACCTCTGTCTCCCGAGCTCAAGCAATTCTCCTGCCTCAGCCTCCCATGTAGCTGGGATTACAGGTGTGTGCCACCATGCCCAGCTAATTTTTGTATTTTTAGTAGACACGGGGTTTCACCATGTTAGGCAGGCTGGTCTCGAACTCCTGACCTCAGGTAATCTGCCCGCTTCGGCCTCCCAAAGTGCTGGGCTCACGGTGTGAGCCACCATGCCCAGCCTAGATCAGGTTTAAAAATATAAATATTTGTAACAAGTTTTTTAAAGGTACTATGAAACAGCATATACGATTTTCATTTAAAAAGTCTATTAGATTACATTTTTTAAATTATCTAATCTGTTCTTAGAGGAAAGTATCATTAAAGCAATTTACCATATCCTTCCTAATAAAGTGAACAATAAAAAGAAACTAACAATCACATCAACAGCCAATGAGATCTAATTTATTCCTGGTTCCACAAAAGTAGACCAGAGAAGCCTAGCACTTTTTAGGCTATTTACACTTGCAAATGTGAAAGGCATACATAATTTTTGTGGGTGGTGTCACTTTATCCAATCATAAACCCATACATCTCCAAGAAAGCTGATAAAACAAGAATAAAATCCAATATAATTTATTTTAAAATCTCAGACCAAAGTAGGATTTTCAGAATTAAGTAACTGTTCCAAATTTGCAAAACATAGTCAAATAATAGACAATAACATCATTCAAGAGCAACAAAAAGAAGATGGGGGAAGGTACTGATAATTACAGCACATTCAGTATTACTTGAGGAATGCTCCTTGAATCAACAATGATAATGTCATAGTATTCCATCTTTTAAGAACCTTCAGATTTTCACAAGAAGGACATTGTTGGTCCTAAGCAGTTGATTTAATATTATAAAGCCCTTTTCTCTACATCTGTTAGTCAAAGTGTTCAGGCTTAGAAAACAGCCAATTTAGTAAAATGTGCAGTCCCTTTAGAGAAAGAAAATTGCTTCTTTACACTGAACTGGTAGAGATTATACTATCTACTATATCCTCCCTCGATAGACACACACAAACACACACACATATGTAATTATAACAATAAATGAAATGATAATACAACTGAGAAATACCAGCAAGAAATTTGACATTATAGGACGAATCAGGCTTACCTACACATTTGTATTTTTAGTAGAGATGGGGTTTCACCATGTTGGCCAGGCTGGTCTCAAACTCCTGGGCTCAAGTGATCTGCCCGCCTCAGCCTCCCTAAGTGCTGTGATTACAGGCATGAGCCACCATGCCAGGCCTGTTGTGAGCATTTTTATTGCTAAGCAGTATCCTATTGTATGGATATACCACTAGATTTTTGTAGGAAACTTATACATCACAATTACCTACTCCTAGTAAACTAGAAAGATGAAGAAACTTTCTTAACCATACTATCCTATTTAATGGTGAAATACATTTACATTACAGTCAAGAAGAAACCTTTATTATTCAACACTGTTCAGAGGTCCTGGTGCTGTTAACATATGCCACAATACATAAAGCATTCTACAAAAAACAATAACAAAAAATAGGTTCCATAAATAGGCAATTCAAAGAATAAGGTTACAAATGGCCACTAAACTTACAAAAATATGCTAGCAGAACTGTGATAAGTGAAATAGAAAATGTTAAAAAAAAAAAAAACAGAAAAAAATAAACCATAAAAAGAGAAAAAGTGGCTGGGTGCAGTGGCTCAGTAAGTGGTGAGGTCTGTAATCCCAGCACTTTGGGAGGCCTAGGTGGGAAAACAACTTGAGCCTAGGAGTTCAAGACCAGCCTAAGCAAACTAGGGAGACCCCATCTCTACAAAAAATGTGAAAATTAGCTGCGTGTGGTGTCATATGCCTGTTGTCCCAGCTACTTGGGAGGAGGTTGAGGTGGGAGGATTGCTTGAGCCAGGGAGGTTGAGGCTGTAGTGAACCATGATTGTACCACTGCATTCCAACCTGGATGACCCTGTCTCAAAAAAAAACAAACAAAAAAAAAGACAGAAAAATCAACAAAGCCAACTTTCAAGAAGTTGGTTCTTGAAAAGAAACAAAACAGACAAACCTATTAACCAGACAGAAAAGAACAAAAAGATAGAAGACTCAAATTACTAAAATCAGTAATGAAAGCAGAGATTTTTTTTTTTTTGAGACGGAGTCTTGCTCTGTCACCAGGCTGGAGTGCAGAGGCGGCGACCTTGGCACACTGCAACCTCCGCCTCCTGGGTTCAAGCGATTCTCCTGCCTCAGCCTCCTGAGTAGCTGGGACTACAGGCGCGCACACCACGCCCAGCTAGTATTTGTATTTTTAGTAGAGACGGCGTTTCACCATGTTGGCCAGGATGGTCTCGATTCTTCACCTCGTGATCCACCTGCCTTAGCCTCCCAAAGTGCTGGGATTACAGGTGTGAGCCACCGTGTCTGGCCAAAGCAAAGATGTTACTACTAAACTTACAGAAATAAAAAGGATATGAGAATAATATGAACAACCAATAAATTAGGTAATCTAGATGAAATGGTCAAATTCCTAAAATCACACAAACTACCAAAACTAACTCAAGAAAACAGAACATTTCAACAGACTAAATTGACCTAGATCTAATTTCAACAAGTAAAGACATTGATAAAACAGTAATCAGAAAACTGTCAGAGGAAACAACCTGGAACTAGATGGCTTCACTCATGACTTCTACAATTTTTTTAAAGAGCAGGGTCTCGCTATATTGCCCAGAGTGGACTCGAACTCATGGGCTCAAGTGATCCTGTAGTCTCGGTCTCCAAAGTCTGGGACTACAGGCATGCACCACCAAGCCAGACTTCTACCAAATATTTAAATAAGAATTAACTCATTTTATGGGCCAGTAGTGCCTTGATACCAAAGCCAGACAAAGATATCACAAGAAGAAAAAATTACAGACCAATACCCCTTATGAATATAGACTCAAAAATCCTCAACGAAAATACCTGAATCCAGCAGCATGTTAAAAGGATTATACATTATGATTAAGTGGCACTTATTCTAGGAATGCAAGGGTGATTCAACATATGAAAAGAAATCAATGTAATATATCACTTTATCAAAATGAAGGGAAAAAACCCACAATCATCTCAATAAATATGGAAAACGCATTTGATAAAATGCAACACACTTTCATAATAAAAACACTCAACAGGCTGGGCCGGTGGCTCATGCCTGTAATCCCAGCACTGTAGGAGGCCAAGGTGGCCAGATCACCTGAGGTCAGGAGTTCAAGACCAGCCTGACCAACATGGTGAAACCTCATCTCTACTAAAAATTCAAAAATTAGCAGGGTGAGGTGGCACATGCCTGTAATCCCAGCTACTCAGGAGGCTGAGGCAGGAGAATTGCTTGAACCCAGGAGGCAGAGGCTGCAGTAAGCTGAGATCGCGTGACTGCACTCCAGCCTGGGCAAAAGAGCAGACTCTGTCTCAAAAAGAAAAAAAAAAAAAAGTAATTGATATAACCATTAAGAATTATTTACAGTATATGATAAGTATCTAAATACTGACTGATAAGACAAGAGCCTCTCCTTCCAGCTGTTTCCTTTTAATAAGCTCATATGGTACCTCTACTTTTCCATGCTTTCATTATTTAATACTGTAGCCACTTTTGGGGGGTTGTGGAGCAGACTACAACACAGAGTTACAATATGACACAAAATTCTTGTAATGTCTCTCTCACAAGCACTTACATTCCTTCAAGTTTGAAAGAGTATTGACCCAAAATGTTAACAGTTTTTCTATGTGAGTGCTAGGACTTATATAAGACTTATTTTTGTCATTTTCCTTACCAGAATTTTCTAGTTTATTTTGCTTAAAATTAACATTGCTCGTGTGATTTTTAAAAATGCAAGTTAAAAAAACAGAGTTGTGACTATTCTCAAGTGTCAGAAAGGTAAATGCAAGACAGGGTGAAGCAGGAATTTTTTAAGTTTAATATCATAGCTCAAAATCTGTGTTACAACTTTGCAAAGTAGAAAGATTTTTGTTCATTTTTAAAAATTCCACGCATACACTGGAAGACATTCTCCTAAAAGATTACTTTTAGGTTGAGGATGAGGAGTTTCGGAAGTAGGACTGTCAAATTAGATACCTATAACTCCCCACTATTATATTACAGACTATCTTAAAAAAAAATTTTTTTTTTTTTTTTTTTTTTTTAGGAGACAGAGTCTTTTTCACTACGTTGCCCTGGCTGGATTCAAACTCTTGGGGCTCAAGAGATTCTCCTGCCTCAGCCTCCTAAGTAGCTGGGACTACAGATTGGTAGTCCTTGCCCTGTAATTATGGACTATTTAGATATCTATAACTCCACACTAAAAAATCTAACAAGAATGATTTTCTGTCAAAACAGAAATTCTGTAAAACAACTAGCCTGGACTCTTCAAAACATCATTAAAGACAAAAAAATACACAGGTAACTGTTCTGGAGGAGACTAGAGACAAGACAACAATATGCAATGTATGGCCTTTGACTGAATCCCAGATTGGGTAAAAAAATTCCAGCTTTAAAAGGCATTATCGGCTGGGCACGGTGGCTCATGCCTGTAATCCCAGCACTTTGGGAGGCCGAAGCCGGCAGATCACAAGGTCAGGAGTTCAAGACCAGCCTGATCAACATGGTGAAATCCTATCTCTACTAAAAATACAAAAAAATTAGCCAGGCATGGTGGCGCGCACCTGTAATCCCAGCTACTCAGGAGGCTGAGGCAGGAGAATTGCTTGAAGCCGGGAGACGGAGGTTGCAGTGAGCCCAGATCACCCCACTGCACTCCAGCCTGGGCAAGAGAGGAGTGAGAATCAGTCTTAAAAAAAAAAAAAAAAAAGAAAGAAATTATCATGACAAATTGAGGAAATCTAACAGACTGTATATTTGATAAGAATACTATATCGCTGCTAAATTTCCTATCACAATTATATTGTGCTTAGCAGGAAAATGTGCTTGAGCAATACATACTGAAGTATTTAGGGTCATGATTCTGCAACTAATTCAAACGGTTCAGGGAAAAAAAAGTGTCTACGTAACATAGCAATATATGTTATAGGGCAATAAGTTAATGAATTGGTAAGCTTTCATGAAGGTATAATGGCTATTCATTTTACTAGACTTGCAACTTTTCAGTAAGTTTTACATTTTTCAAAATAAAAAGTTGGAAAGTCCTAAACAGTAGACTAAATAATTACTAAAGTCCAACAACAGTAGACTAAATAATTAATTACTAAAACTCGCTCAAGAGGTGGGACTGTTGTCTCTTGTTAGACAGTAATTAGAAAGAGTAACAAACTGTTACTTCTAATCATGTTTTAGAATCTGATAGCTTTATTTGTTTGTCTGTTTTGAGACAAGGTCTCCTCACTCTGTTATGCAGGCTGAAATGCAGTGCCACGATCTCACTGCAGCCTCGACCTCCTGAGCTCTGGGCCCAAGGGATCTTCCCACCTCACCCTCCCAAGTAGCTGGGACTACAGGCATGTGTCACCACGCCCAACTGATTTTTGTATTTTTTGACAACAGGTTTTGCCATGTTACCCACGCTATTCTCGAACTTCTGAGCTCACGTGGTCCGCCCGCCTCAGCCTCCCAAAGTGCTGGGATTACAGGCATGAGCCACTGCATCCAGCCAGAACCAGATAGCTTTATAGGTATTTGCAAACTTCAACAGAGAAAAGTAGGAAACTTAAATTTGTTTTGATGCTCACATAATTCTAATAGTAAACAACAGAAAAAGAAAAATCCACAAACTAATTTTACTCTGAATTCATATAAAAATGATATTTTCAATAGAATATTCAAATAGTAATATTGGAACATTCGAAAAATAAAAATAATAAAAATAAATTTAAAAAATACAATATTGGAACAATGTTTAAATTTGGGCTTATACATATGAATGTTTTGTAACAGTCTTCTCAATACCATCCCCTTATACCTATGGAAGAAAGACATTGCTGATCCACCATATCATTTTCCCCATAGAATATAAAGGCAGTTACGGCCGGGCACGCTGGCTCACGCCTGTAATCCCAGCACTTTGGGAGGCTAAGGCGGGCGAATCACAAGGTCAGGAGGCCGAGACCAGCCTGGCCAACATGATGAAACTCCATGTCTAATAAAAATACAAAAAATTAGCTGGGCATAGTGGTGGGCACCTGTAATCCCAGCTACTCGGGAGGCTGAGGCAAGAGAATCGTTGAACCTGGGAGGCAGAGGTTGCAGTGAGCCGAGATCATACCACTGCACTACAGCCCGGGTGACAGAGTGAGACTCCATCTCAAAAAAAAAAAAAAAAAGAAGAATATAAAGGCAGTTCAAAAGGCATAAGTACTCCTTCACTTTATCAGAATTGAAATAGAATGCAAAATTTATTTCCCACTTCCAGGTTTTCTACTTCAAAAAGCCAAGTTAGATTATTATATCTTATACATTATATGCCAAAATTAATCAGACATGGATTAATGAGTTTAATCAGAAATAACTTTCAATAATAGGTTAAATATACTCTATAAAACCAATTTTAAGAAATACATAGGCCGGCGTGGTGGCTCAGGCCTGTAATCCCAACACTTTGAGAGGCTGAGGCAGGCAGATCACTTGAGGTCAGGAGTTCAAGACCAGCCTGGCCAACATGATGAAACCCCATCTCTACTAAAAATGCAAAACTTAGGCCAGGCACAGTGGCTCAAACCTGTAATCCCAGTGCTTTTGGAGGCCAAGGCAGGCGGATCACAATGCCAGGAGCTTGAGACCAGCCTGGCCAACATGGTGTAACCCCGTCTTTACTAAAAATACAAAAATTAGCCGGGCGTGGTGGCAGGCACCTGTAGTCCCAGCTAGTTGGGAGGCTGAGGCAGGAGAATCGCTTGAACCCAGGAGGAGGAGGTGGCAGTGAGCCAAGATCACACCACTGCACTCCAGCCCGGGCAACAGTGCCAGATTCCATATCAAAAACAAACAAACAAACAAACAAAAAAGGTTTTTTTCTTCTTTAAACTTTTTGAGTCATCATTTTGGCAAAATAAGTAACTTGCAGTAATCTCAAATTTTATTTTATAATATCAAGTGTTTTAAACCTCAAACATTTAGCAGCCTTCCCAAAATCAAACTTCAGTTTCAAAATTTTCTTCCCTGGCACATGGCTTTTCAGATACTTCAGAGGGCCCCTGAAGTGTCTGGAAAAGAAAGGCAAACAGGATTATGTGACACGTTTAGGTACACGGAATTGCCAAAATGGTGTTTAATCTTCTTTAGGTTATATCTTAGTAAATAACGCTTATGTATGCTCCAAAATTGCATGGGATTTCTAAAGTTCTAATGTCTCCGTATTTGCTATCAATCATAATTAAGGTTGTTAAGTTATTGTAAACCATGGAGATAACCAAACTTCTTTGCCAATTGTGTTTCTGACTATAATTACCCTGACAACTTGGCTATTCACAGATGTTTGTTGTCTTGTTTTAATCCTTTTCAGAAGATGGTTTATAATAGACTGTAAGACTTTAACAGGTGCTCTCAAATACAGACTTCAGATAACTTTGGAGATTGTTAACATTTTAATAAAGGAAAATGAACAGGACTCATGAAGAGCTGAAATGTTTACAAATATCAAGCAAAACAAGAGTTAACTAAATGGACTGAACTCAGAAAGCTGAAGCAACCTTTCTGACTTTTGGCTGGAATATTGCTGATCCTTGTTTGGTTTTTCAGAGTCAAGGAAACTCATTTTGAACTATTTACGGCCTTTAATAATTGAGTAAGGTATATTCCTAAGAAAAAAACTTTGGAGCATGTTATGTTTCTCTCCGCCTGGTGCCTCTAAAATTTGAAAACTGTCTGTGAGTATTCTTTAATTTTTTGATTTTTAAATTTTTAAAACATTTTTTACTTATTTATTTTTGAGACAGAGTTTCACTCTTGTTGCCCAGGCTGGAGTGCAGTGGCTCAATCTGAACTCAATGCAACCTCTGCCTCCCGGGTTCAACCGATTCCCTTGCCTCAGCCTTTCAAGTAGCTGGGATTACAGGCACCAGCCACCACGCCCAGCTAA